>NC_000007.14:27740242-28990242 GCF_000001405.40 Homo sapiens
CCCTTGATCCGGGAGTCTTTCCACTGGGTAAGGCGCCTCCCCGGTCCACCCCAGCGCCTTGTGCGGGGCGGCCTCCAGCTGCATCTCTTTTAGGGCTCGTGCTACACCCTTCAGCCCCTGTACTGTAGGGGCCTGGCCGGTCTCGGGAGAGGTCTCTGTGGTGACGAGGCTTTCCTTCCCGAAGACAAACCTTCCTTTCCAGACTGCGATTGTGACGGGGGTGTGGGCGACTCGGATCAGCTGTGGAGTTTTGGAATGGCAACGGGTGGCCGCCCCACGCGGTGGGAGGCCCGTGGGACAGGCCTTCGCGATTTGGGGGAGGCGTGTGGGACGGGGGCCCTTTGGCTGGGGACGAGTGACGCTGGCGACCCCCGAAGGAAAAGCTTCTGGTGTCCAAGGCTAAACTCTGGGGTGACTGTTTTGAGGGCAGTGTGGGTTTTACCGGCGCAGTAAGCTGAGAAAACACGTAGGTCGCGTCCGAGAAGGACGCTGGGGTTTGCCTTTGCGGAGAGAAACCCAGCTGTTTTGGTTTGAGTCGCCGGTGGCGAAGGGGGCGGAGACTCCCTGCGCCGCCTACTTTTGAGGGCCGCGGGCGGAGTTGGCGGTTCTGGCTGATGGCCTGCTTCACCTGGAATCCATTCCCCACCCCGCCCCGTTCGCAAGGTGTGGACTAGTCCCGACCGACTTGCACTCCTGGCTTAGGGAATCTGTGGCTAGAGTTTAGCGTGCGCGCGCGCGCGTACACCTTATTAGTAAAAAATTGAGCTTAGCGTGCGTCTGTGTGGGTGTGTGTACACACCTTATTGGTAAAAGTTTTGTTAGAAAACACTGGCATTTGACTTTAGACATACACAGTGTTAGATTTCCGGTTTCACACAGTGGTTATGAATTGCTATTATGTTAGGCTTTAGATGGGAAAATAAATCTTGATTTTTCAGCTGTCTGCATTCTGCTAATGTTAAAATTTCTACGAGCTGTGCACGAACAATTAATAGTTACAAGTTTGGTGCTCAATTCCTAAAGGATTTAAAGAGATCATTTGAATAGAAACTAAAAGTGGGTCGATCGTCCTCAAAGTGCTTTTCGGGTTTAGGGAAGGAGCTTAGGACAGCCTTTCTCTTTCGTTCTGTTCCTTTCAAGGGTAAACTTGAAGGATTGTTTGATGATGCCGACTTCTAATAAGGTTTTATTTATTTTTCAAACTGATTGTTCAACTTCAAAGAACATTGTAGTTTTTGTTTTCTAGTCATCACGTTCTTTTTTTTTTTTTTTCCTTGAGATGGAGTCTTGCTCTGTCTCCCAGGCTGGAGTGCAGTGGCGCGATCGCGGCTCATTGCAACCTCCGCCTCCCAGGTTCAAGCGATTCTCCTGCCTCAGCCTCCTGAGTACCTGGGATTACAGGCGCGCACCACCACACTGAAGGGGTGGGTTGCCCCTCCACACCTGTGGGTGTTTCTCGTTAGGTGGAATGAGAGACTTGGAAAAGAAAAAGACACAAAGTACAGAGAAAGAAATAAGGGGATCCGGGGAACCAGCGTTCAGCATATGGAGGATCCCGCCAGCCTCTGAGTTCCCTTAGTATTTATTGATCATTTGTGGGTGTTTCTCCGAGAGGGGGCTATGTCAGGGTCACAAGACAATAGTGGGGAGAGGGTCAGCAGACAAACACGTGAACAAAGGTCTTTGCATCATAGACAAGGTAAAGAATCAAGTGCTGTGCTTTTAGATATGCATACACATAAACATCTCAATGCTTTACAAAGCAGTATTGCTGCCCACATGTCCCACCTCCAGCCCTAAGGCGGTTTTTCCCTATCTCAGTAGATGGAACGTACAATCGGGTTTTATACTGAGACATTCCATGCCCAGGGACGGGCAGGAGACAGATGCCTTCCTCTTGTCTCAACTGCAAGAGGCATGCCTTCCTCTTATACTAATCCTCCTCAGCACAGACCCTTTACGGATGTCGGGCTGGGGGATGGTCAGGTCTTTCCCTTCCCACGAGGCCATATTTCAGACTATCACATGGGGAGAAACCTTGGACAATACCTGGCTTTCCTAGGCAGAGGTCCCTGCAGGCTTCCACAGTTTTTGTGTCCCTGGGTACTTGAGATTAGGGAGTGGTGATGACTCTTAAGGAGCATGCTGCCTTCAAGCATCTGTTTAACAGAGCACATCTTGCACAACCCTTAATCCGTTTAACCGTGAGTTTGACACAGCACATGTTTCAGAGAGCACGGGGTTGGTGGTAAGGTCATAGATTAACAGAATCTCAAGGCAGAATAATTTTTCTTAGTACAGAACAAAATGGAGTCTCCTATGTCTACTTCTTTCTACACAGACACAGTAACAGTCTGATCTCTCTTGCTTTTCCCCACACATACCCGGCAAATTTTTGTATTTTTAGTAGAGACGAGGTTTCTCCATGTTGGTCAGGCTAGTGTCGAACTCCTGACCTCTTGATCCGCCTGCCTCGGCCTTCCAAAGTGCTGGGATTACAGGTGTGAGCCACCGCACCCAGCCCATCACGTTCTTAAATTGTAGACCGCTGTTTATAGTTCTCACTGCAGCCATGTTTGTAGAATTAACCAGCAAATACCTTTTCCATAACAAAAGTAAAATTTTGGAATTCAAAGTTTCAACCTTTTTAATAATGTTAAAATAATCATGAAAGATCCTAATGATGCTCCTTGTATACTTCTTTTGGGGACTTTGTTGTATTCTTTTGGAATGGATATGTTAAATCTGGGCTTTATGCATTTCTGTCTTTTTAAAGCTTATTTTGTCCCAAATAAACCTTTAGAAGAAGATAAAAATGTCCTCTACCCTAATATGTGTGGGCCAATATCATAGCATTTTAGAAACCAACTTATAAAAATCTAAAAAGTAAATAAAAGTGGTGCGGGTGATACCTGGGCGGAATGTCTTGGCACTCAGGTGTAAAGGATTCTGGAAATAGGGATGTCTGCAAGGGTGCAAATTAATAGACTGGGGCTTTTGCTGTTGCCTCCTAGAAAAATTGCTGATTACATTTTTTGGGAGCAGAGGTCTGTTGAGAGTTGTTAGTCTTTCTTTTTTTGAGCCACAGTGTGAATAATTGGAAACTATTTGAATGCTGGACATTTTTTCCTTTCATATGTTTGTGTGTCCTATCGGATTAAAGTTTGGAGATAATTCTAAAGGTTTTTTAGCTGAAGATGTGAAAAACTTTCAGTAACTCTATCAACCATTACCTGAATTACAACACTTCTAAGGGTACAAAGCGTTCATATTCTAAAATGCAGTGTTTCTGCTACAGTGGGTCATATGTGGAGTGTTACTAATCTGTTTCATTTCTTTATTTGCTTTGGTTTTACTATTACAGAAATTTTCAAACATACACAAAGGAGAATGAACAGTAAAATGAACCGACACTTTACTAATCTTGTTTTATTACCCCCTCTAACATTAATTTTTTCCCCTGGAGTTTTTAAAGCAAATCTTAGACATCAAGACATTTCACTTACAGTTAGTTTAGTATCTTTATTTTTTTTTTTTTTTTTTTTTTTTTTTTTTTTTTTTTTTTTTTTTTTTTGAGACGGAGTCTCGCTCTGTCGCCCAGGTCGGACTGCGGACTGCAGTGGCGCAATCTCGGCTCACTGCAAGCTCCGCTTCCCGGGTTCACGCCATTCTCCTGCCTCAGCCTCCCGAGTAGCTGGGACTACAGGCGCCCGCCACCGCGCCCGGCTAATTTTTTGTATTTTTAGTAGAGACGGGGTTTCACCTTGTTAGCCAGGATGGTCTCGATCTCCTGACCTCATGATCCACCCGCCTCGGCCTCCCAAAGTGCTGGGATTACAGGCGTGAGCCACCGCGCCCGGCCTAGTATCTTTATTTTTTATTTTTATTTATTTTTTATTTTTGAGACGGAGTCTCGCTGTCACCCAGGCTGGAGTGCAATGGCGTGATCTCAGCTCACTGCAGGCTCCGCCCCCCAGGGTTCACGCCATTCTCCTGCCTCAGCCTCCCGAGTAGCTGGGACTACAGGCGCCTGCCACCTCGCCCGGCTAATTTTTTGTATTTTTAGTAGAGATGGGTTTTCACCGTGTTAGCCAGGATGGTCTCGATCTCCTGAACTCGTGATCCGCCCGCCTCGGCCTCCCAAAGTGCTGGGATTACAGGCGTGAGCCACCGCACCCGGCCTAGTTTAGTATCTTTAAATGATAAAGACTAGAAAAACACAGAATCACCATAATTATATTATCACACATAACAAAATTACCTTATTTTTGAATTCTAATTGTTAGGACTGGCAAATTATATTTAGTATTTATCTAAATTAAAAAGCTTAATTTGGCTTCATATGTTTAATGTACAGAAGTTCTTACTATGGTCTATTTTTCAGTAAGTTCACTAAGGCTTACATTTTTGGGCTAAAGTAAAACAAGTATTGGGAACCACTGGAAAAATACTACCACAAAAGTCAAATCTGCTTTGGGCTTGAAAAAGTTACAAGAGGAGTAAGTAAAGATAACATTGAAATGCTTCCCTGCCCCCACCCCATGTTTATTTTAGCTGTATACATAACTGAGTGCCCACTATATATTATTTATCTTTTTTATAGACATTAATGCATTCGCAAAATAATAAAATTGGAATTTAGACCAAAGACTTTATAATATACAGTTTACAGCATAACACACATAAAGAAATTCTAGAGGCATTGGAACTTGGGGAAGTGTAGTAGGAAACCTGGAAGAGGGCACTGTAGCCAGCATGTATAAGCATTTCTGATTTTGTTTCCCAGCCAAATGTGTCTGGCCCCTTAATTGTTGACTGGACGTTTCATACTTATCCTTGGCTTGCCTACTTACTATACTCCTGTTTGTAGAGGTGCACTTTAGAGAAGGGGAATCAGAATTTGACATGGTAAAGCTGCTTGCTTCTACTTTCCTTTTTGTGTAGGGAGTGTACTTCTCTCCAACTGAGAGGAGGTTTGTACTTTTTCTCAGGATGTTAGTGAAGCTACACTTCCCAGGCATTACCACAAGGTGATGCAGTGACTTTGCATATTATTTCTCCACTCCCGTGCGACCTTGACATTCTCAGTGAATTCCAACATTTTTGTAAGCTTGCCTAAGTCTGTTATCTGTAGGAGGAGTGAACCAGAGGAACTATGTGGGAATTAGAAATTTTATTATTTAAAATGGGTTGATAATGACATAATTATATTTGATTGCATTCATCCATGTAAACTTTTTAAATGATTAGTAGCTATATTGTAATTTAATAAGAGTAAAAAATGACAAGGTACTGGAATGACTTTTGTAAAATATTTCTATAATTATAGCAATGAAATTTTAAAAAGATTGGAGTGTTGGAGAGAGATTAATGAAGGCCATTAATAGGATAATCACAAATTATTTTACTTTTCAGACTTGTAACCATTGTGAATACTATATTTTAAAGTGAAATACTAGTGTTTTCTATTAGAAAATGTGAAATTCAGGGGAGGGTTTAAAAATGGAATTTCTTGTTAATAGGGCTATTTAAAACAATAGAAATAATACATTTATATATACTTGTAAAAATTCAAACAATAAATTGATGTAAAATTTAAGGTCCTTAAGTCTTCTTTTTACACACATCCCTTATAAGACTATTAACTCTATAGTGTATACTTCTTGAGTTCCTTTTGATGCATTTGTAAACATATACAAATACATATATGTATACCTATGTGCTATTTTGTACCTCAAAAACTTCAGTGAACTAAAAGTATAAGGTTGGATTGTGGGTTTTTAAAAAACTGTTATAATTGAGGTTAACAGAAGTTGAAACACTTTTGCCTTGTTTTATAAAAAAAATAGTTACAGCTTTGTTGGTTTAATTTATTTTAGGAAATGATATGTTAAATTTTAAGAAAAAAGTATTATCCTTAATCAGCTTTTGATTAAAAACATGGGACGTTTATTCTAAGCTAGTTTATTTCCTTCTTACTGAATATCTTTCTTAAAGGAAGCGTGACTATTCACTCACTTCATAGAAAAATATTATTCTCTTAATTCAGTTTTGGTAGTTGTATCTAATAGATGTTGGTTCTGTTGATTTAGCTATAGTTTCTTTTGTTGGTGTCTTGTAACCAGTAGTGAGTTTTTTTTTTTTCTTTTTTTTTTAAAGAACTGGAATTGGTGTTTTTTTTTTTTTCCTTTGTGAAGCCAGTGACTTGAGATAATCATTAATGACTTCATTAGTATCATGACCTCCCTGGGAGCCCAAATTAGCTCAGACAACTCAAAGAAACAAAATAATAAAACTCTTCAGTTATTTTAGGCAGAGTTCTCCAGTGTTTGTAAATGCTACCTGTTCATTTTTCTGATGGCTTTAGGTTACCAGGTAGAGAGTATTCATAGTTAAGTCTTTCCATGAAATATGGTTGCTGGTAGCAAAGTCCCTTTATTAGTGCAGAGGTAAAGGGGGATTGCTACTGAATATACTCTTTATCTTGGAATGCTTGCAAACCTCAGGTAGGGAGAGGCTGACAACTAGCCTGATACTCTACAGTGGTTTCCAGGTTCATGATTGACAGTCTCTTTTTGGGATATCCATTATATTCAGTAAAGCAGGACTTTGGCCATAACAGAAGCAGAGGGGACACAAGAAGAAAGTTGATATTTTTTAAAGTGCTTATTATTACAAAACTTTAAAAATTTGCCTTAGTATTTCAAACAGGTCAGCAAAAGAAACAGTTGTAAAAGCACACTGTTTTAGATCTTAGCAATAAGCCTTCTTACTAATGGCTAAAATATGAGTAGAGCCTTACTGCTGTGCTTGCTCTGTAGAAACTTCATTGATTTGTGAAGTAAATTAGATTAATTTGGTTAGCAAAAACCTTGCCCCAGTTTTCCCCATTATTACAGAGATGCCTGTTTTAATGACTCAAGCAAGTGCAGTCAGGACAGTCATAGTTTCTTATGTGTATTGTAGAATTAGTGATTGTACGGAGCCTGTGACAAACTCTACAGATTGCTTTTTTGGGTAAATCCTCATTTGTTTCTGTTTTCTCAAAAGTAGAGCACAAAATAGGGAAAACATTTGGATCTTGCAGTTTTTATAATCTGCTTTCACCATTCATCTGCTATCCAGTGCTTGGTGTTTACTAAGCCAGTGAGCGTTCATGAATCTCTAAGAGATTTTCAACAGTGTGTATTTTATTAACACTACACTTTTATTTTTATTTTTAAATATAAGTTTATTTTAATCAGTAAACATGTGGAAAGGGTACGTGAATACTAGAAGTTGAGGTAGGATCATTGATTGGACCTATGATGAAATGATAGGTTTGTTATAGGTGGAGAAGAACAAATAGGCTGAGCCATTTCAAGTAGACCAGCTAAGATTTTACATGGTTTGAGAGATTTGAACAAGCTTGTAACAGAAGCCCAAGAAGACAGGCTGGGTCTGGGATCTGTGGAAATGAGTGAGAGGTAGAAGTTGTTGGATAGTGGTTCTCTTTTCTGGTTGCATACAGGATTGAGATTACTTGGGGCGATGTAGGGGCAGGGCTATGTATATTCGTATACACACCCACAGACACACATGCACACACTCCCAGGCCCCAATCCCAGAAAGTTGTTGTCATCTATTTTTTTTTTTTAAAGGCCCCTAATGATTCTAATGTGTAACCAGGGTTGAGAAATGCTGGTCCAGGGGATTAGAAGGGCAGGAATGTAGGCACAGAGATGTTAGCGTCAGGTTTAGTTATAGGACCCCAAAACCTAGGGAGAGGGGAAGAGATGAATGGGATGGGCTAGGTTAGGGAGGAGAATGATGAAGCCCAAGGGTTCTACATAGGAAGGAAATGTTAATTGACCCATAGCCAGTAAAATACTGACTTTTAACTGTTCTTGTTTCTGTTTCTTAGTGTTTGTTACTAGGAGCCAGCAGGTTTATATTGGCAGCGTGTGCACAAAAACACCTCTGGTTCATTTGCTTTTGATTTAAATAGAAGCAGAGGGCTAGGCTTTCCAGGAGAGTTAATTTTTGGTTTTGGTTTTTTAACTTTTAAATGCCCATATAACTTTCTGAGCCAAATGGGTTTTAGTTATTTTTCCAGTTTGTCTGTATTTTTATATTTAATCAATTTTTAAGAAGTTCCAGTATTTACAAAGTATATATTTTCTTAATTATGACATGCAAATATTCATGAAACTTATATTAAATATTATGTATTTTCTGAAGGCATAAGTTTATTCTTAGTTGGTATAATTTAACTTGTATGAATTACTTGTTTCAGATTCACAATGACATCCTTTCAAGAAGTCCCATTGCAGACTTCCAACTTTGCCCATGTCATCTTTCAAAATGTGGCCAAGAGTTACCTTCCTAATGCACACCTGGAATGTCATTACACCTTAACTCCATATATTCATCCACATCCAAAAGATTGGGTTGGTATATTCAAGGTAAGAAAGCTTTCTGAATATGTTCTCCATGTAAACACTTAAAATTTTCTTTTAAAACAGATTGATAAGTAGCTTTTACTTGCCTTAACTCTGCATTAAGACTCATTTTTGTAAACATCACCATGAAATATTTAACAGTGGGGAGTAGATAAAATGGATGTTGGGAACTCCATTTCACCAGATTTTCCTCTCCCTGATCAGAAAGTTTACCTTCACTTAAGGACTTGTGAAAATTTTTTCAGAATCTTCTTTTCCTATTTTCTCCATTCATTACCTGCAATAAAAAAAGATCTTTTTCTTTGGGTTCTTATATTATTTACCATTTTTTCCAGTCATTTGAAATTAATTTTATACAGCTTGACAGCCATGTTATTATCCCTTCTACTGTCCTGCATGGCTTAAATATTGCTCAGATTGTATTACACAGTTTTAAGAGTATTCTGTTTGTATTACACAGTTTTAAAGTATTCTGTTTAACATGACTGAATAGTAAACTCTTTGATGGCAGGAGTTCTAGTTCTTATATTTTACCAGTGATTTTGTATAATACTTTCTTGAAAATGAAGGTGATCATTACAGTGGTACACCTCACTGTGCAGGACTTTTTCTGGCAATTTTAACTCTTCAAAATGTAGTGGAAAACCAAAACATAAGAATGTCCTCTGAGCAGTCAAAATAATGTCACGAATGTCCAAACAGTAAAACACATTCACTTTTCTCCTGTGTTATTCTGTAGTCTTCCTCAGAATCAGTTTGTTTTATTTTAGTTAAGATTTTTATGGGCTTGAAATTTTGATTGTCTAATCTGTATAAAGTTAAACAACAAGGAAGAAAGAAATGAATAGCTGCTAGAAATTAGGCACATTGAAAGTGTCTAGAAGTAAAAGTCCAGCCTGACGGGAAGGCAGAAAAACATTTGGACAAAACAATTTTGGCATTTAATGACTTAGTTCCTTTCTTTGAATTCCTCATTTCTTGATGTTTCTGAATACAACACAATAGTTATTTACTGTTTACTTTTTGTGTCAGTTTTTTAGGCTTGTCAAATCCCAAAATGGAGAAACATTCATTGTAACAATTTTATGAAATTAGGAGTAGTTTTTAAATTTTATTTCTTATTTTTTGAGACAGGGTCTTATTCTATCACTCAGGCTGGAGTGCAGTGGTGGGATAGTGGCTTACTGCAACCTGACCTCCTGGGCTCAAGTGATCCTTTCCCCGCAGCCTTCCAAATAGCTGGGATTATAGACACAACACCACGCCTGGCTAATTTTTAAAATTTTTTGTAGAGACAGGGTCTCACTATGTTGCCTAGGCTGGTTTTAACTTCCTAGGCTTAAGTGATCCTCCTGTCCCAGCCTCCCAAAGTGCTGGGATTACAGGTGTGAGCCACCGCACCTGGCCTCAGTAGTAGTTTCGATTTTATGGGAGATACTGGTATCAAGTTAAAGATACTGATTGAGAACTGATGTTTTCTGTAGTAACAGAGCAGAGAGGAAGAAAACAGAAATGTGACTGAGGAAAAAGAAGGGCATTTCCAGCAGGAAAATGGTACAGGTTGAACATCCTAAATCTGAAAATCTAAAATCTGAAATGCTTTAAAATCCAAAACTTTTTGAATGCTGACATGATGTGCAAAGGAAATGCTTATTGGAACATTTTATGTTTTGGATTTGGGATGCCCAACCAGTAGGTATAATGCAAATACTCCAAAATCTGACAGATTTAGAAATCCAAAGCACTTCTGGTCTCAAGCATTTCGGATAAGGGATACTGAATCTGTATAAGCAGAGGCTTAGAGGTAGGAATGTTCATGAGAATGAGTAAGTCAGTTTAACTAGAGCATAAGCTTCAGTTAGGGAAGTTGTGGGAGATGAGATTGGAGATAAGTTTCATTCTGTCTATGGACGACCTTCAGTGTTAGAGAGTTTATGGACTTTTTTCTGAAGGACAGTGGGAAGTCTTTGTATATGTATAGGTTGTTTGAAAAAGTATGTTTCAGGAAGATGAATTATTACCTTTTTCCTGCAGACTACTTGTTTATTTCTTATATTTTTTCATTTTTTTAAAGCCAAAAGACTGTGACTTTCCCTTCAAATCCAAACAATCAGTTCTAACCATTTTACTGCTTACATATTTCTAAATCCTTAATATCACTAGTTCATGCCTTCCATATTTTTTACCAAGACTATTGCAATAGGTCAGCTGTTTTACCCACTTTCATTCTTGTCCTCTAACCTTTGTTTTTTAACTGCTCTATATAAGCTGTAAAATGGAAACCTGAACATGTCTTTCTGTTGTTTGAAACTCTTCATTGGTTCTTCATCATCTGTAGAATAATGCCAAGACCAAATAACCTAGAGCCATACAGGGCTCCTGTATAAGATTTTATTTCCAGCTTCAGTTTTGGTCATTCCTGCTGCTGCCTTTTTGCTTTGGTAATGCTAAACTATACTTCTTTCATTGTGCACTTTAAGGATTGTAAGTTTTCTCTCAGCAAAAAAGAAAAAAAAATCTTCTGTTTAATACCCTTTCCATCCTTTTTGCCAGCATAAAACTTTAAAACTCAATAGGAAGTTCAGGCATGTAGTAAAGATTTCAGGTAATACAGGAAGGCTCAAGGAAGAAAATAATCATGCTTAACACTTTTACCTACTGTTAACTATTGTTAACATATTGGTATATAGCTACATGTAATAAAATTACAAATAATTATACACATGCATAATGTGTGTATAATAAATATATACACACATACTACTGATGCATCATAGTGTGTGTATATATTCGTTGAACCAGTTTCTTACTATTGGAATTTACATTGTTGCTAAATGCTTATCATTAATACTTAATAAAGATCTCTACCTATCTTTATTTTGTCTACTTATTTCATAAGGTAAGTTCTTGGAAGTAGAATCACCATGTTTATGGCATTGTTTGTTTTTAAGCACTTTATGTGTACTGCAAATTGCCCTCTAGAGTGATTTTGATAGACACCATATTGACAAGCAGGCAGGAAGAGAGTGCCTGGGTAGCAATTGTAAGGGAGGAGGAATGAAGATGGGAAAGTAGTATGCTTGAGAAAGTGTTAAGGAATTTGATTTGCCTGGGACAGCTATCAATTAAAAATTTATTATTATTATTTTTTTAGAGACTGGGTTTTGCCATGTTGCCCGGGCTGGTCTCGAACTCCTGGGCTCAAGCGATCCACCCGCCTCAGCCTAAATAAGTGCTGGGATTGCAGGCGTGAACCACCATGCCCAGCTACAGATACCAGTTTTAGAAGATGAATGGGAAAAGTTAGTTTGGATCATGTTGTAGATTGTTTTAATATTTGAGGGATAGTTTTTAAGTAAGGAGTAATAAAGTTTAGAAGTGAAGCTTAATCTTATAGTGCTGAGTAAGATAAATTGGAATTCGAAAGGAATGGAGGTAAAGAGAACGTTTAGACTATCCTAATTTTCTATGTGAGATAATGAAAGCCTAAAGTGGAGAAGGAAGTAAGTTGTGTGTAATAATCCATAAGTAGAATTCATAGGATATGTCAACAGTCAATTGAATTAGAACTGGCACTCATTCTATGGCATCTCAGTAAGGAGGAGCAAGGTCATATGTTAAAAGTTGGGGAGGGCTTGAGTATAGATAATTGGTCTTGCTACTGTGGAATAATGTCATAGGGAATCGGAGTGGCTTAACCAGAAGATTACTAAGCAGCAATTTTATGACTTTTTCCAGAGAGATTCAGCATCTGGAGTTGTGTCAAGAGTGCCAGAAGTGGCTGTCATTCAAATTGGGTGTTGGAAAAGGGTGGGAATGGGAAGGGAAGTTAAGAGGACAAAGGATACTATGGTGGTTTTGAGTACATTATTGAAATGATTGACTGATAGTGAAGTCCAGGTTGGGTAGGGAAATGAGTGAAGCCAAACAAGGGATATAGACTGGGTTGGAGGTTTTTGTTCCTTTTAGTTTTTTCACTCCCTCTGAAGTATTGATTGATTAGTTTTAATTATAATGAAAATAAACATTTAACATGTTGGGAATTTTATACATTCACCTCTCATCTGAGCATTATACTCCCTGTTTTACAGATGAGGGAACTGAGGTTCAGAGAATAAAGTGACTTGTTCAAAGTTATCCATTATACGTTGGAGCTGAGATTTGAACCTTATGTAAATTGGCATTCAATAATTATTCTCTGGTTGTTTGGTTAAGTGAGAGATCTGATTATTCAAAATTAACAACAGAGTTGCTAATAAGTTCAGCATGGATTTTCTTTAGTGACAGAATTGAAGTAAAATTACAGGGAAAGATTTAGAACTGCACCTGATGCAGGCTGGGCACAGTGGCTCACGCCTGTAATCCCAGCACTTTGGGAGGCTGAAGTGGGCAGATCACTTCAGGTCAGGAGTTTGAGACCAGTCTGGCCAAAATGGCGAAACCCTGTCTCTACTAAAAATATAAAAATTAGCCGGGTGTGGTGGTGCATGCTGGTAGTCCCAGCTACTCAGGAGGCTGAGACATGAGTATCGCTTGAACCCAGGAGGTGGAGGTTGCAGTGAGCAGAGATTGTACCACTGCACTCCAGCCTGGGCGACAGAGCGAGACTCCGTCTCAAATAAAAAAATAAAAAGAACTGCACCTGATGCCATATCTTTATTATTAAACCAACGTTAATTGCAGTAAAATACTATATGTTACATTATATTTGAGTTTTGTTCCGTTTTGTGTTTATGAATTTGATTTGGTCTTAGTTGTATAAGTACATAAGCATGAGGAATTGGTGTATGTTTAGATTTATGCTTAGTACAAATTAAATTACCTTACAGTTAAAGATCCCCAGTGGATGCCTGAAATTACAGGTAGTACTGAACTCTATTTACACTGTACTTTTCTGATACAGTCATACCTATGATAAAGTTTAATTTATAAATTAGGCACAGTAAGAGTTAACAACAATAACTAAAAATAGAACAATTGTAACATGAAATTGTTATATTACCTGATACCCAGCCTGCATCATTAGCAACTCTGTTGCTAATTTTGAATAATCAGATCTTTCACTTAACCAAACAGCCGGAGTAAAAGTTATGTGAATGTGGTTTCTCTCACTCTCAAAATATTAAAATATCTTATTGTACTATACTCACTTATTTTGGGGTCTTGGTTGACCTTAGGTAACTAAAACCACACAAAGTGAAACCTTAGATAAAGGATGACTACTGTAGTAATGTTAAAGGTCCATGAGTTTTTGTTTTTTAAACTTTAGAGTCTTAGAATTCTCACATCTCTGAGATACTGTTCTAATTGGAATTCTCACATCTCCGAGATACTTTTCTAGTTGAGGAAACTGGAAGTGCAAAGTGGTCATGTGACATGTTCAAAGTCACATTGCTAATGCATAACATGTCCTATACTAGACAAACAAAACCTCCCTGTAAGGTACTGTTTTCACTGCATCCTGCTGTCAAGCACATCAAAAACTAAGTTGCCTGATTAGAAGGTGGATCCAAACAGTGATTTTATGCTTGAATATCCTGTTTCAAGCTTTTGTTTCTTTGTTCCTTGTTTTTCCTTTTCAAATTTTTTTCCTCCTTCTTCTCTTTTCCTGCCTTGGTCTCCCCTTCAGTCCTGTCTCATTCCACTCATTTTCTGTTTTTAAAAAAAGTCCTCTGGTTGTAAAAAAAAATTACAATTATAATATATATAATATATAAATATTTATAATTATACTTATTTATAATTATAAAATTAAAATGTCCTACAGTCCCACTACCCAAGTATATCCCTACCTAATTAATATCAATGGTTAGCACTGTTAATGTTTTAAGTATTTCCTTCCAGCCTTGTTTTATTAATGGAAGGAGACTTTCAGTCTTTTTTGTTTTTTGTTTTCGTTTTTGTTTTTTGAGACAGTCTCGCTCTATCGCCGAGGCTGGAGTGCAGTGGTGCGATCTTGGCTCGCTGCAACCTCTGCCTCCTGGGTTCACGCCATTCTCCTGCCTCAGCCTCCTGAGTAGCTGGGACTACAGGCACCCGCCACCACGCCCGGCTAATTTTTTTAAATTTTTTTTTATTTTTAGTAGAGACGGGGTTTCACCGTGTTAGCCAGGATGGTCTCCATCTCCTGACCTCGTGATCCCCCCACCTCAGTCTCCCAAAGTGCTGGGATTACAGGCGTAAACCACCCCACCTGGCTTGTCTTTTTTCTAATGCATATATTTTGAATGTTGCTGGCATATCTCATGCCTTTTTTAATGCCGTGATTTTTTCACTTAATCACTTACAATTAGTTCTGTACCATTTTATCTCATTGAGGAATTTATGCTGTTTATGATATTTCTCTTTTGAATCAATGTTGCATACTCCCTGTGTATATCTAGGCATTTTTGCAGTCATTTTTTTCCTAAAGGAACTTTTCTAGTAACATGATTTTTAGAAGCTACATTGTATACAGAAGAAGGAAAATGAATGCTTCTACCCATTGTACTCCTACCTTCCCCAGTGATGTCTGTTGTTGTATGTTTCTGGATTAGAAAAATTCATAGGCTCATTTGATACTTTTTTGTGGGCGTTTTTCCTCACTTAATTATATTTCTTGGGAATCCTCCTATATCCATATGTAATCAGCTCATTTATTTTCAGTGCCTTTCCTACTCCAAGGCTTGTCTCCCTTTATTCATCTCCAAACATCAGTCCCCTCTTCTCTATTTCTTTCTTTCTTTCCAAGTGGTGTCTCATATGCTTTCCTCAACCTAATGTTTCTGTCTTTTTCTCAATGTTTCTCCAGGATTTATTATCTTGATGTTTTTCTAGGTAACTTTGATGTTATTCTGGTCTTCTGTATGTTCTTTCTCAGAATTTCCTTTATGATCAAAACTTATCCAACATGTTTTTCTGAAATGTTAATCCTATTTAAAAGGAACACTTTGTGGCTTTCTCCCTTCTCTGTCACCCTTGTTTAATTTCCATTTTCTCATTTATTTTGCTGTTGCAGTAGTAACAAGAATGATGCCCACTGCTGTTGTAATTCTTCAAACTAAAGTATGTGACATATTCATTGCTTTAGTTTCTCTCTTAACATACATACAGCCTCCAGTGGTATCTGTGACTACAATTAACTGGTTAACTAGATTCAGGTATATCTCCTAGAAGCAATGTATTTTGGCAGTTTTATATAACTGGTATTTTGTCCCATTGTCCAAAGTGTTGCCATGTTCTCCCTGCCATTTTTCAATGTTTGAAAATTGCTGTTATTAACTTTAAGTGTAATAATTTTCTTTACACTTGGTAATGGTGGACTAAAAGACAAGATTTCTTGCATTTCAGTGTGTCCTGTAGCATTGAGCAGCAAGTTCTAGCCCGGTGACCAGGAAAATAAAACAGAGAATCAACCTTTGGTTTGGACACATTATGGTTTATTGACCCTTCTAATTAGATTTATTATTATTGCAGTGGACTCCTGCATAATTTCCTGATGTTCATCTTTTGTGTTCCTTCCAGTATTATCCACTCTAGCATACTTTCATGTGGGAGCTTAGATATAAGACAGTTACATCCCAAAGGAGCCCATTCTCTGTATCTTTCCAGGTTGAGAGACTTCTACATTTATTTTTTATGTATGCCCAACATGCCCCTCTCTAAGTAACTTAAGAACTATTGTTTAGTTTTAGTTTTCCTTACTCAAAAGCAATTTGAAGTGTAGTTCTATATTTCTGACTTTTTACTCAGGATTGTATCTTGCCCCCAACTTCTTGGTAGGCTCAGTTCTCAGGCTGCTAACAAGCACTTATGTGATAGGCACTGTGCTAAATACAGGGATGAACTCACTTAATACAGACACAACCTTTTGAGACTGTTTTTGTTATCAGAGGAGAAAATAGAAATGAATAACTTTTCCAAAACCATACAGCTAGCAAATTATCTTTTCTGGTATTCTGACCTCACACCCTATGCTCTTAGTTATTACAAAATACTACACCTATAATAACTACCATTCATGGAGTGTTTGCCATGGATTAGGCACTTCAGATGCTGCTTTTAGGTTCATTACCTAATTTAATTCTTCCAACAACTGTGAAAGGAAAAAAATGGGCTCAAACAGGTGAGGTAAATGACTTGTTCACTGATTCCTCAGGTTTCATATCCGTAAAGAGATGAATAGTGTCAAATGTTTTTTACCTTGACACAGAACAAAGTAAATTGTAAGATTTGTCCCAGCATGCAGATACACCAGAAACTAAATTTCATGAAACACTTACCCTTAATATACTCCAGTACTTTCTCTTCTATATAATTACAAAATAAATGCCAGTCATGAACCACTAAATTGGTTTTATCACTTCTTACTGGGTTTGTAACCTGTAGTTTCAACCATTCCTTTGGAGGCTAAAGGTGACTAAGGTTCGTCCAGCTTCAGTATTCTGTTGTCTACAATCAGGCCAATCAGAATCATAGAACATGGATAATCTAACCTTGTGGCTGATGCATAAATTTTTGTAATATTCCTAGCAAATGGATATCTAGTACCTGTTTTAAACATCTCCAATTTTCAATATTTAACATGGTATTTAGTCCATCTGGAAAATACAGATTGAGGTATGTATATATTCATGTTGTAAGTAGAAAATGTGTTAGCATTAGGTGAGACATGGGTGGTCTGTTTGTGCATATATAAACATCTTGGTGCTAAAGGTCTTTTTACAAAATTTGCCAATTGGCTGCAGGCAAGACTTGCCAAAGATGAGAGATTAGTGAATTTAGTGGATTTAGGGGGAGGCAGATGTCTAAGTAAAACAAATAAAACACTTACATTGGAGGTATAAATTAAGTTTTTTGAATTTTGATATATGTGAAAATTCTTCAGAGGTGAATTTGTAATGCATGTCTAATATTTTAAATATTAATTTTCTTTAGTCTATAACTCCCTCAGTTGTTGGATCTGCTAGACATTCAGTATGTGCCACCTTTGAAAATAATACTCTGTGGTCAATAAAAAATAAATAACAAGTATTTAAAAACTCACTGTGTTTAGTGAAATTAAATTTTAATCAAAACACATTTTTATATTTGATCATATGGATAGTTAGATTATCCTTGAGAAATTGGATAGCAAATTGCATTTTAATATAGTAGAAACTCTACTATTCAATTTATGTAGATTTTTATAGCATTAGGCTGTAGTTTAATTTAGAAATAATTTGACATGCTTGTTAAAATACTCATGATTTGTAAACATATTAAATGTATATTTTAACTGTAAAATACAATAAATAAACAGTATGCTGTATGAGCCTAATATTAAACTATTTGCTTATAAATCCGCCTTTTTTGTTATTTCCCTTTAGGTTGGATGGAGTACTGCTCGTGATTATTACACGTTTTTATGGTCCCCTATGCCTGAACATTATGTGGAAGGATCAACAGTCAATTGTGTACTAGCATTCCAAGGTAAGGACTGAAAACTGCAGAACTCAATGAAACTAGATGTCTTATTGCCATTAAAGATGTTGTACTCCATTGTAATGATTTGTTCAGGTATCTCCAGGGTACCAAAGTTGAATTAGTTAGTGTCTTTACTTAGCAAAAGCCCTAAGAATGTAACTGTCTGGTGTAGGCCACATGATATTTTATGTAGACATTTAAAAGTTATTGGTTGTTGTCTTAACTTTCACTGAAGAGTGGGTTTCTTTTTAGGTACTAATTTTTGGAGATTTTTTTTTTTCAAGTGAGAAAACAATACAATAGTAATAACAGATATTAGAATAATGTAACAAAAAAGAGGTGAGGAAAATAGTCCAGATGCAAACCACAAACATGATTAACAGAACTTATAGTTATTTGAATTCTGTCATGTGTAAGTTCCTTTATTATAAAATGATAAAGTAATATAAAATTCATTTTTGTGTTAGCTTGGCATTATTTACAAAATTTAAAAAATACTCTTATTCAGGTAATTCTGACATATGCTACAATATGGGTGAACACTGAGGATGTTATGATAAGTTAAATAAGCCAATCACAAAAAGAAAAATACTGCATAATTCCGCTATATGAGGTACTTAGAGTAGGGATAGACACAGAAAGTAGAATGGTGGTCTGCAGGGCATTCAGGTTCCCTCAAGGGAGGAATGGGGAGTTATTGTTTAATGAGGGTAGAGAGTTTCAGTTTTAAAAGATGAGAACAATTTTGGAGATAATGGTGGTGGTGGTTGCACAACAATATGAATGTGCTTAACATTGAACTATACACTTTAAAATGCTTGAGATAGTAAATTTTATGTGTTTTTTAGCACAACTTAAAAACTTGAAAAAAAAATAACACTTATTCAGAGATCTATCACAGAATTTGCTGCAGAGTAATTTTGTATTATAATTGTACTGACTTTAGGATTGTATTAAAGTGAATTCTTACCCTTGTATATGTCATAGATTTCTTTTGGTCTGGTGAAGTTTATGGACTCTGTCTCAGAATAATATTTTAATGTATATAAAATAAGACATAAAATTGCAAAGAAAACCAATTATATTGAAATAATTAAAATATCACAGTAACAAATTTTTGATATATTAATACATGTGCTTCAAAATCTGTGTGTTAACAAGATGTATTTTATTGGCAGATTTAATCACTGCCATGATTTCCAAGTAAGATAACATTGAGATACCTGTAACAATTGTAATGTGGTATTAACATATAAGTAATTCCTGTTAGTGACAAAAATCACAAATACTGATAGTAATCAAAGTACATGCTAAAATTTTAGTTAGATGTTAGTAAAAATAAAAATATAATGTTTTTCTCCATTAAAGTTGATGGATGACCTGAATTTTCTGTATCCTTTAACCCCAAGTTGAACATTCCCTAAAACTGCCTCTTTGCTATTGAGAACTTTATTTGCCTTTATGTTTAAAAAAAAAAAATTCTAGGACTTTATTGCTTTCCCCTGGGGCTGGCTATTAATAATTAAGACTTTTTCCTCTGGGTTTCTCATATCTTTAAGCAATGGGCTCTGTTAAGAATGTTCTTATGTTAGCAGAAAGAAGTTTACATTGTATGAATCACTACTTTAAAAAAATGTGCTCAGGATTATGAGATGAATGATTTAAAATAAAGTTTATTGTCTCACACATTTTCACATATTTTAATGCAATTTTAAAATTTTGTAAATCTTTTTTTTTTTTTTTTGAGCCGGAGTCACACTGTGTTACCCAGGCTGGAGTGCAATGGTGTGATCTCAGTTCACTGCAATCTCTGCCTGCTGGGTTCAAGCGATTCTTGTGCCTCAGCCTCCTGAGTAGCTGGAACTACAGGTGCTCACCACCACGCTTGGCTGATTTTTGTATTTTTAATGGAGACGGGGTTTTGCCATGTTGGCCAGGCTGGTCTCAAATTCCTGACCTCAGGTGATCCACCCGCCTCGGCCTCCCAAAGTGCTGGGATTACAAGTGTGAGCCACCATGCCTGGCCCTAAATCTTTAAAATGAAACCCCAAATCATTTCTCCCTTATCTGATCTGGTTTACCATATTCAGAATGTTAAAAATTAAATTTGTTTTAACAAACTAAAAGAAAAACCTTTAAAAAACCAAACTATACTAAAATATTTATTTAATGAAAATACTTTGTTAGCATGCAAATACTTACTTCAGAAAGGAACCAAAAAACAGTTTGAATTTGGGATAAACATTTCTAGTATTATTTATTTTAGAATTTTTTTTTTTTTTTGAGACGGCTTCTTGCTCTGTCTCCCAGGCTGGAGTGCAGTGGCGCGATCTCGGCTCATTGCAAGCTCCGCCTCCTTAGTTTTCGCCATTCTCCTGCCTCAGCCTCCCAAGTAGCTGGGACCGGAGGCGCCCGCCACCATGCCTGGCTAATTTTTTTTGTATTTTTAGTAGAGATGGGGTTTCACCGTGTTAGCCAGGGTGGTCTCGATCTCCTGACCTTGTGATCCGCCCGCCTCGGCTTCCCAAAGTGTTGGAATTACAGGCATGAGCCGCCGCACCTGGCTGAAAAATTTTTACAGTGATCCCTCCCTTGAGTTTCAGTCAGTTTTTGTTATAGTCGCTAAGAGAGAGCATCAGCCTGTTTTAAGGGCAGCATAACTTGGAGCCTATGCACATAGCTTTGGTATAGTGATTTCCAAACTTAACTTTAATTTGGAATCCTGCGTGCTTTAAGACACACAGAAATTTATGTCCCACCTCCAGATGTTGTGATTTAATTGGTCTGTGGTATGGCCTGGGTTTTAGAATTTTGAAAAGATCAACAGGTGATTCTGTTATGTAGAAGTTTGGGAACCAGTGGCATGGCAGACAGTTTTCAGCAAATAATTGTTAACATTATCTAATTGATATGGTCTTATCTAAGTTAAAATGTCCTGTTTTTTTATCAGGCAATATCTGACTTGGATTTTGGTGACATGTGCAGAGCAGCCTTCTAAAATAACTAGGCTCAGATTAATCAGCTTCAGATAGTTTAATTTTAAAAAATTAACATACTTTTTTGGAGCAGTTTTAGGTTTACAGAAAAAATTGAATGAAAAGTAGAGTTCTCTTGCAATCCCTTACACCACCCTTCCCTGCTTTCCTTTATTTTAACATCTTGTGTGCTCCATTTGTTATAATTGATGGACCAATATTAATACACTATTATTGTCTGAGTTCATAGTTTACATCAGGGTTCACTGTGTGATGTAAATTCTGTTGATTTTGATGAATGTATGAAGACATATACCTACTGTTGCAGTATCATAAAGAACAATAACTTCACTCCCCTAAAAGTCTCCTGTGTCCCACCAACTCATCTCTCCTTCCCTCCTGGTAAAACCCTGGCAACCAGTGATGTTTTACTGTCCCCACAGTTTTGCCGTAAAATGTCATAGAGTTGGAATCATAACGATATGTAGTCTTTTCAGATTGGCTTCTTTTACTTAGCAACATGTGGTTAAAATTCCCTCATGTCTTTTAGTGGTTTGAATAGCTCATTTCTTTTATTACTGATTAATATTCTATTGAATGGATGTATCATAGTTTATGAATCTATTGAAGGAGATCTTGGTTGCTTCCACGTTTTGGCACTTACAAATAATGCTGCAATAAACACTCTTGTGCAAGTTTTTGTGTGGATGTAAGTTTTCATTTCATGTGAGTAAATACCAGGGAATGTAATTAATTAATTGTATAAGAGCATGTTCAGTTTTGTAGGAAACTGCGAAACTGTCTTCCAAAGTGGCTTGTACCATTTTATATTCCTACCTGCAATGAATGATGAGAGTTCCTGTTGCTCCACATTTTCAGCAGCATTTGATGGTGTCATTGCTTTGGATTTTGGTGGTCTGTTTGTTTAAAAACTTTTTTTCACTTTATTCTGAATTTTGCATATGTTTGGTCTAAACATTAATTGGCAATGTGAGTTCATGGAACTTGCATATATAAAGAAATTTCCTTCTGTTCTGTGCCAGGAAACCAGTATGCAGAGGATAAAACTTGTGGTGAAATATGGGCAATGATTTAGGTATTCATAGATGTTTTTTGGATAAGGAAATGTTGTAAGTTATATATGTAGTTTATCTTTTAATAGCCTTTTTTAGATAATAAAATTTAGGTGTGTATTGGAACCGGTTTTGTTACATTTAAAACTTCTTTCCTGAAAGCTGTTGGTTTATTTTTAGTCATTTTTATTGTGATTGGTTTCCCCTTAAAAAATAAGTTAACTGCCAGGTTAACTTATTTTTTAAGTGGTGACTCACACCTGTAATCTCAGCTGTTTGGGAGGTTGAGGCAGGTGGATGGCTTGTGACCAGGAGTTAAGAGACCAGTGTGGGCAACATAGTGAGACTCCATCTGTTGAAAAAAATTTATTCAATTTGTTATAGTGACTATTGCTTTTGTTTATTAGGGACTTAGGAGTAAGTTTAAAAGTGGTTAAAAAGTAGAGAAAAGCATCCAGTTTATTTCTGTTAATACTTTAAAAACATTTTTGGGCCAGACATGGTGGCTCACACTTCTAATGTTAACATTTTGTGAGGCCAAGGAGGATGGATTGCATGAGCCCAGGAATTTGAGACCAGCCTGGGCAATTTGGCAAAACTTCATCTCTACAAAAAATACCCCCAAAATTAGCCAGGCATGGTGGTGTACACCTAAAGTCCCAGCTACTTGAGAGGCTGAGGTGGGGAGGATCACTTGAGCCCAGGAGGCTGGGGTTGCGGTGAGCCGAGATTGTACCACTTCACTCCAGACTTGGCGACAGAGTGAGAACCTGTCTCAAAAATTCATGGGCACTAAGCCTAAATGCAATATGTTTTACAAGTTTCTGAAAATTCAACAGTTCATTTTTATTTTGAATTTTGAAATTCAGAAATAAAAGCATCTCCGTGCCTAGAACTTTTTTGTTATATAAGGAAGTCAGGGAAAGCTTAGTCATTGAATATTAGAGTTATAGAAGGGCTTTCAAGCATAATGCAAATCACTTTGCTCATTTTGTGGATGAGTAATGAGAATCCTGAAATGCAAAACCCAAAACATCTAACAATACCTAAACGTGATTGTTTTCCTAAATGAACCCTTATTTATTTATTATAATCTTGTTGAATACTAAAGGCACAGTCTGTAAAATTTGACTCGAAAATTTAGTTTTCACTTTTTCCCATTTTATTTTCAGTATCCATCTGACAAGTTTTTCCAGGCAGCTTTAAATTGCAGCTCTGAATAATTATGTCTATCTCAAATGGTTTTGAACCATATTTTTTAGCAGTTTATTTTAGTGAAGTTTTTGTTTTTTAAAGAATCAGACCTTGAGGCCGGGCACGGTGGCTCACACCTGTAATCCCAGCACTTTGGGAGGCCGGGGCGGGTGGATTACCTGAGGATAGGAATTCAAGACCAGTCTTGCCAACATGGTGAAACCCCGTCTCCACTAAAATACAAAAGAATTCGCTGGGCGTGATGGCGTGTGCCTGTAATTCCAGCTACTCGGGAGGCTGACGCAGGGGAATTGCTTGAAGCAGGGAGGTGGAGGTTGCAGTAAGCTGAGATCAGGCCACTGCACTCCAGCCTGGGTGACAGAGCGAGACTCTGTCTCAAAAAAAAAAAAAGAATCAGACCTTGAATACCTAGTTTGTACAGTTTCTAATGTCTTGATGCCAGAGCTGATTAATTATGCTATATATTTGTTTTCTAGTTAAGCTTTTAAATAAGCCTAGTGGCTATTTGGAAGTTGGTATGAATTAGTAAGTTTTTAGTAGCTATTAGGAGGGTGGATTTTTAAAATCTTTAAAAATGTATGTTGCCAGATACATGTCTATGATATTTATTTAAACTTTGTATTTTGAAGTAATTTTAGATGTAAAGAAAACTTGCAAAAGTAGTACACAGAATTTCTGTATGCCCTTTGCCCATCTTCGTGTCATGTGAGCATCTTACATGACCATGGTACATTTATTTAAGAAACCAATAGTTTAACAGTGGTACAGTACTATTGACTAAAGTACAAACCTTACTCAGATTTCACCAGTGTTTCCATTACTGTTCTTTTTCTGTTCTTAGATCCAGTCTTTAATTCCTCTTTGTATTTAATTGTCATGTTGTCTTAGTCTCCTTGGTTTCCTCCTTATCTTTCATAACCTTTACTTTCTTGTGAAGTACTGTTAGCATTTTGTGGTGTTGTTTGTTTTGGTAGCTTGTCTCTCATCTTGGTTTTGCTCGATGTTTTCTCATGATTAGATTGAAGTTATGCATTTTTGGGAAGAATGCCATAGAAACAGTATTGTACCTTTCTCAGTACATTTTATCAGGGAGTATGTGATGTCCATACATCTTATTACTGGTTATAATAATCTTGATTGCTTGTTTAAGATTGTGTCTTCTGGATTTCTCCACTGTAAATAAAGTTATTATTTTTTTCCCTTGTAATTAATGAATATTATGAGGGAGCTACTTTGAGACTGTGGAAATATCTTGTTTCTCCTCATATTTTCAGCCACTAATTTTAGTATCCCTCTGTGCATCTTGCCTACGATTATTGTGGTGTTTGCCTAATGAAGTTCATTACTTGTATATTTATTAGTTGATCATTACGTTAGAAAGAATTTTCTTCTTCTCCATGGAATCATTAATTTCTTCTGTGAAATAAAGTCTAATACCATATTTTTTTTGTTACTTAAATTGTTTCAGCTTTAGCCATTTGGAGCTTTTCAAGTGGGCTCCTGTATTTTTTTTTGACATGCTCCACCCCTCTCTTAATTCCTTTTTGTGGACTGCTACTTTGCTTTAAAGCGCCACAAGAATTTCTCTTATCTTATAGATTGTCTGCCTCTCCTCTCTGTTTTTTTTTTTTTTTTTTTTTTTTGAGGCGGAGTCTCACTCTGTCGCTCAGGCTGGAGTGCAGTGGCACCATCATGGTTCATTGCAGTCTTGACCTCCTGGGCTCAAGCGATCCTCCCGCTTCAGCCTCCCTAGTAGCTGGGACTGCAGGTACATGCCATCACACCTGGCAAATTTTTGTATTTTTTGTAGTGACAGGGTTTCACCATGTTGGCCAGGCTGGTCTCTAACTCCAGGTGGGCTCAAGCGAATCTGCCCACCTTGGCCTTCCAAAGTGCTGGGATTACAGGCATGAGCCACCGCACTGGGTCCTAAAGCTTATTTTTACCATACTGCACTAGCAGACCTCATCTTTTCTGCCTTCATATAGTTCACATGTGCAGCATATTACTTTAGTTAATATCTCTTATTTACATGTAATGAATGTCAAATTGGAGGGAAGATTTCTCTAAATGACATATTCCCACCCCCACTCCCAGTCCTCAGTAGACTTTTATATTGGTTCTTCCCTTGCTCCTCCTCCAGCCTCTTTCCCATTGTAAAGTATATACTTGCCTGTCCTAAATGAGTGGGTTTTGCCCTAGTGAAGATACAAGGGGAAAGGATATTCTGGGAATATAAGCTTAAACCTAAGAGAAGAAAAAATTTAACTTTGAGTAGGAAGGAAGAATCTAGTTTTGATAATTTGCGAAAGGAGGAAGGACATATCCCAGATTCTTGTCAAGAACAGTGTGGGGAATGAGACATGGCAAGTATTGTTAAATTGAAATAACATGAATTTTATAATAGGAAGTTTAATAATTTTGTTTGTTAACTTCCTCTTAGGATATTACCTTCCAAATGATGATGGAGAATTTTATCAGTTCTGTTACGTTACCCATAAGGGTGAAATTCGTGGAGCAAGTACACCTTTCCAGTTTCGAGCTTCTTCTCCAGTTGAAGAGCTGCTTACTATGGAAGATGAAGGAAATTCTGACATGTTAGTGGTGACCACAAAAGCAGGCCTTCTTGAGGTTGGTGTTCACAGTGAGATAGTGATTCATTGATAATTTTAAGAACAGAGCTCATGTTGGTTGGCATTTTAAGAATTTTAAGGTTATGTGAGAGTTGCCACAAAAATCGAATGCTTTGGCTGGGCGCAGTGGCTCACGCCTGTAATCCCGGCACTCTGGGAGGCCGAGGCAGGCAGATCACGATGTCAGGATATCGAGACCATCCTGGCTAACACGGTGTAACTCTGTCTCTACTAAGAATACAAAAAATTAGACGGGCGTGGTGGCAGGCACCTGTAGTCCCAGCTACTCGGGAGGCTGAAGCAGGAGAATGGCATGAACCCGGGAGGCAGAGCTTGCAGTGAGCCAAGATCGTGCCACTGCACTCCAGCCTGGGCGACAGAGCGAGACTCCGTATCAAAAAAAAAAAAAAAAAAAAAAAAAAAAAAAAAAAAAAAAAAAAAATCGAATGCTTTTTAACTAAAATAATAAATTTAGAGTGTCTTTTTTTGAAATGCTTAAAAAAATCTTTTGGCCACAATTATGCTGTTGGTTCCACTGTGGCAGAGACTTTCCCTAGGGCCTATCCTTATTTTGCGCATAGTGGATAGTGCAGTAAGTACCAATTGGGAGAGTTTAGGTCTAAAGCTTTCCTTATGTTCCTTTGCCTAACTTTTTGTGGTGGCGTAATCAGTTCATTGTAGAATGTTACCGATTTGGGGATGAAGCTGCTTGGGATAATGGTGTAAATCAATAAATCTAACTGTAATTGGATGTGAACTTTGTTTCACTACCATGAGCATTCTCTTTCTAAAGTGTGGCAGTGAGTCAGGGGAGCTTCCCAGTCTCTTAATTTAGATTGGACATTTTTAGAATGATTCCTGTTGTACTTCTGATGAAATGAATAAGCCTAGATTAACCATAATTTAAAAAGAAAATTTAAAAAGCTATTTACTCCTTACTGTTTTTGTAAATAGAATATTGTGGAGTCATGATCATGGCTTTAATATAAATTTACTATGTAGATGGTCTAATAATGCCTTGTGTATTAATTTTTAGTAGTCATTGACAGAAAAAATAGAGTGACATTCTTTTCTCATTTTAAGATCACATTTTTCAATATCTTTATCCTATACCTAAAAAACTACAGTGTTATATTTGAGTTATTGTGATTAATTGTATATAGTGCCCTCTATTATAATAATAAGAAAAATAGTTTCTCAAATTGGTTCAGTATACATTTTTGGCTAATTTATATTCATATTTCTTCTATTGCAGCTATTGCTTTTTCTTTATAGTTGGATAGATTTTTTTAACATGTAAATATTTAATACCTTTGATTTTACTTTTATTTACCTCAAAGAACTGAGACTGGAGTAAAAAGACAAGAGGTTACAGATAGAATACTTTTATTAGACAGTCAAACTAGGTTAGGAGGAACTAATGATTTTTTATTGTGAATTCTTTCATATCTTTCCTTCCCCTTTACAGAAATTCCTCTCTTATCTTAAAGAAATGTAACTTTTATAGGGTGACTAAAACATTTTGTGGTGCAACTGCCTGATGATCAAGGTTTTTAGCTTTGTATTTGAATGCCAGTCAAAGATGCTGAAACAAACCCAGATCTTAAGAATGCAGTCAGTATTTATATTGTAGCTTTTTGAATACTTATTAGACCACCCTCATTTCAGGGCCTCCAACAGAAAAGTGATGGGCATTTTGGCATTCACATTTATCTTGTACTTTTTCTTCAAGTAGATTGAGACATATCTCATTCTGTTTCACTCCTTCCTACTCCACAAAGGGTACTTTATAAAGAATGTGAAAATTGCTGTTTCTTAAGTAAATATTTCTGAGATTAAATGTTTTTTTAACAAATATTTTGGTGAGTCTTTAAAATTCTCACATTCATTAAAATCTTTATCTAAAACTGCACAAAATTATTACAAATGTGAGACATTATCTGGGGTCCTGTTGACATTAAAAGTGATTAGTGAGACATAATTTTGCAATCTGTGGACCTTGATTGTGTCCTAGATTTAAAAAAAAACTGGGGGGATAGTGAGGGATATTTGACTATGGCCTATTGGAGGATATAAAATTATTCTTAATATTCTTAGCTATAATAATAGTGGTGGTTTAAAGCCAACTGTCCTTATTAGGTGATGCTTGCTCTGAAGTATTTAGGAGTGAAGTGTCTGCAATTTCACATTAAATGGCTTAGAAGAAAAAAGGATACATAAACTTAGGTATATAAAGAGATAAACATGCAAGATATTAATAATCAGTGAATTTAGGTGATGGATGTTTGGATGATCATTGTAAAATTTTAACTATTTTGTATGCTTAACATATTCCAAAATACAAAATTGAGGCAAGAAATGAGACATATACATTCTTATCTAATTTGAATTCTTCTAAAAATGTCTACTTAAGCTTTAGTGAACTCTTGAGAAAGTATATGTGAATTAAATAAATCACTGGAAAAGGTGATTCTTTTATAAAGTCTATGTTGTGCTATGTCAAGATATATCTTTATTTTTAAGTTGCCAGAGTTTTGAGCCAGATTTAATGCCAAATTAATAATGACATTAACCTTTATGGGTGATATACTTGCCTGGTTCTAATTTTCTGTTGACTTTATTGAATGCCATTTATTGCAAACTATTTCAAATCATTTTTTAAAAATAGATAAGATATAAAAAAATTCAATGATTGAATAAATAAACTTTTCCTGGCATTTTGATTTGATTTGTTGGAACAGGTAGAAGAGTCATTCAGAAAGTTTGCAGCTATTCAACTTTGATAAGAGCCATTTTAGAATTTAATCAGTTTGATTTCATAATCCCATGACCCTGGAAAACCAATTTGGGGTGTATGGAGGAAAAACATTTTACCAATTAAATGTATAATACCACCTTTGTTAAGTCTTCCCTGTGAGTCTTCATTCTTCCTGTAAGAGAAATATTAACTTTGTTTTACTATCTTATGACCATTTATTTAGTAATCTTTTAGAATATTGAAGTTTATATTTTCCTGAACTATTAGCTGTTCCCATAAGAATCAGGTATATTGTTAATATGTTGTTACAGTCTGCATGTTTGTCCTAAAATTTGTATTTTTACTTATGAAGAGTGTTTTAATTTAGCCAAGTAGAGGCCATTTTATATATAGAAACTATACATTTCTTGGTGTCTTAAGGAATCAGCACTTTTAGTAGTAATTCCATAGATGAAGGCCTTATATACCATATAGTAAGTTTGTGATAGATTCAAAGATTTCCTATAGGTTTGCATTCAAGAAGAGGTACAACTTTTCCTCTTGGAGTATCTGATTATTACTGTGGATAAGAAAGCCCTGTAATTAACGGGAACATTAATATGCCTTATTTTTAGTTCTGATCTCAAAAATGATTAGCAGCCAACTTCATAATACAGTTCTCTCATTTTGTAATATTTTCTTCTTTGCTCAACCAAAAGAAGGTTTAAATTTATGATTGATGAATTTTTCTAACTGAAGGCTAAAAAAAGGCTGATTGATATAAAGTAGGTAGAATGTAAGAGTTCTTTCTGTGAATGTCTTCATTATTTTTTTTGGAAATGGAAAACTAAATTTGTAATAACATATTTTAGGATTAAGCAAAAAACTAATTAATCTGAGTTTTTTGCTTTATAGTTGAAAATTGAGAAAACCATGAAAGAAAAAGAAGAACTGTTAAAGTTAATTGCCGTTCTGGAAAAAGAAACAGCACAACTTCGAGAACAAGTTGGGAGAATGGAAAGAGAACTTAACCATGAGAAAGAAAGATGTGACCAACTGCAAGCAGAACAAAAGGTTAGTTGTGTCTTATGTAACTGATTGAAGTTGATAGTATATTGCCTGAAACCCACCTTTTTAAAGAGCTGAACCAATTAAGTAAGTGAAAACCAGGTACTGAGAAAAGTAGCCTTTTAGATAGACGTTTATACAAGAACAGGTCAGTTCCTATTAACCTTCTGCCACAGCTGCTTTTATGTTTGTAAGATGGTTAAAATACTTTTAGACTTTTGGTACCAGGCTTGTTGAGGTAGTCCCTGACAACTATTTCCAGATGTTTTACATCTAATTGTAGAATACTTGATTTTTTTTGTTTAGAAATACAATTAGAAATGATAAACGCTGAATAAAGGAAAAATGGGATACATAAATTAAAATTACTTTTCAAAAAAGCATAATTTGGTGAAATAAGATGTAGTATTAGACAAAATTTTGAAATTTTTAATGGGTGAAATGCTATGTTATCCTAAGAAACAAACTAGTTAAAATTGGCAGAATTTCTTGAGCTAAGAAAAAGAGAGACAGGTACAATGAAGCAGAAAACATTGTGGCTTCATTAGTGATAGAAATAGACTTGTAAGAAGCCAAAAACAGTGAAAAAACAGTTATCTAGTCATTGACTTGTTTATTTAATATTTTCACAAGAAAAGCAGTTTGTTCTGAAACTTACACAGACTGTGATCTTATATATTACAGTCTCATGTACAGTAGAGCCGGTTGGGCATATTTATGCCCATTTACAGTATTGAGCTATTGTTTCCTGAGGGTGGGGTCTGTTCTGTTATCCTTTTGTCCAACAAGGCCTCCAGCAATTGCTTAATAATTGCTAAATGAACCGCTAGTGCAGTGATTCTCAAACATTTGTATACTCCAGTGGAGTGGTTATATATTGCACACCTGGGCAGAGATGTTATACAAGTAAGTCTTAAATTCTGAAAAGATTTTCCTTGCTTTGTTCTATTTGTTTGAGGATTGCTCTTTTGAGTTAGAGGGTAAACATAATGTCAAGTACTATGTACATTTACAAATCTCCTTATAAATGTGAAGTCTTCAATTCTGTCTTTTCTATCGTTAGCCTTTTTAGTTAAAAATATGCAAGTATTTCCCAGTTTTACTCCTGGGGAACACTTAGTGTCCTGCAGCAGACTATAGGAGTAGGATTTTCCATTTGGTTAAGGAACTACTTTTTTCATTTGAACCTTTGAAGCAGGTATACCAAGTATTAAAATATAGTAAAATCTCATAATATGTGCCCTCGATGACTATTAGGACATTCAGCAATTTTTTTTTTTTTTTTTTTTTTTTTTTTTTTTTACTCATTTGTTGTAATTCTCTTGCTGCTTTGTGTAGTTATTACTCTCTTTTTCTCCATTCTTCACATATTTTTCTCATGATTTATACCTGGATTTGGTAGTTTTCCAAAGTTTAATGTCAATCTTTTTTTTTTTTTTCACTGTATTACAAGCCAGAGGGATCAAGGTGAGATAGATGACTCATGAAAAAGGCCCATTTCACCATGTCCTAAGCCCATGAGATCAAGAATATCCTGAAATGTGGGCTTTGAGGTTTTGACTCTGATTACTTTGAAATCCAAGGAAGGAATGGATGATTGTGAGAATAGGAATGGCGGAATGATAGGCCTTCATTTGTGTGAAATTACATATATATATACACACACACACATCGGGCCATTTCTCTGGTCCATTTGAGTAGTAGCTAAGATTTAAACAGTCTCAGATTCTCTGTGCTCTCCAGGTGATAAAGGGGTTAAGGACTACAGACAAGACTAAAGTGGTAGACTGAGGTCAGGGGATTAATGAAGCAAAACTTGTAGGACATTGTGGCCTTGGTGCTCAGAAGAGGTCTTCAGCAGAAGTTTTTATGCCAACTCTTAAATCTTGATGACAGTCACGAATCTTGGAGGAGACTGCTTCTCTGCTGCCATTCTTGCATTGGGGCATATTCTCTGGGAAGCACTTGAAAGTGATTTTTTAAATGATATTCCATATTATAGAAAAAAATTGACAAAGGACCTGGAATGGTACTTGATGCATGGGAAGTTCTCTCTAAATGTAAGTAGCTATTATTATTTTACTGTTTTTCATAATAGGAACCAGAGAATCATCAAGGAAGGACTACAATATAAAGTGTCATCCAACAGGACTGGAAATTCATAGCATTTCCCTCAGATTCTAAAAGTATAATGGATACATAATGTAACCAAAAAAACCCTCTAAGTTATAAGACATATGTGGTGACAATTGTTTATTTCTGGGGATAAAACGTGTTGGCCAGGAGAGATAGTTCCTCTTTGTTACTAGTCAATGGACTTTTAGTTTTTTTTTTTTTATGAATTTGCTTCATATTCCAAAATTAGTCTCCATTTTAATCAAGCATGCCTGCTGGGCAGCTACAACTCCAGACTTTCAAACTGGTCTGGTTGGATGGCTTATAAAATCTGTGACATTTCTTGGCACTTGTTTTAAATCTGTTCCATGGTGTGAATCCTATAGTAGTTCTAGAGGTCTTCTATTTGAGGTACTGAGTATATAAACTGTTGAATATCTGAAAGATTGTTCTGATGTATCATCTATAATTTCATTTAAAGTTTTGTAATGGATTCTCCATGTAATAAGCAGAGACCTTCATTTTCTTCATAATAGGAGAAATTTATTGCATTTCCATTCTTTTATAAAATAATATGACTAGCTTATTACCTATTCCATACTTGACAAAAAATAAAAGTGAATTAAATTCTGTAATTGTTTATTAATAAAATTTTTCATCTTTTATCACATTGACTTTTATCACTCTAAAGTGCTCTAATAATTAAAACTAAATGAAATTCTGATAATTACAATTCTTTAACTTGGTAAATTAAAAGAATTGGATATGTTGGGATTATTACAACAGATTGGTTTAAATTATGTGTTTGTTTTTAATGTTATTTTATGAAATTGGCTGCTTGAAGGAATAAACTAGGATTACAAAGTAGATTAAAACTAAAACAAGATAATGTTTATAAATTGAGAAACAATAAATTACATATTGTATTTCCCCTAGATTTTTGTGGTATCTACTTCATTATTCATGTACATCCTAGATTTAAAAAGTAACTCTATTATTAAGGATAATTTTCCATTCCTTTCTGGTTCAACTGTAAGGGAAGATTTCTCCCCTCCTCTCTTGAAAAAGGCTCATTAATAAAAATAACTCATATAACACTTAATAAAAGCCAGATGGTGATTTGAGTGCTTTACATATGTTAGCTAACTTCGTCCTGTGAAGTAAGCAGTATCGTCTGCATTTTTCAGAGGTAGCACAGAGAGGCTACTTACTTGTCCGTGATTGCACAGTTAGTAAGTGATAGAGGCTAGCAGTATGGCTCCAGTCCGTGCTTTTAACCACTGCTGTATACTTCTGAGGGCCAAAGATGTGAGCTGATCTAATTGATTATTTTTCAAAACAGCTTTATTGAGATGTCATTTGTGTATCATAAAGTTCACCAGTTTATACAATTCAATGGATTTTAATGTATTTACAAAATCATGCAACCATTACCATAGTCTAATTTAGGAACAAATTCATCCCCAAAAGAAAGCTTTTACTTACTTGTGGTTACTCTACCGTTTACCTTCTGATTGCTTCCCCCAGTCCCAGACAGCCACTAATTGAAATTTCTGTATCTATGGATTTGTGTATTTTGGACATTTCACATGAATGGAATCATATAATATGTGGCCTTTGTGACTGGCTTATTTCACTTAGCATAATGTTTTCAAGGTTCATCCATGTTGTAATATATATTGTTAATTCACTCCTTTTATTGCCAAATAATCTATTGTACTGATGAGTATTTTTTGAAACCCCATCTTTACATTTATCAAAGACTTCTGTGAAAATTAGCAGTTTGTGTGTTTCATTGTGTTCTTGTTTGTATTTTGGAGTGCTAGATACGTATTGGAAATTGAAAGAGTTAAAACTGAGGCTCAGAGAACCAGTGATTTTGAATCTTGTTTTTCAAATAGGAGTAAAAAGAGCTGTGCCTCTGTTAAGTTTTTCAGTTAATTTAGCTTATAATTTTTTTGGAGCCTAAACTATGAATTGAGTTTTTTTCATATAATTGTATTTTCAACTTGAATAATAAGATGGATGTGATGTACTTCAAGGCATTTTTGAACTATATTTGAGAATATTAAAGTAATATTGCCAAAACAATGTAATGGAGGATGTTACAAACTGTTAAATGTATTCATACTGTTTTGATTCTTAAGTTTCACAAACTGGGTAGGAGACATCACCAGGTATTTGGGAAGTATCATAGGTATGGGAGTGAGAGAATGTGCAAGATCTCTTCTCTGGTTAGTGTGGACCTCTTAAGCTATCTTTATCTTTTTGGCTGTTTCTTCTCTAAAACGTAAAGATATTTTGTGTTGTTGTAGAGTGACAGCATATACTGCAAAGAACAACTTGTCATCAGATAGAGTTTTCCTTTTTATTCTCATTGAAATAAGGTGGTCACTTAGTTTTTCTGAGTTCAGGCTTCCTCATGGATAAGTCGTCTAGTTAACAAGTGGCAAAGTTGAGAACCTGAAAACCCAAGCTAGGTGTTTTTGTTACTATATTACAATGGCTTATAATAACAGATACAAGTATAGTATGTCTCTTTATTCATCAAGTATTTATGGAATAAATAGATAACAATGAGTTTTGGGGCTTGTGGCATTCTGACCAGCTTTAATTGTAGTCAAAAGAAGGGTCTGAAGGTGACGTTTTATTTGGAATATGGGATTTTATGGTCTTGAAAAATGATTTAAAAAAACATATATTTAAAAACTATCATTCTTGGACAGTCCTGGTTTACTATATGTGAGCTATTTACAATGTTTTCTTTTTATGCATCTTTAGTGTTTTTCTGTGGCCTTCCAGTTCTTTTAAGAAGTTTTAAAAAAGCACTATTTTGTACTTTATCATTTTATAAATATTGTGGGTATTCTGGTATTTAAAGGGATGAAAATACCAGTTTTTAACAGCTAACAAATGAATTGAAAGATTTTGTATTACTAAAACTCAGCAGTCATTTGTCTCCCTCTAGCGATCACATAACTGTGCCACATTGCCCATTTACTTAGCATGTTTTGATTGAAAACCAGAAAAAAGAAGTTTAATACCTTTTAAATTATGTTGCACATTTTATGGAATTTGGTTTACATTTATTTAAGATTGTCCTGATTACAATTTTAATAGAAAATCAGTAGTTCCTGCAAAGATTTTGGGAAGCCTTTAATATCTTGCTTCATTGAGCCTGAGAAGCTATGGTTATACATCATTACTGCCAGGAAAAAAATAATCCAAGTAAACTAAGACATACCGTTGATTGTAAGATGCATCTCCATTTCAGAAAGGATAAATTGTGGGAAAAAATCAGCATATAGTTTTAGTACAGTAATGTAATGTCTTTGTGGATATTAGTCATTGAAATGGTTTTCTCATTTATAGAAGAAATTTTTCTTATCAGAATATACCAGGACACATAATGGTATGGTTAGATGAAACTCATTGATAATACAATTGAAGGATCATATGTATTAAAAGTTTAAAGTTTAGAATTTTGAGTTGCGGGAACTTAAGTCAAATGGAGTTCTTTCTGATAAATGGAATTTTGTGGTGGTAGCTTTGTAATATGTCACCTTGCTAGGCTGAACTTATTTTCCAGAGTTCTCTTCTCTGTAATTTGTTTAGGATGAGACACAAGAGAGATTCTTGCATGAGATTTGAAGGCAGAAGTGAAGCAGCAGCCATTTTTGTAGCTTATACAAGTTGTGGCTTCTCTCCTGGCTCACCTTGTTGGTATGAGGTAGTAGTAGCCAGGCTGCAATTGCCCTACCTTCTGTGGAATCCTCTTTCAGTTTCTCCATCTCTTGGGTTAGGTCTGTCAGGAAGGACCCCAGCATGCTCAAGACATCTTGAGACTATCAGGGTCAGAATAAAAACCAACATGGACTTCAGTTTTCAGTCCGTTCTGGTGGGCTTCATCTGGTGATTGTGGATCCTATTTTGTTCTTGCTTTTCCCACTTTATGATGTCTTTCTTGATTGCCTGCCTTACACAAGCTAGTTCCAGCTTCTACAGTTACACAAGATCAAATCTCTTAGTGTCTCTCTCAGTCTGTCTGTTCGTCTGTCTGTCTTTCTCTCTCTCCCCAGCTGTTTGCTTATCTGGTCAAGCACTGACTGATAAATTTACCATGGTACATAATTCTTAGGGAGATTTTATGCAACTTCAAATTTGAAATTCTAGTAATGTAAATTAACATTTAGGAAATTGAATTAACCATTTTCCCTTCAAAATGGTAGTGGTACCTTTTGGAGTACTTAAGTATTCTTCAGTGTATTGTAAGTAATTTTAAGGATTCTTATAAAGAACCAACCTGGTAAAATGCATAGATAAAGGTTTCTGTCTGGTATAATTTTCCTTCTACCTGAAAGGACTTTCTTTAACATTTTTGTAGTGCAGGTCTTCTGTTGATGAATTTGTTCAACTTTTGTATGTTAGGAAAAGTCTTATTTTACCTTTAGTTTTAAAAGAGATTTTTGTTGTGTATAGAATTCTAGATAGATAGTTTTTGTATTTGAGTATTTTAGAAATGTGGTTCTTCTCACGTTTATTGTTTTTGATGAGAAATTCAGTGTCATTGGTATTTTTCTTCCTTTATATTTAATGTGTTTTTTTCCTCTTACTATTTTTAAGATTTACTCTTTATCATTGAATTTAAGTGGTTGATTATGTTGTGTCCTCTTTATTTTCTTTATTTTTTATGCTTGGGGTTCAGTGACCTTTTTGTATCTGTATACTTATGGTTTTCATTAAATTTTGAAAATTTTAGGCCATTATTTCTTCAGCTGTTTTTTCTGTCTTTCCTCTTCTTCAGGGACTCGAGTACACATATGTTTTGTTGCTTAAAGTTGTTTCAGAGTTCACTTGTGCTTTTTTTTTTCACTTGTGCTTTTTTTTTAAGTCCCTTTTCTCTCTGTTTCATTTTAAATAGTTAAATTTTATTTGTCTCCAAGTTCACTAATCTTTTCTTTGCAATATTTAATCTGCCATTAGTCCCATCCAGTATATATATATTTTTTATCTCAGACATTGTTGTTTTCATTCCTAGAAGTTTGATTTGAGTCTTTTTCATGTCTTTCATGTTTCTATGTGTTTACTGTGTTCAATTTTCTTCTAGCTTCTTGAACATATGGAATACACATGTTTAAATGTCCGTTCATTAACTTGATCATCTGGCTCATTTCTGTATCAGTTTTGATTGATTGGCTTTTCTACTCATTATGGGTTATATTTTTCTGCCTCTCTGCATGCCTAGTAATTTTTGATTGGATGTCATATATTGTGAATTATACCTTGCTGGGTGTTGGGATATTTTTTATATTCCTAAAAATATTCTTGAGCTTTGTTCTGGGATGTGGTTTAATTACTTGGCAACAGTTTGATTTTTTTGAGCCTTGTTTTCAAGCTTTGTTTAGTGGTACCAGAGCAGCATTTAGACTGGGGTTACTCTCTCCCCACTACTGAGGAAAGACCCTTCTTTCAATTAGAGAATACTGTAATTGTTCTCCCATGAATTATGAGTTTTTCCACTCTGGCTGGTAGGAATAACCACTATTCCTGGCCCTTTTTGAGTTCCAGGCACTGTTCCCTGTAGTCCTTTTTGGGTGATTCTTTCTCCAGCCTGGGTTAATTTCCTCACACGCATATGCTGATCACTAATCAGCTCAAGACTTGAGGGGGACTCCTTGCAGATCTCTCGAGTTCTTTTTCTACATGATTCTTCTCTGGTACTCTCTCCTGAAACTATTCTCCTTAGCTTTCCTAGACTCTCAGTTTCTCTCCATAACTCAGGGAGACCACTGGATTCTGCCTGAGTTTGCCTCTTTGCCCTGTGGCCTTAAAAGTCTCTCTAGACAGTAATAAGCTGGAGCAGTTATAGAGGTGACCTCTGTTGTTTCTTTTCTTTCAGGGATCACTGACCTTTTATCCTGATGTCCAGTGGCTTGAGAGCTGTTCTTCATTCAGTTTTTTAGTTTTCAGGTGGTAGAGTTCATTTGGTTCTTGTTACTTTATCTTGGCACGATTTTAGTTGCATCTAATTGTGTGTTTTAGAGTCGCTATCAGGAGAAATGTTTATTTAGAGGAGCCAAGATATTCTTTCTCAAGTGATTTGAATTATCTGGTATTCTAGGTACCCAGGTTTAAAAGCCTGTATGGTTTTTCTGCACGTATTTGGCATTCTGTTCTTAGTTTTCTATTCCATGGTACTCAAAGTAGCTGGTTCAGAAACTTTGTTACTGGTCTGTGTTGGAATGAAAAATGTACACTGCAATGTATGTAAATGCATTACTTTCTTCACTGAGAAAGTATTGCTATGAAAAGCTGTTAGGTGAACCCAACAGTGTGGTTAGTGATGTAGTTGATTTATATTTTGTACAAGTGTCTTGTCTTGATATAGCCTGGTAACTGTCGGTGGTCTAGTACTGTTCGCCTAGTCACACTCTTGAGTAGCTGCTTGTACTTTATATTACGTAGTTTAACAAACGTGGACTTTTATTTAATATGCTTTTTATTGTACTCAAGAATATAGATAGGTTCTGTAAGATTGTATCCAGGATTATTCAGTTGCAGATATAAAAGAAAGCAAGCATCCAAAAGCCAACCTATATTAACTTCAGTTACCTTGATTTTTAAAAAACTTATACAATTGGCCAGGTGCGGTGGCTCACGCCTGTAATCCCAGCACTTTGGGAGGCTGAGGTGGGTGGATCACAAGGTCAAGAGATCGAGACCATCCTGGCCAACATGGTGAAACCTCGTCTCTACTAAAAATACAAAAATTAGCTGAGTGTGGTGGCACGCACCTGTAGTCCTGCTACTCGGGAGGCTGAGGTAGGAGAATTGCTTGAACCTGCGAGGTGGAGGTTGCAGTGAGCCAAGATCATGCCACTGCACTTCAGCCTGGCAACAGAGTGAGACTGCGTTTAAAAAAAAAAAAAAAGTATACAATTTGGATGGTTTTTTGTATATTTATAGAGTCATGCCACCATCACCAAAATTTAATTTTAGGATGTTTTTTATCATCCTGCAAAGAAACCTTGAGTCCATTAACAGTCACTCCTTACATACCCCTGTCTCCAGCCCTAGGTAACCTTGAGTCTACTTTCTCTGTCTCTATATTTGCCTTTTTTTTAATATTTGTTTAATGATTTTGAGGTTCATCCATAGATCAGTACTTTGTTTCTTTTTATTGCTTAATAATATTCTATATCTTGATGTAAAATTTTCTTTTTAAAATATAGAGACAAGGCCTCACTATGTTTCCCAGCTGGCCTCAGACTCCTGGACTCCAGCCATCCTCTCACCCCAGCCTCTCAAGTAACTGGGACTACAGGTGTGCACCACTGTGCTTGGCTCATATCTAGATTTTTGATTTTTGAGGCAAATATCTTGAGGCACTTTCTGACAAGTGCTTTGCTGTTTTGAGATCCTCTACCATATGTATTTGTTGCCCTTCAAATTGGCTGTTTTTGGATTAAGTGTACTCAGTATCATAGCAGTGTTTGAACTAGCTTTGTAATTTCCCTATTTTTGGCTTTTAGTTGCTACATTTTCTCTTCAAGATTCAGATATTTAAAGTAATTTACAATAGTAGTTGAATTTGGGTATGATCAGTGATGCATATCTTATACTTTATTACATAGCCAATTTAATTTTTTGTCTTAATGGCAGTGTATCAGATGAGTTACTTGATTTGAATACTAGTCAGGGATAAATAATGAATTAGAGTGAAGACAAAGAAACCCAACAGTGTAAAGTTTTTGTTGTTCTTAATGTAACAGTCTATGTCATAAGTCATTGAAGTCTGGGGAGGGGATCGCAGATTTGCTTTGCATGATTATTCGGGGGCCTTGTTACCTTTTATATCATTCCACTGCCCACCCTTAGATTCCTAGAGAATTTATGTCTTCGTGATAGAAACTTGGTCACTGACATATCCTGGTTTCAGCTGGATGAAAGGGGAAAGAGATCTTAGACAAGGCATGATCAATAGTGTAAGTTATAGAGGTGGAAGTAATATATATCATTTCATTTATATTTAACTGATGATAATTTAGATGACTATAATGCATTGCAAGAGAAGCTGGGAATACAGTATAGTTGGGCAGTGATATGTAGTTACTATGGTTGAAAGGAGGTCATAATTTGGCAGACAACCAGCAGTCTCTGCCACAACACACAACACCAATATAGTAGTCTTTGAATTTAGCAGTTTGTGAATGAGATCTGGAAGTTATCTTTGGAGAGTATCTTATAACTTAATCTATTTATTAGTACCACTGTTAAGAAAGGTCATATCAAGAGTAGATAAAAATCAAATTACCAAAATTTCAGTACCTCAATTATTAAAATTTTCAGTTATTATTTTAGAAAACTTTTGTTTAAAGATATTGGAAAGTTGAAATCATTCTCAGTTCTTCCATTTACTAGCTGTGTAACCTTTGATAAACTACTTAACTTCTCTGTGGCTCACTTTTCTCATGTGAACGAGCCTTATAGTCGTTCCTAATTCTTAGGCCATGTGCTCATCAAATGAGAATGTATTATACATAAAGCACATAACATTTCCTACACAGTAGCTCTCAAGATAGCTGTTATTGTTATCATAGCATTAGGTACCTGGTTTTGGACAGAGGCAGTTTAAGGCATTTAGTATCTAATACATGGAATTGCCAAAAACCAGTTTTGAATTTATGATCTCATTGAATTTGTTTTTGTTTGTTTTTGCCAATTGTCATCAAGAAAAGATACAAAAGGCTTAATTTTAATACATGGGGTGATGATTATAACTTATGTATACATAGCAATATATTTCTTTCAAGCCAATTACTTTAATTTTGTACCTGCTTTACAAAGTAATAGTTTTAAGAAACTCATAATATATTATTTCTACAATATATTTATATACTTTTAAACCCATAATTTTTGTATTGATAAGTACAGAACTGTACAATGAAGCATTTTCATAGTTTATTTCATAAGACTACATCATTGAGTAGTTCCCATTCAATTTAATTAAAAGGTAATTTTAAGTAAAGTTATACTACCCTAAATTTTTTTACTTATTCCCTAACTCTTTAAAAATGTATATGAAACCTAATGTTAAAAAAAAATCACTAGTTTGTGGAATAAATTCATATTCAGGAAATAATTTAGACACTAATATATTTGTAGCCTGTCTCTCTTCCCCCTCCTCTCCACTCCAACCACAAAAATAGTGCTTGGATCTGTTATTTTCTGTAAAAGTTGAATTTAAGTACATTTGTTCATAGCAGATTTTTCAGTGAATTGAAGGTAGCCCTCACATTTTTTACTATAGTCATGCACCACTTGACAATGGGGATACGTTCTTAGAAATGTGTTGTTAGATGATTTCCTCTTTGTGCAAACATCATAGAGTGTACTTACACAAACCTAGATAGTATATCCTACTGCGCACCTAGGCTATATGGTATAACCTGTTGCTCCTAGGCTACAAACCTGTACAGCATGTTAGTGTACTGAATACTGTAGGCAGTTGTAACACATGGTAAATATTTGTGTATCTAAACATATCTAGATATCTTAGAAAAGGAAAGGTACAGTAAAAATATTGTATAAAATGTAAAATTTGTTATACCTGTATAGGGCATTTACCACAAATGGAGCTTGCAGGACTGACAGTGCTCTAGGTTATTCAGGGAGTGAGTAGTGAGTGAATGTGAAGGCCCAGGGCATTGCTGTACACTACTGTAGATTTTATAAATATTGTATACTTAGACTACACTAAATTAATTAATTAATTAATTTTTTTTTTTGAGACGGAGTCTTACTCTGTTGCCCAGGCTGGAGTACAGTGCAGTGGCGTGATCTCGGCTCACTGCAACCTCCAGCTCCTGGGTTCAGGTGATTCTTGTGCCTCAGCCTCCGGAGTAACTGGGATTACAGGTGCACGCCACCACACCTGGCTGATTTTTATGTTTTTAGTAGAGACAGGGTTTCACCATGTTGGCCAGGCTCTCGTACACCTGACCTCAGGTGATCTGCCCGCCTCGGCCTCCCAAAATGCTGTGATTACAGACATGAGCCACCGCACCTGGCCAGACTATACTAAATGTATAAAATATTTTTTTCTCCAAAAATAAATTAACCTTAGCTCACTGTAACATTTTCACTCTCTTTTTAAAAACTTTTTGATTCTTTTGAAATAACATTTAGCTCAAAACACAAACATGTACAGCTGTGCAAAAATATTCTTTCTTTGTATCCAAATTCCATAAGATTTTTCCATTTTAAAAACTTTTTGTTTTCTTTTCTTGTTTTATTTTATTTTATTTTTTTGAGATGGAGTCTTTCTCTGTCGCCCAGGCTGGAGTGCAGTGGCATAATCTAGGCTCATTGCAACCTCCACGTCGTGTGTTCAAGCAATTCTCCTGCTTGAGTAGCCTCTCAAGTAGCTGGGACTACAGGCACACACCACCACGCCCAGCTAATTTTTTTTTTCTTTGGTATTTTTAGTAGAGATGGGATTTCACCATGTTGGCCAGGCAGGTCTTGAACTACTGACCTCAGGTGACCCACCCACCTAGGCCCCCCAAAGTGCTGGGATTACAGATGTGAGCTGCCACACCGGCCAAATATTATATTTTTGTCTGGTGGATTTGTAGAAACCAGAGAAGATGTCTTTATAGTCTGTGTAGCTGTCATCATAACTTGGTATTATAGTTGATTTCAAAATTAGGTGTTTGAGAAAAGCCAGATTAAGTAAAATGAGTGATATTTGATTTAAAATCTGACTAGCAATTTTCATAAATAATTGTTTTGTCAATAATTTGTTATTTAAAGTGTTCAGGTGCTAGTTTACTAAATTTTACTCTGTGTATGTGTGAATCTAGAATACCATACCTTTTTTCTAGATAATTGTTAGTGATACTGTATCTGGTTTCTTCATATGCTTTTGTTTATAATCAGAATTTTATTTTTTAACATGAGAATAAATGTGCTCTGTTATTTTAAATACTTTTAAAATGTGTTTAGCCACCTAGATGAATGATTCATAATCTTTTTATCGGGTTATTCATAAGTGAGAGTTATGACTTGTGGGAATTGGTAATAGTGGCTCATGGAAACAGTGATTTTTTTAGTTTAGGAGTGGGAGGAAAGTCCCTGCATGAATCTGAAGTACTCAAATCTCTTTATCTCCCTTTGCCCCAATTTTTATGATTGTTTTCATATCGGCATACAATGTAGCAGGCTTAATTATCTGATGGAGGTTTTCTTTGTTTTAATATTAGAATTATGATGTCCTTTTGGCATGATTTACAAATGACTAAAAGTGTTTTAGAAAAATTGTCTTTTAGATTTTATCTTTTAAAGTTAATTTTTGAAAGCATGATTCCTAGTTGTTTGAAATGGCAAAGCTCTTAGCTTTTTCATGCTAAGAACGACGGAGCCACATTGAAGATGCTTATGCTTAACTCAGACGTGAAAACTACAGGCCTGAAGAATAATCCTTACTTTATCGTTTTCATGTGTTTTGAAAGGAGGCTTGTATGCTGGGAAGCTATCAGGTGCCTTTATGGGCACCAGAGAAAGTCTAAGACGCTTGTTGTAGTCAGAGTTAATTTATAATTCACTGTAAAGTTAACTGACTCAAAGCAATTAGTTCATGATTTACATTCAGTTGCTAGTGATTTTTTTCTCTTTTCCTATGCATTTTGTAGAATGCTGTATACCCGTTATAGGGCTTCATTACTTACAGGATTGGAAAGTAATTTTGTCCTAGGGAGAAATACTTGGGTTAAATCTGTAGTGTATTTGCAGTGCCAAGAGAGCACTGGTGGTAAAACTAAAAATAAAAAAAATGTGAACATTATTTAGAAACCTCTCTGGCCATCTTTATAAATCAACAAGACAAATCCTGAAAATGTGCCCAATTTCACAGCAATCATTATGATTGCAGAGGAAATAAATATTATTTGTTTTTTTCTCTGGTATTATGGCATTGGAACCAAAAAAGCATTTTGTACAACAGTTTTTGGTTAGTGTTACAAATTCAGTCAGACAAACATTTGCTTTGACCAAAAATAAGTCAATAGGGTGTATCTGACTTTTAGAAAATAATGTAGCAATGTTCATATTCTAGCAAGATATTTAAAATGATATTCTATCAAGAAAATACTTGGGTGAGTTCTTTTATGTGAATTAAAGTGAATTATAAATACTATATAATCTTTCATACTTTTAACTTGGCAGAACGGTGATTTTTTTAGTTTTTGTTGCTGGGTAGGTAAGTATTACTGTTTTGGGGAGAAATTTTAAAATTGTTCTTTAATAAAAATAATTTTATCTTAATTTACCAATTCTTTTATAATATAGTTTTCTATAACAAAGCACTTCCCTATATACACTGTTATATTTGAGTCTTATGAATTGTCCATTTAAAGTAGAATATTCCAAGTAGAAATTCAATTCAACATTCAATTTGTTGCACTTACTACCTCTTTTATATTTGTCTTAGTGTCTTTGAATATTTGTTTAGGCCTCTGAGTCACACTGGCAAGAAGATTAGGAACATGGCTTTAGGCATATGTTAGTGCTTTGATGGCAGTTAGTGACCTGTGCTAGAAAAAGTGGGTGTTAACCTTGATGGTGTCGTGTAAGACTTGATATGTCGTGACTAATTTTTAAAATTTTTTTCTCATTTTTCTTGCCTGCCCCCTGGTGGAGAAAAGTTAGTAAAATCAACATACAGGGTACATGAAAAGTCTGAAGGTGGGGGGAAAATGTATATAAATAAACGAATCATTGCTCATGCCTGTAGTCCCAGCACTTTTGGAGGCCGAGGCAGGAGGATTGTTTGAGCCCAGGAGTTTCAGCCTGGGTGACATGGCAAAACCCTGTCTCTATTAAAAAAAAAATTAGCCAGGCGTGGTGGTGGGTGCCTGTAGTCCCAACTACCTGGGAGGCTGAGGTGGGAGGATCACCTGAGCTGTGATTGTGCCACCATACTGCAGCCTGAGTGACAAAGTGAGACCCCAAACAAAAAACAAATTATCGATTAATTTAGTATATGAAAATTTAAATATATGTTATCATTTCAAGTTTTATAGTCTTAGCTTCTCAAATTTGGAGGGAACAAATGTGGGATTAAAATTCTAAGAATACATAGTTTTCTTAAAGATATGCAAATTTGCTTTACTGATTATGTTTCTGTGTTTTCTCAAAATACCTTGTTGTCACTTCTCAGGGTCTTACTGAAGTAACACAAAGCTTAAAAATGGAAAATGAAGAGTTTAAGAAGAGGTTCAGTGATGCTACATCCAAAGCCCATCAGCTTGAGGAAGATATTGTGTCAGTAACACATAAAGCAATTGAAAAAGAAACCGAATTAGACAGGTATTTCTCATGCTTTTAAAAAATAAATTCAATAAAAATTTTAAAACTTTAAAACATTATAATGTTACTTTATCATACCTATCTTAGTTTAAAGGACAAACTCAAGAAGGCACAACATGAAAGAGAACAACTTGAATGTCAGTTGAAGACAGAGAAGGATGAAAAGGAACTTTATAAGGTAATTTATTTTTTACCATATCTATTGCCTGTTGCTTCAAAAGAAATGACCCCAGAACTTAGGGGCTGTAGGTCAGCAATTTAGGAGCAGCTTAGCTGAGTGGTTCTGGCTCTAGCCTCTTGTGTAGTTGCAGTCAGGATGTTGGCAAGGGGTGCAGTCAGCTAAGGGCTTGATTGGGACTGGAGGGTTTGCTTTCAAGATGGCTTACTCCAGTGGCTTTTGGCAGGAGAACCTTCAGCTCCTCTTGAAGTGGTCTTTTCATAGGCTGCTTGAATATCCTCACAGCATGGCAGCTAGCTTCTCTCAGAGTGAGTGATCCAGGAGAGAGCAAGGAGGAAGTCACAGTCATGTTGTATATCACCCCTAAAAGTTAGTTTTCAGGGAATTAATTTGCTGCTGTTTTAGATACTTAACAGGTAGTGTGTAATAAGTTGAAGAGGTTTAATGGAATTAAGATACTTGTTTATCACAATTCATGTAACTATTTTTCCTTTTTAAGAACATATATATATATACACATTGGGGAGAACATTAATTTAGTAATAATCCCATTTTAGAGTTTGACTTTTAGAATATCTTCAGAGATGTCATTTTGTAAAAATATCCTCACTGCTAACAAATCTTGACCGCTTGAAGTTTTGAATTTTTTTTTTTTTTTTTGAGATGGAGTCTCGCTCTGTCGCCCAGGCTGAAGTGCAGTGGTGCGATCTCGGCCCACTGCAAGCTCTGCCTCTCGGGTTCACGCCATTCTCCTGCCTCAGCCTCCCGAGGACCTGGGACTACAGGTGCCCGCGACCACGTCCGGCTAATTTTTTGTATTTTTTTAGTAGAGACGAGGTTTCACCATGTTAGCCAGGATGGTCTCGATCTCCTGACCCGCCTCAGCCTCCCAAAGTGCTGGGATTACAGGCGTGAGCCGCCGTGCCTGGCAGTTTTTATTTATTTATTTTTTTAAGCAACCCTGAAATATAGGGTAGTTAGCTTAATTGTCAGTAATGCTGTGGGTGCAAATTGAGACTTATTTTTTTAAGTGGCTCATAAGCATTTCCTGAAGGCAATTCCAGATGAGGAATTTCAAGAACATTCTGAGTTAAGTCCGTTTCTTGTTAAGTCAATTTAATGAGCTGATGATTATGAACATCAGGTAGCGTTTTAAAGTGATGCTGCAAGGGTGTTGGTTGCTGATGTCTTCAGAGAATCAGGAGTTAATATTCTATCCTTGTGAACAGGAATTAGTCCTTCAGCATTCTGTATATTTAAAGAGTAAAGTGCAAGAAGTAAGTTAATTCATTTCTCCTCAGTACTCTTAACGAAAGCAGGATATACTTGATAGTGTACACTACAGGTCTGTATTTATAATTCCAGTTATTGAATTTGATTTGTATGTGTGTTAGGAGCAAATCAGCAATAGCGAGAGTCATGGGAAAATCAATATAGTTGGGTTAGTCAACAAATACATTTTTCAGCACATTGAAACTAAATGATATCGTACTTTTCGCCTGCAGAAAATGGAATTGTTTGAGATGTTGTTTTTGAATGCACCCCTTCTAGTTTTCCAGAGTCTTGTCGTGCCAGATTTGAATATGCCAAATAACATAATTTGTTTCCCCAAAAGAACAACCAAATCTATTTGCATTTTTAAAGAGAACCTGAAACCATTAAATCAAAGGAAAAGACTTTAGAGATCAGGTGATGTTGTTAGGGCTTAGAATAATCTCTCTGGAAAATAAAAAAGCTTAGAAAAGCTGTGTTCTGCTCCTGCATGCTTAACTAGTCATTTGGCAGAACCTGGGTCTCCTAAATCCTAGTCTAGTATGTCTTTCCTTCCTTTCGTTGTCTTTGGGTTAGAAATATAATGGTATTTTAAACTTTGACTAACTTAGGTCATGGAGTTAGAATATTCTTGACATTTTCAAACACCATTACAGGTACATTTGAAGAATACAGAAATAGAAAATACCAAGCTTATGTCAGAGGTCCAGACTTTAAAAAATTTAGATGGGAACAAAGAAAGCGTGATTACTCATTTCAAAGAAGAGATTGGCAGGCTGCAGTTATGTTTGGCTGAAAAGGAAAATCTGCAAAGAACTTTCCTGCTTACAACCTCAAGTAAAGTAAGTACTTTTGCTATATATATTTGAAGATTGTAAAACATACCTATGAAATGTATGCAATATGATTTTCATTTTTAATTCCCCCAAGCTTTTGTTCTAAAAAAGTTCAAACTTACAAAACAGTTGGAAGAACAGAACAATGAATACTGATGTACCCTAAAATATTTTGCCATTCTTTGTTTTATCTCCCTCATTTATATGCCTTTTTTTCTGAGCGATGTGAGTTGCAAGTATTACGATAATTTACTCTAAATACTTTAGCATGTCTCCCTTATGAACAAGTGCATTCTTCTTCATAGCCATGACACCGTTATTACACCTAAGAATTTAGCACTGATTGAATAACAGTCATTCTCATAGTTAGTTCACAATCACATTGCCCCAAATGTATTCTTATATAATCTTTAAAATTTTGTGATTCACAGTTAGTCAAAGACTACATATTATTTTGATTGTTGTATTTTGAGTCGGTTTCAGTCTAGAATAGTGTCCCTACACTTTTTATGACATTGATATTTTTGGAGAAGACAGGCTAGTCTGAGAAAATGTTCTATAATCTGGATTTGTCTGTTGTTTCTCATGACTAGATTCAGGTGAGACATTTTTGCAAGAAAAGACATAGATGATGTTTTGTCCATCCTGTTGGAGTCATATCAAAAGTTATATAATGTCAATTTGTTTCGTTCTTGATAATGTTAGGTTTAATAATTTGTTTAAAGTTATGCCTACCTGTCTCTATATAGGTGCCTTTCTTTTCTTTCCCTGTTTGTGATTATTAAGCAATCTGTATAAACACCCTGTTCTCCAACAGCCTTTCCTCAATGTTTTTATTGTCCTTTGATGCTCCTCACCTGCATCAGCTATTATGTTGGTAATAATTAATGATAGAAAAATGGTGATTTAAAAAATTCTATTATGCCTTCTACATTTATTTGTAGGTAATCTTTTATCATGAGGACATTCCTGTCACCCTTCCCTCTTTTTTAAATATAACTTTGGACTTACTGATTTTTTGCTGCATATTATGCATAATCATCATTATTCTTTTTCATACCCAAATTGTTCTGAATTTAACCAGGGGAACCTTTTCAAGCCTGCTTTTTTGTCCTGATATGTTCCTATAATGCTTTGAATACTTTCTTGCTTTATGGCACAACTGTATGTTCTAACTTCAGGTTGTTCCCCCAGACCTGATATTACCATTTCTCCAAGAAACTCTGTTTTTTTTAGTAGGTAATGGTATTTTGAAACCAAGAACTGGATCCTATTGCTACTATGGGGCTGCTGCTTTGCACATTCAGTGGGTATTTTGCATCTTTAATTTATATTGATAGCTCCAATTCAGATTTAGTACCTTAGGATTCTTCCTTCCTTTGCTCCATTCCATATTTATATCTCTCTTCTCGCAATGTGAGAACTCTTGTTTCCCAAACATCATTATTACTCATGTGTTTCCATCCAGCCGTACACACCAGTGTTTTCACAATTATTACATCAATGCCACTTCCAACAATAAATGTACTAAATAAAGCTAAGGTATTTTTACAGCTCTTTTTTCTTAGAATATGTTTCACTAAGGATGTATAGAAACGCCATGTTCAAAAGTTACTTGAACTATTTTTTTGCATACCTATGTTATAAATTTGTAATATAATTTCATTTGCTTGTATTTAATTTTAATATTTGCTTTTATTCTTCTGTTTGATTTATTTTTATTGTTTGAATATGTAAAACAGTTGCTTTGTTCAGAAGTCAAAATGATAGAAAAATTTTACTCTGAGGTCTCAATCTCTTCCTTGTTTTTTTAAACCCTTTTCTTACCTATGCCCATAGATAAACATTTTCATAAGTTTCTAGTTTATTCTTATGTTTCTTTTTGTAAAAATAAGCTTATATATGCATGTGTACATGTACATACATCCTTCTTTATCCTCTTCGTTCTTAAAAAAGGTAGCGCTACTATACATACCATTTTGCACCTTTTTCTCACTGAACAAAATAAGTTGCTAGTTACTCCATATCAGTTTGTAGAGATCTTCCTCATTTGAAAAAAATGGCCACATAATATTCCATTATATAGATTTACCTTGATTGATTCATTATTTCTTATGATGTTATTTTTAGTAATTTGCTATTAAAAATACTCAGACATAGTTAATGTAATACCTAAAACGTCAGAAGCGCATGACATTTAGAATTAATGGTTAATCCTTGTTACTTTTTAATGTAACAGATTGCCAGTGCAAACATGAGAAGTGTATTTGATTATTTGTTATTTAATAAGATGCTAAAAATTTCTCTAAGCATCTTTTTCCTATTTAAGCAAGACTTCTGTGAGGAAAAGCGTAGTTATGGAAGTACCTGAGAAAAATGACTACTAGTTGCTAAAGCTTTTAAAAGATTGTGAAAGTAGTTTGAGGTGATGGTTATAAAAAAATTTAAACAGTACATGAGGATACAAAGTAAAATGTAATCCTCATCCCTTCTCAGATAAGTAAGTTATTATTGAATTTATGAATATACGTATATTTATATTTTAACACAAATTAGAATTTATACATTTTTTCCTTTTAAAAAAATTTATAAATGGATATCTTGCACTATGATACACATGTGGATCTTTTTCATTCATCATAACAACTGCCTAGTATTTCTTCTCTTCATTTAACAACTGTGTAGTATATGTTTTTTGATTGTTTTTGATTGTTTATAGTCTTCAGCTTTTATAAGCATCCTGCAGTAAACATCCTTATAGCAATATGTAGGCACATTTATAATCCGTAGAATAAGTTCTTTCAAGTGGAATTACTGGGTCAATGAGTATTTAAATTTTGATAGTTATTTTCAAATTACCTTTCAAAAAAATGTTCTATTGATTTTTTTATTCCCACCAAGAGTATATGAGATATGTATTGTTTGTAATGTCTGCACAGACTTTGATTATATAGAGGTAGTATATCATAGTTTATCATAAATTCTCATGTTGGTAGACATTTTAGGTTCTTAATGATTTTTCATTATTTTAGTATTTTATTGAATCCTTGTAAAGCTAAACCTATGTCTATACCCTTTGATAATTTTCTTGGAAACTTATGGAAATAAAATTGCTAGATCAAAAGCTGTGAGAATTTTTAAGGTGCTGATGAATGTTGTAAATATCTGATGAGAAAAGATGCCAGTTACAGTTTATATAAGCCCACCTGTTTGTGAATGTGCCAGTTGCCCTAAACCCATGCAAATATTGGAATGTTACTGTTTTTTTGATCTTTGTTAGTTTGAAAGGTGAATGGCATTTGTTTTAACTTATTTGTTTGATTGTTGGTGAGTTGAATTTTTTTACTGCATAATCGCATTTATTTCTTTAGAAAATTTTGTATGTTCATGACTTTTGACTTTTGTTTTGTTTCTCCTTATTGACTAGAAAAGTTATTTATATCAAGTATTATTATACCTTTCTTGAATATATTACATATAATTTTCTTCTAGTTCTTTTTCTTCTCCTTTGACATATAGAAGTTGGCGATCTTTTTATAGGTAGATCTATTAGTGTGATGCCTCCGAAGATTTTGTCCATGCCAACACTGCATAAAATCATCATTTACATTTCCTTCTAAGGGGCTAACAGTTTAGAAACCAATATTGGGTTGCATTTTTTTCCTGATTTTACATTATTTTTAGTACAGAGATTAAAAACAGGAAGTTGAATAAACTAAATTTATTGTGTTTATAATGTTTAAATGTTATAATGTTTAAACATTAATATTAAAGGAAATAATTTCACCATGGCAATTTTAGCTTTTTAAAGATACTTTTAGGTTTGTCAAGCAGTATGAATTACTTTTCATTTTCCCAATGCCTCGTCTTTACTATTTGTATATCAATATTTTGTTTTTAGAACTAAGGCCTAAATCTGTTCTGTGTTTTTATAATGATATGAAATAGATTTATATTATATTGGATGTCTCTTGGGGTAGAAAGTAGGAAACATCTTTTAACCAAAATTTTTGGTGTTACAAAGAAGCTTTCGGAATGATTTTTACTGGTAGTCATACAAAATGAGGGTCAGTATTTCTAGCTGAAGAGATTCTGGGGGATGGGATCTTTTGTTTGAGCCTCAGTTTGGGCAGGTCCTTAAGCACTGGGTATGTTGCCTGACTCGCTGTACTTTAGCTTCCTTGTGTATAAAGTAGTAGCAGTGAAACCAAGTACATAGGGTTGTTATAGAGGGAACCTAAAACAAAGTTACTTCTTAAGTTTTTTGTAGGCATATACTCTGTAAGTCATGAGTAGAAAAACCAATATCTAAAATTTTGGCCCTGTTGAAATATGTGCGAAAATTGTTTCTGCTTCTGTTTTTTACTTGAGTGGTTGAATTACAAATATATTTATCTGCTTTCTTCAGGAAGATACTTGTTTTTTAAAGGAGCAACTTCGTAAAGCAGAGGAACAGGTTCAGGCAACTCGGCAAGAAGTTGTCTTTCTGGCTAAAGAACTCAGTGATGCTGTCAACGTACGAGACAGAACGATGGCAGACCTGCATACTGCACGCTTGGAAAACGAGAAAGTGAAAAAGCAGTTAGCTGATGCAGTGGCAGAACTTAAACTAAATGCTATGAAAAAAGATCAGGTAAAACAAGTTAATTTTGAATTTGCATTTTGATTTAAGAAACCACTATAATCTCACAAAGTAGTAAATTGTGTTAAGATAAGACAGGTCAGATTTCTGCCTTATTTTAAATTTAAAATTTTCATTCCTTTTGTTTAGTCATTGTGACTTCTTGGCTTACAGTTAATGTGTGCTGTAAGGAAAACTTCTGTAAGCAGAATTCTTAATGGTTGGTGAAAGCTGCCCTATTGATTAAATATATTGATGTCAGATATGTATTGTTTTGTTTGGAATTTCTTACTAGCTGTATAAAACAGTATTATGGTTGTTTAAGGGAGTAATAATTGCTCTTCAGGAGGTGGATTATTTTTCTCTAGTTTTTTAAATGAACCTTAGTCCTAAGAATGTAAAACTGGACTTAACAAGAGACCCTATGTTGCTCTGTAGCCAAAATCCCAAAATAAAAAAGTGGCCGGGGACAGTTGCTCACACCTATAACCTCAGCACTTTGGGGGGCTGAGGTGGGAAGATCGCTTGATCCCAGGAATTCAAGACCAGCCCGGGCAACATAGTGAGACCTCATCTCTACAAAAATTTTCAAAAATTACCCAGGTGTGGTGGTGTGCAGCTGTAGTCCCAGCTAGTCCAAAGGCTGAGACAAGAGGATTGCTTGAGCCAGGAGGTCAAGGCTGCAGTGAGCCATAATTGGGCCACTGTGTTTCAGCCTGGGTGACAGAGCAAGACTCTGTCTCAAAAACAAAAAAAAGAAAAAAAGTAAGATTGAAGTTGGGGTTACTATTAACATTAGGAGGTATCAGATTTTTATTTTTTTCTTCAAATGTTTGTTTCTTTCTAGGACAAGACTGATACACTGGAACACGAACTAAGAAGAGAAGTTGAAGATCTGAAACTCCGTCTTCAGATGGCTGCAGACCATTATAAAGAAAAATTTAAGGAATGCCAAAGGCTCCAAAAACAAATAAACAAACTTTCAGATCAATCAGTAAGTATCATTAAATTTACACATAGTAAAATGTGTTGTTAGTATTTTTGTTCGAAAATCAAATTTGTAATATTCCAAATATCAACCTTTTAAATATTATTTATCTCTGCTTGATTTCAAGTCATTGGCCAAATATTGTAATAACTCTTCTTTAAAAAAGTCTGGAATTTTAATTTACTGGACAGCCAACAAAGGAAGCAAGGGCAGTAGCAAGGAAAAAACAGAAAAAAGTCTTCTTTTCTAGATAATTTCCCTCTTAAGTTCTTGATAAATATCTGTCACTCAAAACTCAATACTTATTATTGACTCTTGTGACCATGACATCTATCCTCATTGGAGTTCACCATTAATCATCCCTAGGTCTTAGATGGTGTCTCAGTTGTAATTGGCAAGTTCTTCATACTCATATTATGAAGATTCCTATTCCTATTAGATTAGGAACAGTTAAAGAGTGTTAGCTAATTCTTTTTTATTCCATTTGAGAATAGGTAGGTAGATTTGTAATATACCAAAGAAGATGTTTTTGTTTTGAGGTATGTATGTTTCAATGTGGGTCCTTAAACTGTGCTTAAATACAAGGCTTACTATCTGAGGAACTCCTGGAAATGTAGAAGAAACATATTTAAAACCTGAAATTGAAAGTGGTACTATAGCTCTCTTTTACTATGTGATGCATATGATACTTTCCTGGTCCTACTTTTTTAAATCAGAGGAGACAAGCAAGGAATGCATGTAGTAAAGTAGGAAGGCTTTTGTGAAAAAATATGATACTTTAAGTATGACTCACTCACATGTATGAATTTGGCCTGGGGCCTTTTGAGTACGTTATAACTTTGTAGTAGATTTCTGTGAATGACTTATTTTGGTGGTCTTTTGATGAGTTTATAAGAAAAAGCAAAATATAGTATATTTCTTTTGCAACATTTAGGTCAGTTAGCAAAATGATGTGTATAACTTTAGTCTTTGTTGGCTTTTAAAACAAGAGCAGCTTTGTGGACTTCTTAGGATTTCCTAAAGTAATATGTAAAAATATTATTTACTTAGTTACTGCAAGGAGGAAATATAACTAATTCATTGACTCATTTAACAACTTATTAACATTTTGAATAGGCTAATAATAATAATGTCTTCACAAAGAAAACGGGGAATCAGCAGAAAGTGAATGATGCTTCAGTAAACACAGACCCAGCCACTTCTGCCTCTACTGTAGATGTAAAGCCATCACCTTCTGCAGGTAAAAATCTTTTAGACTTTTTGTGTAGGGTGTCCTACATTGAAAAGTACTTATACTGCCTTCTTCCATGTGTTAGAATTTCAGGATGTTCATAAAAATTTTCATGTGATAAGTGAAGGAATTGAGGCAACAAGAAAATAAGGGTATAAATGTAAAATAGAGTCATGCAAGTGGTGAATATACACAACATGAACATATAAAATGTGAATGTAAACTAGTAGTTATCTTCTTGAGACTATTCACACATGTTAAAAATGAGCTGGTGCTTGTGAGTACTCATTTGGGCTACATAGGACAAAAGCCACGAATTGAATTTTTACTTTATGTTCCATTAAATCTATGGAATTTTGAAGCATTTTATTTGTGGATTTTAATTTTTAAATTCTGCAGGGGAAAAAATCCCCTATTATTCTCATATTTTTCTATTTATTCATTTATTTTTGGCTGCTTTGGATCAATGGGGGTACTTCTTCCCTTGTCAATGTACCTGTTGGCTGATGAGTTAAGTTTTTATTAGTTTATTAACTTATAGAACAGAATAGAGAGACATAGTGAGAACATTAATAACATGAAAACTTGGATTAACTAGGTTTTCATCTGTCCTGATTTTTTCACTTTTATGTAAATTTGACAGTAATGACGTTAAATACTAGAGAAAGTATATTTTCTTGTTTAGTGTGTGTAGTAATTGATCTTTTAAGTCTTTTTAAATGTAAACATCTTAGACTATTAAATATTAGGTTTATCCCCTGTAGGACAGAATTGAGCCTTCTGTTTCCATGTATCCTCTGTAGTACCTAAAATGGTGTTATAGGGTATTTACTTAATAAAGACTTAGTGGTAATGAAGGGCTAGAAGAATGATTTAAAATGTGTTCTTGGTGGGGTATGGTGGCATGCGCTTGTACTCCTAGCTACTCTGGAAGCTGTGGCAAGAGGATCACTTGAGCTCAAGAGTTTGAGGCTAGCCTGGGCAACATAGTGAGACCCTGGCTTTCAGAGAGGGGAAAGAGAATTCTCAGAGTATGGTTTTCCTACTTACCCTGTCTATTCAGTTATATAAGGAGAACAATTTTTGTGCTGTTATGGAACTCTTTTTAGCAAATTTTGTTTTGTTTTGTTTTTGAGACAGAGTCTCACTCTGTCCCCCAGGCTGGAGTGCAGTGGCGTGATCTCAGCTCCCTGCAGCCTCTGCCTTCTGGGTTCAAGCAATTCTCCTGCCTCAGCCTCCTGAGTAGCTGGGACTACAGGTGTGTGTCACCACGCCTGGCTAATTTTTTGTATTTTTAGTAGAGACAGGATTTCACCGTGTTAGCCAGGATGGTCTCGATCTCCTGCCTCGGCCTCGACCCGCCTTGGCCTCCCAAAGTGCTGGGATTACAGGCATGAGCCACCGTGCCCGGCCGCTTTTTAGCAAATTTTTAAAAAATCAAAGAATAATCCTTTATTATTGAATGCGAACTTGGTTCTGGCCAAACACACATTTAACAATTCTCAACTAGAGTTTATATATCCTTCTTTGTATATCTAGGATATGAATAGATATTTCTGTCCTTCAGCATTCCATTTACTATATTTTACAGTATACTGACCTTTAAGTTATTCTGAACAGGAAGATAATATAAGGGGCAAAATACTTTTTAACAGTCTTATATTCTGCCTTTCTACAGCAGAGGCAGATTTTGACATAGTAACAAAGGGGCAAGTCTGTGAAATGACCAAAGAAATTGCTGACAAAACAGAAAAGTATAATAAATGTAAACAACTCTTGCAGGTAAGTTAACTACCTTGTAAGTGAAAGAGATTTATAAAATGTTAATGACTTAGCTTACCTTTATTGTTTCAATTGATTGGTATCTTTGAGTTTCTTTTCCATCTCCATATAGTGTTACTTAGTTTCACTTTGGCTTTTGGGATGATGAGGTGGGCGTTTTGTGTACCTGTTCACATAGGCGTGTGTGTAGCATCATGAGACCTAAAGTTACTATTTTCTTTTCACCTAATAAAATGTTCTTGTTTGGGTAATGGGCAAATAGTTAATTGAGGTTAGAAATTATCTGTCATCGTATAAAGATGCATGAAAAATATTTGAACTTCATAAAAGGGAAGTGCTGTTTTTAAATTTACTATTATCGGCCAGGTGCGGTGGCTCACGCCTGTAATCCCAGCACCTTGGGAGGTCGACGTGGGTGGATCGCTTGAGGCCAGGAGTTCGAGACCAGTCTGGCCAACATGGTGAAACCCTGTCTGTACTAAAAATACAAAAATTAGCCAGGCTGTGGTGGAGCATGCCTGTAGTCCCAGCTACAGTCTCCTGAGGCAGGAGAATCACTTGAACCCGGGAGGCGGAGGTTGCAGTGAGCCGAGTTTGCACACTGTACTCCAGCCTAGGCAACAGAGCGAGTCTCTAAAAAAAAATAATAAATAAAATAAATTACTATTATAATAGCAAAGATTTTTACATCTTAAAGTGACTAGACTTGCATAGTGGAAAAGGGAATGTTAACCAAATGAATTGTCTCTTACGGTGTTTATTTTGATTATTATTATTTTATTTTATTTTTTTTTTTGATACGGAGTCTCACTCTCTCGCTCAGGCTGGATTGCAGTGGCGTGATCTCAGCTCACTGCAATCTCCGCCTCCTGGGTTCATGCCATTCTCCTGCCTCAGCCTCCCAAGTAGCTGAGACTACAGGCGCCTGCCACCACACCCAGCTAATTTTTTGTATTTTTAGTAGAGGCGGGGTTTCACGATGTTAGCTAGGATGGTCTCTATCTCCTGACCTCGTGATCCACTCGCCTCGGCCTGTCAAAGTGCTGGGATTACAGGCATGAGCCACCGCGCCCGGCCTATTTTGATTATTTTAAACAGCTTCATTCAGACTTTTCTGGTTTGCAGCCTTCTTGGTGTAGTATTCAGTACTGGAATATTTAAAGGAAAAGGGAAAATGCTTCTCATTTATATCAATTTGGCATAGAGAGGAAAAAGTGTTGTTTGTGCAAGTGATTTTTGTTTGTTTTTTTAAATGTGCTTTGTGTGTTTTTGTGTGCATTGGGGAGGGGAGGGGCATTTTTTAGAGCTATAGAATAAAATTTACACATTAGCTTCATGTTACTGTAATTTAATTTACAGTAATTATTTAAAATATTTTGTTGCTTATAAATAGCAAAATCTTTTAACCAAAGTTAAAATGAATTTTTTTTTTTGCTTGAGAGAATCCTGTGGAAGGGTTGATTAGAACAGTTTTACTCTTGAATTCAGGGTAGTTTTTTGTAAGAGTGAACTACATTTTCGTTAAAGATGAAACAATTCTGGATGAATATTTCAAGATTTTTCTATAGAAATAGTATTGAAAGGAAGATAGAATAATGTTCAAGCAAAAACCTTCCTCAGGGTGCTTTTTTTTTTTTTTAAACAACCATATTGAGGTATAATTGAAATCCAATGAATTGCACGTACCTAGAGTATACAGTTGGATCAGTTTTGACATACACAGTTGTGAAACTATCACCACAGTGCCATCACTCTCCCAGTTTTTTTGGTACCTGTTTGCAACACATCCCTTTCGTTATCCTTATCTCTAGGAAATTATTGGCCTGCTTTCTGTCACTATCAATTAGCCTACCTTTTAGACAATTTTATAAAATGGAGTCATGTAATATGTACTTTTTTCTACCCACTTTCAGCATGATTATTTGAGATTTATTCATATTATTGCATATATTTATTCCTTTTTTATTTTATCATTTGTTTATCCATTCACCACTTGATGGGTAGTTGGGGTTGTTTTTCGGCTGGTACAAATAAAGCTGCTTATGAACATTTGTTTAGAAGTTGTTTATGGACATATGTTTTTTTTTGTTTCTTTTGGGTAAATATCTAGGGGTGAATTGCCTGGGTGATATTGTAGTTGAATAACTCTGTAAGAAATTACCTCCTGGGTGCAGTGGCTCATGTCTGTAATCCCAGCACTTTGGGAGGCCGAGGTGGGAGCATCACTTGAGGTCAGGAGTTTGTGACCAGCCTGGCTAATATGGTGAAACCCTTTCTCTACTAAAAATACAAAAATTAGCTGGGCATGGTGGTACACTCCTGTAATCCCAGCTACATGGGAGGCTGGGGCAGGAGAATCGCTTGAACCCGGGAGGTGGAGGTCGCAGTGAGCCAAGACTGCACCACTGCACTCCAGCCTGGGTGACAGAGTGAGACTCTGTCTCAAAAAAAAAAAAAAAAAAGAAATTACCAAACTGTTTTGTAAGGTGTTTGTACCATCTTACATAGCCAGCCTAATGGGTGTGTACTGATAGCTCATTGTGGTTTTAATGTGCATTTGTATAATGACTTGATGTTGAGCATCTTTTCTTATGCTTATTTGCTCTTTATCTCTTTGTGTGAGTGGTCGAATCTTTTTGGTAGTTTAAATATAGGGTTGTTCATCTTGAGTTGTGTTTTTTTTTTTTCTGTATATGTCTTTTGTCTGATATATGTAAGGTGAATATTTTCTCCAAGTCTGTAGCTTGCCTTTTCATTTCCTTAATGATGTTTTTAGAAAAGCAAAATTTAAATTTTGATAAAGTACAGTTTATCAGTTCATTTATGTTTTATGCTTTTTACCTTCTAAGGAATGTTTGCCTAATCCAAGGAGATAAAGATTTTCTCCTGTGTTGTCTTCTAGAAGTTTTATAATCAGCTTTTCTATTTAGGTCTGTGAATCATTTTGAGTTAATTTTTGTGTATAATATGGAATGTATGGTATGGATATTAAACTGACCTAGCGTTATTTGTTTAAAAGATTTTCCTCTCCATTGAATTGCTCAAAGTATATTTTTAAGCGTTCACATTGAACAAAATGTTCCAAATGGAATTGGCCTAATTACCTTTTTGTCATGATTTGTAAGTCCTCCTTTAAGATAATCTGGGTTGTAGAGAAGAGCAATGTATAAGAAGTCAACCTAAAAATTATCTTGGTCAGCAAATCCTAGAGTTTATCACTGCATGGAAACAACAGCATTATAAATATGACTTTATTTCCTCCCTTTGCAAAAGTAATATATACTTATTGTGAAATGTTGTAGTGTTCCAGAAATGAAGAGTAGAGATGGCAAAAATTACCTCTATCATTCTGATCCCCTGAGATAAGAACTATTAATATTTTGGTTTATATTTTTGTATACAACACAAACATATAGATATTGTATTATAACTGTGTAAAACAACTTATAAACAAAAATGGATTATATATTCTATTTTAGCAACTTGCTATTTTCAATTAATGTATCTTAACATTTTTTCTTGTCAATTTGTACATCTGCCTTATTTAAAAATATATATACTATTTCATTGTGTGGATAGAAAATGATTTATCCAATTGTCTATTAATAGACATTTGATTATTCCAATTTTTATGCTGTTACAACAGTGTTATAATAAATGTTCAGCCCATATCTAAGTACATTAGTATAGATTTTCACTCTACATGAATTTAAAATCTTTTGGTAATTATACTAATTTCATTTAGGATGAGAAAGCAAAATGCAATAAATATGCTGATGAACTTGCAAAAATGGAGCTGAAATGGAAAGAACAAGTGAAAATTGCTGAAAATGTAAAACTTGAACTAGCTGAAGTACAGGACAATTATAAAGTAAGTTTGGTACTCCTTGTATGTAAACTTAAGGCATAAACTTCTGAAAATTAGTTATGTATAATTTTATTCAATCTAATGTACATTTTAAATATGGATAATTGATAGTTTTTTCTACAAATAAAAATGTACTATATATTTAGTTACATAAATACTGTTCATTAACTTTGAATTGAGAAAATGGATACCATTTGCATTGCTATTGTGGCTTTAATTCTGTGGGTTCAGATGGCTATTAAAATTACATCTTTTAATTGTGTTTATTTTTAAAGTTGAAAAGTGATCATTATCCTCCTGTTCATTTTGAAACAAACATGAATGCATATGTAAAATTATTTTAGGATGGCTGGGCATGGTGACCCACTCCTGTAATCCCAGCACTTTGGGATGCCAGTCTGGGAGGATTGCTTGAGTCCAGTAGTTTGAGATCAGCCTGGGCAACATAGGGAGATACCCACCCCCCTACCAGTCTCTAAAAAATAAAAATTAATAAATAAAAATAATTATTTTAGGGCCTTGACTTTTTTTGGAGTACAATAATATGTCATCAGTAATTTTAAAAATTTGGCTGGAGTTTTAACATTTATCACTAAAGTATGTGACTGTGATCCTAAATGAAATACTGTAAAAGCAAGTGATGTAATCTTAACTGATGAAAATTATTTTTGCCAATATAATCTTAGGCAACAGACAAGCCCAAATGATAAATGATACTGTAAGAATGTTAGAGAAGGTCAGGCATGATGGCTCACGCCGGTAATCCCAGCACTTTGGGAGGCTGAGGCGGGCGGATCACGAGGTCAGGAGTTTGAGACCAGCCTGGCCAACATAGTGAAACCCTGTCTCTACTAAAAATACAAAAAATTAGCCAGGCGTGGTGGTGGGCACCTATAATCCCAGTTACTCGGGAGGCTGAGGCAGGAGAATCGCTTGAACCCTGGAGGCGGAGGTTGCAGTGAGCCAAGATCATGCCATTGCACTCCAGCCCGGGTGACAGTGTGAGACTCCGTCTCAAAAAAAAAAAAAAAAGAATGTTAGAGAAAAAAAAAAAACAGGCTGTCCAGCTACTTAATAAGTAGAAATATGTATTTCTTCTAAGGAATAAAGTATAATTTAATATATTTTAAGAAATGTATGTAGATATAATTTACATTTTTTTTTTTTTTACTGAAGACCAGGAATTCTAAATGGTTTAAATATCATAGCTAATTGTATCTATGATCTAATTTTAAAGTTAGAATTACTTTAGTTTTCCCTTTTAGGGGCTGGAGATGTAGCACATTACAGGCTAAGTTACATTAGCTTATTATTTCTGTGATCCTTGTGGATATTCTTTTCAATAACTGGAACCTTCCTTAATTATTTATTAAGTGTGAATCATGAATTCATATGAAAAGAATTTTTTGCATATTGACTAGGAAAATGGTTTAGTAAATGTCTATTGAAGCCTATTTTACATAAAGTGCTATGTTAGATATTATGTGGGCGATCACATAAGGCACAGTGCTATGCTTAAGGAGTTTATAATCTGGTAGAGTGCTAGAAGTGTAATGGTAGTATGCACAAAATTTTCACACCACCCTAGGTAATCATCTATAAGCCATGGGAAGCTAAACAGGTAATTTTATTTCATTAATGTTAAAAGTAAGCATTGAGATCAAACAACATATCTAAAATTACGTAGTTGGTAAATGTGTTTGGCTTTTTATTTAGTTTCTTTTGCCCTATTTTGTACTGTTTTGACACAGACTAACACTGACCAGACAAGGCAAAATGTGATAAAGCTCCACATGAATGATAAGTTTAATTGCCTTAGAGTTGTGTCCAATCAAATATTTAGGGGGAAGACATTATGGAGTAACTAGACCTTTGAAAGAACAAACTGGAGGGGAGGAGAAGCAGAGCTAGGGAAAGGAAGCAGCAGCATTCTAAGTAGATGGAAGAGCATTAAGACACGTTTGGAGTTCAGAAGTGGAGCGCGTAGTCTGCGAACTGTGAGCAGTCTTGATCATTAGGACTTGAGTATCTATAATGGAGTAGCTTAGGCTTGAATGATAGCTTGAAGCCAGGTTTTAGAAGGCCTAAAATGGAATTTCGGTGCTAGTTCTGTTAAGAATGTTCTAGGAGAAAAGAGACCCAATCACAGCGAGTCTTTTTGAAAATAATTTGGCAGCATTGAAGAGGATTTAGAGGTGGGAAGGGTTTGAAGGTGAGGAAATCAGGTAGGAATATTCTTAGAATGAATTGATAAAGACCACCTCCTTTTGGGTACCTTCCCTGATCACCTGCCATTGAATGGGTCATGTGTCTACAAGAGAAAGCTGTGAAAGACATCTTTAGGGAAGAACCATTGAAGAATGATTTTATTTGTATTTGTATCCATTAATGCTTAAACTGTAATAGGTGACCAGTGGGTGATTGCTGAATGAATGAATGATTTAGAGACTGAAAGTGTTGGGGAGTGGAGAAAGAGGAAAAGGAAAAAGTATTCCAATATAGTTTCTAAGCTTTAGTCACAGTGTAGTCTGAGATTGAATTCTGTTAACAGAAGTACGAAAGTAGGCTTGGGACATTAACCATCAATTTAAAAGGCAGATTTGGAACTTGGGAAAGAGAAAGTGGTACACGAGTTAATATTTGTGATTTATTCCCGGGGGCGTGATATTTGAAGGTTTGGAAGAAGGTGAGTTTTCAGAGAGAATATTGAGAGAAGAGGCCAAAGAAGAAACTTTGGAGAATACTCATATTTGGACTGGGAAGAAAAAAAACACAAAAAAAGGGCATGGGATGATGAAAATATTCATGCAATTTCACATAAACCAAAGGAATAGTTTTAAGAATAAGGCAAGTTGGTCAATAAATGACAAGTAATTCAGAGAAGTCAAAGAATTAGCTGAGGAAAATACGTGGATTTAGTAATAGGAATTATTTTCGTAAAACAGTATAAACCAGATCTCAAAGTTGCAAGGAGGGAGTAGGTAAATGAAAAAAAATAAAGAAATTTCTTTCTTTATTCAGCTTCAATTGGCAGAGAAAGACAAAGAAATAAGTGGTCTGATTTCACATTTGGAAAACCTCTCCAGGGAGAAGGTATTGAGCAATGTAGTTAAACAAATGTGTATCACATGAAACTGAATAATAATAGAGCTTTATGAAGAGACACATTTTGAAGTTCATGTGACAGTACAATGTTCAAATTTAGGAAAACAGTGAAATTTCTAAAAATTACGTGAAATGTTTATCTGGTTTTCTTTTGTAATAGGAAACATTTTTGAAGTTGTTTAATGACTTACAGCAAAACCTCACATTCACATAGAGCAATACATTTGTAATGTAAAAGATACTATAGTGCAGCATTTCTGAAAGTGTGGTCTGTGGTCCTTTTGGTGGTTCCCAATCCCCTTTCAGGGGCCTGCAAAGAAACAATTTTCATAATAATACTACAACATTATTTGATTTTCTCCCTGCTGTGACATTTGCACTGTGTGAAAGCAGTGTGGAAAACTGCTTGTGTATTATTATGAATTAAGGCAGTGGCACCAAACTGCATTAGTAGTTATTGTATTCATCACCACCATGTGCTCACAGTAGAGAAAAAAAAAGCCAGTTGCACTGAAGATGTTAAAACAATAAAATGTGTTAATTTTATTGACGCTTGATCCTTGGGTACATGTCTTTTTAGTATTCTGTGTGATTAAACGGAAAGTACCCCTAAAGTTCTTTTGTTGCCTAATGAAGTATGATGGTTAATAAAGGTAAAGTGCTTGTTTGTTTGAGTTGTGAGTTGAGCTAGTCTCTTTTTTCATGGAAACCATTTTTACTTTAAAGAACAATTTCTATATTCAGACTTGGGTATTTGACAGATATTTTCTCAAAGTGAAATGAAATGAGCCTGTTATATCAGGGAAAAACAATTGATAATTTTTTTTGCCATTGATAATATTTGAGCTTTTAAGCAAAAACTGGAATTTTGAAAAACTTGTTATCTTCCAGTGTAAGCTTGATGCTTTCCAATGTTTACAAACTTTTCTAATGAGATGGTTGTAATATTTAGACTGTATTTTTTAATTGTATAGCAAAATTTGTCAGCATTTAGAAGATCCACATAACTCAGTGAACCAGTAGTTTTCCAAATGACCAGCGATGTTACAAAATCATGTATCATAAAAGAGCCATTCTAAGTGCAAGTTAGATTTCAAGGTTGTATGAGGTTACTGTGATAGTTGTGAAATTCTGATTTTTCAACTCATCACTTTTTCCACATTTGTCCTTTGGCATTCTACTATAAGGACGAACCTTCCTTTGTCCTTGTTTATGTATGTCTGTGTGGTATTGTTCCAGCAACGATTTTCTGATGCCAAAACTGGTATTCTACAATTCAGTTCAATTCTGATACTAACTACCATGAGTTAGCATAGACCCCTCAGGTTAAGGCTCAGTCCCACAGGACTGCTCCCACTTTAGATGCCAGTTACAAGTGAGGTCCTCAGGCTACTGATAGCAGTCATTTTCTCACACTTATTCACACGTAATTCACACATAAGTACTTAATAGCAAAAACTATTATGTACCATTAATAACAGTGAAAAAATAATGTGGCAGATGGGGAATTGTCTACTTGTGGCATCATGTCAGTGCTCAAAAAGTTTCAGTTTGGAACATTTCAGATTTTGGATTTTTTATCAGGGAATGCTCAACCTGTGTATGCTTTTTCTCAGCACTACTATATTCTGAAAACCATTCCATATATGAAGCTCATAGAAATCCTCCATCTTTTTTTAAACAGCTGTGTAGTACTTCATTATACATACCATAATTTATTCAACCAACTTCCTGTATTTGGCCATTTAGGTAGTTGCTAATATTTTACAAATAATACTGCAATGAATGATTCTATGCACATGTAGTTTTCTGGTGTTGGGGTGGTACCTTCAAGGTAAATTCCTAGAAGCGTGATTGCTGGTTTGAAGGGTAAATGCATGTGTAGTTTTGTTAGAGATTGCCAGATGCCCTTTCATAGAATTTGTATTATTTTTCGTTTCCACCAGCAATGTATGAGAAGTGGACCTGTTTCCCATATAAATTGTAATCAGGCTTTCTAATTTTTGCATATGGGAGAGATTAGGAATAGTACCTTAGTGTAGTTTTAATTTGCATCTCTATTATGAGCAAGGTTAAACATCTTATCTTTTTTGTGAGTTCTTTGGCTCATTATTCTCTGATTTTTGGTTTGTTTTACTTATCTTGTTATATATATATTTTTCCCCTATTAGAGATATTACCCCTTTATTTGTGATACATATGTGGTAAGGATTTTCTCTCAGTTTATTTGACTTTTGACTATGCTCACTATACTTACTTTTACCATGTAAATGTTCTTTATTTTTGTGTAGTCTAAAGTGTGGTACTGCCTTGACCAGCAATGTTAGCACCATCTGGAAACTTGTTAGAAATGCATATGCTTTGCCGGGTGCTGTGGCTTACGCCTGTAATCCTAGCACTTTGGGAGGCTGAGGCTTGTGGATCACCTGAGGTCAGGAACTCGAGACCAGCTTGGCCAACATGGTGAAACCACGTCTCTATTAAAAATGCAAAAATTAGCCAGGCATGGTGGCTCATGCCATGAGCCCAGCTACTTGGGAGGCTGAGGTGAGAGAATTGCTTGAACCCGGGAGGCAGAGGCTGCAGTGAGCCGAGATTGTGCCACTACACTCCAGCCTGGGCAACAGAGTGAGACTCTGTATCAACAACAACAACAACAACAACAAAATGCATATTCTTGGGCCCTGTTCTGGTCCTGCTGAATCAGCAGCTCTGGAAGTGATGCCCCAAAATTTGTGTTTGACAAAAACCCTCCAAGTGTTTCAGATTTATGCTCAGCTTTGAAAACTACTGATGTGTTGCATTTGAATTTTTAGTTTTCCACAGAAAGCATTCCCTACACCCAGGTTATAGAGGAGTTCACTTGTGTTTTGTTCTAATACTGATAGAGTTTCAGTTTTTTTTTTTTTTTGAGGTGGTGTCTTGCTCTGTTGCCCAGGCAACAGTGCAGTGGCACTAGCTCGACTCACTACAACCTTTGCCTCTCAGGTTCAAGCAATTCTCCTGCTTCAGCCTCCTGAGTAGCTGGGATTACAGGCTCCCGCCACCAAGCCTGGCTAATTTGTATATTTTTAGTAGAGACAGGGTTTTGCCATGTTGGCTAGGCTGGTCTCAAACTCCTGACCTCAGGTGATCCACCCGCCTCAGCCTTCCAAAGTGCTGGGATTACAGGTGTGAGCCACCATCAGTTTTTTTTTTTTTTAACATTAAAATTTCTTATCCATTTAGAATTTATTCTTGGATATCACAGAAGGAATGCATCTAAGTTTATCTCGTTCTAAATTGCTATCTAGTTATCTCAATCCATTCATCAAAATGCCGGTTTTATGTCAGTGATTTGAGATACTACATTTATTGTATAATAGATTTCCATATGCAGTTGGGTCTCTTTCTGTACTTTGAGTACTGTTCCATTGATCTGTCTACTCATATGGTAGTAACATGGTGTTTTAATTGTAAGAACTTTGTAGTCTATTTTAATATTTGGTTGGGTTAGTCCTTTCTCATAACTCTTTGTTTTCAGTGTTTTTCTAGCTTTTCTCTTGAAGGGTTAGTTTTCCATAGCAATTTTAGTACCAACTTTTCTAGCTCTAGAAATGATTGTTGGTGTTTTTATTGATATTGCATTAAGTATATACATTAACTTAGGGATAACTAACATCTTGGTGATATTTCTACCTTTTAATAAAGAACAGGCAATATGGGATGTTTTGTTCAAATCTGTTTTGTGTCTTTCAGGAATTTTAAATAATTTTCTTCCTATGGGTGTGGAAGAATTCTTTTTAAAGTTTATTCCTAAGTATTTTTGTTTTTCCTCTTGAAAATGGGATTTTCTCTTTCATTGTATGTTGTAACTGGTTATTGTTTTTGAATATGGGGCTCTTGAACTTTTTGTAGTTTTAAATTTTTATGTAATTTCAAACTCAAGTTGAAAAAATAGTATAGTGAACTCTCATTTATATTCTTTCCCCAACATTTGACAGTAACTGGAGGTGAAGACATAACAGTCCCTGCATATTGTATCCTCAGTACAAGGATGTTCTTTCAGCCATGTTAAAGTTAACAGATTTAGGAAGTTTAACACTGACACAGTATTATCATCTAACCTACAATACATATTGAAATTGTATCCTTAGTACTTTGTTTATTGTTTATAGTCTTTTCCTCCCTGATCTAGGATCCAATCCATGATCATACATTGCATTTAGTTGTCATGTGTTTAGTTTCCCTTTATCTGGAACAACTTTATAGCCTTTCTTAACCTTGACATTTTTGAAAAATATGGGCCAGTTATTTAATATAATACTAATTTTGGTTTAATATTTCATCACGATGAAACTTAGGTTATGAATTTTGCCAGGAATACTATAGAATTTAAATATCCTTCTCAATACTGGTGATCTTTCATTATTTGGTTAAGGTATTGTCCACCAGGTTTTACTGATATAAAATTAATATTTTCCCTTTGTAATTAATAAGTAATTTGTAGGGAGATACTTTGAGACCATGTAAATATCTTGTTCTTTATCAGACTTTCACCTGGTATTTTAGTATCTATTAATGATCTTCTAACTCCATAATTCCTTCTATATTGATTAGAATTTTTCTGTAAGAGCTATCTTTTCTTTCTCCCCAATTTGTTTATTTATTCATTGATATTTATCATTGTAGACTCATGGATTCCCGTTTTAGTCAATGGATTACAGTCTATTTTTATAATCATTTTGATACTCAGATTGTATCAGATTTAACTAATAAGAGCCCCTGCATACTAGCTCTTGTGGCTTAATGTGTCTTTCATTATTCTTTGAGCACTTATTACTTTCTGGTGCAGAAGGATGTTCCAGGCTCATCTTGTTATTTTCCTGCCCCAGCCTGGAATCAGTCTTTTCTCCAAGGAGCCCTGTTCCATTTACTGGTGTATGTAGTTTAGAAACCAAGATCTGGGCTGTAGGTGTACCCTCATTGATTCAAAGTCCTTAGCAGACAGAGCTGGAAAATATGGTTCTCCCCCTCTCTTTCCCTCTCTGTATATTAAAAAATAGCAACACACACAAAAAACTATGAGTAAATACTTATACCTCCAATTGTAGTCTAAAACTACAGCATAAATTCTAGTCTTCTCTCTTTCCATAATATAACTTCCTTTTCTAATTAGACTAGGAACCTGGTCTGAGTTTCCTTGATATATTTACTCAAGTGTTGAATACACAGAAAATAATTTCAGAATTGCTAACCCATAGCACTGTGAAAAGCACATCTAACTAGAGTTCAACATTTGTTTCATTTTTTTGGTGGGTAGGGTGGAGGGTGTAAAATTTACATATTTAGTTGTCCTATGGTGTACTCTCCGCGCTCCTTTACTCTCAGAACATTCCCATGATGGCAGAGAAGAGGAATATATTATTTCTCCTATTTACCAGTTGGAGTATCAGAAACATCCTTAACTTGTCAAATAATTTGTAAAACCGGGGTCACTGTGAGCCATTTTGGGTACCGAAGAAAAAAAGTATTTAGGCACCCTGGCAAAGGCAACCAGCTAAACAGACTTGTTCCTGGGAGCTGGAACAGTAAGAGATGACTACTTCTGACAAAATCTCTTTCTTAAATTGTGGTGGCTATTTTAGGAAAATTATGAGTCAGCAGTTAATACTGTTTTGCTCAGTTAAGATAGCTACACTTATGTTATCCATGCCTTTGTAAGTAGGAGAGGTCCCCCAGGGATTCTTGACCATTTTTGTTTCTAGAACCCTTTGATATTTTGACAAAGTCTATTTTCAGAAAATGATTTAAAATGAATAGAGCAAAATGTGTAGAATCACAAAGGAAACACATTATTGTAGTTATCAAAATATTAAGACAAATTTGTGATATATATGATAGAGTATGTGCTTATTCTTTTAAATGTTAAATAAGATTTAATAGCATGTCTAATAATGACTGTAATTTTGAAGTGGTGATCAATAGAAAGGCTATTTTGAGATGGCTACAACAAATGTAATTCGAAACAAATGTAAGATTTAGCAGCATGTCTGATAATGACCATAATTTTGAAGTGGTGATGAATATAAAGGCTATTTTGAGATGGCTACAACAAATGTAATATGAAACAAATCTGTTTGATCTCTGTAGGTGGCCAAGTTACAGGTACCACAACCATTACTGTGTTTTTTGGCCTACATTCCTAATGGAAGAAAATCCTAAATTTTAGTTAGAAGTTAGTGAATAGATACAATTTTTTTTGCCCATGTAAGTTCATGGACCTCCTGAAATCTAAACATGGACCCCTTGAGGGGCTTTGTGAATGCAAGTTTAAGAACCTTCTCTAAGTCCAGGTATTATGTTTTGGAGGGGAGAGTTCAGTCTTCTGATTTGCAAAAGAACCTAACCTTAACTATCTTGTCCATGTGCATGCATTCTCTGTCCCCCATGAGGAATCAAAGCTGCTTGTCACCAATCCTATTCTTACCCTGAATCCTATTTGCAAATAATTTATTGTATCTTTGATGGTAGAGTAGGCATATTAGATTAAACTCTCTATTAGGTTGGAACTCTATAAAGTTGCTTGACTGTACCAATGCAGCCTAAATCTTTTCATGAAACCCTTGACTCTATTTCAGTAGTGTATTATTTGCTTACAGAAGAATTTAAACTCTACTTCTTTAATTTGCATAAACTTTTGAATAAGTATTTTATTATCTCTAACTTCTTTTGTGCCTTTTTTTTTTTGGGAGACGGAGAATCTTGCTCTGTCACCTAGGCTGGAGTGCAGTGGCGCGATCTTGGCTCACTGCAACCTCTGCCTCCTGGGTTCAAGCAATTCTCCTGCTGCAGCCTCCTGGGTAGCTGGGACTACAGGTGTGTGCCACCACGCCTGGCTAATTTTTTATATTTTTAGTAGAGACAAGGTTTCACTGTGTTAGCCAGGATGGTCTTGATCTCCTGACCTCATGATCCACCTGCCTCAGCCTCCCGAAGTGCTGGGATTACAGGCGTGAGCCACCACGCACAGCCCTTTTTTTTTTTTTGAATCGTGTTTGAAATGTTTCTTGGATTTAACCTTTCTTTTTTTTCTGTAGTCACATGCCAGTCTTGAATGACTACAGTAGCATCTCTGGGGTTTTCAGTCATGGCAAGAGATGAAGGATATCTTTTGAATGCCTTTCTTGTTCTAAATGTATCTCCTATTTCTCAATAGCCCTGTAAGGCTTAGAAAAGGTAAATTCTTTAGGGTTATTAGTGCTGATCTGATAATCAAATCTAGGTCAGCCTGATTCCAATCTACCATGCTGTGCTGCCTTCCTACTAATTTGCTTCTGGTTTTGAGTATGCCCATTATTGTTTTGCTAGATTAACCTTACCAAGGACCATTTTTACCGTGTTGTTATTGTTAAAAAACCTGAAGGCCCATTGTAAATTGTATGACAGATTTGACACATCTGACCTTCAACTTGTCTTTTCAGCTATATCTCCTGCCTGAGACAGGGTCTTGCCTTGCTATGTTGCTCTCTAACTCCTGGGCTCAGGTGATCTTCCCTCCCAAAGTGCTGGGATTATAGGTGTGAGCCACCATTCCCAGCTCCTGCTGCTCTTAATATGCATCCTTTGCTCTAGTCATATTTTACCAAGCCTGAAATACGTTATTATTTCTCATATGTTCTGTATCTTTTTATTTACTTTATGTCAGAATGCTCTTCATCTGCTTGGTGAAAATTCCTTAGGATCCATCTCAAATGGCTCTTCTCTATAGTCTCTTCCTAGTATACAGTGTTTCCATTTTGATACATTGCATTTTACCTTCATCTCTATACGAGACCACTTACCACAATTAATTGCTAATTATTTATCTAGAGTTGTACCTTTTATTAGACTGAATTCTTTGCAGGCAAAATCCATTTCAAGTTAATCTTTGTATCTCTAGTTCCTAGTACGGCACCTGTTACATAATAGATGGTGTGCTAGGTATCTTGAAAGAGTATTTTCCTTTTTTGCTTAAAATTTCACAAGTCTTATTTTTGCAGTTAAATAATGAGTGGTTGAAAGGCAGGAATGCCATCTTAACCTCACAGTTTTACACAGTACCTGGCATAGTTGATATGTGGACGTGTATGTTATGTATGGACTTGCTTAGAAAGAACTTTTAATTCCTGCATCTCTTATCAAACCTAAGTTGACTTGCATTTTTCTTAATGTTTGCAAGTTTTGCTCTTGATGATGACTTTCATTTTAAGGTTACTTAGTCCATTTATTGGATCATTTATATAGGTAAAAATGTGTTAACTTAGACACAGTCTCATCTCTACCCCCAAGAAATGACAAGCAGCAAAACCAGCTCAACTTTCCAGACTAAATTTTTCATTCTTATATCCTTTGTTAATAAGGCCTCTGGTTGATTTTTTTTTTTTAACAGCTCTGTTAAGGTGCAGTTTACATGTAATAGAATCTGTTCATTTAAATAGAGTTTGATGACTTTTGGCAAATGCATGTAGTTCTGTAACTACCGTTTCATTCAAGCAGTGTAACGTTTCCATTACTGCACAAAGTTCCCTCTTGCTCATTTGCATTCGTCCCCTCCTGCTACCCCCCTGTCCTAGAAAACCTCTGGTCTGCTTTCTGTCCCTGTCGTTTTATGGCTTCTAGCATTTCATGTAATTGGAATAAAGCAGAATTTATCCATTCATTAGTTGATAGACATTAATCTACCAGCTGATGGACATTTAAATTATTTCTGATATTTTGCTATTACAAATAATGCTGCTATGAACATTCTTACGTAAGTCTTTTTGTGGACATATGTTTTCATTTTTCTTGAGTAGATACCTAGGAGTGGAATTGCGGGCTTATATGGTAAGTGTATGTTTTTAATGAAACGGCCGAATTGTTTTTACAAAGTGGCTGTACCATTTTTGTATTCCCACTGGCAGTGTATGAGCATTCCAACTGCTCCATATCCTCACCAGCACTTGGTATTTTTGTCAGTCTTTAATTTTAGTCATCCTAGTGGGTGTATTAGTGTTATCTCATTGTGGATTTTAGTTTTAATTTCCCTGATAACTAGTGATGCTGAGCATCTTTTCATGTGCTTGCAGGCCATTTGTACATATTCCTTTGTGAAGTTTCTGTTCAAATCTATTTTTTTTTATTGAGCTGTCTGTCATCTTTGGTTGCGACAGTTCTTTATATATCCCAGATATAATTCCTTTGTCAGATATTTTGGTGTTATTTTCTTCCAGTCTGTGATTTCTTTTTTCCTTTTTTACAACATTATCTTTTGAAAAGCAAAAGCCTTGAATTTTGAGGTAGTCCAGTTTATCAGTATTTGTCTTAATGCTTCATGCTGTTTGTCCTATCTTAAATTTTTGCCTAAATCAAGGTTATGAAGATATTCTCCTATTTTTTTCTTCCAAAAGGTTTGTAGTTTTAGCTCTCTTACTTTAGATTTATGATCTATTTGTTTTTTATATGGTATGATATGTAGTCAAAGTTTATTTTGTATATAAGTACCCAGTTTTTAAAGATCATGTTGAAAAGACCATCCTTTTCCTCCATAGAATTTCCTCTACATCTTGAGGTATTTTAAATGTTGAAAATACTCTATAAGTATGGGTCTACTTTTAGAATCTATATTCTATTTTATTGATTTTTATCAAGGGTCAGCAAACTAAGGCCTATATGCTAAATCTGGCTTTATATAAATAAAACTTTATTAGCACATGGCCATGCCCATTCATGTAGGTATCATCTATGACTGCAATTGCAGAGACAGATTTCAGTAGTTGCAACAGAGACTGTGTGGCCTACAAAGGTGAAAATATATACTGTTTGACCCTTTGCAGAAAAAGATTGCCAGCTCCTCATCTATATTCTTATGCCAATACTATACCGTCTTGTTTACTGTAGCTTTATAATACGTCTTGAAATCAGGTTTCATAAGTCCTCCAACTTTGTTCTGCTTTTTTTTTTTTTTTTTTTTTTCTTAAAGACAGCATCTCCCTGCCATCTTCCAGGCTGGAGTGAGTGGCTTGATCGTAGTTCACTGCAGCCTTGACCTCGACCTCTTGGGCTGAAGTGATCCTCCTGCCTCAGCCTCTGAAATAGCTGACTACAGGCATGTGCCACTGTACCTGGCTAAATTTTTTCTTGTTTTCTTTTCTTTTCTTTTTTTTTTCTTTTTTTTTCTGAGACAGGGTCTTACTCTGTCACCCAGGCTGGAGTGCAGTGGTGCCATCATGGCTTACTGTAGCCTTGACCTCCCAGACTCAGGTGATCCTCCCACCTCAGGTTTCTGAGCAGTTGGGACTATAGGCACATGCCATCACACCCAGCTAATTTTTGTATTTCATGTAGAGAAAGGGTTTGCCATGTTGCCCAGGCTGGGCTCAAGTGATCCACCCAGAGCCTCACAAGTGCTGGGATTACAGGTATGAGCCACGGTGCCTGGCCATTTTAAAATTTTTTATTGAGATAGGGTCTCACTATGTTGTCCAGGCTTGTCTCAAACAGGCAATCCTCCTGCTTTGGCCTCCCAAGTGCCACATTGTGAAAATCAGTGAGAAACAGGAAATGAAGGTGGCTTGTCCAATCTGATTCAAAGGCTTGAGGAGTTGTACAGTGGCCAATAGTCACACACATCCCATTAGTAACTACTTATTTAGGAATGAAATAAACACATTAATTTTCTTTCAATTTATGTGTAGTTTTTTTTTTAACGGTCACTAAATTTGTTAGAAGACAAATACTTAATGGTCAGTAAGTCCTCACTTAACATCATAGAGCAGTTCTTAGAAACTGCAACTTTAAGCGAAAGGACTTACAGCAGGTTGAAAGAAATAACTCCTCATGATCCGCCCGCCTCGGCCTCCCAAAGTGCTGGGATTACAGGTGTGAGCCACCGCACTTGGCCTTTTTTTTTTTTTTCTTTTTTTTGAATCGTGTTTGAAATGTTTCTTGGATTTAACCTTTCTTTTTTTTCTGTAGTCACGTGCCAGTCTTGAATTACTACAGTAGCATCTCTGGGGTTTTCAGTCTTGGCAAGAGATGAAGGACATCTTTTGAATGCCTTTCTTGTTCTAAATATATCTCCTATTTCTCAGTAGCCCTGGAGTTACAGGCATAAGCCATCATGTCCAGCCTGTTCTGCTTTTTACATATGGGCTATTACAGGACCTTTGTGTTTCTGTGTACATTTTAGAATTATTTTGTTAATTTGTACAAAAGCCTACTGGGATTTTCTAGGCATTGTATTGTATCTATAGTTAATTTGGGGGGGGAATTAATAGCATAAAAGTACTAAGTTTTCTAGTCCATGAACATGTTATATGTCTCCCTTTGTTTATGCTCTTCTTAATGCATTATTTTGTTTAGTGTATAGGCTTTGCACATCTTTCATATATTTATTCCTAAACATTTTATCTATTGATTTTACTCTAAGTAGAATTATTAAAAATATCATTTTCCAATTATTTGTTGCTGTATGTAGAAATACAATTGATTTTACATATTGATCTTGTATACTGCAACCTGACTAAATTATTTACACTCATTTTTCTAGTTTTTTTTTTGAGACGGAGTCTCATTCTGTCACCCATGCTGGAGTGCAGTGGCGCGATCTCGGCTCACTGTAACCTCCATCTCCCAGGTTCAAGCAATTCTTTCTGCCTCAGCCTCCTGAGTAGCTGGGACTACAGGTGTGTGCCACCACGGTTGACTAATTTTTTTGTATTTTTAGTAGAGACGGGATTCCACCGTGTTAGCCAGGATGGTCTTGATCTCCTGACCTTGTGATCCATCCGCCTCGGGCTCCCAAAGTGCTGGGATTACAGGCGTGAGCCACTGTGCCCGGCCATTTTCCTAGTTTTTATAGATTTTTTGGGATTTTTTACATTTATCCTCATACCATTGTGAATAAAGATTGTTTTACTTCTTCCTTTCCAGTCTACCTTAATTTTGCCTTGATCCACTGGCTATTTTGAATGGAAGTGTTGAGAGCAGACATCATTGTCTTATTATTATTGATCTCATTTTGATCTTCAGTAGAATCATTTAGTTTTTCACCATTAAGGGTCACAGTAGGTTTTTATAGCTGCCTTTTATGAGGTTAAGAGAGCTCCTTTTTATTCTTTAGTTTCTGAGATTTAAAAAAAATCATGAATGACTTGAATTTTGTAAAATATTTCTTCTGCATCAATTGAAATGATCATGTTTCTTTTTCCCCTTTATTAAAAGGTAAATTACATTTATTGATTTTTGGATGTTGAACTGCATTTGGTTTTTGGATGTTAAAATGACTTTTTTTGTGATAAAGTCCATTTGATCATGTTTTATTTTTTAATATTGGGTTTGACGTGCTATAAGTTAAGGCTTTTGCATCAATATTTATGAGGGATAAGGTCTCTAGTTTTTTTGTGAAATCCTTGTTTTTGGTATCAGAATAATACTGGCTTTGTAAAACAAGTTAGGAAATGTTTCTTTGTGTTTTGAAAGAGTTTATACAGGACACATTTTTATAAAAAAATCTTAAGTGATAGAATTCACGTTTTTCTTTTTTTAAGGAGACTTTTTGGCCGGGTGCAGTGGCTCATGCCTGTAATCCCAGCACTTTGGGAGGCTGAAGTGGGTGGATCAAGAGGTCAGGAGTTCAAGACCAGCCTGACCAACATGGTGAAACCCTGTCTCTACTAAAAATACAAAAATTAGCCAGGTGTGGTGGTGCGCATCTGTAATCCCAGCTACTCAGGAAGCTGAGGGAGGAGAATTGCTTGAACCCAGGAGGTGGAGGTTGCAGTGAGCCAAGATCGTGCCATTGCACCCCAGCCTGGGTGAAGCTCTGTCTCAAAAAAAAAGACTTTTTATTCATACCTAAGTTGTAAGAGATTCACAGTTTACCCTACATTAACTCAATGAGAATGATGTACTTTCTTGGCACAAATAAATTTGAAAATACATCGGCTTTATCCTGCTTTCTGATTTTGTTATATGTGGAGGATACATTTATGAGAAGTTGAGAGCCAGCTTTTCTAACTGTGTTTCCAATTGCATTCCAACTTCATAATAGGAAATAATTTTATTGTTATATTTTGACTAAATGTTTAATACTGCTGTATTTATGAAATATTTTATTGCTTTGCTTATTCATCTTTGTTTTTGTTAATTTTAGGAACTTAAAAGGAGTCTAGAAAATCCAGCAGAAAGGAAAATGGAAGGTCAGAATTCCCAGAGTCCTCAATGTTTCAAAACATGCTCAGAGCAAAATGGTTATGTTCTCACATTGTCAAATGCACAACCAGTTCTGCAATATGGTAATCCTTATGCATCTCAGGAAACAAGAGGTTATTACAGTATTTTTGGTTTGGGATTAGCTGCATCTGGAGATTTTTTTATGGTTTATATTTTCATGGATTAGCAAACTGCTGGTATAATCAACCCTAATACAAACATTATTTTATTTGTATAATTAGCAGTTTTAATATTTAACACTGTAACTGGCTTCATCTAGAAGTGATGCACCATGAGATGAGTACTTTATTTACTTATTGCATATAGTTCACAATTTAAAAAATCACCTGGGTTAAAAATAAAAACATCTATTTTTTTCACATGCCAAAGTGGTTCTTTATATCCTGTTCATCATATCTGTATATACAGATGTTAGTTGTAGTAACCAGTTTCACTCTACCTTTCCAAAAATTTTATTACAGATGGAGCAGATGGTGCTTTTTACCCAGATGAAATACAAAGGCCACCTGTCAGAGTCCCCTCTTGGGGACTGGAAGACAATGTTGTCTGCAGCCAGCCTGCTCGAAACTTTAGTCGGCCTGATGGCTTAGAGGACTCTGAGGATAGCAAAGTAAATTGAATTTTCATTGTGTGAGCCTGTCCCTTTTTTATTTTTTAGCTTATGTAGAGAGTTAAGGGTATGTGTGCATATGTGTATCTTTGTGCGTGCATGCGTGTGTGTGGAAGGAGAGTGTGTGCTTGTGCCTGCACACAATTGCCTACTTGATTTTTTGAAAACTGTGCTTGTATTTAAATTTGAAAAATCTACCAGTATGCTTCAGACTTATACTTTAGGATTTATATACTAAAGTAAAAGATTAAGTTTAGAGAATAATCTCAGAATATTGTAGTTATCAGATAGTTTAATCTTAAACATCACTAAGTAACTTACTATATTCTTTTGATTATAGATGTTAGGCTTGAAGCAGCAAAGTGTTAATGGCAGTGTTATGCTTCAGTGTACATCTTTTCTTTATAGCATTTATATCCCACTTTAGATTTTAGTGTGGACTCTTCATTATCTTCAGCCAGAAAAAGAGAAAAGTGTATGTATCATATAGTGGTTTTCTTTTTTGGAGAAATACTATTTGAGATGTCTTTAGTATTTAGGTAGGATTTCTTATTCTCTGGCAGCAACACAATACTGATGATAATTGAATTAGTTTGTATAGCATGTCATTATTTTTGTAAATTTTATTTAAGAGATTCCTTCAATATTTAATGAATAGGTTTGTTTCCTTACAGCAGCTCTTTTTGGATAGATAATATGTTCTTTTCTTCATAGTAGCTCTTTTTGGATTTCCTGTGCATTAAGATGAATTTAAAAGAAATGCTTTATCGTGCTCTTTGCAAGTACAGTGGTATCATGACCTGTTTCTTATTTAATCTAGTTTGCTGCATTTAATTGCTATTAACCTTTGCAGAAACTGATCAGTGTTCAGACAGGCATGATTTTAGCCCTAGTGCTCAACACCCATAATGGAGAAAAATGTATTTCTCCCTCCTGCCTTTTGGCCTCCTGTGTCCATTACTGGGAATAATTAGGAAAACTGTCAGAACTTTTGTAGCCTATTTAAGGTCTAGAGTATCATCTTACTGCTTTTTCACACCTTTACTTCACATTTTGCGTATTTAATCTGATCATTCTTGGCACAGATGTTACATGTGACAAGCCCTTCTCTTCCGTAGTCATCTGCTTCAGTTTAATTAGCAGAATGTTCTTTCTGATCTGTGTGCTTTGCCCTCCTGCAAACCCAGGAGAAGCAGTGTTAGAGTCTTGTGCTCATTTGCTGACATGCTTAGATTTGGTAATGAGATGGAGGACTCTTAATATGCACACCTCGAGTAACTTTATTTTGCAGTCAGAAGATTTTTCACATTAGAAAGTAATTCTTATGTATATTCAGAATTAAAAAAAATTCTTGTTGTTACAACAACAAAAATCACTTGCAAATGAAGTGTTTTAGTAAGTAATTTTAGTAAGAATATGGAAAGCAAATTTGAGTTGACCTGTTCTTTCTTTCTGTTTCTCTGCCCTGGGAGTGATTAATAGCCACAGGCCCCAGCACTTTTGAGTCAGGGTTGAGGTGACCTACCTACTCTTTCAGCCTACCCTAGTGCCTACACCTGCCATATCTCCTCTCTTCTGCACCAGAAACTGTGGTCAATTGTCAGATCAAAAACCTTTTGTGACTCCCGTTTACCTAATGATTGTAATAACTTTAACATCATAATTATGACAGCAGCAAACATTTCTATACCCCTCTTTGCCATTAATGCTGAACTCTTTAGATAGAGTCACTTATTTGTTCTTCATAGCAGTCCTATGAGGTAGGAATTGTTACTGTTACAACTTTATAGTGGAGGAAACCAAGAGACAGATTAAATAGCATGCCCCAAATCACTTAGCTGCTGTGGGTAGAGACAGGATTGAATCTCATGAGATTGGCTATAGAAGTTGTGGTCTTAGCCACCTGTCAAATGGACTAAACCAGAGGTTTTCATACTTTCTTAGTTCTAGTAACCCCTAGGCCAAAAGAAATACAGTAAGTCCTCACTTAATGTCATATATAATAAGTTACTGGAAATTGTGACTTTAAACGAAATGATGTGTAACAAAACCAGTTTTTTCCCTCATCAACGTTGTAATGAACCGATGAAAGAATGATGTTATTTCTTTCAACCTGCTGTAAGTCCTTTCACTTAAAGTTGCAGTTTCTAAGAACTGCTCCATGATGTTAAGTAAGGACTTGCTGACCGTTAAGTATTTGTCTTCTAACAAATTTAGTGACCATTAAAAAAAAAAGAAAAAACTACACATAAATTGAAAGAAAATTAATGTGTTTATTTCATTCCTAAATAAGTAGTTACTAATGGGATGTGTGTGACTATTGGCCACTGTACAACTCCTCAAGCCTTAGAATCAGATTGGACAAGCCACCTTCATTTCCTGTTTCTCATTGATTTTCACAATGTGGCACTTGCTTTATATCACAGCAACTGCCAAAACCAGCATCTCGAAGATAAGATGGCATTGAAAGGAATGTGTAGCACATTTAAAGTTGAATCTGTGAGCGATCTCCAGTGACTGTAGTTGTTCACGTGGTATATGACAAATGCAGATGCTCCTCAACTTACGATGGGGTTACATCCTGATAAACCCATCATAAGTTAAATATGTGTTTTTGACTTGAAGGATATTTTCAGCTTACAGTGGGTTCATTGGAACGTAACCCCATCATAAGTTGAGGAAGGTACTGAATGTGTATTGCTTTTGTACCATCTTAAAGTTCAAAAATTGTAAGTCTAACCATTGTATGTTGGAGACCAACTCTAATGAATATTTCTGTGTACTTCTGCATATATAATATCCTTAGAAAATTAAAATTATCCCACAGTAACCCTCGGAATTTACTGTGGTGCCCTAGGTACTTTCATACCTAGTTCTGCAAACTATGGGTCTAAATCCTTGCTCCTCAAAAAAGTGGTTTGTAGACCAGCAGTAGTGGTATCTCCTAGGAGTATGTTGGAAATGGCAGAATCTCCTGCCCCACTCCAGCCTTACTGAGAATCAGACTGCATTTAACAAAATCTTTAGGTGATCATATGATTTTTAACATTTGGGATACGCTATTTTAAAACTGCCTAACCCCAATCATTCAAGGCCAGATTATTATCTCTTCCCTTAATTCATATCTTACTTTCTAGTTGCATTCTTGCATTTCTTAGTGTTTCTCTTCTACCTTCATTCCTTTCTCCTCTATCAAAGACGAAAGCCCACACATTCTATTAATATGTGGCTTATTTGAAACTTTTCACATGAGCCCTTCACTGTGAACCCCTAAACTGCAGACATTTTTTGTTGATAGACAATTTTTTTCTTTTTTCTGGTGAGTTCTAGCTTTTATTCTCAGAAGCGTCTGTTACTCCAAAATGATTGAGAACCAGTGCTTGAGAGAGTTGAGGGCTGTTTCCCATTTATCATGTTGCACTGTTTGAGTTTTTGCCTTTCTCAAACTTGCCATTTTTCATATATTATCTTACGTTTTAAATTTAATTTTAATGTGTTTTCTGTTCACAAAAATAGTGTGTGATTACAGTCAATTCATTTTTATCAAGAGAGCCAAGACAATTCAAGAGGAAAAGAATAGTCTTTGCAACAAATGGTACTGGAAAAACTGTATATGCAGTTCGATGAAAGAATGAAATTAGACTCTTGATTCATAGCCTGTGCAGAAATTAACTCAAAATTTGATTTTAAATGTTAAGAGCTAAACTACAAAACTCAAAACATACAGATAAATCTTTACGACTTAGATTAGGCAGTAGTTTCTTAGATATGACACCAACAGCATAAGCAACAAAGGAAAAAATAGATATAGGTTGACTATCCCTTATCCAAAATGCTTGGGACCAGAAGTATTTCAGATTTCAGATTTTTTCAGATTTTGGAATATTTGCATTATACTTAACAGTTGAGCACCTCTAATCTGAAAATCCAAAGTCCACAGTGCTTCAGTGAGCATTTCCTTTAAGTGTCATCTCAGGGCTTAAAAAGTTTTGGATTTTGGAGCATTTTGCTCTTCAGATTTTTGGATTAAAGATAGTCAGCCTGTAATTGAATATGTCATCAAAAGGATTAAATGAATCTTTGCTGTTCCATTTAAAATTTTTTGTACACAGTTATTTCCAACAGATAATATATAGCTGGTTGGCATCTCTTAATTCTGAATATTCACTTTTCTATACCATATTAGTATAATACCTTTCATATAGTAGAGGCTTTTAAAATGTTATTAATGAGTTTAAAGAAATGTGTTTGTTCCATTTTTGCCTATTAAACTATTTAAAATTCAGGCCATCTTAGAAAAGTAATTGTTGGGCTGGGCATGGTGGCTCAAGCTTGTAATCCCAGCACTTTGGGAGGTCTAGGCAGGCAGATCACTTGAGGTCAGGAGTTCGAGACCAGCCTGGCCAACATGGCAAAACCCCATCTCTACTAAAAATACAAAAAAAATTTATCTGGGCATGGTGGTGCACGCCAGTAATCCCAGCTACTTGGAAGGCTGAGGCATGAGAATTGTTTGAACCTGAGAGACAGAGGTTGGAGTGAGCCAAGATTGTGCCACTATACTCCAGCCCGGACAACAGAGCAAGACTCGGTCTCAAAAAAAAAAAAAAAAGTAGTTAATTTTTTGTGATAGCTTGAGATATAATTCACATATTATACAATTTGCCATTTAAAGTATACAATTTAGTGGTTTTTAATGTATTCACAGAGCTGTGCAACCATCACCGCATTCAATTTTAGAACATTTTCCTCACCAGCAAAAAAAACCCTGTAGCCTGTAGCGGTTAACCTCTTCCCATTTATTCCCACCAGCCCAGGAAACCCTCAGTCCACTTTGTTTATAGATTCGTCTGTTCTGCATAGTAATATAAGTCAAATCATAAAATTGTTATCTTTTGTGACTGGTTTCTTTCACTTAGCATGTTTTCAAAGTTATCCATGTTTTAGCATGCATCCATGTTTAACATGAAGAATGGGTTTTATTCTTGTTTGTTTGGGTGGTTAGATTGAGCATCCAAAATCCGAAACTGAGTGCTGACATGATACTCAAAGGAAATGCTTACTGGAGCATTTTGGATTTTCAAATTTGGGATGTTCAGCTGGCAAGCGTAATGAAGTATTACAAAATCTGAGAAAGTCTGAAATCTGAAACACTTCTGTTCCCAAGCATTTTGGATAAGGGGGACTCAACCTGTCCCACATTTTGTTTACCCATTCATGTGTTAGACATTTGGGTTATTTCACTTTTTGGCTATGGCATACGTGCTTTTGTTTTCATACCTTTTTACTTCTTTGGGGAAAGTGGAATTACTAGGTCAGTTCCACTAGCAACTGCTGTAGTGGAAATCCTAGGAGTGGAACTGCTGGGTCATGTGGTAACTCTTATGTTTACCTAAACCTTTTGAAAAACTGCCCGATTGTTTTCCCCAGTGGCTGCATGACTCTACATTCCCATCAGTAGTGTATGAGGGTTCCACTTACTCCACATCCTCAGCCACACTTGTTACTGTCTTTGTGAAATGGTTCATCATTGTGATTTTGATTTGCATTTTCCTGGTGGTTAATGATGTTAAGCATCTTTCATGTGCTTGCTGGCCATTTGTATATCCTCTTTGGAAGAATATCTGTTCAAATCCTTCTGCTGTTTTCAAATTGGGCCCCTTATCAGATAATAGGGTTTGCATATATGTCTCCCATTCTGTGGGTTGTCTTCACTTTTACGATGGTGCTCTTTGCAGCACAAAACTTTTTAGTTTTAGTGAAGCTGAATTTATGTTATTTTGTTGCTTATACTTTTGTTATACCTAAGAAACCATGGTCTCTCCAAGGTTTTTAATTTACTCGTATGTTTTCTTGTAAGGGCTTTATAGTTTTAGCTCTTATATTTGGTTTTTGGTCTATTTTGAGTTAATTTTTGAATATGGAGCAAAGTAAAGCTTTTGAAAACTAACAGATGTGCAAAATTATTTTTAATTTTTGAATATGGAGCAAAGTAAAACTTTTGAAAACTAATAGAGATTTGCAAAATTATTTTCTTTCTGATTTTAAATGCTTTTAAATTAGATAAATTATATATAGTTCAATGTTATTTCTTCATTGATATATTACTAGAAATGAATGTCTGGCAAAGCATAAGCAATAACATCTCATAAGAAGAGGAGGAATACTGACTAATACTGTATAGTAATACAAAGTTTTGAGGGGCAAAGAGATATTCTCTTGTTTTAAATAAAAGTTACCCAGAGTCATTGGGTACTCTCTTTTCTCTTATGCATTGATTTTGGCCTTAGCAAATATGTAAATTTCTTAAAGTGTGAATACTCTTGAACTAAAGTAATAATTATCAACTTAGTAAGAGTTTTGTTAAGTGGTGAAACTTTTCTTCCTCAATATTAATTACTAATTCCTGAATGATAACTAAATATTTCAATTAGTAGTTCCTAGCAAAGGTAGAATTACAACACAGTTTGGGAAATGCTAAGTAGAGAGTCCCACAGTCTGGATACTGATGATACAGATTATGTAACTCAGTCATTTACCCCTGAGTATGTATTGCCATAACTTGATCATGATAGATGGCATTTTTTTTATTGTGGTAGAATAAATATAAAATTTGCCATCTTAGCCATTTTTAAGCATATAGTTCTGTAATGTTAACTTTACTGCTGTGCAGCCAATCTCTGGAAACTCTTCATCTTGTAAAACTGAACTCCTTACCCATTAAACAACAACTCCCATTCCCTCTTCCTCCAGTCCCTGAAAACCACCAGTAATTTGAATTTGACTACTCTGGGTACCTTATGTAAGTGGAATCATATAGTATTTGTCTTTTTGCGAGTGGCTTATTTCACTTAGCATAATGACTTCAAGGTTCATCCATGTTGTAAACATGTATCAGAATTTCATTCCTTTTGAATAAGGGTAAATAATATTCCACCCTATGGATATATGCCACATTTTGTTTATCCGTGCATATATCAATAGACATTTGGGTTGTTTCTACCTTTTGACTATTGTGAATAATGCTGCTATGAACATGGGTTCGTGATTGAACATATCTGTTCAAGTCCTTGCTTTTAGTTCTTTTGGGCATATACCCTGAAGTAGAATTGCTGGATAATATGGTAATTTTATTTTTAATTTTTTGAGGAACTACCATGTATGATCATGATTGCATTTTGAAGTTAGTGTGATCTAACCCTAATTTATTTTCCAACAGGTTATAACCCCCTTTACCATCAGGCCAGGCAGGTGACTCATGTCTGTAATCTCATCACTTTTGGGGAGGCCAAGGTGGGAGGACTGCTTGAGCCCAGGAGTTTGAGACCAGCCTGGGTAACATAGTGAGATCCTGTCTCTTAAAAAAAATACCGAGTGTGGTGGTACACGCCGGTAGTCCTAGCTACCTGGGAGGCTGAGATGGGAGGATTGCTGGAGTCCAGGAGGTCATGGCTGCAGTGATCCATGATCGTGCCACTGCACTCCTGGGTGACAGAGCAAGACCTTGTCTCAAAAAAAAAAAAAAAAAAAAAAAATTACTGTTCAAATGTCCAAGGTGGTCGTATGCTTTTAATAAGAAAACAAGAATGTTTTTGTACAGAGTATATCCTGAGCAGATAATGAGAAGTTTTTGAGTTTCAAATTGAATGTCAGTTTATCGTAGCTTGTTTCCTTTGCTTAAAAACCAGTTTGTAATGGAAAGAGTATTGTGCTGATGGGTGTAAACATAGATGAAAACAATAGGGCGTTTAGATCTTTAAATGGATTAAAGTAATATTAATAAAAGTTTTCTGAAAAGGTATTTCTTAAAATTTGGAACTGTTCATAAATATATTTCAGTACGGTATTCTCAATAAAATTTGCTTACAAGATTATTTTAGTAGTTTAGCTAAAATACTAGGTGGTGATATTTTAAAATGTGCTGTTAAACCCTTTGGGTTTGTAAGTTTCAGTGCTGAAACTGATAATTTAATAATTTGGGGTAGAAATATTTCTAAAACAGAATGCATGATTCTCTGGCTTTCCATGCTTTCATTTAATATAACCTTGATGATTAAGGTTTATTTAAAAAATCAGTGTTACATGGTGTCATATTCTTTTAAGATGTATAGTAAGGCTGTGTGATCTATTACTAATAGTGAAATGCCTAACATTGGATATTTCAAGTTCTTGTCTTGCTTTTCTTTTTCCCAGTAGCTTTTTTTTTTTTTTAACTGTCAGTCGGCCTGCTTTAAAAGCTTCATTTCCAAATTAAAGTATTTTTAATCTACTGTGGTTTTGAAACTAATTAACCAGGCTTGTTGAGTAAAATAGAATAAATGTATTCTCGAGTGAAGATTTCACTCATCATTTTGCCTGTCAATATCATGAGAGACTTTATTATATGTATTGGCTCCTTAGAGTGCTTACTGCATACTCTCTGATTTCAACCTATGCTCTGGGTAGATGGTTCATGTTTTATTTCATGAGAACTTATTGTTTCTCATTATAACATGTAGAATTATACTCTTGAGCCCCTCTCCCCTTTTATTAGGTAATAGGTGGTAGAAGATAACAGAATAATCGGGTTATCATTGCCAAATTATATATGACTTAGAAAGTATAAATTACTTCTACCTTTTTTCCCCTCCAGGTATTTAACGAGCAGGGTTAACATGTCTGACAGTTTGTCTGAGTCTGGAACCTTAGCTACAAACTCTACTGTTAGCTGATTCATGGAAGCAGTAAATTGGTGTAGGCTGTTAGCTATTATAAAACAGGAAAAGGAGGTTATGAGACTTTTGGTTCCATTACATTTTTGGCCCCTAGAAAATTGTATTCTATTTTAAATATTTGTCGTTAAAAATTCTAAAAAATATAATATCAAGACCTGCCCCATTTTATCTTTTCCAATTATTTTCTTCAGCATTTCAATATTTTGGATTTTTTTTTCAAAGATGAGTGAGAAAATTTTGTTCCTTATCACTGTTTTGTAGTTATTTAAGTATACTCAGTGTTTCAAAGATTGTTGCTGGGAGGCCTAAATCTGGGAGCTAGAGTAACCTGGCACAAAATCAGAATTCACTGTCCTACATACTAAGCTCAGCAGATTCAACTACTTTCTCATCTTCCTTCTTTGTATCTACAGACTTAAAAGCTGTCTGGATTTTAGTTACTTGATTGAATTTTTGAAGTATATAAAGTATTCGTGTTTTATCTCCCAATTTAATCCCCCATTAGGTTATCTGTCCCGTTTTCCTTTTGCTCAGTTATATCCTATGGGACTCACAGATAAACAGAAGTATTTTACCCCTTCTTTTACTTTTCAAGAGGGGAAAATTGTCAGAAGGATAGTCAAGTACTAGAAATACTCATTTTGTCTTTTGTTTGTTCACGTTGCACTTCACACCATATATACTTTTTTTGGTGCTCCTTCCCATGACAGACTTAACTGACCCATTAATAGCAGCTCTGGGGCAAGCATGCCTACCCAGTAACATAAAGGCTTCCTCAGTGCCGGCTGCGCTTGGGGATATGCTGTTAGTTCATGACATGAGAGCAGCTAACGGCTGCTGAGAGATAAAAAGGAAATAGGCAATTTAGATGATGTGCCTGGTTTCAGTGTTAAATGAGCCTGTGTGTTTGGCTGTTGATGTAGCACGTACAGATCTCTAAAAACTGCTGGGATGCAGCCATGGGAATCCAAATCAGTGTTTTCTTTGTGATGAAAACTAGATGCACAAATTTTTAGAAGTCTCACTTGACAACCTCTGAAATATTTAACTTTGGATTTTGTTCCTCTATAGCAGAGTTTTGAGGCTTGTAGTTTAGTGCATTGCTTTGCTTTAACACGTGTTAATCCAGTTGGACTTGCTTCCCCAAGAATATGCATATACAAACTCACACATACTTTATTAGTTTTTCATTATGATTTCTGTATATCATGCAATGGATGTATCTTGTCAGAGAGACTGTCTTTCTTGTAATTAAGCTTACAGTTATTAAATGAGAACGTTTGGGACAATAATGCAGTCTGACAGTATTGAAAGTAGGGCCAGGCACAGCGGCTCACGCCTGAAATCCCGGCACTTTGAGAGACCAAGGAGGACGGATCACTTGAGGCCAGGAGTTTGAGATCAGCCTGGCTAACATGGTGAAACCCTGTCTCTACTAAAAAATACAAAAATTAGCTGGGCATGGTGGTGCACACCTATAATCCCAGCTACTCAGGAGGCTGAGGCATAAGAATTGCTTGAACCCAGGAGGCAGGGGTTGCAGTCAGCCGAGATCGCGCCACTGCACTCCAGCCTGGGTGACAGAGTGATGACTCCATCTCAAAAAAAAAAAAAGCAAAAAACTGGTCACCCAGTCTGCAGAATGATAAAGTCAGTAAAAGTTACCTACGTATATAGGTTTGAAAAGGTCTACTGTTCTCAGCTTCATTTACACATACAGGTATGGTAAATGGTATGTGTAAATGGTATGTCTCTATTCCTCTGAATACTGCTTTTTATTTCAAGAACACCACAGTGTTAGTTTATAGTGAAATACTCTGCAAAGTTTCAAACATGTTTATTTGAAAGTCTAATTAAATGATAGCAGAGAGAAAATTTCCTGAAGTGTAATCTTCTTTTATACTGTCAGTATGTGCTTGATTGAATTAAGGAATTTATATTTGGTTTTACTTTTCTTAAAAGTTCCAAAATTATTTTTCCCCTAGGAAGATGAGAATGTGCCTACTGCTCCTGATCCTCCAAGTCAACATTTACGTGGGCATGGGACAGGCTTTTGCTTTGATTCCAGGTAGTTTTCTTCTTTACTTTGTAGAATTTGGGTTATATCGGCCAGTGGTTCTCAAAGGTGGTCCTTGGGAACTCATTAGAAATGCACATGTGTAGGGCCTGGCCTAGCTGAACCAGAAACACCAGGCGTAGGCCCAGCAATATGTGTTTTAACATGTCCTCCGATTTAGGGAGTTTTGTCAGAAAACATTTTTAACTTGCAGTATTTAAAAGAATATTTACTGTTCCTAAAATGTCATTCAAATGCATGTATTGTCTGTTGTTTGGGGATGGGAACTAGTTTTGCAAAAAACACCTAATGTTGTATAATAATGCACCAATGATCTTGCTGGTTAAAAATACAGTATTTTTGGCCAAAAACAAAAACATGTCCTCCGACTGATTCTGATGCATACAAGCATTTGAGAACCAGTGCCATAAAAACTTTGCTATTAAACCAAATGCACTGGTGGGAAGTTATGAGTTGTATTTATCCTTACAGTCTTACAAAAGGCATTTTCTGTTAAACGTGGAAGAATTCTTGGTACTAATTTCACGTAATTGTGATTGGATTTGGGAGGTTTTAAGGGGGAAAAACGGTTTTGTTAATCTAATTGTAAAATTGAATTTAGAGGCTCTATAAATGGGTTACACAATTGTCTACAGCAAGCATTTAGAAGCAGAGAAATGTTTCTGGAGTAAAGACTTTTAAGGTAGGTTGTTTAGTATGAATATCAGCTAACTAGATAAATGGAACCTTGTCATATATGGACAAGTTGTTGTTCTACATTTATTAGAAACATGTAATTCTTTCATTTTTCTCTTTAAGCTTTGATGTTCACAAGAAGTGTCCCCTCTGTGAGTTAATGTTTCCTCCTAACTATGATCAGAGCAAATTTGAAGAACATGTTGAAAGTCACTGGAAGGTGTGCCCGATGTGCAGCGAGCAGTTCCCTCCTGACTATGACCAGCAGGTGTTTGAAAGGCATGTGCAGACCCATTTTGATCAGAATGTTCTAAATTTTGACTAGTTACTTTTTATTATGAGTTAATATAGTTTAGCAGTAAAAAAAAAAAAAAAAACCACACCTAAAATAGACCACTGAGGAGACCATAGAGCGGATGCTTTCATGCACCCTTTACTGCACTTTCTGACCAGGAGCTACTTTGAGTTTGGTGTTACTAGGATCAGGGTCAGTCTTTGGCTTATCAATAAATTTTAATCTCTGTTAATCTTACCTGCTTTAAAAAAAAGTTCTTGTGTGTTCGTATCTTTATTTATTCCCTAGTTTGCAGAACTGTCTGAATAAAGGATACAAGGATTATTTCAATGTTACTGCACTGAAAAACGTGTATGTATTAGTGTGCTAGATTATTTAGCAGAATATTCACAAGTTTCTGTTGACCTTGTTGATTGAGCATGACTACTAAATATTATGTAATAAAAAGCATTTGTCATAACAGTCTTATGAAGTAGTTCTTCGAATATAGAAAGTTCTATAATTTAGCCCATGAAATGATAGGTTTTTAATTTTCAGAAATGGAGCTGCATGTAGAATGAGATCACATGCTTTTATATGTGAAATATTGGTTTTAGCAATTAACAGAAGGCATACTTTGCTAATTTTATGGCAAAATTTTAGAATAACCTGAATGATTATTTTTAAACTATCTTGAAGTTGTATGTATATATCTAATGGGAAAATGGAACAAGAGATGTCAGTATAATTGTTTTCCTATTAAATGATCTCATAACAGGGGTGTTTGTGGCATAAAAATCATAGAATATATATCAGTATCTTTTTTACATTTTCCTGATGAGAATATAAATTTGAAATATTCTCAGTAAGTGATTAAAAGTACAATACATAAACCCAAATCAAAGTAATGTGTTTCTTCAGTTATGTCTGTGCTGTATAGAACTGTCACTAACATTAAAGAAAGAGGACACATTTTTCAAGATCTGTAATTTCATTGTTGTCAAATTTATTTGTGAAAGTTTTTCATTAATCTAGCATCTTGAACATCTTTTTTTGGTTTGGGCCTTTAAAATACTTCTGAATTGTATTCCCTTTCCCTTTTATAATGTGCGTGTGAATAATTTAAAGCACCAACTTTTGATTTTGCCGCTTTTGTAGTTATCATCAAAATAGTTTACATTTGTTCTGAGCAAACTAGCTATTGAAGATGTTAACCTAATATTTAGACTTGGTGGCATTTTGAGTTGCTATATGTGAACTGCAGCATATCATGTCGTCACTTGTATTTGTTTGTGGAAGCAGAGTTTGTATATTGTTAGAATCCTTTAAAAAGTTTTTTGAGTCTAGGGCAAACCAGTATGAGGCATTCATATGCCAGCTGTTAGGACACAGCAGTCCTAGGAAGCAATAGCTTTGGAGACTTTCAGCTTCCAGATAGGTTATATACTTAGGTAAAATATGTTCAACAATGGGAGCATTTTTGTTGGAGTTAATAATTATGGACCATGTTAATCCAAAAGTATCCTTGGAATATTTATTATAGTAGTAGACACTGTTCATCTTACTAGCCTAGAACTTATTTTAAAATAGTTTAAGTAAGTAAGTCCAAGCTTAATTTGTTATTGACAGAAAAGTAATACAGCCTAATCTAATCTAAGCAAAAATGTAAGGGAATAAAGTCTACATGCATCAACTGAACAGCCTTAGAATGAGGAACTGAATGGATATATTAATTTCCATGGTAAACTTGATACTGGTTTTCATAATGGACACTAAGGAAAATAAAGAGCCATATTTATTTTTGGGTCAGAGGCAGTTTATTTTAAATGTGATTTCATTTACATTTATAAGCAGCTTTTCTTGACAGGAATTTTGATTAAATTGCCTTCAGTTCTAAAACAAACCTCTGTTGCTTTCAGACTTAATGTGCTCTGTCCCCAACAAAACATATGAAAATATAATTTAAAGCACAGTTTTCACAGACACAGTACAATACATTCACTATACACAGTATAACAAAATATTCCCATCCTTACCTGTTTAGTAATACTGTCACAATGAATAAGTAAATAGAAATTGGAATTTATCTTTGAAAGCATTGAAAGAAATTTAACATGCACAATGACTATTTTATGACTGTTTAGCTGTTGAACTACTGATCCAGCCTGCAGTTTCTTGCACTAGAAAGAGCGAAGCTAAATAATAATTGCTGGCCTAAAAAATTTTTTTTGGTCAATTGTAGGTAGATATGAAATAGCCAAGTGGGGCCTTCTTATGCACCAACTAGTTGCGTCTCATGTCTGGATCACCCTTTTAAACATAGGATAACACTGTATATTCAGGACCAAGACCATACTTCAGATCTGAGGAAATTTTTAGAGGGCAGTGTTTTTATAAATACTTTGAATCCCTCATAATGAAGGATTTTAGAACTTATGAATATAGAGGTTTACTCATCTAACAAACAGAACTGTCATCCTTTCAAAATGTCTGAAAATTGAGGAGGGACCCCTGCTTCCCAGTTATATGTGATGTAAGACTTTTCATCAAATGGGAACATGGGAAGAAACTTTATAAGCAATTTGAGTTTGTTTTATGGGCAGTTAGCTATCTCAAAGCATTTTTTATTGCATTATTAGGCAACTGGTAAACTCTCGTGTTTAAGGAATAGCACTTGGGAGAAAAGAACACTCAAGGCATGATGGTACTGTCGGTGAGGAAAAACTTAAGGAATGGTCCAGATGTAGATTACTCTAATAGGTCGTATTAGTCATGCTTTTCTTTGACCACCTGCTGCAAGAAGCACTTAATTGTCAATAAGGCTCATTTTCCTATTTCAGCAAAGTGTTTGTTTTATAAAGCTAAACAGACATTTCCAATGAGAATGCAGACCTCTCTACAATGTGATGAGAAAAGTACCTTTTAAAAAAAGTAAAAAATGAGCATGAAGAAGAGGCAATAGGGGTCTTAACAAAAGTGTTCATCTTTGAAACGTGCTTAGAATTTTAGTTCTGATTTGCAACCCACAGGTTTGGTAGGGCAGTGGTTGCAAGAATTGGCAACACATAAACATTAAATTGTTGGCAATAGAGAACTACAAAGTGCTTTAAAACTTCATCTGAAGATGAAGATATAACTAAACTTCACACACACACACTTTGCACTGAAGTATTTCAAAGTCTTTTCTAACAGATTTCAGGGAAAAAAGTATTTCACTAAATGGGTATCTTGGTCCGCAGATATCAATAGGCATAAATTGAATCCCTTGTACCCAGCAGGCACTCAATCAATGTGTGTTAAATGAATGAACGAACTGAATAGACTATTTTGTACAAAATGCCATTTATAACACTAAAATGACTAGTAAGTCAGATGGCAAGATTTTCAGCTTTTTAAAGGGCAAAAGGATTTGCAAGATAATATAAAACACAGAAAGCACACCTTTACGTATGTTATTTAAATATGAAAATATTTTTAGCATATTATGTTAAACATTCTTTCTTATTTATATTTCCATTACCTAAAGTCTTTCTACTCACAAATACTAACTCCATTATGTAAGGCATGGTAACCAGTTTGATAATGAAGGTATTATTTTGGTTTTGAACATATGTGAGTTGATGTGTTGAAAACTTCAATCACATTACAATCTTGAAAAAAAAATCTCAGTGCCAGCCCCTCCTCCCCCCAGGTTGATACCACCGCAATACAATTCAACAATATGCAACATGCCCTCAATTTTATTTTGTTTTGGGGGAAATGTGCTGAAGAACCTAGAGCTTTTTTTGTTTAGCACCTTATATCAAAGTAATGAAAATGGGTATGATGATTACATGTGCAAATGTACAAAATCATTAACTCTACAAAGATACATCATTCCAAAATTACAGAAAAAATTTAAAGCATGCATTTAATTCTTTTTCTTTAAAGGGTTGCTGAATGCTTCCCCTGAAAAAAGGTGGCTGTTTTCAAAATCAGCAACTGCTGGTGAGGATTTCTTGGCACAGTTATGACCAGCATGTTATTGCTGCATCTTCCTGATAATCTCAGCCGACACCGGGGGATGGAAATTGATTGTGTGGTGCCGCAGGCCCTGAGCTGTCTTGTAACTCTTCCCACAGCGACACTTGAATGGTTTGCGGACACGAATCTGTGTTCTGTGACCATTCTTAGCGTGATACTTTATGCCATTCACATTCTGTGGAGAAGACAAAAATATTTATTACATGGATTCACAGGATACCTGTCAAACTTCGGAAACCTCAATTTGGGTCTGGATTGCAGTTCCTGGATGGCAGCTGTTTAGAGTGTAGTCTTTTGCAAGGACTCCAGTTGGGACCCTTCAAGGACATTCTGGTGTGTCGGTCATGGGCTGTACGGATGGTCACACACACAGCTGACTCAAAATTTCAGATGTGCCTCAATTACTCTGAAAATGAAAGTACTGATTTCTTCCAATTTTATATAAAATATATATTTAGGACTTACAGACTGTATAAAGAAAATCCTCTGAATCTTTTCCACTCTAAAGAAAGTTAACAGTGAACAATCCTACACAAATATCCTCAGCATGACCAACAAAATATCTTTCTAAAGAAAAACATCAGGGCATATCCCAAAAGTTTAACATATAGAAATTTTTGATTTGGAAACTCAATTTACAGCTTGCTTCTAGATAACTGTGTTAACAGTTCCCTACCATGCCTTAACCAGAGTTTTTGTCAGTTTTCTGCTCTGCACTAAGCCAGTATCTCTGATGCCACTGTGGGAGCTACTTGTTGCCCAAATCTTGTCCCCGCCGTACAGTTGTACATGTTTAATAAGCACCTGTAGTCAGACTAGTCCTTACCTTAAGTATTACATTCCAAACATACAATGAACTTTAAAAATTTAAGGTTATATAATGTTAGTCACTAAGATTGGACTTCTTAGCATCTGGATACTAAAGTTATCAAAATGCTTTCTAAATTTCTGTTTGTCGGTTTTGCTAGTTCACCAGCATATTCTATGTAAGATTCCGTATTCTATGTAAGAGTCACTCTCTACAGTTTTAACCACCAGTAATCCTCATCCCAATTAAATGGTGAGGAAATGGGCTTGAGGGTAGTAAGTAACTGGTGGAAGATCTAAGAAGGGACGGCGGACGTGTGGTATTTGAGATAGGTCTTAATTTCCAAGTCAGCAATTGCCAGATTAGAGAGTAAGGGAACACAGAAGAGACAGCCTGAAACAAAAAGCACAGATTTTAGGAGAGTGAGCTGTTTCCTAAAATATTACCTAAATCCAGTCCTGCTAGAGCCAGTCCCTTGCCCAACTGAAGGATTCCAACACAAATTGTTCCCACTCTTCATGGGATGCCTTCAAAGAGCTCCCAGAAAACAGCTCCCTGCTGTTGTCTCATGAATACCTAGCACAGTGCCTGGCACATTGTCGATGCTAAGTCTTTGTGAGTGAATGAAGTTACAACAGCACTTCCCAAGTTCACGCCTCACTAGTCTGGAAGAAGGGTTGCTACTAAATATAAACGTGGTGGTGATTACTACACTAGAGATGTGCAGTACACATGAATGCTTTTTTAAAAGTCCTTGGAAGAGAACTCTGCTGGACTTTGTTGAACCCAGGGGTGCCAAGTAGCAGCTGGCTATGCTCAGAGTCTGAAGGTTGTCCAGTGATTTGAAGCAGAAGGACAAACACTCTCCCCTGAACACCTGGCTCCAGGCCTTCTGCACCTCAGCCCTGTCCTTCCAGCATCAATCCTTTCAAACATAAGGTACTTCAGTCTTGTTAAGAGGCATGTTGGGGGTTTCAGAGCCTACTGGGGCAGGAAAGGGGAGGGTAGTGGTGGTGGTAGAATCAGACCCACTGAAATGTTAGATGGGTAGATATGCCCTGCCAGTCCCTGGCGGTTCCATCCCCTCCGAGGCCCAGGCACATGAGTGAAGAGGCCAACGTGTGTATCCAGCCCAAGTGAGCCTTCAGATGATTCTAGCCCCAACTGGTGTCTTAGAGCAACTGCATGAGACCCCAGGCGAGAACCACCTTGTTGAACCAGGCAGCCCAGAGAACTGTAAAAGATAATTGTTTTAAGCCATGTATTGTGTGTGTGAGAGAGACAGAAAGAGAGTGAATGTTAGTTTTATGACCATTAGATAAAGACTTTCAACTTTAATATGGTGGAAAGTATCCTGGGTTACAAATGCTAGAAATGTGCACCTGCCTGCTTAGTAATATCCCATGTATAGCTCAACGAATATTGAGCACCTAGCAGGGTCCTTTTCCGTGGATGAAGGGCTACTAAAATATTTCATGTCCTTGTTTTCATGGGGAACTTGATGCAGGACAGCTCATTAATAATCCAGCTACCTCTGTGCCCCAAAACCATTCAAACCTTGTCAGAAAATAGAGGAAACCAAAAATAGAAAAGCATTAACCAAGAAACAAAAAGGCACAGCAACTCTTAACAGTATCAGGGCTTAGCCATTCCATTGAGGGCTGAGGTTTTTATAACTAATTAGGCTAAAAAAAAGATTTAAGACCAGAAATTGCTAAAGCCATAAAAGCCAGTCCAATGTGAAGCCAGATCTGTCGTTCACCAAGAGAAGGACAAGCCAGGGCTGAGGGGATTCCGGCAGGCGCTGTGGCCCATTCACAGCTTGAATGTAAACATTATGTTGTGTGTCTGGCATGAGACTGTGAAGAAAACAGCCAACACCACACACACATCAGCTTTATGACTCTGGAAAAATCAGGAAGCACATTTAGAAACATAAAGTATTTCCAGGGTTGGTCAGAGAACCTGCTGTGCCATCACTCCTTTGTCTTTGCTGCTGTGATTAAAAAATGTTGACAAGCGTCAGTGGGTTGCCCTTATCGCAAATGTTAGTACAAGGTCAAGTGAGACTCTATTAAGACATTTCCTCCATCCAGCCATTCAGTTACAGGCCGCGGGAACGTCCTCTTTACAAGACCAGAGGAGCTCTGAAAAGATCCACCAAAGTTTATTTCATCAGTCCTGAAACAAATTTGATCTTTCAGAAATATTAGTAAAAAAAAATAAATAATGGCCGGAAACCTGAAATGCTGAAATTGCTGAAATTCTTTGGTCTTTGAAAAAAATGGAATCAAGCTTCAAAAGGGCAAGGAAAGTTGCTAACATTTATTAAGAGCTTACCATACTGGGTACTTGATGTCAATTGCCTTATTTAATACTCATGTTCTGGATGAGAGAATTGACTCCTAGAGAAGGTGAGTGACTTGGCCAAGATCACATGGCTGGTAAATTACAGAACTGGAATAGGAACCCAGGGATGTCCAATCCATAGTCCATATTTCCTCATTTAGTCTCCTAATGTGCTAGGTACTCGTTAATTAGAACAACCAGCTAGTGGTCTTTGAAAAATCTTACCAGTTGGGAGGAAGGATTGGGATAATAGTCTGGAGAAAACTGTCTTTGAGTTTTCTCAAAGTGATGCTCTGACATCAAGCTAGTAAGGGAAGAAAGTGGGAAGGTAGGAGGTAGAAAGGAGAACTTAGGTGGGGGGGGTTCCACCATTAGGAACTACCTGTCCCCTCTGATGGAATTAGGCCAGTCAATAGACAGCAGGCGACTTAAAGGCTTTTCTAAAAAGTCTACTCCAAATCAAATCATGAGGCCTGAAGTCCAGATGCTGAGCTGGGCCATCCTGTCCTTACCTGTATGGGATCTTTGTTGTCAGTACTCAGGCCTTCATGTGTACAACATGTGACGCTTGCCCTAGATAAGCCCAGTGGTCAATTTCCCAGGGCCTGGATGTTGTACACAGCGGAGAAGATGAAGTTGCTTGGGGATTTGATGAGGAAGAAGAGTAAGAAAACAAATTGGGGATGGTAGTAGTGGTAATGGTGGGGGTTAAAAGTGAAACCACTTGCAGCAGTGTGGACACCTCACCAGCCCCAGAAAGCAGGAGGCTGAGGTGCACGCAGTTCCCTACTGGCCACTGCACAGCAGCACACACTGTGTCCAGCAAGTTGGGTGGGGTCTTCAGGAAAAAAAGAATTGCCTCTTCCCTCAGTCATTTAAATAACATGTTCAGTTAGACAATTACAGAAATTCAGAAAACACAGAAGAGGATAAAAAAGAACAGACACTATCACTGTTAATATTTGAGGTATTTCTTTTCACTATTTTTTCATACACACACACACACTCTCTCTCTCAATACCTTTTTTCCACTCAATGTTACTTTGTGAGCACTCCCTCATCATTAAATGTTTCTCAGTGTTTGAAAATGGGACACTGTATCTGGATCTGTCTCTGTTGCTGAAACAATCAATGTACCTCTCTGCAGCAGAGGACTCCAGAGGAACTTTGGGGGGCGGGGTATTGTTCTGTGTAACATTTCTTAAAACAAAACAAAACAAAAAAACTTTAAAAATGCCTTAATCCTCACCATTCTAACATAAAAATTATCAAAGGTTAAGCACTTCAACCCATCTTTTAAACCTATCTGCATTATAAGGAAGGGAAGTCCTCTCTGTTCCCTGAATTCAGGCGAGCATGAGCAGGGCAAGGGTGGTGGGCTCAGTGGTTGTGGCCTGGAACGCCTCTGGGAAGGATACAAAGGAAAAGAATCCTCCCATGGCTTTGGGGCTCAGTGGGGAGCCCACATTTCCCCGTTCCCATGGGCTACACCTTGATTCCTTTGCCCTCAGAGCATCTGTCACATCTGAGACATGTGCTGGGTGCTGAGGAGGGACAGTGAGCTCTGCGGGTTATGGGAGCAGTAAGGGAAATGGCGCCTCAATGTAGAAAGAGCATGTGGGGAGGATGAGAACTTGACCTATGAGGGGCGGAGAGGGGAGTAAGTCTGGGAGGTTGGTGAGGGGTCCCAGAGGTGGAGGCACTGGAGCTGTGCTGGAGAAAGGAGTGGAATTAAAATGAGAGATACTGAGGGAGAGAGGAAGGGACAGGGGACCCGAATATGCAACCCAAAAATGCCTCTTTGCCCTAAGGACTCTTTAGCCGAAGGCAGTTCAGCAGCAGCAGATGCAGGAAGGAGGCTCCCTGCTCTCCCTCTGTGTGCCTCAAAACAGGACACAAATTTACAAAGTCAGAAGAAAGCCCACTCCCACTTCTTCTGGGGAGATCAAAGGTTAACCAATGAAGAGGACTTCAGACTCTTATTGGCCTGGAGATGGTACTGGAGGAATCTACATTAACAAGCTAATACACTAACAGGACTTTGTCTGCCTTTTTTTTTTTTTTCTTTTTTCCTTCCACAAGTTGCTGCTTCCAGAGACTCAAAGCCCTTTTCCTTTGTTACTTCTCTAAAAATGTACTTAACTGTTCTTTGTTGAAGATGCTGTATAAGCTATGAGAACTGCCCATTCCCTGGGTGTCTTGTCTCCTGTGTGTATATGAAATACACATGTTGATAAACTGTTTTTCTCTTGTTAATCTCTCTTTTGTTAGAGAGAATCTGTTGCAACTAGAACTTATGATGACTGAGGAAAACATTATTTTTTCCTCTACAAAGGGCAGGGAGCGTCCTAGGCTAAGGAGTTAACATGGGAAGGAAATGTGGAGACTTGGCCTTACCAGTGGGATCCTTCTCCCATTCCCTGCTCTGCATGAGGTCTGGGAGTTCGGTACCTCATCTTCTGTCTGATCCGTAAATGCCAATGAAATGGTGAGGACTGTAGATCCTGGTCAGTGCCCAGGAGACTTGGCTGGCAGAGACTGCTGCCAGCAGCAAGCAGGGAATAAGAAAAGTCTGACTTGCCTTGAGAACAAATGAGGTGGTAGCACTTCTGGATTCTGCCCGAGTCCACAGTACCCAGCTTATCCCACCCTCTTCTCTCCAGTACCCAAGCCAGCAATGATGCTGTGAATAAGATGAAATACTAATCGCACTGGAGCACAGCCCTGCCTTCCAGCCAGCAACTTCGGGGCAGAAAGAGTCAGCTGCCAGCTTTGGGATGTAGGAGCAGCTCATCTCCAGCGCCTGGTCACAGGTGTGGTCACAAGCCTGCTATGGCCCTGTGTATCATGACCTGGCATTCTGGCCAGAAAAGGAAACTCACGCTTCCCTCGTGGGATCAGGACCACCAACTGCCACCCATGTCACCTGCCAGTTAATGGGGCTGGAGCCAGCAGCCCCTTCAGCCCAAGGCTCACTGAATTCTCAGTGGCCTTGGGTGGAGAGAGAACACTCAGAAAAGCCCCCACCAACCCAGACACAGAGAACGGAAGGGGGAAACTGCCAGAAACCCAAGCAAAGGAAAAGTAAAAGACAAAACAGAAATGACAAGGAGGAAAGGATGCGAGTAAGAAAAGGGGATGGAGCTGGAGGTGGGAGAGAGGGGATGCCTCCCCTGCACCCTGTGCCCAGAACCCAGGGCGTAGCTTGTATTTCCTTTGTTTTTTGGCGGGTCAGCCGAGTACAGGTCATTACTTGGCTCCCGCTTTTAACATGGCCGAGGTGCAAGACACCCCCGGCCTGGTGCTTGGCCCTGGAGAGCAGGCAGCAAGACCGCAGTGGTGGGGAGGAACAGCTGGGGGAGACGCGGTGGGAACCAGCCCCAGCCCAGGCAGTGGCCAGTCACAGCCTTATCTGTACAAATCAAGAAAGAAGGAAAAAGTCTCTTTCTGCAATGAAGCGCTGCCCTCTGGAAAAATGGGCTTGTCCAACAATCCTGTGGATGTTTTGTATCCCAAGGTAACCCCTGAGCAGCCCTTCCCTCCTCTCCCAACTCCACGCCTCTGACACAGAATGTACAGATGCGTCCTGAGACCTGTTCTGACCCAAATGCAGCGCTCCTCTGCCAGCCCTCAGAGGCTTCTCACATCTGCATCCTGGGAGTTCATTTCAGTTTAAACAATGAGCATCTGGACTTTGCATGATGGAATTGTAACAGTACCTAGGGAAGGTGAAACCTAGAAATGCTAACTTTGTGATACATTTGTGTGCCATGCTTTTATATCAATAGCTGCTATGAAAAGTACTGAAATAGATTAGTGTTCAGAGACACATATTTAAGAAGGGGCAATATAAGTGCTTATGCTATCTTTTTTTTTAAGCTTTAAAAAATAGTCAATCTGCTAGCCTATGAGTGAATTAGCATATCATCAAGCATACCAGGTATGTTTCTGATTTTTATACTCCTAGCTCACAGTTGGATGTGAAAGAGCTGCTAACACCTCATGGGGAAGTTTGCAATTTTGTTTTTTAAAATGCCCTCTAGACCCATACTTGACTATTGTGCTGTTTCTCGTTGTTTTGTCCCTGTTCCTTATTAGAAAAGTTAGCACCCCCAGCTGCCCATGACACCCAGGCCCTCAGAGACCTGGGTCAGCAGACAGGCAGCTGAAGCTGAAGTGGATGGTTTGGTGAGAAAAATATCAAAGGCCTTTTTTCTCCTGATCCCCTTTCATGCCACTGGGTGGAAGGAAGCAAGAACTTCCTCAGCTGGAAGCTAAATACCCTCCACACTCACCAAATGGCTCTGGGAGCCATCTGGGGCTTTTACAACTTCAAAGTGGTCTCCCGTGAGCCATCTGTAGGGCCATCCGTTGGGGAAGGTGCTTGGCAAATAAAGTAGGTTGACATATTTGATATTCTGTTCTGATGGGTCCCCCAATATGACATGAATTTGAAGACTATCAAAGACATGATCCTCCTACAAAAGCTCTCTCTTGACTGCCAGGCTCCCACGTAGGTGAGCAGAGGGGAAAGCCCCGGCAGCAGCGGTGGCGGGTGAGCACTTCCTTGAGGGCACCTGTGTGCACACAGGGGTGAGGCCCACGCACTCTAATGCAGGAGAGGGGAGTGTCTCCCCCCAGCCCATACGCTCGCTTTAAAATCAAGAAAGGGCTGCTGCCTTCCATGAAGCTTGCCCTGTTTCCATGTGGTTATGCCAAGCATGCAGCACCTCTGTTACCTTGTATCTCTTTTTACATCCAGGAACTGGGCAGGCAAAAGGCTTCTCTTCCCCTCCATTCATGCACATGGAGCTGAGGATGGCTTCGGAGCTGATGGCACTCTCTGTGGTCCAGGACTCATCGCTGTCCGACTCCTCATAGTCCACCTCCTCCTCGTCATACTCGCTGCCTGCAGGACAAGAGAAGTGCAAGGACTGTCAGGAGCGCTCATCTCCCCACAGGTTCACCCGGCCACTTCCAGGACAGGAGATGTGGCCGTGGCAGAGCAGCGCTGACGGCCCAGGGAGAGGGCACTCCCGGCACCAGGGGACTGCAAACACGGCTATTCCCTTACAACCCTGGAAGCAGGAGCCCTGCGTTCCCACCTAAGAGACCAGGGCAAGGGCTTCCCAACAATTCACAGCTAGGAGTTGGCGGAGCAAGAACATTAACTCGGTTCTATGGCAACCCAGCCTGTGGCTGCAAAGGCACAGGGAAGACTTGCTCTGGGGCCAAAACCAAAAATAAGCAACGATGACAGGCTCCTCACACTCCCCATGCTAGTGCCTGACACTCCCAAATGAGCAGAACACTGTCCCCTTAGTTTTATGCTTTACTGGCCTAGTAAATGCAGAAGTCTCCAAGGTCGGGGGTTACGTTTTGGACTTTTAAGGCATTTCTACTTCAGTGGAATGAATTTCAGGTCTTTTTCTTTATAGATTTGAGCTGGGAAATTTGGAACTAAAAGAGGGTTACCCTCACGCTAGGGAGCAAGAGGCATAGAAGGCCAGGAGGTCTAAGGATAAATCGCCAGCGGCAGAATGTGGGGTAGCTCCTGGAAGACGAAGCGATCCCCTACACACGCAGTACTAGGCACCGCATCTGCCCTTCAGCTCATGCGACACTTCCTGCTAGGGCTGACCCATCACAGTTACGCAGCTCAGACAGGAAGCAGGGATTCTCTTTTATTCCTAAGGGCTAAGAGCTCTGCTGAGAATCGAATTGAAATACACTCTACTGACTTCTTTGCAAGACGGCAGGGATGGAGAACCACTTCAACAGGCAGCCTCTTTTGCTCTTTTTTAATGAGGCCCAAAGCCATTTATTTGGAGCTTTTGCACAATACAACCCTGAAGGACATAATTCTACCGATCATAAACAGTGTAAAATAATATGTTGACAAGTCCTAATGCATTTACAAGCCCCGTGGAATAAATAGGAATTATAGCACAACATTAATAAGAATTATATGGTAGCAATTACAGTTGTGAAATTCATCCCCCAGGTGTGAGGCTACATTGCACCAGGGGCCTGCCTGGGTGCTTCAGGGGCTTACTCTGCTACATCAATTATTTCAACACCAAATATTGGCACTTTTATTGGGTTTCATTTTAATAGGCATTAATAAGATTGTTTGAAGAGCCAGTTGCGCCAGGAACAGGGACGCCGGCATCTGAGGCTCAAAGTTGAAAGGAGCCAGGAAGGAAGGAAGGGACCTGAAGTTTACTCAGTGCCTATGATGTTTCAGGCACACTCTGTGCATTATCTCATTTAATCCTCCAGTAACCCTAGGAGGTGGGGATTACTGTCACCGTTATACACACGAGCAACTGAGCCCTCGTGAGGTTAAAACGCGCATGTGTTCTGAACTCACCATTAAGGGACGGTGTGCTTTTTCCCTCATTGCTTCCCAGCCCCCAGTGCCAGGCTCTTCTGAGGGGTTCCCTTTTAATCTCCTTTGAGTTGCTGGCTCTTCACCATTTAATACTGAGATGGAATTCGAAGCAGTCTGTTTTGAAGTCTGTTAGAAATTCTCGGGTGGTGCAGAAAAAACAATCTGGCAAACATGAAGCTTTGGAGCTAAATGTGGGTTTCAATAAATTCTGCTGTACTTGGCCATAGCTCCCTAAATAAAGAGAGCCGGTTTGGAAACGCTTGTACCAAGTGACACAGTGGTACCACTTGGCCACGTTGCTTGGGGTCTGTCCTGGAGCAAATCTTGAAATCTGTTTTTAAGTAGGGCATTGTTTAAGACATTTTACTCTTAAACAAATGCCACATGCTGGCGTCCTTTAACTTGCTTGTTAGAAAACTATAAATGCTATTTCGCAAAGCTCCTCCAGCGGGACTTCAGAAAGTTAGAAAGACTAATTTATCCATCTAATTGGGCTAATTTGTTAACCTGAATACCAAGAGCCATGAAACATTTAGAATGGGGGGAGGGTGGGGCACCTCAGACCAACTGGGGGATTAATGAAGCCCAACAGAAGAGAAAACTTCAAAACTCCACTGGATCAAAAGCGATCAGCCCGAGGCGTTGAAGCAGCCTACACTGTCTGCGTCTCAGGGGGAAGGCACGTGGTATCCAGCCCCAGGCAGGGCAGGAAGGGGACACACAGCTTACCCTGCAAGTTGGAACACTTCTGAGAGGGAAAGGTAGTGTAGGCCGACAGGTGGTAAGTTGGAACTATCCCAGGCAAGGTGGGACACACACCACTCGGCAGCAGCTTACCACCAAGTCCTTGGGTGAAACTAGTCATCTCCCTCGGTTGCGACAAGATGGACTTTTGTTTATATACTTAATTTTGTCCTCTGACAGAGAACATCAACACAGACCTGGGTTCATGCCTTTGCTTTCGTTAGGTGAAGGACAAGCCACTTGGCTTTTATTTTCTCTTTCATGAAACAGGCACAAGTCTCTTCCTTGCAGGTTGAATTTAAAGATCAGAATGAGTGTGTATAGAATACCTGGGATAGGAGGACCTCCATAGAGTATGCACTGAAAACATGGAAGGCAGTGTAAGCAATGCCATCTTTGTAATCATATTACATATTCCATATAAAATAAGATGATCTTTAGAAAGGCCTGTTGTGAAACCAAACAAAATAATTCCAAAAGGGTTGGGAATCCCTACTAGAAAAAACACAAGAGAGACTCCAGGACCAGACAGGCCCCATCTGCTTTAAGCTCAGAGAAGGAGCAAAGCACACTCCAGCCCCCACCTCCAAGAGGCTACAGAGGCCAGGAGGGAGCGCAGCTGGGGCTCAGAGCACTGTGAGCCCAGGCAAGTGACGCCACCTCTCTGAGCTTCAAATTGCTCATCTGTAAAATGGGCGAACGCCTGTGTGCACTAAGGCTGTTGTGAAGAATAACTGAGTTCCTGTTTTTAGGACTCTGGACAAAATGCCTGGCCCATGGTAGGCCTTAGAGTAGCACATGGTAAGAAAATAAACAAAATGCTATGTGAGCTGTTTATCTCATTTACTGTTGCCTTGCTCTCTCTTGAGAACAGTCCCCTTTTTAAACCAGAGGAACATGCTGGGGTTCTACTACAGCTTTTCTTACTGTACCCCAAATGCTCCCCTTTTATTAACCAGGCGTCCACAGCACCAGGCGGCAGCCAGAGGGCCTGCGGTGGGCAGCGTAGGGGCTGCGGGACTCGAGTCACAGGCGCTCAGATGCTGGCACCCATTCGCGTCCCTGACAGGGCGTGGGGTGTCCTGCAGAAAACTTTTGAGGCCAAAACACAACCGCTGTTAGTCTCCTTTCAAACATTTTGGAACTCTAGAAAGAAATACCCTAAAACTAAGTCACCAAAGCCCCTGGGCCAGCCTCTGTCCTCTGCTTTATCCATTTCCTCATGTTTTCCCACAAGAGGAAAATAAATCCCAAGCTCGTTCATTCATCTTCAATTGCTGCTTCAGCTGCTATCTCTCAACACTCACTGCAGAATGAACAAATCCCCAGCAGTCTCCACACCTTTGCTAGGGAACTCCTTCCCCATTCCTGGAAAGCAGGAGGTAGCAAAGCTGCTTCTCCTAGCAACACCCTCCCAAGCTTTTACTCCTGCACTTCAATTAATAAAAATCACGAGCACTGCCCCGACTATGAATGTGTGTGAATATTTTTATTATAAATGCCAAATATGTACTAATATATCATTGCAGAAACCACATATGCAAAGAAGCAAAAAGGGTAGGGATAAAATAAGAATAAATATCTTAATACAGGAATAGTTTTAATAAATTTTTTATAAGTAGGTACAAAGAATTAATACCCCCTTCTCGCACCTCACTTTGAGCCCACTGCCCTGCATGCCAGCTGGGGCTCCAACGGGGCACATCACAGTCTGCACTGAGGCTATCAGGTTGAAATGAGGCTCTGGGCTACTCTAGGGGAAAATGAGGGGACCTTAAGGATGAATACATTCATTTATTCACATGGCAAACTTTTACCCAACACCTGTCATTAAGTAGAGTTGGTGGTCGTTAGGTCCTGTCTAAACTCCACCCTATAAGCCAAAGGAGAGGTGCCGGGTGCCCCGCCAGGAGACAGAAGATCATAAGGAAATGAAATGATGTTCTTGTTCTGTGCCTCGCACCATCCCGAGACAAGAAATGTTAATTTCCATACAATTTTTGAAACAACAACAAAATATATAAAGTATTTCCTCTGTGTAAAAGAGAGGGGAAAAAACAACTATGTGTATATATAGTTATAAGCAGTTGGGGCAGGACAGGTCTTTGCAGTGTGAGAGTCACAGAAAGAATCTACCCCTTTGGGGCCCAGAGTGGGCATCTGTGGAGACACTGGCAGATGTCCTCAACGCCACCCTCTTAGCAAGCTCTGCTGGGGAACTCTGGACTGGGGGGTCAGAATGTTGCAACTCACTTCAGAATGAACAATGCAGACCACTGAATCCCACGCTCATCTTGGTGTCTCAGAAGTTAGTGACTAGGGCTGGGCGCAGTGGCTCACGCCTGTAATCCCAGCACTTTGGGAGGCCGAGGCGGGTGGATCACGAGGTCAGGAGTTTGAGACCAGCCTGGCCAACATGGTGAAACCCCGTCTCTACTAAAAATACAAAAATTAGCTGAACGTGGAGGCACGAGCCTGTAATCCCAGCTACTCAGGAGGCTGAGGCAGGAGAATCGCTTGAACCCGGGAGGCAGAGGTTGCAGTGAGCCAAGATGGCGCCATTGCACTCCAGCCTGGGCAATAGGGCGAGACTCTGCCTCAAAAAAAAAAAAAAAAAAGAAAAGAAAAAGAAAAAGAAATTTTAAAAAAATGTTAAGTGACTGGCCCACAGTCACACAGCGGTCTGCAGCCTTTTCATGGGGGCTTCCCTTCTCCAGGTCTACCTCATGCAGGATTCTAAGCAGGAAAAGATCACACCGTGGCCTGCACCCATTCACATTCCCTCTCTTCTCCCTCTCTCCTCTACCCCACCCTTTCCAGCCCTAAATCGCAGGATGCTTCAAGGGAAAGGGACAAGGTGCTAAAAAACAAAACAGAAAAAACCCGTTATGTGCCAACCACCCCTCCCCATACGTTCCTGCTTGGGGGTCCAGAGGAAAGCTTTCTCACCACTACCACAAAGCTCTCTAGCTTTGTTCATCCTACGTACCTACTACTTCATAACTTCTAAGCTACATCTCCCCATTTCTTCCCTCCACCCCACAACCACTGTTTTATTCCCTATCTCTGTATATTTGACATTTTCCACATATAAGTGAGATCATGTACTATTTTTCTGTGTCTGGCTTATTTCACTTAGCATAATGTCCTTCAGGCTCATCCATGTTGTGGCAAATAGTAGGATCTCCTTTTTGTAAGGCTGAATAGTATTCCATTGTGTGTGTGTGTATACATATGTACACGTATATATACACGTATACGTGTACATATGTATACGTACATGTACGTATATATACATATACGTATACATGTATATATATACATATATACACACAGATTCTTGGTGCATTCATCCACCGATGGACAAGTTGGTTGTTTCCAATTCTTGTCTGCTGTAATGCTGGGAGAACATGAGAGTGCAGACATCTTCCTGGGGTGATGATCTCATTTTCTGTAGGTATATAACCAGAAGAGGGATTGTTGGGTCATATGGTTAGCTCTATTTTGCTAACACTTGTTATTACTTGTCTTTTTGATCAGAGCTGTCTGAATGGGTGTGCTCTTTTAAGTGCTAGCTCATGGTGGTTTTGATTGCATTTCTCTGATGCTTAGTGATGCGCACCTTTTCATATCCTGTTGGCCATTTTTATGGTTTCTTTGGAAAAATGCCTATCCAGGTCCTTTGCCCATTTTTTAATCAAGTTATTTGTTTTTCTGCTATTGAGTTGTATGAGTACTTTGTAAATTTTGGCTGTTAACCCCTTATCAGATATATGGTTTGCAAATATTTTCCCTAATCCATAGATTGCTATTTCATCTTATTGTTTCCTTTGCTGTGCAGAAGCTTTTTAGTTTGATGTAGCCTTATCTGTTTTTATTTTTATTTTTTTGAGATGGAGTTTCACTCTTGTTGCCCAGGCTGGAGTGCAATGGCACGATCTCGGCTCACCACAACCTCCACCTCCTGGGTTCAAGCGATTTTCCTGCCTCCCAAGTAGCTGGGATTATAGGCATGTACCACCACAGGCATGCACCACCCCGCCTGGCTTTTTTTCTTTTTTTTTTTTTTTTTTAGTAGAGACGGGGTTTCTCCATGTTGGTCAGGCTGGTCTCGAACTCCCGACCTCAGGTGATCCACCCACCTCAGCATCCCACAGTGCTGGGATTACAGGCATGAACCACCATGCCCAGCTATGCAGTCTCGTTTATTTATTTTTGTTTTTGTAGACTGAACTTCAGGTGTGATATCCAAAAAATTCATTGACAAGGCTAATGTCAAGTTGCTTTCTCCCCCACATTCTCCTGTTCTCTAAGAGTTTTACGGCTTCAGATCTTATATCCATTTGGAGTTGATTTGTGTGTATGGTATAAGATAAGGGACCAATTTCATTCGAGTCTATGTAGAAACCCAGTTGTCCCAGCACCAATTACTGAAGAGACTATCCTTTCCCCATTGTGTTCCCTCTGTGCCCTCGTCAAAAAGCAGTTGAATACATGTGGGCTCTCTCTTCTGTTCCACTGGTCTATGTGGCTGATTTCATCACAGTACCATACTGTTTTGATTATCTTTGCTTTATAATTTTTATTCTGAGATGGAGTCTTGCACTGTCGCCCAGGCTGGAATGCAGTGGTGTAATCTCAGTTCACTGCAACCTCCGCCTCGTAGGTTCGAGTGACTCTCCTGCCTCAACCTCTTGAGTAGCTGGGATTACAGGCACCAGCCACCATGCCCAGCTAATTTTTGTATTTTTTGTGGAGACAGGGTTTTGCTATGTTGGCCAGGGTGGTCTCGAACTCCTGACCTCAGGTGATCCGCCCGTCTCAGCCTCCCAAAGTCCTGGGATTACAGCATGAGCCACCGTGCCCAGCCTATAATATAATTTTAAAGCAGGAACTGTGATGCCTCCAACTTTACTTTTTCTTTCTTAGGATCACTTTGGTTATTTAGGGTCTTTGTGGTTCTACATCAGTTTAAGGATTGTTTTTACTGTTTCCGTGAAGGATGCCATTAGGATTCTGATAGGGATTGCACTGATTCCATATGTCACTTTGGGTAGTGTGGACATTTTAAGAACATTCATTCTTCTGATCCATGAGCAAGGGATATTTTTCATTTATTTGTGTCTTCTTCAATTTCCTTCATCAATGTTTTAGTTGTCAGTGTACAAATCTTTCACCTCCTCATTAAATTTATTCCTTTTTTTGATGTGATCATAAATGGGATTGTTGTCTTGATTTCTTTTTCAGCTAGGTTGTTATTTGTGTATGGACATGCTACTGATTTTTGTATATTGATAACGTATCCTGCAACCTTACTGAATTCATCTTCCTCTGTACTTAAAAACAAAAATCAGTTGGATTAGATTTGTAACTTTGATGAAACCATTCTCTATCAGAGGAGAATGCGCTCAGAGATCTACCTTTCAAAAGGACACAAGGTTTAAGGACACAAAGGATCCACCGGCTGTGACACTGGGTGAGTGCGACAGTAGGGTGGAGAGTCAGCCCAGCAATCCCTTTTATTGGGATGGTTAATTGTTTCTGCTGATGCTCTGATTGAAGTGCCACGGTTTTGAGGCCCTATTATTTTTTAATGAACAAATGGGCAGATTGTAGGAATGTGTACATGTCATGGCAGCCAAAATGCCTGTTTTTTGATTTGGCCTCCTTTTGCTCTAAGCTATTAGCTCCTTAAATTCTGGCACTTGTCTTTATACCCAAACCTACCTGTGCTTACTTGATTTTTTATTTTAGTAAAAATTCTAGCTGCCTAAGAATGGGCAAATTTTGTTTTACATGTGCATTTAACCAGAGAAACATCTTTGCCATTTAGGCTGGAGGTGCCACCTATGAACCTGGCCCTAGGAGAGGTGCTTTCCACATCACCAGCCTTTGTCTCCCCAACTGATCAGAGGGGAAAGCTGGGGTGTGGGAGGGTAAGGGATGTGCCACAGGTCACCTGGCTAGCAACAGGCCCATCAGGTCTTTGGTTTCAAAATTTGTGTTCCTTTGATTTATTTTTAAATTGAATATCCCCTGTGTGACGGGGAGAACAGAGACGCGACAAAGCAAGGCCCTGGAGACGGGCTGCAGGGAGAGGAAAACGAACACAACGCATGGAGTCGCTCAAAACCACACGTGACGTTCAGTGTGTGAGCAGGTGGGGGCAGCAGGCTAAGCCTCGTGACAGCCAGTGATGGGACCCTGCCACCCAGGTGGCTGTGGTCCAGTCTTCCAAAGGCAAGGGACAAGGGCTGCCTTTGTAAGGCTCTCTGTAGTCTCAGATATGATTAATCAATTTTAAAATGGTGTTCGCTAATGTTAGAGTTTCTGCAAGAAAACGTAATTTAACCTGACACTGTCACATATAAAAATTGGCTGCCACTCATCTTTCTTGGGTTGAGTTTTCTATTTTCATACTCCATGGTTTCATAACCACTGTGGTGGGAACCTGGGGCAGGCAGGACAGCAGCCGAAAGGGGCCTCAAGAGCTCATTTCAGCATTTCAGTTGGGGAAATGAGCAAAACGAAGGTAGGACCCTGTGATAAAACAAATATATTCCACAGGATGGCTGGGGAGCTTCTACTGGTTGTTGGCAAAGGAGGTAAAAATCACTGTCAGTTTCATGAATCAATATTGGAACCCTTACACACAGACACACACACACACACACACACCCCTACACCTCTTCCCGGCCGCCCACCTACACGGAGCCCACATCGCCATCCAGGGGCCCCGCCGGGTGCTTCTGCCACGTTTGCTCTCTCACTGGCCACAAGAAGATTTCCAATCTTGCCCACTCTCCTCGAACCTCTGCCCGCAGTTCCCTTTGCTGACCCCTTACCCGTGGAGATGGCCCAATTCTGTTTTACTACCTAAAGAGTTCTCATTCTTCATAGTCATAAACATAAAACACTGACATACAGATAAAAGTCAACCTTTTCCAGAAACCCAATATGCCACATTTTTCTTATAATGTATATCATTAATATTCATGTAAAAGTGATAACTGCAGTGACAGCAAATTAAAACTTTCCTGGGGTATCAAATTCTGGCAAATACATTAGCAAAGAGTTGCCTTTCTGCCTTATAGATTTATCATTATAAATTAGCTTTAATTGGTACTGACCCACTTTATAGGAGCTGAAGCAACAAGTCTAAATGAATTGGCAACGAGTGATTACAATGAAAGACACATTAATGGCTCTGGGACCACGGGCCATGCCTGGAAAATTCTTGACCTCTTTGTTCCTGGGCCTTAGCTCATTACTGGAATGTCATTCTCCCCTGTCTCCTCCTTAACTATGGAATTGGTTCTGGTTCTCCAAGCCAGAAGTAATACTTCCATAGGACTTTACACACTTTCTAATGAATTGCCAGCCCGGTGTTGGATTCATCTCTGGTATTTGGAGTTCTTGGTCATTATTTGTGATTACCTGACAGTTCCCAGGACACTGCTGGAACCACAAGGAGCCACTGGACATGTTTGTTGAATGAACGAATGAGTGAATCGAGTTCAGACGGGAAGGAGGACCCAAGATAACACAGCTTCAACTCTTGACTCCCTCTAATCTTTTTTAAAAAATTACGTTATTTCACTTGCCTGCTTAAACCCTCTAGTGGCTTCTCACAGCAAAGAGCAGCCCTGGGCCTCATCATGACCTTTTTCTTTATCAAGGTTTCTTTATCAAGCCATCTTTCAGCTCTGAAGGACCATTTTTTTTTTTTTTTTACTTAAGAACTATTTGTACTTGGTTTAATGATAAACTTTTACAACTATAAATCTAACAAACATTTATAAATCTTTAGATAGTATTAAATAATAATACATCGGAATGAATTTTTAAAATAATTTTTTTTTTGAGATGGAGTTTCACTCTTGTTGCCCAGACTGGAGTGCAATGGCACGATCTTGGCTCACTGCAACTTCCACCTCCCGGGTTCAAATGATTCTCCTGCCTAAGCCTCCTGAGTAGCTGGGATTACAGGCACCGGCCACCACGCCTGGCTAGTTTTTGTATTTTTAGTAGAGACAGGGTTTCACCATGTTGGTCAGGCTGGTCTTGAACCCCTAACCTTAGGTGATCCACCCGCCTCGGCCTCCCAAAGTGTTGGGATTACAGGCGTGAGCCACCAAGCCCAGCCTAAAATAAAATGTTCTAATACATTTAAATATTGATTACAAACACACTCAAATTTGACATATTTCAACAAAATCATGCCAACTTTACTATGTAAGTTTTAAAAGATCTTAAAAATACACACATCAAGGCTGGGCATGGTGGTTCACACCTGTTCACACACACTTTGGGAGGCTGAGGTGGGAGGATCATTTGAAGGCAGAAGTTTGAAACCAGCCTGGGCAATGTAGTGGCACCCCATCTCTATCAAATAAAAATTAAAAAATTAGCTGGGTGTGGTGGTACACACCTGTTGTCCCAGCTACTCAGGAGGCTGAGGCAGGAAATGAGCAAAACCAGGATAGAACCCTGTGATAAGTTCGGGAAGATCACTTGAGCCCAGGAGGTCGAGGCTGCAGTGAGTGGTGATGGCACCACTGTACTCCGACAAGGCAAGACCTTGTCTCCTAAAAAACAAAAAAATGCAAACCAAAAAACGAATCACACCAATGATCACAATGACTACCAAGCCTAAATTTAGCCTATTACACAGTTGGTTCTAAAGAGCTGAATTATTTTTTCATAATTTCCATATTAGCTTTGACCTTCCTGGGTCACAAGAATCTGGTGAGACCTAAAAGACAGAGGAACTGACCTCGGGCCAGTGGAGGGTGTGTGTTCTGAGTTATGGACCCACACTGATGCCTGGGGGTTCTGAGTTATGGACCCACACTGATGCCTGGGGGTTCTGAGTTATGGACCCACACTGATGCCTGGGGGTTCTGAGTTATGGACCCACACTGATGCTTGGTCAGTATGCAGTCAGTACAAGATGATTCAAAAGTGAGCCTGTGTTTCCTTGCCTAGACTCCTAGGTTTTTTGACCAACGTTTGCTTGCTCAATAAACAGGACTTTTTTTTTTTTTTTCTTTGAGATGGAATCTCACTCTGTCGCCCAGGCTGGAGTGCAGTGGAGCGATCTGAGCTCACTGCAACCTCCACCTCCCAGGTTCAACTGATTCTCCTGCCTCAGCCTCTTGAGTAGCTGGGATTACAGACGTGCGCCCCAACACCTGGCTAATTTTTTTGTATTTTTAGTAGAGATGGGGTTTTACCACGTTGGCCAGGCTGGTCATGAACTCTTGACCTCAGGTGATCTGCTCACCTCAGCCTCCGAAAGTGCTGGAATTACAGGCATGAGCCACTGCACCTGGCCATTTTTGCCACTTTGATGCCTTCAGTCTAATTACTAGGGTCATTTGAGGTTGCAACTCCCTCAGTGTGGCCAGCCCTTTTCTCAGGGCACACGGCCATTCTCCCATCTTGCAACCCTCTCTCAGGTCCTCTTTCTACCTGTTTGTGACCAACACAGTGTTGGCCAGTCTTTCCTACTCTTGCCCCAGGCCCTACTTTTTCTAGAACTGTGGGGTCACTCACAAGTCCCTGCCTATCTGCTAAACGAGATGGAGAAAATATCTATATTTTATAAACAGCAATCTACTTTACAGAACACATTTCACCTGTTCTGATATTATAGCTACTGTTTGGGCACACTTTATACTATCTTCCCCATTTTGAGTAGCATTTTGGACTCACTTATTTTCAAAGATTCAATTAATTACCAGTCATTATCCTACTCTGTGATGCTCAAATTACCACACCTTGGTCGATGGAAGCCCCATTAGGTGGCCTCCTGGCTCTTTTGGTAATCCCCATTACTATTTTTTAATTTAAATTTTCTTCTCTTTAATCAAAGTTATAATTGCATGCAGTAAGAAGTCAGATAGGGCTATGAGGCTTGCCATGAACCACAGGAGTGCCCTGTCCTGTCCCTCCCTGCGGTGACGCCTTCCCAGTCTTTGACGTGGCATTTACCTCCCCATTTCTAAATAATGTACTTCTGCTGGTTTTTGGTGTCAGTTTTGGGGTATCTACTGATTTCCTACTATGGAAGATAAGAGTTTTGATCTTTTACATCCTCCCAACCCTCTTTCTGCACCTTCCCTCCTCCCAGAAGAATTTCATTATATTACAGCAGGTTTTTGTTCAATGTTGTTTTGTTGGAACATTGATGAGAAAAACTGATTCCCAGTAGGGGCCATTGTGTATGTGGAGTCTGCTGGTTCTCCCCTCATCTGTGTGGATTTTCTCAGGGTCCTCTGGTTTCTTCCCACATCCAGGGCTGTGCACGTGAGGTTCACTGGTGTGTCTGCATGATCCTATCTGAGTGAGCGTGTGGGTGGCCCTGCGACGGGAGGGTGTCCTGTCCAGAGTTGGTTCTTGCCTTGTGCCCTGAGCTGCCACGACAGGCTCTTGCTACCTGAGACCCTGAACTGAAATAAGCGGGTTAGAAAATGAGTGGATACTCATTGGTTTCAAAGAAATTATTTATTTCTGCCTTCATTTCATTATTTACCCAGTAGTCATTCAGGAGCAGGTTGTTCAGTTTCCATGTAGTTGTACAGTTTTGAGTGAGTTTCTTAACCTGAGTTCTAATTTGATTGCACTGTGGTGTGAGAGACAGTTTGTTGTGATTTCTGTTCGTTTGCATTTGCTGAGCAGTATTTTACTACCAATTATGTGGTCAATTTTAGAATAAGTTTGATGAGGTGCTGAGAAGAATGTATATTCTGTTGATTTGGGGTGAAGAGTTCTGTAGATGTCTATTAGGTCCACTTGGTCCAGAGCTGAGTTCAAGTCCTGAATATCCTTGTTAATTTTCTGTCTTGTTGATCTAATATTGACAGTGGAGTGTTAAAGTCTCCCACTATTGTTGTGTGGGAGTCTAAGACTCTTTGTAGGTCTCTAAGAATTTGCTTTATGAATCTGCATGCTCCTGTTTTGGGTGCGTATATATTTAGGATAGTTAGCTCTTCTTGTTGCATGGATCCCTTTACCATTATGTAATGCCCTTCTTTGTCTTTTTTGATCTTTGCTGGTTTAAAGTCTGTTTTACCAGAGACTAGGATTCCAACCCCTGCTTTTCTTTACTTTCCATTTGTTTGGTAAATATTCTTCCATCCCTTTATTTTGAGCCTATGTGTGTTTTTGCACGAGATGGGTCTCCCGAATACAGTACACCAATGAGTCTTGACTCTTTATCCAATTTGCTAGTCTGTGTCTTTTAATTGGGGCATTCAGCCTGTTTGCATTTAAGGTTAATATTGTTATGTATGAATTTGATCCTGTCATTATGATGATAGCTGGTTATTTTGCTTGTTAGTTGATGTAGCTTCTTCATAGTATCTATGGTCTTTACAATTTGGTATTTTTTTGCAGTGGCTGGTAATAGTTTTTCCTTCCTGTATTTAGTGCTTCCTTCAAGAGCTCTTGTAAGGCAGGCCTGGTGGTGACAAAATCTCTCAGCATTTGCTTCTCTGTAAAGGATGTTATTTCTCCTTTGCTTATGAAGCTTAGTTTGGCTGGATATGAAATTCTGGGCTGAAAATTCCTTTCTTTAAGAATGTTGAATATCGGCCCCCACTCTCTTCTGGCTTGTATGGTTTCTGCAGAGAGATCTGCTGTTAGTCTGATGGGCTTCCCTTTGTGGGTAACCTGACCTTTCTCTCTGTCTGCCTTTAACATTTCTTTCAACCTTGGTGAATCTGACAATTATGTGTCTTGGGGTTGCTTTTCTCAAGGAGTATCTTTGTAGTATTCTCTGTATTTCCTGAATTTGAATGTTGGCCTGTCTTGCTAGGTTGGGGAAGTCCTCCTGGAAAATATCCTGAAGAGTGTTTTACAACTTGGTTCCATTCCCCACTTCACTTTCAGGTACACCAATCAAACATAGGTTCGGTCATTTCACATAGTCCCATATTTCTGGGAGGCTTTGTTTGTTCCTTTTCATTCTCTTTTCTCTAATTTTGTCTTCATGCTTTATTTCATTAAGTTGATCTTCAATCCCTGACATCCTTTCTTCTGCTTGATCGATTCAGCTATTGATACTTGTGTCAATGAGAACAAAGACACACAATGTATCAGAATCTCTGGCACACAGCTAAAGCAGTGTGTAGAGGGAAATTTATAGCACTAAATGCCCACAAGAGAAAGCAGGAAAGATCTGAAAGTGACACCCTAACATCACAATTAGAAGAACTACAGAAGCAAAAGCAAACACATTCAAAAGCTAGCAGAAGACAAGAAATAACTAAGAGCAGAACTGAAGGAGATAGAGACACAAAAAACCCTTCAAAAAAATCAATGAATCCAGGAGCTGGTTTTTTGAAAAAATTAAAAAATAGATCGCTAGCCAAACTAATAAGAAAAGAGAGAAGAATCAAATAGACACAATAAAAAATGATAAAGAGGATATCACCACTGATTCCACAGAAATACAAACTACCATCAGATTATACTACAAACACTTCTATGTAAATAAACTAGAAAATCTAGAAGAAATGGATAAATTCTTGGACACATACACCCTTCCAAGACTAAACCAGGAAGAAGTCGAATCCCAGAACAGACCAATAACAAGTTCTGAAATTGAGAGAGTAATTAATAGCCTACCAACCAAAAGAAGCCCAGGACCAGATGGATTCACAGCTGAATTCTACCACAGGTACAAAGAGGATCTGGTACCATTCCTTCTGAAATGATTCCAAACAATAGAAAAAGAGGGACTCCTCCCTAACTCATTTTATGAGGCCAGCATCATCCTGATACCAAAAACCAGCAGAGACACAACAAAAAAAGAAAATTTCAGGCCAACGTCCCTGTTGAACATCGATGCCAAAATCCTCAATAAAATACTGGCAAACCGAATCCAGCAGCACATCAAAAAGCTTATCCACCACCATCGAGTTGGCTTCATCCCTGGGATGCAAGTGTGTCCGGAATTGGTGGGTTCTTGGTCTCACTGACTTCAAGAATGAAGCTGCGGACCCTCGTGGTGTGTGTTACAGTTCTTAAACGTGGTGTGTCCGGAGTTTGTTCCTTCTGATGTTTGGATGTGTTCAGAGTTTCTTCCTTCTGGGGGGTTCGTGGTCTCGCTGGCTCAGGAGTGAAGCTGCAGACCTTCGCGGTGAGCGTTACAGCTCTTAAGGCGGCACATCTGCAATTGTTTGTTCCTCCCGGTGGGTTCGTTGTCTTGCTGGCTTCAAGAGTGAAGCTGCAGGCTTTCACAGTGAGTGTTACAGCTCATAAAGGCAGTGTGGACCCAAAGAGTGAGCAGCAGCAAGAGTTATTGCAAAGAGCGAAAGAACAAAGTTTCCACACTGTGGAAAGGGACCTGAGCGGGTTGCCACTGCTGATTCAGGCAGCCTGCTTTTATTCTCTTATCTGGCCCCACCCACATCCTGCTGATTGGTCCATTTTACAGAGAGCTGATTGGTCTGTTTTACAGAGAGCTGATTGGTCCATTTTGACAGGGTGCTGATTGGTGCGTTTACAATCCCTTAGCTAGACACAAAAGTTCTCCATGTCCCCACCAGATTAGCTAGATACAGAGTGTCGATTGGTGTATTTACAAACCCTGAGCTAGACACAGAGTGCTGATTGGTGCATTTACAAACCTTCAGCTAGATACAGAGTGCCAATTGGTGCATTCACAATCCCTTAGCTAGACATGAAGGTTCTCCAAGTCCCCACCAGAGTAACTAGATAGAGAGTGCTGATTGGTGCATTCACAAACCCTGAGCTAGACACAGGTGCTGATTGTGTTTACAAACCTTGAGCTAGAGACAAAGTGCTGACTGGTGTATTTACAATCCCTTAGCTAGACATAAAGATTCTCCAAGTCTCCACCAGACTCAGGAGCCCAGCTGGCTTCACCCAGTGGATCCTGCACCAGGGCCGCAGGTGGAGCTGCCTGCCAGTCCCGCGCCGTGTGCCTGCACTCCTCAGCCCTTGGGTGGTTGATGGAACTGGGCGCCGTGGAGCAGGGGGCGGCGCTCGTCGGGGAGGCTTGGGCCGCGCAGGAGCCCATGGGGGCGGGGGGAGGCTCAGGCATGGTGGGCTGCAGGTCCCGAGCCCTGTTCTGCAGGGAGGTAGCTAAGGCCCGGTGAGAAGTCAAGCACAGCAGCTGCTGGCCCAGGTGCCAAGCCCCTCACTGCCTGGGGCTTGCGGGCTGGCTGGCCGCTCCGAGTGCGGGGACCGCCGAGCCCACGCCCACCCGGAACTCGTGCTGGCCTGCAAGTGCCGCCCACAGCCCCGGTTCCCACCTGCGCCTCTCCCTCCACACCTCCCCACAAGCTGAGGAAGCTGGCTCTGGCCTTGGCCAGCCCAGAAAGGGGCTCAAACAGTGCAGCGGCAGGCTGAAGGACTCAAGCGCGGCCAGAGTGGGCGCCAAGGCTGAGGAGGCGCCGAGAGCGAGCTAGGGCTGCGAGGGCTGCCAGCATGCTGTCACCTCTCACAAGGCTGGTTCAACATATGCAAATCAATAAACATAATCCATCACATAAACAGAACCAATGACAAAAACCACATGATTATCTCAATAGATGCAGAAAAGGACTTTGACAAAATTCAACATCCATTCATGCTAAAAACTCTCAATAAACTAGGTATTGACGGATCATCTCTCAAAATAATAAGAGCTATTTATGACAAACCCACAGCCAATATCATACTGAATGGGCAAAAGCTGGAAGAATTCCCTTTGAAAACAGGCACAAAACAAGGATGCCCTCAAGGTCTCACCACTCCTATTCAACATACAATTGGAAGTTCCGGCCAGGGCAATCAGGCAAGAGAAACAAGTAAAGGGTATTCAAATAGGAAGAGAGGAAGTCAAATTGTCTCTGTTTGAAGATGACATGATTGTATATTTAGAAAACCCCAATGTCTCGGCCCAAAATCTCCTTAAGCTGATAAGCAACTTCAGCAAAGTCTCAGGATGCAAAATAAATGTGCAAAAATCACAAGCATTCCTATACACCAATAATAGACAAACAGCCAAATCCCACTCACAATTGCTACTAAGATAATAAAATACCTAGGAATAAAACTTACAAGGGATGTGAAAGACCTCTTCAAGGACAACTATAAACCACTGGTCAAGGAAATAGGAGAGGACACAAACAAATGGAAAAACATTCCATGCTCATGGATAGGAAGAATCAATATCGTGAAAATGGCCATACTGCACAAACTAATTTACAGATTCAATGCTATCCTCATCAAGCTACCATTGACTTTCTTCACATAATTAGAAAAAACTACTTTAAATTTCATATGGAACCAAAAAAGGGCCCATATAGCCAAGACAATCCTAAGCAAAAAGAACAAAGCTGGAGGCATCATCCTACCTGACTTCAAACTATACTACAAGGGTACAGTAACCAAAACAGCATGGTACGGATGCCAAAACAGATATATAGACCAGTGGAAAGAACAGAGGCCTCAGAAATAATGCCACACATCTACAACCATCTGATCTTTGACAAACCTGATAAAAATAAGCAATGGGGAAAGGATTCCCTATTTAATAAATGCTGTTGGGAAAACTGGCTAGCCATATGCAGAAAACTGAAACTGGACCCCTTCTTACACCTTATACAAAAATTAACTGAACATGGATTAAAGACTTAAACATAAAACATAAAACCATAAAAACCCTAGAAGAAAACCTAGGCAATACCATTCAGGACATAGGCATGGGAAAAGACTTCATGACTAAAACACCAAAAGCAATGGCAACAAAAGCCAAAATAGACAAATGGGATCTAATTAAACTAAAGAGCTTTGCACAGCAAAAGAAACTATCATCAGAGTGAACAGGAAACCTACAGAATGGGAGAAAATTTTTGCAATCTATCCATCTGACAAAGGGCTAATATCCAGAATCTGCAAAGAACTTAAATTTACAAGAAAAAAACAAACAACCCCATCAAAAAGTGGGCAAAGGATATGAACACACTTCTCAAAAGAAGACATTTATGCGGCCAGCAAACATATGAAAAAAAGCTCATCATCACTGATCATTAGAGAAATGTAAATCAAAACCACAATGAGATACCATCTCACTCCAGTTAAAATGGGAATCATTAAAAAGTCAGGAAACAACAGATGCTGGAGAGGATGTGGAGAAACAGGAAGGCTTTTACACTGTTGGTGGGAGTGTAAATTATTTCAACCATTGTGGAAGACAGTGTGGTGATTCCTCAAGGATCTAGAACCAGAAATACCATTCGACCCAGCAATCCCATTACTGGGTATATACTCAAAGGATTATAAATCATTCTACTATAAAGACACATGCACATGTATGTTTACTGCAGCCCTGTTTACAACAGCAAAGACTTGGAACCAACCCAAATGTCCATCAATGATAGATAAAGAAAATGTGGCACATATACACCATGGAATACTATGCAGCCATAAAATAGGATGAGGTCATGTCCTTTGCAGGGACATGGATAAAGCCAGAAACTATCATTCTCAGCAAACTAACACAGGAACAGAAAACCAAACACCACATGTTCTCACTCATAAGTGGGAGTTGAACAATGAGAACACATGGACACAGGGAGGGGAACATCACACACCGGGGCCTGTTGGGGCATGGGGGGCTAGGGGAGGGATAGCATTAGAAGAAATACCTAATGTAGATGACGGGTTGATGGGTGCAGCAAACCACCATGGCATGTGTATAGCTATGTAACAAACCTGCACGTTCTGCACATGTATACAGAACTTAAAGTATAATAAAAAAAGAAAATGAATACAAATTATCAAATAAAAGTCTGTAAAGTCTACGATAATTGTACAAGTGCACGACAGTAAATGATGATGTGCAAAAGTGCTCAGCGAGCCTGCCACATCTGTTATTGCTGGTTTTTGAACTGTGGTGGGAGGAGGTGCTCCTTACAATAGTCACACATTTATTTCTTAATTTAACCCACTACCAAGAGGACCATTGTTACTCACTGATGCATCAAAACTTGGGTAAATAATTATCCTGTTTAATTAATTTTCTTAAATGTATGATAGCTCACATTTATTTTAATGTTTAATACTAGAAGTGTTTTGGGTCTTTATTTAGAAGTTTGCTGTTTTTGTGATCAGAAATATGCTGTAGGAACTTAACTTCTCTTTGTATAAATTAGCCTTTGGGAAAATTGGTTCTGTTATATGTCATTTCACTTAAAGTGAAAATTTCCAAGAACCTCTTGACAACATTAAGTGAGGCCTTCCTGTATTTGGCTTCATTAGTATTCAATGTTGCACTATGATGACACTGAGCCATGGGATGAACCAAGCTCACATCTTTATCTTCCTTGGAGTTCAACACCATCTCCACAACCTCTGTTGTGATCTTTCTCATCTTCATCCTCCTCCTCATCCTCCTCACTGCATGAGCAGCTGATGTGTATCTGGGGCTCACTACAGGCCAGGCACAGCTCTAAGCGCTGTACATCTATTAGCTCATTTAAATGTCACAACAACCCTTTTAGGTGAGTACTAAGATTATCTTCATTTTACATAAAATGGAAGCCCAGAGAGGCAGAGTATCTTGTCAGAGGTCACAAAGCTCCTCCGTGGGGTGCAAGGGTTCCCAGCTGGCCAGGGTCTGTGTTCCCAGCCAGCGTACTGCACTGCATACTTGAATCCAGCCTGACCCTCAGATGGACTGTAAGCCTCCTCTCAGTGTGTTTAAGCCCCCAGGTATTCTGGTTCCCCCCATCCCCACTTTCCTCTTTGCCTCCCCTCGTCCCTCCTTTTTCCTAAGAGACAGTCTTTGGGCACCTGGTGCCCTCTGTCCTTCTACTCCAGAACCACCCTGCATGGCTGCCATCCTGGGATTCCCCTTCTCCACTGTCCCAGCAGTTCCCTTTTCCTCTCCCCACATGGGGCCGATGCCTGTTCCAAGGTTCTGTGTCTTCCTCTTTCTTCGTTCACCCCTTGCTTGGGTCATGGGAGGTAAAATCTGGAGTCCCTGAATGTCTGAGGACGTCTTCATTCTACTCTCAGGTCGATGCCCACGAGTCCTGAGCTGCACTAACTCCCATTCTCAGATGTGTCCTCCTCCTGGGAGACTCAGCTTCTCGCTGCTCTCTGTCCTTCCACCTGCCATCCTTTTACTACTGTGCGGGGGACTCATCCACCTGGAAACTCACGCCCTTCAGTTCTGGGAAATTTCTTTGAAAAAAATTTTTTTTTTATAATTTCCTCTCTTAGCTGTCTTTCTGGGAATTCTTTTTATTCTAATGTTACACACCTCCTGGACTAATCCTCTCATATTCTTATCACTTCTGTTTTCTAAATCTCTGATTTTTTTTTTCCTTTTTACTTTCTGGGAGATTTTTCTAAAATAGCTCTCTGTCCTTTCTATAAATGTTTTCATTTCTGCCATCACCTGTTTTAATTTCCAAAGACTACTTTTTTTATTCTTTTTTTTTTCATGCACAAAGCTTTCTTCTCTCTGTAAGGAGAAGGTTGTTGTTTTTATTTTCTCCTGCCCCATGCACTGTCACTGTTTCTCCGGTGTGCCTTTTTTCCTCTTTAATCTGGTCTCTGACACTGTCTGTCCTGGAAGCCATTCCCAAACCTTGAGGATCCTTGTCTGTCTGCTCATATTTAAAAGTGAGGCATAAAAAGCAGATTGGATGCTCTGGTGCATAGGTGGGTCTATCAAATGGTGAAGGTCCACACAGTGAACCTGGAGGGGGACCACCTCACAGGTCCTTTCCCCTTGGGCTGACCATCCTGGGTGGTGTGAGTGGCTGTGGGTAGAGAAAGGGCACTGGACTTCTACCACTCAGGATGGAGTCTCTTCCTCAGCCTCCCTGTTCTAAGAACTGTGCCCTCACCCTGGGCTCTGCCTGGCAGCTCTGGTTCAGCATCTCCAGAGCCATGCTCTGTCACGGGAGGGATGGCAGCTGCCTGGCCTCGCAGAGTTAGGGAGGATACAGAGGGGGAAAGGAAGGGACATCCCGTGGAGACTCTCAGCCAGTTCTCCTGACTTCAGCCTTATCTGTACTCCCACATTCAGAGGTATCTGTAGCTCCATTTTTAAAATAGAACAGATTTATTTTTACTTTTTAAAAAATATTTTCAACTTTTATTTTAGATCTAGGGGGTACACATGCAGGTTTGTATATTGTGTGATGCTGAGGTTTGGGGTACAATTGATCCCATCACCCAGGTCCTGGGCATGGTAATCAATAGTTAGCTTTTCAACCCTTGTCCCCTCCCGCCTCCCCCGCCCCAGAGGTCCCCAGTGTCTACTGCTGCCGTCTTTATGTCCATGAGTACCCAATGAACATAAAGCTTTACTGAGGTATAATTCACATACTATACAATCCACTTATTTCAAGCGTACTGCTCAAGGTTTTCCATATATTCACAGAGTAGTGCAGCCATCATCTCAAACAATTTCAGACCATTTTCATCTCTCCAAAGAGAGACCACGTACCTATTAGGTTGCTCCAGATCTGGAGGCTTTCTGGGATTATTGAATGTGAATCAGCCCACCTCTGAGCTCACCCTTTTCAGCTTAAGTTCCAGCTTTTTCTAGTCTGCTAAGTCAGTGACCTCTTTTCCACTTGCTGTCCAGCTTCCACGCTTCTGTTGCTGCTGCCTCACCTCTATCTTTATCTTTGTGGCTTATGATTTTGAAACCCCGCTTTCTGTATTTTGGGTGCATGTGCGTGTTCACATCACCTTTTTAAACTGGAAGTTCCCTGGCTGCTTTGAAATCATTCTTTTTTCTAGCAAGAACAAAAGTTCCAGGCCTGTCTTGGATTACTCCTGCCCTAAGACATGGGGTCAGCTCCTTTCCTTTAAATAGAGGACAGCACTGAGACCAAAATCTAGGTGCTGCTTGTGGGGCCCGATGGTCCCATGTGAGGGCTGCTTCTGGGTAGGGCCACCATTCCGGCCTGCCTTGGGGACAGGGCTGTCTGGGCTTCTCTTTAGGATCATGAATTCACTACTGACATTTCCAATTTAATGCTAACATCAACATGTGCTTCAAAATGTTATTTCAGGTGAACATGCAGATTTATTTTCTCTGCCTACGGCTACTTCGTTGTCTATTCCTTCCCTGCCCATCATTATCCTTCCCTCTCTTTTATGACACTTGTATGTCTCCATGTCCATCTGGCTGGGGTCCCTTTGATGACCCTGTTCTCCCTGCTCTTGAATTAGAGACCGGTGGCTATAAAATGCTGAGCCTGTCCCCGCCACAGGGCCTTCTTCCCATGGTGCCCTCTCCTTGGACTTTCTTCTTCCAGTTTTTCTCATGGGTGGCTGCTCAGCATTCAGGTCATGTCAGCTCAAATGTCACTTCCCCCAGGAGGCCTGCCCTGATCACCTCCCTGCCGAGGGAGCCCGTCCTTGCCCAGGCACAACCTCCGTACCTGGGTATCTCCCTCATAGTGCAGCTAACTTTCTAAATGATGCTGTTTTCGTCTTTGCCATCCTTCTTCCCCCAGCACTGGAATGCAAGCTCTGCAAAACTGAATTCCTGGTATCCTTAAAAGTGACTGGCACACAATTGGCACTCAATATATATTTGTTGAAGAAATAAATCAGAGGCAGAGACAATGTGCAAACACAGGGCCTCCTGACCCCCAGGCCACTGTCTTGTGACTACGCGATGTGGTTCCTTGGGGAACAGAAATCCAAGTACAAGGCTCAAGGGAGGAAGGCATAGCGAAGACACACAAAAACGTCACCTACCTGAGATTCAGCTTCCAGCAAATGAAACGCCTAAGTTCAATTCCCTGTCACATTTCTCTCTGCCAGTTTTTGGCAAAGAAGTGAAACTCACAAGTTGATGGAATGCTTGTGGGCAGTGGCACTTCCCGCTAGGTCAACTGCCAGAGAGGAGCACAGGAGAATGCAGGGGCTGCCTCCTCCAAGCCGCCAGCTTTGTGAACAGAGCCCGGACTCACCAGGAGCGCAGGGCCCTGACTACCGCCTGGCCGCTGTGACGAGACCGTCGTCATCCTAAGGGCTAATGATGCACAGAGGAGGCTGTGACTCACCCCTGGCTCCCTCACTCTGCATCAGGGAAGAAGGAAGAATGTCACCCTAATTCCATGGCCCGCGATTTAATTTGAGGTCAAGATCAAAGCTATTCAAATCAACATCTTCTAAAAACTGGAAATTCAGATTTTAAGACAATTCCACAAAGCCATAACAAGAAATTCTGCATGTATTTAAATAAGCACATTCTCAGAAAAAGATGAAAAAAATGCACACCCTAGGAAAAATCAGTCCCTTTCTCATTAACCCTAGAGTGCCAGGCCCCTTCATCCTTTTCTTCTTTTCATTTTGAGACTTCAAAGCAGCCCTCTGCTCACCTACTCAGTTTGGAGTCAAAACCCATGGGTTTGCCCGGCTCAGAGCCTACTGCCCCCCTAGCAGGAGTCCTCTCCCTGCTGAGGGCTCCGGTCAAGCTGACTTCTCCTGGTACCTGAGTTCCCTGCTCTCCCAGCTTGGTTAGAAGAGAAAGAAACCACCTGAGTAGCACCAAGAAAATATCATCTCCTTTATTGTTCCCATATGTTGTTTCAGGTCTCATTTCTTAAAAAAAAATCCTACATTTTTAGGAAAAACTGAGCAACGAAAAATGCCAACGTCTCTTCAGGACAGCAGGGAGCTCAGAGAGACACCTTTCCCCATCCGTTAACCAAGTCAGAAGTCCCACTACTTCCCTCTTGGGGAGATCAAAATGACTTATTTTCCCTTAACAACATTTCTCAATGTTGCTACAGACTTGGGGAAATTTACTATAAAGTTTTTCTGTGGCAATGGGCTCCCTCACAGGACCTGCTTCCCCCAGAGTCTCGAATAGTGCTCCCAAACTGCAGACCGTGACCCAGGAGTAGGTTGTGAGATCAATTTAATGGGGCATGACGAGCATTTGAAAAGGGACAGAATGGAATAGAGAGTATCAGAGTATAAGGTGTGTTCATGGGCTGGGCACAGTGGCTCACAGATGTTAATCCTAACACTTTGGGAGGTTGAGGCAAGCAGATCGCTTGAGCCCAGGAGTTCAAGACCAGCCTGGGCAACATGGTGAAATCCTGTCTCCACAAAAAATACAGAAATTAGCCAGGTGCAGTAGCACACGCTTGTGATGCCAGCTACTCAGGAGGCTGAGGTAGGAGGATTGCTTGAGCCTGGGGAGGTTGAGGCTGCAGTGAGCCATGATCGTGCCACTGCACTGCAGCCTAGGTGACAGAGTGAGACCCTGTCTCCAAACAGAAAACAATGACAAAAGAGATGTGTTCATGAAGCTTTTGTTTCAGGGGTGTATGTGCTCTCTCACAGAAAATGTAGTTCTTACTACTTCAAACAGTAAAAATCTTTAAAGCCATATTTAACCATCAGAATCTAGTTTATAGGATTTCTTTATAAAAGAACCAACATTTAACCCAGAAAAAACATACTACTGAATAATGGTATCCAACATTTAAATAGGATATAAAACAGGCTAACAGAGAAAGAGAAGGGGAGTTTTTGGCGACCATCGACAAGATGTTGTGTTAGCTAGGAGTACAGTGAGTGCCACCCACCAGCCCTCCCCACCAGGAACCTGAAGTTTAACCGGGGAGCAGAGCTGTTGCCAATCCAACTTCCGTAGCTTCAGAAGGGCCCAAGTAGAAGGGAGCTGACAGCCACAGACACGAAAGTGACAGATACACAGATTGATGGACAGTATGCAGAAGATTCCCAGCTGATTCAGTATCCTTTAGGACACGGGGCACATTCTTTGTGAATATTCTCAAGGGCAGTCCACCCTTGCTTTCTGAGCAGGTGACTTTGTTCTAGGGAACAGCCACAAGTCACTTGGGGCTGTTCTGCTGGACTAAGAATGATCATGTATGCGGCACTTTGAACTCCTTACTCAGGCCGTCATCAGGCTGCTACCTAGAATGGGTTCGCAGACAGGTTCAAGTCTTGCAGCACAACCTCAGCTCGTCTTCATCGAGTGAGGGCAGCACTGCCGGCACTGAAAGGATGGTGCTCTGTGACACAGTGCACGTAGGCATTTGTATGTAGTATGGATATTTTGTACTTAGTAATTTTGCTTACTTAACAGACACTACAATTTCTATATGATAAAATGAAAGGAGCCACAATGATGATAGGCCAGATTGCAATGTGCAAAGGTGCACACAGAACGGCTTCATCCTTCCATTAACCCTGATGAACACAAAGACACAAACTCAACCCAACTGTCCAGAGCCCACATGGTGAGGTGGCTAAGAGAGGCACTTGGGAGCAGGCATCCTGTGCTTCATTCTGCTCTGTTCTGACAGTTATCTCACCTCTCCACACCTCCATTTCCTCATCTGTAAAATGGAAGTAATATTAGAGCTAACCTCACAGGGCTGTGGTGAAGATTCTGTGGTTTCATAAGCATATTTAGGTTGACTTCCAGCACACAGTTAACACTATATTAGTGTTGGTTGCTATAGTCCTGTTAATCAGTATTTTTAAATTAAATGTCTGGATTTGAACAACGACCAAGGAACCACAAAGGCCTAACAATAATCTAATTCGAATTATCTGCCTATAATTAGTGGACTAAAATGTCTAAAATGTAGTTTACATTTCGAACACACTCGATTACCATACTGCTTCCTAACGGTGTTGGAGAAACATAATGTGCTGATTTAGGATTATATTGCTGAATTTATTTTCATTAATCCATTCACATTAGTGGAGACCTGGGGATAAAGAAGACACGCTGTCTCTCTGGCCTCGAGGTGCACGATGCAGAACTTGGGTGGGCAGACTGCATCACACCGTGGAGGAATGCAAGGTTGGAGATGGCCCAGACACTAAGGGAGTGCCTCACTCTTAACGACATGACTTCTGAAGGCAGTGAGAGTGAGTACTGTCTTTGTTGGACCAACTGCTGCTTGTGTCTGCACTGCGGCAGCCCTCGCCGGAGCTTGTTTTGGTATGATGATTTCCTTCTTAACTGTGAAATAAAATGTGCTATATTTATAGAGGGTACACCTACAGACAGGGTGGATATTTTTATGCCAAGAGAAAGCTCAAAAGGAGGGCTGGGAAAGGGAGGATGATTGATATAGAGAAAAATGTTGCAATGATCAAGATGAGAAATAATTAGGGTCTGCCAGCCAAAACCAGTTTCTACTACATCAGAGTAATTGTCTCTTCCAAGACATAGCATATGACATGAAAATGCACCAACAGAAAATAAGCTGCTTCTCTTGAGAATAATGTCGTGAGAGTCACTGAAAGTTCACGCAAATCTCAGAGATTGCCCATAAAAGCTTAGTTTCACACTTCGTCCCATGGGGAAACTACAGCCTGTGCCGCATGAAAAACGAGTTTTATGAGAGTACTTCTGATTTTTAAGAAGGCTATTTGGCTTCCTAACAGGGCAGCTTCCTAAGAGCACCAGCAGTGTCGCTTTTACATATTGCATGTACCAGGCAGGCCTCATAACCATCAGGGCTGCATTTCAATCTGGTAAAACGTTATGCGGGTGACAAACTTTGACATAAGCGATTGGGAGAAACTGCAAGGGCAAGAATTTCCCACTCAAAGAGATCGTTTTAAGAATGAGATCTAAAAATCAGTCAGAATTTTACACTCCAGGCATGACAACAAAGACCGAGGGAGAGGTAGACAGCGTGGCTGTCACTGCTCCCAGTGCCATTCATGTCCTACATGCTTATCTACTAAGCTTCTCTTAGACATGGGCATTGTGGCCAGTTTCAGAGGGCCAAGGTCTCAGTGGGAGTGCCCAGTGACCCTGGCAATGCTTTTCCTGTCATTTCTATTTCTTTCGCAGGATCTCGCCTGGTCATGAGAGGACACTCTGTGACCGACTAGCCTGGGTTCCATGTTGGTTTCTTCATGGACTCGCTTGGTGACTCAGGCAAGACATTCAATTCCATTTGCCATTTTCTTCTCTTGCTACAGAGCCCACTTCAGAGGATTCAATGAGTGAATACGACAACGGTGCTTGGATCAGTGCCTGCCATACTGTCAGCACTAGTCGTTACTATTTTCACTGGTTGAACAGACACGTGAGTTCACACATGACACCATCTATTGGGATGAGTCACGTTGCTTGCTCAACAACTTTAAGGCCTAGGATCAGTGACAGAACTCCAGGAGCAGCGGGGTTAACACGGGTGACCAATTTCTCCTGCCCACTGTCACTCACATGGCCCATGCCTGCTCCTGCAGATGCCGTTCCCCGGTCCTCACCGCAACTCCCTGTGGGGTTGACTGCCGCTTGCTTCTCCCGCTCCCATCCCCCTCTCCAGATTCCTCCGCCCCTGCATGGGCCGCCTCACGGGGGTTTCTCACCATCCACTCTGAACAAGGCGTGGAGTTGCTTGCTCCAGCCTGGCTGGTCGGCTCCCCAGCTGCCCTGCCCCAGCCTATCTAGGTGACAAAGGCATGATGTCACTTCCTCTGAAGACTGGATTCTTCTTTAATTTGGACACAGTGGACTTCAAAAGTGGCACTCAGATTTCCCTGTTGCTGTGACTTATAAGCATTAACTCTGGCAGTGAGAGGTTGCCTCCTGGAAAGAGAGAGCATGGTACCCAAGTCAAACTGCCAACATTTAAACCCTGTTTGTGGGATCTTGGGGACTTACTCCTTCAAGCTCCAGTTACCCCACTTGAAAAATGACAACCACAACAGTAGCTCACTGTGGCAAGGATACAACTAATACATGGAGAAGGCTTTTCACGGTGCCTGACAGAGAGCAGTAGCTCAGTCTAGACCCTGGGCAGATTGGTCACACCAAGAATGAAAGGGACGATATTTTTCTTCCCCAGAATAGAGGTGTGTGGGCTCTTTCCTCCACTCTTGTCCTTTGTTCATTCAACTTCAGGGCCTCTCTGGATACATGTATTGTTATGTATTGCTACACTGGAAATCCTGCATTCACAAGTTGCAAACTTCTCTGCATGTTCATAAAATGTCTTGTGGAACAGAACGATGCCACATAAACACCACATAGTGATAAGCAAGAGGTTTTTACGTGGTTTGGTAATAAGACTAAGTGTTATTAGACCTCTATTCAGGGCTGAAAAACAGGAACAGTCATGGCCTAATAAATCACACCTATCAGTTCCCAAACAAGCGGCAACAGAAATAAGGGAGGACCCCGCACCCTGCTGTGAATGGAAATGCGATGAATGACGTATTTACCAGTAGGACTCCAAAACCATCAGGTGCTTCCATTAGGTTCTGCCTGAACTACGGGTGGCCAGTTTGGATAGTAGTTTCCATTGTAATAAATGTGGACAGACTAGGTATTTTGGGGACTCTAGACAGCAGTAGCTCGACGGCACCAACATGGAGGTACAAACATCTGCAGCATCAGCTGTGCCATCCCCCTTCTCCTCCCCATGCTTCCGAGACAGATGATTAAATGGACACAGGCTTCTATTTGGGTCCCTTCCTAGTGTGGTGATCCCATGCAGGAACCAAGGGGTTGCTTCTGGCCTGTTTTCCAGAATCACATCCAGGACGGGGCAGGCCAGGAAGATGTCCCACCTGCCACTCGTAATGTGCAGTAGGAAGTAGGCTTTGTGTAAAACAAAAATAGAAACACGGCAACAAAAGACACTATCTCTCTGTCCTTCTGCCATTTCTTCCCTTCTAGGGTTAGGAAATGGTATTTCTACCAAGGGCTGACTTTCTGTGCAAAGTAAAGGGAGGCTGGTTTGAATTTCTGTGTCGTATTTTCCTAGCCCCTCCACCATCAAGCCCTGCCTCCCTAACTACATTTATTTTATTTTGAGATGGAATCTCGCTCTGTTGCTCTGTCGCCCAGGCTAGAGTGCAGTGGCACGATACTGGCTCACTGCAACCTCTGCATCCTGGGTTCAAGTGAATCTCCTGCCTCAGCCTCCTGAGTGGCTGGTATTACAGGCGCACACTGCCACACCCGGTTAATTTTTTTTTTTTTTTTTTTTTTTGTATTTTTAGTAGAGACTGGGTTTCACCATGTTGGTCAGGCTGGTCTCGAACTCCTGACCTCATGATCCACCCACCTCAGCCTCCCAAAGTGCTGGGATTACAGGCGTGAGCCACCATGCCTGGCCCCTAACTGCATTTAGAAAGCCCCCATAAGCTCATTTCCTGGGGTCTTGGAGGAGGTACTGGTCCTGCTGTGCCTCTCCCTCCAGCCCCAACTTGCTCACTGCCCCTGGCTCCGGCTCTGCTACCTGTGTTCTGGCCATGTCCCATCCCTTTCATGTATGAATTCCACATCTGCTTTAAGTTCCAAGTGGGCTGGGACCCTGTTTGATGAGTCTCTCCTACACAAGTCCCAAGTATGCCATCAGTACATACTTTCTGATAGATTTTAAAACACTCAAGCTTGACCTATATACAATGTTATCACTGTGTCATAGAATAATAATATTTCAAGGCTGGAAAGAACCTCAGATTTCCTGTGCCAACCTCCCCTCTTACAGAGGACAAGACCAAGGGCCTGGGGAGGGGGTGACCTGTCCCAGGTCACATACTCAGCAAAGGTCCAAGCAAGGGTGGAAGTCCGGCCCCCAGGTCACTGGCAACCCCTCCAAGGTCCTGCTAGTGGCTGCCCAGGTCAAATAAATGGGAAACCAGCATTTGCAAGCCAGGTGACAGAGCCCTCCTGAGTCACAGATGCTGCTCGGGAGGCTGCTTAAAACTCATTCTCAGGCATACACCAGCGCACGCATCCAGTACTCTGTGATTGTGTCCACCCAAACAAGCTGCTTATCTACTTTTCTGAACATGAGGTTCGAATAGGGAGTGCTTTTGAAAACTCCAGAGTAGTTAGCAATGCTTCCTGGATGATTTTGACTGGGTTCATGTACCCCCAGCCACAGTACGTATATGTAGATGCAGTTTCATGAATAGAGGAAGAATACCAGGTTTAAATGTGTCTCTTAAACCGTCATTGTAACGAGAAGTTACAAGTTGGGTCCTGAGGGAAATAAAAAGGAGAGATTTTCCAATTCTAAGTTCTCAAACCACTGAATAACTTCGCTGTTCCTCCTCAACTGGTTTGGAGTTTGATTTGAGACCAGCACTAAATACAAATGGCTCATTTTTCAAATCAATCTTGATCTAGAGACATACAGGTCAACCTTGGGAAAGCAAGGTCAGTGCTGTGTGCCAACGGGGTTGTGACATCTGTAAGGAGATGATCACAATCTTTAGCCAACCTCCCATTTGTCAGCTCAAGTCTATTAACTGTTTCTTCCCTTGCTTTGTTTTGCTCTATAAGGAGAATACCACTTTTCATCTCAGAACAAACCAACGATATGTCATCCACAGATGTCCTAATGGGATAATCCATGTGTCACAGACAATAAGGAAAGTACTTTCCAGTTAGCTAAATAAGGATTAATGAACAGATACTCAGCAAACCTTCGGGGGAGACACAGACAACCTCTGCAATGGGTAGTGTCATCAATGTCCAAGAAGCCTGCACAGTATGCATTTGTAAATGGCCATTTCAAACTGCTTCAGGGGCAAAATTTTCAAGTTTGTGCATCCAAGAGAAATGTTTTCTATGTCTATATTTTTCTAAAAAGTGAAGGTTTAGAAAAACATGCTTCGAATGTTAATTATATGATGATCCCAATCTTTTGGGGTGGGTTCTAGAATTAGAAGCGTGTGAAGGGTATATGGTTCAAGTGGGCAGAACTTTTTCTGCCTCAGCCGACTGTCACACGAGAACTGTCAAGGATGGAAGGTGGGGAGACACACATGTCAAGGATGGAAGGCTGGGAGAAAGTGGTGGTACTATCTGTGGCATGTGCTCCGTTCAGCGGGGCTCACTTCAGAAAATGCAGCTGAAACACTTCTGAGGTGCTAAAGCAAATTGTTATAATGTCACTGCCTATGGTGCTGTTGAGGCTTTATAGCCACAGAGCGCCCATAGTCTCTGGAAGTCATTCTGCATTCTCACATAAACTCGTCCCCGCCAGCAAGCTCCATTCTCCACAGAAAAAGGCCTTTCAATAATGAACAGCCGTCTGTTCCACAGAGCACAGGAAAAACATGATAAACCAAGTCACACAGCCTTGGCTGTAAACATATTCTTACACAAGATTTCTCCAACTCCATATAAAGAAAAAAACAAGCTATTAACCACTTGCAGAACAACAACAAAAAATGCATTGGGTTTCCTGCAATTAAGCTGCAATGTTTTACAGTGCAATTTTATTTATAACTGAAAAAGAGTAAATAAGTAAATATATAAAACGTCGAACAGACCCCTCCCGCCAAAGGCTTTTTCTGCAAATTAACTTAGCAGTAATAAAACCTGTGCCAGCTGGAATCCTTCCCCTGTGCTCTGTGGCAAGGGCAGCCCACGCGGGTATACGGCTGAGAAAAAACACAGTAGGGCATTTTCTACCTTCAGCCAGGGGATGTTAACTCAACTTTGGCAAGTGTTTAAAGATTTCTCTCTCCACATGTTCAAGAAAGAATTAAAAACAGTTGAACTGGGGAAAATGAACATCTGTTACTTACTTACACTCACAACCACAATGAAAAACATTCACAATTAAAGCGATTTTGCTTCCCTGCTAGTTGCAGCTGTAATCTTGGGTTAAAAATATAAATGCGGAGGCTCCTTATTGTCTTTGGGGCTTTCTTCTTCAGGCTGCTTGTAAAAAAGGTAGTTTACTTGGGTTCGATTTTTTTTTTCCCATTGGAATAACAATATCAGGAAACAGGTCTGCATAAAAAGATAGGGGATGGCAACAAAAAGTACCTACGCAACGGAGCCTTGTTTTATGAAGCTATGAACCAGTAGTCAATAAGTGTTTTATATTTGGGAGTTAAATACACTTTACAGCTGTGTAAAAAACCAGAGCCATTTTGGGCCAAACATAAACATTCCAGCGTCTACAAAGTTTACTTATATTAAGCGACGGGGTAGGTTTCTATCAACTGGGAGGGATTTGTGCGTTATGCATGACAGCACTGAAAAGCTTCCACATCAAGTCATTTCCCGTCCAACATGCAGAAATTTCATCAAGAAAATCAAATCTATTTCCGACAAGGTCTTCATACTTCCACCCAGGCTAATGAAATAACCTCCTAACTGATATGCCAGGATCTAGTCTCTTGGCCCTCCAATCCATCCTCTTTCTGGCTGCCACATTCAACCTTCCTCCAAATAGCTGCAATCCATATCGCTCTTCTTTGATTGCATTAGTTACTTTGCTTATTAAAAGTGGCTCCACTGCCAACTCTATTAAACACAAATTCCTTAGCGTGGCATTTAAGGTCCTTATATCTATGCATATGCTTCCCGAACCCAACACACCAGTTCACTGGTGTGGAATGGGTCCCCAACCATCCCCTGGCTGGCTGTCTAGGTTTTTCTGGCTTGAAATACACAACACTCAGCCCACCCTCTACCCTTTCCTGCACTCATTCTTGAAAACCTCTCAAATGCTACTTTCCCCCGGTCATTGTTAACTGAATTGTTGCCAGTAGATGTGCCTACTACCCCTTTTAACCATGATAGCGGTTCACTGAAGGCACTGAGGTTGAGTCTCCTAGGAGCTTTATTTACACCTTGTCTTCCTCTGTGACTTCACTGCCATCTCTCTGAGCGTGGCTCATCTTTGCATCCCCTCCAGCACTCAGTGCTGGGTCTTCGAGGAACAGCCATTAGAGCCAGTTGCCTGTCTCTCTTCTAGAGAGTTGGTGGAACATTTCCTGACTCCACTCTGATATGCTGCTGAGAAGGTAGACTGAGACACTCTGATGCAATTATTATATGGACTAAAAACATCAGACTTCCACCAGGATCATGTATAATTCAGTCAAACAGATTTGCCAGGCGTGGGTTCTAATTGGAATGGCAATCATAAGCAGTCTTTCTCCTTGGTCAGGCCAAGAAGGAATTAATTTGTAACTCATTAACATTTATTTGGAGGAATCTTAAACCATGGTGGGAATGAGTTCATCTCCAGCTGGGCGCAGGGCCTTGCTGCTGAAGGTCCAAGGTCACTGCCCAGGAAGGCTGGCTCAGCCTTGGAATGTGTCCATGGGCTCGTGCCAGCCCTGGCCCTGATCCCACACCACAGAACCCATGTGGCTGAAGGAGCTGAGGCTGGGAAAATCCCCAGGGAGGGGGCAGAAGACTGTTACGTCCTTAGCAGAACATGAGGCTTTTTCTGAGGTTCTGGAAAATAAGTCTGGACAGTTTTCTTTCAAAGTGGTATGGTTCAGCACACCTCTGCCCTCCTTTGCCACCCCCTCAGGAACAAAAACCAGAAGTGCAGAGGGAGCTGTCATGTTATTCCTGGCCCAACGAGAGCAGGAAGTGCCATAAATCTCTCAAGACAGCCTAGGCTCATGGGATTTCCAGAACCAATCTGTCGATTTATGAGAATCAGATCATTCAGACAGACATCCGAACCTTAGATCCTTATGAAAAAACATTAACATACAGGACATTCCTGTCACTTAGGAAAACATTATTCTTTCAAAGTTCCTCCCATAGAACACATCTAACATCTAGGAGAAAAGAGCAAAGAAGCATGGCCTGAATCAGGCCAACCACTGAACCTTTAATCGAGATCCTTATCTGGGGAAATCGCTAGCAGCCTGCTGGACAATGATCAATGAGGGCTGGCTTGGCGTGGCACTGCCTTGGGCCCTGGGTGGGAAGGCTGGTCAATAGCCTTTGGGATCATCAAGCCTGGCCCCAGAAAACAGAAAACAAAGCAGTGGCTTGCAAACACTACCTACAGATGATGTTGGACCGGCAGTGCTGGAGCGCCGGGAGCTGCAGAAAAGACCCGAGGTCCAGGCTCTATCCCTTGGAATTTGACTTGCTAGATTTGGGGTAGGTCCCAGAGAGCCGTATTTTGAAGGTCACTGGGAAAAGCTTGGGAACTATTGAAATACCATATATTGTGACAGAGGCGGTCAGTGATTTAAGACCATGTCTTGATTCTAAAAGATAGTCCTTGACTGTAGGCTGCCCCTGAAAACCTGCTTGTCTCCCATCCGTGCAAGAAATGGCCCAGCCTCCACTCGGCTGCCTGGGAGTCTTTCTCTCTCGCTTTCTCTTCCAGCCTCATCCAACTCCCATCGGCTCTACTCCAAAACATTCCGAGTTCATCCGCACTTCCCTGCTCTGTGATCCTCGTCCCAGCCTTACATCACTTTCCTCTTTCCTCGGCACAGCTGGAATAGAGTCCCTCTTTTAGCCATTTTTACAGCCCCAATCCCAGCAGTCATTGGTCAGTCAGAATAACCTTTTAAAAATGTGAAGCAAACCATGACATTCCCCTGTTTAAAACCCTCCCTTAACTTCCCCTCAACGTAGCAAAAAGTGCCAACTCCTGTCATCTGGGCATGTTTCCCCCACCCCACCCACCAGACCTAGCTAGCCTCACACTCCTGTTTTTTCTCTTCATCTAAGAGGTACTCATCCTTAAAGCTCAGACTGGGCATCATTGCTTCCAAGAGGTCTCCTGACTCTTCATCCAAGTCTGGGCTAGGCAGGTGCCTGCCCTGCATGGGCTCTGAGCTCGTCCCTATCAGAGAACTGTCCACCCCATGTGAATCTTACCATCTGTCTCCCCACTAGTCTCTGGGATACTGGGGTTATGTCTTTTATCTCTGTACATTCATTAGGTACACAGTAAGCACTCAGATGTTTGTTCAGTATATTAACCAGACCTATCCTAGTTATACCTGGAAAACTAGTAATTATCCTAGGAGCTAAAATGAATGTTATGGAAGGACACACAAAGGAATCACATTTCCTATATTTCCAGTCATTCCTAAGTCCTCAGAGGCAGCAGAGGAGAGCACTCAGGAGTCTGCTTTGCAGCAAGGCAGCCCTGGGTTAAGATCCAGGCACCAAAACTTCCTAGCAGTGTGGCCTGGGGCATGTTACCTAATGTCTCTTACCTTCTGGTCTACATTTGCATAGAAAATGGGTGTGTGAATGACCTGGTTAGCCAAGTGCCCAGTACATCCTGGGTGTCCCCGCATGGTAACTCACAGCGTTGTTCTTACTCCTTTAGGGGGCTAACCCTCTAATGCCTCTGGCCAAGGTGGGGTGGAAGGGACAGAGGGTCTCTCTTCAACCTGCTTCCAGAACTGTTTTATCTAATACAGCATAATTCCTGATTTGTTTTCCTCTTTAGGTAATCTTGATTTTTGGTATTTCTGAAAAGTCAACTCTACTGGACTCTAGAATAGCTTTGGTCATCTGTTTCCACCTTGACTCTTGGGAGAGCATCTGATAGGACCTCGAGGGGCATACCATCCCTTTCTGCCCTTCTCCCTCCAGAGTGCACGTTTCCATTTTCCAGTCCCATTAACACCACCGTTATCACAACTGCTAGGATTTTGCTAAGTACTTAAAGCAGAAAGAGGCCTGGATTAGAATTCTGAATCCTTTTAATCTCTCTCTAGGTAAGTTTTGCCAGCCTAGTTTCTTAAAATGTCAAGTATTAAACTGCTTTTATCTCACTAATTAATAATTAGCTTTGGCAAGCAAGAAAGTAAAAGGCATGGCTGGATCTTTCTCAAAAATAAGATCCCGGATAGCAGACTAGGTATAAAACGCAAGGTGATGGCAAGATCATTTGGATTCAAATAAAGCAGAAATCATGAGCTGAGTGTCCTTCCTCAGAGGATGGAACTGGGCGGGAGAGTTTCCATTACTCTCCCTGGAGAGAGGTCTGTGCACTGGTGGGTTTCCACAATGAGCGCTCTATACTTGAATGCCCTTAAAGACTAGAGGCAGTCTTTTCTATTGCTGCTTTGTAGCTTGGAAATCCCAGCTAGAGATGACTTTATGGGGTTGTATGGTCTAGACAAGAGGGTTACTCTTTGGTGAAATTGCTCCTTGGGGAGGTTACTGTGAAAAATTCCCATACAACTAATTAGCATTCAGAAGGGCAGGCTACCGAGAGGGCGCTAGACTTTGGCAGAGGCCGCTGCTGGAAAGCCAGCATCCCCAGCTTTATCACCGACCACGTTTATTTTCTTCCGTCAAAGCAAGGACAGGAAAGGGGAACGAGAGAGCTAGCGAAAAACACAACTCGAGGTAATGGTGGAGAACAAAAAATGAAGCCTGCCCATGGCTCCGAATGAGAGGTCAAGCCTTCTCTGAGAAATATGGAAATACCAAACTTTTTTTTGTTGTATATTTTCTACATAAAACATTTTCAGCTTTCTCAGCAGCTTCAGATCTTTGGAAGCGAACATGGAAAGGTATAACGGTCTGAACGGGGTATGGGGTAAAATGCTCCCCCAAATGTCAGCAAGTCATAGTTTTAAAACCCAGAGGAACTCACAACTATTTTCACCTCAGGTTTTACAGGGCCAATAGAGGTAGGTGGTTGTATGTGTTCCTTCAATATGGGGAAGAAATAACTTTCACCTACCCTAGGACTGAGCCAAGAGAAAACACCTGTCTAGAAAGCCTTGGGTTCTGGTCAGCTGACAAGTGGCCTCTGTGCAGGGATGTCAGCCTGTGCTCCCGAGTCTCATATCCAAATGCAAAACCCATTCTGGCAAGTCAGCATCTTCTCCAAGAAGCCCTTGGAGACCAGCCCTGCGCAGTGGCTTTCCTTGCCATACGTGCTCTCAGATGATCTCACACTTACACAGACGTGGTTTTTTCACGTCTACGTTATTTGTGGGGATGCAGTTTCTTCTTCCTGTTGAGTTCATCAGGGTGTGGCACCTTCTCCACCTGCATTTCACCCTGATGGCCCTATGATTGTCTTGCACACTAAGTGCTTCACACCTAAGATGGAATAACTTAAGTATGCAAAGGGGGACCATCTACAAAAGAAGCCATATTTTAAAAAAGCATTTTTCTTCCTCTCTGTGGTTATGCTCCAGACATGGACTCTGTATGCATTCTGTTGATGCCGAGTCTGCAAGTGTTCCAGGGTCTGCAGGCCCAGAGGGAATTATATAGCTATGGCTCGATGGGGTCTCAGGAGTGAACTACGAACATGATGCAGTGTGATTATGGAAACACACTTGCTGTTTTGTAGTGGCTGGAATGTGACTGAGAGGAATAAGCACTACAGTGGGAATCAAGAAGCTTGGACTGTGGTACTGTTTTATGCAATTTAGCTACATGTCCTTGACTCTACACTTATGAAGAGATGAGCCTAGATCACTTGTAGCCTTCCAAATTTTTTGACCATGATCCATTGAAAAATATATTTTACATTACAACTCAGAAAACATCTAACACACACACACACACCCCATTTCCCCAGGTAATACTTATCCTTATGGAGTGTGAAACACTCTATTTTCTGTTTTTTTCTTGTCTTTCTAAAATGCTGGTTATATCTTACCAATTAATTTCATGACCCATCAATGAGATGTGACTTCAGTTTGAAAAAAGTATCCAAGATGATCTCTGCATAAATTTCTGGTTCCCAAATTCCATATATGTAAAGATCTGATGCTATTTCATGCCATAGTGTTTTTCCTTCTTTGTTTTCTTTAATCGGGAGGAGTTCGGGGCAGTAACGCATTTTGTAAATTTAGGAGTGTTAAGGAATGACAACTTCCATAATGAAGCCATTGCCTCACCTGCCATTCTCCCAAGAATTCTCATCTAAGTGGTGGAATAGGGAATGGAGTCACTCTCTGGCCTCTTTGACTATCATTTTAAAAGAGAGCAGTAGGTGGAAACAGCCCCCTTCCGTTCATGTCACTAGAATCCCTGTTCTTACCAGGCAACAACTACTGAAATGGTTTGCAGCTTCCCCATTTTTAAGACATACATTATTATTTTTGTTGATCTGTTTTCCATTCTTTTGAATATTCTGAGGACATTTGTACCGAACACAAAAGATGAACAGGAAGATCAACAACATGTTACAGCAATGCTGCTACTCTGTCAATGCATAGATGGAGGCCAGAGATCTTAACACAGAACTCTCAGGAGTCTCTGAAACCTGTAATTCTTTTATTTCCAAAACATATGCAGTAAGACACGCATTTTAGTTGTTTTCTCATAACCATGATATTTTCACACTGACCTTGAGGGTAAGGCCAATCTTTGAGAATGTGATTTGTCCTATGTGTATGTTCCATTTCTTCATATCAAGCATCCTCTCTTTTCTGAGAGTCAAGGGACCACATTACCTGTTGTTTGACATTTAGCTAGCTTCAAGGGCATGGTTCATGGCGCCAGGATGAAGCTAAGTCAACTGGCCCACATGAGAATTAAACCCATGACCTCAGACTTATTAACACCATGCTCCTATCACCTGAGCTCCAGTTTGCAAGCATCATGAACAGAGAGGGAAATGACTTCTTATAAGACAACAATGAACAGGTATGCAGAACTGATACGCTTTAGTATCTTCTCTAAGATACTTAATGAGTTAGTATCATTTAGTATCTAACTTCATCATGGTGAATTTTAGGGAGACTTTCAACACAATAATGGTCTAAAACTTGGTGGAATATTAGAAAGTAACCATTTAAAAGGGTGGGGCCTGCTCAAGATATAGGGTCATGATCACGCCTCAAAAACACCATCCTACATTTAGTATCTTAGAAAAGATACTAAAAGTACATTTATTTAATATCTTAGAAAATATACTTGAATGAGAGGAACCAATGAAAAAATATTAATTTGGCATCTAAGTAACAATATGGTTTATTAGGTTAATAAATTCAGACCACTCAGAACACTACAGACAAGAACCTGCGAACACTCTGAAGGAGCCACAAATTGCCATCTTCTGGAAGATAACAAAAGAGGCAAAATGTACTGAGAACACATCCATTCACTTTTCAGTCCTGCCATCTTTCCAAAATATACTATTATATAATAGAAAACACACAGTAAATACAAATTCTAGGAGGCTGTTAGATGCTATTTTTAAGAGGCACAGCTACCACGAAGATGGAGCTACTTTCAAGTTTATATATAGCATAATTCATTTTCCAGTTTACCCTCCTTGCTTGACAGAATTAAAATGACAATGTTCATCAGTGTGCCACATTTATAGCTTTAGCTAAAGGTCTCCCACATGGCAAAGGACAAGCTTTCTAGTCCTGGCAAAACTTCCATTTTTGACGATGCCAAGAAACACATATTTGTTGGAAAGCAAAAAAGGGAAGGAAAAAAAATCCTTTTTGGAATATTTATTACTTATTCATTTTAGAAAACAGAGCCCTATAGATTACTTACAAATGTGTTAACTAGCTGGGCACAGTGGCTCATGCCTGTAATCCCAGCACTTTGGGAGGGTGAGGTGGGCGGATCACGAGGTCAGGAGTTTGAGACCAGTCTGGCCAACATGGTGAAACCGTGTCTCTACTAAAAACACAAAAATTAGCCAGGCGCGGTGGCGGGTGCCTGTAATCCCAGCTACTCGGGAGGCTGAGGCAGGAGAATTGCTTGAACCCGAGAGACAGAGGTTGCAGTGAGCCGAGATCATGCCACCGCACTCCAGCCTGGGTAACAGCAAGACTCCATCTCGGGGGATGGTGGGGAAAGGTTAACTAGATTTTACTAAACTTTGCTTTGTTTTGAGACAGGGTCTTGCTCTGTTGCCCAGGCTGAAGTGCAGTGGTGCAATCTAGGCTCACTGCAGCCTCAATCTCCCAGGCTCAGGTGATCCTCCTGCCTCAGCCTCCTGAGTAGCTAGGACCACAGGCACATGCCACTGCACCTGGCTAATTTAAAAACAGTTATTTGCAGAGACAGGGTCCCCCTGTGTTACCGTGGCTGGTCCTGAACTCCTGGGCTCAAGTGCCTCAGGCCTCACCTGCCTTGGCCTCCCAAATTGTTGGGATTATAGGCGTGAGCCACTGTGCCTGGCCTGAACTTTTAATTTACTATTTACTTGGCAAGTACTGCGTATTAGTTACCAAAGGTTTATTTATGTTTCTGTAATGCATATTTATTATACAGTTATTCCAGAAATGGTCTCATTTTTCTTTGATTTAAAGAAAAAGCCAATTTTTATATTTGCAGTTACTTCATAATTTTATGGTTTTAGTTTCCAAAAGGGGCCTATTCATCTCCCGGGGAGGGGGCATGGGGAACCCTTCCAGATTAAGGTGCATGGCCCACAGGTGGTGGCAGTAGCCCATCTAGCCCTTCAGAACCAACTCCAGTCAAGATCCCCTTGGTAGCTCACTCACAACTAAGTTGTGACATTTTAATTGCATGCTTTTAAATATTAACCATTTGTCAAGTTTTGTTAGTCTTAATTTTCCTTTACACGCAACATAGCATAAATTATATATACTGGTATTACAGAAACCAAGTGGCTTTAATTAAACACTTTTTTCAAAGAATGCTTCCTTTTAATGGCAGTGAAATACCATTCATAGCATCTAAGTGCTCTGCCAAAACTAACTTCATCATGGTGAATTTCAGGGAGACTTTCAACACAATAATGGTCCAGAACTTGGTGGAATATTAGAAAGTAACCATTTAAAAGGGTGGGGGCCTGCTCAAGATATGGGAGTCACGATCATGTCTCAAAAACACCATCCTACATTGATGGCCCAGCATCAGTCCCCGTAACTGTTAGCACACTGTTAGTTCAGCCTGGATAACCCCAGACAGTTCTGTCTAGAGGAGGAGAGCTGAGGATGCACCAACAGAAATGCATATCGAGGGCCTTTCCACCCCTGAATTTAAGACTCTAGGCAGCCATTTTCAAGTCAAACATTCTGATGAGACTTTTAACTATACAGTGACACAGCTTATCTTAGAGAGCTCACATGAAAACAGATCACATGAAAAGCACCACTTCATTTGCCAGAAAGAAGTCTGCTTGACTTTTATTTTTTATTTAAAAATTTTGGTAATTTTGAAATAGGAATCTATGTGAAAAATAAAAAATGCATCCAGTCTCAGGCTGTAAGGAAACATCTTAGTTGGTAGACAATGTCAGGGACCGACTAATTCATTCAAAATTATTCAGGCTCCCTGAGAATGATTTGTCCTGGGGCCTGTAACTACTTAGAATACTCTGGCTGCCTTAAAATAAAACTGAAGAATTGGGGTACTGAGATAGAAAACACAGTACATCATGAGATCAGTAGATGTCAAATTCATATACAGTTGTCCCCCAACCAACTTTAGTTTCTTATGGTTGATTTTACCTATGTGTTCCATACCAAGCAGAGCCTAATTGGCTTGTTTTTTTTTTTTAAACAAAAAAACAAAAAACAAAAACTTATTCAGCCTAGTGGAATATGAAATAAATCTTTGATCTGATAAGATCAACCCAACTTGTTACAGCTAAATATGAATTAACACCAGTCCAATTTTCCAAGGAGGAACTATGTAATTTTGGTTGCAAGGTGCCAGACATGCACAATCTCTTTGTCCATGGTCCCAGAAAGGTTCTAGCAACTTCAGTTTCTTCCTGCCTGTCAAATACCACTTGTTCTGAGTGCATTTCCAACATCTGACACAAGTCCTGGGACAGGAGCAGTGAGATTCTGTCCCTTGTCTTTTTAGCAAAAACAAATTAGCTTAAAGCATTCTCAGTTTTCTGCAGGTTCTTTAATGCTGTGCAGCTGGGTGTGCCTGGGGATCATTTTATTGTTAAAACTTGAGCCACATGGAAAAGACATTAAAACAAGTTTGCCGCCGTGATACTCATGAAGATGAAAGGGCTTCTCTGATTTTAATATGCCGTGTTTTAGACTGGTGGTGGCAGGGACGGGGGTGTGGAGAAAAGGTGTCTTTGGAAATATATGAGTTTGTCTGGGCTGTGAATTCTTCAGGTGCTAAATCTACATCACCTTCACAAGGGAGGTGTATGGCAGTCTCGGGCGTCTGTTTGTTTATTCATATTTTCAGTAGAATCCACACCATTTTCCAGGCTTACAATATGTTGCTCTCTTTAGCACTCATATTTCAGTTCTGGTTTGTGCTTCCAAAGGAAAATTACTGAGAAGTGTGCACTGATGGATGTTGGCATATGAGTGAGCTCTGGACGTTGGCTTAAAAAGATGGCATTCTTTCTTGGGGAGACAGGGTGTGAACAGCACAGTCTTAATGTGTGCTCTTTAAAACAACTTTACCTTGTGATCTTTTTTGATATTTTTTTGGCCAATGCAGAGACCCCTGCTGGGACAAAGAAAAAGCAGCTAGGACCTAGGACCAATGCCTCACCACTAACCGTGTTTCTAGCACGAAGTGAAATATGGCTGTAAAGACCTTTGAGATTTCTTATGGGAATTCTTAACAGTGGACATACTATTTTTATTGAGTTTGATTAAACAACACAGTTAATAGTAGAGATGAAATTCAGGTTTTTAACTAAATGTAAATGGTCAAGTGTGGTATAGGATCACTTTGCATGAACATTATAAAAAATAACACAGAAACACTGAATTATTGGCTTTCTGTTAGTACAGATATTAAATCTGAGGATTTAAGTGCCTGCCCGTCAGAGAAACTGGACTACTTAGAGTTTCTGAGGATGTGCTCAACATGGACTGAACCTGGGCGGCTTTAATTTTCTTTCTGGTAATATTCTCAATGTAAGGAAGCACTCTTTATCTCATGGGAAACAAAACACTTTGGGTATTGGAAGACGTAGGTGCTGTAAGTTCTATCAGAAACACTTTCAGTCATTAACCAATTCTCAACTGTGTCACTGGACTGAGAGTTTGGCAACAGCCCTTCTTTATCTTTTCTTCTCTGCTCCTTCTCTCTACTTAATATGTCCCGTAACTGGTTTATTTGTCCATGTTACTGCTTCCTTAGTGTTGCCATGCTAAGGATGAAGAATTCCGCCTACTGTCTTTCTTCAATGAACAGGAAATTCCAGAGATTTTCAAACTCAAACTACTGCATGTATTTACTTCATTGTTCCTAAATGAATTGTTTATAAGAGCGGAAATGCTATTTGCTAGTTCAAAGAGTGACTGGAAGTTGTGGACTCCTGTTCTTCATTCCTGCCTGAGCAACCACTCTTTTGTTTCAATTAAGGTAAGATTTACACACACTGAAATGCACAAATCTTAAGTGCATGCTTGTTTTTTTCTGAGACAGGGTCTCACTCTGTCACCCAATCACAGCTCACTGCAGCTGCGACCTCCTGGACTCAAGCCATCCTCCCTGCCTCAGCCCCGAGTAACTGGGACTACAGGCATGTGCCACCACACCCAGCTAATTTTTTGATTTTCGTAGAGACCAGGTCTCACTATGATGACCAGGTTGGTCTCAAACTCCTGGGCTCGACTAATTCTCCCACCTCAGCCTCCCGTGCTGGGATAACAGGTGTGGGCCACTGCATCGGGCAGGTATATAATTGGATGAGCTTGATAAATGTATACATTTGTGAAACCAACATCCCAATCAAGACACAGAATATATCCATCACTCAAGAAAGTTCCCTTGTCCACACCTTCCTCCTCACATACTCAAGTTAACTATGGTACTGATTTCTGTCACTGCAGGTTGGTTTGCCTGTACTTGAACTTCATGAGTACCCTTTGTGTCAGGCTTAACTTGCTCAGCATAATGTTTTTGAGATTCATCCATTTGTTGTGTGTGTATCAGTACTTTCTTTTTATTGCTAAATTATACTCCACTGTCTGGATATATCACAGTTTACCCATTTATCTGTGGATGAACTACTTATCATTTTGGGGCTACTGTGAATAAAGGTGCTATATACATCCTTGTATCCGTCTTTTGTGGATACATGTTTTCACTCCTCTTTGGTAAATACCTAGAGTGGAAGTGCTGGGTCAACATCACTCAGCTCTGTGGCCCCGAGGAACCTATATCACACCTCTGTCAGTTTCACTCTCTCTGCCGGGCGGAGGGATAATGAGATCTGCTCCCCTCTCCCCTCAGAGCAGGTTTGAGGACATTCTCTGCTCTGCACAGGAAGGAGGGGAGGGAGTTTCAGAGACACTATAGTCAAAACTCCCCCGGTTCTAAAGACTTTGAGATGCCCTTTACATGGCCCCCTGACCTTGATTTAAATATTACCAGTGGGATGTTCAATTCTACACACCTTAAAGGGAATCTGAAATGTAAAAGTACCCCAAATTGGATAGCACAAAGGGGTGTCCCCCCATTCCCAACTGTGATGATGGCTGGGCCTATGTGGGCACATCCTTCAACAAGAAAGGGGACAGAGCTCCTTCACCAGTGTGTTCACCTGCTGGAAACATCCAGTGCTCTGTTTCTTAGTACTCTGAGTCTCCACATTTAAAAGGGTTATTGCTACCTTTACTAAAATAACAACCAGGATATAAAAATTGGTCAACTTGCTCCATCTTCACTTCTGCCACCCCTGGCTATAAAATGATAATCTTAAATGCTTCTGTGTTAATAACAACAGTGTCATTTCCCCCCATTTCTAAATTGGGTTGTCCTTTCATTGTTGAATTGTAGGAGTTCCGTACGTATTCTAGATATGAGGCCTTTATCAGACACATGGCTTGCAAATATTTTCACCTATTCTGATTGTTGTCGCAATTTCTTGATAGTGTCCTTTAAAGCACACACTTCTTTAGTGTTGCCGAAGTCCAACTTCCATTTTTTTTTTCCTTTGGTCCCACAGACACTTTAGATATAGTGTTTGTATCCATTCTGACAAGAAAATGACCCCATCTCCTTCCTGAAAATTTATCCATGTCCAGAGCAGTCATTAGCAAATACCACCTGTAATGCACATTCCTGGAATCAGCCTTCTCTGAGGTTAGTGCAGACCAAAAATAAACATGCACAAGCAGCCCTCGCCAGGGCTGGTGAAATATTGTCTGCCCAAAAAGGCTGGATTCAGCTTAGAGCAAAAAATGTTTTGATTTACATGTGCTATATAGCTATTTCTAGAAGCCCTAACTAACCTGACAACATAAGCCATTTCCACCATTGACAGTCAACACTTCCTGAACACATGGGGCTTATTTACTAATGCAGGGTATCTTGAAAGCAGAGCGGGGATATTCCTATGCTGATTTATTTTCTGAACTGGTGGTTTAAGTAGAATCAGTGTAAACACAGCAGTTGTTCCTGGCCCTATCCTTATTTTATTAATCCTCACAGTAAAGTAAACACTGCCTCCATTACACAGATGAGGAAACTGAGGCTTGAGAAGGTTTAAGTCCATCTGTCTCTCAAGCAGCAGAACCAAGAATTGGATCGAGACCCCTTTGGTGTCAAGGACTCTTAGCACTTTACTTCTGTGCTCCCAGAGTTCTGGAGGGTCTCCCAGAAAACTCTAGATTTGCATACCACCTTTAGTCAACACATCCAGGTCTGCTCACTAATTCCCTAACCTGACACATTCCATAATCATGGACTATAAAATTGTTTGCCCAAATCACTTTCCCTATGATCTCACCTTATTCCAACTCCTTTGGAACTTACATTTGCCTTGCAATTATCTATGACATTTTATGGGTGTGAATATACATCTTTTAATTGCATTGAAACAGCGTAGAATGACCCCATGTGTATCTCTATATTGTCTTATTAATCATCTGTGCTAATGTAGCCCATGTGTGTATACATCATGTTCATTAGTTGTCTGTTCCACAAGCATATGTTGCCTGCTTCTATTAAGGGATGTAAGTTCTAAACCACAAAGGCTATGCCTTATGCTTTTCTGTATCCCCAATACTTGGCACAGTGCCTTATAACAAGATAGATGCTCAGATAAATGTTCATTGCAGCACTATTCACGATAGCAAAGACATGGAATCAACCCAGATGCCCATCAATGATAGACTGGATAAAGAAAATGTGGTACGTATACACCATGGCATACTATGCAGCCATAAAAAAGAATGAGATCATGTACTTTGCAGGGACTTGAATGGAGCTGGAGGCCATCATCCTTAGGAAGCTAACACAGGAACAGAAAACCAAATACTGCATGTTCTTACTTATAAGTGGGAGCCAAATGATGAGAAAGAGCTAAATGATGAGAATACATGGACACATACGGGAAATTATACATACTGGGGCCTTTCGGAGGGTGGAGGGTAAAGGGTGGGAGGAGGGAGAGGATCAGGAAAAATAATTAATGGGTACTAGGGTTAATACCTGGGCGATGAAATAATCTGGACAATAAACCCCCATGACACAAGTTTACCTATATAAGAAACCTGCATTTGTACCCTGGACTTAAAATAAAAGTTAATAATACTTGCCTTGTGTCCCATCAAGTATTAACAAGGATCAAATTAGATGGTGAATGTGAATGCTGTTGTGCACTATAAGGTTAGAAAAAGATCTATTATGATTACAGATCACCACTGATTTGTATTTATTTATTTATTTATTTATTTGAGATGAAGTATCACTCTGTTACCCAGCCTGGAGTGCAGTGGAGCAATCTTGGCTCACTACAACCTCTGCCTCCCAGGTCCAACTGATTCTCATGCCTCAGCCTCCCAAGTAGCTGGGATTACAGGTGCGCACCAACATGCCTGGCTAATTTTTGTATTTTTAGTAGAGATGGGGTTTTGCCATGTTTGCCAGGCTGGTCTCGAACTCCTGACCTCAGGGGATCTGTCCGTCTTGGACTCCCAAAGTGCTGGGATTACAGGCGTGAACCACTGTGCCTGGCCAATTTGATTGTTTTCTTCAAGTCAAAAAAATGTTTTGTTTGGGAAGGTTTTTTTCTAAGTGGTATAGCTGTGGAAAAACAAATAAAATCCTATTTCCTTGTTGCCATCCTCACTCCAACATTTTCAGTAGCAAGAAGAGATTAAAAATAAGTGGCTGCAGAAGATGCTGGGGAAGCAGAATTAGCCATAAGACTCGACCATGACACTCAGGCAGAGGAATAAAGGTTTTTACTAGTCAATCAAAAAGGAAGAGGAAGAGACAAGGATTAGAACAGAGTAGTATATAAACAAGCAAATAAACTGTAGGCCAGGAAAGGGTCTTTCAGTGACCTACAGAACACAGGCGGAGAATATAGCAACATCTTCTCATTCTCCAGCTACAAAAGCGGGTATTTATGTGAAAAGGGAAATGTAAATCAGATCAATACGAAGATTTTAGGGAACGTTGCTTAGGTATCATGCAGACATCCAACTCTTTAGGGAGAATTTGTTAGAAAAACCAAATCACAGCCTCAGGAATTCATATCACAAAATTCAGTCAGGCTGAAGAATTTCACCTTTCTCCCCTCATTTTCCACTATTAAACAGAATAGTATTTCTCTCTCTGAGATTTTTCCTTCCATTTTGTTCTTTTCTTTTGCGTAGGTGGGAGATGTATGTTAGTTTATACTTTATTTTGGTTATCTTTTTTCTGTCTGGGATTTTTTGTCCTTACTAAGCCTATTTAAGTTTATTTTGCTTTCTAACAATAAAGGCATGAGGGAAGAGCTCACCTCAACTCCATTCAGATAGAGCTTCTAAATGCCAAGCAAAATTCTATCAGTCCTGTAAGTCTGTATTGCAGAGAAATGTCCACCCCAAGGGAAAAATACTATATTATTTAAAATAATTTGCTGTGTATTAATAACTCCTGAAATTTTCAATAACTTTATAATCTGAACAATTTATTGTAAAAGCCATAAAGAAATGTTTCTTAAAAGGCCATACCAAGATACACAGGAATATGAAGTAAAATAAAACAATGCAGAAGCTTAAATTTTATATTAAGAATCTAAACAAGAAAACCTAAAAATTGGTTTAATTTCCTTGGGTGCCTTTCTCTGGTTTAATACTTGAATTTTCCCCCCCAGAGTGCGCCAAAATATATATACAAATATTTTCCAGGAGTAACTATGCGATGCTATTAGAACCAGAAACCCAGCCAGCTCTTTCCATGGCTTCTCCATTAAGACATGAGTGAGCATCTGTCAGTCCCACTGGATTCATCCCGGAGGTCAAGGAAACGGATTACAGTAATCTTTCTCCAGACAACGTGGAATATGTTCAAAATTCAAGCTAGAAGGCACATAGATACTACAATGAGATGGGCCATGTTTTAAAACAGTGGTTTCTTAACTCTGGTTGTAGAACTACCCACCCAAAAGAGCTTTTAAAAACTCCCAATGCCCAAGCCCCACCCACCAGCTGAATCAGAGTGGCTGTGGGTGGAGCCCAGGCAGAGGTAGATTAAAATTTTTTCCAGGTGATTTCAACGTTCATCCTGATCGAAAATCACTGTTTTCAGAGGTTCAATGGGGAAATATGGGGGGAGGGGGGAGAAATTACTTTCTTAACTAAGCTGTAGGCAATAATAACCAAGACAACCTGCTCTCTAATGATGGATGCAAAAGCAAAAAGGCCTTTGCTATAGGATGATCCCACGTCAAAGGTCAATTAATTTGATGGAAAGAGATCCATTCAACTCTTTTTAGGGCCAGTAATTCTATATCTTCCAATCATATGTCCTAAGTTGTTTTAATTATAAAAAGAAAGACAAACTCATTTTAGAAAATATGGGAAAAGAAAAAGAAGAAAATAATATTCATCTTCCTATCATATTAAGGTAGTTAACCATGGTTAACTTCTCTTAAATAAAAGATAAAATTGAGATCATGGGCCAGGTGCGGTGGCTCACGCCTGTAATCCCAGCACCTTGGGAGGCTGAGGCAGGAGGATCACTAGAGGTCAGGAGTTCAAGACCAGCCTGGCCAATATGGCAAAAACCCACCTCTACTAAAAATACAAAAATTAGCTGGGTGGTGTTGATGCGCACCTGTATTCCCAGCTACTTGGGAGGCAGAGGTCAGAGAATCTCTTGAACCTGAAAGGTGGAGGTTGCAGTGAGCTGAGATCACACCACTGCACTCCAGCCTGAGTGATAGAGTGAGACTTTCTCTCAAAAAAAAAAAAAAAATTGAGATCATATTGCTTATGCAGTTTTGAAACTGGATTTTCTCGTGTAACAAGATAATTGTGGTTAGTGCCTACAAAGCAGTCCATTGCTTGAAATGGTCATTATTTATTTATTGGTGATTGACTTTAGGTTTATTTGCAGACACATGGATCCACGATTCCTTGACCTACAAACTAAGTAAGATTAATCTGGTAAATACTGAAAGGAAAAAACAGTGGTATAATGGTAAAGTGGGGCAGGGAAGGTCCTGATATGTAGCATTTGCCAATGTCACTGGTGTAAATACTCCCACCATGGCTGATTTCAAGGTAACAGTTTAGCAAACAGCTTGCAAACCTGATTATTTAACAACCGGCTATCTGGAGTCAGCTGACCCTTAGAGAAACCCTGGCTGAATGAAACTGTTAAGTCCTTCTGTTATGACATGCTGTTTGAATGGTAGAGCTGTGTGAAAATGAAAGTTACAGTGAATGAAGTCAAACCAAGGTTTCAGTAACTTAACATATTTTGAGTTTGGAGGTGTCAAGTTCACACACAGTGTGGATGGTATAATAAAGTTTAAAAAAAGTATTAATGTAATAATAATGAATGTGGATAGAAAGTGTGGGTATACTGGAAAGAGCTTATTCTTTGAATAGACAGACATGGATGTGTCAAGTTAACCTTAGTAAGCCTCTATTTCTTATCTGTACATGGGAATAATAATGTCTCAGTGAGGCTGGTGTTAAGATTAAATACAATGTCATACATAAAGAATACAGTAAGCACACACAGCAAACACTCCACAAGTGCTACTTGCCTTTCCCTCTAAGTAATTGTACTTTAGATGTTACTACTTTTTTTTTTTTTTTTTTTTTTTGAGATGAAGTCTTGCTCTGTCACCCAGGCTGTAGTGCAGTGGTGCAATCTCGGCTCACCGCAACCTCCACCTCCCAGGTTCAAGCAATTCTCCTGCCTCAACCTCCCAAGTAGCTGGGATTACAGGCGTGAGCCACCACACTTGGCAAATCTTTATATTTTTGGTAGAGATGGGGTTTCACCATGTTGGCCAGGCTCATCTCGAACTCCTGACCTCAAGTGATTCGCCTGCCTCTGCCTCCCAAAGTGCTGGGATTACAGGCGTGAGCGACCGTGCCTGGCCCATGTTACTACTTTTAAAAGGAGAAGGGTATGAATTATCTTAACACTTTATTTTCAGATAATTTAATCACATTTATTTTTCAATTCCATTTCTCTATTATGTAAACCAGGGGTTGGAAAACTGTGGCCTATGGGCCAACTCTGGCCTGTTTTTGTACATAAAGTTTTAGAAAAACTTTTAATAAAACACAACATGCCCATTAATTTAGGTGGTTCTATAGCTGCTTGCACATTACAATGGCAAAGTTGAGTAGCTGAAACAGAGACCCTGTGGCCTGCAAAGCATATTTACTATATGGACCTTTATAGAAAAAGTTTGCTGATCTATGATTTAAACTATTCTAAGCTTTTCTTAAATGAATACTTTTTCTATATATTAAAAGAAAAAAAGACAAGGATAGGAAAGGAAAACAATGAGAGAAAAAGATTCTTCTAGGATGTAAAAATGGCAAAACAGGCCATATATGGTGGCCCCTGCCTGTAATCACAGAGTTTTGGGAGGCAGAGGCAGGAGGATTGCTTGAGGCCAAGAGTTCAAGACCAGCCTGGGCAACATAGCAAGACCTCATCTCTACAAAAAAAGTCAAAAAATTAAGTGGGCATTGTGGCATGTGCCTGTAGTCCCAGCTACACAGGAGGCTGACGTGAGCTACACAGGAGGCTGAGCCCAGGAGTTTGAGGCTGCAGTGAGCTATGATAGCATCACTGCACTCCAGCCTAGGTGATAGAGTGATACAGTAAGACCCTGTTTCAAACAGAAAAGAAAAAAAATTGCAAAACAAACATTGATTCCAACTATACCTAAGAAATACTCGAAACTTTAGGATAAAGCTGAGCTCTAATTCAGTATTGTCAAGAAAGTATACCTTAAAGAACATTTTATAAATGAAGTTCCTACAAGATGACTATTACTTCTGAAGTGGGAATGCACCATGAATATAGAACTTGCAAGAGTGAATTTAAGGGGTAGAAATGTGGAATTTTATAACCTGGCAATGAAAGTGACTGAAACCACATTAGTCAGGCAAAATAAGCTGATCTCTCTAACTACAGGTAAAATAACATTCCAAACATTGAAAAATGTACACAATCAAAATTGTACGTGGTAGGGGTTTAAGAAACCATTTCCCCTGCTAATTTTTGATGTTTACATGGAATGTTCTTACAGCAGCAAATAACTTACCAATAATCTTGACAGACTGAAAATGATACATCTTTACCACAACATAAATTAATTCTCTCAATGGGAAATTGCTAAAATAGGCAAGGTGTCAGAAAGATTTCTTTATGTCTGAAGGAAGGGAAATGATTCCATTTCTTCCAAACATTCTTACATGAAAAATAATAAACTCTCACTTTTAAACTGTCTTTATTTTCATGGGGTCCTAGGCACCCGTCACTAATTGGGGCAGTCACAGTTATCTGGGGTTGGACATGAGTCAGTCCATATTACTTCAGGTATAAAACACAGCCAATGGGAAACTGTTCCCATAATTCATATTATATGTGAATAAGTATCATAGCAATACCCAGAAAAGAGGATTGCGGAATTACACTACACTCTCTTTCATTCCTTAGATTTACAACATAAATGTTACAAAAAGATCCTGGAAAGTCAATCTTCACAAAATAAAATATAAGGGAAACATGGTGGTCTATTCAAGGAAATGGACAAATGCCTAACACAAATGAACTGGTTTGTCCTCTAGAAGCATGACCTTGATTCTGTTCCTAAAATACAAAGTTGAAAACCCCAGATGAAAGAAATGAACATTTATTGAGCACTGTGTTATACATGTGCTATCACATTTAACTTTGACAAAAAATCTATATAATGGGTATTAGTGACTTGCCCAAGGTGACACCATTTGTAAAGAAAGAAGTTAAGGCAGCAACTCTGGTTTATCTCCCATACCTAATCTGTCTTCAAAATGTTCAATCCTGATTGAACACACGGTGTCTGTCAACCATGAGTCCCCTGAGATGCCCCATAAAGAAAGAGGTCCCCTAATCAGAGCAACTAAGTTTGGGAAATTTACTAAATCCTCCCCTTGGAGACTAACAGTGCATATTAAAGCCCCGAATTAAAGAAATCCATTTAACTTTGTCTAACTCATCATCTCCCCAAACTTACTAGGAAATCCCTTTTCCCCAACTAGTATTTTGTGAAGTTAGTATTCTGAAACACACTTTGCACAATGGAAAATGGATGACAGAGAAATACGTAAACTGTCAGAGAAGATAATTTTAATCATGGCTAAGGAGATGATGGTGTGGTTACAAGTGGGTTCTCTTTGCTCTTCGATTCAACCAAAATTTTGAATAAGACCCCCAGTGCCCTAGTCCCCGCCTACCTCCTCAGTCTCATCTTACACTCGGGCCACCTGGCCTTTCAGTAATGGGGACCTGCCAGGCTGTCCCCCTCCATGGAGCCTTTGCAGAATGTTCCCTTTGTGACATTGCTCCCCCTTTCCTCTTTACTTAGTTGACTCCTATTTATCTTTCAAAGGAAGCCTTTCCTGACTGGGTCAAACTTCTCTCCGGATGCCCTCCTATCACAGAATTCTATATAGCACTTGTCATGATTACAGGGTTATATTTATTTGCGTATTGATTTGATTAGTGACGGTCTATACTCCCACTGGGGGAAGAGAGCTATTTCTCTGTTTCTCAGACAGCACAAACATGCGGACCTCTTCCACCATCTCTATTCACTCCTGCCCAAGGAGGAACAGTGACTTAATGAAGCATGAACTAGGGAAGAAGGGCTGGGCACGCTCTGCTCAGGGTCCAGAGTGCGCTCTGGTCAGCTACCACCCTGGGGTAAGCTGAGAAGTGCACTTTGGGAAATAAATTGAATTCTGGGAAGACATACTAGGAAGCCCAATTGTTACAGATCCAAGCTCCATTCTGTGGTTTAGCTTTATGTAATAATACAGTTGATATTTTGTTCTTCGTCTATGACTGCTATTTTACTTTTTAATCATTTCCACACTTGGGAGAGGAAGACAAGAGTGATCTTGTTTGGCCCCTAGAATGCCAATATCCTCCAACAGGTGTAAGCTCCTGAGGTCAGGGCAGGGGGCCTCTCTCTGCTCACCTCAGTAGCTCAGTTTCTGGCACTTGTGAGGCATTCAAAATGCCATTTCGCCCAGGCTGGTCTTGAAATCCTGGCCTCAGGTGATCCTCCTGCCTCAGCCTCCCAAAGTGCTGTGATTATACATGTGAGCCACAGCACCCAGCTGAAGTTCTAGTTTCTTGAGACATGTAAGTCTACCAAGGTTTTCTTACTAATATTTTCTTTTAAACAACTGAACTTTGTCTTCAGATTATTATAGGCTAATCCTAATGTGGAACTGAGGATAAAGTTTTGAGCAGAGTTGATCCAAATCAATGAAGATGGTACCCTTAAAAGGACAGAAGCCTCTTTAAGGCGAGGACCTGGAGGAGAGCAGATGAGAGTGCTGGAGTAGTGCACATCCACATGTGTGTCAGGGAGACTGACGGGAAAGAGAAGGCAAATAGGAGAGATGGACTGGGAAAAATAAAATGGATTACTTGATTGGTGAATAGGTGGGTATAAAGAAGCAAATGAAAAAGCTAAATTGAAGGGCAAGTTTCCACTATCTATAGAAAAAGCTGGAGAAGACAAGGACTCCCCCTTCTTCTCAAGGTGTTGTAAAAACAATGAAGTCTCCTTGGAAGAAAAATTATATCTAAATTTCTCCAAGACTGCTTAATAAATTATGTTTTCTCTAAAGGATACAATTATTTTAACTGTTTTACAAGAGAAAACGTTCATAATATATTTAGTTGTAAATCGGGTGATGAAATATGTATTACAGAGCCCATTAAAAATGTTGTGTAGATGGGTATGCATGGTAAAAATGGGAAATATATTGACAAAAAATCTACAAAACCATTATCACATGCATATTAACAATAATCTATAAATATTTCTTCAATAATAAATTAAAGAATTTATCAATATGTAGACTAGTGAAAGGATCAACGATGTGGTGGGTCTGTGTCGTCATCTGTCCCCAGCCCCTTTCTGCCCCCAGCACATCACACACACTTTCTCTTTCTCCCCTCTCCTCCTTCTCAAGGCGGTAGGGCCAGGCCACTCACCTGTCGGAGTGCTGCTGCGGAATGAAGAGGAGGGGGTGATGGGTGGGGTCACGGGGGGAGTAAGGCTTCCACTGCTGTGGCGTGGGGGAGTGGACACATTCCCTCGAGACACTGAGCTGGACAGAGTCAGCGAGAGCTTCGGCTGAATCTTCTTCTTTAGGGACTCCTGCTCTCGGCGGGCAGCATCTGTCATGAATCTGAAACAATAATGGAAGGTAAGGAACCTGGGCCATGTATAGAGCATGAGGACTGATGACATTTATTAGAGTTTCAGACATGCACGACCCTGGAAAAGGACCTTGGCCACAGGTCAGTCCCAATCTCAAAAACTCACAACAGCTTCCCTTTTCCAATGCAATGGAATTATCTTCTAGCTTGTTATTTTTAAGGTTTCTCAAAGTCAGGTCCATTTCTTACCCAGCAAATCCTCCTTGCCAGGAAGCTTATACACACAGAATACATCTGCACCCACTGTAATACTTTCAGTTACAAGACTTCCTCTCTTGGAAGGTCTGCTCTCTTTTTCTACCCATAGGAAGCCCACACATCCTCAAAGTTCCCCAACCACTCCTAAGTAGACAGTGCTTCCTTTATCTGCAGGTTGGCAGTATTTCTTCTTTGTACCACTTAACTGCCATCTAACATAAATGGCCTCATGAAAACTTTTTTTTTTAAATTTTTTGGTATTACTTTGATTCTCATATTGTTATTTGGGTTTAAAAACTTTTCTTGGCTAATTGAGTCCTTGCTTCCCTAGTCATGAAGGCAAGGATTCTAGTCCCCAGTTCCTAGCACAGGGCCAGGCCCACCTCAGGAAACACAGACAGAACTGCATACATCTGCCCAGGAAGATTCCAGAAGAAGGGAAGAGAGCAGCACAAGGAAGGAGGTCACCACTGATGATTTGTTTATGTTCTAATTTTATTACTCATAAAGAGAAAGGTGACTTTTCCTGATAGTTTCACTTTGGAAACTTCAGTTATTCTTCCAGTGCTTCTCTGATGTTGGTAATATTCAAACTTTGTTCTTTTCTCACTGTATAATCTACCATTTTGTAAATTCCTGTAATATGAGATTCAAAACAATCTATGAAATGGTATCTCCTACCTAAAGAACATTCACCTTTTCATATTGGCAGGCAAACTTTGTCAGCTGCATTTTTGAAAATTGCCATAGAAAGCATAGTCCATAAATGTATGATAGCGTTCAGATGATAAAACCACAGCTGTCCCCACCACCTAGGCTAAGAAACAGAACATTCCATGCCCCCCAAGGCCTCTCTCCAACACCTCCCGCATCAATTATATTTTGACTATTTCAATATAATTTATCATAAGCTCACTGCATTGCACTTAAACATGGTATTTCACCTAACCTATTTCACATTTTGTCTACAAAATTCCTTAGTATTTTTCCTCACTACACAATGAAGTTTTGGAAGTCAACAGATAGTTCTAATACCTGGCGAAAGCTTGAAGTCAATTAAACACCCAATGAAACAACAGTAATACTGTTACGCTGTCTTAAAATTTCTATTTTTATACTTGGAACATGGATGGCACATTTCTTGAATGGTTCTTGCAATATAATCCAGATATATAAACTGGATTTTATATGCTGAACTGAGCTTAGTAATAAAGCTTTGCCTTGAGCTCTTAGGTTTTGTGCTATAGGATAGTGATGATTTAAAAAGAAGAAAGGAATGTCAAGGCAAAAGAGAATTGTTTGCACCTGGTAGCCAGGTAGGTACTCATTTATCTTCAGATGCAAAACTGGTTCTATTGTCCTTAAACTTCTTTCCCTCCGCCTCATAAACCTCTACTAAAAATACAGACTCACAGAGAAAAGCAAAGAACTAGTGCTTTTTTTTTTATTATCCTAAGAAGAACTGCTAACTATCATGGTGCTGAGCTTCTCACACTGGGGTATGCAGTGCGCCAGGGAGTGGCAAAGCCACAGGATAAACAGGCTGCTGCTTCCAGGAAGGCCGATTGTTCTCGAGGGTTAAGTAATTCAAACTAGTGTTTCAAATAGCAAAATAAACACGGACATGCTTATGGGGGTAGAAAAAAATGTTTACATCTTGCATTTTAGTTAAGAGCATGGTATTTGGAGTCAGGCCGGGGTTCAAATCCTGGCTGGGTTATTATGTAATTTGAGGCAAGTTGATAAACTTCTCTGAATCTCAGGTTTATTCTCTGTAAAATGGGAATGAGAGTAGGTAAGGAATTAACGTACGTCTTTTCCCTTTCTACACGGGAGTCTGATCTTTGGCTACATTTGGTAACCTGCTAAAAGAGTGTGTCAACTATGTTACTAGGCAACACTATCTACGTAAGAATGACCTCTGACTGGTGAACTGCACAGCCTGGAGGATCTAGGAACCTGTAGCTATCTGATAGGAAGCCAAGAATCCTGATTTGGACTTCCCGAGCGTGGTGATCTTGTAGCTGGGCATGGCCCTTGCACAGAATGGGGAGCTATGCCCAGAGCGTGTTTCAAGAGCTTTGGCTCCTATGGGGCGTGAGGCTCTTCTACCAGGATAGCTTCCACTCCTACCTCTCTGCACCTGAACAGACTCCCACGTGCACTGCTGCAAGGGTGCCTGCAGAAGGCGACTTGTCCTCCATCCTCTGAACAGACCCAGTGCCCTATGTGGCCCACGGTCATCTGTGAGTCTGAATGTTCACAACCTAAGAAGGTGACTTGTTGGCAGACGGGGCAATAACATTTCAACTTCAGAGGACTGTTGTGAGAGTAAATGAGGTAATTGGCCTGTCATGTACCAAGTGGCTCAAAATGCAGAAGCTGTTATTAATTACATAAAGCATTATTATATCGTTATGTCTCTATATTTTGTCCACCTTACTCAACTCCAAGTGTCTTGAGGACACACCACACACCCATGGCTCTGAAAGCACTGAGCACACACGTGCCTCGTGTAGAGCAGAAATTCCGTTTGTGGAATGGCTGAATGGAATAAACCCAGAGGGTGCATATCCAGTGTAAGAGACAGAGGGAGAGACAGCCAGAGGCAGAGAGAGAAAGGCTTCTCTACGTCTAACTCATATATATATATATATATACATCGGTTTTTTTTTTTTTTTTTTTGAGATGGAGTCTCGCACTGTTGCCCAGGCTGGAGTGCAGTGGCACGATCTCGGCTCACCTCTGCCTCCTGGTTCAAGCAATTCTCCTGCCTCAGCCTCCCAAATAACTGGGACTACAAGTGCCACCACCATGCCCAGCTAATTTTTGTATTTTTAGTAGAGACAAGGTTTCACCACATTGGCCAGGCTGGTCTTGAACTACTGACCTCAAGTGCTGCACCTGCCTCGGCCTCCCAAGTGCTGGGATTACAGAACTCATACCTCTTGTTGTAAAATACTCTCCTACAGCTCAGATATAACACAACAACTATAAACAACCATAACAACATTCACACACACAAACCCCACCTTCACCCTCACATGGGTTTGGCCAGCTACAGACAGCAATCTGGATTGGGGTTATATCTTCTATAGTGCTTTCTAGAAGCAAGAACAAGGCACCCATGTTAAAAGCATTAAACATGAAACACATTCTTAAAGCCCTGTCGCTAAGACTTCCTCCTGCAGTTCTCCCTCCTCTCTTGGTGTTGTGAACTTGGACATACAACCTATAAATCATGGTAACCTTGACATACCAAGGTACACAGCTGCACAATTTGTTCTAGTGACAACCATACACACACACACCCACACCACCCGCCCCCACAAACACACACAGGAATGCCACACAAACGCTGTGGGAACCCTGGTTAAAAAGGGCCCGTGTCTCCCCTGCACTAGCATGCTGCTCCTCTTCCTCCTCCCTTCATTAACCATGACTTAACCCATTTTCTGAGACTTAATTTAGTAAGTAAATTCTCAAGTTTTTGAGCAATGTTCCATCAGCACAGCTGTCTGTCAAAAGGTGGGCAGATTCCTAGTGGCAAGGAGCCATTTGGGGAGACAAAAGTGTCTAGAGAAGCCAAGGAGGCACAGCAAAGGCTGTGATTCTGGCCAACAAATGAGGACTATGTTCCCTGTTTCACCAAATATCAGGTCTGGAAAGATTAACCGTGTTGCCAAGGCTGAGTTCAGGTTAAGCAAGTCATGTGACTCAGTGGCCTAAGCTTTCCTCAATGAGTCTGGACACCACTGGTGATCTTTCTGAAGCCCTCAGTAATCACGGCTGATGTGGATATTTTTTTGGAGACAGGGTCTCGCTGTCACCCAGGCTGGTGTGCAGTGGTGTGATTACAGTGCACCGAAGCACCAACCTCCTGGGCTCAAGCAATCTTCTTGCCTCAGCCTCCCAAGTAGCTGAGACTACAGGCACGCCCCCCCATGCCCAGGTAATTTTTGGATTTTTTGTAGAGATGGGGTCTCTCTATGTTGCCCAGGCTGGTTTCAAACTCCTGGGCTCAAGCAATCCTCCCACCCAAAGTGTTAGGATTATAGGTGTGAGCCACTGCGCCTGACTCACTTGGGTTTTAGAGCAGGAAGGAACCTTGGTTAAGTCAGATCATCAGGTCCAGCCCCCTCATTTGTTACAGTAACTGTGAACTGAGGTGGTGTGACCTGTTTGAGGTCATTTAGGATAGTGGCAGAGCTGGCATCAGGGCCCAGTCAAGCCTGGGGATGCTGTCATGGTTTTCACAGTTGAAAGTGTTCAGGGAGCTGGAGCATGGGGACTGGGGAAATGCAGTGAGAACTCCTCTGGCGGTTTACATGGGGGCAGTGGGCAGCTGGGAGAACAAAAGGCTCATCCTCTCAATGTCAGTCCATCCTGCTGTGTGGGACCACTGGGCTCCCCGGTTGTGGCAGGGGAGGTCTCTGGAATTGTAGCCCCACTGGGCTACGATCTGGGAAAGGCTGGCTGTGCCCACCTCCCAGAATTCTCTCTGCTTTGCAATGGTGACACTGCTCTGATCTGGCAGCCGCCGTGTGCTGGAGCTGGCTCATACTGGGTTGTGAAAGCTGACTTAAATTTTCAGGGATTTGGTGAGTCTGTTGTTAAACACAGCCGTTATTAAAAACTAAATGACGTAAATAATTAAATCAAGTGCTTTGTTAAAAACAAGGATATTTAACTCAAGGCTCATCACTTATTTTATTGAATTTTAATATTATCTATATTCTTGTTATTTACATTAACATTTTATCTATTTGGTAGAATTATTTATAACTATATTCTGTATAATGCAAAGTAACCTACTCTGTGTTCAGTAACATGTGGGTAGCTTGAAATTGGCTATGGCAGGAGTATTTACACCACAGAAACTGGCAATAACACAAATTGAGACTTTTTTCCTCCCCAAGTCAGTTCAACATTTGCCAGTACACCTTCTAGTGATTATTATTTTTTAATGTGGGGAAAAAAAAGCATTTGAACCGGGCTTCTTGCCTACTCACTAAAGGAATTAATCAGGGAAGGAACGAAGAATGAATAAGAAAGTCTTCTTTTTTAAAATTGTAAAAAGTAATATATCTCAGTAAAGAACATTTACAGAACATTTTTTATGGATTTGTGACTTATGTTTAAAAAGTTTTTTAATTGACCAACACACAGGTTAGGAAAAGAAATGAAATAAAGGTATTTTTTAAAATTATGGAATATATATGCAAATCAATATATACATTTCCACACATAAAGATTTTAATAAAATAGAAATCCGTGTACCTACCATTCAGCTTATGAAAAGAATTTTTGATGTTTCCTGTGTAAAAACTTTTTTTTTTTTTTTCTAAGAGACGTATTACCCAGATAAAACTATGGTTGATATTTTAGGGTTTTTCCTTCTAACATTTTTCTACACGTAGAGAACACTGAATATTTCTTAAAGAAAAAAAGTCACTTGAGACTCTTTCACTCACTGTTGACTAACAGCCTGAAAATCTGCGGTCAGGCAAAGCAGTGTTTTCATTTTGAAACTGAAACTGCTGTAAGATTAATTTCAACTTCCCTACAAATCAGAAATGTCTAAGTTACTTTAATTTAATATGGTCATTTGTAGCAATATTTGTTATTGCTAGGGGAAGTACATATTCCTTAAGTAAATTTTCAAGACTCCATTATAAATCTTTTAAATCCTCAGACCACAATGTTCATTCAGTCTGACATGCTCAACGTGGAAACATGAATATAACTCCACAGGGGGAAAATGTCAACTGCTGGTCCAGGGAGACTAGTTTCAACCACAAACTCAGGAAATGTACACTATTTGCTGGAACCTGGGCAGAGACTCCATTGCCACCTCACTCCATGGCCAAAACACCTGAGTCTAAGTGACCTGCTGGGGAAAAAAATCACTTGGCTTTCACTGGATCAGAGAACTCAGAAACTGAAGTGACCACTTGAAACTGCAGTCTCAGAAAAAACTGAAAACTCCAAGATGTGTGGTGTGATGTGGCTGTGATTATGAGACTCTGGAGAGGACACATGGTCCAGAGGCCTGCACTGCATGTCGCCAGGAGGCTTGTTCTGGGGCAAAGAAACTGGTGGCCTCCGGGAGTCACTGTATTCACTTTTGTGGTCCTAGTTTTTCTACCTGTTAAAATTGAGATTTGGTTTTATGGATATATGGAATACATCACTGCTAGGGTCCTTCCCAGTTCTAACAGTGAATGATTCCAGCAATAGCACTGTGCAGTATTTTTCAAACTTTGTTTTGACTTCAACCCATTATAAGAAACGTATCTCACGGTGCGACCTGGTGCGCTCACATGTATAAATAGGCCTGCAACCTGCAATTTTGAGATCTCCAAAGCTCTGAAACCTGAAATTTTTTAAAAATAAAGTTTGGCACTAAAACATCATTGGAAGGCAAACTAACCTGACTGGGTGAAAGGCTACTTACAGATTTTATTGTATTTACTGAAAATATTCATGTGTTTCACTGTATAAATATTAATGTACGTGATTATATGGGGCTGCCCCAGACCCTAATGGGGGTATTATGTAATATGAAGTATTTCTACTATATTATCTTTATGAAATCTAAAAAATTATGAATAATGAAACATTTCTGGACTCAAGGACAAGACATTTTAATATAAATATCTGAAACAGAAATTTCACAAAACAATCTTTACTACATGTGATATACTCTGTCATTTTCCTGTTCTATTTCATTTTAACAAAATATGATGGTCATGACCACCACATTGACTTCTTGACCCCCTGGGAGGTCATGGTCTGGAGTCTGAATATATTAGTGTAGCAGTTAAGAGGGTGGGCTTTGGAGGTAGACTGTCTAGATTCAAATCCCTGATCCATGCCCTGCTAGCTGTGTGATGACATTGGGCAAGTTACCTACCTAGCCTTTCGGTGCTGCCATTTTCTCATCTATAAATGGTGACAATGACAGGTCCGACCAAGGGTTGTGGTGAGGATTAAGTAAGTTAATATTCATAAAGCACTTAGAACAGGGCCTGACACTTCGTGCTTAACAAATGTCAGGTTCCTGGTTCATAAAAGAAGTGATTAACATGCTGGGCACGGTGGCTCACGCCTGTAATCCCAGCACTTTGGGAGGCCGAGATGGGCAGATCACAAGGTCAGGAGATCGAGACCATCTTGGCTAACACAGTGAAACCCCATCTCTACTAAAAATACAAAAAATTAGCCAGGCATGGCAGCATGTGCCTGTAGTCCCAGCTACTCAGGAGGCTGAGGCAGGAGAATGGCGTGAACCTGGGAGGCGGAGCCTGCAGTGAGCCGAGATCGCGCCACTGCACTCCAGCCTGGGCGACAGAGCGAGACTCCGTCTTAAAAAAAAAAAAAAAAAAAAAAAGAAGTGACTAACACTTGTACTGGAAATCTTAACTCGCAAACCTTTCACCTTCTGCCATCTACACTAGCATTTGGTTACTTTGGGGCACGGAATATTAGGATTTTAAATACTGCCATCATGAGTTTTGCTGATTCTGAAAGCAAAGAGCCACCTTTACTGATTCTGCAGGCATTAATGTTATTTTTATTTATTTTTTGGCTCACTCTGTCGCCCAGGCTGGAATGCAGTAGCATGATCATGGCTCACTAGCAGCCGTGTGATTTTCTCATGTCAGCCTCCTGAGTAGCTGGGACTACAGGCGTTCACCACCACATCTGGATAATTTTTTGTACTTTTTGTAAAGATGGGGTTTTACCATGTTGCCCAGGCTAGTTTTGAACTCCTGGGATCAAGCAATCTGCCCACTTTGGTCTCCCAAAGTGTTGGGATTACAGGCGTGAGCCACTGTGCCCGGCCCAGGCATCTATTAAATTGCAATGGTATCTATTAAATGGCAATCACAGGCAAATTCAAGAAGACAGATACAATAACTACTCATGAACAGAAAAAGAAGGTTCCTCTCATTAGACAACACGCTGGGGCCCATCTATAAACTCATACACCTCTTCTTACTTCCTGGCCTTGATTTCTAGAGTAGAACAAAATTATAGAGGGTCTTTCCAGCAGGACAGGCAACAGGAGACCCTCCATGCCATGAGCTGCTGGACTGACATCCTTCCATCCAGCTAAGGGCTGTTCTCTGCTTGGCAGATTCATCAAGTTGCACAAGGCTCTGACTTCGTCTGCTAGCAGACCCTCTGTAGAACATCACATCCAACTATGCTTCATTTGAAGTTCAAAAGCTTTGTTCTGCCTTTTCAATGGCCCTTTGGGCATTGCCATTTTTCAGCAAAAACAAGCTTTTGAGAAAAGCTGTGGGGAGTTGGCAGATGGGCCCTGAGATTCCAAGCACTCCCAAATCTGGTAATTCATTGCTCCAGATGATGGTATTTCTGACATGACAATCTAACCTTCTGAAGGACAGTCTAACATGGAGAGTAAGGATTTTTCTTTTCTCTGGCTGTTACTATGCAATCCAGGACAAGGATGGATAGAGAACCAGTAAGTAAGCAAAACAGTGCATGGCACATTTGAAATGTGGCTGTAGGAAACGGTGATGGAAATAATGGGTACATTTCAGCATGCAACCATGTGTGGCCCACATGTCAAAGGATCTGGCTGCTCTAGGTCTCAATGTAATGATGGCTTTCAGAACGTACATCTGCTAATAAATTCATGTGGCGGATCTTCTTATTTTAGCAGCAACTTAATTCCATAGTGAAGCTAAAGGCGTATTTGGTTAAAACAGCGAGTTAGTAAAACGACCTAGAAACAGCAAGTGGAGTAATCATTTGTCAGCACCCCTTCGTTAATAGAATGGCCTTTTTTGGTGATCTGGGAACTTAATAAATGTACTTTTCAGTAGAAAAGAGAAAATCTGGATTTCCAAATAACATTAATTTCAGAAAGTTTCTAGTAATGCTTTAAATAATCCTATGTTTCACTTCTTATCCCAGAGTTATTTCTGACTTCACGATCTGAGGCCCACGGGGTGGATTTTGAAGCTTCATAGAACTTTTGCAGTATCACCGAAACTCTGAGCCCCTTTTAACATGCTATTAAAATTCTAATGAAAAATAATAAAACTAAAAGCAGCACCAGGAAAAAAAACCCACTCCATTTGATCAGATCAGTTTGGCACTTAACTTGTAAGAGGTATTTTTTGTGATTTTTCACTTGACCTTTACAATGGTTGTGGATATAATCTGAGTAGTACACAGCTAATGAAATAGATTGTGTTCTTGGGTACCAAACTAAAACTGACAGACTTACTGCATTAAGAGAGACGTTATTTTCTCTCTCCTTTTCTTTTTAAGACAGGGTCTCACTCTGTCAACCAGGCTGGGGTGCAGTGGTGCCATCACGGCTCATTGCAGCCTTGACCTCCTGGGCTCAAGTGATCCTCTTGCTTCAGCCTCCCAAGTAGCTGGGACTACAGGGATGCACTTCCAAACCCAGCTAATTTTTGTATTTTTTGTAGAGCACCACATCCAAGGCTAAATTTTTGTAGAGGCAGGATCCCACTCTGCTGCCCAGGCTTGTCTCTATCTCCTGGGCTCAAGCAGTCTCGTTGCCTTGGCCTCCCAAAGTGCTAGGATTACAGGCATGAGCTACCCACGCCTGGCCTGTTTTTCTAAGTTTTCTAAGTTTATATATGACATATATGGAAGGATATAGTTCCCGGTCTTTGGAGAATTCTAATCTAATTTTGCATAAAATAAATAAATATGAGGGCAAGCCAATTTCATACCAAACCTTGTAGCTTATTTTGCTTCTAGATGTTCATTTCTTTCTTTCTTTTTTTTTTTTGTGGGGGAGAGGGAAGAAGAAAAGGTGGGGTAAGGATAAAAAAAGATAAAAGGTGATCTTTCCTTCATCTACTGTCTTGACAATCATATTTTATTTATTTTTCTTTTTATTTTTTATTTTTTTTCTTATTTTTATTTTCTTTTTTAAAGGCAGCTACAGTAAATTTATATTCTCTTTGGTATATTATAGTTTGGATATTCCATACCTTTTTTAGTATTTAAATAACATTGGGTTGCCAATTTTTATATTGCCATGTATACCTTATCTAACTACCATCTATCATCACCAGCCTCTAATTAAAAAGGAAAAACTACTTTAACATAAAATATAGGAAGAGCATAATCTTGGAATAAATCCTTTCTTGAGAAAGGCTTTCTTGAGAAAGATTCTTCTTTATTCTGAGATTATGATAACAGAACATAGGAAAAATCTACTTAAACTGTTTTGATGAAGAAAAGCCACAATATAAAATTTCATGTTATCATTACTTTATACTTGCATCACATATATATAGTATTATTTATAACATACTGTTTACAATTATTCTCTAGATGCAAATTTTTAAAAATATCTAAATGTGTTTTCTATTATTATCATTGCGAAAAATTCAGTTGCAAGGAATGCTGACCAAACAGAACTCTTAAATTTAGGTGGAATTGCTTGAAATATGCTAAGCAAACGAAAGAAGGCAAATACAAGGGCACTCAAATCCAGTAGCTTCTCCTTTCCAAGAGCTGGGAGGTGGTGAGCAAGAGCTGAGTGTCCTCTCACAGCTGGACACACAGAGGGGTGGTGAGGTGCTGGATGCCCCCGTTCCCTGGCCCCACATGCCCCAGGCAGACACTGCAGACCAGTGGAAACGTCCTCATGAACAGCAGCAGACTAGCAGCTGTGGTGTGGATAGCACTTAAGAACCACTTTTTTAAACCAGTAGTATCTTTTCCTAAATTTTGGCACTCAAATGAAATCCAGGCACCAAAGCTGAGCCATTGAAATAACAAAATCCCATTCCTGAATACTATGTCTTTGTATGTTCCCAACAAATATTGTATATTTTCTTCACAACTATGGAATGATATAGTCAATCTACCTTAATGAAAGCTTGCTCAGGCTCTGGCAATCACTCTTTAAAGTCACAGGTCAGCATAAATTATCAGTGAAGCAATTAATTTTGATTTACTTTAGCCTGAATAAAATAAACCATGGTCTTTTCCGTCATTGATGCCAAGAATAAAAAACACTTCTGAAAGCTACCATACCACAAGTCTTTGGTTTGGAGACCAATGGAATATCTTTCTCTTGGCAACTCCCTATCCTCCTTTCCGTTCCTTTTCTACCCTCATTGAATTGCAAATAACTATGGCTATTTCTTACACATGGTTTTCATTGCTAATTTGACATCCACGTAAAGACTAATGAACAAAACAAAGAAGCTGCACTTTACAAGGTTTTGTGGTATAAAACTACAAATAGCTTTTCAGTTTTCTTGTTTTGCCTCCTCTAGAAGTAAATTAAATGAGTTATTGAGGTTTCACTGTAAGCTGCTAATGAGATGATGCGTAACTTTCCCCATAAACTAGAAGAAATTTAAAAACTGAAGAGAAAGTTGCACTAAGGCTCTTAGAGTTTTAAATCCAGTATTCAGCTGGGAACACAGCCTGGTGGGTGAAAAAATCTAGGTTCTGAAGGCAAACTCTTAATCTGAGTTAGTTGGTGTTCAAGCTTAGAAAATTAATGACTCCTTCTCATCTTGGGGTCCTCCTTATAAAACAGAGGTAATCCTAACACCTACCTCATGGGGTTTATTATCAACATCTCATTGGATAAATGCATGAAAAGCCCTTGGCTCCACATAATACTCAATATATGTTAGGAGACCACTCAGAGTTGTGGTATTTCCATGGGTGCTGGCCTTGTGCTCCTGACCCTTTCCCAGGAAGGAGAAATTGTTTATAAATTTAACTGCCATCTAGGAGAATTCTTACATAAGAGGTAATTTCTTGGGGGAACCTATGCAGTCCACAGTTGGGCTAAGATAGGTATCGAAGCCTGGGATTGGACATCTCCATTTCCAAAGAAAAGTGCTTCTCTGATGTTGCATGGCCTTATCCTTAGGTGAATTCTTCTGACAAGGTGGGGTGGGTGACCATCAACATCCAGCTAAGAACAAGGGACTCCCGGGGAATCTAGCACCAGGGGGTGAGGCACACTGGAGGTGTCCAGTTAATTAAACACTGGGTTGAGAAAGGGGAGGAGAAGCAAATGAGATGGTAGAAGATTCTCAATGTGAGAGGAGGTCTCAAATAGGTAGGGTTTTTCTATGCCAGAGATGGCACACACAGTGGCTCTCGTGCCACTTAAATGCACTCTGCCCAAGACGGCCACACGAATCGATTACAGCACTCTTGCCTGTGCTGCTTTGGGACTCAGCCTTACAGTTTTCTTCAGCACTGTGCCCTAGGTAGTCACTACAAACCAATGAAGGTGACATGTAAGCTGAAAGTCTGTGCCATCGTGGACTTACACATTTTCTTCTATATCTACTGAGATTTCCACTAATACCCTGGCCTGGGCATTTGGTACATACTTTATCCCTTCTCAGAAAATCAGAGAACAAAGCTGGCAGACTGTAATATCTGAGAGAGAAAGTTGAGTATGTCTAAGACAAGAGCTGTCCCCAAGCTAAAGCAAGAATATTAGTGACATATTCAGATAACAGCATCTATTCATGAAATGTAATTATGTATGGGCCAACTGCTCAAATTTATGGTGTATATGAGACTTGTTTATACACAGAATAGCAGTCAGCAAATTAGCATTGTTGAAAGATAGAGCAGAGTTTACAGCACTTTTTCTTAAATGAAGTACTAATAATAAGACAGTAAAACTATTTTGGGGGCAAAGCCAGTTTCCAGCATGGGCTGTTCTGTGACAAAGCATGTGCATGTGGGCATCTCAAGCTTACAGACCTCAAGTCTCATGGGTTTTGGGGGTTGATTTTTTTTCAAAGTGATTTTTTGCCTTTTGTTGCAAGAGTTCAGTTAAACTACTTCTGAACTTAAAAGCATTAAATAAAATTCATGGACGGTCACTGATTTGGACTAAGGTTCTGCACTAGGCCCCAACTGAGCAGACCAAACCAGAATGGAGTTGCTCAGGCTAAACTTTGAAATGGGCCAGTTTTCCAAAAAAACAGGACAGTCACAGCAACCAATCAGAAGGGGCCCAGTTTACCTAAGCTGGAAGTCCCCTGTAAGAACAACAAATGACTTTAAAAGAACCAATGCACTTTTTGTTCTGTTTCTGCTTTTCTCAGCCCTTTTCTGCCTATCAGGCCAACCTCATCTACTCAGCTCATTGGAACACACATTCTATTTTATAAAATGAGGTGTTGCCTGATTCGAGAATCACAAATAAAAATCAAGTGAAGTCTTTAAATTTGTTGTAATTTTGTCTATTGACAAGTTTAGTTTTCCCTGTTATCCAGGAGGCTGGCACCTGTTGAATATGTTCAGGTATTATTAGGTTATTCAGGTAAGTACACACTTGAATAATATTCATTCATTCATTCATTCATTCAGAGGCAGAATCTCGCTGTGCTGTCCAGAATGGAGTACAGTGGCGTGATCATAGGTAACTGCAGCCTCGACCTGCTGGGCTCAAGCAATCTTCCTGCCTCAGCCTCTTGAGTAGCTAGGACTATAGTTGCACACCACCAGGCCCTGCTAATTTTGAATAACCACCCAGGCCCTGCTAATTTTGAATAACCACTTTCTTTTTTTAATTGAAGAAATGTGAAGTTCCATGCCTCCTCTTCTGCCTACTGAAGGTTAACCCAATTAGTCTGAGTGCTAAATATACTTGGTAAACTGTGAACTGTGTGTAAATCTTGGGTATGGAAAGGACGCAGATGTTGATGATGGTGATAATTTAAACTTTTTATTAGGCATAATTTCAAAAAAAAAAAACCCACCACTGGCCGGGCGCGGTGGCTCATGCCTGTAATCCCAGCACTTTGGGAGGCCAAGGCGGGCGGATCACCTGAGGTCGGGAGTTCGAGACCAGCCTGACCAACATGGAGAAACCCCCATCTCTACTAAAAATACAAAATTAGCCGGGCATGGTGGCACATGCCTGTAATCCCAGCTACTAGGGAGGCTGAGGCAGGTGAATCGCTTGAACCTGGGAGGTGGAGGTTGTGGTGAGCTGAGATCCGCCACTGCCCTCCAGCCTGGGCAACAAGAGTGAAACTCCATCTCAAAAACAAAAAACAAAACAAAACAAAAAAACAAAAAACCCACAACAACCGCCACAATGTCAATATTTTGCTATCTTATTTAAGCTTTCTCCCTTCCTCCCTTTTTAGGCCATGATTGATAATTCACATATTTTTCATCTTGTGTTCACATAATCACTTAAAAATATATACGGATTTTTAAAAATGGAAGAAAGGAAAGACAGAAGAGAACAAAGGGAAAAGGAAATTTTTCCAACATAGTTCCTGGGAAATACCTAACATAGATTCACAATTAAGATGGCCAGCAGCATAACCGCAGGGACACAACACACACTGCCAAATGCTTGCAAAGGAGGAGCACTGTTATATAGAGTCTATACCATTGAATGACACTGAATGTTTATTAATTTGAAAATATCAGCCAATGGTTCCCAACTCTTTCAGGTATGAGAGTCTGTTATAATGTCAAATGGTATGCTGTCTTGCACAGTATAGTGAGATTTTGGTGGTTTTTAAGTTAGAGGGAAAAAAGAATGACATAAAACCACTATTCAGTAATGCTTTGAAATCAATGTGTATTTTATAAGCTCTCCTAGCCACCTTTCCCCTACATGCTCCATCCCATGCACAGCTCCCATGCAAAGCCTGCACAAATTTATGGGTTATCTGGAAAAAAATTCAGGGGGTATGTGTGTGTTTAAATTTTTCAAGAATGTCACTACTTAACTGCTAATGAAGTATTTCTTGGAGGGGCCTCTGGACCTTCTGCTGATTTACAAGGAGCAGCCTTCATTTGCATGCCAAAGGCATGCACTAATCCTGGGCATCAGCTGGCTCCCAGGAATGCATGCGTCCCACAATCCTGTTTATCCTGCTGGTTTATTTAGCAAAGCTTTTCTCAGAGAGTACAGGCCCCTATTTCAGGCCAGCCAACCTGATTATCCCAAATCCCTAATTAGTGTAATTAAAGCTTTAATGGATTGCAGCCGGGATATAAACCAGGCAAACCCTCTTTAAAACCCATTACTTGCGTATGCAGGAATGGTCCACAGCAGAGGGCTCCTTTTTGAGTGACTGAAGGTCCTGGACACCTCTGCACCCAACACCCGGGCCATTTTTGGTGACCAGGGAGCCTCTTTCACCAAGTTCGTGTATGCAAACCAAGCGGTTGTTCCCCCCACCCCAAGTATCCACTGAAGCAATGGGCATTTTCAGATGGGGTTACCTCTCAATCATTACTGCACCAGATGCTAGCCTCGTGGAGATTTTCCTTCTGTTATTGTGCCCTGGGAAATGAGACAAATACCCTAACTAAAATAATTCCAACCAACTAGGAGAATCTTGTCAGACCCTGCCGAGCACTCTTATATTAACCATGATGCACAGAATTGCTCAGAACTTTTCCAACAACCAAACACCGAAGAGCTACAGCTTTAAGCCAGATTTAATCCATAGCGTTTTTAGGTGTTCCCAACGGTGTGCAAACTAACCCCTTCTTAAAATGGCTCTGGAGAGCATTCACATTATCCAAGCTTCAGGTGGATATCTGGATGTTAATATTAAAGAAGGAATAAGGGCAAAAGATCTATGACTTTTAAAGTCTTTTTAGTATGTGATATGCTACGTGCTTTATCATTATTACCTTATTTAATCCTCATAACAGCTTGCAAGGGGTTATCAGTCCTATTTACAGATACAAAATTGAGCCTTGAGACATCAGGTAGTTTGCCCAAGGACCCACAGCTAATATCATGCCATAGGAAAGTTACAAAATGCTAAAAGTCTGTGTTGTTCAATACAGTAGCCATTAGCCATATGAAGCTATGAACACCTGAAATGTGGCTAGTACAGCCAAGGAATGAAATTTATAATTTTATTTAATTTTACTTAATTTAAGTAGCCACATATGGCTAAGGGCTACCATATTGAATAGAAACATAAAATTTCCACGATCACAGAAAGTCCTATTGAGCAGTGCTGTTACAACTGATAAGAGCTCCATCTGGATACGCTGGGTGTGAAATGGTGGTGGGATACTCAAGGATGTGGACAAACAGGTCAGTGATCTAGATTTGGGAGTCATCCACCCAGAGGAGAAAACTAAGGGAGCAAGCAGGGAAAAGGAGGCAAAGGTTGAGAAGAGAAACTTGGGGAATACCTGCAGTATAAATGGCAGGAGGAGAGACTGAGTAATGGGTCTCATATATTTTTTTCAGACAATATTTTTATGTTTTTAGATGAACATCTGGGGTACAAACATTATTTAAGAGTGAAGATCTGAAATGAAAAAGTACATTTATTTATTTGAGTGTTTTATGCAAAGACGTCCTCTCAAAGGCATAGCATTTATATCTTCCAGCTCAGAATGGGGGTGTACTGGGAGCTGAAAAATGTTAATAGAGGACATAAGCATCACGTGGCTTTTATGCAATAAGTAGCTCAAATTCCATTTCAATCTGTTCACAAACCCTCCTAAATAATGGGATCCCAACAATTTGCTGAAATAAAACTCTAACATTGGTACCCGCTGTGAAGGGTACTTTACAATAATTTTCACTTACACTTCTTTCAGTTGCCTGGGGGATTCTTTGTGATGTTAACTGACCTTGTATTTCTTACTGTGTAACCAAAAACACCTAGAGAAAAAGTCGACTCCTTTTCCTTATTGGAAGTGAAAAGTCTGCTCACAATGCAGGAATTTTACTTGGGTAAGACCTGAGACCAAACTGGGTTTTCTCTTGGAGAGGGTGAGAAAAATCTTGGGGCTAGTTTACCTCCATACTCTGCATCCTATCGAACGATAGGAGTCCGAAACTCTCACTGACTTCAGAAGAAAATTTTTCACCCACCCCTATAAATGGAGGTGGGTGATGCAGAGAGGGAGGAAGGAAGAGGGAATAGTGAGAAAGGTTATTAGAATGGGCTGTTAAGATTAAGGTTAAAATTAAAACAAAAACCTTGAAATTTAGAGTTCTGAAAAGCCAATTAAGACATTTCCAACTTTTTCCCCCCTATATAATTTACAATGGGGCTTGGGTGACTATTTACAGAACATGTGGCCCAGAGCATGTGGCCCTACAATGCAGAATTTGGAAAAGAGGAATTCTGGGAATTAAAATGCAGAAAGTGCACAAACAGAAGGCCAGAGTTGCCTATGACAGCTGGGAAAAGACTGGAGACGGCCAACACAAAGCTCCCTTTCCCCTGTCATCACTCGTGATGGTGGCAGATACTGTTTCCACTCACGGTGCTGATGATACAGCTGACTCTGGCCTCATTTACGCAATTAACCACACATTCTCTGTGTCCGTATCGCTCCCTCGGAGAACATGAGGTATTTGTGAGGAGACATTGTATCTTTCAGGATATCTGGGAGCTACTTAGTGGGTAATTCACTGAATGCTACCCCAGTGTCTTTGAAAGAGTTAATTCACCTCCTGAGGGCCTCCAGAATCTGCCTCCTCATTAGGCCTTATGGGACCAAAGGGAGGTCAATACAGAACAGCATACATTAAAAAAAAATTTATATACATTTTTTATATATGTATATACATAGATATTTATGTTTACATATTATATATGTATTTATATATATTATATATATATATTTGTGTGTGTGTGTGTAGCCAGATTGAGATTTTCTAACCATACAATGTGTTAAGAAAAGGGAGGAAGAAAAAAACAACAAAAGAACCAGAAGGCCATACCTTTTGGACAAGTAGGACAGCGAGAAGGGAGGTCTTCTCTAGGTCTGTCTCATCTCCGCTGTCTGTGGGCGGAAGAGGGTGGGGAACAAAGAGACCCCACGTGAACAGAGCTTGGTGGGAGGGGCGCTGCGGAGCTAAGTGGTCAGCACAGCTGCAGGAGGAGTGGAAACCCCTTGCTCTCTTTCACACTGAGTCAGAGCACACTGGGTCAAGCTTGCTCTTACCCTCTATTCCTTGACTGATTAACATCTCCAGAAGAAGAAAATCCAACCCACCTATGGGAGCCCTTGCAGATGCCTCATTTCTCTTGCATTCAGGCAGTGAGATACCTTGGCCATTTGCTTTCTGACCTACCTTCTTCTTACTATAATTGAAGTCTAATTTCTCTCTTTCACTCTTAGTGAGTTGTTACCTAGCAGGGGCTCTTAGCAGAGAAGCAAAGGTGGGACCTGCAGGCAAGCCCTGTATCCAGCTTTACCACGTGCTAGTTATATGCCTGTGATAAGCTTTTAACCTCTCTGAGCTTCAGTTTTCTTATCTGTAAATGGGGGTTTCATTGATGTGTTTCTTTATTTCCACAAGTTCTGAAAGCACGTAAGGTGGCTCTTCAGGATAAAGATTTAAAGCACAGTAAAATCGAATGAATAAGAGGGGCGGGAGAACTGAGAGAGAACAAATCTGGGGACAGAGCACAGGGGCAGGAGAAACAAAATGTGGAGAGAACCGCCTGCTATCTGTTTGCTATGTGGGTTGAAAATTTTTGAATACTTGTAAACTGGAAAGTTGAGTCAACAATGCAAGGAATTGCTCCTAATATTTTCAGATGCTGTAACTCCATTTCACAAGTAGTTATGGAGGTACCTGTACGTGGGCTGAGGGGACATGGAGATGGGGACAGGTTCTCTGCTCTTCAAATGCTGCTAACAGCCTGGAATAGGCACCTGAGGGAGGGCACAAAAAATTCTAAAGCCAACTGTGGGGAGTATGTTATGCACAGCGTGAGGCCCGAAGCAGAAGACCACTGTGTATGGTTGGGCCGGGGGCTGTACTTTGGTCCTGGATGTTAAAAACTACTGTGTGTGCTCGTCAACCCCAGCTTCTGTTTTGTTTAGGTTTATATAAATTGTGGCAACCTTTTGTTGCCTGACTGCATTCTGATTTTCTCATGCCTTCAGCAGGACTGCCAGGGAAGTAGCCCTCACATCCCTTACTAAAAATGGAAACTCCTGCTCACCAGCCAAGGACAAGAGTGCTGTGTGGCCAACATTTACCTTGCAATTGTTACTAGATCTCCCATATAGATATAGCACTTCTTCAGAAGCACAGGGCAACAGTTACCTTTCATTTCCACACAGGGGCCTCTCAGGATGCTACAGTAGATCGGTTCAGCCTTGACTCCATCTGATGCCCAATGTCCCTACAGGAAACAGCCTTCTGGATTTCACAAGCCATGCACTGGGCTCCTCTGTTCTAGAACCTCCCTCTAGTGTGCTCATAGGACCTAGTTTATTCATGGCAGTAACCAGAGCGCCATTTACTTTATGTAAAGGATTTTAGCTGGTGAAGAAATGAGCCCCAGCCCTTAGGCGAGGATTAGACCCAGCCTCAGCAACCAATAAGATGGCAACCACCAGCCATTTTAGCTACAAATTACTGTTAAGAGTTTACTATGAGGATGATTCCTTCAAGCAGGCCCTATTAAAAAAATAATCACCATCTGCTAGACTCCCTTCTTTATTAAACTGGTCATTAATTACTGGTAACAACTAATTTTGTCTGGATTTTATTGAGTAATTATAAAATAAACAGGGAGGAGCTCAAGCTTCCTGCCTTGCTGAAGGCAGGAATTCTTTATAATGCTATGTTTCAAAAGGGGGCTGTAATAAATCACCAAATTCCATTTAATATGGTAATTATAATTTGCAAAATTCATCCTTCCTGTGGTTAACGAGTGCCTTCTTTCAGCTTAGCTCAGCCTGACTTCATCTTGGGTCATTAAATAGCAAACTAGTCTTTACTCACTGGTAACAATAGATCTTTCATGGGTTATTGCCTAATTAATCAAGGTGCATAATTTGATCGCTAGCACTTTTTAAAAAGTGTTATATTCCAGGTATCATATAACAATATGGTATTGCTGTAGAGTAATTAAAAATGAAGCAAGTTTTAATGTTTTGATTAGAACAGGTTTATTATCCTGAATAAGGTGAAGTGCAAAGTTTCACTGATGTTCTTCAACTACAACATTTAGGTTGAAACATTTGAAACAAGCCATTAATTTAACAACATGCTCATCCAAAACAAATCATAACTCATTTCTTTTTACTGCAAAAGTAATTGAGTAATGAATAATGAAAATCATCCCACTGAAAAGGGCAGTAAATATATTGACTTTATTATTAATACTCCATTTTGGTTAATAAGGCAGCTATTAAATTTGAAACATGATGGACCTGATTTATTGACTTATTCAAGGTAACAGTGAAATACTATCCAGTAAATACTGGGGTTCTTACAAGAGAAGATTTGATTCTGAAAAATTAAGTAGAATTCAACTGAAATTTCAGTTCATATTTAGAATGATTTGACCTTAAATCTCTTATCCCTGTACTTTGCTTGTTCCTTCAAAGAATTTAAATTGTGTGTGTGCACAGGGGTGGGTATGGGAGGCCTCAGAGGGCCTTACACCATGCACTCTAAACCCTAGTGAGCTGGAATTCTCTGGTGAAGTCAGTAGTGGCTTGATCATTCTTAGACTCTCTCCAAAAGGAGTTCATAATAAAATACCACAAGGACATTAGTTACACCTAAAGGATTAGTTGCAGCCTAAGTCTCAAACCCAACATTTCAGTGATGGTTCAGGGAAAAGAAAAAAAAAAAATGTAAAAGGGATCAGTGGAATTTTTTTTCTCCTTCAAATAGGATTATTTATACTAATATGAATACTTGTTATTCATAGTACTAAGTTTCTTTGAAACCAAGTTAGTGTATACTGAACCATTGCTCCTAGGGGAAATTCAAGGTTAGGTTCCTGCAAGCCTCTGGCCACAACATTTTCCTCAATGGACTAATACATGACCTTGTTTTAGGTGTGTTTCTGTTTAAACATACCTTCTGTAAATACATATTGTTGATTCCTTGAACTCAGGGCCAACAGTACTATGACTCATGCTGGTGTAAACTTACCTGACACATATTTTCTCCTTAAGTCACCTCACAGCCTTCTTGTGCTTAGGGACTCTAGATAGCACTTCAGCGCTATGCTTGGTGCCATTTTTAACAGCAAGATCACCAATAAAAAGCTCAAAATGCAAACAACATGGCACTAAATACAGTGTGAAAAGGACATGCATATAATATAAGAGCTGAAACAAGAAAGCAGAGCACTGCTTCGCTCAGCCTCAGCTGGGAACGTGTGCACTGGTCAACTCAAAAATCCCACCGCTCTGTCCATGTCGGTGAGTGACTGTGAAAGCACCACAAGTAGTGATTTGGGGACACAAATACATTTTAGTGAGAAGGCAAATTTACAAACACCTAATCCACAGATAATAGCAACTGACTAGGCCTGGCACAATGGCTCATGCCTGAAATTCCAGTACTTTGGGAGGCCGAGGTGGGAGGATTCCTTGAGCCCGGGAGCTGGAGACCAGCCTGGGCAACAGAGTGAGATCTCACCTCTTAAAAAAGAAATAACCGATTGTACCTTAAACTACAGGCTCTTACTATGCATTCACCCATGTATTATATTTGCTTATCCACAATTTGGGGACATTTCAAGTGCTTGTCAAACATTTTCTTATTTATCTGCATATTTCAGAGAAGGGCTTCATTTCATTAAGTGGCATTAGGTAACATCCTGAGTTTGCTTTCCATGGAGGCACAGTCTTCTCTAAAGGCAATGAGGACCTGTTCCAGCGTGCCTCTCCTCACTCTCAACTCTGGCGTATTTCTCCTCAGGTTTCACTGGCTAGAACTATATCACAATATTGTTTACATCAATCACTGGCATGAGGAACCAACTGCTTCCATTAGCTTAGACCACAGTTCTGACTCAGTAGGTCTAGGGTGGCAACTAATAATCTGCATGTCTAACAAGTTCCCAGGTGATCCTGATGCTGTTGGTTTGAGAACCACGGAGTTTAGACAATTTAAGATTTACCACCTGAACACACTTATGGCCCTTCCAGCAAATGAGAACAGGAGGGAGAGTTTTAGGTGGAAACAGGCAATGGAGCTCTTCTACATGGTCTTTGCAGACTTTTGATGTTTGCTGAGACACTGGTCAGGGTACCTGCGAGTGGGGAAAAGTACTGCAAAGAAGGCTAGCAACATGTATACCAGTATTCAGAAGCCAAGCAAGCTATTTTAAGATCCCTGGAAGGTAAGCTGGAGATTTTCATGCTATGACAAGTTTGCATAGACCGTTTTATTTACTCTAAGCATTGTATTCTGGCTAAAGATTACACAGAAAGATGTGGCAGTCACTGATGCTCTTTCCCACATATTTCTGACTCTCCACTTTTGGGCCACATGATGGTACTGCACTTCTTTGTTCCCCTTGAGGTTACATACGGGCAGATGACTTGATTTAGAGAATGCACAAGCGATGATGAACTACAGTGGCACTTCCTGCTATAGTGATTACAGAATGTGGGTTGAGATAAAGCTTCTATCAGACTAGGTTCCTGAGTGAAGGAGCAGGGCCTCTCTAATGAACCATGGTGGACACGCAGAGTAAGCAAAAAATAAACTCCTGTTGTGTTAAGTCACTGAAATTTGGGGATTTGTTACTGCAGTATAATCAAACCCATCCTAATACAAAGGATGTAAAACTTTTATACTGCACTTTAATTATTCGTTTTTTTCCTTTAAGCTCAAATGCCCCTTTAAAAAAAATCCTGATTACCCTTCAAGCTCTGGCTTGAGTTACATCTTCATCATCACTCCAGCCAACATTTATCTCTTTGTGTGAACAACAATTGCAACTCTAAGAAAAATCACGAGGTTTAGCACTTATTTTATAATTGCCCATATATATTAGTATCACCTCACTGACTATATCAGAGACTTAGGAGGGCAGAGTTCATGTTGTAGGCATCTTTGTACCATCTTGAGCAAAGGAGGAAAATGAGTAGTTTTTAGATAAAATCTAGCTGGAGAATGGATGTCAATATTTTCTAGTATTTCAACTTTTCCATGTGTTATTTGCACACAGTCAGGCAGTTATTGAGCACATATTGCTGCAGAGTTATACAGAAAATTTGAGAGCAGAGTTGCAAGTAGCCACGTGCTTGCTTCATTAACTGTGCTTGTGGCAATTTTTACCACCTGTGCAAATTTCCATTTCTCTGAACAATCTGACTATACATGTCCTGTTCACTCCCTCTTTCCAAAATGAATTAAGGAGAAGAGAAAACAGTGGTGATAAGAGAAAAAAAAAATCAGCTAGTGAGATTTAAAACAAAATTTGGTGAGCTTATACTAAATTGCTGCTTAAATATGGGAAATGACATTGATTGTTGAAAAGAAATACAGCCTAAGTTTCATTAACACCAATAACCTAAACATGGGACTTTGTGATGTTATCTGGCCTAGTCCTTTGTCTTCAGATTTGTGCTTTCAAGCATGCAAAGTATCATGGTTCTTAAAAGTTAAGAGGCTGACTGAAGGTCCCTTGCTTACTAAGTGATGAAGGTAGCACTGAAACACAGGTCCTAGTAATGGGCAACTTTAAATACTCAACACCTGTGGGTAGACTATCTTGTTAGCATGAAATGTAAAATTATATTTTGAAGAATTACAATTTTTGAGCTCTTAGGAGAGGAAATGCTCAACATAGGTGTGTAGACTATCTCATTAGCATGAAATGTAAAATGATATTTTGAAGAATTATGATTTTTGAGCTCTTAGGAGAGAAAAATATTTTGAACCTGGCCCCCCATTGTGAATAGAAACTAAAATGGGAAAATTTGGAGAAATAAACCAATAAGGAATAAAGATCATAAGTCATTCATGCTAAAACCTGTGATGAGAGTTAAAGAAAAGTCATTTAATTTTTCAAAGGTAAACGGAAAATGCAAGCATGTCTACAATGCCTTAAAGCTCAGTAGCTGCTTATCTTGTCAAAAATGTAACTATCAGAGCTGGATAACACAGAACAAGCATGAGGATGCATTTTACGATGATAAGGTAGCAACAGGAAATAACATATTTATAATCAATACAATAGTGCCAAATTTGCTTGGGTGAAGTCATACAAAAGAGGGGTGACTTATGGTTACAAAAGGAAGGAGCAAGCTCAGTTTTGTGCTATTTGACTACAGGAGTGCTCTGGAACGCCAAGGAAGATTGGACCAGCAGTCCAATTCTACCCACACCATTTATTAAATAATTAATACGTAATCATTTCAAAAAGTACTAGCTGGGAACTGGCTCTAAATCTAAATATCACTAATGACAATGTATGTAGAGGCAAATTCAATCCTGGTTTCCAAACAACTTTACAATCAACAACTTGTGGAGTTTACTCTGTGTGCAAGTTGTATTACTGCTTGCACCTTGGAATCCTCCTTCATTGCTACCCTTAGAATCCAAGCTAAAGGGACTCTCTTACAGGAGTGAATGCCTTAAGGGAAGTGCCTTTGGTGTTTGAGGAACCAAAAGCTCCTGGCCCTGACCCAAAACTAATCCACATTATTGTAAGGTACATCCAATATTAAAGGCACTATGGTGATGTTTTAGTACAGTGAGTCCTTAGCGTTCCTTAAAACTTCAGCTTCATTTGGCAACTGATGCCTCTTGGGGAGCAAAATTACTTACATCATTAAAACTTCATCAAGTCATAATTTTATTATAATTGTTAACATAAATAACTGCAGTAAATAAGTACAGAGTGATCGATTTGTTCTTGATATCTCAAGGGAGTCTTTATTTAGCTTTGATATATAAAATCAGGACATTATTTATTTGCATTACAAACTGCATATCAACTATTCACTTGGGCATGTTTTAATTGGTTTTAGGTTTTGCACATTCCATAACTGAACTGTGTAAGCAGGTTGGCTTCAAAAATAAGGTCTCATGTAACAGCTAAGTCTATATGACGATGTGTCATATGGCGTGTCAAACATTTTTCTGCTTTCCTCTGCTTCCCATCCTGACATCAGAAAAAACTTTGTTCTAGTGAAATAGAAAATAAATTCTGCTAAGATGGGATAAAAGGGGAGCATGTGAATAAGACCCTCTTCTTTCCTGGCCAGCAGCAAGTGCCTCCAGCTGTCTGATCTGCCTCAGTAGCCCAGCACAAATTTTTTAGTTGACTAATGCTCCCCACTTCCGCCGACAACAGAGTAAGATATCACCTGCTAAGATAAATTACCATAATATAATGATTGAAGGGAAAATATATGGTGTAATAGAGAGGTCTAAATACCCGTAAGTGGAAAAAAGCATAAACGACCATTTTAATTAATTTCCTAATGTAAAACACAGCTGTAGTAATGTTGGCAAGTCTCACCTGCCCGTTTTAAATTTGTGACATGAAATCATGCCACTTAATTAAGTCTTAATGCACAAAAATATATTTTATTTACTTTTTATGGAATACCAGCATTTAAAGCTTTCTATTTATGTGTGTAAGCGCTTTATAAATTACTTGAAATACTGAAAAAATCTGACTACTACTAACCGGCAGTTACAAGTACCAGTTTTAGTTTCAATAATTAAATGCCTTTTTGGTGGACTCCTGCTGCTATGTGAACTAGCTGTAGGCTATTAAAGTAATGAGTCCGGACAGAGTCATCTGATCTCATGGTTGGTGGAAAACTCAAGGAAAAGGGCTTTGCCCACAATTCCTAGTCTGTTTACCAGACTGCAACCAGACTGCCTGCTGGAAGCATTATAAAGCCTCTGGGCTTCCCCTTCCCCCTTCCAGCAAGTATCTTTTTTTTTTTTTTTCCTTTTTACAAGTGTTGTCTAGGAAAATATGGTATTATAGAGCCCTCTGCAGGCCAGAAGTTTTGTAGTGTAGCTTACCAGCATGATTTTTCTTAAAGTGGCAGTAAGAGAGGGGAAAAGCATAATTGTCAAAACTTCGTAAATCAGATCTCATTAAGAAATATGTTTGTCATAAGGGCAGACTGGCATCGATTCTTCCAGAAGACTCACTGAAAAAGAGCATCTCTGTTAACTTGTTTAAGGGATGTTGCCTTGATAGCAAAATTTTGGAGGGCCCCTGGTAACTTCATAATGGGTTGCAGTGTTAGGGATTATATCATCTTCATCATCATCGTAATTCTTAAAATAATCCATGAAAAATACAGGGCTCTGAACTGTTCACTTAAAAATGCAATTTCTGGCCAGGCATGGTGGCTCAAGCCTGCAATCCCAGTGCTTTGGGAGTCCGAGGTGGTAGGACTGCTCGAGACCAGGAGTTCAAGATCAGCCATGTAGTGAGATCCTGTCTCTACAAAAATAGAAAAGTATTTTTTTAAAAAAAGAATTTATATCACACCTGGGCTTTAGAAGCCTAGGTATAAGGAAGAAGAAATTAGAAGTCAGTTATACGAACTCTATGATTTCCTCAGCCAAGTTTTCATTCGAATGAATGAAGTGTATGCCTAGAAAAATTCAGTGAATTTCTTAAGTGTTTTAGGGAACTTAGTATAAATTTTTACAGGGCATTTTATATTGTGTTTTAAACTTTTTGGATGAAATGGATATAAATCATTACAGAAAGAAATACATAAAGATAAAAATGAGGAAGTGCATTGAAGACAAACAGAACAAATAAATAAGGTCTGATTTTCATTTAGATGGTACTTTTCGAACCACATTTTATGTTGGTTATAAAGTATTCTTTTTTTGTTGGAGACGGAGTCTCACTCAGTCGCCCAGGCTGGAGTGCAGTGGCACGATCTCAGCTCACTGCAACCTCTGCATCCCAGGTTCAAGCAATTCTCCTGCCTCAGCCTCCTGAGTAGCTGGACTGGACTACAGGCTCACACCACCATGTCTGGCTAATTTTTTGTATTTTAGTAGAGACGGGGTTTCACGGTGTTGCCCAGGCTGGTCTCGAACTCCTGAGCTCAGGCAATCCGCCCGCCTCGGCCTCCCAAAGTGCTAGGACTACAGGCATGACCCACCGCGCCAGGCCTTATAAAATATTCTTAAAGTCAGCAAAATAACCAAATAACTTAAAGTCAGCAAAATAACTTTTAATAGGAAAATTTTTCCTAATATTTTCAAGTCAGCAAAAGTACTAACAGCTTTTAATAATGGGTTTTTTTTTGCATAATAGTCAAGAGAGTATTAATTTAAAAGAGGAAGCATTTGACCAAAATATTTCCTTTTATTGAGTTTAATCTGTGCCAGGTAACTCATAAACCTCCTGGAGCACCCAGAGATACATGCTTCTAACAACTCACAGAGGTGCCAGAGCCGTCTCCTCAAAGTTCCTCACCCTGGCAGTAAAACATTATGATCAACATTCGCCTAGAAGCCAGGATAAGTGGAAGAAATGGGAAGTGATATGATGATGAAAAGAATCAGATATTGCATATGTTAAAATTTCCTTCCACAGCATTTTAATCATTTAACAGGGTCTCTTTAAGGACCCGAAGGGAGTTATGAGGAGGCCGTGGTCTGGAGGCAAGAACCCAGGCTGTGGTTGTTGGCGGCAGTCTCCAGATGAGCCTCAGCAGCTCCCTGGGGACTCTGGTGACATTCTAAGACCATGCCTTCTGTGGTTGTTTAGCATAACTGACTGCTGCTTTTCCCAAGGACAGCCATTTGGTGTTGGAGGTTTTTCTAGTCTTCTCTACTCAGTGGTATAGACAAGACCAGCATGTCCTTAGGGTAATGTCTGCAAGGGTTTGGGTTCCAGTAAAATGACTCTTCCAAACGAAAACCCGAAATTAAAACGTCGAGTTTCCAGATTTGTTGAATTCAGAAACAAGTGCTCTCGGCATGAACTGTCAACAGCCAAAGTTAAAACAGGCCAGCTGGTGGCTCCTGTGGGATCGTCTCCACACACTCTATCCCAACTTTGCAGAGTTGAATGTCAGACATTATTCTATCAGGCCTGGAATCCGCTGCCAGACTCAGCCTCCTTCATCCGGCTTATCTCCTACTGGGAGGCTGTGGCTGACTGGATGGAACTGCACACTTCCCAGCAGATGTTGGGCTGCCAACGGATGGGAGCATGGCTGGGCTGGCGCCGCCAACATTTACAGTCATTCCTCTTGCTCCATTCCCCCTGCAGCCCCCCAGCCCTGTCCCACCAACGCCTGCTTGCAGACTTGGCACACTAGGAGAGGACAGGTGATGAGGATTAGGCCAAACGTATTTGCATATCGTCAGCACAGGGAAGGAAATTAACACCACAGTGACATGATTTAGTGGCTAACCTTAAACCTGAGAAAGGTCTGAACCAATTTTTGAGCACTATGAGACTGAGGGAGATGTAAAATGCAACCCATCTGGCAGGGATGGGCTTGTCCAGGGTTAATGGAAGAAACAGAAATGAATTAGTTTGAGTATGAAGTGTTGTTTAACGTTCACTCACAAATTATGAGTGGGCCTTATACTTGGGCACAAGAAATGCCACCTTTACTGTATTCTTGTGGGATGGGGACGGGGACTGAAAATGGTGGGACAGTTTTCATGATCATTTTCTCCTCTGGCAGCTGTATCACAATCTTTTGAGACCGAGTCTTGCTCTGTCGCCCAGGCTGGAGTGCAGTGGCGCCATCTCGGCTCACTACAAACTCTGTCTCCCTTGTTCAAGCAATTCTCTGCTTCAGCCTCCCGAGCAGCTGGAATTACAGGCGCCCGCCACCATGCCCGGCTGATTTTTGTATTTTTAGTAGAGATGGTGTTTCACCATCTTGGCCAGGCTGCTCTTGAACTCCTGACCTCATGATCCACCCGCCTCGGCCTCCTAAAGTGCTGCGATTACAGGCGTGAGCCAGTGTGCCCAGCTCACAATCTTAATAGGCCCTTAAGGACAATGTTGACCATTTGTCTGCAGCCAAATTCAGAAATGCTCTGACAATTAGGTATTTCAGAAACTGAACATTTCATACAATTTTTGTTCACTATAATAAGAGCATAAAAACTTTTCACAATCTCTCACAAAGTTAAGTGAAAGAGAAAATGAATTAGTACCCATGAAGTATATTTTCATTTTTCTAAAGCTGCTTCTCATGGGAAAGTCAGAAAAGGGGCTGATTTTTTAAAATGATTATTTAGACAACTGAGTCATTCTGTAATTTGAAGCCAGCAAGAAGGCAGCTAATGCTATTTCAATTTGCTGTCATATGAAGGTACCTAGAAAAATGAATGCCATTAAAACTTTCTTCTCATTTTTATGAATCCAGTAAGGTAATGTGTGCATTCTCTGGGCAAATCCGCATAAAGCTGCTTTAATTTGTTTTCTGCTAAGACAATGGTGAGTTAGTTTCTCTGTAAGTAAGCACAAGTCTAGCATCCCTTGGAACACAACATGACATCCATCGTGAACACAGTGCTTTACCAACACACAGTGACTGACTACAATCTAGCTAAAGACAAATGCCAGACATATATTTTTAAAAATAGGGTTATTCCCTTTAATGCTGCCATCTTAGGAGGATATATGTACTTACTCTACTGCACTGCCATTTTATTACTCAAAAACATTTTGGACTTCCTATTGAAAACACCTTTGGAAAATACCTGGACTTCTATGGAAGATCACTAAGGGTGGTAACTATCACTGAGGAGCCAAAGGCCATTTGTAGTCAAGTTTGGAGAATAATGTAGGTAATTCAGCTCCCAGAACCCCTTAAAGTAAAAACCACACAGCAAAAACTTACCCAAAACAAATAAGGTGAAGCTAAATAGAATCTCAGCCTTTCATGAGATTTGAAATTATCTTTGAAGGCCATGCCAAAAAAGCAGCTGAAAACATATTTTGAGCAATGGTAGAGTCATTGAAACAGGTCAGGTAAACATCCCCCAGTGTGGTACTTTTTAAAAAGACAACATTCATTTATTTTATTTCTCTAGAGACAGGGTCTCGTCCTGTTGCCCAGACTGGAGTGCAGTGGCAGTCATAGCTCATTGCAGCCTCTAACTCTTGGGCTCAAGTGATTCTCCCACCTCGTCCTCACAAGTAGCTGGGACTACAGGCATGGGTCACCGTGCCTCACTCATTTTATTTTTAATTTTTTTCTAGATACAGGCTCTTGCTATGTTGCCCAGCCTGGTCTCGAACTCCCAGCGTCAAGGGATCCTCTCGCCTCAGCCTCCCAAAGTGCTGGAATTACAGGCATGAGCCATGTGCCCAGCCCAAGGCCAATATTCATTTGGATGTTGTGTATTATGTGTCTTTTGCAGAGTAAGCAAAACACCCATCGGAGGAGTTCTTAAAAATCATGGCAGCCCCTCCTACAACTAGGAATCTATTGAGGTCACCTGGATGCAGATCACATTTCTTCTGGGAAGCCACTTGAATGATACCTCCGTAGTTACAAAGAAAGGTGTACTAAAAACCTTAGAAACCTCACCATGGCTAGCCTGGAGAGTCCCCTGTGGTATGCAGAGCTGAATACTTGGAAGGAAGTGAACCACTCTGCATGAATGATAAGGGAGTCCCCAAAGGGGAGTGATGTTATCATTAGGGCAGGCAGAGTGTGGACAGGCTCAAGACAGACAGGACATCTTAAGGACAGGCTCAAGATGGAGAGGAAGGCTGGTTTGGGAAGAGTATATGATGAGTTAGAAACTCCTTTGTAACCATCTTCCTGGACACAGTACTTGGGTTTGGGGAAATCTTGGCTGAGAGTACAATTATGAAACAAAGCTGTGAAGAGAGGCCCACATAAGGATCTACCATGGTGTGAGCCATAAATGGACCTGCAAACCCCCCAAATAGCAGCTAATCCTTGGAACTGGCAGGACATACCTTCAACAGCAACACTGTACAAGGGAGATGGTGAAAAAGAGCCATTCAGGTCCTGGCTCGCACTTTTTCCTTAACATCTATAAAGTAAGACTGACCTTTTTGACTCTGAGCAAACCACTGGGTTCTTGGGTAATTTGTGCATGTCAAGAAGACATCAGACTTTCTTCTAAGAACATACAGGTGCTCTACTAATTGGAAAAAGTCACCATATCAGCACTCTAGCCTATTTTGTCATCTCTCATTCATTGCCTTCAACGTATGAACACACTCCACAAATATTTGTCAATACAAATGTTGTGTGAATCTCACAACAAAGTCAGTGATGTAGACAAAAAGAATACTACAAGACTCATTTTACAGACAAGGACACTGAGGAATGGAGGCACTGAATGGCTGACAGACAGCACTTCTTTTGAACGAGGAGTTCAAGAATCCTCTCAGGCTGGGGCTCTTCCCAGTTCCTTCCATGTTGGGGATTGGAGGTATGGCAGAGTCCAAATGTAGTGGCAGGAGGCAACAAAGAGGTAAGGTTTCTAGAAGCAGGTATGTATTGACAGCATTGATATCATGACAACAGCAGCCTGGCCCTCTTCTTTAGGGGATTAGACCACATCACTGTAGATTCTCAGGGGACAGAACATCTCCCCGGGAGTTCTTCATTTGTATGGACAGACATACTCCTCCCTTCCATCTTCATGGTGTTGCCAGGGGCAAAAGAATGGGGTGAATTTTTTCTGCAAACTGATTCTGTTATCTTCTAGAAGTTGAGGAACAGGGAGAAGGGAGTAACTGAGTAGCCGAGGATGCACAGGAGATCCAGGAGCTGCTCTGTCTCCCCCTTCAGAGTTTCCCAGGATTCCCAGAGGCAGTGGCTCCAGCACTCTCGTGCTCAGCTGGGAGTCCCCTGTGGAGCCCCCATCCCAATTTCTTCCCTGCACTTCTATTTATAATATTTACTAAAGAAATGAACAAATAAACTCTCACTATTGGGAAGGTCACTTAGGAACATTAAGAGGATGGGCTGCGAAACCTTTCTGCTGTGATTTGAATCCCAGCTTGATCATCTACTCTCTGTGACAATGGACAAGTTTCTCAACATCTCTGTGCCTTAGTATCTTCATCTGTAAAATGAGGATAATAGTATCTTCCTTATAGTGTTGTTGTATGCATTAAATCATATAATAACTATAAAGTACTTATAGTTGTGTCTGGTATATAGTATTTAACAAGTAGTGAGATTTTAATGCCTCCCTCTGCTTTTTAAAGTAAACTATAAGCCTTTGTGGGCAAGGGCCTCATAGAATCATCAAGCTATATTTCTCATTTGAATAACATCTCACAAGAGATGTTTTTTATATTGCAATATAAAAATATAAAAAAGAACTATGAAGAGAAGTTACCAAAAAAATAATTCATAATGGTAGATATGGTAATGCTGTTTGGGTAAGGAGTTCTCAGCACCCTTTAAATCACCCCAAATGCTAATTAGTATCCTACAAGAAGGTCAGAGCAAATTCTAGAGGCAAGAATTTCTTCCCCAAATCAATTTTCAGGAACCCTATGATGAAAACGTCTCATTTTACATGTACTTGATAAAATGAAATAATAATTGAATCTACAAGGCCCACATGCAACATGAGGTCATATAACTTTACGTCAACATGTTTGTGTTTTATTTGAATAGTTCATTTGTATTTATTTAATTATATATTTACTGAAAAGCAACAGAGACTTGTACTAAATTGTGCCAAATGGTATGTGATGGCTATACTTAAAATGCTCAGATTATTTTGAACAGAGGGATTTATTTTCTTCTCATAGCTTTTGGAAGTCTGGGCCTATCTGGTTTCAGTTAGGCAATAGTCTTTGGCCAGCATTTTCTGGTACATTTGAAACTGTTGAACAATGAAAAGTAGAAACTTTTCATTGCCAGTGCAGCTTAAGCCTAATACAGATATAAACACATTTAATAGCACTTTATTTAGGTTCAGCTTTATTATTCTTAACTTTCATAGTAATTTTGAATCACATTGCATTAACAAATTTTTATTGGGTTTCCCAATGGAAAGCCAATTGCAGGCAAGGCCTTTTACGACTGGGATGTCGCAGTCAATCTTAGATTTGCCTTCTAACAAAGAAGAAAACACAATTCTTAAAAGCTTGCTTTTGTTAAGTTCTGATATAGTATGCTCTAAAGGACACTAATTCTTTGTTTTGTTCTTTGCTAGTGCCCATCTTAGGTATTGTGCAAGTACCCTTCTTAAACATTTTTGAGTTACAGCCTTCTAACAGAGCAAGCACATGGATGGAGCTGGAGGCCATTATCTTCAGCAAAGTAACGCATGAACATAAAACCAAATACTGCGTGTTCTCACTCATAAGTGGGAGCTAAATGATGAGAACACATGGACACATACAGGGGAATAACACACACTGGGGCCTGTCAGAGGGCGGAGGGTGGAAGGAGGGAGAGGATCAGGAAAAATAATTAATGGATGTTAGGCTTAGTACCTGGACGATGAAACAATTTGTACAACAAACCCCCATGACACTTTACCTATGTAGCAAATCTGCATATGTACATATGAAAATATGTACCCCTGGACTTAAAAGTTAAAAACAGAGGACATGGCAGTTGGTGACAGGAAGGGCATGGACGATGCTCACCTACAGGCTCAAAATCTAACCTGGGCAAGAGGGGCACGTTCAAGATTTGATTTAAACTGGCAACTCAGTTTTCTTGCAACTGAAAGTATTCTAAGCAACTTATCCCTCTGGACTCCTCTTCAAAACTAATAAATAAAGCAGTCTTCTAGGAGCCAGCTCCTTTAGAGGAGCTGCTATATTCTGGTTTCTGATTTATTTAGTGGTTAAAATATTTCCCTGTGATTTAGGGTAGGGTGGCTCCAGTGGGCAGGCAGCATTGCCCCGTGGCCTGTGGCATGCCCACAGCATATCGGGTGCTGTGGCCAGCAGGGGGAGGGAGCAGAAGTGGCGGCCACCCTGAAAGATCTGGTGGCCAGCAGGCCAGGGAGTGTGTCCAGCAGACCTGTGGAGGAGATCCAGGCTCACAGAATGAAGTGAGGGTCAGCCTGGAATCTTCAATGAAAACCTTCACTACAGGGTATAAGAACCACTTTTACTAAATAGTACCTTAACCACAAAGAAGTTACTTAGTTTGCCAGTTACAAGCACTTTAGCTTATTGACTGTAAGCAGAAGTTTGTAGGTAGAAGAGTACATACAGTACCTAAGAATGTGAGTTTAGGCATGAGCTGTGTGACTTTGGGCAAAAGACTTAACCTCTTGGGTGAAATTTCTCATGGGTAAAATGAGGTTTATCCCATCTGTACATGAGGGATGCTGTCAGGATTAAGTGATTAAGCTGTTGCAAAGCGCAGAGTGAAGCCAAATAATAAATGGCAGTATTATTATTCCTAAGACAGTATAATAGCAATTTTTAAAAATGCATGTAATATATGTGGGAAAAAAGCCTAGAAAGATATACCCCAAAATATCAACAGTGGTTATCTCTGGGGAGCAAAATTTTGGGAGAATTTATTTCCTTCTCTATCCCTTCCTCCATATTTTCTGCATTCTCTCTCTCTCTCTCTCTCTCTCCCCCTCTCTCCCTCCCTCCCTCTCTCTCTCTCTCTCTTTCTTTCTTTCTTTTTGAGACGGAGTCTTGCTCTGTCGCCCAGGCTGGAGTCCAGTGGTGCGATCTCGGCTCACTGCAAGCTCTGCCTCCCGGGTTCACACCATTCTCCTGCCTCAGCCCCCCGAGTAGCTGGGATTACAGGCACCTGCCACCACGCTCGGCTAATTTTTTGTATTTTTAGTAGAGACAGGGTTTCACTGTGTTAGCCAGGATGGTCTCAATCTCCTGACCTCATGATCCGCCCGCCTTGGCCTCCCAAAGTACTGGGATTACAGGCATGAGCCACCGTGCCCGGCCAATTTTCTGCATTTTCTATAATGAACATATATTACTTTTTGATCAGAACACAGTTATTACAATACTAAAATGTATCTTACATGAAAATATAAAGAAAATGGCTACGAAGAACAAGATGAGAAAATGTTATTGCAAACCTGACCACTGTTTTCCCTGACAGTATCTCTGGAACATTCCAACCTTGTCCTTTTCTCCCAAGAAGAACACATTTCAAGTGGTCACACTGAGGTTAATGAAAACAGGCACATTTACAGCATACGAAAAGGCAATACAACACAAGTATGTTCACTTTTTGATAGTTTTATTGGTTTTGTGATATATTTTTTAAAAAGGAAAGACTAAACTTTTCTTCATGAAAAAACTGTTCAGTTATTTTTAGACACTTTCATAAAAACTCAAAATTGTAGGTTTTTGCTCTACCACTAAGAAAATGTTCATATAATCTAAATTTTGCATTCTTTTAAGAAACTATATTTATATCTTACCACTATAGCCCAAATATTCCAAATAATTTTATCCTATAGACAGCCATTTTTTTTAAAAAAAAAAGGAAGAGATAAGTTGACAAAACAATATGCTAAATATAACACAGCCATCAGCAGGACAGTGGTATTATATGACCAGTAATTGAAGTTTTCCCATCACTTTGCTCTCAGAAAAAAAGCCAGTGTTAAAAATCACATCTTTACTGAATGTGAAACTAAATCTAAGTAGATTAAATGACTTGGCCAAGTCCTTTCTGTAAATTTGTGGCAAAGGAGAATTTCTCAGTGCAGTAATTACATCTTTGCCTTCCAGAAGGCCATCTACAATGAGATTACATGTAGAGCATGGGTTAGCAAACTTTCTGTAAAGGGTCAGACAGGAAATATTTTAGGCTTTGTGGGCCAGAGTATTTCTGCTGCAATGACTTCACTCTTATGACAGTGTGAAAGCAACCATAGACAATTCATACATAAATGAATATGTCTGTGTTTCAATAAAACTTTATTTACAAAAACAGGTGGAGGGCCAGATTTGGCTCACAAGTCATAGTTTGCCAGTTGCTGGTGTGGAGGAACCTAACTGTTGAATTACAAAACCAGTCTTTAAAAGCTGTATCCTAAAAAAACAAAACATAACAAAACAAAAAACACAGGACTATTACATTACAAGAATAAACTCTGCATGTGGGAATTTGGGATACCTTGGCACAGCAATGTGTGTGTTTGCACATGATGGCAAAAATCAGGTTTGGAGGCTGGGCGTGGTGGCTCATGCCTGTAATCCCAGCACTTTGGGAGGCTGAGGCAGGCAGATCACCTGAGGGTCAGGAGTTTGAGACCAGCCTGGCCAATATGGTGAAACCCCGTCTCTACTAAAAATACAAAAAAATTAGCTGGGCGTGTTGGTGCACACCTGTAATCCCAGCTACTCGGGAGGCTGAGGCAGGAGAATTGCTTGAACCTGGGAGAACTGCTTGAACCGGGGAGAATTGCTTGAACCTGGGAGACGTGCTGGAACCTGGGAGAATTGCTTGAACCTGGGAGAACTGCTTGAACCTGGGAGGTAGAGGTTGCAGTGAGCCAAGATCGCACCACTGCACTCCAGCCTAAGTGACAAAGTGAGACCCTGTCTCGAAAAAATAAATAAATAAAAAATAAAAAAATTAAAAAAATCAGGTTTGGGTGACTTCTTGAATGTATTTGGAAAGAATTCTCCCTGGTTCATCATGGGCTCAGTCCTGAGCAGGAACTCGTTTGATAAACTAATAGCGTGGGCTATTTTAATTTTTTTAAAAACAAGGTTTGGGGGACTGGAGAAATAAGCCAAAGGAAAAGCGGGTAAAAACAGAGAAGAGTTTTATGTGTATGGAGAGTGAGAAAGGAAAGAAAGAGAAACCCAAGGTTTGGGAAGGTCATCTGGAGTTGGATAGGACTAACGCAGTAAGTTACCTAAGACATTTCCCCCAACTGTTCTCAAGTCCAACTGGGGATGAAAGGAGGCATGTGTTGTGTGTAAATCCATGTATAATGAGAATGCTGTTTGAAGTAGCATAATCTTGGCTCTATAGCCTGTCACAGTTGAGAAAAATATTGGTGTTTGATAGGTGCTCCCACATCATAATGTAATACTTTATGAGGACTGTTGGTATGTAAAGCCACAGACACAGTCATCCATAATCTAGGTGCAGGTGGAAGAGAGGGTGCATCTTGTGCTCTCAATCAGCTGGAAACAATAAATAAATTTATGATTCGCAACATGAAATACAGACTTTTAAAAAGAAAGATTTTAAATGAAGGTTTTAGTTACACATTGTTTATCCCAAACCATTTTAATGTATATCCATTTACTTCAAACTAATCTTTTATTTAAATAACGACAGCTAGAAGTAAACCGAGACTGAAGACAAAAAACAAAGTCTTTCAAGATGTGAAAATGAACTTGGTGATGATATTCAACAGACTCCTCACTCACACTCCTGCAAACCTATAAGCTGAAGAGATTTAGAACTATTTACGTGTGTGGTGACTGGATAGGCTACTGAAAAACAATGATTCTTTTCTTCTAGCCTTAAGGCTTACATACTTTTTCATACTTATAATTTTTTTATGCTTCTTTAGGATGTTTTTGATATTGCGTATAAATACGAAAGGGCTGCACCAGACATGTGTAAAGATGATATACAAGATCTGGTAACGATGGCTGTCATTCCCTGAGCATAAAGGCAGGCCAGGAGATGCTTTACAAATGTTACTGGGATGGACATTATAAACAGCTCTGTGGAATGGGTATTATTAATTCAATTTTCCAACGGAGGAAAATGGGCTCAGTGATGTATAGATGTCCCTGGTAAAAGCAGGACAAAGATGATTAAACATTTTTAAAATAATGCTCTGAAATTAGGGGTAGAGGGTTTAATAAAGACAACATTCAATCTATATTCTAAATGGATATATGATGTGATATGAGCATTTTGAATACAGATGGAGAATTCAAAAATAGCAAACAATCACTAGCTGACCAATAACTGCTAAGCAGAGATTTTCCCAAAATAATACTCCAAGCATGGAGAGGGTAAGAACTGACTGAAATATAAGGTCTAGAAAATGAGCAGAGCTGCTTCTGCAGTAGGAAATAGTCTACAGTAAAATCCTTCCTAGGCCCTCCTTTGGGACTCTCCAGTTTATTACAAAAAACACACATAAATATTACTATGTTTTGTGTTTTTGAAAAGGTGCCAACAAAACAGGTTGTTTGGCTATAGATTTTCTTCTCTAGATTTAGCAGTTTTGATCTTTGAATCACATTTACAACAACAGAGTAATTTTAGTAAGCCATATTTGGCTAAATATTCTTTAAGGCCTTGTTGCTTGTGGATATACTGTATTTTTGCACACTTGTGGACAAGATGTTGGCTTCATTTTACAACTAACATCTTGTCCACATCAGGGGAGCTTTCTCACACAGACATGCATACCATGTGGGCTACCTGCTGAGTTCTGGCAAGCTTGGCAGACTGCAGAACATAATGGGAAGGCGGTTGGAGTGGAAAAAAACCTTCCTGGGAATTTTTTAAGTGGTTAAAAAAAAGGCATACCATTTCCTAATGTCCCACACTGTGAGTTGGCACAGGAAAGATAATCCAGGAAATGAGATGTAAAAACTGTACACAGGTTTCTTAACAGAAGAGGCATTTTGCAAACAGCCAACATAAAGAATGCACTTCCATTTAGGAAGTCAACCACTTGAAAGTTTTACTTTTTCATTAGCCGCATGGAAATTGAAAGAGTATGAGCTGGAAATGATCATTAATTCCACATGGAGATCTTACAGTTGAGCAACCAGTTCTCAGAAGCCAGTATGCTCATTTGTTAGTCAGGGTGCACATTCAAAATAACCCAGTTGGAGAAGGATACTCATTGGATAATGTCTTCAAGAATTTCAACTGAAGAAGCCATATCAGGTAAATGTGATCTAAATGCAGTTATTTTAGTTTTCTACTTTGGTGAAAGGCTTTTCTCTAGTAAATTACGTGGTTTACCAAAGCAAGATGTAAACCCTCTGATTTTTAAAGCCAAAAGGAAGAAAAAGAGAGAAAATGCAATAGCACCACCTAAAGGGCATTTCAATAGCAATAAAAACTAAATGAAGGTTGAAAACCAGTGAGGATTTTTCATTTTACCATACATACACACACACACACACACACCCCATATATATTATATATAAAACATATATATTACAGTGTACCAGATTGTTATGATAAATGCAGTTTGACAGATGGTACACCTTGGCGGTAGCCTCTGGAGCACTTATATTTGGCTCCATATCCCATCGGGTGGGGGGCGGAAATCAATCCAATTTACAGAAAGGATCATTTTGCAAGGTTCAAAATTCAGTTGAATGAACTCATACACCAAGACAATCACAGACCTAAATGTAAATGTAAGAGCTAAAACTATATATAAAACTCTTAGAAGAAAACACAGGAATAAATCCTCCTTACTTTGGGTTAGGCAATGGTTCTTTAGATATGACACCAAAAGCACAAGTGACAAAAGAAAAAACTAGATAATTAGACTTCGTTAAAACTAAAACTTTAGTGTTGCAAATGATATCGTCAAGTAAGTGAAGACAACCCACAGAATAGGAGAACATATTTGCAAATTTTATATCTGATAATGAACTTGTATCCAGAATATAAAAAGAACTCTTACAACTCAACAATAAAAACATAAATAATCCAATTAAATAATGGCAAAGGATTTGAATAGTTATTTCTCCAAAGAAGATATACAAATGCCAATAAGCATTTGAAAAGATGCTCAACATTATTAGTCATTTGAGAAATGCAAATCAAAATCGCAACGAGATTCCACTTCACACCTGCTGGAATGGTTATAATCAAACAGACAATAATAAGTGTTGGTGAGGATGTGGAGAAATTGGAATCGTCACCTATTGTTGGTGGGAATGTTAAACGGTGCAGCTGCTTTGGAAAATAGTTGGCGGATCCTCAAAATGCAACTGTACCTCGAGTGAGAAATTAATAAACAAAATATGCCATATTCATACACAAGAACATTCTTTGGCAATAAAAACAAAGTACTGACATATGTGATAACATGGATGAACCCTGAAAATGTCGTGCTAAATGAAAGCAGCCAGACACTTTAGGTCACATATGATTCCACGTGTATGAAATCCAGAATAGGCAAATCTATAAAGGTGTAAAGTAGATTAGTGGTTTCCAGGAGCTGGGAAAGTGGGGAAATGGGCAGTGACAACTAATGTGTACGTGGTTTGAGAGATGACAAAAATATTCTAAAACTAGGTTGTATTGATGGCTGCACAGTGCTGTGAATATACTAAAACCAATGAATTATATACTTAAATATGTGAAATGTATGGTATGTGAATTATATCTACAAAGCTGTTACATTCAGTTGAATAGTTCTCAATTGCTAGCCCCCAGCAAAATAGAAGGTATTGTTTACATACAAAAATAAACCAAGCACAGCCTCTGTGATCCTGTAGTTTGCAAATCTCTTCTACCCAATTTTGAAGGGGGAAACAATGACAAGTTGGTGAGGTCACACAGCAGCAGAAGTGGGACCAGGAGCTGGGTCGCCCAAAGTTCCATGCAGGGCCAGGACTAGGGTGAGGAGTGAGGTACTTGGAGTGCCCCAGTGAAGAGGGTGCTCACTCCCAGTACCTCGTGCGCCTTGCCCTAGTCCCAGCCCTGGTTCCGCTTTCCATGCCACCTCCCTGGGAAGTTCGAAACAAGAACAGCTGCAAGTAGAAACGCTATTGTTAAAGCAACAACCATCATTCTTCATTTCTTTTTCCTAAAAATGTTGTTAAAGAACAAGAAAAGATTTTTTTCTTCCCCTTTACTTTAGGGAATACTTTAGGGAAAAGAGAGATGACACAAAGAATGAGAAGTCAGGCTGAGCCTGGAAGAAAAACTAAGTGTGAAAAAATACATGCTTGCCAAGAGGACATGCTTTCTCTGGTGACCAGAAGTACCACCACCACTTATTTTAACAGTTTCATCTAGCATGGTCTTCCACAACATGCCTACTACAGCTGCCAGTGGAATCCAGACTGGCCAACTCTCTTCCTCATACGTGTCTATACCAACATGCTTCAACTGGATTAGTGAGTTTCTTTGTGAGTGCAGTGGACATAGTGTAAATGCTACAATAAAAATGTGGCCTTACTGCTACCCAATAATCTTTTATTTTTTATTTACACATCTATGCAGTCTCTCTAAGGTAAGCTCAGCACACACTCTCTGCATGCTACATGGTTATATCCAATGCACAAACTCAGGGACAAAGTATTCCTGAAAGAGTACATAAGCTTTCAGCTTTATTTTGTCCATTTGTTTACTTTGACATGAGATGGTGGTAGTAAAGATTAAAATGCTCTCCCATGTCTATCCTGATTATCTATCCTGCCTGTCGATGGCATAAAACGGCTCGTAAGGCCAGACTTTCTATTTACATGTTCTGATTTATTTGCTGTTGTCAAAGATTCCCTGTTTATTATCCCCTCCAGAATGAGCTCCATGCTCCAGCTAAACATATTTTTATACCCTTTCCTGCTTTAATCATAGCCAAATATTTGAAATCACAGACATGCTTGCTGACTCTAAGTTTAAGTATCCCATTACACAGCAAGTTAAATAGATGCTTGGGCTTTACAGTTTTAATGTTTAGTTTTGCTCTATTTGTTTCTCTAAATAAGCATTGTACTCATCCTTAGATTTTCTTGTGAGGCTTTGCCAACAGTGTTAGGTTTTTTCTCATGCACTTCTATTGCTTGGTGTCAACTAGAGTTGTCAAAGCCTTGCCAAATTTCCTTTCTTGGTATATATCTTACAAACCAAAGAGATTTGTGCATTATGAAGAGAGCTCTTATGTCCACAACATTTACGCCTCAAGCAAGCACATAGGCTTAATGTTTAAAAAGGACTCCACAAGCCTAACTCATATACAGGGTCTGAAACCTCCCCCTACCACTTACTAGCTCTGTGCACATTCTTTACCCTAGCTCTGCCTATTTTCTTTAATGGAAAATGGTGACCAGTATGAATAGCTCCTCCATCAGGCTGTTGTGAGGATTAAATGAAGTACATAGCAATCACTCAATAGAGGCGGTTGCCATTAGTATTGTTGAACTTTTGCCTTTAGGATGTTCCCATGACATCCTCTTATTCTGGTTTGCTTATAGATAACCAAAATATGATCCTCTCCTTTAAGAGCATATGTGCTAATTGAAAAATAAATAATTATTGACTCAAAAACACTCAAAAACCTGTAGAATAGGTTTACTGCTTATAAACAAGAAAAAAAATTAAGCAATCAGTGTTCCCTCTTGGTTTTATGGATGGATGTATAACAACAGAATCAATATGCTATGAAAAAGCTTTATATTCCATTAGGAAATCTTATACCTGAGTCAATAGAACTATCCATTTAAACCTGTTTTCTATCTCTTTCTTTGGAATTCAAAAGCAACATACCTTTCCATAAAAATGCAAACATCACAGGATTACTGATACTGTAAAAAAGGGAAATTCTTACAGTCCTATCCCAACAGCCACTGTCAGTTATTGGGAAATACTCCGGATTGCATTTTTTGGTGCATTTTCTTTAGCAACTTTTTTTTCTTCTTAAACTTAGCAATAGATCTTGGACATCTTTTCAGGTCAGTACATATAGATCTACCTCATGGTTTTAAACAGGATGGATACACTCAATTTACTGAACCAATCTCAAACTGAAGAATATTTTGGTTACTTCCATTTTTCTTTTTCTATCACAAACACTTTCATGGTCAAATTCTTAACAATTTCACAACCTGACCCAATCTCTATGTTTGAAAGGTTCTTCCAAGTTTCATGATTATCTATTGAAATGAATGGTAACATCCATCCTCAAATGAGCCCCGCTATTTTATGTCCTCTTCTCTTTAGAATCCTTAGGTTATATTGTATCCAGGAGCATGGTTTGTTTTGTTCTTAACTTTCCAACATTACCTCTTCCCTGGGAAAAACAAAACAACAAAAACAAAACACCAAAGCATCTGTGTCTATGTTACAATCCTCTGAAAATCTGTTTCTCTGTCCTGGCCCATTCATCTATTGACTAGCTCTTTGTCCTGTAGCGATTTCATGGAGGTCCAGGGCATATTAAACTCAGCTTCACACCTCACTGGTGCTACAGCCTTGGGCAAGGTACTTATCTCTGTGCCTCAGTTACCTCATGTGTGAAATGGGAATAATACAGTTGTGAGGATTGAATGAATACAATGCAAAGTGCTTCAAATGGTGCCTGGTAATAGCTATTCAGTAAGTAGCAGCCATTATTGTTAATAGTTGGTTGGTTGCTTTTAATGATTTTTTGAGATACGGTCTGGCTCTGTTGCCCAGGCTGGAGTGCAGTGGCATGATTATGGCTCACTGCAACCTCCACCTCCCAGGCTCAAGCAATTGTCCCACCTCAGCCTCCTGAATAGCTATTTTTTTTTTTTTTTTGTAGAAATGGAGTTTTGCCATGTTGCCCAGGCTGGTCTCAAACTCCTGAGTTCAAGCCATCTACCCACCTTGGTCTCCCAAAGTGCTGGAATTACAAATGTGAGCCACCATGGCTGGCCATAATGATTCTGTTTTAAAGAACTGAAAATACTGATTTCTGCCCCCTTCAGGGAGAATGGCTCTCACTTGTTTCCATGACTGATGCCGCTTTTGCCACCATCACTGTTTAGCAAGAAATCTGAAGCTTGGGCCATTTCTCTAAAACACCTTGTGTTGCAGAGCCAAGTAGCAGCTGGCCATGAGGTCTACGGAGCACAGAGCAAACCTTCCTGCTTCAAAATGATATGGTTAGAGGCTCATTACTTGGAGCTTTAGGAATGGTTTTGTTATCAGGAATTCTCTGCTTAAAATATCAAAACTCCTGGGAGAAAAAACCTTTAGTTATCTCACAGCTCAGCAAAGATGAACTGATAGTCAGCTAAGCTAAAATAGGTGGAAATCACAGCTGGGGGTGGGAAGGACTGAGTAGCAGGCTGAGAAGCAGCACTGTGGCAGGGGAGGCAACAGGACAGGAGGGAGGCCTTGCTTCCTTTGCAGGGTGTGGTTCCCAGGTCCTGCCATACCCCCAATACTCTGAGGGCCCCAAGCCAGTTTTAGAGGCCCCTGGATCTGGAGAGAAGGGGATGAGCTGTGTGTCCCTGGGGTGAGATGGCCCCTGTGCCCTGTCCCACCTGCCAGTTATCCATGGCCTCAGGCTTTTTTCCTTCTCCATGCCCCTTGGATGGCAACTTCAGCAATGAGCCAGTGTAGGGAAGAAATGGCTGTGGCCTCCTAGAGGGGGAAGACCCTGTATGTAAGGCCACAAGCCAAATGCGACCTTGCCATCAGCAACCCTAATGTGTTGCTTTTCTTGGGCACTCGCAATAGGGAGACTGGTTTTATAACACACTCACTCATGGTCTGTCTCTCCACTTCATGAGAAACCCCTTCAGAATTCAGATGGTTTTCACTCCTCGGTTCTCATCACGGGGTCTACACATGATGTTTATTGGGATGAACACATTGGAATCTGGGGCTCTGCTTTCCTCTTTGCATGTAAGTGACCCTGCCGCTTGCTAACAGTGGTTGAAAACCATTCCACGGCTGCCGTGGCCAGTGAGGAGGGTTCTGAGGACTGAGGCAGGCAGCAGGGCCAGACTGCAGGTGTTGGCCAGGAGCCCCGGCACAGCAGTGAGCAGCTCCCTGTCTTCTGGGAAGAAGAAACCCGGCTCCTGCCTGCTGCCCTCCTCTCACCTGCTCCCTACAGAGTGCTGCGCCAGCCCTGAGCATGCCCCCGGTACCATTCTCAGTGAGCCTGGAACACAAAGGCCTCTTCATGTTTAGTTTTGAGATAAGTTTCTTGGAAAGGCTGGTGAAGAAGGTGACACCTTTCTGCTCTCCTATCTTTCACAGGGCCGGGTCACGGCGGTGTGGTGGTGGGGGGTGCTCTCCCCGCCACCCCCCGTGATCAGCCTTACCCTGGCTCCTCCTGACTCTAGCTCCTTCATGCACCCTGTGACCCAGACTCACCTCACAGTCCTTCTGCCTCAGTGTAATGCATCTTATTCTACAGCCTGCATTTCCAATACACAGCACACACACATGCCCAGATGCCGTCTCAGCAGTCAGCCCGCATGGTTTCACAGAGAACGACTACAGGCACAATTAGGCATTGAACAAAAGCTCTCTGATGATGCTGCTGATTTGGCTGAAATCCCTCAAGTCTGATGACAGCACTGAGATGCCAACCAGTCCACGAGAACGACTGACTGCTGCATCTTGGGTGGGTGGCGTACTTGGGTGGAGGCGGCCTGGGTCTTGGGTCTCCGATCAGAAGGGGTTTACACCAGCGCAGCAGCCCTTAAAATTAATTTTCCATTAAAATCTAAGCCTCTCAGTCCAATAAACAAACTGCACATTTACTGTGGATTCTGTATCTGAACTTTTACACTGGTTTTGTCAACAAAATTTACTGTATTCATAAATACTAATGTTCTCACTTGGTTCCCTATCTTTAGTATACTGTAAATTATAAGCAAGTACATAAATGTCTTGGCCTGGTAATATAGTGGCCTGAAATGACTTCCTTTTTCCTTTAAAGATGTTGCATGTTTTAATGGTAGGTGTTTTTAATTAACTTGAAGTGCCATAAACTGCCCATGTATGAACAAAGACAAGTGAGTTGCATTAAATTAAAAGTGCAGTATCTGACTAATGTTAACAAATTAGGCACGCCTTCAAGATGCACAATTTCTGTTTGGAGTTGTCATTTTACTAATGCAGAGATACCAAAGCTCCTAGAATAGCTGCACCAAATGAGCCTTTCGAAATTAATATTTTTGGCAATCAATTAGGAATAAGATTTCAAGCTTTAAAAAGATTCCCACTCAGGCATCTCAACATAGCATCCCTTCCCTTTTTCCTTCATAAATGAGCTCAATTTGGGGATGTGATCTTTTTGCCAATATCAGTGCAAATTAGCACTGTAAATATTAAAATCAAATGTTACTACTTCGCCTAATTTTCTTTCAGCCTGCAGTTAATCTTTATTCAGCCTTAATGAGTATTTATTGTGTGACCCTGACAGCTTGCTACTGCTGTGATAAATTATCTGACTCAAGTCCGATTAAAAATGCAACCCTGAGTGCTAATTATCTCAACAGACCTGCTTAATAATAGCATTTCTTGTCAATTATGGAATCTCAGCATGGGTGTCAATAGCAACAAATGCACAGGCCTACCTTGGATGCTGACTTCCCATAAGCCCTTTTACTTGCCATATGTAAATCAGAGTGCTTCTGTACCTGTGATGACCTTTTATTAGCAAACTGTCAAAATGATAAAACTAGCCGTAGCAAAACCCTCACCACCATACAATTAGGGGCTACAGCTTAGGACAACAGGAGGGCAATCAGACACAGCTAATTATGATGCATCTTACTTGTGGCCTGTCCAGCAGGAAGAATGAGCTGTTTTGAAATTTATGCCAGCTTCAGCACGGCCCACAGGAGGGAAGCTGCTGGAAAGTGGGGTAAGGGGGAGGGGACAGGCAAGGAACTGCATATTTCTACAGTTTTTCCGGGAATCTGGAATCAGATCCGAGTTCAAATTTCAGCTCACTTATTTGCTGTGTGACGTTGAATAAATCACTTCATCAGAAAAATGGAGGCAACACCATTTCACCTCACTGGGGGCTGGGTGAGTGAGGGGAATGGAAGGTAACAAATGTAGAAACACCTAGCAGAGTGCTATCACATAGAAGGTGCTGAGCATCTGTTTACTTTCTTCCCATTTGCCTTTTCCTTTCCTAATGATCAAGATAACAGATAACAACAGCTAGAAGTACCATTTATGGAGCTCTTGCATGCACCTTGCACAATGTCTTATGCGCAGCCTTCCTCCTTCACCCCTGTGGTCAGAACTGATGAGAACACAGCAGAGCTGAAAGCTACCCTACCCAGATCATTTAGTGCAGTCTCCCCTTTGTAGGTACAAATGTCTTAAAGAATTCAAAAGCAAAGACGACTCTCTTCTCAAAGGGTTACCTGAGTCAAACATTTTGCAACCTGCCTTGGTAATAGCAAATGGAGTAGCATTTATTTAACTGAGCATTTACTACGTGCCAGTCACCATGGGGAGTGCTTCACTTTGTTTAATCCACACAGCATCCCTATGAGGTGGCTACTCTTAGCATATTCCCTCTGGAGATGAGGAAAGAAGAGAAGAAAGGTTAAACGACTTGTGCAACATCCACAACTTGTAAGTTTCAGAGCCCAGGCCTGAGTTGAGAGCCAAAACACCCACTTCTCAAAACAGAGGGGACACCACAATACGTTTTAATTACCTCCACAATGCTTTTAGTAGAAAAGGACAGGGTGATACCGGCCTGAAAATGTTCCCCACACCGTTATGTGGCACTCTAATTATAAGGAACAATCAACAATAAGTGCCTTTTTGGCTCTCTGCTGTGACAAACTGCAAAGGCAGCAGGGCAGGAGGCAGGTCTGAAACATAAGCCTTGGCCTTTGCATGGGGCAAGGGGTGCTGGGAGTGAAGTAAGATGAGGCGCTATTTGGTCACATGACCTCAAGCGTGATCAGCCTTGAGTGGTAATTTATGGGGCACAAACCTCCTCTGGCTTAATCCAGAGAGGCTTCTTTTTCATGACGAAACAAATTCTGTCACATCGATGCGTTCCTGCCTCACCTGCCTGCCCTTCCTAGGCCAACCTGACAAGAACCCGGAATACAGCAGGGTTCTGAGCATAACTGGAGGCAACATCCTCAGATACAGTTCTGAATTTTCCCAGAATAGAAGGGGACTGTCTCAAGTGAACCCCTATTAAAACACAGATGTTCACATCCCCTACATCCGGACTGCCTGGCCTATGCAGACAGAACAGGGAATCCATCCTGTTCTGTAAGGAGCCAAATAGCATTTCCCTGGTGGCCACACCCAGGTTGTGATAAGGCTCAGGGTCGTGGGAAACAATGCAGAGGAAAGGAGGGTAGTGTAGACGCCTCCGCTGCTAGCTGGAGGCCGCGCACTGGATGGCTAATGAGGCCCAGATGCGGGTCTCTCACAGACTGATCCGGGGAGATGTGAGAAAGGAATGCGATCATTTCCGTCTGAAATAACGTGCTCCCTCTTCCCCGACACCTCGGGCCCACTTCATTACTTCCTCCACAGATGATCTCAAATTAGGAAGCCAATCCTTCCCCTCGATATGATGCCAAGTTAGTGCCACGAGGGTGTAAATCAAGTGTTTCATAAACACTGTGTGGGCTAATTTCTTTCCAGGGGTACTCAAGTCAGTCATCTCCCTCTCATGAGCATTCGCTGCTTTCCCATAAAGTGAGCATGCCTGTGCTTTCTTTGATGAGTGATGCTAATTGTCATTTGGGGTGAGCTACAAAGCTCTTTCTCTAGAGCATTAGCTGAAAGTTAATGCATTCCACAGAGATATCTGGGGGCCCAGTTTTCAACATCCTGATGCTTCTCATCACCTTATTCTGTCAAGGTAAACCCAGATTTCAGCTGGGAATAAAGCCTTGTGGGTTTAAGTCTGTCTCCTGATTTTCATACTTTCTTTGATTCCTATGACACAAAGCAATGTTGATAGGAAATTATTTTGTACCACACTTCCCTCCTTGGCGTGTCCTTCAACAGCCATTCAAATTCCACCTAAGTTTCACAGGAACTATGGAAACATATCCTCTACAGATGGGCTTAGCATGAAAGTTATTGCCCCACTGTGCAGAGCCCAGTGGTCTGACATTATTTACCTCCCTCTGAACACTACTACAAAAGGAACTACATCTTGCCGAACCCTTTAGCAACAAGGAACATAATACATGTGCCCAGTGTGCTGTTAGATGCATATCTGTAGTCTCTGTATTTCAAATTGTTCTATGCATGAGTCCAGTGCAAGAAAAAGTGTGGCTCAAAGGCTGTGTCTACAGCGCATAAGGTTTTAATGGCCTTCGCTTGCTTGCAGACCAATCCCTTAATTTTCCGGTTATCCAACCATTTGCCATTTGGCTTCCTATTTTGAAGAATATGCTTGTTGACACATTTTACTGAAAAATCAAGTAACCTGAAATACAAACTGTGACTTTAGTGGTAGATTATTTGTTTTGTAGGTGGGTGCCCAATTTGAGCAGCTATTATCTACTTTTTTCATTTTATAATGTTGACCAAATCTTAAAAAAAATTTTATTTCAGTCTGGGTCTCAGGCCAACAAAATAGTCCCTTGAACTTGACTGAAACATATGGATGTGAGATTTCATTTATTGTTTTTGGTAAAGTCATGTTCCTCCAGAAATTGTGCAGGGGTCACATGAGAATCTTGGGTGCTGCCACTTGCCTGAAGCTGTTTCCACTAGCAACGATCTTCCTAAAAACACATGTCAGCAGTTAGCAATCCAGGAGTATGACTGAAGCCAGCCCTAGGGAGCTTCATTTCTATTTTGGAGACTCACTGGCCTTCCAAGGGACAGAAAAAAAAAATTGGATCATTTGGCTTTGCAGGAAACCCCTTGCCTAATTTCTATTTCTCTAAGCCACACCCTTTCCGGAACGCTGTCATCTGCTACGGTGTGACTGGTAATACATTTCGGAGTTCGAGAAATAATCCTTGACACCTCCCCACTATGCATTATCATCTTAAAACTATCACAAGACCCACAGGAAAACAGTTCTTCTATCTAGGATCTTTGGAAAAGTGATCGAGAACTCACTTTGGTACCTCTGGGGATACTGAAGTAAAAAAATTTTTTTTTAAAAAAATCTTGTTTCAGGGCCGGGGTTTAAGCACACCGCTGTTGGACACACTGTTAGAAAAGAAAGTAAATCCAGAAGCCGTGATTTCAAGCAGAATTGAGTGTGGGTGTTGGCTTTATGCGGCATTATGACAGCTAGCCTGTAAGATGTCCAGGGAAGCCCAGCGGGGCAAGCCATGCCCAGCACCAATTCCCTGGACTAGGAAAAGCTCTGCTGATCATCCCCCTGAGCTTCTGTGTAGCACCTCCCGATTCCTGACCTTGGTGTGGGCCAGCAGGGTCCTCTGCACCTCTTCTTAACCCAGGCCTTGTGTGTCCCTAAAATCAGATCTTTTCAGTTCTTCCTCCTCCCCTTCTCTCAAAGTTACTATCACTTCCCACACCCAGGTCAAGTTACACCTGTCCGTTTTTTACGGTTGATTTTCTCCAGACCAGCAAGCAACACATATCAAGGGTTGTGGTTCATCACCATGCCCTTGCTGGGAGTTCTCAGAACCAGCTGCATCGGCATTGCCTGGGCACTTGTTAGGCAGAATCCTAGACTCCACCCCAGACCTATGGGATTTGTATGCACTTTAAGTTTAAGAAGCACTGGTCTGGAAATGACAGGTCTTTCTTGAAAGCAACTTATTTCTGAGAGTTCATGAGTGATCTAGAATTCTGGGCCAATTCACAGAATATTGACAACCATGGCTGCCTTCTAAAATCTCCCAGGTGAAGTCTTCATCCTGCAGACAGAATGATTTATGATAATTTGACTTACAATTTTTTGACTTTATGATGGCGCAAAAGTAATACACATTCAATAGAAACAGTACTTTGAGTACATACAACCATTTTGTTTTTCACTTTCAGTACAGTAGTCAATAAATTATTTAATCCTCTACTATAAAATAGGGTTTGTGTGAGTTGATTTTACTAGAATAAAGGCTAATATAAGTGTTTTGAGGATGTTTAAGGCCAGCTAGGCTAAGCTATGATGTTTGTTTGGTAGGTTAGGTGTATTAAAAGCCTTTTTAACTTAATGTATTTTTAACTTATGATGGGTTTATCAGGACATAACTTCATTATAAATCCAGGAACATCTGTATTTGGATATCCAGGAGATATGTTTAAATCTGTAGTAAATTTGTTTAGTTTAAAAGGGAAATTAAATGTTCTGGTTACCACACACACCAAATAAAGATATGTAATTTTTGAAGAATTAACCTAAAGAAGATCTATCTAATACGCAATCTGAAGGCACTTTGAAATCTTGTAGTGTCTCATATTTAGCACCAGCTGACAAAGGCTGGGGATAAAACAGCCTTTGTTTTAACTGAAATTCTCCTGGAAAAAACATCCGAGAGTCTCCATGATTCCCCCAATGACCAACTGATTTTCCTTGAAGTTTTGGAGTACTCAGTATTCACAGGGTTGTGAGTGGCTTCCAAAAATAGATTTCTGGGCTGCATGTCATCCCTAATAGAGCAGAACTGTCAGATGTTGGGGTAGGGATTTGTGGTTTTAAATCTCCCTAGTGACTGCAGAAGGACCATAAGTGGGAGCAATTATTCTAGGCCACTGAGGGGCTCCAAAGGTGGCTTCTGTCTTATGTTGTAGCTGTAACCTCAATCACAAACACAGATTTATACACAGAGATTTTGATGACATAGAGTTCTGAATCCAAAGGTGAGGAAGGGTTTTGTTGTCTACGTGTCAGTCCTTGAACTTGTGTCTACATGTTTAGTAAACTACGGTGGTCTTTTATTCCACTGAGGACAGAATATCACTGTAATATGTAAATATATGCTACTGCCCTAAAGAAAAAAAAGAATGCAAAATGTTCTGAGTAGCTACGCTATGCCCACTGCATTCAATCAGAAATGGTCCTGAAGTTTTTGTTTTCAAGCAAACTTGGCTGAAGTCTAGATCATTTTATAGTGGAATCACAAAGCAATTTGTTTTTCCTCTCACAAAGCAATTTGTTTTTCCTCTCTGAGGTGAAAATATAAAGCCTCCTGTTACTTATGCCATGACATCTAAAAAGCAGATGATATTATACATTTTCATTGTCGTCAAGAGTCTACGTTTTTGTTCCTTTCTAGCAGATTATTTAATTACTCTGCCAAAGGATGCTCATAATGTCATGTTTGCAAAACAGCTTTAAATGCTTTCAAATACTTCCAAGATTAAAATAACTGCTGAGTTATTTTGCTTTCTGTGGACAGTTCAATTTCATCTCTGAATATACTCTTTTTCTGATGGATTTATAACTACTACACAATAGTAGCCATCCATAAAGAACAATATAATAGGTACTAAGAATCTAGCACTCACAGTTGTTCTGTTTTTGGCATTTGTGGCTTATGAGAGCCTCTGCTATTCCTTTCAAGTGAATCTGCTTTCATGCAGCATTTACTTCTTGACAGTTCACATAATTTAGTCAACACTCCTTAATTTTTTCCCCTTTGATCCATGACTATGTGTAAACCAACCAAACAAAAAACTATAAAACTCTAAACATAGTGAATTTCTCCTGTTTTTCCTCCCTTCTCCTTCTAGTTGGTTATTTACATCACTAGTGACATACTATAATAAATTGCCATCACCATCCCCTTCCTCACTGTGGATCAAAGCCTTGGAGTGCTTGATGAAAATTTATTAGACCTCTGCCCACTGATTCCCACCTGGCTGCTCACAGCACCCTTGGCCAGCATTGCCTTGAGCTGGCTGGAGACGGACACTCTGATGACTAACAGCTGGGTGTCTCAGACAAGCCGTCTCTACCTCCAGCATCCACGGGCTAACTCTGCTTGCTTTCCTACTTCTCTTTTCTTATCTTACACTTAGGTCTTTTGGTCAATTCATGGCAGAGGCTGCCAAGGATGTCAAAAACAAGACGTGGGGGCAAAGGGGTGGGTGTGGCCTGCAGATGGTCTATGTGCCATACCAGGCCACTGGACGGTGCTGCTGGGCTGGTGATATTCGGGTCACTGATGTGGGGTAGCCAGCCACTGAGAGGTCCTGGGGAGCCTGAAAATCACAGGCTGGGCAGAGAGAAACACTCTGAGGGGCTTTACTGTGGGAGATTTACAAGACCCAGGGGTGTTTACATCTGTGCTCAGTTTCAAGCATTTTCCCGACTGCTTCATGCCACGGTGCTCCAGCTTATCATTGCAAACACAGCCAAATAAAAACTACATGTGGCATTTGGTAAAATTTATACAGAGGGGCAGCTGTTGTATCCTGCCTCACCTGAGGCTCATCTAATCAAACAAATCTGGCAATAAGGATGAGAGACTGTAAAGTCCAAATGAAGCATTATTTTTTTTCTGCATCCCCTTTCCCACTGTGCCACAATGCCTATGGAAAATGAGACCAAATCAAAACCTTGTAAGAGTCTGTAATTACCCTGACAGCAATGACTTATCATTTGTACACCCCTGTATTTTCTGTCCCTTCTTCTGAAGACTCACTTCAGGCATGCGGGAGCACTTACAGCCAAGATGTCAGGAACAGAAACACAGTAACCATCTGAATATTGATTGTATACAATCTTTATATTGACTGTATATTGACCACCTGTATTGATAACCTACAAGGGTTTGCAGATAGATTGCTAGATCATGTTTTTGGTGATTAAAAAGAGAATGGGGGCTCCTGGATGTAAAATACCATACTTGAAGGTAGTGGTCAAGTTTTGGAATTTTTTCACTTGCTTCATTCTACATTTGTGCAGCGTTCTACCCTATGTCAGTGATTAGAAAACTGGGCAATTAACTTCACGGATTTCTACCTGCCCTTAGAAGACATCCATTTTCTGAACACCCAGGAAGTCCTGATATATGCTAAAATGTGCACCCACAAACTCACAAGGCTGCATAAGAGGCCAAATTCAGCAGGCCCTGCTGTCAGCCACACCCTCATCCCACAACAGCTGCTCTCATCAGTTACACCCTTTGCATCCTTGTCTAGATGTTATTTTCTGGACTCCTCCAATTCCATAGTCACTCAGATAAATTCTGTAGAACAATAATACTGACATCTGGATTTTGGGAGGCCAGGGAGAGTTGAGGAGAGAGAAAGGGATGAGCTGAGAAGGGAAGGATTTGCGATGCAAGGCAACTGTCAACACAACAATTCTGGCTGATCATGCTGTTCCTTGGGCTCCCCGTTTGACCTCCACCAGCCTTTCTATTGTCGTGCCCTCCTGTCATTCCCCAGTGTTTTCTTTTCCTTTTGGTAGTGGAGGTCCCCACACTGTCAGCCTTTAGAGTGCATGTGTAGTTCCAGGACCCAAACTACAAGCAGGGAAGTGTTGCCATGCTCATGCATGATGCTGACCTTCTCCCTGTGGGTCTGAGCCACAAAGTGTGCTCTTGTGGTTATTTAAAAGTCTGCCTCCGGCCAGGTGGATCATGTGAGGTCAGGAGTTTGAGACCAGCCTGGCCAACATGGTGAAACCCTGTCTCTACTAAAAATACAAAAATTAGCCAGGCGTGGTGGCACATGCCTGTAATCCCAGCTACTCGGGAGTCTGAGGCATAAGAATTGCTTGAACCCAGGACAGAGAGGTTGCAATGAGCCGAAATTGTGCCATTGCACTCTACCCCAGGCAACGGAGCAAGACTAGCAAGACTCTGTCTCAAAAACTAAATATATAAATAAAATAAAATTAACAGTCTGCCTCCTAGACAATGCCAATCGTTAAAAAGCTGCCTCTCACAGCTCTGCTAGCCTCATGAATGTATGTCAGGAGTCTCAAGTTTACCCCTCAGACACAGGTCAAAATTATCTCTCCACTGTCTCCCAATCCCCAACTTAGGAACTTCCCAGGATTCCTGACTTTTACTAGACACTCAGCTTCAGACCTAAATTAGAGAGATAACTTACCTGCTTTTCACGATACTTTTGATACAATCTCATTCCACCTTCCACTCCTCTTTGTGAAACATTGGCATCATTGAGCTTTGCACCGGTTAACATTTTCAAGGTTCAAGACTTTGTAGTATCATCATGAGCATGTCAAATGAGACTATGTATATCAAAATATTTTGTAATCTGTTAAGTAATATAGAAGTGGTTAGATCAGCCAGATACCAGAGCATTAAGACTCTCTGCAGAGTTGTTGAGGCTATACAGTCTGATGTCAGAGCAGGAGTCTCAGCTGACACCCTGAGCAGTTGACAGCGAATCACTTGAGGGACTAAATATGCAAAGCTGCTTCAAGCTCCAGGTGGCCCAGTGCCCATAGGCACGTTTGGATCCATTGCCTTGGAATGCCATCCCTCCCAAGAGGGATTGGGATCATCCAGTAGCCCTATCTAGTTGAAAAGATCTACAGAAGACTACCAATGAAAAGCCACTATCACACCCACACCCACGGGACCTTTGAGTAGGTCTAGGTAGGCGTACACTTTACCAAAAACCAGGATTTTTATGACACTAACCCTAATGATCTTCAACCTATAATAACTGAAGAACCAAATGTCAAACACAGGTCTGGTACTTATGAAACCATTCTAACTTTGAACCAAACTTGGTTAACAAAACTTCAATTCTGTATTGTCCAAGGGACCTACAGAGTGTCCACTATGTGCCATGAGCTTGATATTTAGCCAAGTACATTGCCTGCATTGTACTACATAAGACTACATCGAGTAGTTGGTCACAGCATTCATAAGCTAATGGCTACCTCAAGGCCAAACATAGGACACAAAATAATTACAAATCAGTGCAATAGGCTTCTGTTAGAAATGAACAGATGGCTCGAACAACCTGAATTTCAATGACAAAAAAGGCACAACTCCTGCATACAAGATAATTTCGTCTTTCTCTTCTAATTTTCTGCAAATACAAAATGAAGCAACTACATTTTCCATTTTAAATGATATTTAAATAAATGTTGGTATGAGTTCCATGGAATTTTGCCCATTCTTTTAGGATGGTGAACCCACGTAACCCAGCTTTAATTACTTCTATTCCCCATCTTACTGAAGAGGCTTAGCTCAGTGCCTGGCCCATAGTAAGGACTCAATAAAAGGTTGTTATAATTAAGCTTATCACTCCTATTTAAATATGCTGTTCAATTTTCATCTGGGTGTGCTAACTTCCCTGTAGGAATGCTACTCTGGCTCACATACATCTAGAACCCCTCTAGATGTGTAATGGTCTTTACCCTGGCATTGCTTGATGCATTAGCCCTGCTAAGCCAAAAGAACAGTACTATTACCTTAAGAAATTGTATAGGTCTCTATTTAATAATGCAATTTTTTTGCCAGGTTCTAAGGCATTTGCTGCCACAGTGTACATGAATAAAAAGGAAAAGCATGCATTTTAGACATCAAAGCATAAGCCTTATGGTTACTTTTCTGAAATGGTCATCTTTCCTGGGCGACCAGATTTGTTTTTATAGCTTCAAGAATCCAGGTGTGTCCAGTTTTGTAAAATGAATTAGTTCATTCAGCAAACATTCAGGATCCTGAATCCTTTTACAAGTTAATTATTACAGTATTTAGGTCCTGATGTTGGTGCTTATACTCAACAATTCTTCCAAAGGCAGAGAACCAATTAAGAAGGAGAACACAGCATTGGTCCCACACTATTGGAACAAGACAAAAACACTGCTCAGCCATCTCCTAGTTTTAGAATCAACACATCAGAAAAGGTATCTGGTGTAAGAAGAGAAAGACGGCGGGTTCATAAGCCACACTGCTGACATTCTACAACCTCTCTCCTTTGCTGCCTCTGTGTCCTTCCTCAGATTGAATTACTGAGCTGAGCCACAGGTTCTGTCTCCTTTCATGCTCACTCCATTCCCTCCTATAGAGAAACTACAAAAGCCTACTCTTTGAGGAACTGAGCCAACGCAGAATATTCCTTGCATATACCTGTAGGATGAGAAACTGGTTAATGACTAGGCAGGTGGGGTGGGCACTCAGAGCAGCTGTGTCATCAGCAGTTCATGGCACTATAATAATGAGTTTGTGTTCACTTCCAGGGACATAATGAGTAAGAATTAGCACCTGCCTTCAAGGAGCCCATAGTCTAGTAGGGAAGGCAGGTTCACAAATGGAAAAACTTAACTACTTTGCACAAGGTAGAGGCTGCACCTAGCACAGAAGGGGTAATGAACCCTAAGAGGTGGGGAGGGGTCAGAGAAGACATTTCGGAGGAGGTACGTTGTGAGAAAACATCTGAAGTTTATCAGCCCTAAATGGGGAGTAGGGGACCGATCCCAGCACCCAATGAAATGGTTCCCATGCTTCATCTGTGTCACCAATGTCAATAGGGGACCTTTCCCCACTTTCCACGAGGGGCTTTGCCCATGCAGACACAACCTATGAGTACAAAATTACATTGTAATCCACCAATTCTCTCTTACATTCTTTCGTAAGTCTCACAAGTAAACCAACAGCTGAAATACAGATCTGGCTACAAGAAGTTAAATCCCTTTAGGCCTTCCCAAAGTGGCTGAGCTGTAGTTGGCAGTGGAGTTGTTCTCTGGGCTATGAATCACTGAGGGAAAAGGGCCGGAGAAAACTGCAACCAGCTATAGGGCTGGGGGAGTTGAACAACAAGCATATTCCTTTCTATTAAAATCAGATGTTATCAAATTTCATCTGTTTTCTTGTTATGCACAGAAATGCACTGAAAACATGTTTGAAACATGTTCAGGAAAAAACACATTAAGATATTTTTATTCTTATGAGTGCAAGCACGGAGGGATTTGAAGTCATCTGCTATCAATATTCAATAAACAAATCTTACCTATTTGATCTCTTAAATGTTACCAAGTGGAACCACATCCTGATAACAAAGAGCTTCATAAGATTAAGCAAAATCATCTTTAGCAGAAAGAAACATGCAGTTTCCTCTTGTTGCTCTAAAGGCAGTAACATAGGATATTAGTTACAGCATTAGCATAATCCTGAGCTTACTTTATTTTAAAAGCATGGGAACAAATATTTGATGATGCCTCAAGTTTTACCAAACTCAAGTTTTTCCAGCTGGCAAACCACAGGCTGAAAAGTTAAGTCATATAAGGCTTTATAGCCCCATGTACTAAAAATATTCCCAGCCAATGGGTAATTTTTTAAGCTGTTCTAATCTTACCTGTAGGTGGATAAATTTTAAGCTTGAACAACATTTTAAGGGGTAGGCTTTTTGTTAACTATAGCCAAGAGGTAAAAATAGTCCAAACCCAATTCTGGCATTCATTTGCAAGGTCATGTTTGAGACTAAAATTTATGTGTATAAAAAGGATTTACAAACTTAATGCTGAACCCAAAATGTGCCATATTAGTTACCATGACAAATGACAAATCTAGCCCTCTGACTTCACACTTAGCTGAAGTGCCTGCAGCTTAATGCAAGCTCAGCTTTGAGAGGATGAGAGGGCAGTAGGCTTCAAAAGGTTCTGTGGTTTGGCTGGGATGCCTGACCTCAGAATCCACCTACTCAGAAAGGTCTGGATCCCAGGAATCTCTAAAGAGACTCCAACGAGGTGGCATGCACACACCTATATTCTTTGGGGGTGGAGGGTTATGAAGGATAAAAAAGACAAATTTAACTTGAACAACTAGAAAATAAATAGACTGAAAAGTATGTTTAAACCCCTTGATGGATCAAAGATCTGTAAAATATATACTTATCCTAAGTTATGGGCTGAGTCTGTGAGATGATAAGAAGTGCAGCTTCAATGATCTGGAGAAAAGATGGATGTTTACCCTGGATAACTGTAACACAGTCAGCTTCTTACTGGAGATGTCATCAGAGAAGCCACAGTGACAGTATTCACACTGCCTCAGCATGGCAGATGAAGGCATACATCCTGAGCTAGATGACATGACCCACTGGGCTTCCAACCTCTTCCCACCCTGGTGTCCTGCCATGCCCCACCCTGCGGTGAGCTCATTAATCCCTCAGCCAGTCCTTCCCAGTTAGTCTGTCTAGGAACCAATGAAGATGGGACTTTAGATATCTAACTGCAAACATCCTAGAGGCTTCTGATAGACATCATTTGTCCTTCTGTAGTAGCCCAGCTCAGGGATCCAATCCATCATAGCTCCTAGAGGTAAATACTTTGGTTAGTGAGGTCCATGGTGCTTCTTCTTCCTGCTGCCTTTCACTATTTCCTGCTTAACTACTCTGCCCAGCCTGACTGGGGCTGTGTCTCACTGATCATGCAATGTCAGTAAAGATGGCCCCTGGAAGCTCAGTGCCTGCCGTCATCTGCAGAGGAACATTCTCTGTGGAACAGAGTATGGTCGGCAGTGGGTGTGGCTGCTCAGTTTGGGAACACTAATTTAGGATGGTGGCTTTGGCAGGGCATCCTTGTCCATCTGCAATATCGATCTTGTCCTCCACCCCTCAAAAAAGAAGTCCAGTCTTGTACTCCAGCAGCTTTTCAATATTATGACTAGTCAGCCCATATATAAAGGTCAAATTCAGCAACTCAAATGCAGGTGGCTTAGGGTATCAACTGGTAATGTGTAAATGCAGTTACTTCTGTGACAATCAAATGTGTGAAGGTTGAGGCCTATGGGTGGAGGGCAAGGCAGCATGTCACTCCAATCTGTAAACAAGGTCACTCTCTAAGCATCACATTTGATTTTCCAGACTGCGAACAGGACTTATTATTTTTTCTTTAGATGGAGTTTTGCTTCTGATGCCCAGGCTGGAGTGCAATGGCATGTTCTTGGCTCACCGCAACCTCTGCCTCTTGGGTTCAAGGGATTCTCCTGTCTCAGCCTCCTGAGTAGCTGGGATTACAGGTATGCACCACCATGCTCAGCTAATTTTTGTATTTTTAGTAGAGATGGAGTTTCTCCATGTTGGTCAAGCTGGTCTCGTACTCCCGACCTCAGGCGATCCACCTGCCTCGGCCTCCAAAAGTGCTGGGATTACAGGCATGAGCCACCGTGCCCAGCCAGGACTTCTTTCTAATTGACGTCTTCCAACTAAATGACAATTAAGTTGCCTGGCCAATAAATTCTTGTGGTTTGGTCTACATAAATTTCTTAAAAAGTATATTAGTCTTTTACATGTTCAACATTGGTTTCTGCCAGATTTGTGAAGTAATAGAAAAAAGTGGTCATAAATGAAACACATCCTTTGTAGCTCATATGAAAAGGATGCCAACATGCATTCCCTGAATTCAGTGTGTTTTTAGAAAAAGCAGTATAATTTATATCATTTCATTTACAACAGTGCTAAGTTAATGCTCTTGGCTGATTTTGACAGAGGCCTTTCCAATCGAACTGCAATGATTTGTTTCCCTTAAACACTTACCGTACTGAAGGACTTTTAATTAGCTTTCTAGCGTGTTTTCCTGATGGACATCACCTCCCTAAAGCCTTGTAAGTTTCCTGGCTTCTAAAAAAGAACAAGAAGTTAAGGGGCATTCTTTGGGTTTCAGGCTTTCTGTGAGTCAATAACAAATCGTTGTTTCGTGAAATTGGGTGCAACTGCTTACTGGGAATCACGGAGAGGCTTCTTTCTCCACCCTCTCAGTCCAGTCCCCAAACCTGCTCAGCAATTTGACTATATTTTATTTTACAACTCATTGTGACAGTGTCACTAAAAGGCAAGTTTTTACACAATAATGTCAGCTGGGAGTGGTAATATGAGACCACAATTAGGCATGACCTTTACTTAATGAAGCACTCCCTAAAGGGTGGTGGAGGAGTGCCAAAGCTCAACAAGGTTAACCAGACTATCTTTAGTGAATAAAATTCTCAGAGGCTTGAATCTGCACTGTGAGTCTTTTAAATCTGTACCTACGACCTACAGCAGGTCCCAAACTCAACCACAGACTCCTTCTTTGGAAGAGCATCTCATGGGATGAGTGTTCTCAAGAACTCACTCTGGGGCAACTTGACTTTCTTCACTGAATTAAGAAAGTGCTGGAGGAAGGGACCATGACCTTGTTGTGTTCTGATTGGGTGGGATGAGGTAGCAGAGATGAAGTAGTGACAGAGTGTCAAGGAAGTCTGTGAGTAGGGTGTAGCAGATCTTAAAGGCGTTTCACAAAAATCAGAACCTTTATTTGGCTCCGAGATCTGTCATGAAGCACAGGGAGGAACGTAGTGGAGGGGCTGATGTGGCACCTGTGAATGTGCAGCTATCATTTCCCCTTCACACTCTCGTGAGAGCAGTCAACTAGCCATATATTATAAAACTGAGGGTCCGGACCTTTGACTCAATTACTTCCCTCACTGATTCTGCCAGGTGACCAAAGACCCCTATTAAGATCATGCTCTTTGGGGGTGTAACCCAGGCATTCCGAAGATTTTAAAGTGGGAATGCTATCAAGGAGAATAATGTGCTAGGCCATGGTTAGTCAATGCCCTTGAACCTCATGACTTGCTCATTATTATTCCCTAATATCCCCTCCACTTGGAATCTTCATTTATTGTTCCCCGTTTTCCACTCCTAACCAGGCCTCTCAACACTACTGGGGAGAAAGTCTATTTTCTCTTCATAAAAGTGCCAGGGACTGCTCTTCTGGAAGAAAGGGCCCTATGTGGTAGGGCTTCAGAGTACAAGGCCAGAAAACACCAGGCAAGTCACACCATGGCCCAAAAGGAGGATGGGGTGAAAATGCGGTCATGCCAAACCTCACCTCACAGTTCTGGCTACAGCCAGTCCGGGCTGCTGAGGACATCTGCCTCCATGGCTGTCGGAGAAGAATATTTTCAAATTGTTAATTCAACCACTGAGGGACTGGGAGGCTAGAGAGGCAGTAAACTCTGTTGAGTGTCACTGCCAAAGCAAGAGTCTATTTATGTGAGATCACGCTGAGGCAAGGCTGCACACGAATAACGGCAAATCTTGCTCTTGAGTTTTAGTAGAAAAATGAAGTGTGGTACCTCATAAAGCCATTTGTCAATGAAAAGTTCGTGCCGCTGACTCAGTTCTGCTCTGCCCTGAGTCTGCATTTTTCCCTCCCTTCCCCCAGTGGCAAAGGCCTATTTGGACCTGACATAGGAATCATCTTTGGTTCTCTTCCGGGTAAGTGAACTGAATTTAAATCCTCAAAGCACTCCTCCTGTGACCTTCAGGAACAGCAGCCAGACCCTGACATCAGTTGGCCACATTTATTCCTGAAATTTCTAGCTTTTGTGTCCTAGATATGAGGCCCCACTTGGCACTTGAGAAGTAGTTCAGTGCTTAATTATTTATAAAATAAATAACATGATTTTGTGCTTTTATTTTATAGGATATGATGACATAAGGGATGATGTATGTTCAAGGTAGCCTCAGAGGAAGCAATACCTCCAGGTAGTTCATCTAAGTGGGGACATTTCTGCAGGATTTCAAACGACGCAGCTGGTGTGAAGCATTGTACATTTCAAGAACACCAGATACAGATGTATAAGAAAGTGGATGAATGAAAACAAACTCAAAAGTACATTCAAACGGAGCACTTTGGTTACCCTGGACTACTGTATTTTCTACCCAGCCCAGTTCCATTGATGTAACATCCTACCATCTAGAAGATCCTCCTGTTTTAAGACACTATCTTGCAAATGCCCCTGCTCCATACTCAGACTACTGCAATTACACAGTAAGATTAATGAATTCACAGTCTGTTTCTGAGGATTTAATGACTTCTTAATAGAACAGAGTGCACACATAGCTAGACTATGACAAATCATAAAAGATTCTTAATAAGAAACCCCAATTAGTTAATTAAAATTTGCTAATTGAAAATTCTAAGAATAGCATGTAAAATATTCCAGACCTTGAGATAAAGCAGTAAAACACATATCTAACGTGCCCACCAGACAAGTTTTACATATCTATGCAATAGAAGACCTTGGTAAGTGAAACAAGAAATGAGGGAATAGGTCATCACATAGAAACCTTGAAAGTGGTCTAATAGATCAGGAGAGAGAACTGGAAATTATTATTATTTATCACACAGAGAGGAGGTGCAAGGAATGGGGTCACCTTTATTAATTTACTCATACATTTCTTACTCCCCCTACTCCGTTACAGATTCATCTCTCTGTAATGGTATAAAGGCATATGTAAGAAACATTGAATGGATCTTATCAATTTTGGATATTTTAACATTCATTCCTGTTCTTAAAATATGCACTTGATGCTCAGGGTGGCTCTACAAGAAAATGCTCAAAATGTGCCTCATTAAGATGGCTGATGTAAATTTTTACTAAAGAGTAGGTGAAATGTTGTAAGGAAAGGAATGCCTTCTAAAGCAAGTAGAGAGAAACCATTTTTTAGCTCCAAATGCCACATAACCAGTTCTAAGTTAAGGGGAAAGGAGGAAGAAGGATAACAGAGCTACAGGACTCAACCTCCATGAAGTCATCACATGGAAACCTTGACAGCAGTCTAATACAGCAACCCCTAGTTTGTGTGCTGCAGAGGGAACATGGCTGCTGCTCCACCAAAGCAATCTGGCAGGCTAGACTTTACAGCTCACCCAAAGCATCCTTGGAGCTGTCTACATGGCTCCAAGCCCAAAGCCCAGCCCAGGCTCTCTGATTCGTTCTTGTTTCGAGCCAGGGGTCCAGTTCTGTGTGACTTACGTTTCCTCACCATAACTTGGGAGTAAAGTAAGGTGAAATGTTCTGGCTTTGACTTCAGCCTTCAAATTTGATTTTGCAGTCCAGACGGTACCACATCCACCCTAGCATCCCCAAGTCAGGGCTCCTTACAAAGAATTTTTGGAAAGAAGAATGGATGACAATGGGGAGGGCAGAAGGAGACAAGCAGGGAAGGAGCTGGGATGTGACCTGCTAATAGAAATTAGAGTAGTACTAATAGCGGTAATTGGTTTTACTAGCAGTACCAGTAAAGTGCAAGAGTAATGGCAAGATTAGCAATGGCAGTGGTGGTGGCAGAACAGTGACAGTAGTAGGAGTAATGTTAATGGCAGCAATCATTTGAGGAAATGCCTACTGAGTGGTAAAATAAAAAGACATGTTATTAACTTTTCTGTATTATCTTTACTTTGCAGATGAGAAAATTATAGCTGTAACCTGCCAAGGGAACCTGTCCAAGGCCACACACAGAGTAAACAGCAGATAAAGATTTGACATCAGGTGTCCCAGTGCTTTCTAATTATGATCAGGGTTCCCTGAACAAATCTCAGGAAATACTTCTAGGCTAGTCATTTTACCATTCCTTTTACATAAAATGTCATTCTCCCTCTCTAGCTAGCCAACTCCTCTTTATACTGCAAAGTCCATCTCACTTTTTCCTCCATGAAACTTCTCTGATTACTTTAACCCTATGAAGTTATAGCACTGATCATTTGAGCTATTAGCTTGGCACAAGGACATACTTTGGCCCTGTGACATACTTTACACTGCTATTTAAGTTTCCATGTTTGTCATCTTGAGTATCTAGACCCACCAGTTATATTTCTTTGTCTCTTCTAAAGTACCTGGCACCCACGAGTATACAGTAACCATTCTCCATACAGAGCATATGTTACAGACACTCTAAAACTGAATTAACAGCTGGGCACAGTGGCTCATGCCTGTAATCCCAGCACTTTGGGAGGCCAAGGCAGGCAGATCCCCTGAGGTCAGGAGTTCGAGACCAGCCTGACCAACATGGCGAAACACCATCTCTACTAAAAATAAAAAAATTAGCTGGGCATGTTGGTGGGTGCCTGTAATCCCAACTACTTGGGAGGCTGAGGCAGGAGAATCGCTTGAACCCAGGAGGCGGAGGTTGCAGTGAGCCGAGATCATGCTATTGCACTCCAGCCTGGGCAACAGAGTGAGATGCTGTCTCAAAAAAAAAAAAAAAATGTGCAGATGAGTTTCTTAATCTTGTGGAAGTGCATGATACTCAGATCAGATGCCCTTTCACAGATGATAAGGACAGACTGTACCAACGTACTGGGGGTCTAAAATGAGGTTAGAGTGAAATACTGCTACCTTGCCACCTACTTTACTCAGCATAAAAATGCATTTAAATCCCTCAATTCTTCTCTCTGGAAAAGGTATACATCTGTGAGCACCTCCTAAGAGAAAAACGCAAACTTCAGAACATGAAATCTTCCCAGTTAGACTTGTTGTGCTTATTTAATTGAATGGCATTTTCACTGGAAAATTTTAATCAATTCATGTGTCTCCTTTAAATCACAAGACTGAAAGGACCCAGGGAATCCAGTAGTGAGAATTTACTCCTTTGGGGAAAAAACCTCTAAATGCTAATTTTTAACCTGCATATCTTTCTTGCCAAGGGCACTACGTTTATCTTGTGTGCACAATTTCTTTAGGTTACACTCACTTTGGGGTAACCCATGCCAAATGAACCCAGCAGGCAGACTTAGAAGAGAAGGCATTGTGTAAAAATGTAACAAGGATTGACTGGCTCTAACAATGTCTGACAGTCTTGCTGGTATATTCTTCAGTGCACAACAGGGTATTCTGTAGGAGTTAAGCTGTGGCATGAGGTGGAAGTTCAGCCTGGCTGCTGACATATTTTGGACAGCAGAGAGGGCTGAGGTTGCTGTGGTTGCCCTGACAATTGAGGGGTTGGCACATCAGCAGAATGAGAATTGGAGAAATCTGGCAAAAAGTAAAGCCACAGGAGGGTGAAACCTGGAGGAACAAAGCCTGGTTTCCCAAGCCACCCAGCAGGCTCAGGTCCGTGAGGCTCCAACTCATAACCTGGTGGAGGCTGCTGGGAGAAAAGTGCAGGAAGGTACGCAGACAAGGAAGGAATGGCAAGGGAAGCAGCAGAGGGGAGATGCTGAAGGTGGGCAGAACAGACAACAAACACAGCTAAGAATGAGGAGTCCAAGAGAAGCATGACAGGCCAAAGAAAACCCTGGGGTGTTATAGAGGGAGCATGTGAGAGCAGGCAGTGCAGAAGCAAATGGAGTCAATCAAACCTCTTCATCAAAATGGAAACACAGCATTTGAGGACTTACTGTTTGAACTTCTATGAGAAACCAGGACAATAAAAGCTGGCAGTTTTATTGCTTACTATGTGCCAGGCACTGTTCTAACTGTTTTACAAACATTAACTTATTTAGTACTTATAACAGTCGTTAGGGTAGCTATTACAACCTCCATTTTACAGATGGATAAACTAAGGCACACAGAGGTTAAGTAACTTGTCAAAGGCCACCAAGCTTATCAGAAGCAAAGATGAAATTTCAACTCAAGTAGTCTACCTCCAGAGTCTGTGTTCCTGGTCACTAAGCTATACTCTCTCCCACGGACCCACGACATGTAATTATAATATATGATGTGTATATGAAACGTAATTGCCTGAGGCAGGATTCTCAATTCCGACTGCTGCCCAAGGCTGGTGTGTGGGTGAGTGGCACAGGCGATGACTCAGACCCACTGATTGTCCCAGACCACATCATAACTGGGAGAAGCTGGTTTCTATTTGTCACCACACATATGCCCAGGAACTCTGGTGAAGACATTAAAGAGTTTATTTTTCAGGAAAATATTCTCCCCAAAGAAAGCTTACTGCAAGAGCCAGAGGTGGCAGGAAAGAAGGAAAAAGGGACAGGTTTTGCCAGATTACAGAAGAATTCCTTTTTGGATAAAGAATAGAATGCCGACTTTGATGCTAGCTGGACTTGTCCACCAGTCAATATAAAACAAGGAAACATTGTCATTTAAACAGTTCCAGTAGGAGCTCCGGACAGAGCAACACTGCATTTTAAGGGGGAAATTGTACACCCATGCCATGGTATTTGAGAATCTAGGGATTCATGATGCTCTCCGGATCTTTCCATCATGGGTATCAAAGGTTTACTGTCATCACCTAGAGGCAGAAGGCTATATGCTGGTCCAGGACTTTGGCACTGGAGAGACCTGAGTTCAAATCCCAGCTCCACTAGTGGTGAGTAACCTTTTTGAGCTCTGTTACCTTATCTATAAAATGAAGATGGCATCTCAGCCATAATAATAGATTATTTAAATAGTGATCATAAACACTCTTTGCTTTTTCATATCAACTTTTGTTTGATGTGAATTCTTGAGAGTCTTCATGTACAACAACACGATTCACTGCAGTATGGATATTCTCACTTAATTTATTGAATATTTACCAAAAACAAGACTAACTGTACACAAGAGGAAATACACATAGGTAAGAAGTATGAAATCATTTTCCTCAACATTTTCTGATTGTAGATGTGCCTTTGTTGATGTTATGTTAAAAAAGGGTAAAAGTGATCATAGTAATATTCAGGAAATTACCCTGACAACCATACCCATTAAGTGTTAGGAAGGCCAAGCCTCACAGTTCATATGCATCACTTATGAAAAGTTTATCCAACTGGCTCTCATGGCTGGGTGATTCACAGTCTTCCCCAATCCACAGAGAGTCAAGACTTGCTTTTCTAAAAACAGAAAGCTTTCATGCTAATCCTGGAATCTCTGAGGGACAAGAGAAGCCAAAGGGATCAGTCCTTGTATTTTATAAATGGTGGATACAAGTTATATTTGGAATCCCATATTGAATGCAGAACTAACAAATCCATAGAGGAAAGGCAGTAGGCTTTGCCAGCCCATAAATTAATTACCTTTAATGGCCAGGCTTAGGGTAAAAGCAAGAAGATATGCAAGGGCTTCCCTATCTGCTGCTTTCATTTTGTATTTAGTCCTGGAATTAAAATCACGTCTAATCAGCAAGAAAAGCAGTTGTTTTAAAAACAGTAACATGCTGAGGGGAGAATTTCCCCTGATATTCTAGGGAATTTGAACTTTGGCCCTTGCTGTGGAATAATCCTACATATGCCTTTCTGAAATACACTGCAAATCTTTTTTGTCCTTGTTAAATGAATAGACTGAAGCTCTGAAGCTTAACAGAAATGATCTACCCACTATCCCTCCTTTTAAAACTTCACTGTGTGGGGTTAGCATTCACCTGTTTAATAAACTCAGCAAGCTGAACATGGCAAACCTTCATTATTAGGGAATCTGAATTCCAAATTCAGATTGTGCTGCAAAGTTTAATTCTTTGGGATGGATTTTCTGTGAATGAAGGGGAATACATAATAATACAGAATTTTCTGGGGAATATGTTCTCATGTATACTACGTTACAATTTGGCATACAGCATTCTGCAAACATTTTCTATTTAAGTCAAGGACAATTTTAGGAGTATGGTAATAATCATGTTCCTCCATATCACAGTTAAATTTCAATTAACTTTAAATTGGAAACAATGTAGCTTTGGAGCTCTCTTTCCAACTGTTAAGAGGATCAGAGCAAATGCTTGGATGAGGAAAAAAAACTACTCTTTTATTTCATTCCAAATTCAAAATTGCCATGCTTGTTCCCTATGATTACTCATATTAAGTTATAATGGTAAATTGGGGGTAGCTGTCAATCCTGGGGTCTTGCACATTGTTGTGATGTGTCACAAACATTCAAATAATTGCACAAATGATAGCAAATGGATCAATGTTTGCAATTCCCCCCCCCCCTTTTTTTTTGGAGACAGGGTCTTGCTCTGTCATCTAGGCTGGAGTGCAGTGGTGCAATCACAGTTCACTGCAGCCTTGATCTCCTGGCCTCAAGTGATCCTCCTACCTCAGCCTCCCGAGTAGCTGAGACTGTAGGTGCACGTCACCACACCGGTTTTGTTTTGTTTTGTTTTGTTTTGGTAGAGGCAAGGTCTTGCTACATTGCCCAGGCTGATTTCAAACTCCTGGGATCAAGCAATTCTCCTACCTTGGGCTCCCAAAGTGCTGGGATTAAGGCATGAGCCAACATGCCAGGCAATGGCTCCATTTTTAATAAACTGAAGTAGATTGAAGATTAAAGGGCTGGATGTAAGCAGCACTTTCTTTTAACACAATTTCTTCAATGAAGAATGAGGACAACATCTGAATTGGTTGCTTATATACCTATATACCCATAATATAGTGATGGCAATTGTGAATTTCTCTAGTGCTTCCATTATACCCTCTTCCTCCAACATGTTTTGGGATTTAGTAAAAAGACTAAGTTTTCCCTTGGAAATGTTTAATGAATATTATCATCCAAAACACACAAAAATTGTTACAAAAATTGGAAACTCACTGGTAAATAGCATTGTAACATCTGTATCCTTTTTCCCCAGTCCAACCACTTCTGAGAAAAGGTTCTATGAAAATGATCTAAAGGGAAAAAGATCCATTAGGTGGATCTTTTTTGGAACAATGAAAAATGTTTGCTTCAGTGTAATTTATAATAATGAAAGCTTGTAAGCAGCCATCATGACGAAATGAAGGGCATGTTTCGGTGAACTCTATCTTATGGAATATTATGTGGCCACTAAAACAGTAATTTTGAAGATGCAGCAACATGGAGAATGCTCATGATACAATAGTTAAATGTATGACCCAATTAGAATCTTGCCACAGATGCTTATAAAATTAGAATGGGACTCAAAAAATTGAACCACTGAACCTAAAATATTGTACAAGAATGGGTACAATATAAATGATCCACCCCTACCACCAAAACCATTTTCAAAGCTTACTTTTTACTATTTCCCTAATAATCAGAAAAAGTTTTTTTTTTTAAAATGGCTGACACAGTATATTACGTTTTTAAAAAGAAGTCAAGCAGAAGATGACCAAGGAAATCAAAGGAAAAAAGAACCAACATATTTTGGTAGTCATGAATCTTACCAAAGGCTAGTTGGGTCACCTCAGATGCCAACAATGGTAACTCATGAATCTGTTAGTCCTTAAAATATTGGCTAAAATGGTCAAACTAATCTCAATAAAAGTCATTTTAAAAAGAAAGAGAGCAAGAGAGATGCCTTTCCCAGTATATCTTGTGATCTGGAATTTATTGCGGTATCTGTGACAGAGAAGAGTGTATGTTCGCATGTGTTTCTTTTTTCTAACATTATCAGCATGAGAATGACTAGAAATGAGCTGTAGGTTTTTCAGAAGTCAAGACAGCTGCGACAGCTACAGGGTTTCATTTATAGATACTGACACTGCATATTTCAGTATATATCAGACACAAAGGTTAAAATATGTACATACTGTTCTTCAGCATAAAATCTAAGCAAAGATCTTAACTCTTGACAGCACCAAAATGTTGCTCTTACTTTTTCCAGTCATTGTACACCCAACATACTTTATTCCCCGATATTTATAACACAAATAAGCAAACAAAAAATCAGGCATCTAATCAAAATGCATCCATTCTATATTCAAAGTCTAAGAAAGTAAAACTGGTGACAGGTATTAAAAGAAGATCTGAACATGTTTATTTTTATAGTCAAGTTGTCTCACAAAGCATAGATACATATGTTTTCCTTATAGCTAATATTAACACACATAAATGTCTTTCACTTAAGTCTTCTGACATCCCAAAATTACTGCTTGAGATGAATCAAGGCTGTGGATCACAACATCCTTAAATTTGACTGCATGAAGAAGACTGGCAAATGTTTCCCTGTTTTAAGAAAATGTTATATTTCTATATGAGACATCTTTTTGGAATACATTTGAGCATATTCAGTAAAATGCTGATTAACCTTTCTTGATCTTTACTTGTGACAATAAATGAAAGATCCTTGTATTTTATAAATCTTCAGCATATTAGATTTCGGTAGTCTAAAGATTAATGAAAAATGAAAGAGAAAAACAAAGCCAAAAATCATAAATCCTTCCTGACCAGAAGGCATTCCTCCCTTATCCCTAAAAGAAATTCATTCCTGCACATCTTGTTTCAATTTAACTTCTGAAGTTTGTCTTGTTCCATCTCTAGGACAAGTCAGGCTGCAGGGTATAGAGATACGACTACATGAATAAAAACACATGAGCAATGCAACCACTGCATATACAAAACCAAGATGACTGTCAAGTGACATGTCACTTGGATACATGTGTTTCTGTATTTTGTCATGAATGTTCAAGCTGAAAGCTACTGGAAGAATCTGAATTCTCCTTCCCCTGCTATTGCAGAATATGGTAATGTAATTAGAAAAAGCTAATGCTTTATGAGCAGCATGCTGGCATCCCTTTTTAGCTGCAGAAGATTCATTTTAAAAAAAGCACCCAACACATTAACACTACACAATACATTCCACAACTCTACAATGAGGGCAAGACTCTCCTGCTAACACAACCCCAGGTTCTTCTGAGGAGGTGCCTTGCACAGATGCTGGGTTTGAGTTTTACTTGGGAAGAGGGTGCTGCTTTTCTTTAATCCCTACCCACTCTTTCTTACACCAGCCTTACATGATTTATAGCATTTTTATTACAAATAGAGAAATGAAACCTTGGTTTGTGCAGATTGAAGCGGTGATGAGGGAATTGGGGTGGTTTGGCAACGGATGGAGGTAGAGAGTGAGATGCAAAATTCTACTCCTATCACAAGTGAGAAAAACACAATTCAAGGCTGACCCTGGACACAGTCAAGTTCACAGGGGTAGTCCAGGAAGGGAAGGGCACTGATGGTGTATGTGGCCAAGCCTGTAAAGGAGATGAGGTCCATAAACTGCAGTTCCCCTTTATCTGAGTCTCCATAAATGCATGGGAGAAGCAGAAGCAGGGTAAGTTTGCAGCAATCGTTACTGGTGGCCAAATTTCTCTGGTGGAAAAGGCAGGTTTTCTTTTTCATGCTTTTATATTAGTTAAAGCCTTTGAATAAACAAAATTCTTAGGGAACTCTCAAGGGGTAATTTTTTTTGTCCAGAAAGTTCCTTCTACTTATTTCTTAATTCCTTTAAAGGTGTGAGATTCTGACCTGGTAACTTGCAATGAAGCAGTATAAGCAACAAAGATGAGGTAGTGGTTTAACTTTCCAGCTGCTTCAACTTTAGACACGAAAAGAAACTGATGGGGGCATCCAGGTTGCTTGGCAAGATGGTGCAGACTGCACAGGTCTAAGGAACTGACTAGTCAGGGTCTATGCCAGTGATAAACCAAGAGATCTGAAAAGGCCCAACTACCATTTCTTATTACAGTCTCCTCTTCATAAAGCACATTTTTATGCTTTTATTATACACATATGTATCCCAGACACATCGGTTTTATTTTTTAAAAATAAAGCTGTCCTCATTTGAGGTGGGGGAAAGAAATTCAACTAGCTGCACCCTCCTCAAGATGGTTTTGGGCAGCGGGTCAAAGCCACTGGCAGACCCATGATGCACCTGACAGAGCTTTGGAGTAGATGCTGCAGGACCCCCGTACCATGCTCTGGCCATACCCCTACCCCTGAGACATGAACAGGAATAGCTAAGGGATCTGTGGGGTCCTCTGCTTGCACATAGGAAGAGAAAACAGAACATAGGGACATCTTACAGCTTTCTGACTGTCCGATCCCTCTCATAGTGATAAAGGGAGGGACCCGAGAGACTAATACTTTTAGTTGTAAAAAGATGAAGTAATGTCTTCTTGCCAGCCATATTTGTGTACTCAGATCAATCAGGGTCATTAAAAACTATATATTACTAAATAACAATCTACAAAAACATAGGTTAAATGAAAAAGCAAAATTTAAAGAAGTTCCTCTAATGCAATTTTACACATATGTGTGGATAAACACTTGAAGGGAAATACAAAAGCATCTTATTTGTTGATAAATTCCTGGTGCTATTTCTTTCCATTTTTGTTCCTATTATTTTTAAATAGAAAAAGAGATAAGATGGATCAAAAATAAATTGCTCTATATACCACTATACAACTACAAGAATGACTAAAACTGAAATTACTGACAATACAAATTGTTGGTAAGCATGCAAAACAACAGGAAGTCTCAAACCTTGCCAACAGGGCAGTATTGTGGTCCCACCATTTTATTTTTAAACAGTTTAACTGGTTGGCTGTTTCTACTAGCTAAACACACATCTATACCACAAGCCAGTGATTCCACTTATAATAATATATTAGAAATGAGTGCTACGTGCACAAAAAGACTGGGAAAAGAATATTCATAATCTCTCTCTTTATAGTAGTCAAAGACTTTCAACAGAGAATAAATAATTGTGGTAATTCATATAGTTGTATGGTATATAACAAACAACAAAACATGTACTAACACATGCAGTAATATGGAAGAAACTCAAAAACATGCTGAGCAAAAGAAATCAGACACAATTAAATGAAAGTTAAACGAAGACCACCTGAAATTCCAGATTAATTTGCTTTGCCATAACAAGTATTATTCTATACATAATATAATTAGTCCCATAACTCACAGTCACATAATAAACTTATTAACAGATGGGAGAGGTGGTAGCAACTGGTGAAGTACTTGTCTTGAAGATGGAAAAAAAATGCTTATATAAGGTAGAATTCCAGAGCCTGAGCCTGGTCTTTTTGCATTCAGCATCTTTCAGTGGCTACAAGGGTGTTTGTGCCTAGGAAATCAGAAATTGCAGGGCTTACCACAGTTTTCCAATTTAAATTAATAACTTTGACTTTGCTATTATATACAAATATGCACATGCCTCTTTAAAACTGTAGAAAATAAGACCTTGATGTCTTAGCCCTTGAGACAAATTTATGCCAAACACCAGAAAGTGCTATTTTCAAAAACAGTAAATAAGTTAAGAGCATAATGTGCCTTTATTATTAAAAGCATTCTGGCTTTGAGTTTTCAAAAATATTCCCGCTGTCTAGCAAAGATTAATGCAATATAGAAACCAGCTTTTCATCATACTTATTTGGCCCAGGAGAACTGTACATCACTGAATCTGGTTGGTGTTGAACATAATGATAAAATGGGCAATAAAAGAAAGTAGGGATGTTTGTATGGGCACAAGGAAGACAAGTCTAAGCAACTTCCCAGCTAATTTGCTCCAAATGAATTTACCCCAATAATAAAAATGAAAAAAAATCAATCAAGTTTGTACGAATAATAGATAGTATTTTTCCTAGTAGTATACAGTACCAAGATGGCCCCCAATGTCTAAGAGTAACATAGCACTCTTTCTCCGGGTATCAGGATGTGATGCCATTTATCCTTTTCTGCTAACCTTAGTCTGGTCAATAGGCAAACTTGGACAACTCACAATTTGCCAAGGTGATACTGTGATTTCTGAGAGACACAACTATTGACTATTGCTAAGCTCTCTCAATTTGAAATGAAAGAGTGAGTCAGCCAAGTCTGGCATCATCAAGAAGAGATGCACGCAGACATCACCAAGAAGGCAGGGATAATTCCAAAAGCCAGATCCCATTTCTGGTCTTGGCATGCTGAATATCTCATTAGGGGAGAGAGGACGTTGGCAAGGACTGATTGTATGCCGGCCCTACCAACTGTAAATTACACAGGGCCATGTTGTCACCTAAATCTGCAGGGAAATTTCGGTGGTCACGGAAGGTGGAAGCTGCTTGGAGGGCTTCTCTGCGAATCCTTCTGCTTGTTGAACATCACGTTTATGGCCTTAGCAACGGTGCAGAGTGAATTGACTGTCAAGGAAAATGCACTAACTCACATCAAGCCAGGGAAAAAAGCTCCTGGGACAAGACTGACACGAGTGCAATGACCAGAGACTAAATTACCACCTGCTTAGGGTGGAGTGAAAAAACCAAACAACAAGCAAGGGGATTTATCTGCAACTGGAGACAATGACATAAAATACAAGCTAGCACTTCAATTATTCAAGTCTGGTAATTCCACACAGTCTGTATGTCTGGTTAAAGAACTCTGTGTAAATTCTGAGCTGCAGGTTTTTAGAGGCAATGTGTATGAGGCAAGACAATGGAGTTGGAGATTAGGAGACACAGGCCTTGCCTTGGCCATGCCTTGATTCCGTGCAGTATGGCGAGAAATCATCTAGCATCTTTTTACCTTTGTATCTGAGCAATCCAGAATAATGATAAAAACAGGGATGTACAATAGAAAGATCTCGTAGTTCAAACCTTGTCTGCCATTTATTAGCTGTGTAAACTTGGGCAAGTCACTGAATTTCTCTGATCCTTATAAAAAATAGTGGTAAGAGCAATCTTTTAAAGTAGAATCATGGCTCACATGAGCAAATGACTTTGTAATAAACTAGACACCTGGAAGTATCTGTGCAAGTTCTTTGTAAAATAGAGAGGGTTATATACATTTTGGTTTTCATTACTGCTTCTGCTATGACTTACCACACAGGGCAGTGTGATGAAGTGTACAATATATAAAAGATCTTACAGAAAGCAAGGTATTAGTATGGAGAGGTTCTATGATATCCAAGAAAAAACAAAACTTTGGAATCACATAAATTTCGGTAAGAACCCACTTCTAAAAGCTTGACTACTTAGAACTGTGATGACACCTTACTCGGGCATTCTTAACCTGAGGTCTGTGGACCCAAAGGGGTCATGGGGAGAATTTAAGAGATCTGTGAACCTGGACAAACAAAACAAAACAAAACAAAACAAAAAAACCCCAAAAAACTTACATCATTACTTTCAAGTAGCCTGTAACCGAAATGTAGCATTTCTTTCAATTATGAGTATATGGAATGAGTCACAGTATTTTTACAGTATCTACGCATGACTTTGTACCTGTAGAAGTCAGATATTTTGATATCACAGTACGATTGTAGCAGATATCTCAAAATATTATTTGTACTCATTACTAATTGAAATTATGGAAGCTACTAACCCAGTGCCTAAGCTTCCTTATTTAAGGCTTTATTAAAGAAGCACACATTAGTGTATCACAAGTTTGTAATTTTACTATTTTGACAACAGCATTTTAATGTAACTGGTTTTCTTTGGAATCTTACATATTTTAGTTTATGAATCTTAGTTTACTTTAACTAGTTTTAGTTAATTCCAAAACACTATTTTGGGAAGCAGTCCACAGGCTTCACAAGTTCGCCAAAGGGCTCCCACAACCTCCCTTGGGCATCCATTTCTTTAGGTGTTAAAGAGAGCTAAGAGCTATGATGCATGGTCACCGTGAAGATTCCAGATGACAGAGAAGCACACCGCCTAGTGCCCCACACATAGTAGGCATTCAAAAGAAGCCAGTATGCGTTGAAAACAATGAGAGAAGGGAATTAATTTCTATGTTATGCCTTTCATTCTTCCTAATTTCAATACAGTTTATTTTTGGTATTTCAAGGATTTAAGTCAATGAAGACTTGACTGTCTTCATTTGCTGGACGGCTTTGGGTGTCGTTTGTGATGATATGGTTATGTGGATGTCCTTTCCTTCTAAGTTCAAAGTGCTATTGCTGGAGACAACCTCTGCACAGGCCAGACGGGAGAGCTCTGGGGATGAGTCCACGCTGGCTGAGGATGGGGGCGCCTTACAGGGGATATGCCGCTGACTTAGCTGCACTGCTTTGAGCCAACGGGCAAGGTCTTGGCCACAAGGGAGGAAATGAGAACAAGTAATTTAGAAACTGGGAACACAGAGCTATTTTAAAGCTTGCCAGTGAGAGAGCCTTCAAAGGCAGGACTAGTCTTTAGGCTCAGCATAATGAACCTCAATGTGAGAAAATTAAGTAATGTTTCAACTCGAGTCCCAAATCAACAGTCTCAGCAATATGAGAGTACTCTACAAATGGGAATGCACTAGAGCTATAGAGGGAAGATTCATGGCCTTCTTAATTAACTCCGAGGTGCCGCACATAAGGGGAAAACGATAAATCAAGTAGATTACTGCCGGCAATCTGAATTTCCAAATGAAATAAGAGAGGTGTAGCACCTTGAGTCATTTTGTAAATGTGTATGGTGGGGGTGGAAGGGAAATCTCCAAGGTCATCTCTTGTGTTTAATTCGCCACTTTATGATTTAATTTCATACCATGTGCAAAGTACTTGCTATACAATCAGGTGTGAAAAGATAGGAAATAGAAAGATTGGTAAGACATGATGGGAGGGCAATGCAATATACACACATGTAAAACTGTAAACTTGTTACTCATGCATTTATCCCATATATATTTATTGAGCTACTACTGTGTAACAGTGTACTACCTACTGTGTAACAGTGTACAACCTACTGTGTAACAGTGTTCTAGAAGCTGAGGATGTAGTAACGACCAAGATGGACAAAATCTCTGCCCCCATGGAGCCCAGATTCCTTAGGGGAAGACAGGTACTCAACAAGATAATTACATAAACTGTGATTTCAAGCAGTGATAAGCACTATGAAGAACAGAAGAGAAGAGTAAGGGCACAGAGAGGGATGAACAGGATACTGTTTAAAGGAGGGAAGCCCTGCTGCGCAAGTGACATCTGACCAGAGACTAAAAGAAGGGGAGGACATGAACTGTGTAAAGCTCTGATTGGAGGGAGAGCATCCCAGTAGAGGGCCAACAAGGACAAGAGACTTGGAGCAGGCCTGAGCTGGGTGTGCTCAAGGGGCAGGAACCCCAACTCTTTTAGGGGAAGGAGGATGGGGGTAAGAGGTGAGGCTGGAGAAGTGAGGGGATGCCTGGTCGCAGAAGCCATGTTGGCCATGATAAGAAGTTTCACTTTTACTTCAAGTGTGACAGGAAGCCTTTGGCAGATGAAGGAGGTGATATGACTTAGCTCCTGCTAAGATAAAAACACAAGCAAAGAAATATAGGTCTGTAGAATAAGGATTAATCCACATTGCAGGATTATCGTTAGTGGTGAAAAACAAACACATGCAAGCAAGCCTGGAAACAACTGGGATATCCACCACTTAATAGTGAAATAAATCATTATATATCCGTATCATAGTATTTTGCGTTGCTGTTAAAAAGAACGACTTAGATCTATCTCTATTGACCTGGAAGGATGTTACACGAAAAACAAAAGATAAGTGTGTGGGGGGAATGATATATATATATATACACACACATATACATATACGTATATATCTATATACATATATGTATGCAATATATAGATATATTTTATGCATATATATGTATATGTGTGTGTATATATACACACACACACACATACACATGTAATATATGATGTTTATTTTAGGCTCGCTCTCAATTTTATTTAAAAAATGTTACAACCAATTAGAGCTATATATATGCATATCTCCATACAGGGAGAATACCCGCCACAACGTTAACATTTGTTAACTTGGGGTGGGGCAGGGTGGGGTGTTAGGGAGAGAGGAGAGAAGCTATTAATCTTAAATATATTTGTACACAATTTTAAAATTTCTATTATTCAATAGTCATAGCCAAATGTGTTAATGTTATGATTTTTTAAATTTTAACTTTTTAGGAGATGGAGGTCTCACTTTGTCACCCAGGCTGGAGTGTGTGTGTGTGTATATATATTTATTTTTATTATTTTCTGAGACAGGGTCTCACTCTTTTACCCAGGCTAGAGTGCAATTATAGCTCATTGCAATCTTGACCTTCTGGGCTCTGGTGATCCTCCTCCCTCAGCCTCTTGAGCAGCTGGGACTACAGGCTCATGCCTCCATGCCCAGCTAATTTAAAAATTTTTTTGAAGAGATGGGGTCTTGCTTTGTTGCCAAGGCTTGCCTCAAACTCCCGCGCTCAAGTGATCCTCCTGCCTTGGCTTCCCAAAGTGCTGGGATTACAGGTGTGAGCCACCATGCCCGGTAGGGGGTGTATGATTTTGAAAAAGGAACTTAATCAAATATTTAAACAATTTATTCTCAGTGATTGGGAAATCTTTGTAAAATAGATAGTGTTAAATGTCCATCTTGAAGAACAGGATTATCACAGCCAGAAAGAAGTGGAGAGAAGAAGGAGTACGCTGCAAGCCAAGGGCAAAACAATGGAAGGTTTTCATTCATGGCACTAACAGACTGATGCTTTCTACAGCTCTAGTGATGGCAGCTGGTGGACAGGGTTTCAGTGGAGAGAATGGAGGCAGGCAGGGAGATCGGTGAACTCTTGGGACAATCCCAAACAGGAAGTTAGAGCTTCAAGTAAGGACAAGAGCAGGGGAAGCATTCAAGAGGCGATGAGGATGCAAAGGTAATACATTTGGTGCCTGATTATTTGGAAACAGGGGTGAGGAGATGAGATGGTTGGAATATAATTCCAAGCTTCCTAGACTAATGAATGGGTAGGTGCCATTAAACATAGTATGAATCAAAAAAAGAGGAGGCACTCTGGAGAAGGATATAAAATAACGGGCCTGGCACTAGATGAGCTGAGCCTGTACTGAACATTCCCAAACCCACAGATAGTGGGGTGGTTAAAAATGGGGGCTGAAGGAAGCATGGGACTAGGGTCCTCTCCACATCGGTTAACAGCCAAGGTCAAGGCACGGAACAAATACAGATAGAAAAGCAAAATGCTAGGGACGAAACTTAGGGAGAGGCCACCGCTTTTATGGCAAAGAAGTAGAAGAAGAACCAGGACAGAACAAACTAATGGGCACAAAGGAAGAAAGAATTTCAGCACTGAGAGCATCTGCTGACGAGGGGATGGGGACTTCCTTAAGGAACTTGAGTACAGTGCGAAACACTTCAAACTGAACTGCAGTAAGTTTAGCAAGGTTTTGACCTGAGAATGTTACAGGTCAGTCTTGAGGGTCCAGCCGAGGTTGGAAAGATTGCATTTGAAGTGGGATGAATCATCCTGCTATATACTTTTATGTAGGAATTCTCCACGTCCACTAAGTAGAGAGGCACATATTAGGTTCATCTGAGGCTGAGGACTGGAGATGATGAGTGGGCAAGGTCATGGGGACAAGTCAAAGTTGAATTTAGCAATTGAGTGAAGGCAAGTTGTGTTTGGCTGTTCTTCTGAAGCTATGAAGGAATACCTGAGACTGGGTAATTTATAAAGAAAAGAAAAGAGGTTTAACTGGCTCACAGTTCTGCAGGCTGTGTAAGTATGGTGCCAATATCTGCTTGGCTTCTGGGGAGGCCTTAGGGAGTTTTTTTTTTTTTTTGAGATGGAGTCTCGCCTCTGTCACCAGGCTGGAGTGCAGTGGCACGATCTGGGCTCTCTGCAACCTCTGCCTCCCAGGTTCAAGCCATTCTCCTGCCTCAGCCTCCTGAGTAGCTGGGACTACAGGCATGTGCCACCATGCCTGGCTAAGTTTATGGTATTTTTAGTAGAGATGGGGTTTCACCATGTTAGCCAGGATGGTTTCGATCTTCTAACCTCATGATTCACCTGCCTCGGCCTCCCAAAGTGCTGGGATTACAGGCGTGAGTCACCGCGTCGGGCCAGGGAGCTTTTATTCAAGGGTCGAGGCAAAGTGGGAGCAGGTGTGTCACATGTTAAGGGCAGGAGCAAGAGGAGGGGGAGGTACCACATGCTTTTAAACAACCAGATCCTGTGAGAACTCATGATCTCAAGGACAGCACCAAGGGGATAGTGCTAAATCAGTCATGAGAAATCCACCCCTATGATCCAATCACCTCCCACCAGGCTCCACCTCCAACACTGGGGATTACATCTCAACATGAGATTTGGAGTAGACATCTAAGCTATATCACATGTCAAGGAAGGACGGGCTGAGACCCTAGAGGTCTCAAGGCAAATGTGACACCCAGGAGAGGACACAGCAGGGGAAACAGTGGAGCCTCTGGTCAATAGGTCAACTTCACAGTTTGAGATAATGAAAGTACAGCAGCTCTTGCTTATGACAAAGTCCAGGAAAAGGCTTTCTACATAAAAAAGAAATAGGAAATCCAAGTCTATGTCTAGGGTGTTTCTTTATCACTGAATTTCTACTGACCTGTGATAAGTTTAAAAATTTTGAAAAATTATAAAGCAGCTTTGAATTGGGCTCAAAGATGCATAAAAAGATCAGTCATAAATACTGATGAGTGGACATAAAGATTTTTAAAAATGGTCTGATGTGATTTCAATTGTATAAGCAACCTGTTTAAAACATAGAGTGTCCTAAGAATGAACTGTAGACTACTGGAGGCACAGTTCCTAACAAATGAATCACATCACCCAACTGTGACAAGACTCACCTCTCCTACCAAGTGTTTTGTGTGAGCAATGCAAACTAATTCTGTTGGAGCAAGCCAAAATGTCACATAAGGGTTGTCCTTCCAGCTTCCCAGTGTCCCTCAAGAATATATGGTCTTTCTGGGCTAGTCGCGATGGCTCACGCCTGTAATCCCAGCACTTTGGGAGGCCAAGGCGGGCGGATCACGAGGTCAAGAGATCGAGACCATCCTGGCTACCATGGTGAAACCCCGTCTCTACTAAAAATACAAAAAAAATTAGCCGGGCATGGTTGTGTGCGCCTGTAGTCCCAGCTACTCGGGAGGCTGAGGCAGGAGAATGGCGCGAACCCGGGAGGCGGAGCTTGCAGTGAGCCGAGAAGCGCCACTGCACTCCAGCCTGGGCAACAGAGCCAGACTCCGTCTCAAAAAAAAAAAAAAAAAAAAAAAAGAATATATGGTCTTTCTGGAACACAATGAGCACACCAAATCAAATTACAGATATTACAAGGAAAATCTGGCAGGCAGCCATCTCAGCTTTGTTTCAACTGATGTCCATAAAAATATAGGCTAAGAAAACGGTAGCACGATGCCTGGTGATTGAGACCTAAGAGCATGCAACATGTTTATTATGGCATGTATCAGGCCACAAACTTCAGTCTGGAGCTGGGGCACACAGCAGAACCTTAGTTCTAGTAGACAAGGGAGGAAAATAGGAAGGCATGCCTTGTACTGTAATAAATATGACTGCTCTCAGAAGACCATAAACAGGTGGTTTCATGAAAAAAAAAAAGTCATCGCTTTTAGATTTAAAAAACATCAAATGCTTCAGGCTTGTTTGTATTAAAAAAATAGAAGGCCAGTACACACTCAGCTAATTATAGCATTTTTTATGAGGCTATGGCTGACTAAAATCTGGCAAAAATGAGTCCAACTGAAACACCAAGAGTGAGAGTTTGGGAGGATTAGGTGAGGTTTTGGAGTGGGAAGAAATGTGGGAAAGAGGAAGAAAGCTTTCATTAAGCAGCTCACATTCTGGTAGAAGGAGGAAAAAAAAGCATCCAGACTGATTTTATTTTCATTCAAAACAACCTCTTATTCCATACATTTTTACTTTAAATCCCTGAACATGTTTATAATGGCTACTCTGAAGTCATTGTCTCTTAAATCCAACATCTGGGCTATCTCAGGAAAGATCTCTATTGACTGCTTTGTTTTGTCTAAGGGAAGATTTTCCTACTTCTTTCATGTTTAGTAATTTTTCATTATATATTAGACATTGTGATATCTGATCCATTCCTATGAAAATACTGAGTTTTGTCCTAGCAGGCAGTTCAATTTCATGCTGATCATGTTGAACTTGTATAGGTCTAGACTTATACTTTATTAGAATACATCTCTTAAAAGCCCAAAACGTTTCCCAAGACCCTTTAACTTGTCAGAACTCCAAATTCTGTCTCCTCTGACAATCTTATGTGGGTTTGGTTTTAGGGATCATTGGGGTGCTTTTAGAGCAAGTCATACCCTAGAGCAAAGTCCTTATTTCTAATTTGAAGTCTTTCTGGTATCTCAGTTGAATGACTAGGTGTCCACAAATTGTTTCTATACTGGCTGGGCTGGAGTGCAACATGGTTTCTCTGTTCTAGTCTCACCCTTGTGGCAGCCACTCTTTGATTAAGACTCAAAGTCTTACCCCGAACATGAGCAACCCACCCTCAGCCATGGACTCATGGAGGATCCTGATATAGATTTTTGGAAAGTCTTCACAGATCCCTCATCTTCACTTGCACCCCCTTTCTCTCCACACACATACACACACAGGCAGATTTCAGCAACTTTAGTTGTGCCGATTCTGACCTCTGCCTCCTCAGTTCAGCGAAGCTGCTGTGTTCTGCCTGGACTCTAGCTTACTCCATTGCAGTAAGGACATTGTCCTCAGACAGCGAGGGCCAGGTAGGTGATCATGGGGCTCACCTCCTAAGCTTCCTTTCTTTCAGGGATCATGGTCTTGCACTACTTATTGTCTAGAGCCTGAAAACCATTATGTTGTACATTTGTCCAGTTGTTTATGGTGACAGAAATCATGATGGAAATTTAATTATTTAAATATTTTTATGCTGCATGCCATATGAATGTTGAATAAAAGTTGCAATAACATTCCACATAGCTCTCTCAATGCAAATAGGCAGTAGCAGCTCCTTGTTTCACATCAAAGTGTCCCTAGAGTTCTTAGATCATTCATTCTTATTCTTTCATAAACAAATTCATTTATTCATTCAATAAATACTTATTGAGAGTCTTATATATGACAGACACTGTTCTGGGGGCAGAGACAGGATTCGAACCTAAACAGTCTGACTCCTGCTCCTATACTCTTAACCACTACATTGTTCTACTTCTCAAAGAGAGGAGAAATACATTGGAAATGTGGGAAAAACAGTGATAGTTTCTGAGCAAAAAACAGCTTGGTGTCTGAGCAGGTTATGAGTAGTTGGGAACACCACTAAAAGAGGCACAAGAGGAGAATTTGATTGAGTTAGACCATTAGGGCAAAATTTTGTCCTTGTTTTTCCCAGACGATGATGAGTAAAAAGAGTATTCTGCCTTTTGTATCAGAAAAAGAACAAAAAGCCATTCTGAATAAAAGGCTTCAGGGTTCCTCGGGGAAGTTGAGGAAGTAGGTGGAAGTGATATTACTCTAGTGATATTACAATTACCTCAAACTATATACACAACACTACTCCCATCAGATGCTTCAAGAAAAAGTGCTCTGGAATCAGGTACATATGAGAATTATATTACTCCTCTTGGAGACTTAAAATGCATATCAGCATAGCAGAGGATCTGATAAATCTTATGGTAAAGAAAACCATTTTATTTAACTCAAAATTTCCCAAACATAAAGACCACAGTACCCTATACTGTGAGTAAGTGTGTGAGGGCGTGAGGGTGTAGGGGTGTGTATGTGTGTGTGTTTTTTGGGGGGAGAAAGGCAGGGGAGAGGGGGAGAGAGAGAGGGACAGTGTGAGAGTGAGTGCATGTGAAACTGGTGAATATCCCTTGGAATTACTGTTCTATGAAACAGATTTTAGAATTTGCTATCTAATGTCAACAGCAAATACTAGGTTAAATAAAAATAATTTTTAGAGGTCGAGCCTACCATTACTGCACCAAGTAGTACAGGGAGTCCTACAAAGAGAACGAGAGTAGATCTGTAACTAAGTTATAAGAACATAGTATATTTTTGTTAAGTAGTAAATGAAAAGAATCGAGTATAAAAAGGTGCCAATTTGTGCCTAGGCATGACAATTCTTTACATCTTATACTAAATGCTATATATATATTTTTAAGGTAAAGTTAATTTGGAAACTCCAATTTATGTTATTTTAATAAAAGCATATTTTGCAGAAAATACAGTATAATTAACAGGCGTGGCCAGGTACACTACATTTTTTTTTTTTTTTTTTTTTTTTTTTTTTTTTTTTTTTAGAAACAGAGTCTTGTTCTATCACCCAGGCTGGAGTGCAGTGGCCCCATCATAGCTAACTGTAGCCTTGAACTCCTGGGCTCAAGCAATCCTCTCATCTCAGCCTCCAAAACAGTTGAGATTACAGGTGTGAGCCACTGTGCCTAGGATCATATCTTTAAGTTATGTCAGTTATCCATTTCTGGGAAGCCAAAAGTTATTACTAAGCTATCTGAACTACTCTGACAATAATCTGAAAGAAACACCCAGGGACAGTCCCATGCTTCTCAGTAACCTTTTTATGGAGACTCACCTGCCTTTGCCCTGCAGCTCCCCGAATCCCCTGCCTCTCCCCTATCCCCTGCCTCATTGGTGAGTCACGATGGAGAATAATTTCCTGGGTGCTATGCCCTTTCTTTCCTATCGATTGGAGATGCTAAGGTGTCCTTATCCATTACAGCTGAGGCCTGTTATGCTAGGGTTTGCCTTGCACAGTCAACCTAATTCAGTGGTAGCCATCTATCATATAGGAATTACTGGTTACCTCTCTCATAGAGTTTCCAGCTTCTTCAGTCTCCTACTGTTTCATCTTATTGGGTTGCTAACCTCTAATTATCTAGGACATGGCAATTATTCTTATTTTTATGTCTGTTCCCTCTGCCCAGGTGTCCTACCCTATTTTTCCAATATTAGATACTTTTTCAAATTCTCCTCTTACTTTTCTATCCTCTAATACTTAAGTTTTAACTCTGATATCCCAACAGGTCAAGCTACACAGTGGCTAGAGCCTAGAGCCTAACTGTGTAGGTTTGAACCCAATGCCCCACTGTGTACTATCATTTGCCTTTTTCATTCTCATTTTTTCACAGGTATACTGTGGGGTTTTCCAGAGGCTGTACGACACATAGCATTGCAGCAGATTGGACGCAAAATCCAAAATCTAGCTGATGTCCATTAAGTCATTAAAAAGCCCACTTTTAAGAAAATCATAGGTTTTTTTTCCTACCTGTAAATATCTATTATGTTCAACATATTATGTTCAAGAGTGTAGAGTAATTTTAAATAGGTATATAAAGGCAACAATTTTTACTTAAGTGTTTTCTTCTTTTTTTTAATAATCCAAAAAGCTAGCTCCATTTTAAGGAACCTAACCCTCTGCTGATTGATTAGTCAATGTTATTGCCAAAGAAAGTTTCATTTCAATTTTGAGATGCCCAAATGTCTATCAAGGTTGTTTAAACAGATATTTGAGCAGAAAAGTCGTCATTCTTTTCTGGTCTTCACTGCTCAGGAAAATTAGAGTTTATTTCCCCTGAGGGGAAATAAAAATCTCTTATTTGTATAAACATCATTTTTTTTAAAAGCACCATCTTCTGTCATATTTAGCCTACTGTTGTCAAGCCGATTTTCTTTCACATGACTTAACCCTTATTACTATCATCTTGAATGCATACTGGCTTCATCTGAATTTTGATACTGCATGCTTCCTTTCTCTTACCAAAGGTCCCCAAGACTCCTTTTAGTTATCTTTCCACTATGGCCAGGCTAGTAGTTGTCTGTTGCTTGGCCCTCTCTTTCATTTACTATGTTCCTACAAATACATATCCAAAGTTCCTACTGTGTGGTAACTTTATCCTCTGAAAGTGGCACTAGAAATCCTGTATGAGTGGAGGTATTAGTAACTTAGGCAACCTTCCACTCAATCTTTCTCTTCACTTAAAAATCATTCGTAAACTTACTGATCCACTATACATGTCTACTTCTCTCCCAGCTAGGATTTGATCTGTCAAATTCCATATTTTCTCAGGTTTGTAATTATAATGAGGTGCCCAGTTCAAGACCCATCTTCTCCAGATCTAACTTCTAATTTACAGTAAATACAGAAGACAGAGGAACCCATCAAATGACATCTAGAGGAAACAACCAAGAGAAAATCCAGAAGGTAGAAACATTCTGTGGGACAACAAGCCTATCTCTTCAACAAGTTATTGTCAATAAAAGGGACTGTGATTCCCTGAATTGGGATGCTAGACTAGACTGACCAGCTATAAAGAACATGTTTAGACCACCTGGAGAAATCTGAATATTAGATTAGAAATCTGGGTATTAGATAAGATTTAAATTTAGTGAAATGGAAAAGTAGAGATGAATGACTAAAGAGTAGATTATGAAGTAGTATGTACAGCTCTCAATTAAAAAATTATATATGTATTTTTATAAAATGATCTGAAAAATATGAGTTAAAGTTTTAGTAGCAGTGATACCTGGGTGGTGGGAATGTGATGTTTTAATTTGTTTTTACATTTTTGTCAGACTATATTTTCTAATTTTCTATAATGCCTATAGACGGCTATAATAAAATGTTATTTTAAAAATTACTCACTTTCTCCGAGATGACTTATCCAAGAAATTTCACACCCACTGATCATGCCCTGACTCTAGAATTCCAGCACATCCTACTGACAGTTTATGCCAAACCACTGCACTTGATTCAAGTTCTCTGGTGGTTTTTGTATGTGGCCCCATCCCTATTCTTTGACTTCTTTTGTAGTCCCAAACCATGCTTGGCAAAATATTTGTTACTTTAGTGAGTATAACTCCTATATAGAGGAGGTTCCAAGATGGCCGAATAGGAACTGCTCCAGTCTGCAGCTCCCAGTGTGAGCGATGCAGAACATGGGTGATTTCTGCATTTCCAACTGAGGTACTGGGTTCATCTTACTGGGGCTTGCCAGACAGTGGGTGCAGCCCATGGAGCAGGGCGGGGCATCACCGCACCCAGGAAGTGCAAGAGGTAGGGGAATTCCCTTTCCTAGCAAAGGGAAGCCATGACAGATGGTACCTGGAAAATCGGGACACTCCCATCCTAATACTGCACTTTTCCAACAGCCTTGGCAACACAGCACACCAGGAGATTATATCCCGCGCATGGCTCAGAGGGTCCCACGCCCATGGAGCCTCACTCACTGCTAGCACAGCCATCTGAGATCGAACAGCAAGGCGGCAGCGAGGCTGGGGGAGGGGCGTCCGCCACTGCTGAGGCTTGAGTAGGTAAACAAAATGGCTAGGAAGCTCGAACTCGGTGGAGGCCACCACAGCTCAAGGAGGTCCGCCTGCCTCTGTAGACTCCAACTCTGGGGACAGGGCATAGCTGAATAAAAGGCAGCAAAAACTTCTGCAGACTTAAACGTCCCTGTCTGACAGCTTTGAAGAGAGTAGTGGTTCTCCCGGCACGGAGTTTGAAATCTGAGAATGGACAGACTCCCTCCTCAAATGGGTCCCTGACCCCCGAGTATCCTAACTGGGAGACACCTCCCAGTAGGGGCCAAGTGACACCTCATACACCTCTGAGACGAAGCTTCCAGAGGAAGGATCAGGCAGCAACATCTGTCGTCCTGCAATATTTGCTGTTCTGCAGCCTCCGCTGGTGATACACAGGCAAACAGGGTCTGGAGAGGACCTCCAGCAAACTCCAACAGACCTGCAGCTGAGGGTCCTGACTATTAGAAGGAAAACTAACAAACAGAAAGGACATCCACACCAAAACCCCATCTGTACGTCACCATTGTCAAAGACCAAAGATAGATAAAACCACAAAGATGGGGAGAAACCAGAGCAGAAAAGCTGAAAATTCTAAAAATCAGAGCTCCTCTTCTCCTTCAAAGGAATGCAGCTCCTTGGCAGCAACGGAACAAAGCTGGATGGAGAATGACTTTGACGAGTTGAGAGAAGAAGGCTTCAGATGACCGGTAATAACAAACTTCTCCGAGCTAAAGGAGGATGTTCGAACCCATGGCAAAGAAGCTAAAACCCTTGAAAAAAGATCAGACTAATGGCTAACTAGAATAAATAGTGTAGAGAAAGCCTTAAATGACCTGATGGAGCTGAAAACCATGGCACGAGAACTACGTGATGAATGCACAAGCTTCAGTAGCTGATTTGATCAACTGGAAGAAAGGGTATCAGTGATTGAAGATCAAATGAATGAAATGAAGTGAGAAGAGAAGTTTAGAGAAAAAAGAGTAAAAAGAAACAAACCAAAGCCTCCAAGAAATACAGGACTATGTGAAAAGACCAAATCTACGTCTGATTGGTGTACCTGAAAATGACGGGGAGAATAGAACCAAACTGGAAAATACTCTGCAGGATATTATCCAGGAGAACTTCCCCAAACTACCAAGGCAGGCCAACATTCAAATTCAGGAAATACAGAGAACGCCACAAAGATACTCCTCGAGAAAAGCAACTCCAAGACACATGATTGTCAGATTCACAAAAGTTGAAATAAAGGAAAAAATAATAAGGGCAGCCAGAGAGAAAGGTCGGGTTACCCACAACGGGAAGCCCATCAGACTAACAGCTGATCTCTCAGCAGAAACTCTGCAAGCCAGAAGAGAGTGGGGGCCAATATTTAACATTCTTAAAGAAAAGGATTTTCAACCCAGAATTTCATAGCCAGCCAAAGTAAGCTTCATAAGTGAAGGAGAAATAAAATCCTTTACAGACAAGCAAATGCTGAGAGATTTTGTCACCACCAGGCCTTCCTTACAAGAGCTCCTGAAGGAAGCACTAAACATGGAAAGGAACAACCAGTACCAGCCACTGCAAAAACATGCCAAATTGTAAAGACCATCAAGGCCAGGAAGAAACTGCATCAACTAACAAGCAAAATAACCAGCTAACATCATAACGACAGGATCAAATTCACACATAACAGTATTAACCTTAAATGTAAATGGGCTAAATGCTCCAATTAAAAGACACAGACTGGTAAATTGGATTAAAAGTCAAGACCCATCAGTGTGTTGTATTCAGGAGACCCATCTCATGTGCAGAGACACACATAGGCTCAAAATAAAGGGATGGAGGAAGATCTACCAAGCAAATGGAAAAGAAAAAAGAAAAGCTGGGGTTGCAATCCTAGTCTCTGATAAAATAGACTTTAAACCAACAAAGATCAAAAGAGACAAAGAAGGCCATTACATAATGGTAAAGGGATCAATTCAACAAGAAGAGCTAACTATCCTAAATATATAGGCACCCAATACAGGATCACCAGATTCATAAAGCAAGTCCTTAGAGACCTACAAAGAGACTTAGACTCCCACACAATAATAACGGGAGACTTTAACACCCCACTGTCACCATTAGACAGATCAACTATACAGAAAGTTAACAAGGATATCCAGGAATTGAACTCAGCTCTGCACCAAGCGGACCTAATAGACATCTACAGAACTCTCCACCCCAAATCAGCAGAACATACATTCTTCTCAGCATCACATTGCACTTATTCCAAAATTGACCACATAGTTGGAAGTAAAGCATTCCTCAGCAAACGTAAAAGAACAGAAATTATAACAAACTGTCTCTCAGACCACAGTGCAATCAAACTAGAACTCAGGATTAAGAAACTCACTCAAAACCACTCAACTACATGGAAACTGAACAATCTGCTCCTAAATGACTACTGGGTACACAACAAAATGAAGGCAGAAATAAAGATGTTCTTTGAAACCAATGAGAACAAAGACACAACATACCAGAATCTCTGGGATACATTTAAAGCAGTGTTTAGGGGGAAATTTATAGCACTAAATGCCCACAAGAGAAAGCAGGAAAGATCCAAAATTGACACCTAACATCACAATTAAAAGAACTAGAGAAGCAAGAGCAAACACATTCAAAAGCTAGCAGAAGACAAGAAATAACTAAGATCAGAGCAGAACTGAAGAAGATAGAGACACAAAAACCCTTCAAAAAAATCAATGAATCCAGGAGCTGGTTTTTTGAAAAGATCAACAAAATTGATAGACTGCTAGCAAGACTAATAAAGAAGAAAATAGAGAAGAATCAAATAGATGCAATAAAAAATGATAAAGGGAATATCACCACCAATCCCACAGAAATACAAACTACCATCAGAGAATACTATAAACACCTCTATGCAAATAAACTAGAACACCTAGAAGAAATGGATAAATTCCTGGACATATACACCCTCCCAAGACTAAACCAGGAAGAAGTTGAATCTGTGAATAGACCAATAACAGGTTCTGAAATTGAGGCAATAATTAATAGTCTACCAACCAAAAAAAGTCCAGGACCAGACAGATTCACAGCTGAACTCTACCAGAGGTACAAAGAGGAGCTGGTACCATTCCTTCTGAAACTATTCCAATCAATAGAAAAAGAGGGAATCCTCCCTAATTCATTTTATGAGGCCAGCATCATCCTGATATCAAAGCCTGGCAGAGACACAACAAAAAAAGAGAATTTTAGACCAATATCCCTGATGAACATCGATGCAAAAATCCTCAATAAAATACTGGCAAACCAAATCCAGCAGCACATCAAAAAGCTTATCCACCACCATCAAGTTGGCTTCATCCCTGGGATGCAAGGCTGGTTCAACATACTCAAATCAATAAACGTAATCCATCATATAAACAGAACCAAAGACAAAAACCACATGATTATCTCAATAGAAGCAGAAAAGGCCTTTGACAAAATTCAACAGCCCTTTATGCTAAAAACTCTCAATAAACTAGGTATTGATGGGACATATCTGACATATCTCAAAATAATAAGAGCTATTTATGACAAACCCACAGCCAATATCATACTGAATGGGCAAAAACTGGAAGCATTCCCTTTTAAGACTGGCACAAGACAGGGATGTCCTCTCTCACCACTCCTATTCAACATAGTGTTGGAAGCTCTGGCCAGGGCAATCAGGCAAGAGAAAGAAATAAAGGGTATTCAATTAGGAAAAGAGGATGTCAAATTGTCCCTGTTTGCAGATGACATGATTGTATATTTAGAAAACCCCATCGTCTCAGCCCAAAATCTCCTTAAGCTGATAAGCAACTTCAGCGAAGTCTCAGGATACAAAATCAATGTGCAAAAATCACAAGCATTCCTATACACCAATAACAGACAGACAGAGAGCCAAATCATGAGTGAACTCCCATTCACAATTGCTTCAAAGAGAATAAAATACCTAGGAATACAACTTACAAGGGATGTGAAGGACCTCTTCAAGGAGAACTACAAACCACTGCTCAATGAAATAAAAGAGGACACAAACAAATGGAAGAACATTCCATGCTCATGGATAGGAAGAATCAATATTGTGAAAATGGCCATACTGCCCAAGGTAATTTATAGATTCAATGCCATCCTCATCAAGCTACCAATGACTTTCTTCACAGAATTGGAAAAAACTACTTTGAAGTTCATATGGGCTCTCCCTCCCCCTCCCCCTCTCCCTCCCTCTCCCTCTCTGTCTCCCACTTTCCACGGTCTCCCTCTGATGCCGAGCTGAGGCTGGACTGTACTGCTGCCATCTCGGCTCACTGCAACCTCCCTGCCTGATTCTCCTGCCTCAGCCTGCCCAGTGCCTGGGATTGCAGGCGCGCGCTGCCATGCCTGACTGGTTTTTGTATTTTTTGGTGGAGACGGGGTTTCGCCGTGTTGGCCGGGCTGGTCTCCAGCTCCTGACTGTGAGTGATCTGCCCGCCTGGGCCTCCCGAGGTGCCAGGATTGCAGACGGAGTCTCGATCACTCAGTGCTCAATCTTGCCCAGGCTGGAGTGCAGTGGCGTGATCTCGGCTCGCTACAACCTCCACCTCCCAGCCGCCTGCCTTGGCCTCCCAAAGTGCTGAGATTGCAGCCTCTGCCCGGCCGCCACCCCATCTGGGAAGTGAGGAGCGTCTCTGCCTGGCCACCCATCGTCTGGGATGTGAGGAGCCCCTCTGCCTGGCCGCCCAGTCTGGGAAGTGAGGAGCGCCTCTTCCCGGCCGCCATCCCATCTAGGAGGTGAGGAGCGTCTCTGCCTGGCCGCCCATCGTCTGAGATGTGGGGAGCGCCTCTGCCCCGACGCCCCGTCTGGGATGTGAGGAGTGCCTCTGCCCGGCTGCGACCCCGTCTGGGATCTGAGGAGTGTCTCTGCCCGACCGCCACCCCATCTGGGAGGTGAGGAGCGTCTCTGCCCGGCCGCCCCGTCTGAGAAGTGAGGAGCCCCTCCACCCGGCAGCCGCCCCGTCTGGGAAGTGAGGAGCATTTCCGCCTGGCAGCCGCCCCGTCCAGGAGGTTGGGGGCAGCCCCCACCCGGCCAGCCACCCAGTACGGGAGGTCGGGGGCAGCCCCTGCCCGGCCAGCCGCCCTGTCCGGGAGGGAGGTGGGGGGCAGCCCCCGCCCGGCCAGCCGCCCCGTCCGGGAGGGAGATGGGGGGTGCCTCTGCCCGGCTGCCCCATCTGGGAAGTGAGGAGCCCCTCTGCCCGGCTGCCACCCCATCTGGGAGGTGTACCCAACAGCTCATTGAGAACGGGCCATGATGACGATGGCGGTTTTGTTGAATAGAAAAGGGGGAAATGGGAAAAGAAAGAGAGATCAGATTGTTACTGTGTCTGTGTAGAAAGAAGTAGCCATAGGAGACTCCATTTTGTTCTGTACTAAGAAAAATTCTTCTGCCTTGGGATGCTGTTAATCTATAACCTTACCCCCAACCCCATGCTCTCTGAAACACGTGCTGTGTCAACTCAGGGTTAAATGGATTAAGGGTGGTGCAAGATGTGCTTTGTTAAACAGAGGCTTGAAGGCAGCATGCTCGTTAAGAGTCATCACCACTCCCTAATCTCAAGTACCCAGGGACACAAACACTGTGGAAGGCTGCAGGGTCCTCTGCCTAGGAAAACCAGAGACCCTTGTTCACATGTTTATCTGCTGACCTTCCCTCCACTATTGTCCTATGACCCTGCCAAATCCCCCTCTATGAGAAACACCCAAGAATGATCAATAAATACTGAAAAAAAAAAAAAAGAACATGATTCTAATCTCTGTGGATGGTTGAATCATAATTCATTTAAACAATCCCTGTTGGATATTTAGGTTAGGTCTATTTTTTAGCATAAGTAAGGCTTTGACAACCAGCCTTTATACAAATCTGTACCCACATCTCTACATTTTCCCCCTTAGGTTAAATTGTAAATTTTTTTTTTTTTTTTTGAGACAGTGTCTCCCCCCATTACCCAGGCTGAAGTGCAGTGGTGCCATCGTAGCTCACTGCAGCCTCAAACTCCTGGGCTCAAACCATCCTCCCGCTTTAGCCTCCCCGTGTAGCTGGGGATACAGGTGTACACTACCAAACCTGGCCAAAACTTTTAAATGTATCACCAAATTGCCCTCCAAGTGAAGTTACACATATGTACACTCTCATGAGTGACATTTGAGTGGCTATTTCCCCATGATCTCTCCAACATCGGTTATTGTGATTTTTTAAAAGACCTTGCCAATGTCATAGGTAAAAAAAATAGCATATCATTGTTTGAATCTATTGTTATTTTCATTATACTGTTTTATTTCTGGTAGAATGTAAAATTGCATACATACTATTTTTACAACTTTATAAAAATACATGGAACACGCATGTTTCAAGTGTGGAAAGAACAACAGAAAAATGTCAGTAGTTGTATGATGGGATTGTAATATAATTCTTTTATGTTGTAAATTTTTTAAATTAAAAAGAATCTCTGTAAAAAAAAAAAAAAAAAAAAAAAAGTTCATATGGAACCAAAAAAGAGCCTGCATTGCCAAGTCAATCCTAAGCCAAAACAACAAAGCTGGAGGCATCATGCTTCCTGACTTCAAACTATACTACAAGGCTACAGTAACCAAAACAGCATGGTACTGGTACCAAAACAGAGATGTAGACCAAAGGAACAGAACAGAGCCCTCAGAAATAATACCACACATCTACAACCATCTGATCTTTGACAAACCTGACAAATACAAGAAATGGGGAAAGGATTCCCTATTTAATAAATGGTGCTGGGAAAACTGGCTAGCCATATGTAGAAAGCTGAAATTGGATCCCTTCCTTATACCTTATACAAAAATTAATTCAAGATGGATTAAAGACTTAAATGTTAGACCTAAAACCATAAAAACCCTAGAAAGAAACCTAGGCAATAGCATTCAGGCCATAGGCATGGACAAGGACTTCATGACTAAAACACCAAAAGCAATGGCAACAAAAGTCAAAAATGGGATCTAATTAAACTAAAGAGCTTCTGCACAGCAAAAGAAACTACCGTCAGAGTGAACAGGCAACCTACAGAATGGGAGAAAATTTTTACAATCTACCCATCTGACAAAGGGCTAATATCCAGAATCTACAAAGAACTTAAACAAATTTACAAGAAAAAAATCAAACAACCCTATCAAAAAGTGGGCAAAGTGTATGAACAGACGCTTCTCAAAAGAAGACATTTATGCAGCCAACAGACACATGAAAAAATGCTCATCATCACTGGCCATCAGAGAAATGCAAATCAAAACCACAATGAGGTACCATCTCACACCAGTTAGAATGGCAATCATCAAAAAGTCAGGAAACAACAGGTGCTGGAGAGGATGTGGAGAAATAGGAACACTTTTACACTGTTGGTGGGACTGTAAACTAGTTCAACCATTGTGGAAGACAGTGTGGCGATTCCTCAGGGATCTAGAACTAGAAATACCACTTGACCCAGCCATCCTATTACTGGGCATATACCCAAAGGTTTATAAATCATGCTGCTATAAAGACACATGCACATGTATGTTTATTGTGGCACTATTCACAATAGCAAAGACTTGGAACCAACCCAAATGTCCATCAGTGATAGACTGGATTAAGAAAATGTGGCACATATACACCATGGAATACTATGCAGCCATAAAAAAGGATGAGTTCATGTCCTTTGTAGAGACATGGATGAAGCTGGAAACCATCATTCTGAGCAAACTATTGCAAGGACAGAAAACCAAACACCGCATGTTCTCACTCATAGGTGGGAATTGAACAATGAGAACACTTGGACACAGGGTGGGGAACATCACACACCAGAGCCTGTCGCGAGGTGGGGGGAGGTGAGAGGGATAGCATTAGGAGATACACCTAATGTAAATGACCAGTTAACGGGTGCAGCACACCAACATGGCACATGTATACATATGTAACAAACCTGCACGTTGTGCACATGTACCCTAGAACTTAAAGTATAAAAAAAAAAAAGGAACTCCTATATAATTAGTAGGTACCTGCTGTCCAACATGGCTGACAATATAAATACAAATAATGAAGGTGAAAATTTCATAGATTCTTATTAGAATATGGCTTAGTATTACACAGATTTGTATATACATAGGTGACATATTTTACCCAAAGTGACAGCCACACTATTAGAAGTCCTATTCAATACCATAATTAATCTATATGCCTGTTCATCCTATTCTCCAATATTAGTAGGCCAATATTATTAGTTATATTAATTCATATAACTTCAATATATAATTAAAAATTTCAAAACCCTTGCTAATTACAGAAAACAATACTGGCTCTGTAAGAAACCCAGAAAAGTGTATGTCTTTATTTTCATTTGATGTAATTTTGAAGGCGTTCTATTTAACACATGTCAAATATTATTGGTAATGAAAAATTGGAGATATTCCATCTCACTTCTTGGGAAGGCTGATAAGCAAGAAATCCAAGGGAGGTATGGAAATAGATGTTTATGTCAATAAATCCTTTTAAAAACATGTTTCATAGAAGAACCTGAAACTGAACAACAGGTGTCTCTAATTCACAGCACTATCTGGGCAAGAATCAATTAAGTTTTCTAAAAAGGCACTCAAATGAAACAGTACAGGTAATTCATTCCCAGCTTTCCACTTCAGACCCTGAACCTCAACTCTGGTACCAAGAGACTAAAAACACTCCTCACCTTCTATAAAAAGACCTATCAATAGAAATTCATTCCCTGAATTATGAGCAGAGAGTTTCTCATTCTCATTAAAAACTAGTTTTGCTTTTACTTTGTCTTTTTTGCTTTGGGACTGTGTGTTTTCTTAACCTAAGTTGATTTCAGTTTCTCTCCAAATATTACTGTCTCCCTAATTATTTGAGTTGGCTGAAACACTAAGTCCTCTTTTAGACCTGATATATCAAGTTTGAAATGGTGCTCTGAAGTTGGGCTCACATGTTCAGTTTAAGTAAAAACTCAAGTTACTCTACAGCTGGGGTCAGTTGTTGAGAATGTTTTTACTAAAAGATGAGCTGCTTCTAAATAACTTTCTGATATTAAATTATTTCAATTTATTATATTCTGATATTACAACAATGTTTTGAATTCATAAAGTACTTCTTCACCTCAGGATTTAAAAGGTTCACTCGAACATAAATCCATTAATCTCCCAAACTGCCCTATGAAGTCAAAAGAGCATATTCTAACTCTGCATATAAAGTACTTCCAAAATGAGCTTATAAATCAGTCATGTTTGCAGCATATGCACAGAGCATTACAATTCAACTTCTCCCTAACAAAGAAACAAGAGCATTCCATATACAGGTTGCTTTTAAATAGTTTCATGCAAATATTTTAAGACTGAAAACATTTTTCCACTCTGTTAAAAAAGATGTGTTTAAAAAGTCAATAAGCAGCAGATATAAGGTTGTTATAATAAATTCTGAAAATGGCTTACCTATTTATGTAACTCAGGGCAACATAGGTTGGCTGCTGTAATTCTTGTTTTTCTAAAACCCGTGGATCTGTATCTGTAATAAAAACACAATTACGATTTTTTTTAGATTTTGCATCAGAATATATGAGGCTACCTAACACAAAGTAACAGAGGCTAAGCAGAGAAAAAGATTAATTTAGTACACCACTTTTTAAAGAAAACTGAGTCGGCGAAGCACAATCATTTGTTCATTCATTCATAAATAACAAGATATTGCATTACTTTTCAAGGGAATTCCAAACATCAACAGTGATAAAATGTCCATCTGTCACACAAACTCTTGCACAATCCCCCTTATAAATATTGGTTTTCACTGCTTACAGTTACAATGTTGGCATGGTTTTTGGTGGTTCATCGGCCTAAGAAAGAAAGTCTCTGTTAATTATGCTCACTTCAATGCTGGAACAAATTAGTTTCCATTGGAAAGCTCCATCAATTTGAAAACCTACTGAGTATTGTTCTTGTTCACGGAACACTTTTCTGCATTTGGATTCATATTCTGAAGGGCAGTTCTTCTCTTTTTAAAATGTATAATGAGTTTATTATAACTTTTCTAGACTCTCAATCAGAAATTCTCATACTGGTTCAGAGTCAACAAACACTACATTCACCAGAGGACTTTTCCCCTCAAAGAGACAGAATTCAACACCATAGCAACGCTTTATAATGGTGCTTCTCCAGCACAGCACCAAAAAGGTACTTTTTTCATAGCCAGAAATGTATTCTCAAACTTCTCACATAGAGAAATGACTGTATAAATATATGTATAAACAATGTTTATGTAATAAGGACATATAAGGAAGAAAATGAGCACACAATTTTAATTTTCTTAGAAAAAGGTTCATAGATTTCACACAGATTTCTTTTCATTATAAACTCACTTCAAACTATCTCATTATTAGAAACCTTCCAGGTGCACTTGGCAGTAACCCCTTCTTTGATGTAATGACAGATGTTGTTTCCAGCACCTTTGCACAGGAAGTGTTTACTGCACATGGTAGATGTAAGCTATGTCCACTAACTCCAAAGTGCATTAACAGGTGATGGGGGGAGGGAAGCAGATACAGTGGCAGAGAACACGGGTGGCAACAATGACAGCATAAAAATCAATTTACAATGCTTTTAACTCCCAGATTAAAACTGGACAGTAGTATCAGTTTTATTCGTGGTGTTAAAATTAAGAATCTCATGTTCACTTTATTGTTTTTTCTATGCCAAGAATTTCAGGGACACACTATTCAGAAATCCTGCCTCCTGGGTCTTTGCCACTGCAGGTCCTTGAAAGCCAAATTCTGAAACAAGAGACAAAGATTCTCTGAATGGCTCCATCAAGTCGGGTCTGAAGGTTTTGGCACTGCAAATGAGAACAGATCAGTAGCTCTGCGCTTCCTCAGTACACATGCAACTGAGGCTATTCCTCGATCTCTGGCCTAGGGATAAAAGGAGTGGTTCTCTAAATAACAAAAAAACCACTCTTCACGGGGAAACGCAGTTTTCAAACGTAACTCTTACTCACACTCATTTAAATTTGCTGTAATCCCAACATATATCCATGCTTCTGAGAGAAAGATACTTGCTGGAGGAGACAGTAGAACAATGTTCAACAAGGAAAGGTGTTTTGTCCAAAGAAATGGCACATTGGTATGCTGGGTGGGCCATTTGTGCAAATGGTGACTGACATGCTAATCCTACAGGGTCTTTCTAGGTGCTTAACGAGGTAAGAAACAAGAAATTAGAGATAAAAATCATGAAAATGAAAAGAAAGGAGGAAGGTAAGAAAGAACAGGGCAATGTAGAAAATTTCTCAAGTGCTCACAAAATGGTTTCACCTCAAGTTTAGGTACTGACGATCAAAGGGCTTTGCTTTTGAGACTCAAAGAGATATCTGGTGCATGATTTAATAAGGTGTATTATTTTGAAAGAAAAGGGCACCGTTAGGAGTCTAAAATTTGTGTGTAAAGGGGAAAAGAGGCCCATAAACATTTTTATAATCATTTGCTTGTCTTCATTCCTGTAACTGACATTCCCCAACCTAACAATATTCCCACAAACCATCTTCTAAAGATTTCTTTTTTTCTCAAATTATATAATTTCTAAAATGTTCTAAATATTACCTCTCCAGACTACCTTGATTTTTATTTTTTCCCGTGTGTATGTGTACAAAGATACATTTATATTATCCTTTTCCTTCTTCAAGCTCTAGAATCTCTTTGGGAAATGGGAAGGAAGTATCTTATACAAATGTCTACAATTTTGTTGCTCAAATAAATGGCATCAGCTCCTGCTGATCACACAAACTGCATCTTGTAATCTTGATTTACAAAAAATCAAGAATGTTTAGCACTTTATTTGCAAAGCAAGGTTTTAAAGTTTTGTTTTCTTAATTTGCTTCATCATCTTTCATAACCTATTCTAGACTTAGGCTCACATATCCTCAAATTGTTAAGTGGGAAACAGACTTCTGGAAGCTTCCAAACACCACCCTCTCCATCACAAAAAAAAAAAAACAAAAAACAAAAAAAAACACACACACACAAAAAACCATTTGGAAGCACCTCAGGTAGGATTCTACTTTTTCTAGAATGTACTCTGGTAACCAACAAGACAGCAGAACTTCTGGACAGACATCCACCAGGTCCCCAAATCTCCTTTTCAAACAAATGTTTCCTTGGGCAACCTTTAGAATATCCATTAAAGTGCTGAAATCTTAAAATGAAATTAGGCACTTGGTGCCCACAAATCAGGAGAGGCCTGCACCAGTGCTACCGGAGGAGTCAAATCAGCTGCTGGTCACAAATAAATGTTGGTTCTGTCACTTGCTTCCTGGCGGGCTGGTGTGTGGGGATTATGACTCACCATTTTATGGATTTAATTATGCTGTTGAGCACTTCACATTCAGTAAAAGTGTAATAGCTGCCTTCAGTATTTCTCCCTCCCTGACAGAAATGTAACTGTCTGATGCTAAAAACTCTCCACAGGATAGGAGGAGAGAGACAAGAGAGTATGATTTTCAGAGCAGGACAGATCCCCACATCCTGCACAATGACATACTCCTCATGAGGATTATATGAGGGCAGAAAGGATACAATCAGAACAAACTGGAAAGAGTAACACTATTCATTAGACATTACTAAATCCAACAGGAAGAATTTCCTTATACCATGCCACATTGTTCAGATATTTTTTGAACATGATAAATCGCTACACTAAGGAATATAATATGAAATGAGATGGCCATGGCACACATTTATGGTGCCGATAAAAATCTGGAACTAGAACATTGGCTACAATTGCCCAGAGATACAATCCACCTCAGCAAATGGTCTATGGAATAAAAGCACTTGGTTTTTTCATAGCCACATGAGGCTCCTTAAGCTTGCAATTTGGCAAGAGAGTAAGCATTTCTATAACATTGCTGTCAACAGCCACATAACAACATTCGACCACTTTCATATCACTAAGAAGTGACAGGAAGATAAACTCAAAACTTCAACTTTTTTTTAGCAGGGCAGGGTAGGGCCAAACACAGCACCGACAGAGATTATGACACTGTTTTCCGCCCTAGACTACTCCTTGCACAGTCCCTTGCATACTCACAGATTTCAGGTTGACTGGAGGATAAAATAATTCACATATTAAAATATATTTTAAAATACCCAAGTGATAAATACCTACACTAGCTTACTTCAAAGTTTCTAAAACATAGCATTCTTGACATTAGATGGCAATGTGTCTATCTTTATTTCAGGGGATGAGATTCTGAATGCACAGCTCTATTATAAGGACTTGGCTATGTAACACTAGACACAGGTACAAATTGAAAGCTTTCTGTAGCTCCTGTGGTCCTAGTAACTTATGGTTTTACAGACTCAATTACATTGCGAAGGGCTGGGGGTCACAGCACTAGCTCCCATTGCTTCTCAAGTGGCAAGGAAACAGCAAGGCAGATAGCAGAAATAAGGAAAGGACAGCATTCAGACCTTTCTCAGTAGGAACTGGAACTGCAACGTGACCAAGGAAAGGCAAACACCACAGACCACCTTATTGTCTCTGTGAAGCCCACGTTGATCCTCTTTGTTGTCTCCAGCACTGGAACCAATGGCCATCAAGCATCAGGATTGCCACGGTTCTGAAGAATTGCCTTTTGCAGTGCTCTTGTCAAGTCTAAACGAAAACTCTATCAGGGTTATTTGCCTGGTCAGGTGAGGCTAATTAACGAGCTCTTGGGCTTTGGCTATGCTTTAGCTGGTCTACATTTTATAACCTGGATTACTTATAATGTAAGAAAGTCAGAAACCAGCCGCACAATGTCTCAACAAAACTAGGGAGGCCTCTAAGGGCAATGTGCTATTCGCAGGCTGGGAGGTAGCAGTGTGGGGAAGATGTGATATCACGCCGTTTGAGAACTTGTTCAAATTCGATATCCTCCAAACACCAGGTTCTTTTTTAACTGTGTACAGCAACAGTGGGAGGCCTGAGAGGATGTGGGTGGGAAGGTAGTAGGGGATTTGCAGTGTTGGAAGACCCTGGGAAGGCAAATGCCCACCCAGCCAGATGAGTAATTTTGAAGATCTGGGCTGGATACGACACTTTTCTTGGGAATCAGCAACAACTAATGGGTGCTGTCTGTTCTTGGCCTTCCCCCAGCTATAGAACTTGTGAAGCCACAGAGTTGTAGACTTTGTTCAGCACAGCCTTCCACAACATTCCGTGTGGAGTTTGCTGCATCCTCCTCTTCCTCACTCTGCACCACTGTGTTCCTAGTGCTAGCACTGCAATTATGCCCCTGGAGGGGTGTTATCAAGGCATATCCTCTCTTCTTTGCACACTTTTCAGAGGTGAAGAACTTGTCTCAACTTCTTTCATTTCTCTGGCACTCAGCTCAGTGCCCTGCATGTAAGAGATGCAAAGTAATTGCTGAATGAATACACTGATCTATTATTTTTATAATGAGAAAATTGAAGGCTTTTGCTTACAGGTAGCAGCTTCATCAAGGGTATTTGTTTCCTTCACCATCCAAAGCCCCACTAAAATAGAAATGAATGAATAAAAAACTAACCAAGGATAGAAGAATGGCAGCAGAGGCATCAGGAAATAAGTTATTTGAACCAGTGTTTTGGAAAATGGAAAACCCATACAGGAGTAGACAAAGACCTAGAGTAGATACAGTCTCAAGTACCTGCAGTGGGGGAGACCCACAGCCAGGATCTGAAGACCCTGCAGAAACCCTGATAGGCCCCAGACTTAGAGGTGTCAGGTATGGCAAAAGGCAAGTGAGGGAAGGTTCAGGCCTGAAAATAGGGGGGTTGTTTAAAAGGTTGATTATCCAGGGACACTAAAGCAAGACACCAACAATAGTGGAGGGAGGAGAGGGGAGAGCGCAGGGCTGAGAAAATAGGGGAGTTAAAATGGAAATATGCCAACTCCACTGCTCCCAATAACAATGGTAACCAGTCAGGAGGATTCTTCTCTGATTCAGTTAAGTGGGTGTGGAGAAAAGACTGCCAATGCCAACATCTGGTGATTCCCTAATTAAACAATCTCCCTACAGTTAAGTGCATGGTCAACAAGCTCCATCCATGCTTCCATCCAGAGCCTCCTAGCAGCTTTTTATTGCTGTGATATATTTTCTTAAGAGTCAAAGTCTTGCTCTATTGCTCAGCTGGAGTGCAATGGTGGAATCAGACCATAGCTCACTGCAGCCTCAAACTCTGGGCTCAAGATATCCTCCTGCCTCATCCTCCTGAGCAGATAGGACTGCAGGTGTGCACCACCATAGCTGAGCAATATTTCTACTTTTTTTTTTTTTAGAGTTGGGGTCTTGCTATGTTGCCTAGGCTGGTCTTGAACTCCTGGCCTCAAGCAATCCTCTTGCCTCGGCCTCCCAAAGTGCTGGGATTACAGTTGTGAGCCAATGAGCTCAGCCTGCCTTAGCTTTAAATATGAACCAAGAACAGTCAAGAAATTGTCTCTAGACATTGGAGGAAAAGTCTTAAACGTGAATGAGAGAAACCAGAACAAACAAATGGGGAGGGCAGGACAGAAAAAAGGAAGGGAGGAAGAGAGGAATGGGGGGAAGAAGGAAGGAAGGAAGGAAGGAAGGAAGGAAGGAAGGAAGGAAGGAAGGCAGGCAGGCAGGCAGGCAGGCAGACATGAGCAAAGTAACAAACACATCAAGGCCTGGGAAGTTAAGTGACATGTTTACTTACACAAACCTGGTACTGGCAGGGCTAGGACCAGAAGCCCTGCGTCCTGAGTCTTATTGGGCCAGCATTTGGACTATTAAAAATGCTGCTTATCCTCTAAAGACATTTCATTGTTACTATCCAGTTCTAACACTGGACTCTGTATAGATAATCTTTTTTATACTTTCTTAAAAGCCCCATAGTTCTGTCGGCTGCAACTTTTACCCCACTTTGAAGACTGAATTTGTTGCATCAACAATTTACAAAGACCAACTTTTAATTCATGGCTAGTTTACTTCAGCTGCTGAAACAAATAATGCTTGTTGGCAACGGCCCTTTAAAAAAAAAATTGTACAATTGCACATAACCAGCCTTTGAATGGATCAACTTTTCCTTAGTTTATAGACATGTCATTTGAAACTTTTCCCAAGCCATAATTTCCATTACAGGGAAGTCAGTGCAAATTTCAGTGAGATTCTTGGTTTCCCAAATTCAATGTGAAATCCAGATGCGGTTAAGTGTTGCTGTAAACTTTATGAGTTAAATATCTAAAAGTCAGGGACACTGTGCAGCACAATAACACCATCTATTAAAACAAGCATTCATATTCACATTTGTAGCCTGAGTTTTCCTGCCACAAGTGAATGAATAAACATTATTCAACCAAGAACTGTTTGGACAATGTTCCATAGCCTAGATCAGCCGGCTGCTGCAACCTTCCCTATTCCTGGCAGACCAGAGGGTTAAAATGATCAAAAATAATTCTGACTAGGATACTTCCCAACTTTACCAATCTATCCAGCTTGTAGAATCATCAATGACTGCTTGAATTTTTCCCCAAGTATAAGATGTATAGTCCTTCTATGAAAATGACACTACCAGTTCACACTCTTCAGTGGTGATGGGGTGTGCTTTGTCCACCCAAGCTCTCGCCTTGTTACTTGTGAGAAAAGAGCCTGCCAGAAACCATAATGGCTGCAAGATATGCTTGTGAAGTATACAGCCTGCATATCTGTATACAGCAGCCCTGGAAACTGGGGTGCTGAGATTAAACAACAATAAAATTCTTTCAAACTGGAGTAAGGCCAAAACTTGGTCCCATTTAATCCTGGGACCAAGTTAATTTGTGTGCACACACAAATAAATATACATGCCTGCTTTCTCCAGAAATGAACCTGATGACAGATCCAAGCAGCATGCAACACAAAAGATCACAAAGAAGCTGGTATACCTCCCCTGCTCATGAGAAGAGCCTATGAGAAGGTATCTGGAAGAGAAGACAGCTGCTTGTGAGTGAGGCTTAGTGACAAAAGAAAAGGCAGGAACATGAGGCTCTCGAATTCATCTCTGAAGGCTGGAAGGCAAAAACCTGTTTATGGAAAGGAAACCTTTCCCTCCTTCTGCCTAACATTGTTTGCCCAAGGAAATCCTACCCATCTTCCAAGGCTTTGGCCCATATAGTACTTTCAGCATGCATTGTACCATATATATTTGCAAATATGTCTTATCAGCCCATTAAAATGGAAGCTCCTTAAGGAACCAGATCTTAGAGGCCACAAATCCTAAGCCCAGTGTTCTGTAAATAATCAGTGTCCATGATGATATATGATGAATACATGAATGAATGCCCTGGACATGCAGTACCACAGAGGATACAAAAGCATTCAGCTCAGACAGCTCTGCCTTGGAGAGTCAGGCAAACAGGAGGGGAAAACAGGCCCATGGTAAATGACTTTACCAGGATATATACTTCCATCAAAATACATCCCACCAAGCACAGATGTTCAGAGGGCTATAAAATGATGTACAATTCACAATAATAAGGGACAGAGGGCAGACAGGGCTAATCTGGGCAGGCTTTACTGATGAATGGGAACTGAGCCAGGTTTTGAAGGGAGTGAGCGTAGCGAATCATTCACAGGTGAGGGCGGGAAACCTAAGAACAGCATAGGGGAGAGGTCTGTGGATACTGTAGAAAAGCAGTGAGTTGAAGAGTATTAGTTGCAGTATTAGTATTAGTTGTAGAATATTTATAGAGACACTTTTTAGAGATACTTCAGAAGAGTGGTTCTGAACTGCAGGCAATTTTGCAGCACCCCCCCGACCCCCCATCCACACCCTGGGATATTTGGCAAAGTCTGCTAACAACTGGAGGGAGGGTTCCAGTATAGTATCTAGGGGGTAGAGGGCAGGGATGCTGCTGAACACCCTACATACGCACGCAGAGTAGCGCCTACAACAAAGAGTCATCTGGTCTAAAATGTCAATAATGTCAAAGTTGAGAAACCCTGCTTTAAAACTACACGAATATTATGAGAAACAGAGCTATTGCTCCTAGATTGCTTCTAGGTGATAATTTGTTGTTTTCTGCAGTCTAAATCAAGAAGCCAGAAGGCTGGTGAGGAGACAACAAGAGAAGAACAACACAGAGGCTGTTTGGACCTAGATAAGTGCTCCTATTTTCTTTTTCTTTCTTTCTTTCTTTCTTTCTTTTTTTTTTTTTTTTTTGAGACAAGAGTCTCACTCTATCACCCAGGATGGAGTAGTGGGATCTCAGCTCACTGCAACCTCTGCCTCCCACGTTCAATCGATTCTCATGCCTCAGCCTCCTGAGTAGCTGGGATTACAGGCATCCGCCACCACACCTGACTAATTTTTGTGTTTTTAGTAGAGATGGGGTTTCACCATGTTGGCCAGAGTGTTCTCGAACTCCTGGGCTCAAGCAATCCACTGGCCTTGGCCTCCCAAAGTGCTGGAATTACAGGCATGAGCCACAGCGCCTAGCCAGTTCTTATTTTCTTAATGGAGACAAATAAATTGAATTCATTTAAAAAAGACATTGAATTCTTGCCATGTTTAGTTGCTTAGGGGAAACTTTAAGTCAGTAGGTTCACAATTGAGCGAAAAAGATGAACAGAATTCACAGTTAACAATAATCTGGCCGGGCGCAGTGGCTCATGTCTGTAATCCTAGCACTTTGGGAGGCCAAGGCAGGCAAATCACTTGAAGTCAGGAGTTCGAGACCAGCCTGGGCAACCTGACAATACTCTACTTCTAATAAAAATACAAAAATTAGCCAGGCATGGTGGCGTGCCTGTAATCCCAGCTACATGTGAGGCTGAGATATGAGAATCGTTTGAACACGGGAGATAGAGGTTGCAGTCAGCCGAGAACGTGCCACTGCACTCCAGCCTGGGTGACAGAGTGAGACCCTGTCTCAAAAAAAACAAAACAAAACAAAACAAAACAAAAAACCTAAACAAAAAAAACCAATAATCTAAGACAGACTACAATGTTTGTCAATATAGAGGAATATACTTACTACTCTAGAAACAAAACATGACTCTCTGTGCAACTGAGAGGAACTTCTTGAAAGAAAAATTTACATAAGCCTTGAACTAAATCTACATTCAGAAAAGATGAGAAAATGATGAGTCTGAATAGAAGACAGTTTGAGCAGATAAACAGAAGTATTTAATAGAAAGGAGCAGGGGGTGGCAAGAAGTCAGTGGGGCTGGAACTTGGCAAGAGACCTGAAATGCAGATTGGGTCACATCACAAAAGGCTTGCAATGCTTTCCAAGAGTTCAAACTTAGTTCTGCAGACGATGCAGAGCACTGAAGGTATAAACTGGTATGGCCCATGTTTTAGAAAAATAACCAGTGGTGGCAGGGAGGACTGGGCGGGGGCGGGAAACTGGGATGTAGAAATATAAGATTCGATGAAAAAGAACTGGAAATAGAAGACTTTTCTTATGTTATAGATCTGAGTATTTCATTACAAAAACAAAGAAGTAACTAGAAGGTGAAAAGGAGTTTGATAGACAAGAATATGAGGTCTGCTTCTGACATGTGGTAAGATATTCTGCAGAACCAAGAAGTCTGGAACTCAAAGGGGAGATAAAAGACTCATGGTATAGATAGGAAGTGAAGTGCTGAAGAATCCCATCATAACACCACACATTCCAACAGACAACTGAACCAAAGCATGTCTCTCAAAACAAAACAATCATATTCCATAAAACCCCAACTACCCTGATTAAAAACTTGCTTATCATATAACTTGGCCAAATACTGGCTGAGAACCTACTAGGCCCAGTGGAATTCCAGCAGGGATTTTTTAAAAGCCAGAGGTTGTGCTGCATTTGAAACCAACTGAATGGTAAATTTCCCAAAAGATGACTATGAAAGACGGGGGGGAAAAAAGAATAGAATAAAAATTGGCCCTGAGTTCAGTTTTGATCTGGTACCCGAGTCTCCAAGGCTTACTATGACAATCGACCTCTTATTGGCACATTTGTTGTTGCATACAAGTCAAACTGCCTCAATTCAATCCTAGCTGTCTAACTTCTTTAAGCCTCAGTTTTTTTCATCCACAAGAAGTTGATAAGGATAGTCCTTTCACCCTAGGGTTGAAATGTGGATTAAATTAGCAAGCATGTTAAGTGTAACTACTGCTCAGTTCTTTAGTCCATAAGGCGTTTTGAAACTAAAACTTGCATTGTTCTGGATTATTTCCATTTTATGTGGCATAATGGTACATAGAAAATCTAAGAATTCATCACTCACTTAAGTGTGGCTGGGACTGCTGGCTGCTGCCCAAGAGCTATTTTCCCCCCTTTCCCTCCATAATGCTTAGAAACATGGCTTCCTGGTATAAAAACCACACTTCCCAGCATTCCTTGAGCCAGGTGCATTCATGTGACTAAGTCTTGGCCAACAGGATAAGGCTTCAGGAAGCCTCCTTAATATGGTAGATTTCTTTCAGGCTGCCTGAAAGAAATTCTGGGTATGAGATAATCTTGTGAATGGAAGTCATACATGGTGAAGCAACACAGTAGGAGTCTGGATCCCTGATTGGGTGAAGCTCTATACTACTCTTGAACTGAGCACCTCCAGCCTTCTTTAAAGTGAAAGAAATAAACTTATCTTCCAATTAAGCCATATATTTGAAGGTTTTTCAATTACATGAAGTCAAACCAAAACTTGACTGAAATACAAAACAACCGGAATTCTGGTTTATTTTGTTGGACCTAAAACTCTCATCTGAAACATGAAATATTTCATGTTTCATTTTATTTTCTTGGATTTAAAAGAAAAAAAAAACCTCTTTAAAAATGTATCATACTAAGTGCAGGGAAAGAAAATCAGAGTAAAATCACACCTGAATCACCACAGCCTCTGTGGCTAACTCTAAACAGGAATGGTTAAAGACTGGGAGAAAGAGGAGGAAAAAATCATCATGTCAAATTATGGCTCTTTTGGTCGTTTTAAGACTTTCTCCAGAATTAGTTATTAGTGGGCAATAATGAAGCAAATTGCACATGCATATTACTTCTGAGTTATGAACAATACAACCAACAGTAACCTTTGAAGCTGTCAGGATCTTTTCAGGCAGGCAATTAAAGTGAAAAATGAGTGTGCGCACAACTTCCATCACCCAATACTACATGTAATAACACCACCTACAAACACTGACATAGGAGTGGGGCTCAGTCTGAATATTTATTAATGCAGATCTGTTCCCATTTGTTCCTCTCCATTTCCTATAACCTATCCCACCTCCACCTGCCAAAATTTTTTTTTCTTTAAAGGGCAGCTCTGACATCATGCATCACATTTACCTGAAACCTACATGCACCGTGACATCTCTCCTATCTGCACTGAAAGAAATTTTCCTCCCTTTCCCTTGACTCAAATATAAATTTAGGACAAGCTGGGAGTCTAGAAGGAAAAGAAGTCTATAAAGAAGTAAGCCCAATCAGGAAAACACAAAATAAGATGAAAATAATCAATAATGGATATTTACAGATGGCCAAATATATACGTCAAGTATTGGGTGCTAGGCATTGAAGGTCCTCCTGCCTGCCCCTACCCACCCCTGCCAACACACATACAAAAAGGTCTCAGCTCTCAAGCAGACTGGACTATAGAGGATGTGACTTATATTGATCTAAGAATAATCTAGTGTAGAAGTATCAGCTTTTCTAATAAAGTGTAAGAATCACTATTTGCATGTTTTGTGATTTAAGTACCTGGACTTTAGAGAAATGGCAGGGATAACCAGAAAGGGGGGGTACCTGATGAGCCAGTTGGAGTAGGTGTTCCCAAGCTAAGAAGAAACACCCATGCTACAGGCTTAATACCTGACGCCTATGATCCCATCTGTGAGTTTGTCTCCTGTGGTTTCAGCCATTTCTAAATCAACAAGAGCCTAGAGGGCCAATGGTTTCTAGCCAGAACTGCCCATTATTATCACCTGGGTAACTTAAAAAAAAAAAAAGTCTGATGCCAAGGACCCATCCCCAAAGATTCTAATATGCAGTCAGGGTTGGCAATTACTATTACAGACTCTGAGAAGGCTCAGAAACTGGAAAAGGGATAGAGAACTGGTTGGGAAAGTTATTTACACCAATTTGCATCTCTCCCACCCTTCCAAACTAAAAAGGCAATTGTGAAACTGGAAAGGAACTACTGGAAGTGATTTAAAAGTTGTATAAGTCCGACATCCAGTGAAATAATTTTTTTTTTTCTTTTCTGAGATGAAGTCTTGCTCTGTCCCTCAGGCTGGAATGCAGTGGCATGATCTCAGCTTACTGCAACCTCCGCCTCTTGGGTTCAAGTGATTCTCGTGCCTTGGTCTCCCAAGTAGCTGGGATTACAGGTGTGCACCACCACACCTAGCTAATTTTTGTATTTTTAGTAGAGATGGGGTTTCGCCATGTTGGCCAGGCTGGTCTCGAACTCCTGACTTCAAGTGATTTGCCCACCTCAGCCTCCCAAAGTGCTGGGATTACGGCGTGAACCACAAGACCTACCTGAAATCATTAAATTTTGACTTCACTTGGGACTCAGGTTTATTTCCACCCCTTTCACTTTCTATACAGAAAGTATTAAGCTTAGTAATTATGTAGACAAGTTAGTGTTTTCATGTATTTCGAAAACCAAATCACAATCTTTGAATTGTGATATGGTTTTCATCTATTCAGTAAGGGTGTTCTGACAAGACCTTTGACTGGGAACCATTTATTTTTCTTCACAGTATGTGCCTACAATTAATAAGACCACATCACTTTAGTTGTTCTGTGGTTCAGAATTTTCTGTAAGTCAGATTGGCCAGAACCACTGTGGTTTTCCTGTGCTGTCATTATTCACCTTGGTAACAAATCAGGCTGTATCCAAGTATATTAGTTTTGTATTTCGGAAGCCAGTTTTGTCAAGGATTTGACAAAAGGAATTGCCTTCGTTACTTCCTATCTCCCAGGGAAGCCGAATCATTGCTTAAAAAAAAAAAAAAAAGTCACAGGAGAAAGAGCTGAACATCTGGACACAGACTGACTGGATGGCCCTGCCTAAGAGTTATCAAATGTAAGTGCACATAGGTCACAGCTTACTCAGGTCAAATTCTGGTCCAAGAGGCTCTGCCAGGCTGGCTAGAGCATTATGCCTGCCGACTCCACACCCAGGTGGCAGCCAGGAACACAGTGTTCAGGTTCGTGGGCCACAGAGGTTATGTGCTAGCTGGGGATTTATCGTTCCTGATTCTGTGCAAGTTGTGTATTCATTCTACTTGCTAATGAGTAGGGGAGCATGCTGAGCTGTAACTCAATTGATCTCGCTGATGGTGTGAATTTGGGTGTCTGGGAAGTCCCTGGACCTTCTCAGTTATCTGGCACTTGGCAGATGGCTCCTGACAATCTTGGCTTCTGTGGAAGGACTTCTGGGAATTAACTCTGGACTTTCTGTTGCTTAAAAAAAAAAAAAAAAAGGCTTAAATTTCTTTAGACAATGTAAGATGGTAGTTACTGACAGTCTGCTACTTTCTGTGTGACTTGAGCAAGTTTCTCAGCAGATAAAGATGACAGTGACTCATGGCTCCTACACATGAAGAGGTTATTAAGAGGATTAAAAGAGATAAGCCATAGACAGCACAGAGCACAGTGGCTGGTACATGATAAATACTTAATAAATCTTACCCACTAGGGGCCAGGCTCAGTGGCTCATGCCTGTAATACCAGCACTTTGGGAGGCAGAGGCAGCTGGATCACCCCAACTTGGTGAAACCCCATCTCTACTAAAATACAAAAATCAGCCAGGCGTGGTGGTGTGCTCCTGTAGTCCCAGCTACTCAGGAGGCTGAGTCAGGAGAATTACTTAAACCTGGGAAGCGGAGGTCACAGTGAGCCAAGACGGCACCACTGCACTCCAGCCTGGGCAACAGAGCAAGACTGTGTCTCAAAAAAAACAAAAAACAAAAACCCCAAACACCAAAAACTTACCCACTAGGTACCATTATTATTTTAGGTAGTAAGGTCTGAAAGCATTTAGTGCTTGCGTTGTGGGACTACATTTGTGAACAATCAATAGTTCTCAAGTAGCAATAATAACTGATAATAAAGATATTATTACTATCACTGCGTGTCTACTATGGGTCAATACAAAATGAATTGCTTTCTGTGTGCAGTCCTCATGAAAATCCTGTAAGGGAGATATCTCCTGACCCACCCCACTTCCCAGAGGAAAATATAAAGCTCAGAAAAGGCCCAAATCACAGGACCAGGAGATAAAGCCTTAAATCTGGGTTTGTCTGACTTCAAAGTATGTGCTATTTGACCACATTTGCTGCTTCCCCTGAGTAGAAATAACTTGTTTCATAGCATGGAGCCCTGAAACACTGTTCAGTAACAATGCTCTCTAATTAAATTGCCAGGTGGCCTTTCCTTTGTATTTTAACTTTTAAGGTGATTTTATTATATCTCTTCCATAAATGAACATGGATTTTTTATGACAAAATTAAAATAAGCATTATGTAACTATTAGCATAAAACATTTTTGTTCTTGTATGACCCAACATCATCTTACATGGCCCCAGAAGCACATGGAACACTTTCCAGGCACCCCACCTTGCCTAATTCCCACTCTTTAAGTGCTATCCAGCTACTGCAATGGGATGTCAACAGCCCCATAACTTAGGAGCAGGTAAAAGTATGCTATTCCTGATCTTTCCAATAAAGTTTATGTTTTTGATTGCCCACGTCTGACTCTAGGCATAGAATTATTTCTGGACCCAAATATTTCTCATGCCCAGTACTTCGGGAGGCCGAGGTGGGCAGATCACCTGAGGTTAGGAGTTCGAGACCAGTCTGGCCAACATGATGAAACCCCATCTCTACTGAAAATAAAAAAAATTAGCCGGGTGTGGTGAGGTGGGAGGATCACCTGAGGTAGGGAGTTCGAGATCAATCCGACCAACATGGTGAAACCCTGTCTCTACTAAAAATACAAAAATTAGCCAGGTGTGGTGGTGTGTGCCTGTAATCCCAGCTACTGGGGAGGCTGAGGCAGGAGAATCACTGGAACCCGGGAGGCGGAGGTTGCAGTGAGCCGAGATCATGCCGCTGCACTCCAGCCTGGGCAACAGAGTGAGACTCCATCTCAAAAAAAAAAAAAATTATTTCTGGACACTAAGGTTGCTCTTGGGGCTGGCAGGCAACTCTCTGAATTAAGTGGTTGGTTTTGGCCTCATTGCCATGGTGGCAGGAATCAATACAAATTGACCAGGTGACCAGCTGGATGGGAAAGCATACAGGTCTGAGACATGCCTCTTTCCCTTTTTTAAAAAGACTTAAAAATTAGACTTTTTAAAAGAGCAGTTTTAGGTTCACAGCAAAATGGAGAGGAAGGTACAGAGATATCCCATATACTTTTGCTCCCACCCCATGCATGGCCTCTCCCATTACTAGCATTCCCCACTAGAGTTCTTTTTTTTCCTCGCTAAAAAGTGCTTCATAGAATGCTGGAATGCTTTGGAAGCACTGGGATGAAATATTTAGACAAATTCTGATGGAAATCAGAACCCACGACAGAAGCTGCAACACTGTTACTGCACCTGCATCTTTTATTAAATTTCTCCTTTGGGTGACTGATCTTAAAAAACACCAGAGGTTCTAGTCCAGGTTCTAACTATTTCTAGCTTAGAGCTTTCATCAAGTCAGTTTCTTTACCTGTGAAAAGATAATGATATATGCACCAACTCCCTCACAAGCTTTAAGTGAGAATCATACATTTTAATTATTTATTTTTAAAATTAATTATTATTATTTTTTTTAGAGATAGTGTCTGTTGCCCCGGCTGCAGTACAGTGGCACAAACATGGCTCACTGCAACGTCAATCTCCTGGCTTAAGAGATCCTCCCACCTCAGCTTCCTGAGTGGCTGGGACTACAGGCGTGCACCACTATGCTCAGTGAATTAAAAAAAGAATCCTCCCACCTTGGCCTCCCAAAGTTCTGGGATTATAGGTGTGAGCCACTGTGTGAATCATACATTTTAATTGAGCAATTCCAGTATAAATTCTAAGGTCCTACCCCAGCTTCCAAGACAAGGTGGTCTGAGAGTCATTGTCTCTCCAGCAGGAATAACCCAGTGCAGCCACATCTTAACTCATTAGTCTCTCTGGCAAATAATCTCTGGGAAGAGAAGGCTTAAACTATACACTAAAACAGAAACCTGAATTATTTGCATAAAGAACTTAGATTTCATTTTACTTTGCTATCCTTGGAACTTGAGTGCACACATGCACTCAGATTATGATTTTTCTCTTGCAAGAGTAGGGACTTGCATCAGAAAAGTTCTTCAAAAGTTTTTCCAAAGAGCCATATGACTTTTCAGTAGAGATAGAAAACCTTTTGGCTAGCTTTAAGCTGAGTTTATTAAAAGCCATTCTGATTCACTACAAACTGTGTGATCAACTAACTTGTTTTATACATAAAGGAAAGCCTTTCAATTTATAAAACCAAGATACATTTAAATGATTTTATCACACATTCAAGTCAAATGCAAAACTTTCTATCATGGTTAAGTAAAACAGACATTATCAAGGTAATCACAAGACATCAGATTCCTCAGAGAAGCTCGGGAGACCTCTGGGATTTGGTAAACCTTACTATCAGCTGAGTTTCCACAAATGGAAGGCAGAGACTCTGATGGATTTTCTAGGCTTACTTAAGATGAGGTTTAATGCTCTAGACATGGATTCAATATAATAAAGATACTGCGTCTTCATTTCTATGGCTTGGTTTTAAAAGGAATGCAGAGATAACATACTTTCAAAAAAAAAAAAGGTAGTTGCTGAGTATCTACAACTACTCTGCCTGTCAATCTCTCCTCCCTTCAGCCCACACCTTCCTACTTTAGCCAATCAGTTCAGTGTTTTTACAGTATTTTTGATGCAACTCACAGTAAGACATACATTTTAAATCATAACCAGTACACCCCTCCAGACACAAACATACGAAAGTTTCACAAAACATTACTAAACTTCACCATATGTGATGTACCCTGATAATACCATTGCTTTTTTTTTTTTTTGAGACAGAGTCTCGCTCTGTCGCCCAGGCTGGAGTGCAGTGGCACGATCTCGGCTCACTGCAACCTCCGCCTCCCAGGTTCAAGCAATTCTCCTGCCTCAGCCTCCCGAGTAGGTGGGACTACAGGCGCATGTCACCACGCCCAGCTAAGTTTTTGTATTTTTAGTAGAGACGGGGTTTCACCGTGTTAGCCAGGCTGGTCTCGATCTCCTGACCTCGTGATCTGCCTGCCTCAGCCTCCCAAAGTGCTGGGATCACAGGCGTGAGCCACCACACCCACACCCGGTCACCATTGCGTTTTTTAAAAATGTTATGACAACCCATTAAATTGATGTTGTCACTGACTAATGAGTCCTAAATGGTGACTTCAAAAAAATTCAAATCTTGCTGAATTACAAATCAATAATGTCATGTGTTAAGTCCACTCCCACACATGGCTCTTTATTGCTTACATGATAAGAGATTTAGGTAAAACATAGAAGATCATTTGCAATTTGGCTTCATCAATCAAATTATTCAAACTCATCTCTAGTTCTCTACATGCCCCCTACACTCCAGCAACTCCTAACTTCTTCCCGTCCTCTGCACATACCTCATCTACACTCTATACCTTTGGTTCTGATTATCCTGTTTGCCTTTCTGTGTCCTGTTCCCTGTGCCAAGCACTGTTTTACACAGTCTCTCTTGCCTTTGGTTAGGTTCAGAGAAAATCAGGGGGTGAAAGGAGAGGGTGGTCCAGTATTTGTTCTCCTACTCCCTCCTAGCTAGGCATGGTTTTGGAAGCAGCTGCTATGCTCCACCTAGGGCCACAGCTCTGGGAGGGCGGTCGTCCCCCTTGCAAGGCTGCCACTCTCCAGGTTCTGTTCACAGCATCACCTCCCCTTCCCCTTCAGCCTTCTGCTGTTCCTAGGTCCCGGGTGCCTCAACATCTCTTACCCTGCCACACCCCTATAAATAGCCCCCATATTTAATTCTCTTCTATTCTTTGGGGGCCTAGAATGATATGCCTTTGTAACACATGCTACCCAGAACACCTCGTCCTCACCTGCTTTTCTGTGGTCATCCTCAAACCCATCATCCAAAGTCCACTATAAAAGTCACCTCCTCTACAAAACATTCCATGAAGCTACATGGTAGAATCTGCCTTAATAGTCAGGTATATTAAAAAGATAGATTACATTTTAAAGTGCTTTGTTCCCAACAGACTCAGCTTCTCCAAAAGCCAGCAACTTGTTTCTTTCCTGTCCCTAGCATTTAGCACAAGGGCTGGTAAATAATCATGATCACTGAAAGAATAAATGAATGAAAGGTAAGAGGATTCTCAATTATTAAACGACATCACAACTGCATGCCAGTAGGTCGTATTTTCTAACAAGAGTGTCTACAGAGCTTTGTCTGAATTCCCATTCTGGGGTGATCTAGTCAATTTTCTCTACATGTAGCTGCTGGGATCCAGCTAGAGACAACTGCTGCTTACTGTGTGGTGAACCCAGTATCTCTGGTGGTAACTAGCGGGCTCCTCACAATCCCACATCACCTGGCAGGGTGTTTCTGCTTACGATGCTAATGAGATTTTACTTGAAAGATGTAATTATTGCCGCAACCCAAGAAAATAATTAATGGCCAATTTTAGCGGGCAAAATATTCATTAATCAAGTCAACAGACAAGAGACCTGCAGCGTTTAGGAAAAAGGTCCTTAGAGAGAAGGAAAAAAAGATAATCACCTAGAGATTTCTCCTTTTCATAAGTATAGGTTAAATCTATTCAATTATAGTCTCTTGAAAGTTTACATTTCAGATTTAGTCCAATGACTTCTAATGAAGTCTAGGTTTAAACTTTTGAGTTTTAGAATGCATTGCACAACTGTTATTTAATCATTATACTGCACAAAAAGGTAGTGATAACAAGGAGACATTAATCTCATATTTGGTTGGTTTAAAACACTTCACGCAAGGACTTCTGAACATGACAAACGTCAGCTTCTGTTTTCTTATATTACAAGTGAGGAGGAAGAAAGGTGTCATGATGAGAACACCATTGGGCTTGGTAAACATTTACGTCATCTTTGACCCTTATAAACACACGGCTTTTTAACTGAGGGTGAGAGGACATTTTAAATTCTTCTAACACCTTGGTAATCAGAGCGCAGGGAAATATCTGCCCAAAAAACAACATAGTGACCCAGAGATCAAATCAAACCTACACCTACTATTAAAAGATACTTCAATCCCAAAGAGCATGGGCCCTCATAAAAAATGATAAACAAACCCCTCCAGCCTCTCTCTCCAGCCCTTCTTCTCAACGCCCTTTTATAATATTCATGTCCTCAGATTTATGTCGACCATATATTGCCTAGATGTGTCTCCCCATTCCATTAAAAGGGACTTAAGGGATGGGAGATGGGTCACAGAAGGCAGCAAACAATAACTGACAGTTGAGTTTATTTTTTAAAACCAAAAAAACTTCCATGTTTTCATTTAACTTTAAATGCTAACAACCATATTCCAGGCTCGACATGCCCGTAAAGCTGTTTCACAGTCCAGGGAAAAAATTTTTTTATTGTAAATAATGTTCACCATCCACATCTTAACAGTCTGGATGCTGAAGCATTTTTCATTTAGAGTAATGATCTCCAGGAGTAAAAATAATATAATTATAACTGAACTACTTGGTCAGCTAAATCACAACCAGAAATGCACTGGTATGTATTTCATTCACCGTGTCAAAAAATCTTCATTCTGAACCATCAACACAGCACTAAATTTTGATCTGTCATTGAAAACAGGTCGCTTCTATTTCTGGCTTACAGCATGGTAACAGGGCACAGCAATTGGCAAAGACAGCTAATATTTCACATTAAATCTCCCTACCTGACCTTCTGAATCAAAAATGGAGGGACTCATGAAGAAGAAATTAAGTAAACACTCTTTTTTTCTTTAAAAAACAAAACCAAAAAACCCCTCTTAAAGGATAGAAAAGAAACGACTGAAATTCTTGGGATACAAATTTGTTGTTGATAGGTCAGCCAATTAAGGCCACTGAAGGGTGTGGGCTGCACCCCTGGGCTGCCTCCTCTTAAAGACAGATAGGAGGGAAGAGGGAGTTTCTTGGTGTCCAGGTGGTCCTTAAGACAAAGCCAGAACTGGCATTTCCAGTGGAGGGAGGACTACAAGGTCAAAGGGTATGTCAGCCACTTTGGGTGTGGCCTCAGCTGGCCCTTTGCAACCCACCACTACTGAGGGTTGAGATGTGGACAGAGGTTGATGGACATGCATTGCAGAAGGAAGCAACATCTCTTGAGACTCTTCTCCTCCATGAGTCATTTTAAAGTCACTTGTGGATCTGTATTTAAACCACGTTTTTTATCTTTCTTTTAGTTTACCTTTAAATACAATTTGAAGAAAGTTTTGCAGATACTTCTCCCTCCTTTTTCCCACCACAACCTAAGCCTGGGTAAAGTGACCCTCCCATCTGCTCCTTTTAGTTGCCCCATCTTCACACTTACCCCATGGTTTGAAACCTCCTGATGGGCATTCTCTCCCACTAGCTCCATGTTTCTCAGCCTGGGTAGGTTTATCAAGTAGCGGCTCCTTGCTATAGCCCCAGTGATTCCAGTTTAATTTGATCTGGCATGAAACACCCACTGAGACACCTGAGTGCACCCCCGGTGACTCTCATGTGCAGTCAGGGCTGAGAACCACTGCTGTGCTAAGCTCCCTGGGGACAAGCCCCAGGGCTGTTCACCTTTGAACCAGACCTAGCACAGGGCCTGCTTGCTAAATAGGAACCAGACCTAGCATAGGGCCTGCTTGCTAAATACTAATGGAATACATAAAAGAATGTTGTTCAGTGATTAAAGAAGACAGTGGGAGGAAAAAATAGGAGGGCCATTCAGGATGGCCTCTCAAACTTGAGTGTGCATCAGAATCACCTGGAGGCCTGTTACAGCTCAGGATAGCGGGGGTTGGGGGGGTAGGGCAGGCATCCCCAGTGCTCCTGATTTAGTAGCTATAGGGTGGGCCCTGAGAATTTCCATTTTTTACAAGCTCCCAGGTGACGATGATGCTGCTGACTGATCTCAGAACCACGCTTCTAGAACCACGGCACTGAAATGACCAAAGCAGTTTAGTAATCTTAGATTAGATGACACATAGTAACGGGCTGCAGGATCTGATGAGGTGGTCAAGGATAGTAATTCTATGAGGGACATCACAAGGAGGGGTCCACAGGTCTTTAATCCTATCTGATTGCTGGCCACAGAGAGACCAGGGCTGAGGAAATCTCCCTTTTAGACTGTGATTCCAATTCACTCAGCTACCTTTAATCTTCATGGCTTAAGTATATGAATTATCCATCACATGTCCACTACTATTCAGAATTAGGGTGTGGCTGGCAAGAAGAACAGACTGCCATCAATATCTAAATAAAAATTACAGTAACACTTTCTTAGAAATAGGCCCAAGAAAAAATTTTCCAAAAGCAACCAGTGGCAGAACTAGGCCAGAAAACAAACCCATGGCTGCTAGTTAAATCAACTGAGGCAGTGGATTCTACAGCTGTAAAAATACAGTGGTTTAAAATCCAAGCTTCCAACAGCCATCCAAATAGATGCTAAAATTACATGGTGGGGGTGGGGGTGGGGAATGCATGCTCTCTTTACTGCCAGTTAAGAGATTTCTTTCTTAACAGATAAAGGAAAGGAATAGGAAAATGCCAATTGCATTTGGTTTTCCTAAGAGAGCACTGGCTACTGGTTCCCAGTAACCCTCCCATCACCCAAGCCATTGAACAGTGACACAAATGGCATTGTGACAGTAACACAAGCAGGGGTTCTCTCTCCATTTCTGATGAACCATCTTATGGGTTGATATGGTTTGGCTGTGTCCCCACCCAAATCTCATCTTGAATTCCCATGTGTTGTGGGACGGACCTGGTGGGAGGTAATTGAATCATGGGGGCAAGTCTTTCCCATGCTGTTGTTGTGACAGTGAATAAGTCTCAAAAGATCTGATAGTTTTAAAAAGGGGAGTTTCCCTGCACAAGCTCTCTCTCTTTGCCTGCTGCCATCCATGTAAGACATGACTTGCTCCTCCTTGCCTTCCACCATGATTGTGAGACTTCCCCAGTCACGTGAAACTGTAAGTTCATTAAACCTCTTTCTTTGGTAAATTGCCCAGTCTTCGGTATGTCTTTAACAGCAGCACGGAAACAGACTAGTATATAGGTCCTAGACAGCAGTAATAAACCTGGGTGTTAGAGAACGGAATGTCTCTCTACTCTGGGGTTGTGAGACAGTCTTCAAGGAGTTTCTAGAACAGAAGTAAACAGGAAACTATGTTCTCTGAAAACACAGTCTGTTATTGGGAAGGGAGTGGCATAAAGATGGTGGGCTCACCCACTCAACAAGGATCAACCCTTACATTTGCAGAGAGCAGTGGTTTAAAGTGCGGTCCTGGAGCAGCAGCCCCCAGGATCCTGCCAAATTCTCAGCTCCTGCCACTCCTCAGACCCAGCAAAAGCAGAAAGTGTGTATGTGTGTGTGTGTGTGTGTGTGTGTGTGTGTGTAGGGGTAGGGGGCAGTGCAACCTACATTTTAACAAGTCCCATGCTAAAAATTCTGACGCAGCTCAAGTTTGAGAGCTACTGACAGAGCTTCAGAGTCCTCGAAGCACCTCGGCATAGCTTTTCTTGGGCAAGTCCAACAACCACGTGGGAAAGATGGTATCATTCCATTTTAAACATTAGGGAACTGAACTGAGACAACCAAGATAAGCTTAAGGAGGCATAGTGGCTAAATGTTAATACAGGATCCTGGAACAGAAAAATGACATTAGGGGAAAACGAAGAAATCTGAATAAAGAATAGCTGACAATGCATCAATTTGGTTCATTAATTGTAACAAATAGACTACACTAATGTAAGACATTAATAATAGGGAAAACTCGGCATGGGAATATATAAGAACTGTACTATCTTTGTGATTTTTTCTAAAATAAAAAGTTTGTTTAAAACAATTAGGGAACAGATGCTCTGAGATACATGTTAAAGCAAGATGCTAAATACACAATGGGTGCCTATGGCATTATTTTCTGTATGTTTAAAATATTTATGAAATATTTTATAATAAATTATACAATACTTTGAAACTGTAAAAACTATACATACTCAGACACTGTTTTGTCTTTTCTCCGGAAAAGGACTGGCATGTGTTTAGATAAGGATACTGTGCTTACAGCAGGCCTGAAACACACCCTCGTCCCAGCAGAGGCTGTGGATCCTTTTTGTGCAAGCCCTCTTTGTATTGTCAGCTCTGGCACCATGAAGGGGACCTGCCCATGCTCAGGATCGTCCCTGAAAAATAACTGCTGTGATGGAGATGCTCTAGGTCCCCCCTGCTCCCCAGGCTCCAGGTCCCTGCCTCTCCCCTCACACCCACCACAGGCCCGGGCATCTCATCATGCTTATAACCCCACAGGGCCCTCATCTCAGCTAGGCCTCCTCTAACAGTAGCTGCTCCTCTTCCAGACAGTGACGGCATTTTAATGAGGGCACTATAGAGCCTCTGAGCCCCGCAGGAGTGAACTGCATGCTGAAAGCTGCCGGTGCCTTCAGACCAAGCCAGTTGGCCATTTCCCTCTGCCTTTCTTTGCTGCAGACTGGACTGCCCTTGGTCAGAGGTAAAACCCATGCCCCTCGCCCCAGTGGCTTCTGATGGAGCAATGCCTCTGAGGTCAGCCTGGAGCTCTTGATGATGCATCAAGTCACTTACTTACCTCTTTCTTTTCCAACCTCTGAAGGAGTTAAAAACAGGTGGTGAAACCGACAGAATGGGGATTCAGAGGAAAGAGAGCTAAGAGGCCTGAACAACCCATAAACTGAATTTTAATCCCTAGAATAGTGGGACATTCACGGCTGCCCACATGTTTCTGAGGCTGGCTATTTTCACTCTGCTGTTTTAATGCCAACACCAAGGAATGTGTGTGGCAGCCAGCCTTCCCCTGACACCTTTGCCTTGGGTCTCACCCAGACCAAATGAGTGAGGATGAAGGGACAGGGGCCAAGGGGGCATTGTTTGTGAGTTCAAGAAACAACACTGAAAGCTTACTGGTTTGTTTTCTAGACCAAATACATCACCCTCATGTACCTGCTGGCTCCCCCTGCCCTTACTCATGCCATTATGTCATTTTTGACTGCTCTCCCTCCACTCCTCAGTGGAGTCAAACACAATCCCTCCCTAAAGAGCCTGTTGAAGTCCAAAAGGCAGCCCAGGGGATCGTTCTCTGCTTTCTTTTGTATCATTCATTCTTTCATTCAACCAATATTTATCGAAGACCTACTATGTGCCAGGTACTGTTCTAGGCACTAGAAATATGGCAGTGAATGACAAAAAAAGAGGATTTACATTCTGGGAAGGACAAGGGTCAATAAGGACATCACTAAGTATACATTGTTATGTGTACTATGTCAGATGGTAACTTCCAGGAAGAGAAACAGAACAGGGGAAGGGATGAAAGTGACAGCCATCCTACTCTCTTCACTGGCACTTAGGTTAAATATGCCATTATCTGGCCGGGCCCAATGGCTCACACCTATAATTCCAGCACTTTGGGAGGCTGAGGCAGGTGGATCACCCAAGGTCAGGAGTTCGAGACCAGCCTGACCAATACGGTGAAACCCCATCTCTACTAAACATACAAAAATTAGCCAGGCATGGTGGTGGGTGCCTGTAATCCCAACTACTCAGGAGGCTAAGGCAGGAGAATTGCTTGAACCTGGGAGGCAGAGGTTACAGTGAGCTGAGATCACACCACTGTACTCCAGCCTAGGCGACAGTGAGACTCTGTTTCAGAAAAAAAAAAAAAAAAAAGCCATTATTTAACTTAGTTAATGTTTTGTTTCCTCTTCAGCTAGATCCTCTATGTTCTCAAACAATAAGGGCTGTTTTCGGCTTCTTCCAGCATAGGATTGTACATACTGTCGCCGTTCAACCAATTCTGTTGAACAAAAAAACTTATACAGCTGATTCATATTTTAGAAACACAGACCTTCTGGGTGCAAAGGGAAGTCAGGAGATGAATTAATCCATGTGGAACTGCAGGCAGTGAGTCATCCATTCCACATCTATTTTCCAGCAGCCATGTCCTAGGCACATGAGTGCAGCACTGGCCAGATACTTGTGGGCTCACCAGTGAAATCCTGCCCTCGTGATGTGTACATTTTGGTGAAAAAGACCAGCAAATGATAAGTGATTACTTCTTTGTTTTTGTTGTTGTTGTTTGTTTGTTTGTTTGAGACAGAGTCTCGTTCTGTTGCCCAGGCTGGAGTGCAGTGGCACGATCTCGGTTCACTGCAACCTCCACCTCCGGGGTTCAAGCGATTCTTGTGTCTCAGCCTTCCAGGTAGCTGGGATTACAGGTGCCTGCCACCACGTCTGGCTAATTTTTTGTAATTTTAGTAGAGACAGGGTTTCACCATGTTGGTCAGTCTGGTCTCGAACTGATCTCGGGTGATCCGCCCACCTCAGCCTCCCAAAGTGGATAAGCAATTACCTCTATGAAGGAAACGGGCAGGGAGATGAAAAGGAGAAAAGCAACACGGAGGATAGGAAAAGCCTTTCCATGGAGATGATGTTCCAGCCAAGACAGGAAGGGGTAGAACGAGCCAGCGAGGCCAAGGGCAGGATGGGGGTGGGCAAGGATACTGAGAAACAGCTCCTGGAGGAGGAGTCGGCCAGGGCACAGGCCTGGAGGCGGAAATGTGCTGGGTGCATGGTCACAGAATCCAGTTAGTGTGGGGATGAGGCTGGGGAAGGCAGGAGCCAGCTTTCACAGGCCCTTGTGGGCCACCGTTGGGAGTGTGGGTTTCATTCTAGTGCAATGGAAAGACACAGGACAGTCTTAGCAGGAGAGAACACAAGATTTCTATTTTAAGAGGATCCCTCTGAAAAGACGGCCCCAGAATCACGGTGACTACATGTCACACTTTGCCAGGGACAGTGCCACTTTATACCCGTTGTCCTAGCATCATTATTAACAGCACCCCATTTCACTCTCCAAAGTGTTGCAGATTAAGGGAAAAATTATACAGTCATCCTATCCAGAACCCATTATTACAACTAACATGATTCACTGTTCTGAGAAACCTGATATGCTCTGTACCAGTCACATCCCCCCAAATACAGCAGAGGCTGAATACAACATATTCTATGGTGGGAAATTAAGCCTGTCCTCCAGCATCGCAATTATAAAAAGGTTCTACTGTGTTCTGGTGGTTTTTTTGAAAGACAGGAAGAAGAGAAAATTCTATAAACTTCGCTCCATGATGTATTCCACATTTTACAGCTGCTGCGAGGGGAAAACTTTTCCACAGATGAAATCTAAAATTTTCGTGGTTCAGTTGGAGTCTGTCCTCACTTGATATGGACAAAAAGGGCCAGTCATTGCTGTCTGTGCAGAGATCCTGAGAGTCCTGTTCTTGAAGAAGCCTGCCAAAGTCACCTCTGAGCAGCTCCAGGTTACATAAGCCCTGTTTCTCTAACCTCTCCTCTCAGGTCTTATTTTTCAAATGTTCAGTCATCCTTGTGGCTCCTCTGTTTATCCTTGCCAAGTTCTTCACACTGACACAGTACTTCTAAAGTTATACTCCAGAAGCCCTCTGCTATTTTCCCTACCAAATCTTTCCAGAAGCAAAGCCATTCTCCTCTGCATCTAAGCCATGGGCCAGGACACTGGAACCGGCGCTGACAAGCCACACTGTACCTCCTGCCTTGCTTCCACCTGTCCTCCTTGGACCAGACCACCTAAAGAGAGGATTAAGCATAATCTTACCGTGTCTGGGGGACAAAGGCACGTAGGGTGGCAACCTCTGCCGGCTTGGATTATGCCCCTTCTCATATTCCACCTTAGAATCTCAGAATGTTGGGGTAAACGCGACCTTAGCAACACTCTTTTCATTTGGTAGATTTATTGAAGGCAGATCCTACAAATTGCTCATAGATGGGACAGAACTCACCCTGGACCGTGGCCCTTCCCCTCTGCTTTGCTGCCCCTCCAACCACTTCATGGAAATGTTACCATCCTCTGATTGATTTATACTGAGCTGAATTTACATGTCTTTTCCTACCCCCCTCCTTGACTTTATTTAGCTTCTTGAGGGCAAATAATATATTTAATAGGTCTCTGTATTATTCACAACATGGCATCTTCCATGTAGCCAGGTCTCTGGGGAGATATTTGCTGAAACTCCTGAATGGATTCTTAAGACTCCTCCTTGCTTTATGATAGAGACAAGAGTAACACTCCCAGGCTTTTGGGGGTCACAGGCTCTGCGACAAACAGACCGGACTCCAAATCCAGGCTATGCCACTAGTTTCCAGGCTATGCCACTAGTTTACCAGCTAGTAGTTAACTAGTTGTAGGAAAGGTATTATAATTCATCTTTCTTCATCAGAATAATGGGTGCAATATACCTACCTCTTTCTGAGGGCTACAAAAGCCTACCTATGTTGCACAGAAATGCCTCAACAGACACATGTTCTGCCCTGAACACCACTTCTCCCTCTTTTGCTTGCTCTGCTCAGCTATTTTCCCTATAGGTTAAGCTTTTACCAAAAAAGAAAAAACATCCTAATAGTGCTGTTCTTACCAGAGATACCATTTTTTCCTCATGCTGAAACCCTCCTTAGATAAGAGATAAAACTATGCTGTAACTTATATCCTTTTGCAAATTTTTAAAGTAGAGTGCTGCGATAACACCAAAATGGGGGAATTCCTAAGGTGACTTGGGACATAAGTAGGAGTGAGGAAAGTATTTAAGCTTAGAGAGAAAAGCGAAGAGAAGCCTTCTGATGAGGTGTGAGCCCATGGAAAACGGCACAGGGAAAATGAATCGGAAATGCAGCCTGTGGGGTAACACTGCTGCAGAAGGAAACAAACGAGGAGAGCCAGCGCCTCCACGGTGCCTTCTCCTCCTGGAAGCAGGAGTTGAAGCCTATGACCCCTAGGACTGATCCCATACTGACATCTTGTGGTTACAAGTGTCATGACACTTACGTTGTCCTACGGCAGGCATGGACATGCATATTCGTACAACAACCATGTCTTCATTTCTCAGCATTTCAAAAGCATCAAACGTTTTCTCAACCCCAAGCTCCCTGTTCTCAGTAGAGGTAGAAGTGAGCGAAGGAACTGCTGATGAATGTGACACTGGCATTTGTCCCTCCCAACTGCATCCATGCTAGTGGCTGAAGCCTCTGCAGCCTTGGCTGAGCATCTCTTCTCCAGCACCCAAGGCTTCTTTAGGAGAATTACCAAAACTCACTGGTTGTTTTAAAAGTGAAATGAAAACTGCAGCTGCTCAGAGCTTTCAAATACCAACCGAACCACTCCCTCATGAAGTCTAAGGGAGGAAGTCAGGAAATAGAAAAGTAACCTGGTTCTTTGGAATTTCAAAATTAAATTTCTTTTCACAACCATACCCCGGAGCTACTCAGTAATGGAGGTGCTCCAGAAACCCTCCATCTTGCAGAATCCCAGATGGTCCTGAGTGCCTGCTGCATTCAAAGCACCTGGGGGATACTAGTGCACCTCAGAGGGCCCACGGTCCAACAAGGGATGGGCAGGACCCCATCACGGTGAAGTAAAGGAAGATTGGCAAGCGGCGGACACGGGCCGAGAGAGTTCTTGCAGGAGACATCAGGAAAGACTCCCATGGGAGAGCAGCATTTTTTCTTTTAGGATGAGCAGTGTGGGGCAAATAAAGTTGTGCATGAAGGCATTTATAGCAGGTGGTTAGAGTCACAGGCCTTAGGAATCAGACAAAACAGGATTTACGCCCAGGCCCATCACTTCCTAACTGTCCATCTGAACATGATCTGTGAGCTCTCAAAACCTTGTTTTCTTCCTCTGAAAAGCAGGGATGAAAATTCTGACTTAATGATGGAGTTGTGAGGAATGAGTAAAATAACGTGTAGAACTGATAACTCGGCACACACTAAGGACACACACCAGTTGCTAACAGCTGGAGGAGCAGCAGGAGTGCAGTGACGGGCAGGAAAGGCCGCCACCGCCTGTGGAAGTCAGGGGCAGGTGAAGACAGTGTGGACGTAGGACAAACAAAGACATGGTGGTGGGGCAGGGTCGGAGGACAGAGGCACTAGACACCAGGCAGGGCCTCCTGACCAGCTCTTGCTCCTCTCTGCTCTCCCAATGTGTCACCTGACTCTTCACTTGGTTTCTTTTTGCCTGTTTATATCCTCTCTCCCCAGGGATGTTATTTTGGCTTTCTGGAGACAAGGGCCCACAGTTCGTCACCATGGGTCCAGCAGAAGGCCCAGGTGCAGAGCAGACATTCACTGAACATTTGGCCTGGCCCCTGCCTGTGCTGGGTCACTTTCAGCAAATTAACTAACCTCTGTTAGAAGGCAGGTTTCTCTTCAGTAAAATTCAAACAAAGAAACAATACTTGCCTCTTTTGGTTGCTGTGAAGATTAAATGAGAAAATGCAAGTGAATGGACAAATGACTGGGAAAAGGCTCAATAAAAGATAACTGCTATGAGAGCCGCACCTGCTAGAGTCCTAGCTGCCAACTTCACAGAAAGCACTGAAGACTGTTTTCTATGAAACCCAGTCTCAAAGACCTAAGGATATGCTCAGATAAATCAGACAGCATTGAACAATATCGTCACAACAATATTTTCTAAGAGATTTGTTAAGAAAATTGGGTTTTCATCTGAATTTCTCCATATTATGTAACTTTCCCACTTCTTAAGCATAGCTTTCAAAAACACACCATGGCAGCACTGCCCTTAACTGCTTTTCCAGAAAAAATCTTTTCAAATTTCCACCAAAAGAATGCAGTTGGCACCACCTTTTCCTGACCGTTCTAACAAATGGATAAACTTTGCTGCAATGAGACAGTTTAGGACAACATCTGCTCCTATCTGCCAACAAAGTTCAGCTGTGGCTTCTGACACTAGGGGAAGAAAATCTCTTCCTTTAAAAAATAATAACATTTATACTTTTTTGTTGATCAAAAATAACAGATGACTACAGAAAAAGTGGAAAATCTAGAAAATTATAAAAAACAAGTTACCCATAATCAACTATCCAAACATAGTTCAGGCTGTGCATTTTACTATATCCTTTACTATTCTCTTAGTCTTCTTTGCATATATATTTTTAAAATGGAGTCAGTCTTATCTTTTCACTTATTATACCTGAAGATTTTCTTTAATATTTCACTGTTGTTGTTGTTTTTGTTGTTGTTTGTTTGTTTTGAGATGGAGTCTCTGTTGTCCAGGCTGGAGTGCAACGGCATGATCTTGGCTCACTGCAACCTCCGCTGCCCAGGTTCAAGTGATTCTCGTGTCTCAGCCTCCCGAGTAGCTGGGATTACAGGCACGTGCCACCATATTTCACTTTGTAAAAAATTACCAAATTACATAAAGCTGTGCTGGATGTCAGGCAGTATTGAAAGAGATGTGAGGTGAAGTCTTTATTCTCTAGAGGTCGGTGCTTCGTGAGGATACAAGACAAACACACAGGAAAAACAAATAATGGTATACAATAATGATGGTATACAAGAATGACTTAAGACAGGGGTAGTACAAACAACGTCTGTGAGGTTCACACCTAGATGAGATTACCATGGCCTAGAATGGCCTTGCAAGGACTCCATGAAGGAAGACAGAAACGAGTCCAGCCGTGAAGCATTGTAGTTCTATAGAAAATTTTGAAGTGATAATGACTAATTTACCTCCCTTTCTCCAATATACCGAAGGACAGATTCACTGAAGTAATTTCCCTTGCTAAGCCTTTGCTCTTATGGACAAAGCTGAGCTCCCACAAAAGCTGTTTTTCAAATATCATAAATGAGGATGTAAGTAATTCGAAACGATTTTCCAATTATGTTTGCATTCATGAGGAAAACTAAGGTTTTAAGAGAAAATAAAAAAGGTTATCTGAAGAATTAGAAGTGAATTCTGAAATTCCAGATTCCTGGTGTCTAAATAACACATAATACAAGAATTAGCAAGAATCTACTCCACACATGATATTGAAACTTGGAACCACTTAACAACCAAGCTTAATTCCTAGGACAGACCTTCCTGCTTAACCTGTATTCATCCACTCATCCATTCAGGAAATACTGTTAAGTATTTTAGAATGCGTGTTAATGAGTCCAGCACTGGGCTAGGCGCTAAGGCAAAGTGAACCATACGGACAGGTTCCTGCCCTCATGGAGTGGACAGTTTTAGTAAGAGAGAGGCTGACAGGTAGACAGACAATGACAGCCCAATGTAATAAATGCTTGGTAAATTAAGCTACCTTAAGGACTTATAGATGCTATAGATATAAATGCTTCATTAAGAAATGAGCACCTAGAAAAAACACTATATTAACCTACACTTGGAAAATTAGGAAAGCTTCTTAGAATAGATAACATTTAAGTTTAAGGAAGAAGAGCAGAAAGTCAGGAGCGGCAGTAAAAGAAATATCTAGGGCTAGGCACAGTGGCTCATGCCTGACATGCTAGCACTTTGGGAGGCCAAGGTGGGAGGATTGCTTGAGGTCAGGACTTCAAGACCAACCTGGGCAGCATAGCAAGACCCATCTCTAAAAAAAAAAAATAAAATAAAAAATTTAAAAATGAATATGGTGGCACCACCTGTAGTCCCAGCTACTCAGGAGGTTGCGGCGGAAGGACTGCTTAAGCCCACGAGGTTGAGGCTGCAGTGAGATGTAATCACGCCACCACATTCCAGTTTGGGTGATAGAACAAGACTCTGTCACAAAAAGAAAAACAAAGAGAGAGAGAGAGATGTTTAAGAAGAGAGAACAGCATATTAAAAGTTCTAAGGGAGAGAAAAAAACATGGTGAAAGAGTGGAAAAAAGATATTCAGAATGGCTGGGTCCAAGGGTGGAGAAAGGAGGATTTTGGTGAGCTAGAGGTATGCACATACATAACCAGGTGTGGGCATGTGTGTATACACACATACTCATTTAGACCTCAAAACAATCCTCCCATAATTATCATCATTTTGAAGATGAGGAAACAGGTATGAGAACACTAGTTGGTGATAAACAATAAGTAGCCAAAGGACCCTGAATGGAAGAGGGACATGATGAATTTTGCATCTCTGGCAAAATACCAATGATGCAGTGTAGAGAATGCTTTGGAAGATAGGAAGTGATGATAAAATCTTTATTAAGCTTCCCAGAGAGATTAAAGGGCTCACTTTCTGTCATCTGACATGCCATGCCCTGAGCCTGCAACTTGAGAGATCATGAAACGCAGACAGAACCTTTTCCTTCAAGGAGTTTATAATCTACCAGGGGCAACAAGCATATTGGGACACTGGGTGCTCTCTGTATTGCTTGACAAGGATTCCATAGACCAACTACTTTCTAAAGCACCATGACCAGCAGAATCATAGACTGAGGTTCCTTCTTTGAAAGACAGCCAAGCTTCTTGCAGGAAGAGAAAGCCCTGACCACAGGGAAACAGTGACCACAGCTACAGCCCAAGCTCTTCTCTGGGTCTGACAAACTCAGGACAATGGTTCTGTTCCCTAACACCTTTCTATAATCCCCAATCCTAACCTGGTGACCCAGCAACAATGTCCGTTGAGTGTCCAGGGCTGTTACTGGCTTAGTCACACTCTTCCCCTCTTGGGGTTTAGCTACTTTGTCACCTCCCTGCTGGAGAAATGCCACTTACCAATGATAGTGTTAAAGAACATTTGTCCTCATACTTAACAACAACCCAGTCAACCCTTTATTCTACTTTCTTCAAAGCTATGAGTAAGAAAGAGAAATTAAACTAAAATTTTCAGTGTAGGTAATACGTTCTCCATACAGCAACATCGTATCTAAATCCTTACAACCACCACCATGAGAAAAAGATGTGCTTGTCCTCACAAAACATGAAAACACGGGAAAAGGTAAATAGACTTGCTTTGGTCCACATGGCTAAATAAGAGCATAAGCAGTCTTCAAACCCAGTTCTGACTCCAAGGCCAGCCTCATTCTACTATGTTATTTAATTTTTCAGAAGTAAAATACGTCATTTAAAAACATACTATCTTTCTCAAGTTGGCAGTTAACGTGTTTGCTACAGAAGATTGGTCAAGAAACCAATCAGGGGTTTAAAATCCGACTTTGAAATTATATCCTCAACTCTTAAACCTTCATTTATGGTTCAGTGGTGTATTTAGTCTTGTCAATATGGCCCTTGCAGCAGCAGATGTTGGACTGATGTGAGATGGAAAAATTTTTGGCCAGGTTTCTGAAACCCTAAATTCTAGACCAGCTTACAGGTTCATGAGAGCTAGGGCGGAGCTGGGGTTACTCTAGCCAAATGCACACTGTTATTATTCAGAGCCTTGGCACCAAACTTTGCCAAGGTGCTGATAAATCAGGGTAGGTTATATGTCAATTAATTATAAGTAGAGGATCATATAATTCATTGTCCAAACTATTGGGACACAGTGAAAGGGAGTGTTATTAATAATGACAACAGGACAAATGTGTAATCCAGGTCTGGCCATGGCAAACCAACACTTATGGTCACCCTGGTCATAAGGAGCCCCTTTACCTTCTAGCTTAAGGCCTAGGTTACAGGAAGTCTAGAGGCCCCACTGGGTCTGGTTGCCCAGGCTCACACCCTCATCCTGTTGCTAATAGCAACAAGTGACTTCTAAAGATGAATCTAAGGAAAAATGCTCCACAGGAATAAAAGCTACAAAAGTATTCTTCTCTAAAGCCCAAAGTTAGCCCAAATCATCCACCCTAAACCTTGGAGCAGGGTAGGCTGCAGTGGAGGAAGTCTGTTTTTCTTACTACAATATCCTTCTCAAAAGAGGACTAAAAGAATAAGAGAATGCAGTGCAGACACAAGAGCTCTGAGCCTTTTGTGCACCAAACTGACAGTCCCTGGCACTTGTGGCCCAGTAATAGCCCTGATTTTGAACCTGTTCCAGCTGCTTTCCCCCTCAAGGCTCAGGTTCCTCCGGGTGACTGCAATGCTTCTAACGTATGTACAAAATGAATGTTGAAAATGCATTCCCCCTAGAATGTGCTACTCATAAGAATTCCTTGGTGTAGGGGAATCTAACCAATGGTGCAGGTATCATTTGTGTAACTAAGGTACCATGCAAAGGCTATATTTTCATGTTATAAAAATAGACCCAATTTCTTGCCCCTAACACAGAACTCTATACCCAGTAGTCATTTACTAAACGTTCTCTCAACTGAACAGGACCTAGTTAAGTATTCCTGAAGCCACCGGCACTGGAGAAGGGAGCCAGCACCTCCTTACTGGTGAGTGGTCAGGAGATGTCCGCAGAATGGCTTATGCCACAGAACTTACTGCACCGCTTACCTCAGTTTTCCACTGCATCAGGTCAGAAACTTATTTGATTTGCTGCCCCAAGTGGGCTTCACACCTTCCCTCCTATTCGCCAGTGTGTCTTTTTCCATTACCCGTGTTTAAAAACAGACTCTTTAATTTATGGGCATTTAGGGCTGGTGAAAGTCTCCAAGCTCTGCGCTCACCACAGACTCAGGCCCCTAAATGGTAACAGCTGAGCTGGCTTGTCAGGAGGGGTGAGGCCCCTTCTCCCATCCCTGGAGAAAACAGCCTGAATGAACAGACGTACTGACCCCAGCCCCATGCCAGTCTCAGGGGCTGCCCCACAAGTGGCTCACTTGGGGATAAGGGTTGTTGCTTCCACGGTGAAGAAGAAAATCCTTATTTGTGCCTGGAGAGTAGGAAAAAGTGGTTCCTACTGCTGGCCCTGGCCTGTTTCTGATCTCTCACAAGGGATGAAACACTGATAAGGACAGTCCTTTATTTGTGGGTTATGTTCTTGTTTGGTTATTAAAATACCCCTTATTTGTGAAATAATGTGGGACAGTAGGTGACATTTTAAAATGTCTTTCATTGGCAAAATAAAGAGTTACCATTGGCATATTGATAAAGTTTTTTGATAAAATTTTACTGCCCCATGAAATGCAAAAATCTGGGAAATACTTCCTTAGACTCCATGCCAAGGCTTCTGAAGAGCAGAGAAATGGGAACGTGGGTTGGGAGAGTGGGGAGAGCACTCTCATCTCAGAACTCCAATCTGCTGGCTGCAACATAAACATTAAATAACTAAGGGGGATGGCAACAAAGCTACCTTCATCACCTAGTCCAGGCCAGGCTGGGTACTTATATTATCTCAGTTAATCCTCACAATTACCCTGCAAAACAGACACTACATTTTCCATTTTATAGCTAAAGAATTAAATGTGCAGCTATGTACCATCAAAAAGTAGCTGTGGAAGGCTGGGATTCAGCCCCGATGCCTGTTTCTTTCCCTGATGCACTGGGTATGCAGTGGGGAAACAGGGCTATCAGCTTCACTGAACAGCAAAACAGAACTTTTGAATTAATCAGAGTTATGAAGGGACCCATTTCTGAATAGAGCCTATTACATTCTAAAACCCAGATGATCATGAAGACATTATAATGGAAGTTTGTTTATTCTCTATATTTTCTAATTGGTTTATTTGAAAGTTTGGTCTCAGGAACTGCTCTGCAAGGCTCTGGAAATGACTGAATCAAAACAAGCCCAAGTTCAATATGAAACAAGCAACCTATCTTCTGCAAAGCAATAGTCTTCAGCCAAATCTGAAGCACCCAAGCAGTCATTACCCTCCCTTTCTTGACCTCTGGGTATTTCATTGCTTGTTGCCATTTCCAAGAGTTCAGGTAGGCTTGAATAACTGTTCATTAAAACCAGAGTTTAAGGGGGAGGATTTTGAACAATATCAAAGACCAAGGAGCTCACTTGAATATTACCTGCAGATTTAACTTAACCATGCTGTTGCTATTTCCAAAAAGGCACAAACCACACTATGGCTGTATTCTTAAGGGTCATGTAGCACTAAATACTAAATCAAACTTCTTGTGTCCATTGAATCTGCTGAAGGCAATATGTAGAGATGTTGCAACATTCTTCTCTACCACCTTTCCATTCTGCTCCATTCCCACTTTTAGACACAAAGCAAAACCATCCACCCCAGGAATGTAACAACAATGCATCTGCTCATTAATATGTACAAATAAAGATGCAAGAGTCAATTGTCACGAATAAGGATAGGATTTGGCATCTCATTTGGAATGTCTCCTTTGCCTCAACAACTCTATTAAGCGTTGGTGAATAACATAACGCAACTATTCATTCAACCAATATGTACTAAGTGTCTATTAAATGCCAGCCATTGCTCAGGATGATGGGGATGCAAAAGTGAATTAAGTATAAAGACAAAAATCCTTGCCATTATGGACTTCTCCCTGTAGTGGAGAGAAAACTTGATATTATACAGTAAAAACTTTACTCATTAAAGTTATAACTTAAAAATAATAATTTCACTTTTAGATGGTTTTCATGGTACATGGAAACTCATGAGTTTCTCAAATTTATTCCTTCATCCTAGGAGAAAAAATTATTTTGCAGATGATTTAACATAATATACCTAACTTAAAGCAAAATCATGCAGACATCTTTTGTTAATATCCACATTCCTGACATCTTCCTTGAAGTTTTTCACTTCTAAGGGCTGCAGTGATTCAAGGGACTGCGCCGAATGCTTCTTAGAGGATGGCCCCGGGGAGGAATAGGATTCCCAGCACAGGACTCATTCTTGTGATGTTCTGCCAAGTCAAATTTACTTCCTACAAAACCAACAATTCACTTTTATGCTGGATCACTAAATAATATGGCAAAATTTTAGTCAGAAAACTTAGGCAGAAGCTTATGAAATATCTTAGGAATGAAGGAGAAAGAATGAGGACGAAACAATGGAATCAAGATATCTGACACATCACACTTTGTCTGTTGTAAGGAATTGCTAACAGATGAAAAGAACGTCCTCTAAAAATCCCCTCTCAAATAATCCACAATCAAGCACAGGCAACAGAACAGACCATGGGAAGTTACTACAAAGGCAACTGCTTTCTTTATCCTAAACAGATGTATCACAGATAAAAATGGCTACAGAACTTGGTAATACCTATGTAGAGAATGAAAGGCTACATGGGAAAATCTATAGAATTCTTAGGAAATAATGTTTTCGATAAAATGGGAATCATTTTAAGTATTGAGGCAACAGAGATATTAAATTTTTTAACCTAAATGTTTAGATCTTTTCTTACAGCATATAAGCTAATTATTTAAAAGCTTGAAAAAGAAAGCAATGGCACCTTTGCAATGATCAGAGCCAAGTTTGCTGACAAGGTGAAGAACTATACAGTCAGTACTCAGGTACTGGCTACAGTGCATCACTAGGTGGAAAACAAATCATAGGAATCAGTGGTAAGTTCAGACTCAGTAAAGTGCTACACATTTCTTGAAAGTCAAGGGGTTGAGGTGAATGGAGCACTGGCCTCAGGTATACCTGGGTTAAAGCATCCTTACTTTCAAAATCTGAAAAATAACAAGAGTTAATAATACAACTTGGCATCATTATATCAGAGTGTCAGAGCAGGTGAGCTGATGAGATTCAGAAAATAAAGACAAGGACTCTGCAGGCGGTGCCCCTCTAGATGCAGACCTGAGCAAACCAGAAGCAGCAAGAGCCCTGTAGGGGCTGGCGCAGGATGGAGAATGTTTCTAAAGAATTGAAAAGGAGTGTTCAGTTTAAATATACAGATACAGAACACAGCCTCAGTTCTGACTGTAGTTTAGGGAAGTTTTATAGGCTTGTGGAAGGCAGGCATGGAATACAAACAAATCAATGCGGACAGGAGTAAGAGATAAACAGTTTTAAATGTCTTGTACAACTAAAATGTTTCTGCAGCCCACGTTTACTGCCAAAAGAGGAGACTTGGAAAATTTTGGTCTGGCTATTCCAATTATAGCGCTTTATGAAACCACACAGGATACAGCACTACCTTCTTGAGAAAAGCAACGATGCCTTGACCAGGTAAACCTCCATGGTAAATGTGACTTGTTATGGATAACTCTGCATAAGTAAGGGCTGTTCGTCCTTTCAAGGCCTGGCTTCATTCCTTTTGGAAGACAGTTGCAAAGATCTTGTAAATTTTGCTTTATCTATTTGTCAGATTGAGACTTGTACCACTAAAAAAAAGTACATGAGTTACTATGAACAATTATACTATTTATAATGTGAAGTACAGGTCGTCAGTTACCATCTTGACTTTAAAATAGTTTTTATTTATCTTTGTGTTGGTTTAAAACTTAAACTTTAATGTCTCTCTCTCTTTTGGTTTAGGGAGAGAGAAAAATGAAAGTTTTGATTTCTATTTTGGTCTTGCCCAAAAGTATTTCATAAACATTTACTAAGAAGGTTGTCAAGCTCTACCTAACTGCCCCCATGATAAAGATAAACCTTCTTATGATATATTCAGATAAATACATTCATCATTTTCATCCTTGTGTCATTATTCATACCAACAAAGGCACAGTTGTCATTAAAAGTAACCATAGTTCCCAGGCATCTCATCAATTACCTAACTACCTATTCTTGGCAAAGCTTGGTTGCTATACACGAAGCATATTCACATCTACTTAGTATATGGTCTAGCTGTTGAGTCCTCTAAAGCTAAAAAGACATCTATATCTCAGGTTCAGCTCTCCTTTGCATCCTTTCTCTATCGATGGCACCTTCATACATTTGATCCTAAGAAAGAAGTCACCCTTAGGTCTTTCTAGACCTTAGGAAAGAGAAGAGTCTTTAGAAGTTGATATGGGGAAGAAGGGGCCAGGAAGTATCATCTTTCTGATGGCCATTTCTGCCTGTGTGTCTAACACAGTGAACGTTCATATAGAACAAACACCGGCATGGTGATGGTGGGGGATGACAGATGTTGAGTGGACGATGGGGAGAAGAGAAAGTGTTTGTGGGAAGACGCTCACTCCCAATATCCCACCCCTCAGCCCCAGATTGCTTCTGAGACTAGGAAGCAGAGAGCAGGAGGAATGTAGCTGGCGATGCAGTGAGACCTTATGCTGGTTACTAGCACCGTCCTGCAGAGCGTACCATTTGTACATGTACGTTTGTGTATGCATAACTTTTTCACTTAGAAAATGGGCTTCTTTCATTATTCTCAGCAACCTAAAGCAGGAACAGAAAACCAAACACCAAATGTTCTCACTTATAAGTGGGAGCTGAACACATGGATACAGAGAGGGGAACAACACACACTGGGGCCAGTCATGGGGGTTGGGGGAAGGGAAAGCATCAGGAAAAATAGCTAATGCATGCTGGGCTTAACACCTGAGTGATGGGTTGATAGGTGCAGCAAACCACCATGCGACATGTTCACCTGTGTAACAAACCTGCATATCCTGCATATGTACCCCAGAACTTTAAAACAAAGAAAAGAAAATGGGCTTCTTTTCTCTGATAAAGACTCTCTGGGAAGAGACAGGATCTACACTTTGTCACATGGGAACCTGCAATGGGAGACATGAGGATTTTCTTCTTTCTGCGTGTGGGAGGCTTTGCTTTTCCAAGACACTTTGGAGTGTCTCACGCAACCATTAAGTGAAGACTGGGGCTGGTTCTCTTCCTAAGCTTCACAACAAATCTAAAAGTTCTAAAAGTGGTATGATCTATGTTTATAGAAGTTCATCTTGTATATGTACAAATCATATGAATAAAACATGATTTCTTCCTTACTTTCATGTTTACCTTCTCCTTCTCTCTTCTTTAACCTGCAAAAGGGAACTGTGAAATCTGCATAAGAATCAACACTGGCACTGCACATTTTGGATACAAACCAAGGACAGAAAATATGGACTCTGAAAATACTAGTTCAGAACTAAATAAATAGATCTGCAATTTGGAAATTAATAATAAGAAAAAGTTACTGGCTTTCTTTGTAAGACTCACAGAGGATAAATACATCTTATAGTTTTGGAATTAAAGAGAAAAAAAATGGCTCTGCTGTGCCTTGCTGAAAGCTTTCTCTGCCCTGGCATGTTTGTAAACAGTATGTTTCACTTTGCTAGCAGGAGTGACAGCTTAAGAGTGTCAAGCCCACTCCCTCATTTGCTAGATCAGATAGCCTCTTCTGTTTGTGAGAAGTGAAACCTTATCTTCACTTTAATAAGAATTTGCCCAATATATTTAGAATATGAGGCAGGGCTATCCCTGAAGCAACCTAACTGTGCTTCATGCATTTCCAGCTAGATCTAAGAATCAACACAAAAAGATTGAAAGCTTTAAACACCTGAGTTTGGATAATTCTAGCCAGGAAGAGACCCCAGGACCAGGCCAGTGTCATTACCACGTAAGGAAGTAACATTAGCACAACGGGCCCAGTCTTTGACCCTAACCTGTGCCGCATCCACATGCTCTACCATCTCCCCTTATACCTCTTGGTCCTCCCACTGCAGCTCCAGCAACTCCCCTCAGCTCCCCACAAGGAGGCGAAAGCAACCCAACACAAACGTGTGTGCCCAAGCATCTCCTCTCAGTCCTTGACCCCTTCATCTTTACTCTCTAAAGATATTACTACAGCACCTTGCAAATTGAATTTAACAAAGGACCTATGTAAGTATGGTCTATGTTACTTAAGCAAACTAGATGGGGAGTCCATCTTTTCCATATCTACCCCTAGAACAAAGCAAAGTGCCTGGTACTTAGTTGACATAATGCTGACTCAAGTGAAAATAAGGAGACTGCACGGCCACTGGGATGGAACATCGATTATGCGATCAAAAGTCCACAAAAATAAAAACATTTCCAAGGAGTTAAAGAGGAAGACCACAGATTTGGAGCCTAGTGTGTAATGTGGATAAAGACTTGAGGCTGGCAAGGTGGCAGAGGACAATGGCACGAGGGCTGGAATGGCAGCAGACTGTGGCTCTGATTAGAAATGAGACACTCCAGGACCCAAAACTGGCTAGGCCTAGGGTACGCTCGAGCTGCACATGTAAGCCTGTGAAGGCTCCAAAGTTATTTGGGGAGTAAAACCCCTGGAAGAGAGAGGACGTACCGCTAATGAGAACTGAGGGTGTGGAGCAGGTTTGGGGAATTACTGTAATGTGACCACAGGGCACACCCCAGCTGAGGAAAGCAAGAACTCACCAGCTACCTGTGTAAATACTATCCTTTGTGCTTGACAGCAACTCCCCTTTCTTTCAAATGACATGCACCTCTTTCTTTCCTGATTTTCAAACAGCCCTGATTGCTAAACTTGTAATTGTGGTACTCTATGGGAACTCTTTTTTGGGGGGGCAATGGGAGGAGTCTCACTCTGTCACCCAGGCTGGAACGCAGAGACACGATCTCGGCTCACCACAATCTCCACTTCCTGGGTTCAAGCAATTCTCCCTGCCTCAGCCTCCTGAGTAACTGGATTACAGGCACCGCCACTATGCCCGGCTAATTTTTGTGTTTTTTTGTAGAGATGGGGTTTCACCACGTTGGCCAAGCTGGTCTTGAACTCCTGACTTCAGGTGATCCACCTGCCTCGGCCTCCCAAAGTGCTGGGATTACAGGCATGAATCATCACACCCAGCTGGAACTCTTAATTCTTTCTCAAATCAGTTAGTCCTGGTGCATAAGAAATACCAATACCTCTCTAAAAAAAAATTATCTTTTATGACTTTCTAAAATAAAACATCACAATATGAATTTCAAACTGTTCTGTGTTCTACTGATCCCAGGCAAAACACACACATGCACACACACACACGAAGTTTAAGTAGAACCTTACTTAAGCAATTTGAGTCAAAGGAACATGAGAATCTGAAAGGTTAGGATGGGTTTTTGTTCCCTTTGGCCAAATCCTAGAAGGCTTTGCCTACTGGGGGCCCCACTGCTTTTAAGACAAACAACAGGGAGAAGAACAATTGGAAGCACAAACAAATCCTTTCAGTTTCTTTTGTTATTTTGAGGCAGTCTTTGAGGGTGGCCAGTTATAATAAAAATATGAAAGAAAACTAATACACACACACACACACACACACACACACACACACTGATTTATAATTTTTATAATGGAGCATTTAATATTCACATTCTTGTATGGAAAATATTCTTATTTTTCCCAATCCTGCTTCATTCCAAAAGCATTTACAAAAGAGACAGCTCTGTCTTTAACTCACAAATGAGAAAACAGAGGCCAAACTGTGTAAGTGACTTCCCTATACTCACATACCCAGGTGTATGGCCAAGTTGGAATCTGAACACAAGTCTTTTGAATTAAAATGCCATAATCCTTCTAGAAAGTACAGAAATGACACCATCATCCTCTTAACAGAAACAGAGATCTGGATGAAATATCAAAAGACAAATCCTGCTTCCCTGTTCACTCAGAAAGGAATTTGCTATTGAGTAAAAGGTAAACATGCCATGGCCTCTGCAAACAAAGTGTGATTTTTTACTATCCTGTATATTAATGAAATACCATCACAGCCAGCAAGATGAGAACTTACAACGTGAAGCTAAGACATGAAGGCTGAGCCGTTACCGTCCTCAAATTGCAATCTTTTATATATATAAAAGAAATAGGCTGGGTGCAGTGGCTCAAGCCTATAATCCCAGCACTTTGGGAGTCCGAGGCAAGTGGATCACCTGAGGTCAGGAGTTCGAGACCAGCCTGGCCGACATGGTGAAACCTCATCTCTACTAAAAATACGAAAATTAGCCTGCCGTGGTGGTGGGCGCCTGTAATCCCAGCTACTTGGGAGGCTGAGGCAGAATTGCTTGAACCCAGGAGGTGGAGGTTGTGGTGAGCTGAAATCGCACCTCTGCACTCCAGCCTGGGCGACAAAGTGAGACTCCATCTCAAAAAAAAAAAAAAAAAAAAAAAAAAAAAAGAAAGAAAGAAACAGGCCCAATTTATCTGTTATAGTGTTGAAAAACATCAGTGTGGCATTAATCTCAAGTAAGTAAAAAAAACAGGAAAAGAATGAGAAACTTAAGAAATCTAAAGAGATAGAGAGTATCATCAAAAATAAATTTTTCAGAAAATATTTTTTCAAAACATGTTTAACAAACTCTTAAAAGCAAATAATCCACTCAATTTTGGTGTAGAGCCCTTTCTCCTAATGGATGACTGCAGGAGAGATGATTGTGGTTCCTTGCTTTACTTTTGGGAAGGGCTGGACGAGAGGAGTAAGCTGGAGGATAAAGTGCAGAGAAATTATGGCATGCATAGAAATTGTTAACATGTACTCATTAGTGAGTACACAGAGTGACAAGATGTAAACCAGAAAATATACACCCGATTAATATTTCTTCTGGGTTTTCAAAACCCAGCAAAGCTTTCAACCATTGTCCTGAACAATTCTCAATTTCAATTCTAAAGCAACAGCAACCTGAAACCCTGAGAACAGACCATAGACATGTATGACAATAAATACATGAAAATAAAGGAGAAAAATTAAATGCAATTGTCAAATAATATCTTTAAGTGGAAGAAGATATATTTGTGAAAATTCAGCAGGAAGACCTTATCTTTTTTTCTAACAATGTAACATACATAAAGTCCAATGGAGTAGCTCTAGCCTCTCTATAAGTACATGTATGTGAGATGATTGCCAAGGACCTTTGCAACTTTACTCAGTAAATTATAATCATTTCTTTGTCTTGATGCACTAATATGTAACAACTGTGGGGGAAAATACAAGTAAATAACACCTTCCCCCAACCAGTCATTTTAACATGCAGCACTCTGCAATAATTATGATTCCATTATACATTCAAGTCCACCAGGACAGCAGCCCTGCCTAGAATAAACTTCAGGTTAGAGTCAGTCTGATAAACACTGATTAACAAACTACTGACATAGTAACAAACTAAAACCTATCTGACTTCTATAGTGATTTTTTTCTTATGTTTTGTACAGTTATTGGGAGCATGCATATTATTTGAAAATATTAATAACCTGAAGTTGTTTTCCTTGTTTATTCTTCATCTGGTGCCATAGTCTTCACTCATTTTTGGGGGGAACAATGAGGATGCAAATAGAAGTGGTAGAGTAACGCAACCTCACTCTGCAGGCAGCTTTGGACACAGAGCATCTTGAAAAAGGCTCGCACTGGAGGAGGTAGGGTCATCTCTGGAGGACATTTGGGCTTCCTCATGGCACACAGATTATTCTGGGGCCTGCCCCAAATGCCATGATGCCTTGTGCCAAACAGAGGAAAGGAGGGAAAGCTACCTTCTTAACGTGGGTTAGTGGCTTTTACCTCCCTTTATTAGACACCTAGAGGTTCCTAACCCTGCCTGGGCACTCAGGGGTATGGGATGTTGGGGGTGAGGCTGTGCTCCTGGAGAAGGTAGGAAAGTATGGTCAGGGATGGGGAGAAACATCTGCAAAGAATGCACATAGCAAGACCAGAGAAAGTGAATAACCAGCAACCCTCACGGCAGCCCATTGGCATCTACAGAACAAACTCCCTCTAGGTACAGCAGATGCCAATCTTTTGGCTCACTAATGGGCACAGTTCAGTGGCCCAGTTTACTTTAGGAAGAATCTGGGCCTGGGGACAAGGGAACACAGTGGAGCACACCCTTACTGGGGTGCAGAGGGAATCAATCTGTTCAGAGTTTATTTGGGTACGTGCAGAACTTGCTTAACTGTCCACCTCTGCCTGAAAAGAGACAATTATGATGTAGGAAAAGAAAAAGCAGCAAGACTAGATGTACTCAAACACAATAAATATTATGTTTTCTTGCAAATGTCCTCAGCAATGAGATACAGAAGCAGAGGAATTTAAAGAGCACATCCAAGAGATCTGCACAGTCAGAGAAATCAGTGACTTTGTTTTATGTTTCAGTTTTCCAGGCAGGACCAATTAAACCTGTCTTAATAAAATTCTCAAGCAATGCTGACATGATTCATCTGTGTAGTATTATAAGAGTTTAGCAGGCCCCATTTTAACCTTGGTCGAGTTTTATGACTCATGTAAAACATTCTGAAAATGACTCAGGGAAAAAGAGGGGACATAGTGAGATAAAAGTGGAAGAGGTGAGTCATGAGATCTGAGTTCTTATTCCCCAGATCAGTAACTAGCTGTGCGGCTTTGAACGGGTCCCTTCACTTCTCAGAGCCTCTTTTTCCTCGTGTGAAAGAAAGGGAAGGAATTTTTACAGTTTTATTTGTATGTGTCTATTTCATCTCCATTTTATTAAAAACTGGGCTCAGGTTGAACACACTTGGTCAAAATGAACCCTCTTTCTAAATGCCAATTCACAGGATTGTTCCATATCCAGAGATGTGTGGATGGAAAGGTTCCTTATTCAAATCTTATTAATGAATTCCAGACACCCAGGACACCCCCAGCAACAAGGAATCTTTCGCTGAGTTGGTTCATGCCATTTTTGGACAGCATGAATTATCACAGATGTCTCCAGGTAATATGTCTCCTCATAATTTCTACGTCAAACTCACTTTTCTCTACTCTAGTCACATGTATGCATAAATTGCTTTACTAGAAATGGGCAGAGAGATTTTGGAATTTTCATTGCCAACATCACAATTTCAAATAGGAAAAATAAAAAGCTTTTTTTCTTCCAGCAGAGAATGCATGAAACTCAGTTGATAATTCTTACAAATGGTACCAAACAAAGGAAGAAAATACCAGAACCAATGGGCTAATGCAACACAATACAAAGAACAGAGGAGAATGGGAATTTCCATGAAGTGGGTAACCTATTTTTGGCAAGGTAAATGAAACATTAACATATTATATTAGAGTAATTCAGGTGAAAGAAAACATACAGCCTATAAACTTTGGGATGGGGGAATGATTGTGGCAAATAGCTTCTCACTGTGCTTGTATTAGCATAACTAGTAGATATAAGCTCATTTTTCAGGGTTTTATGATTCTGACACTATAAATCCAAAGTAGACTTGAACTTGTTAAGTACATGATTCATATAATTTTGTTTACATAACTGAACTAAAGAAAGGAAGACAAGATAAAAATTCTACTACGGAATTTGTTGTTTTCTTTCAAGCATTTACAAATATTAGAGATAATCTTCCTTTTTATTTAAACAAAACTGTTTAACATCTGCTTTTTATAATATTGTTATTTCTTGTGAACATTCAGGTTTGAAACTCTTGTTCCCAAGAATTACTTGCAAATATCACATAACTAAAATTCCAAAAAAAGAAGCATGCACACACCCCATAACTCCAGCAAATCCTTGATTAACTGAAAGTCAAAACCCAACCAAACAGAATTCCAGATGAGCTGAAGCTTTTCCTTTCCATATGACTTTTATAAGAAAGTAGGAAACTACAAAAAAGATACAAATTTATTTAAAGCAAAAGATTTGCTGAACATATCGGTAGTTTAGTACATATTCAGCTTCACTGTCCATGCTTGGTATAAAGTATTGTACAAAAAACCATGCTCATGATGAGGTATGAACTGTTCCTTTTATCTCTACCTCAAATTCTTTTGTGGAACAAAGCAGAATGTAAGCAGGTATTATCTTTTATCTCTACAACTTTAATGCTTAGCACATTGATTAGACCTGCATACTAAAATATTTGTGTTAACAAATTAATAAAGAGTGGCAAATTAGAGGCAAAGCATGCTAAATTTAAAAAGATTCATGATTGCTCTGCATATGGAACGTAAGCTCATAGCATCTTAAGGTTTAAAGAGACCTTGGAGACTTACTTAGCCCTCCTTGGTGCAGGGCTCCTCCAAGAACATTCTAATGTTTTAAAAAATGCTTTGGTATTAGCTACCATATTGGGAACACACGCACATGCGCACGTGCATACAAACACACACACACACCCCTTATTATTTCAGTCTTATGAGATAGATGTATTTATCTTGCAACCGGGGAAACTGAGGTTCAGGAAGTGACAGAGGGAAGACAAGGAAGAAGAAAAAGTCAGAAAGAAGTGTAACATGTTTTTGCCAATTCTTTTCTATGGTCTAAGATCCAAGAATAAGTAAGAAATTAATCAGACAAGATGAAAATGTGCCTCCCCTGCCCCATGCAAATACCAATATTATAACTGACTTACTGAGATATATGAAGCTAAGATAGTCCCTGGAACACACTACACACATAAATGTTAGCTTCCTTTCTTTTCAGTATGTTACAGCATCTTGGGGACAAGTAAAGATATTTAGGACCCATTCTCAACTCTGAAAATTTTGGAATTATCGCATAACTAAAGAGAGTTATGAGGAATGCTAAAACCCTTTCCCCTAAGAATAATCAGTGTAATTGTGTTTCTTACTTTAATTTAAAATTCAACGTGTATATGTCTCCTTCCCCCCGCCCCAAGGATATAAATAACTGGAATGACTGAATACAGCACAAAATACAGACGTGGGGAAAGGGTGGCAGTTTTAACTTTGAAATTCACTATACTTGTCAGTTAAAGTCAGGCCTAAAGCATTAATTTATTCTGAAACATTAATTAACTGGAGCTTTTTTGCATTTAATTTTCTCTGGCATTTTGGAATTTATTCTAAGCCCTGTGGAAATGGCAGGTCTGATGTTATTAAAGTTAGCCTTTCAGAAAGTCCTCAAACTGAAGACTCCTACACATTAAAAAATGCTGAGAGTCCAGATAATGCAAACCTAAAGTATTATTAAAGGGTATTCTTTACACATGAAAGAAAAACCTTACGTTTATTAAAAATGAATTAAACTGTCAGAAGTCTTCAATTTTACATAATGTTTGAGCCCTTTAAACACATAAAAAAAATCTAAAGCCAGTTTCATTTTTTTATTCATTCATTCACCCACTCCTTTAAGAATCTGTTGAGTGCCAACTATGTGCCAGGCAGATACTGCTCCAAGTGGGGCAAGCAAGGTCCTGTTCTTGTGCAGTTTACAATCTAGATGGGAAAATAACAAACAACAAATATGTAAGAAAATATCGAAGAGAGATGAGTACTATAAAGAAAATTAAAGAGTAATGTAATCAAGAGTGACTGGTAAGGCCTCTGTGAAGAGGAAGAACTTATGTCAAGTCCTAAATGATCAGCAGTTGGCTACACAAAGTCTGGGGGTAAACATCTCAGAGAGAGGGATACACGGTGCCACAGTGGGGAGGTGGGAATGAGCCAGACAGGTGTGAGGAGGAGGAAGGCAGCCATAGAGTCTAGGCCACCCGGCAGATGAGGGTGTCGGGGTGTAGAAGTGTGTTTGGTGGGATCAAGAGTTGTATTTTGGACATATGGAGTTTTAGATACCCACTTAAAAGAATGGTATGATAAAACACTAATGTACAGCAATTCCATGATCGCCCAGAGTTAAGAGAGGAATTGGGAATGGAATTCAGAGATGGATGCCAGTGACTGCAGCGACGTAAGGTAGAAGACCACAATTCTCTAACAAGCTTTATCCCAAGAATCACTTTAGATATTCCATTTAATCGGCTAATATTTAATTTAATATGCCCCAAATTCAACATAGCAGACACTATGTTCCTTAATGTTCTATTAAGGAAAGGAAGAAGACCCATCTAGAAACCACAGAGATTATTTCTATTACATAGATAACACAGTGTGCTCTCAAAGACACAAATTCTTTCAGAAATGCATATAAATGGGTGCCCTAGATATATGTGGCAAAATTTTTTAAAAATTAAAATGTGTGTAATCAGAGAGAGTATTTGGAGAACGTAAGAGCAAAAGGCTTTCTAGGGGTGGTTCACAACACAAATAACTATTGTTTACCTGGAGAATGTGTGTTTGAGCCCAGTTCTGTGCATGTCTGCATGGGTGTGAGTGCACGAGTGTGTATGATTTGATATTGCTGACGGTGGAGGGAGGGAAGTTCACCCTCTTTCCAAGTCAGATTGCCCAAATGATTATACCTCCTTGCTTGGGATGCTTTGAGCTTGACTTTAGATGGATAAATAGTTTATAATTTGGTATAAGCTATTTTTTAAAAGGTGACATTTTTTAAAAGGTATGGGAAAAATGAAACTAGACATCTTGCTATGCAAATTTCTGAGGCAGCACAGAATTCCATGGCCACATCTACTTCCCAAGACACAGCCTTCCAGAAGCCAGTGAGATATCACCGCTTCTTGTGCCTCTTTACTTTCCAAGACATGTTTGTGTCTGAGCCTCATCAGCCTAAGGGCAAGACCTACATACTTCAGATGATTTGCATTGATGGGTTATGACTATAATACATACCAGAGTTAACAATCTTGATTCCAAGTCTCCTTGACTACATTTGGGAAAGGGCCACCTTACTTTTTATTAATAAATCTTCAGAGAATTCCCCTGTACGCAGCTGTCTGAGATACTCATCTTGAGTATCTCAGAAACAGTATTTCTCATACCCACAAATGCTACTCATGACTAAGTTCTCTAAGAAACTGGCAGGGAGTCATTTCCACAACTGTTTGACTTTCAAAGAATGGCTCCTTTCTACTCCTGTAGGAGGAGATCAAGCCGAACTGGGCACCAAGGATCTAGATCACCCTATGAAGTGCTGCCCTCAAACACATTCTCTGTACAGTCACAGATGGTGGGGTCACCCAAGGAAAATAAAGCCCTGGGTGCCTAAAAGAGGCAGCCCTCTTGGGGAAGCACAGAAGTAAACAGTGACAACCAAGAGGAAGAATGTGCTGAAAGCACACAGGATAGGTTTTGAAGGATCAATAGGAGTTCGTTAAGAGGGCTGAGAGATGGTGACAATATTTCAAAGAGATGGAGCCAACTGTGACAGAAAGAGGCAAGGTGGAGTGTGATGTGTGGAACAAGTAGCCCCATCTGATTACCGTGCAGGGTGTGGGGAGGGAAGGGGAGACTACTGCCAGCTCCATTCAGAAAGACCTTAGAGTTCCTGCTAGAGTGGGACAATTGCCCTGAAGGAAATGGAGAAGCACAGAAGAATTCTGAGTCTGAGGGGGAGCTGGGGGGAGTTGGGTTCCTGACATGATCAAGTTTTAGAAAGACCACTGGAAATGGCAGCAGCTGAAGAATGGATGGGTTAAGGCTGGGGAGGTGTGAAGACTAAAGCCAAAGCAGAAAGCAAATTAATTTATGTTAAAAACCAAAGTAACAACTGTCCTTTAACCAACTGCTTGGCAGGAGGGATTGTTTTTAAAACATTGTTGTCTTGGTTGTCTCCTATGCACTATAACATATAGACATGTACTGCAGAACAACATTTTGGTCAATGATGGAACACTTACGTGATGGTGGTCCCATAAGGTTGTAATGCTGTATTTTTACTGTACCTTTTCTATGTTTAGATACACAAATACCATTGTGTTATAATCACCTACAGTATTCAGTACAGTAACATACTATATGGGTTTGTAGCCTAGAAGCAATAGGCTATAGCATATAGCCTAGGTGTGTAGCAGGCTCTACCATATAGGTTTTTGTAAGTACACTCTTATGATGTTCAGGTAATGATGAAATCACCTAACAATGCATTTCTCAGAACATAGTTTCTCAGAAAGTATTCCCATTGTTAAGTGATATATGACTGTATTCTACTAAGTACGTGTGCTTTGCCTACCTGACAGTCTCCTGCTGTACTATGATCCTGCAAAAATGTAAGACAGATTTGAAACTGCTGCAAAAGATGCATATGATCTGAGCATCACTAGGGAGTATATGGGAATACTGAATGAGGATTCACATTAACAGGTGAAGCTAAGTCTGTAACAATGAACTGTGACATAAGGAGGCAAGGTAGAGTACTAGGAAGCCAATAAACTGGCGAGCCAATGGCCTTATACAAAAGATGGCTGCTTGTTAATGGTGGACCACTAGCTCTCTTTCTCCAAGAACATGAGCTCTTTGGTTGCAAGAATGCCAACTGTTGTGAGTCTGTTTTTTTCTGTGACCTATCACCTGCATCTTTCGGCTCAAGTGTTGCCTCTTCTGAGAGCCAGAGCGTGAACTACCCTCCCCTAAGCTCGTCATGTTCCACCCACCTTACGGCCCCAACATTTTCTTGGGGGCTACTTTTTATTCATATTTGTGCTCTCCTGGCCTAGACAAGGGCTGGATACATGAGTTGGTGTTTGTTTTCAGAAACACTGTGAGTTAAACGTTGCTCTAAAATTATTACACAGCCATTGTAGAAAACTGGCAGATCCTCACAAAGTTGAACGTAGAATTACCATATGACGGGCAATTCCACTCTTAGGTAAATACCCAAGAGAGTGGATACAATTGTTCAAAGACTTGAACATAAATGTTCAAAGCAGCATTATCCATAGTAGCCAGAATGGAAACAACCCAAGTGTCCATTGACTGATGAATGGGTAAACAAAATGTAGTATATTCTTACAGTGGTATATTATTCAGCCATAAAAAAAAAAGATGTACTGATGCATGCTACAATATGGATGAACCTTGAAAACATTATGTTAAGTGAAAGAAACAAGACACAAGAGGCCAGATATAGTATGATTCAACTTAGAGGAAAAATCCAGAAAAAGCAGATCCATAGAGGCAGAAAGCAGGTTACCGGTTACCAGGAGCAAGGGGGAGGGTGGAGTAGGAAGAGACTGCTTAATGGGTTTGAGGTTTCTTTTGGGGTGATGAAAATGTTCTGAAGTTATACAGTGCCGATGGTTGTACATTACTGTAAATGTACTAAAAACCATTAAATGGTACCCTTTAAAATGTTTAAATGGTGAATAGTACGCTATGTGAACTTCACCTCTACTAAAAAAAATGCATCAAATATATCTCATCTCACTGAAGACCATAAAATATATCTCATCTCTTCTTAGCTAGTAAGTGTCCATCTGTCCTTCCTTCCTTCCTCTCAACATTCCTCTCTTCCTCATTCCTTCCTCCATTCCCAGCTTGCTATGAACCTTGAACAAAGGCAAGCAAAGTCTTCACCTGCAAAATGGGAACTGCATGAAGATGATGATCATACAATTTTCTCTGCTCTAGCATCTGACAGATAATTTGCTGGGATGCTGCAGTTCCTATGGACTGGACATCCCATAGTAGACAGCAGGTACAGGGATGAGTGATCCCCTTCCTCCCAACTGTCTGCACTGTCCTAGCTGATGAGGTGATATGCCAAAAATTTTAAGAGTCTGCCCACCTTCTTTGAAAGTTCAGCAAGACAGTGGGAGTTACAAAGAAAGCTAATAACCTATTCTTCTAAGGAAAAAAAAATCCCACAAAATGTATTTTTCTTTAGTTTTTAATTAAAAATGACCTTTCTGATTCTATGGCTGGAGGCAGCTATAGTAATGAAAAACGATGTCATTTACTGGTGATACTAACAGTGTGACAGTTACAGTGAAAAAGGTTATAATCATCAGAGAATTCCTAGGTGTCTACACACCACCTAATTGCTGGGATGCGGGGAGGATACAGATTGAGAGACATTGTAATCACTCTGGAGCAAAAGACTAACCACCAACCCATTTGGAATATGGTACTCTTGGGACTTTATTCTCAGCTTTTCCTTTAATGCTGCCAGCAACCAGAAAAGCAAATGAGAAGGAGTTCAACCCTAAAAGAGATGAAATTTTGACACCAGGGGTCACCATCCTCTTAAACTCTGAATGAGGTGAGACCAGTGCCTAGCCTAAGGGGCAGGCAGGAAGGAAGAAAAAAGGCTGGGAGGAAGCCAGGAGGAAGGTGAAAATTAGGGAGGCATAAAAGAAATTCTTTTGCTTTGCTTCTTCAAAGAAGGTGAGGGGCAGGAGGTGGGGGTGGGGATGGGGATGAGTGGTAGGAGTATGTCTACAGAAATGCTGCTGAATGGCTAAGTGCCCTGAAGCCCATTTTCCCTAAAATCCAAAATATGCTTTCTTTGGACAGTATCTGGGCTACTTTCTTCTTCACCCAATTCAACCCAACCTGAATAACAAAAGAAGGGGAAGCTGCCAGGAATGGGAAGAGTTTCTAAGGACTCTTGAGAAAAAGGTCTGCTGAACTGAGATTAAACTATTTCTCCACCACTATGCTTATTTTCTGCTATATTCAAAACCTAGGGCAAAGGGGAGTGATTATATTCAGAGTAAGAAACATCTATTGGTTTAGTGGGCTAGAGAGGATACACAGAATTGTTAAAAGTGCAATGAGTGTGTGGATTAGAAGAACTTCACAGCAGAATTTTGTTTTTGTTTTTTAGAGACAGGGTCTCACTCTGTCGCCAAGTTTGGAGTATAGTGACATGCTCATAGCTCACTATAGCCTTGAACTCCTGGGCTCAAGCGATCTGCCTACCTCAGACTCCCAAGTAATAAAGACTACAGGCATGCTATACCATGTCCCGCTAATTTTACTTTTTGTAGAGACACGGTCTCACTGTGTTGCCCAGGCTGGTCTTGAACTCCTGGCCTCAAGTGATCCTCCTAACTTGGCCTCCCAAAGTGCTGGGATTACAGGAATGAGCCACTGTGCCTGGCCTGTTTTTATTGCTTGTTTAAAAGCATTTTACTGGCCTTAAAAATTACAAAATAGCATTTGCAAATTTTTAAAAAGTGGAAAACCATTAAACAATTTAAGAAAGCCATATAGAAGTGTAAAGTTAAAAAGTGAGTATCCTTAATCTCCCACTACACCTCCCTAGGTTAATTACTACAAGAACTGTGATAGGTTTCCTTCTCTAATGTTTTCAATGTATGAGCAAATATGTAAATGCTTTTGTTATATTTGTATCTGTTTCTTATTCAGTGCTTCCAGCTGTGCCCAGCATGACACAGGAATTATTTCTTTAGTTTCTACAAAACCTTTAGGAGCCAAGTACTACAAAAAGCCCCATTTTTACTGATGGGCAAACTGAGGCGCAGAGAAGTTAAGCAACTTGCTCAAGGTCAACCAGCTGGTAGATGACAAACCTAGTTCCAGACCTGGCTTGTTAGCCCTTATGCTGACATATGGCATCTGTCCGTGTCAAACCATGGAAAACTAGCTTTTTCTTTTCAGATGGCTGCATGGCATTACATATAATGAATACTCCAAATTTTATTTAATCTGTTCCCTTACTAGGGGACATTTAGGCTGTCCCAAACTTTCCTCTATTATAAATATCATTATGATGAATGTCCGCAGTATAGCAGAACTGTTAGGTCAAAAATAGTATGGTTTAAGTTTGGATAGGTGTTACCCTCCTAAATAGCCTATGTAAATCTACATTTCTAGAAAGAATGTTCCAAGAGCGTCCTTTCTGACACAACTTCCCAAGTGCTGGACATTGCCAATCATTTTCATTTTTGGCAATCTGATACATGAAAACTGATTTCAATATTTGTTTTCCCTGATTGTAACTGAAGTTGAAAGTATTTTGATATGTTAAATAGTCATTTGTATTTCTTCTGTGGTTGTTCACATCCTTCCAACATTGATCTATTTCATTGTCTTTTCCTTACTGATTTGTGGGAGCTCTGTATAAATTTTGAATATTAACGCTTTTTATGTTACATATGTTTCACATATTTTTCTCCCAGTTGGCCCTCCATATTTTAATGTTGTTTATGGTCTCTTTCACCATAATTTCATGAAATTGAATTTGTTAAACATTTTAAGACTTCAGGGCTTCTTGTCATGCTTTTAAAGGACTTCTCCATGACTATAAAAATATATTTTCTTCTAGAATTTTATAGATTTGAAATGTAGTTATGTTATGAATTAGGGATCTAAATATCTATTTTCCCAAAGAGATTGCCAGTTGACTCAACACTATATATTAAATATCCCATCTATTCTGAGTTGAAAGTTACCTTTATCATATATTAAATTCTCATGTACACATGGATCTCTTTATGGATTCTCCATAGGATATTTTAAAATCTGGTGGGGCATATTCCTTCTAATTATTTCTCTTCTTAAAAATAGTTCTTTGATATTTTTGCTTACTTATTCTCCTGTATGAACTTTAGAAACAAACTTTAAAGTTGTAAAAAGAAATTCTATTAAAATTTCATTGAAATTGCACAGGAATGTTACATTAATTTGAAGAGAATTTATAATACTGAGCTCCTAGCCAGGAGTGAAATGTATCTCTGTTTATCAATATCACTTTCCAGATACTTCAGTAAATTTCTATCGTTTATCTCATAGACGTTTTTTGTTAATTTTACTTTTACATTTTTATAGATTGTGATGCAATTGTGAAAGGTATCCCTTTCATCCCATAATACTATATATATGGTTACTGATATCAGATGAAAACAATATTCATTTTCTTCAACTTTATTGAAGCTTTATTTCTCCTAATCCATTGCTTCTGATATTTATCATATATGGAGATGATCATATGGATTCTGGCCTTTTATGCCGTTAACTAAGCAAATTACACTGATTTCCTAATATTGGACTATCCTTGCTTTCCCAGGCTAAGTTTACAATACCACGGAGTATTATTTTTCTGGTATTTTGCTGTACTTGGTTTACACTTATATTGATAAATTAGATGGTTTCGTGTTTTCTTGATCATATTCTTGTCTGGTTTAAATAACAAGAGTTAAACCAGTCTGTAGAATAAGCCTGGATGTGTTCTGTCTTTCTCTATGCTTTGGAGGTGTACAAATTACCAGTAAAATAACAAAATCTGTCCCTAGTATCGTTGAGGAGGAAGGAGATTTGGCTACTTTTCAGAAAGAATTAGATGGTTGGTTAGAATGAACGGTGCATGGATGGACAGACAGAAGAAAGACCAACTTTCTTCTGTGGTTCCTTTCTATTCATATGTTCCTTTTTGAGTCATTTTTGGTAATTTTCAAATTCATTTCTAAAAGACGGATACATAGAAAAATTTTACAAACCTTTGGTTCTATCTCCCTCTTACCCTCAAGTAAGCTTGCCAGGTGTTCCTATTTTATCAACGTTTTCAAAGAGATTAGTTTTATTTAATCAAATCCATTAGGTTTTTGTCTTTAATCTTGTTTTGTATAATTTCTGGACTTACAGCTATTACTTAATTAGTTGACTTTTTGCTTTATTATAATAGTTGCTCTTTTTCTCAAATATTGATTTGAATACTTAGTCCATTTATTTTCAGCACTTCTAAGTTTCTTTTCTTTTTTAGGCCAGGAATGCTGGCAAAAAGCTTGTCCAATTTTCTTATAAATGTCTTCAAGACTATAATTTGTTCTCTGAGAACTGCTTTGGCCAGACTTCTGGGTTCCTATATGAAGTACTCTCATTCTTATTAACTTCTAAAGAGTTTGTCATTTTCATTATGATTTCTTCTTTCACTGAAGAGTTGTAAAAAATGCTCACACAAAACCTTGTAAATGAATGTTCATAGCAGCATTATTCATAATAGCCAAAAGGTAGAATCATCCCAAATGTCCATCAATGGATGAATGGATAAACAAAATGTAGTATAACCATACAATGGAATATTACTGAGCCATAAAAAGGAAGCCAGTACTGACACGTTACAGCATTGATGACTCCTGAAAACATGCTAAGGAAAAGAAGCCAGACACCAAAGGCCCCATACTCCATGTTTCTATTTATACGAAATGTCCAGAAGAGGCATGAGGAAACCTTTTCTTTCTCCCTTCCCTTCCTTCCCTTCCTTCCTTCCCTTCCTTCCTCCCTCCCTCCCTTCCCTTCCCCTCCCCTTCCCTCCCTCCCCTCCCCTCCCCTCCCTCCCTTCCTCTCTCTCTCTCTCTCTCTTTCTTTCTTTGACAGATTCTTTCTCTGTAGCCCAGGCTGGAGTGCAGTGGTGTGATGTCGGCTCACCACAACCTCCGCTTCCTGGGTTCAAGTGATTCTCCTGCCTCAGTCTCCAGAGTAGTTGGGATTACAGGTGCCCACCACCACAGCTGGCTAATTTTTTGTATTTTTAGTAGAGACAGGGTTTCACCATACTGCCCAGGCTGGTCTTGAACTCCCAACCTCAGGTAATCCATCTGCCTCGGCCTCCCAAAGTGCTAGGATTACAGGCGTGAGCCACCGCGCCCGGCCGGAAACCCTTTCTTTCTATTCTACTACTTCCAGTACTTCACTTCCGACACCAGATGTGTGGGGTTTTCTCCCTTACACCAAGCAATTCTCTAATCCTTGGCAAAAACCAACTGGTGTCCTACAATATATTCAATTCAATTATGACACTAATCAGAGTTAGTGTCAGTTCCCACAGGTAAAGGGCTCAGTCCTGCAAGAATGTCCCTATTTCAGATGCCAATTGAAAGCCCAGGTAGCTGCTTATGCTTCTGAACAACTGGCTATAAACAGGAAGTTCTGGTAAATAGGAAGCTCTCTTCAGGTTCAATTATTTGCTAGGATGGTTCACAGAATTAGGGGAAACATTTTACTTAAATTTACCCATTTACTATAAAGGATACAACTCAGGAACAGCCAAATGGAAGCGAGGCACTGGACGAGCTATGGGAAAGAGGCACAGAACTTCCATGCCCTCTCCGAGCACACCACCATCCCAGCACCTTTCTATGTTCACCACCCCAGAAGCTCTCAGAGCCCCATGCTTTAGGAATTTTTATGGAGGCTTCATCACATCGGCATGATTGATTATGAATTTAATCTCCAGCTCCTCTCCCCTCCCTAAGGCTGGCAGGTGCGGCTGAAAGCTCCAACCTTCTAACCATGGCTTGGTCTTTCTGGTGGCCAGCCCCATTCAGAAGCCCACCAAGAGTTGCCTCATTAAAACAACAGATAGTCCTGTCACTCAGGAAATTCCATGAGATGGAGGAGCTCTGTGTCAGGAACTGGGGTCAAAGACCAAATATTAGAATTAAAGATATATTTAGCACCCCTATTGCTCAGAAAATTACAAGGGTTTTAGGAGCTCTGTGCCAGGCATCAGGGGCAGAAACCAATATATTTCTATTTTTATTATGTCGCAAGGCAAATCCATAGAGACAGAAAGTAGGCTAGTGGTTACCAGGGGTTGGAGAAAGAAGTGAATGGGAAGCGACTGCTGATGGGCACAGAGTTTCTTTTGGGGGTGATGAAAATGTCCTGATTTTAGACAGTGTTGATGGCTGCACAACTCTGTGAATAGAAAACCCCTGAATTGTACACTTTAATAGGGTCTATTTTATCTTATATGAATTGTATTCCACAACAACAACAGTTATAAAGAATAGTATTTTTAAACGTCCATGTTGTTAGATTTGGGAAGGCTAACATCTACTATCACTGTATCTCATTTGGAGAATTTAGACTATGCATGGTGTCCAATTTTTGAAGTGTACAGAGATTTTCTTTGTGGCTTAGTCTCTGTCAGTTTTTGTAAGTGTCACTAAGTACTTCAAAAGAATATGCATTCTCTTATTGTTGGATTAAAAAAAAGAATTCCAAATACTCTCATTAAGTCATGCTTGTTGATCGAGTTATTAATATTTTACATATGCTTTCTTTTGTTATTGATTCAGTCAATTTCTGCTAAAGGCATATTAAAGCCTACCACAATGGCCGGGTGTGGTGGCTCATGCCTGTAATCCCAGCACTTTGGGAGGCCGAGGCGGGCGGATCACAAGGTCAGGAGTTCAAGACCAGCCTGGCCAAATAATGAAATCCTGTCACTACTAAAAATACAAAAAATTAGCCAGGCATGGTGGTGTGCACCTGTAATCCCAGTTACCTGGGAGGCTGAGACAGGAGAATCGCGTGAACCTGGGAGGTGGAGGTTGCAGTCAGCCAAGATCGCACCATTGCACTCCAGCCCAGGCGATAGTGCAAGACTCCATCTCAAAAAAAAAAAAAAAAAAAAAAAAACAAAGTCTACTACTATAACTGTTTTTTTTTAAGAAACTATTGCTGTATTTTAAGTGAGTATAATTTTTTATTTTTATTTTTATTTTTTGAGATGGAGTCTTGCTCTGTTGCCAGGGTGGAGTGCAGTGGTGTGATCTCAGCTCTGCTTCCTCCACCTCCTGGGTTCACATGATCTGTCTTAGCCTCCCAAGTAGCTGGGATTACAGGTGCACACCACCACGCCTGGCTAATTTTTTTGTATTTTTAGTAGTGATGGGGTTTCACCATGTTGGCCAGGATGGTCTCAAATCTCTTGACCTGCCCACTCAGCCTCCCAAAGTGCTGAAATTACAGGCGTCAGCCACCGCATCCGGCTGTGAGTATAATATTCTTACAATAAATAATAGCTCTAATCTAGTAAAGTTCTGCATTGTCTCCTGCAAACTGGCTCCTGAAACCTAATTTTTCCAGCTCCTTCTGCATACCCCTCATCTGTTTCACTTATAACCAAGGCGTCTCCCCAACAAGCCTCACCCATCACACTTCCCCACTAAAAAAATGTCCTGGGGTTCATATGCAAACTCCCTACAAAGGTCAGTGCCACCAAACAGTGCTATAAATAACACAGTCCATCAATATTTAAAGCCTGCAAATAAGAACAATTAAAATCAACTAGTAACTCAGAGAACAGAAATCACAAGGAAAGAAATCACACCTAAAATTGATTTAGACGGGCATTAGAAACCTTACAAAGTGATTTACTGACAAACTAAACATTCTAGTGTGGCCTAGTGGAAAAGAAAAAATACTGTCATTTTTTTCTGTTTAGAAGCCAATGCATAAAATCTGAAACTGCAGGTTCACTCTGAGGGCAGGCCTCATGTGATGTTTAAAGGAAAAAAAAATTAACCTTGTGCACACCTCCTATACTCAAGATCATTAATGAAAAGCCAAAATGTTTAATTTGCTCTGATGTTTCTGTTTTCTGTCATTTTTGTATAGTTAACAGGATCATAATTTAAGTAAGTCACACATTGTAAATAACCTGGGTATATTATTCTCTCCTCCTTGGTAATTAGACCACCTTTTGTTACAAAGAATCCTATAAACCATTTAACCACGAGTAGCTGTAAACTACTCATATTAAAAAATGGGTGCTTCTGCTCTTAAGAAGTTGAATAGTGCCAAGGAAATTACATAGCTTTTTGTCTCTCCTTCACTTGCATTTTATTTGAGTTTCTGGAGTCAGTTTGCTAATTTGATAATTGATATGCAGGTGTAAAAATCTACTATAAAAACTTTTGGAAGAAAGCAATCCCTATTGACCCCATCATTTTACTTCAGTGCAAAGCAGACAATCTACACTCAAGACCTCACCTACAAGTGGCTTCTCCAGCAATGCATAAAAAAGATGAAGCCATCTGGCACAACAGGAATTGCAGAAGTATTCAACAAATTAAAACAAAGAAACAAACAACACCTCCAATCACTTCAGTTTCTTAAGCAGAGCAAAGCAACTTGTATCTTTGTGTTACTTGTGATTACTTGATATGCTGATCAACTAGGATGTAAAAATAAAACTTGCAAAAACCAAGCTAAGAATCCTAGTTTTAGAATATAGGACATCCACAAAGATGAGGAATCATTTTCACCCAAAGAAACAGCGACAAGTATGGATACTGGCTTTTTTTTTTTCTGATTGTGGTAAAAAATATAGTATTAAATTTTACCATCTTAACCACTTTTAAGTATATAGTTCAGCAGTGTTATGTATGTTCATATTGTTGTACAACAGATCTCTAGAATTTTCCATCTTGCAAAATGGAAACTCTATACAATTAAATACTAATTTCCTCCCCCAGCCTTTGACAACTGCTTTTCTACTTTGTTGCTATGATTTTGACCACTTTAGATACATCATATGCTTTGACTCATAGTACATGTCCTTTTGAGACTGACTTATTTTGCCTAGCATAATGACCTTGAGGGTTAGCCATACTGTAACATGTGATAGGATTTCCTTCATTACATCTGCATGACATTCCACTGTAATTACACACCACACTTTCTTAATCCACTCATCTGCTGATGGATACTTGGGTTGCTTGTACTCCTTGGCTATTGTAAATAATAGCGTAAATAATTTCGGCGTGCAAATATCTCTTTGAGACCCTGCTTTGAATTATTTTGGATATATACCCAGAAGTGGGTTTGGTGAATCACACAGTAATTCTATTTTCAGTTTTTTGAGGAACATGTTTTCTATAATGTTTTGTGGAACTGTTTTCCATAATGGCTGTACTGTTTTTAATTCCCATAAACAATGCATAAGCTTTCCAATTTTTCTGCATCCTTGCCAATTCTATGACAATTACACAGATAGGAGGAAGAAATCTTTTACAGGAGTGTATTCAGGAAATAATTGAAGAAATTGATTCTACTATATAGCAAAAGAAAACAATAGATAAAACAGTATTTTCATACCTCCTATTAATGGCAAAAAGTATCCCAAAGAACCAAAATATGTTGTGATCCCAATGACAGATTTCAACCAATAAGAGTTTGAAATGAAATAGCTTTTCTTAAATTTCATAACACTGGCACTTGGCTTTTGAGCAAAGGAGTGGAAAGGTACGGAAAGAACTGGAGGGGGCTAAGAAGACACAGGCTGAATCCACTCATACTGAGAAGATGCTAGAGGGCCTCACAGGACCCTTCCATCCTCACCTTTCCCACCCCACCTCACACCCCGAGCAGCTCTGCATCAATCTTTTTAAAAAACTGTTGAATAAAGCAAAAAGAAAAGGAAAAAAGGAAAGCCATTAGTCTTTATGCTCCTTCCAGGATTAAAATTCAATTTCTTCAATTAGGGTAGGAATCCTTGTCTATTTCTCACTTTGCATATATACCTCCCCAAGTATAAACTTCCCATCTTCATTCTGAAAAGTAAATGTGCCTCAAACCAATTAGTGAAGTAGAACAAAACCTTCAAATTCTATTTTCCACAGAGCATATAATCCTATATCTACTTAAATATACAAAGCACTACTTTCAGTCATCATTCTTGCTCAATCAATACCATTTATCTATTAATAGGATGGCTCTCTTATTTGCTCTAGCATAAAACTGACCCCATAGTAGTTATAGAAGTTGAAGAGATACAACTTAAAAAGAATCTACCCTTTTAAATTTAACCAATCCCAGTTGTCCTTTATAACAACTGATACATGGATATTCAACTAGTGTATGGCAAGGCAGTCACCAGCACTGGAACGAAAATGGGTCCTTTCCTATATACGAAGAGAACACTGTACCATTACTTTTGAGAGGGAGAATGGCAAAAAACACTGACCCTAGGGCCCTTGCTCCCTAGTCATGCCCCTAGACCCAGTGAAGCCTCCCCTTGTACACTTGCTGACAGGATCTCTATTTGCAGTCTGTTTGGGTATGTTCTGGCCACACTAAAGCTACTTGTAAATATTTCTGCCATTTCCCTTTAGGAAACCCAGGGCCTGGTATAATATGTGATTCTCTCATGCTCGAGGCCATTAGGGTAAATGTGCCTCGTGTATCCCACTTAAAAAGTTAACGCAGGAAGAGGTGCAGACGCTGGTAGACACAGTCTGCCTTTCTTCCTGCTGTCTGGTTAATGTAGCAACTGGCTGCTCAGGAAGGAAGGGGAGGGAGATGGACCGGAGAGCTGAAAAGACGGCTGGCGCTAGGTAGGATTTACCTCATAGACTTACCCACACCATCCCTCCCTAAAACAAGCTACAGTGCATGGCGCTCACATTGCATTTTGAGGTAAAAGTTCTCAATATAGGTGCTGGCAATGTGCTCTATCTCGATCTGGATGGTGTTTACCAGGGCTATAGATGAACTATGCAATGGGTAAAAATCAGTCAAGTACACTTAGAATTCGTGTACTACATGTTAATAAGACTTTGAGAAATTAAATTTTAAAAGTTCCCAATATAGACTTACTAAATGACAGAGGATGGCTCCAATTCATTCCTTTCAGGTGTTTTAAAAAAAAAAAAATTTTTGCAATGACCTGATGTCTCCAACTTCTAGTCTAGTCTCTCTCCCTCCCATCCCCTTTTTGCATCACTAACACATTAAAATTCCTGAAGTTCCACTCTGATCAAGTCATATTCCAGGGTAAAAATCCCTGATGGCTCTCCACGGTTTATCACTGTCTATAAACTCCCTGGCCTGGCACTCATTCCCCACTCCAGGGTTAGCCACATGCCCTGGCCCAAAACACCCCTCAACAGCCTTCCCTAAGCCCGTCCTATGAAGATCTCCCAGCCCACACTTTGGTGCGTGTGATTTCCTCTCCTCTACCTCCACCCCTCCCCAAATTTCCATCTTGGACTGTTAAACATATGTATGTATACCTTTCCAGCTTCCTCCAAATGAATACTCTAATAGTAACAGCAAGAGATCTTTGTTTATTATGGATTTGATAATTAATAATGTTTTAATATCATTTACTACATACAATGTAAGCTTCACGAAGACAAGGCTCTTTGTTGTATTCACCAATGTATCTCTTGGGCTTGGAAGAGCGGCTGGCACATAGTAGATGCACAACGATTATTTGCTGATTTGATGATAATAGCTTTCCTGAAGGAGAGCCTGTTTCCCACACACTGTGCTTTAATACAGATCATTTCTATTCCTGAAAACACCAAAGCAATACGTATAATATAAGCCCCACATTCCAGATGGGGAAATTGAAGCTTGATGATGTTAAGTAACTTGTTTAAGGCCTCACAGCTCAGGATAGTCAGGATTCAACCTCCTCTTCCTTTGAATTCTCAGAAAACATTGTACTATGGTGCTTATCTTCTGCCTGATACTACAGCTACATAGTAGCCTGTTCTCTCTTTCTGCTTTCCATTCTTTGTGAACAGAGACAGTGTCTTACCCACCACAGTATCCTCTGAAGCACCCAGCTCAGGTCTTCACAGTGCAGGGGCTCCATAAATATCTAGTGAGTGACTGAAGAGTAGATAATAATAAAGGGGTGGGGGAATATGATTTAGGGAGTATCTCTAAAAAAAAAAACCTGGAGCACGCAATAAACTAAAGCATAAATGAGCACTAATTAATAAAAGGAAGCAAGTTAATTAGTAAAAGGAGGCAGTTCATACCACATGTACATGACAGGAGAGAACAGCCTCATGTCAGATGGGACTCCTGGGAGCGCAAGTCTTTACCATATAAAAATTAACTACAAGACTCAAAGGGCAACATCACGTGGCAGCTTCATTCCTTGAACTATTTCAACAACTACACACACACACACACACACACACACACACACACACACACAATAAGAAAGAAATTCTTGAGGCTGGACTGAATGTATTATCTGAGTGTGAGCATGAAATTTCACAGAAGAAATCATTATAAACCTTTTCCTCCTTAAGAATCACATCCACCATGTCACAAGTGCTAAACTAGTGGATTAAACTAAAAGCAAACACAGCTCATGAAATCAGGAGAGCTATCTGGCTTTATGCTCAGCTGGGGCTCAGGCTGCTTCTACAATCTCCAGTGTGGCTGCATACCACCCTTCTCTTTGTCTTCTTCATCCTAACAATTCCTGATGCACACACTCCTGTCCCCTGCTCCTGAAACCCTTTCCCAAGTCTGTAGCTCCTCACCTCCATGACTTAAGAACTAAGTAAGGTACAACGATATTCCAGAACCCACGCATCTCTTAAACTGAGGGCTGCCTGTACTCTCCTTTATGAATACATATATATCAGAATGTTTTGTGTCTTTAGGGGATAAGATTTTGAGCTGCTATTCTAGAGCATGCTAAAATGTTAATTCTATACATTCATTCTGGAACACCTGAACAATGACACAATTTTGGCTATTTTTCTGAATTTCTCCATAATAGAAAGTAAGATTAAAGCAAGTTCCTAGCTATCCATCATGCTGTGACCCTCATCACTGAAGTTCAGAAATTACTGCACATTAAAGAGGGTTTACCTGATAGGGGCTAGGCTGAATCTTACCTTTAACCCACGCCTTAGTAAACAATTTGCTAAATAAATGAATTGGTAATATAAGGAAGATTTCAGCTTGACTATTGTAAAAGCACATAAAAAATGCTTTTATGACCTTAACCTCTATCTGTATGAGGTTTTCAGAGATTATCTATTTTAAACTCTACTTTTGTACCTCAGTATAGGTTGAAGAGAGACCCTGCAAACAAGCCCAAGGCATGTTAAGAGTGATAATAGCTAAGATCTACTGACCACTTAATATTGTGCCGAGTACTCTGTAAGTACTTTATATGTATTATCTCATTTAATCCTCAATCATCTTATGTGATAAAAACATCTGGGCCTGGTGTTTTCTCTATGAAAAGATTTTAATTTTTAACTATTTATTACAGAGATTTTTCAAACATACACGAAAGTAAAGAGAATGTTATAATGAATCTTCATGACCCATCACCCAACTTAAGAGATTTTTTACTCCTATTTTTAATGGTTATAAGCTACTTAGGTCTTTGTAGCTTTTGAGTCAGTTTTAATAAGTTAGGAATTTTCCCATTGTGTCTAAGATTTAAAATGTATTGGCCCCAAATTTTGTTCAAAATATTCTTTTATTAGATTTAAATCTCTGCCCTAACTGCAGTTACTAACATCATTTGTTTATGGCTTTTCTCTTTTTGTTTTCCTTGATCAATCTTGGCAGAGGTTTGTCAACTCTATTCATCTTTTCAAAGAACAAACTTTTGGCTTTCTTGATCCTGTCTAATGTAAAAAAGTTTTTTCCACTTAATTCCAGTTCTTGTTTCATTATATCCTTCCATTTTCTGAGGGGTTTTTAGGTGGTTATTTTTTCTAACTGAGGCTGGATGCTGTACCAGTCAGGGATGCAGAACCATTACCAGTGACGTGACAGGAGGAATGCTTACAGCAATTAGACTTTGCCAGTGTGTGAGGGGCTGGGGAAGTGAAGGCGGTGGTACTGATCCTGGTGGGGACACCAATCACTCCTTCTGAAGCCCTGGAGCAGAAGGACCAGTCAGAGTTTGTATGCAAGGAACTCAGAAGCCAGGCTCATATACACCAAAGTGAACCTACAAAGTGGGGGATGCACAGAGAGGTCTAAGGAAAGCTCACTTTTTATGAGTCCACAGCAAAGAACCTGGGGTGGCCAGCCAGAGGAAGAAGAGCTAGATGCAGAGAGGACGAAAATGAGGACAAGCCAGAACCTGCCTGCACCTGCCTCTATTTCTGTTCATCATCCCATCTCACCCTGAAGCATTCTGGAGAACCAAGGCCACTGCTTCACTGATTCTACCCCCCAGTCTCCTACAAGTTCATCTTTTGGCCTTCCTGTACAAGGAAGGAGATTCTGGGAAACACAGTTCCTAGTTTAACCAACTTGATCAGGGAACAGTATAGCATAGATGCTTTCATCTCATTAATGTTCAGCCTTTCTTCAATACATTTCTAAGTACTATTCAGCTATATCCCATAAGTTTTAACATAGATTCTATGTATTTTCATTACTATTTATTTCTAAATATTTTACTTTTCCCATAATCTCTGCTTTGTCCTGTGACTTACGTGCATGCATGCTTCATAATTTCCAAACATATGCGTTTTCTTCTAGTTTTTGTTACTGATTTTATAGTGCAATTTTCTTAAATATTTTCATTGCAGTCAATTTTCTCAAGTATTTTACATGCCCTTAAAATGCTCTGCCACTTCAAATGTTGGATGCAGCCTTCTTTATATGTCTTTCACATCAAGCGTAACACTAACTGTGTTACTGTTTTTTTGCCTGCTTGATAAACCAATTAGAGTGACAAAGAAATTAAAATCTGCCCCATGATAACAAGACTGTTTTATTTTTCCTTGTGATTTCAATAATTTTGACTTTATATATTTTGGGGTGATAGTAGTAACATAATAAGTACATAAACATTTAGAATTGTTTGATGTTTCTGGTAAATGGAACCTGCTAGGACCTTCTTTGTAATTAATAATATTTTTGCCTTCAATTCCATTATTAATTTACCAGGTTTCTTTTGGTAGGACTCTGCCTGGCATATAATTTTACATACTTTTCATTTCAACTTTTCTTTGTGTGTTGTGAAGATGATTCTTGGAAGCAGCACACTGCCAACATTTTTTAAAATCCAGATTGATAATCTTTGTCTCTTAACTGGAATAATTTGTCCAGTTGTATTTAATATAATTTAGTGGTTATTCTGAAAAGACTGAAATTATATATAATGTATCAAAACCTAAACATTACTAATTTCTTTACCTTCTTCCTAAGTAATATGTTATATGTAATCACCTCCTGACTGACATGCTATAAACAACACATATTTTGGTTTTTTAAGCTCACAAGAAAGTCACTGTTGATTCAAATTTACCCACATATTTACCACTTTATTTTTTGTCCCTTCTTTTAACTCTTATCTTTTTATTCATGATCTCTTACCTTCTTCTCAAAGTACGTATTTTAGAACCTCCTTTCATGAAAATATGTTGCTCCTCTTTCCCTGGTCTGAAAATTGCTTTATTTATCCTCATTTTTGAAAGACAGATTTGGCTGAGCAAACAATTACAGGCTAATTTTCTCTCTGTATTCTGAAGACATTGTCCCACTATTTTCTGCCCTGCCATCACTATAGTTAGTTGAACCGCTCCTTTGAAAGCTACATGTCTTTTCTCTGTGACTGCTTAAGGGTTTTCTCTTTGTCATGGTGCTCTGCTATTTTACTATGCCATATCTAGGCATACGGATCTCTTTTAAACATTTAGTCGTGTTTAATGTGTTGGTATCTTTAATCACTTCTGGAAAATTCACTCTTCTCCTTGTCTTTTAGCCCCCTTCCATATTTTTCATCTTTTGTGTCTACTACATTCTAAATATTTTATTCAATTTTATCTCCTAGCTTATTAATTCTTTATTTGATTCTATCTAATCTGTCATTGATTGCCTATCAAGCTTTTAATTTAAATTTCTATATTTTAGTTAATAAGTTGTATCTGCTTTTCAAATTTTCTTTGTTATTTCAATACTCTTGCTCCTTAGACATATTTTCAATCTTCTCTTCCATTTTTGTAAACATAGTAAACTTACTTATTTTATGTATTATGTCTGATAAATTCAGTACCTGAAGTCTTTGCAGGTTGATTCTGCTGACTCTTGTTCATAATGATTTATTTTTTGTGTGTGTTTTGAGATTTTTGAATGGGAGCTAATGTATTTTAGGAATTCTGTAACGATTCTTTATGGTCAAATAAAGAATTCCTTCACAAAGAATCTGCATTTGCTTCTGCTAGCTGACAAGAGCAACTACCAACCTGGTACCATTTTAATTAGATTCTAAGCTGAATGTTTTTCTGACCATTCAGCTAGTGTGAATTTCAGCTGTAAATCCACAAGCTGTTCTGTGGTTACAGATTTTCTGAGGAGATTTATTTTTTGCTCCTCCACATAGCTCTAAGGTTCAAGACAGAAAATTTTCCTTGGAGGAGTCTCAGGTTTTTTTCTAGCTTGCCATTACCAAGAGAATATAGCTTAGAGGTACCAGTTCCATGGTGGGAGGAGCCTTTGCTAATTATACAGTTCAACTTGGGTGGGCCTAGAGTTTTCCTTCTGTGGCTCTGGAGGTTGTAAAAACCTAAGAGCAAGTTCAGGGTGAAAGTCCAGAGCCTCCAGAGCTCTCTCTGGGTTTCCAAATTTCACTTGGTATTTAGCATCTGAGCATTTCTTCCTGTCTTGTCACATTGGCAGTACAATTGAAAAAAATCTCTTCCACTGATCCTGCAGGCAGTATGATTTACAATGGTTCAGAATGAGAGCTTTGAAACTAGTGCCTGGGTTCAAATTTCTGCACAGCACTGATTAGCCAGGCAGCCTTGGGAAGTTATTTAAACTCTGCTTTAATATTCCTACTTCTAAAATGGGAACAAGAATAGTACTTGCCTCATACATGGGTTTTTGTAAGGATCAAATGAGTTAGTGCAGTAAAGCACTTAGAATACGGCTGGCCATAGCCAGCATTCAAAAGAAAACAAGGCATTATTATTACTATTACTATTAGATTGTGGTACCATGATGAGACCTTACAATGCAGATGCTGCTTTCTACTCCTTAACATTCTCTCTTGTATGATCACGTTATAAAATCAAGCTCTGCAAAATGTAATTTTATATAAACATTTCTGCCAGTGCACTCATTTTTATGAAACCTCTGTTTAAGAAAGTACACAAAACACATAAATATATGCATAACAATGAATGGCAGACACACTCCGCTGAACACTCCTATTTAACTGCTCTTACCATTTAGGACCAAGAGGGAGTACAATGAAAGTAAAAAGCATTAATCAAAATAACCCAAAGAATAATTTTAATGATGCCTAATGGAGGGATTCAGCTGTTGCCATCAAGTGTAAAGGTGAGCATGTTAATAGCAAAAAGAAATGGCTTTGTTAAACGTGATTATCCCTTGCTCTTACTAAGCCTTATGAGATAGAGCTACACAAATAAGAGCCAGGAGAGTTTTCAGGCCCAGAATGGCCGTATTTACAATGGTGAAAACCCAGTATATTACAAATAATGTAAAAAGACATACACCATGCATACAATCTGAAAGAGCTGGCTTTAGTAAGACAAGTGGGTATTTCTTGATTTTAATATGTGAACATTTTTAAAGTATCAAAATCAATCTTATTATCATGAACACATTTTGCCCAGCCATGAAAATCTTTATTTTTATATTTAGGTTTGATGAATGAACAGCCATACAGAAATGTGATTGGACACAAAGGATCTGGCCTAACGGTGAAGGACGGAGTGGGGAAACCCAGCAAAACCACAGAATTTTTTACTGAGTACTTCAGTTACAAGGTAGAGCGTGAACCCTGCAAGAGAAATGAGCTCCTATTGATTTGTTTATAAATTATCACAACAAAACAAAATGCCCCTGGCTAAACTGGGATCTGGGATTTGGGGTTGTGCCAACCGTCAGGTCATCACTGTTCAACTCCAAATACACCCCTTAATAGCTGCTCTGTGATAATGGACTGGACTCGAAGCATTTCTTCCTTACTCAAAGCCTAAGATTGAGTGAGCTCAATATTAGTTAGTTAGAGTGACCTCAGTGTTAGGCCTTGTCAGTAGAGGGCGCCGCAGGGACACTGTAATGGCTCCAGAGTACTGTGTTTTGACGTTTTCTTGCTGCTGCTTCACTGTCCTTCAGCGGTGCATGTATATAGGGACATCTCTGCTCCAGTCTTGTGTGCAGAGCATGCAGTCCCTTAGTGACTACGCAGCCCTGTCCTGAGGCTGAGTAACCACCTTTCCACAGGCCTCCCACACAGACCCTGCATGCTGCATGCAGGCCTTGTGCCCACCGTGATACTCCAAGTGCCCACCGTGATACTCCAACTCTCCACCAGCCTCAGGTTGCCTGTGCCCCAAAGCCAGCAAACTTCTGTGACATCACAGGGAGCGACATCCACATCCTCTCCAAAGCAGTCTGAACCCAGCCTTGGGGAGTGGCTTCCGAGTGTGTCCTTCCTTGCGTATTTTTCTTCAGCCTTAGGGCACTTATTGAGTTTTCTTTACATCTTTATAGTTACTCTCCTATCTTAGTTTAGTAATTCCTTACACTAAACTTCCTGTTTAAATTCCTTTGTGGTTTTTGTCTCCTCGTTTGACCCAGACTGACACTGTTTAATTCTCATTTCTGAATTCATATAGTCATCTACTCTTTCCTCATCATACACCACTTACTCTATCCATTAAAAATATGCCATCTTTTCATGTATATGTCAGCTGAAATGTTGGCCAACTACATGTTTTGAAAAACTTTGAATGATGCAAGAAAACATCTAAGCTTATTTTATTCTTTGCTTATATCATATGAAAAAATTCCAAGCTCAGCACCTTGCCTACCCAAGGATTTAAAGTCAAATTAATTATTTCTTCCTCTTTTCACACTCTGTTCTTTCTCTCTTCCACAGAAAAGGGCTGGACTTTTGTTTATAATTTAAAAATAACAAATAATTTCACAATGCCTTATTCTAAAACATTTTAACAAGAATTTGCAGATCCTAATTACTTCCAGAATAACATTTGAAACTAAGGTATTAAAAAGTGCGTTTAAAAATATAGATCATTTATTCATCTTTCCTTTAGTACCCAGTATTGGACAGACTGTAGACTAGGTACTGTGATATAAAAAGATGAATGAGGCATCCTCACTTCTGCGAACTGCAATAGAACCAGAATATAGGTGAAAAAAGAGAAGGAAAGGCAGGGAGACTTCATAGCAAAATATAACAAAAAATTTCCTCCAAAAAAATCACTCTTGTAATAATGACCAACATTATTAAACACTTCTTAAGTGTATAACCCATATAATTCAGTGGAAAAAAGAATCAAATATCTTTAAGAATAGTTTCATATCACATCTATTTGAACGTGGGCTCTTAATTGTAAAAGCTAAATTAAATCAAAATCTAAAACAAAACTACACTAAAATAGAACAGAAAGAAAAGAATGATATGTATTATTTGTAGTATATTCCCGTGTTTCTTGGTAATAGAAACAAGCAAATATCTGGGATTACAAAAATTTTTAGGACATCTAATTCACCAGCATGCAAATAACTTGACATTTTACAACTATATTTATAGTACCATTTGAGGTTGCCTGAATAAATAGTTTCCAATCTATATGCATCTCTTTGACATGTGAGAGAGGGCTCAAGAAATGCCACAGTGTGAAAGTTACCAAAATGGAATTTTAAATGTAATGAGTTGCATATCATATTGAAGCAGAGTTTCAACATGACTGCAATAAATGCTCCATTTTTTCTCTTCCCAAAATATTCTAAAAGGTCACACCAGTCTAACAGTGATAGGTAACTGCCAAGAGTTAAAAAAAATTGGACATCCTGTAAATTATAATTTAAAAAATATATATATATGTCTGAGGTAGGCAAAATCAAGGAAACCAAAGATATGGAATTAACACCCCTCAATGACCGGAACATCTGGCTATATATTTACTTATTTTTGTCTTTTAATTTTAATTTCCCCCCAAAATAGAAACATATTTCAAACCTCATCATTTTCTACTTTAACCAGCCAGCAGGAAACCAACATAAAATTTAAAAGAAGGAAACTATGTAAAAATCGTATATAAGCAAATGCTTTTTCAATTTTTATTCCAACATGAGAGCAGAAAGCAAGATTTCTGGAAACTGATTATTAAATAGAAAAGAACAAAAAGAAATGTGGTCCTATTTATCACCCATTCAACAAAGAACTAGTTTTTAAATTGAAAAACTAAGCAATGCATTCTGAAATGTAGCTACAAAAAAATTCTATAAATGTTTAAACTAATATCAATATAATGACAGTTGAGGAAGCAAACTTTCAACAACACTCAAGTAGTCAAACAGAACTTCCTCATACTTCATGTTTGCCAAACAAAATATCAGGAATGTGGGATAAAGCATAAAGAGATCTTATTATCATCTAACTCAGTCTTCTTTCACAGATTAGGAACTTGAGAACCAAAGAAGTTTTTTTGTTTTTTGTTTTCCTCTAAAAACTGCTCTGCTAATGACCTTACTGGCAGGTGGAATAAACAGGGTACAATTTCAGAGGCACTAGATCACTTAGCCTTTAACATTTCTTGACCAGCTTAACAGGATATCTTAAATTCTACCATTAGAGATTCATTCTATAGGGTTATTCATTATATAACTTTAGATCTAAGAATCTAAACTTTAGATCTGAGAATCTAAGTGTGAAGGGCATTTGTAGATCCTGAGTCCAAACTCACTCAAGCAGCATATCCAAATCACATTTAGGTTAAGTGCTTTTAGGGAAATGACTGGATCTTCTTTAACTCCATAGTCCCAGATCCTGGCAGACAATAACCTACATATTAATTGTGGTGTTGGTGAAAATGACCAAAGAATCAGTCAGCTGACTTTCTCCCTAAGCGCTGATAAGGAATCTTTTGGGAGTAAGATTTGGGGGTGGTAGGTTTTAAATAGGAGAGGACAGAAGGGAGCCAGACTTGGGTCCAGGAGACATAGTCTGGGGTTCTTGACAAATGTAAGCAGAGTGAAAACCTGGGTAGAGTAGAGGAGTGGGTGAGAGAAGCGGGGAGGCGCCTCAAGAGAACAATCAGACAGCGAGGTGAGGGAATGGAAGAAACACAGTGAAAACCTGGGTAGAGTAGAGGAGTGGGTGAGAGAAGCGGGGAGGCGCCTCAGGAGAACAATCAGACAGTGAGGTGAGGGAATGGAAGAAACACACTTTGTTTATTGCACAATGTTTCACAGACCTTCTCCTGCCAACAAGCAGACCATAAATGTCACGATCCTATCCCAACATGTGTTGTTAAGTCAGCACAGGATGGCCTACAAATTTTGCAACTATTTCGAAAAATTACCAAAAATGTTTTACATCCTGCCTAGCATCTTGTTATCTAGGTAGTAAAATACCAAGGGTTAATGTGATAGCTAAAGAAAAAGAAAATCACCCAACCACCTCATGCCTTTTCTTTTTCTTTCCTAGGAAATTGCCAGTTATATGAGTCCTATATTTGTCCTTCTTTTTAAATGGGAAAAGGCAGAGAAAATAAAACTACAACACGTTTTATTTGTGTGTTAGCGATTACAGCCCGGGGCTATTTTTCCTTTCCCAAACAGTGCGCATTTTAGACCTGACACCAAGCAGGGGGTGGGATGTTGAGCTCCATGAAGGAAATTTTTACTTGTGACCAAAATACTGGACCAGATGGATCGCAAAACTTGCCAAGAGCACAGTTAAATGTTCACGAGAGGACTACTAATGTAAGCAAGGAACTCACTAGTGCTATCTCTGTTTTTTGTTTTCATTCCACCTAGAACCAAGAATTTAGGAATGCTAAGGAAATCACCCCCAGGCAGATTTAGTCTTTGCTAAGCTCATTACAGAAGTGTTAACACACACCTTAGATGCACTGAATTCTAACAATTACAGAAACAAATCTCTAAGGCTACGGAACTTCACCAGAGGTATTTCTAAGAACTGCTGGATGCTTTGTTAAAAGAACACTGGAAAGGCTCCGGTACAGGCCAGGTCAGGGCTGGAAGTGGCAAAGAAAGCATCAACAACAAGGCTGGGCGCAGTGGCTCACACCTGTAATCCCAGCACTTTGGGAGGCTGAGGCAGGGGGATCACAAGGTCAGGTGTTCGAGACCAGCCTGGCCAGCATGGTAAAACCCCATCTCTACTAAAAATACAAAAAATTAGCCAGGTATGGTGGCGCATGCCTGTTATCCCAGCTACTTGGGAGGCTGAGGCAGGAGAATTGCTTGAATCCAGGAGGCAGAGGTTGCAGTGAGCCGAGATCGCACCACTGCACTCCAGCCTGGGCGACAGAGCGAGACTCCATCTCAAAAAAAAAAAAAAAAAAAAAAAAAGAGAAAGCATTAACAACAAAAGGTGGGAACCATCAAACCAGATGATGATCCTCAACCAGAGTACTGCAAGGTCCCTGCTTGGAAAAGAAGTGTCTGTGCTTGCCTCAAGCTCACGGTTACCACCTAATGGCACCTTCCAGAGGGTGGCTGCTGCTGTTGATTTGATTGTTACTGCTGTTTTAAAACTCTAATTGGAAAATCAGTTTGTAATTCCATTTTATGACTCCTGAAAAGATGAATGGTCTTTTTAAGAAAAGCTATCCAAAAAAACCCTACAAATGCATCCAAAGACAGCTTCTGCTCATCCAGAGCCAAGAAGAACTAGCAGGTACCTCCAGCATCTTGGCACAGGGCTGGTCCCCATTCCAGATTAAGCTTCCACAAGTTAACTCCTTTGTACCTGCCTACCCTTGAAAATGAGAATCTTTGACAAGCTGCTGCCATCCCTCCATGGCTGTGAGACCACCTGGACAAAAACTCTAGGAGAAAATGCTGGAGTCTGTGTCCACTCCAGATAACTAAGTGAAACTTTGTCATTTACTAGGTCCACAGCACATGGAGATAGGAAAGGCTGGGTCTGAAAAACCTGAATTAAGGTAACTATTATCCTCAGTGAACATGTTTCCTTGCTCCATCAGTGTTGTGAGGGGGTAAGATCCCAGAGATGACTCAGACATCAACAGGGATGAGTTCTGTTGTTCTGGTTGTTAAACCAGTGGAATCTTTATCTCTCCATTGACAAATGCTGTTGTGCCCATATCCCCAAAGGAATCCCTTGCTGCTCCTGCCCTCTCCTTGGGGCTATAATCCAGCAACTAAAGAGGTGACCACACAGCACAGCCAAAGCCCTGTGAGAATCAATGCCAAGGCTTCAGCCAGAGCCTCATCAGTGCTGCCCAGGCTACACCAGGCTTTAGGTAATCTGACTTCTGCTGGAAAGCTCTGGAGAACCAATGATGGAGCAAGTGTTGGGCAAACTTTCTCTTGTTTTCTGCCCAGTCTAATAAAATGAAAAAATGACGAAGAAGGTAGATTTGGGCCACTTGGAAAAACATATTTGAACCAAGTAGGGCAATTTCGTTTGAATTTGTTAAATCTCAGTGTCAAAATAGGTTGGAAGGGGACTTCGGCAGGTGCTCAAACCAATCTTCAAACTGTACAGATGGGATAAATGACTTTTGCTCACTTGCTAATCAGTGCCGAGGCGAGGAACAGAACCTAGACTTCAGCCTCAGTCTCTCAGCCTAGTGTCCTTTCCCGTCTCCTTCTGCTTCTAAGTAGTTTTTTTCGTTTGTTTGTTTTTGAGACAGAGTTTCGCTCTTGTTGCCCAAGCTGGAGTGCAATGGTGCGATCTCAGCTCACTGAAACCTCCACCTCCCGGGTTCAAGTGATTTTCCTGCCTCGGCCTCCGGAGTAGCTGGGATTACAGGTGCACACCAACACGCCCAGCTAATTTTTTGTATATTTAGTAAAAACAGGGTTTCACCATGTTAGCCAGGCTGGTCTCGAACTCCTGACATCAGATGATCTGCCCACCTCGGCCTCCCAAAGTGCTGGGATTACAGGTGTAAGCCACCGTGCTCAGCCTAGTTTTTTTTTTTTTTTTTTTCATAAAGACAATTTGTAGTACTTTCAAGTGTGCCAAAAACTGGGCTAGGAGGTAAACAATATAAGATGATTATTATCTCTAAAATACAAAAAGGATATGTAATGGGCATGCAATTGGTCAGTAAATACCTAGAAGCTTCTCATGCATGCATAATAAATTGCTTCCCTTAAGTTAAACAATCCTCTTGTCGTATCAATTATACCATTCACCTAATTAACAGAATCTTTCCTAAACTGTGCAAAGGCAAACTTCCCTGAAGACCTTGCAAATGATCCCAGTGCCCAATTGCTGGAATGGCACTAATAAGATTTGACTCTACTGACAAATTAAAATTTTAATCAGGGCCACATGAAAATCTCAAGAGCAGGAAAAGTAAAGCAAATTGAGAGGTTTACATTATAGGTTTTGAGATACTTTTCCATACAAGCAACATAGAACAGAGAAATTAACAGGCCAAGGAAATGTTATTTTTTAAAAAAGGAGGAGGACAAAGGAAAAAAAAGACACGAGTCACTGGTAAACAATGTTGACACTGTTGGCCACTTTGTTTTAAAATCATATAAAATCTTTGGGGTATTAACAATTGCCCATACTTTCCCCTGGAATTGCAGAAAAGCTGGCTCTGCAGCAAAGGGAGATGGTTTAGGCCACTGACTGAAAGACTCATCCCTGTGTATGGTTTCAAAATGCTGCCTGGTATCATAGCAACCATACATGACTGAATGTTGTACAAAATGTGATCAAGGCCTCCCCTGGGAAAATCTCATGTAATTTACTCCATTTCTAAGATGTTCCCTGGGCTCTGGAAATCAGGTCCTCAGTTCAAGGATCTTCAGCACAGGAGGAACTTACACATCATCCAATCTGCCTACTGACAAGGCAGAGAGGGGATGGAAGAGCCCAGTAACTTAACCAGCACCACAGCTGGTGGCAGAGCAGAGAGCAGAGCCAGCTATCTGGACTCCCAGCTCAGCGCTGCTTCCTCTTGATCTCACGGCCTCATCTCTCCAATTTAGTGAGAACTGACCTTCCTCACCAATCAGCTGTTTTCACAATGAGACTCATGCATCATAGCTGTATTATATTTTAACCTGGAGATCAAGTATGGTACATCAATTGGATGTCTGTACCCTGGGGATTTTGCCTTGTTCTAAGGTGACATGACAAATGGCAGATTCTGCACCTTTCACTTCACTAAAGATAGTCTTAAGGACAACTGCCTCAACTTCCTTCAGCCTTTAGCTCCCTGCCTGCTCCCTAGCATTAAGAAACAAAGGAAAAGTCAGCTGATTTGTTCCATGAGCCTGAGCCATGCACCTGTAATGAGAGGTACCGAGGGAGAGGCCCAGGTTTCCTGGGTCTGTACCAGGTTCAAAGGGCAGAAGAGCTGCTCTCCATGCCCAACTTGGAACATACATAATGACCTAAGGGGGGAGAAAACTAATCTCCAACCCTCTGGTTCACAGGCAATCATGTGCAGAGGCCTTTAGCTTTAGAGTTTGGGGCGCTTTTTTCTCCTGGAGGTGCCAGGTACGGCTCCATGCTAGGTCTGCAGCATTCACCATGCTGAGCGTTGAGCCGTGTTCTCAAAAACTCATGCCCCCAAGTTTGAACAAACTCATACTTGTCCCCTAAGAAGTCCCTGTCATCCCGGTCTGTCGGCCATGAGCTCGTTACTCCCCTGACCTTGAGGCCCACAGACTGGGATGAAGCCAGGACCTGGCTCCTCACTCAAGTCCTCCCGCGCCTTCTCTGGATGCCTTTCTCTCCCTGCTCACGGCACACTGCACTTTGTAAAACGTCTTCAGATGTGGAGAGCTGAGTCCTGGCAGTCATCCCAGGAAAGGGGAGCTTTTTTGTTGCTCTGCCCTTGATTGGTCCTCACTCTCAAACAGCTGTGAACCTTTTTCTTCGTTTATTTTCAAGCAATTAAAACTACAGCTTGATAGCATTACTGTAATCTCTCCCATTGTGTTTAGAGAAATTTTTCTTTCTTCAAGACTTCATGTATCTATCCAAAAGAGAGAGAACAGTCTAGAGGCACTGCATACCTCACGAAAGTGATCTGATTGGTTCTCATCCCTGAAAAAGCCAAATACTTGGAAATAAGAAGTTGAAAACATACATGTGGCCACATTTTCCTCTCCTTTGCTTCCACGTCCACATAGAAAAGAAGAAAAGCTTCTAGATATTTGCAAAGGTTTTGTGAAATATGAGCTTTGGCTAAGCACATGTTTTTAAAACTATTTGGACCCTCCAAACAGAACAGATGTTTCTGCAAAATTTTCCACCATCCAGTCACAGCAATCCCGGCACGATCCTGCCCCATGTCCGGCTCCGGGCAGGCTGTCAGTGGCAGCTGGTCTGAAGAAAGTTTTACAAATCATCTAGCTCTTCTTAGACTTTAGAACAAGCTCCCTCCAAGCCCTGCAATGTTTCAAGGTAGAGGAGGTAGCAGGAAGATGGGCATTTGAACAGCACAGAGGGCCAGAGGTAGAGTGTGAAGGCAACAGAAAGGTACATATTCTCTTCATGACATTCATCAACAAAGCCTAACATTTCACAAGTACTCGGGCTTATTTCTTACTAAGTCCTGAAGCATTAAGGTCATCCAAAATCCCCTATTAAAGCGTGAGCTCCTCGAGGGCACAGACTGTGGTTTTATTCATCTTTCTATCCCCAGCACTTGCATACTGCACACACAGAGCAGACATTCAATAAATTTGATTGACTGAAATGAAAACTGTGAATACCTTCATGGGAACAGGGCCATGACCAGCAGGCATCTTACCTAGAACTGGTTACCGGGTGAAGGTAAGATAAACAGAGTATTCCTACATGGGGAAGGCAGCTGCCTAAAACGGAATCGGCTCTGGAGAGCCAGAATCCCTGTGTGTAGCGAAATACTACAGGTCAGCAAGCAATGCGGTGTGATACAAAGATCCAACTAGGTGTAGCCGGAAGCCAGTGCACAGGGAGGTTTGACACCAAAAGAGACTGTTCTAAGTCACAGGCAAGACCTGCGTTCATAACGTTATGAAAAGAGCTCATCACAGCATACTCTTCCACTTTTATGCACCAGGACAAAGACCTAATAACCTCAGCAGATACACCTCTGTCAACTCCAACACCAGCAGGCGTCTACAGTTTAGTGGCTAAATGCAAATTCTGAAAACCCTGCCTCAACTGCCCTGAAAAATCTTTAGTCCTCCTTTCAAACTTTTATAATTCAACTCTCATTTCTTTCCTTCCTCATAGAACCATTTGGAAAGATTTTGGTTTTTCAATAAATATATTAATACACAAAAGTTAGTATGTCCCATAAAAGTATTTTTAACCAGCTCCTAATCTGCCAAGATTTCAGTGAAACCTTTCACTTACCATTTGCCACCCACATACAGACCCAAGGACGGACCTTCTATCCAGTGACGGCACTTACAGCTGATTAAAGGGTTTGGAGGTGATGACAAAAATATGCTTGGTTTACAAAGACAGGCAACATGGAAGGACACATCTGTGATCAGAAAAAGTGCAAATTTGCAGAGGAGGAAGCTGCTTTCGATTTGCATTATTACTGCTCGGGTTCAGGAGAGATCCTGCTGTTTCAAGCGATTCCATGTTTAACAAGTTCTCGGCATTTCTTATTCCAAAAATATGTAATGGAACTACTAACAATACAAAAGAGCTCATTTTAACTTTTGTTTTCTTGTCAGAAGGCAGAAAATGTTAAAGAAGAAATTCATGATGTTGTAAGTTTAACATCGTAGTATGAAGTCTGGGAGACGTGTCTGAATCAAACACGTCTTCTGTTCTAAAATCCATCAAAATGAAGAACTTCTGAGAAGACGAATAAAGGAAACACTGTATATATTGCTTGCATAAATTGGATCTCATTAAAAATATGGTGGCTGGGCTTCACACACAGTTTGCACCTTAACCTTGCATCTGTTATAATTGCCCCAAGCATTATTCCAGCTCTTTCATTTCAGTGAGAAAGTGTGATGATTTTGTCAACCAGGGTGTAAAACTGACTTGAAACAAACTTCTATAATCAACTTCCCACAACCCACTGAACTGTGCGAAATGGCAGCATGTAATAAATAATTAATGCAATTAACAAAACGGCATAAGCCTACTATAGAATATAATCTGTTCAGGCTGAAGAATAAAGTTCACTTCAAATAATTGTTACCATATTTACTTATGGATATGGCTATATGCAACTCTATGCTTAAATAGCATATAACAATTCCCAAAGTCAGGTCTTGTAATGTAAATTGGCATTGCTTCACTTTTGAGATAAGTATCTCCAGACATACAAATTCTTGGATAAAACTTAAAAAGACTAGAAGTAATTATAAAAATTAGAAAAGATAAACTAAAGAAAAAACAGAAACCATCCATAATTCAGCTCCCTTCCACCACCACCCCACCCAAACATGTATAATTAACGTTTTAGAAGGAAAGATATAAACACTTAACAGTTGTTTCAAAAGTTGGGATGGGGTTGGAGGATCAGGGAAGGATGAGTTTACCTTTCTTTGTATCATTTAAATTTTTCAAGTCATGTGCATGTATTTTTAATTTTTAGAAAATAGTTTATATAAACTTGCATACACCTTTCAGATTTTCCTCTGGATACATATTTTTTAAAAACCAAAATGGTGATGACATTATGTGAATAACCAAAAAAAATTATGTATTTAAGAAAAGTACAAAGACAACCTCTCTCACCTTGTTCCCCTCCTCCCAAAGCTCAGAAAAGGAAACTCCAGCCTTGCCTCAGTATGAAAATACATGACTTTTTAAAATAGCACTATCGGTAGGTGTTAGCAGTGGGCAATGTGTGACCCACAATCTTCCTTTCCCACAAAACACAACACTATCGTCTTCTAAATTTCCTTCATCCGAGTTGGAGATGACCCTCTCCAATCCCCTATGTTTTAAAATAAGCAACTAATATCTAGATAGGTTACAGGGTACTTGAGTTAGCAGAGCTCGTTGTGCCGGAGCGTGGCTGGAGACCTGGTCTCTGGGCTTCCCATGAAGCCCACACACCCATCCATGCTGTTGTTTGTAGGGCTCTTTTATACTGAGAGGGAAGGTCAGTCCTCAGATTTGCCCTGGAGTGTGATCACTTCAGGCTGCCTCCCCTCCCTTTCTCTCAGGCAAGGGCGCACCCAAGGACTGAAAATCAAAGCCAGGACCACATGACTCCCATCCTGACTCTCTGGACCCGAATCTTTGCATTTTGCTTTATTTTCACTTTAAATCAAAGTAGTTTGTTAGGCTGTCTCTTAATAATTTGGCCTAAAGTATTCTCCCGGGAGACAATTTCACAAGGTACACTTAGAACCACTGAGGCACAGTCTCTTTGGAAGAATAAGGAGCCCTCACGTCTCATCACAGGGAACGTGCTTATTTACGTCACATATGCATTATTGCCCCTGCCCGGGGCAGTGCTGGCTGGCAACCCCAGGAGGAAAAACCACTCTGTTGTGGCCATTTTCAAAGAAACTCACCTACATGCAGAAGTCCCTGGATGTGTGAATTTTCTTTGCAACAAAGGGAAAGAAGGTCCAGTGATAGTCTCATGATTACATGGTCAAAGGGGTTGATAAGAAGCAAAACATAAAATAAAATAATCGTAATTAGAAAGAAATTGCATAAGAAAAAAGAACCTAAATGCCAAGTAAATTCAATTATTTAAGAGTAGATGCTTGAAAAAAAAGTTTACTTAGTTAAAAAAAAAAAAATCAGAGGTGAGGCTTTTTCCCTTCAACGTATTCTATTGCTTTCTTATGCTTTATTATAAAATTAGCTAACAGTACTGTACAGGGTCATTGCAACATTTTCTAAGTGCCTCATGTCTACCTATGTGTTCCTACTTTTCCAGGCCTCTGGGCAAGGATGTTTACATTATTTGTCCTAAGTAATTAATTTGCCCCAAATAAGTTAAAAAAGTCAGTGTCACAATGTCAGAAGAAGGGCCATGAAATGTTTGTTGAGGTCACTGGAAGAGGCTAACTTGTGGCTAAATTTAGTAATTATTTCTTTCATAGGAATAATTCCAAAGTTTGAGTCATGGAATAGAGAGGAAACCTGAAATGAGATTTTAATATTATGCACAACACCTTAAAAAGCCAACAGGAAAGCAGTATCCCATATGAAGCAGAAATCCAAGCTAAAGAAGATATGGGAAACAAACAAAACATTGTGGAGAGCTTTTAAAAATCAGAAACAGAAATACACATATGTATGTACTTATGTGTACATACACACATACATACAGAGTCCTAGTTTTTGTTGATGAAATAAGCTTATTTTTATGAAATCAAAAAAGATTTGTGGCTTAATAAATATGTTAGAAGAAATGAGCTATTTGAGTAAGCTGCTACTTAGCAGGAGTAAGTTTATAAAGGAGTTTATAAAAATACTTTTATAATTATTCTGATCTTTAAATTTTGCATAATATTTCTCATTAATGAAGACAACCCTGGCTTGTCTGATGTGTGAAATTGTTTATTTTTAAACTGTATTTCAAATGAAATTAACTGACATTATTATACACTGCCTCATTTTAGGACAAAGACTTCCACTCACTGGAGAATCCACTGTGAATCCCATGAGCACAGAATGAGACTTCTTAATGACTAGTCTAAGCATTTATAAAAAATGTCAACCATTAACGACAATAACAACTACTCCTGAATTGTGTCCTCATTTTCTTGAAAGAAATGAAGAGGTAAAGGACACACGTCCCAGGAAATCAAATCCACTTTTAAAGAACTGTCCTCAGAAACCAAGCAGGCAAAAGGGAAGAGGTTATGGGCATGTCGCTAGAGCCAAGCTGACCTGGGTTCAAAGCCTTACTACACTCACTGCAAATTTATGACCCGGCAAATCAACACATCTCTCCAAACCTGTGCATCCTCGGGTATAAAGTAAGTGTAACAGCATCTACCCCACAGGGCTGTTGGCAGCATTTTCCAAAATGAAGAATGTAAAGTTCTCCCTCAGTGATAACCCCTCTCATCATTACTATGCCCCAGCATCCCTTAATACCAGAAGCTTCTCCCCACTCCTCCTGGACCACAGAAGCTCATTTATTTACTTACAACAGGGCATTTACCTGATAGTGAGCTAAACTATCCCTAGAATATAAAAAGTATGTATTAAGTAAATATGAGAAAATAATTTTAAAATACACACATACAGAGAGTAAAAAAACTTTACCTCCCTCCATCTCCACTTTTCCTGATTTTTACCATAAACAATTTAGTATACTTTCTTCCAAACCTTCTCTGTCTACCTATAAATGTATATTGTAATTGGTTGGTTTTCCCCAAAAACCACATCATGCTCTATAAACTGTTCTATAAGTGACTTACTTTACTTAACAACATAAAACAGACAGTATTATTCTTTTTAATGGCTGCATAGTGTTTCCTATAGTGAATATACTTTACTTAAGCACTCCCCATATTAATGGATATTTAGGTGAATCCCATTTTTTGCTATTAAAAAAAAAGGCTGTGCACTATTTTTAGGGTGGAATTCTAGAAATGGGCTTGCTAAGTCCTTGATTCATTTGAAACTTAATTTGACACTGGTTATCTTGACCACAGTGACATCAGATCATAAATATGGTCATAATGACATCATAATGGGAGAGACAAGAGATAGAGAACTTCTACAGGTATTCAGAGCATTTTTTTTCTTTTGGACATAAAATGAATCCATTGTACAAGAATGCCTTCTCCCCATTCTCAGTGCAGAGACAAAGCTGACAAGCTTAAAAGTGCATGTTTAGGATTCTAGACTTGGTTTAACTCAAATGGCCTTGATTGGATGGGGTCCCTCTGCAGTATTAAAACTGCTCTAATTGCATTCTTCAAGCCAGCTGAAGGCTGACAGCTTCCGCTCCCGGCTCATTATCAGAGCACTTCAAGGGGCTCCATTATGAGCAGAGCACCTGGTCCAAATTTATTTCAACGGCCCAGAGCAAAATGGGAAGGTGCTTAATGTTCAACCACAATGGTGACATTTTTATGAGATATCCAAGGTTCAGAAACAAATAAATGAAAGGTTTGAAGGGAGCATGAACAGAAACTGTGACAATAAAAATTCAACATTGATATATCAATTTAAAAACATATACCACCCATACACTTGGGGTAAGGCCAAAGGTTCAATGCAGGCTAACCAGAAAGAAAAAGAAGAAAAAAGGTCAATACTCAACTCCTCCCATGACTGGCTTTGCTAAAAAAGACTGATGAAATTCTAAAAATGTTTAAGGAAATCAGAATGAGATGCGAATTCTGAATTCCGGTTAGGATAACAATTATGTTATCTATCTGCACCAACATGAGAACGAAAGAAAATCCAAGTGGAATTCAGAGTGAATGCTAAATGTATTATGTTCATAGTTTTTCTCCGGTTTGCTTACACAATTGCTGTCTTTCTCTCTCTCAAAAAAAAAAAAAAAAAAAAATCCCGTGTGGAAATGAGTAAGTTAATAATTCCTTACAGATGTTTCCATAAGAAAACATTGTGCAAATATATATTTAGAATTTTTTAATAAATGTATAATAGGGAAATTTTTCCAGGTAGATCATAGCAGGTCCAAAGTAAACATGACATCCTATTGCATAAATCCATATCTAGAGACTGCTTGTCAAGTGGGATTTTGCTCTCTGCGGCTGAGTACTTGCAGAGATCTTAGTGTGTAGACGACAACCAATTTTAAAGCCCGAAACCCAGCTGCAGAGCATTAGAAAGCTCTACCCTCCACTAAGAATCTGTTTAAAGAATGTTAAAATAAATATTTGTATTCTTTCACTAAACACAACAACGACACTTACATTGGAATCTAAGAAAATGATGAATGAAAAATTATAACACCGGCACTTTACAATGGGAATGCTGACTAAATCGGAACTATACAAACTGGGAGGATTTACTCAATGTTTAGTCTCTTAAGAAAAAAAGAGGAGGACAATTAATCAACTACATAGAAATTTTTTTCAGCTATTAGTTGCTTTTGGTCTTGTGATTTTATCTTTCTCAAGCATTTTCCCTATTAAGCCGACCATACAGATGTGCAATACATTAATCCGCCAGACTATAAAGGCTTTAATTATTTTACTGATTTAGAAAGGCAATTAGGCAGCACCTATTTTTCACGTATTGATTATACCGACTCTGGTTTTAGATCTGAATTCATGAATCATCAGGTAACTGGTATAACCACAAAAAAAGGCTACTGGAGCCTTTTTTTTTTCTACAACAAATAAATAAAAGCACTTAAAATTAATTACCTGATAGAACCACCTTAACTACAAAAAAAAGTGGCAAAATCCCAGTAGAATAAATTTGGTATATAAGTCCTCCAGCAAAGTGACCACTTGTCTGACTGCTTGCAGGCCACCCAGTGTTAGGTCTTAGAATTTGGGAGCTTAGAAAAATCTTCATCTGGGTGTACAAAAACAGGGTGCTTTGTTTTGGTTCTGATTTAGCCTTGCTTCTGCCTTTACTGTATTCTGCTCTCTCCTTTGAAACTACTTAAAGAGCTGGAGCTCTGGGAGTCCATGGGGAATTTCCACGTTCACCATGGAAACTGAGGAAGTGGTAATTTGGATTATGTACATCCGGGTCCTGATTTCTCCTTCACTTTGACCTCTTTCTCCTCCCCATCTACTATTTAAGACCCACTATGTAATCTAGCTCAAAATAACTGAGACTGCAATGATGGCTGTGCATGGTGGCACTTATGAGACAAATAATTCCTGGCCTTTCCCATCTTTATGGAACAGAAGAAAACATAAGTCTTGAAAGTTTTCACAAGATGCTGTGTTAGATGAAAAAAATTGAGAATTTTTCCCATAGAACAGATGTTTCCTAGGTTTGTACAGCCTCTCAACTGTACATTAGGAAGTCACTCGTATGATGATAATGTACCACTTACGGGCAGGATGGTATAGTGGCAAGAGACTTGGATTCAAGCACTGCATGGCATTTATCAGCTGTGCAACTCTATGCAAATTATCTTTAAGCCTTTCTAGCATTAGTTTCTCCATCTATAAAATGGGAGCGATTATGCATGCTTCACCCATCACAGAGAACTGCTGAGACCATCATATGTGCATGTGAAAATGCTCTCTAAGCTGGAAACTAGTGTCATAAACGTCATTTCTTTTTGCAGAAGCCATCTCCATGCAATCACCTACACTGCCCTCTTGCGGTAGGCAGGCTGCATTGCTACTCAAAGGCAAAGAAAATTATTTTGTGAACTGAAGATTGTATTACTACCAGATTAATTTCATGTAACCAACTCTTAATTGCCAGGCGAATAGAGAGAGGGCCACTTGACATGAAATATACAATTCAAAGGATCTACTTGGGTTTTTTTTGTAATGCCATTTATGAACAGTGAATCCGGACACTATACTCTGGCCCCTTTTCTTGCACTACTAGTCCATGATAAAAATTTTTGAAAAGTGGAAAACACTGGAAAAGAAGAGAAGCAGCAGATCAGTTGAGTATTGGTGAAAAGTCCTACCTTCCCTGTTACTTTGGACATGGATATTAAAGCCAGTGAAAATGTTCATAAAAATTGTAGGAACAAAAAGCCATCCATAGTTTTGCCTGTACTCTAGAACTAGAATAACTGACTTTTAGAATTGGTAGGGACCTGAGATGCCACATTGTTCCTCCTCCTTTCTTTACAGATGGAAAATCTAAAATGCCCATAATTTTTTTTTTTTTTTTTGAGACAGAGTTTGCTCTGTTGCCCAGGCTGGAGTGCAAGTGGCGTGATCTCTGCTCACTGCAACCTCCACTTCTCAGGTTCAAGCAATTCTCCCGCCTCAGCCTCCCAAGTAGCTGGGATTACAGGTGCCCACCACCATGCCAGGCTAATTTTTAAAATATTTTTAGTAGAGACAGGGTTTCACCAAGTTGGGCAGGCTGCTCTTGAACTCCTGACCTCAGGTGATCCGCCTGCTTGGGCCTCCCAAAGTGTTAGGATTACAGGTGTGAGCCAACCACACCCGGCCATGCGCATAATTTAAAAGATGTACCTCACTTGGACTCTGATCACCAAATTCCATCACAGCAACCACCTTCACTTGGAGCTGCCTCCCGCTTCTGTTTTTATCACTTCTTAACTCAAAATACATCTTCAATCCCATTTTTCTCTGACAGACACTGATATAGAATAAGAAATACTGGAAAACTAAGCCACGAGGAGCAAAATAAAATATAAATATCACTTAAGGGAATTCATTATGAGAAATCATAAAACTGACAAGTCTCCTGAACAAAAATGACCTGAGAGTTTACCCATAGGTTAGCAAATATTAAAATAATGATAAGGATGACAACCACAAGCAAATCAATACATGCTTGCTGATGAACTGAGTAGGAACTTAAGAACTTGGCGCCTCTCTAAAATTTTTAATTAGAAACATTTAATTGTACTCACTATGTAGTAGGCCATGTTTCAAATGCTTTCTTCTAATCTCATCACAACATCCAATATGCTGTTAATAACCTTTATTGACTGCAGCATCGGTTTACGAACCCTGCTGATTGTTCAGCTAGCACCATGGATCAGGGAGTAATCTAGATGCATAACTCAGAGATACTGCTGGTCTGGTTCCAGACCATTGCAATAGCAAATATCACAATAAAGCAAGTCACACTAATTTTTTGATTTCCCAGTGCACATAAAGTTATATTTACACTATACTGTAGTCTATAAAGTGTGCAATAACATGTCTTTAAAAAGTATATATCTTAATTTTAAAATATTTTATTGCTAAAAAATACTTTGTAAAAATGCTTATAGTCATCCAAGCTAGATCTTCTGGATAAATTGTTGCAGCTTCTCCATCAGCACTTGCTGCCTCACTTTGCACTTTCACCTTACGGAGATGGCTTAGTTTCCTAAACTTCATGAACCCAACTTCTGCTAGCTTTCAACTTTTCTTCTGCAGCTTCCTCACCTCACCCAGCCTTCATAGAATTGAAGAGACTTGGGGCCTTGCTCTGGATCAGGCTTTGGCTTACGGGAATGTTATGGCTGTGTTGGTCTTCCATCCAGAACACTCAGACTTTCTCCCTATCAGCAATAAAGCTGTTCTGCTTTCTTATCATTCATGTGTTCACTGGAGTAACACTTTTAATTTCCCTCAAGAACTTTTTCCTTGCATTCACAACTTGGCTAACTGTTTGGTGCAAGAAGCCGAGTTTTCAGCCTGTGTTGGCTTTCAACATGCCTTCCTCACTAAGCTTAATCCTTGCTAGCTTTTGATTGAAAGTGAGAGACGTGTTACTCTTCCTTTCACTTGAACACTTACAGGTCATCATAAGGTTATTAATTGGCCTAATTTCAACACTGCCATGTCTCCAGGAATAGGCAGGCTCAGGGAGAGGAAGAGAGACAGAGGAAGGACCTGTTGATAGAGCAGTCAACACATAAAACATTTATTGATTAAGTTCACCGTCTTATATGGGTGCAGTTCATGGCACCACCAATTACAATAGTAAAGTCAAAGATGACCGATCACAGATCACAATGACAGATACAATAACAATGAAATTTAAAATATTGCAAGAATTACCAAAATGTGACACAGAGACATAAAGCAAGCACATGCCATTGGGAAAATGGCCATAAACCTACAATTTGTAAAAAAAAACAAAAAAAAAAATGCACTGTCTGCCAAGTGTGGTAAAGCAAGGTGTGCCTGTAGGGGGGAAGGGAGGGCATCAAAGTTCCTCAAAAGATACAGAGTAGTAAGCTGGTAAATTAGAGGAAAAGTCAAGAAAACCTCGTGGGGACCAGCACAGGAAAGGCAGCTGGCAGAGATAAAGCAGGCCTTGCATTCTTTGACCTCAGGGCAGCGGGGGACATCTCTGGGATGTGACCCAGTCAGGTTAAGGTTTTGAGACAGGGCTAAGCCCAGTGTTGTTACTCTTCAGTAAGCCTGGAATGGAGCCAGCCCCTCCCCAAGGAAATCACATAACGATGAGGAAGCCACATGCAGATAAACAGTAAATGAAGACAGGATGACCAGCTCGGAGGAACCAACACCAACATGGGGGAAGGAGTGCGGGAGTGCCTGGGGGGCTGTGCCTGCAGAGGGGAGCAAGAGGGAGAGCATCCAGCACTTCGGGGCACCAGATGCTTTTTCTAAGGTTTGGTCATAACCAGCACCAAAAAACAGCAAGCTGCGCCATTCCCCCAGCTATTCTACTTCTTCACGCTGCTTAGCTGGGGTTTTGGGGACTTGAAAAGTTACCTGGGGCTACAGAACACAGTGTCCACGCACTTGGACAAGCTGGTGAGCCTGGGGCATTGTAGCGGCCTCTGCTCCACCCTTTCCCCTTGTCCAGAAGCCTCGACACCACCAGAGAGCGAAGTGGGACAAGACCCCAGGGAAGAATTTAATAAAACATCAAGGCCAGGGAGTTTGTGATACTCAAAACTTTGTGGAGGATGGGTCAATCTGCATTTATATGTGTTTCCATCTTTCCAGAGAGAGAAAAAAATTAACATGGACTGAATTTTCTCTATTTCTATTAATTCACATATTATGCCATTTTCATTACCACAAAATGCTGCACTCTTATGCTTTCTTAAAAAGATCACTATAGTAAAACTATTAATCTATATACCTGGATGATACTAGAGTTTAATAACCATTTATAGAATAAATCAATGACTGACAGTAATATTAAGGGGCTAAATAAGTTGATCTCTAAAATTACTTTCAACCTAAAAATGCTACATTCTGCGATAACAATAAGTTTATTATTTAAAAGTCCTTAGGCTATTTTAGAGTAGAGTATGTTTGATGATTATGAGAAAGTATCTGGAGACTTGAAACTTTAGCCTGCTAAAGTATCCTTTAGACAGGTCCCTCTGACAAAATGAAGTAAGACCTGGTAGAATTTCTCAGACAAATCATGCCAAAGCATCACCTCCTTCAAGACAATGCATGGGGGCGTGGGGAGGCGAGGATGTCACTCACCCTTGCAGCCCTTGTCTATTTGGCTTTCTCTGCAACATTTCACTGGGCTGAGGAGTGTTCCTCATTGAACTCTCCTTCCTGGGCTTCCCGTTGCTCTCCCGCCTCTGCCCGTTCACTCTACTCCTGTGCAGGCTCCCTTTTCTCTGTCCACCCTTGGTGAGTCTTTGACCTTGGGGATCTTCTTAGGTTCTCTTCTCATACCACACGGTCTTTCCTCTCCTGTGATTTTAGTTAATATCTGTATGCTGATGGCTCTCAAATCTCTTCCTCCAGCTCCAGCTGCCTATTGGACATGTATAACCAGTAGCTCCCCACGCTGCAGTATGTTTGAAGCTCCCTTGCCCTGGTCTCCCTCCTCGCAGCCTCTTCTGGGTGAAAGGCACATGTCCCACCAGACACCCATGAGCCATCCTTGGCCCCTCTCTGGAACCTTACCCCTCACATCCCATAAATCCCCAAGGACTGTGCATCCACCTGCTGAACATCACCAAAGTCCACTTCCAATTCCACTCCCAGTGACTGCAAAGGGGGCCTTTGCCTCGGTGCCACCATTACTATTCCCTGCTCCACAAGGTAGCCAGGGCCAGCTTCTCAAATGCTGACCTGGACACCTCATTCCCAGCTCAGAACCCACCAGTGCCTTCCTTCAGTCTGTGAGAAAGTCAAAACTCCTCCAACTGGGATTGCAAAGCCCTTCCAGAGCTGACCACCACTGAGTGCTCTGGCCTGTCCCTCATGGAAACACATTTTCTCACCTCCTTTGCTTCTGCTGTACTCGTGGATTAAAATGTTTTCCCTCATCCAAATCCCCTCTACCTGGCTGGGGCCATTGCCTTCCAGCTTTTTGGCTTCTGGTAAGTTTTGCCTGAACCCCCTCAATCCTAGATCAAGCGCCCCTTCCACATGCTCTCTTGGGGTTCACATCTCTCAGTTTAGCCCTTGTGCCTCAAGTGTAAGTTCCTGTAACGTCTCAGTATCCCTGCCCCACTCGTGCATATACCCTAAGGCTGTCTCACTCATATCACAACCCCAGAATCTGCACAAGGCCTACCACATGACAGCCACTCAACGGATATTTACTGCATAAACTCATGATTATGAATATTTTAGTACCTGACCTATGAGTTATTGATACGTAATGGGAGTACCATGGGTTGCAGAATAACACAGACCTTGTTTCCCATCCCAGCTCCACAGCTCACATGCTATGTGAACTCAGAAAATGTATGGAAACTTTTTAAGGCTGTTTGCAAAGCTGTAAGAGCACGACCAACCACTTACTTCACAGGGTTGCCGTGAAGACTAAAATACACACAGCATATGAAGTGCCAAGAGTGCTGTATTATTTTATATTTTTCAAAATGCAGTGCTACAAACTTCTTTATCACTATGTCAATTAATGCTACTGCTGCCTTAACCCACAGGCCATCAGATACATTTTTAAAGTTCTTTATGTGAGCATTATTCAAGGAAAAGCCTTGTCCGCTGACCCAGCCAGTAAAAACATTGGGCCCTGACATTGGGTAAGAAATGTTGCTTACAACATTGTAACATTGTTGCAACATTGTCTTACCCAATGCCAGGGCCCAGTGCTATTACTCAAGCAGGCTGGAACATCCAACAATTTCTGCCAGCCTAAGAATTATTGGTATTGCTTTTACATGTTACATTTTATGACAACAAGTCTAACAATATAAAGCAAATAGTGAAATAGCTTGTTTCTTTCCAGGATTATCGAATGAGGGCAGAAGATGTCATGGGTATATTTTGATAAATATTTCAGGCATTACAAACAATACTGAAATATATGCCAGTCTTGTAACCATCACACTGCAACATTTTCTGCTGCCTTCTGAAGACTGTGGAAAAGCCCCCTTGCAAGGGAGGGTGGAAGGAAGAGAGGGAGTTTCTCAGAAAGAGAAGAGAAAAACCTAACACTTGCCCAGTATCATTGTGGGTTTAACAATTTTGCTTTACTGATTTTATGGCACAATCTAGTCTCCCCATATCCCCAAAACAAAAACAAACTAACAGCAACAACAAAAACCCTTTCCATCAGGCCAACTAGTGGCTTTGGAACCAATTACAAAGTACTATGAGATGACTCTTTAAATGAAAACTCTTAAGCTATTCACCAAGTCAAGTACATTGTGGGAGCTGAACTCCCACTTCAAAATTTGGGTTCTGACCACGGCCTCCAATCCAACCTCCCTCAAATTCCAAGAGAGTTAATCCTGGCTTCCCGTCAGGAAGTTTGCTCTCACAAACTTGTAGAAGTACTGGCTATTAAAAAGTGTATGGGTTCTTTTAGTCTTTCTGTGCCATGGTCAGTAAGGGCACAAAACAAATCCTGAGCTTCTAAGGGTGACCCCACCCCACAGCGGGCAAGCAGCATCATGCCATTGCCATGCCCAGGAGGGAGACATGGAGATGGCCTTGGAGCAGCTCTGGGCAGGCTCCCTCTCTCTTCACACAAGAGGCAATTTATGTTCTAGGTCAGAAAGGATGTTTGTTGTCTGCTGTGGTTTGAATGTTTATCCTCTCCAAAGTTCGTGTTGCAATTTAATCCCCAATATGGCAGTATTGAGAGGTGGGGCCTTTAAGACGTGAATGGATTAACATTTATGGATTAATAGGTTCATATGGGATTGGGGCTGGTGGCTTTAGAAGATGAGGCAGAGAGACCTGGGCTGGCATGTTTGCACACCTCAGGACTCTGTAGAGTCCCCACTTGGAGGAAGGCCTCACGAGATGCAGCCCCTCAACCTTGGACTTCTCAGCCTCCATAACTGGAAGAAATAAATTCTTTTCTTTATAAATTACCCAGTATCATGTATTCTGTTGTGTGCAACATTGTCTTGCCAAGGTGGCTCAGTTCATACTATATTTTCCAAGGCTTGCAAAAACTAAGCTTTGCCCTAGTATTCTTGTTGAGAAGATCTGAAACATATGATTTTTATGTGGCTAACAGGCATAAAATCCCAAAGACATTAATACAGAATGATTTTTTAAATATCTTCTGATATGTACCATACCATGTTTAAAATGTTCCCTTCCAGTTTAAAATGTATGCTCTAACTATACAGTATTTCCTTAGAAAAACTGAACAAGATGAGCAATAAGAAATCCTATTTATTTAAAATGTTTCTCTTTAAAGTACATAAAACTTGAAATTTTTATATGCAGCTTAGGTCTTCATAAACCTACAAATAGGTAAAGGGAACACTTAAATCTTTTCCTGAAAATATCTTTGTTTCCCCAGACTAAGACCTCATATTCAAAGTGTCATCCCCCCGTGATTTTTTATGACCACGTTATAAACCCCTCCAAAAATGGGGTTTACAATGGAAGTGTTGACATCATGTTAACTATTGCTTTGCAAACTGAGCTCAGTAATCAAGGCCCATTATATTTATGAGGCAGGTAAAATCTGTAGCCATTAATCACAGAGCCATATTGACAGATTCTAAGTTTGAGGTCCAGCAAAATTAATGTATCCCATTTCTTATATCATTGATACCAAGAAGAAAATTTGCAGGCAGCTTCATAATTGTGAGGCTTTTACATTTTTACAGAAATCCAGAGGCAGACTTGTTGAAACATTTCATTTATTTACACCTGCTGTGGTCAGTTTTTGCACATCTGCAAAGTACTAGAGAAGATTTTTCTTTCCCATAGATAATTCATGAGAATTACATGCATTTGCACAAACACAGCCTTTATTAGAAGAGCACTGCAATCATGAATTCTATGTATCCATATGCCTAACCCACACTGGGGTTGTATCAAATTGTGATTAATTACCAAAAGAATATTCCACTCCTAAATTATAATTCAACATCCCTATATAAAACAATCTGAAATGTCAGCACTCTGTCTTTATGACATCATGCCATCCCAATAATTCTGTTTTACAAGTAAATTCCTATTATACATTAATAAGGGCTGTTGGTGGCTAAACATCTTGCCTCCCCAGTAATGACTAGGTTGAAGGCAATTAGAGCAGCCAGGTGCAGCTGAGCTGGGTACTCATAAAAGTTTTTAAATTTTACTGTTTCCGTTTCATTTGGGGAGGTGCATTCCAATCTGCCCAAATTAAAGAGGAAGCTCTGCCCATGTTTTCAGCTGTTGTGTGTTCTAACCATTACTGATAAACCCCTTTAATATTTCTTTGCTCCTTAGGAGCTGATGATCTGAGGAGTTCAAGTTTCACCACGAGCATCTATATTTCACTGCCTGTCACAGTGGTTACTCCAGACACACATATACATGTGCACACACACAGTCCCAGGGTAACAGAGCAGCACCTTCATTTAAGACTTTCTGGGGCAGCCCTGAGTAGTAAAATTGATGCATGAAAGAAAGAACTTTACTCACTTTGTTAACATGTTTTTGCTGTAATTAGTTTGGGTCAGTGGAGGAGACATCAAATTAAAGTTTTATGTCATAATAGGAGCGATGATTTTCCCATTACAAGAAAATCAATTTCCTTCTACAAACTACCAACACTACATAAAAGAATTAATAAGTGTAAAGACTTAACACATCTGAAGCAAGAGAAAAGGTTACCACTGATGATGACAAATATCCTTAGAAGTAGAATTTTAAAAAGAGTTAACAACTTCCCCACAGTAGTATTATAAGGGTGATGTACCCTGGGAAATTTTCCTACCATTCAGAAAACACAGAGCCCTTTATTTAACTTACTATGTGTCTTTCTTCTCTTTACTCTGTAACTCATACTAATCAATTTAATTTAATTCAGTTAAAACATTTTTAACGTTATAAACAATCAGTTTTATGACATCAAATGACTGACCTAAGTAGGTTTTTATTTAGCTTTCAACAAGTTATATGGATACTCTACACATTAATGATCAGATAGACAAAAGTAATTATGTAACAGCTGCTAATCCAAGGACCAACACCATCCTTAAAAGGTGGATTCATGTTGATGACAGTAAGACAGGGTCTCACTTGATTTCAAGAATACATCAGCCAGAGCTATTCTAGGAATCAATCTTGGAAGGGCCCCTTTAGAAGTAAAAAAAAAAAAATCATATTCCATTTAATTTCAGAGGGCAAAATAGACGTGACTGCCTCTGAATGAGAACAGTCCTCAAAAGTGATCCCTAATTTTTGTCTAGGTGGTTTGGGGAATTTTCCTTTTTGTTTACTTCATTTTTGATATAAAGTTTACATTTACCAAAATAGGATTTAAAAAAAAATAGAGTAGTGCAGCATTAATTCAGAAAATAACGTCATTCAGAAATGTACTGTTGGTCTGTATTAACAACCAACCTCTCCATTTTCTGAGGGGAAAAAGGACACATAAAATGAAGACCCTTTGCATACAGTTAATCATCTCTTGCTTCTAAGCAAAGAAAAATTTATCAAGGACTCATTTTCTTAGGATAGTGAGCTTTAGAATGTCATCAGTCGACATAAGGTTTTTCAAAATTCCTAATCAGGAAGAATGCAAGGAGGAGGTCATTTGTCTATATCAAAGAAGGAGCACCAAAATCTAGATTTATCTTTGTTTCCTTCCTTTTGTTTTCCTTAATCAATGAAAATGTCCATTTTAAAAAGGAAAAAAATAGTCAAAATCAGTATTCTTGTATATTTTCTTTCTCCTCTCCACTTTTTTTTCCTAGTGGGAATACAGGAGATAAAGAGAAGGCTTTGACAAAGGGCCTTTATTTCTTTTAAGCAATTACCAAGACAAGTCCTGCTTCCCAGTGGATGTCTCCCTGCCAGCTTTGAACTACATCCTTGCCCCCCTCATACAGATTAGATGCCCTACATTAACAGAAACAGCCTGAAAACCAGGGGGTCTGAAAACACATCCCTTCACGGAGCTTAACAGTCACTCAGGGTTAACACCACGGGGCTACAATCTGCTGCAAGAGACAGTGGTGCAGGGACATGGTAGCCAACAGCAGTTTCAACTGGTATCATGTTCCGAAAGTTTCATCACTTTTAAAACTGCAACTTCTACATTTTTCTGCAAGTCTCTCTTCCGCATTGCTAAATCCTTTCTGGATTCTGAGATATTTTGCTACTAGGAGCTAGCTTTCTTACTGGCTCCCTGTGCCTTATAAGGAAATTAGGCAATACATTAATAAGTGCTATTGGTGGCTCCCTTCTGACCACTGAGCCACAACTAGGTTGCAGGTAATTAGATCTAAAGGCTCCACTGTCAAACACACCTTTCCTTTTCCTAATTACATGAGAAAACCTCAGTAAGTCCCAATTTTAATAATAGTGCTTCCTGCCACAGGGATCAAAGTCAGAGATGTGTGTGATGAAGTGTAGCTAGGTTTGTTTAAGGAGTGTCTCCTTTTCCTTCTACTTCCAACCCTTGTCCTAATATCTCCCAAAGAAAAGGGGGCCTGTCTCCATTCCCAAGGACTGGTCCTCTGATTCTCCTCTGTTAGAACTCTGTTATTTTCACCTGCCAAACCACCACTATGCCATTAAATCACTATTTGCATTCTGTTGTCCCTTGTGTTTCTCTTTTATTGTTTTAAGCAGGGATGGATGTTTCTGTGAGTTTACATAATCTCTCTCAGGATAAATTCATTCTTAAACTAATAATGGGCTTGATTCTCATGTTAATTCCTCCCTTCAATTAATTTTATTTTACCAACATCTCCAAACTAGGAGGACACTGGACAAATCATCAGCACTGCGCATACTCATCATATTTCCAATCATCACCAATTTCCAACAAGAATAAAAATGCTCCCAAGACATAATCTCCCATTTGGATACACTTGGTCATCACAGTGCATTCCAATGAGCAATACAAGAGGAAAATAATAAAACAGAAACAGAAAGCAAAACAATAATAGTACTGAATATTTAAGGAAACTTAAAAATCTAATCCCCAATGTGATGGTCTGTGGCGATGAGGCCTTTGGGAGGTAATTAGATCATAAGAGTGGAGTCCTTGCCTATGATGGGATTAATACTCTTATAAGAGGGGACTTGAGAGAACTTGCTTCCTCTCTCTCTGCACTATTTGAAGACAGCAAAACCACAGCCATCTGCAAACCAGGAAGAGGGCCTTACCAGACCCAATTATGCTAGCACCTTGATCTTGGACTTCCCAGCGTTTAGAACCATGAGAAATAAATACCAGTATTCTATTATAATAGCCCAAGCTAAAACAGAAATTGGTACTGGGAAGTGGAGTGCTGCCTTAACAAATACTTAAATATGTGGGAGTGGCTTTGGAACTGGTTAACGCGTAGAGAGGCTGGAAGGTACATGCTAGAAAATGTTGACATTGCTGTGAAGGGACTTTGGAAGGTGATTCTGGTGAGGGCTCAGAAAGAAAAGAGGAGAGATATATAGAAAGTTTTCATCTTCTGGGAAAACACTTAAGTAATCCTGTTCAGAATGTCGTAGAAATAGGGATGGTCCAATGAAGGCTCAGACAAATGAGGAACATGTTATTGAATAATTAAGAAAAGTAAATTCTTGTTATAAAGTGGCAAAGAACTTGATTGAACTGTGTTCATGTACTAGTATTTTGTAGAAGGTAGAATTGGCAAGTGATAAAATTGGCTATTTAGCTGAGGAAATTTCTAAGTGTTGAAAGAGGAGCTTGGTTCTTCCTGACTACATATAGTAAAATACAAGATGAGAGAAATTGAGATGTGAGGGAAACAAGAAACTCCGTGGTGAGATTACATCATTTAGATTCAAAAGTCCATGTAAGATTTGGGTCCCCAAGAAGTTAACCACAGGTACCATCAAATCCAGTATGGTGCCATTGTCAGTCAAGAATCAAGGTTGCCTGCCAGGGCTTCAATCCCAATATCCACTGTAGATACTAACAAGTTACTCAACCTCTTTAAACCACACTTTCCTCAACTTAAAAATCAGTTTAATGATTGAACCTACCTCATCGGACTATAGTGAAGATTGGATAAGATTGCCTGTATAGCTCTTATAGTGCCTAACATACCTTATGAACTCAATGAACATTAACTGCCATTATCATCATCATCACCTTCTTCATCATGAACAACAAATCTCTCTGCTTAACGAAGATGCTAATATCCAGTCAAACTGCAATCTTAATACTGGGTTTCCCCAGTTTCTTCAATAACTGCCTAACTTGCCCATTCATCTTATTTTTCATAACTTTAAACATTATTAAATCAAAGCATAAGACTCTAGTATAAATTCTAGGCCAATTACATGCCAAAAGGAAATTATTTTAGTGTTACAGTGCATTCTTAGCATTATCCTATTCTATCTACATGAAAAGTAAAAACTCACTCTGTTTAAAATATCTCCTTTGAGCATCACAATATCCTCCAACACAGGTACTAGTACTCCCACATAATAGAGAAGAAAAGTGAGGCGGCTTCACTGCCTAATCTACCCAAGGCCATAGGCTAGTAATTAGTGGAACCTGAATCAAAGCCAGCTTACCCGACTTTTAACCACACCTCCTCATTCTCTGTCTTCCTCTTTTCCTATTCAAGCTCTTATTTTTTTTTCTATTCCACAGACTTTTTTTTAGTTGTTTTTTTTTTTTTTTTTTTTGAGACGGAGTCTCGCTCTGTCACCCAGGCCGGACTGCGGACTGCAGTGGCGCGATCTCGGCTCACTGCAAGCTCCGCTTCCCGGGTTCACGCCATTCTCCTGCCTCAGCCTCCCGAGTAGCTGGGACTACAGGCGCCCGCCACCGCGCCCGGCTAATTTTTTGTATTTTTAGTAGAGACGGGGTTTCACCTTGTTAGCCAGGATGGTCTCAATCTCCTGACCTCATGATCCACCCGCCTCGGCCTCCCAAAGTGCTGGGATTACAGGCGTGAGCCACCGCGCCCGGCCTTTTTTTTAGTTTTTTAACTTAAAAGTTAATTAAAATTATTACTATTTTTTCTAATTATATCAGGGGAAATAATGTTATTCATATTTTTACATACTTTTGAGAGATGCACTTTCTTCTGTCAACCTGAACTTCAATTTTTTATTATGTCTCAACTAGAAGTCCATATTTTCATGAATATTTAATGTTTCCTCCTAACAGTCATGTTATTTTTCACGACTATTTAAAACCACAGTTGTTAAACTAGGTATTTATGAGGCATTTTCCCTTGCTCCCAATATGCTACCATAACAATTTTCACCACTAAGAACATTCTTAAAATAGTTTAGATTTTTTTTTATTTAGGTATTTCCCATTAAATCCACTTTTTGAGAAAAGAGAATACAGTTTTACTTTCTTTTATGCTCTTAAAATCAACTTAATACTAACCTGAATAAACAAAGTCCTGAATGAAGATTTCAATGTAAGTTAAATATACATATATATTATATATATATAACATATATATATATACACACACACAGACACACACATATATATGCACATGCAGAGAGAGAGAGAGAGAGATCAAAGGAAAATCTGTTTAATGTAAACTTTATTACTTTGGGGTTTTAAAATTCAGAAATACACTTCAACATTCATATTGCTGTTAGAATAGTCGGTGTGTGTATGGCCCAACTGGAAAATATTCTCTTGTTTTAAATGATGATGGGTCCTTGAATCCTGTGTAATGGAACTTAAAAGACTCACACCTTCTACCTTAGCATGTCAATAGGTCAAAACCTTGTAAAATCAACTTGGCAATAACATTTCATGCAGTCCAAGTATGTTACCGTAGCAGAAAATTTGCTACGATGGCTTAATTACACAAGTACATGGCAACATTCAACTTCTAGTGAGAAAAGGTTTAGATTTGGGGAAACTTTTCAATATTTTCTCTTTCCTCTCATTGAGGGTATATTTGGGTTATTACATATGACTTCACATATATATGTAAACACAATGTTGTATTTGTGTATATATGTAGACACTGTAATTACATATATAAAGGGCACTCAATGGGTAGGAGTCAATGTTTAAACTATCAACTTCTAATTAGTTTCAATTTTTTTTTTAACCTGACAGCAATAATCTAAACTCTAACATCCCATTTCAGGGACAAAAGGCAAAAAAAAAAAAAAAAAAAAAAAAAAAAAAAAAAAACAACTAATGTCAAAGTAGAGGAAGAAGGAAATAAAAAGATCTCATTTTTAGAAATGACAGCTCCTTATTTTGGCTTCTATTTAGTTAAAATACACGGTTGGACTGAGCTTTGATGTTATATTGCCTGTTCAGAAAGGGATAAGCAATATTAAAAGTATATAAAAAATTAAAATAGGGAAGAAAAGGAAAAGAAACTGCTTAAACTACTTCATAGAACTGCTTTTAGAAATTTCTGGCTGGATGCGGTGGCTCACACTTATAATCCCAGCACTTTGGGAGGCTGAGGCAGGCAGAGTGCTTGAGCCCAGGAGTTCAAGTCCAGCCTGGGCAACATAGTGAAATCCCATCTCTACAAAAATACAAAAAGAAAAAAAACCAAAAAAATTAGCTGAGTGTAGTGACTTGTGCCTGCAGTCCCAGCCACTCAGGAGGCTGAGGTGGGAGGATCACCTGGGCCTGGGAAGATCGAGGCTGCAGTGAGCCGTAATTACACAACTGCACTCCAGCCTGGGCAGTAGAGTGAGGCCCTGTTTCGAAAAAAAAAAGAAAGAAAGAAAAGAAAAAAAGGAAATTTTTATCTAGAAATTTCCATTCATAGACAAATAATCAAAACATTATTTCATGTAACTTAAATATCTTTCCTAAAACATATCCCTGAAAGGGTTTCTACAAAGTGTTCTAGTTGCCATGTGCACTGGAAGAACACAGAAGGGCACAATCTTTTTAAAAGCATTTTAAAATTTTGATGTTTTAATACTTCAGTGTGACTTATCACCCCTTACTTCCCACCATTAATTAGCATCTGTGAATTTGGTGTTTGATATGGTTTGGCTGTATCCCCACCCAAATCTCATACTGAATTGTAGCTCCATAATTCCCACATGTTGTGGGAGGGACCAGGTGGGAGATAACTGAATCCTGGGGGCGGTTTCCCCCATACTGTTCTCGTGGCAGTAAGTCTTGCGAGATCTGATGGTTTTATAAGGGGTTTCCCTCACTCGACGCATTCTCTCTTGTCTGCTGCCATGTAAGACATGCCTTCTGCCTTCCACCATGATTGTGAGGCCTCCCCAGCTACACGGAACTGTGAGTCCATTGAAACTCTTTCTTTATAAATTACCCAGTCTTGGGATGTCTTTATCAGCAGCGTTATCAGCAGCGTGAAAACAGACTACTACAATGTTGCAGACAAAAAAATTACTGATTGGATAACTTCAAACTTATCTGAAAAACTTGATTCTTCATCAATTACCACTTACATATGTTCCTTTCAATTTACTAAAAATTTCTCCTGGTATATGACCATTTCACATTGCTAAAATCCAGTCAGCTCTCTCAGGCGGCGCGTTCACTGGGTTGTTTTGCCCATTCAGGGGGAAATGAAGAGAGTGCCACAGTGATAGTTCACTTCTCACCGAGCTTTGGGCAAACCCAAAAGACAGGTGCCTGCCTGCAGATGCTTGTCCACTGTCTCTTTTCAAATGCTGTAGCGCCCCCCTGTGGCAATGCCTGCAAACAAGCCAATAACAAGAATGCCTTTTAGAATGAGCTGCAGACAAAAGTAAGGGTGTGGGTGGGCAGGAGCCAGGGAGGGAAGAATGCATTCAGTGCTCAGGACAACTTGACCCTCCCTCTTCAGTATTCCATATATTCATTCGCAAAGCTTGGAACTTAGATTCTTGTGTGGCCAAAGCAAGAGACAGACATTAACTATGAAAGCACATAAATAAAATTATTTCAGACAGTGATAAATGTCCCCACCACTCAGAGGTTCAAAATAGGGTAAGGCTATGAGACATGGTAATATGCATAAATCAGCAATGTAACCCTCTGAAGTAGAAGTCAACATTCGATCTGCTCGGAGGCAACAGACATTTGTATTTCTTTTTCGGATCAAGAGAGGATCTAAAAGTAAATCGTTGTCTGCCTCCCCGATATCCCTTCTTCCCTTTTCCCATCAATACAGATCCCTAATGTTCACTCAGAACAGAGGCTACATTGCCAGCCTGAAGGTCCCACGGCTGGCAAGGAACAAGACAGAAACCAAAGGGCTGACTCGCCAAACATCAGCAGTCTCCTTTCCAGCCCCGGCACCGAGTCTCCAGGGCTGCTCGCTTCTGCCTATCCGCTCCGTAGCACGAAAAGCCTGGAGAGGCTTGGCCTGGCCTGGGTTTCTGTTCTGACACATCAGCTAACTTTTTTGCGACCCTATACACATTAATAACTTCTGTCTCCAAACTGTCATCTGCTGAAAAGCAGCCATTTATCTTACAGGAATGCCATGGGGGAAGAAGGAACCCAGTAGGCACCCAGCACTTGAAATTTTCTGGCAGAAGGAACATGGGCAAGCAGACCCGAAGCTTCTCCTTCCAGGCAAGAACACCTGCTTCACCTCCACTTATTCATGTTTTGCTTATGGTGCTTTTTAAAAATTATTATTTTTTATTTTTTTTGCCAGCTCAGCCCCACCCTGTGGCCAGAGGGGACCAAGGGCCGAGCTGCGCCTGCTCATGATGTTTTAACAATGCCCTCTTTCCTCCACTGCCCTCAATCGTCCTACCAAAGCTCCCTTAGTAAGACGACAAGGAGGAAACACACAGAAATACATGTGGAGTCCCAACAAGAAAGAAGCTCCATCCAGAAAAACTGGCACCCCAGAGAAGGGCACAGTCTCTATGCTTTGGCTTACCTGATACCCACATGTACCCCAAGGGTGTGCCATCTCCGAATCTGAGAAGCTCCCACAGCACCAAAGCCAAACCACTTTCAAGGCTCCACGCAACCTCTCCCATCTTATTCCCACAAGTCTTCAGTTTCATCCCAGTCCCTCTCTTCATTCTCCATCAAGAGCACCACAATCATTCTACATATTTGTTCACTCTGTTGGGCCTCCTAGGCAAGCCCTGTATTAGTCCATTTTTATACTGCTATGAAGAACTGCCCAAGACTGGGTTATTTATAAAGGAAAGAGGTTTAATTGTCTCACAGTTCAGCATTATCGGGGAGGCCTCAGGAAACTTACGATCATGGCGGATGGTGAAGGGGAAGCAAAACATGATCTTCACAAGCAGGGAGGAAGGAGAAGTGCCAAGTGAAGGGGGAGGAGCCCCTTACAAAGCCATCAGATCTTGTGAGAACTAACTCACTATCATGAGAACAGCATGGGGGAAACCACCCCCATGATTCAATTACCTACAGCTGGTCTCTCCTTTGACACGTGGGGATTATGGGGAGTATAATTCAAGATGAGATTTGGGTGGGTACACAAACCCTAACCATATCAAGTCCCTACCTCAAGGAGTTCTCTGGCTTTCTGCTCATCTTCAGTCCACCTGTCCTTCTAGCAGAGCCTCTGCTGCCTTCCAACAGGTAATCATGGTCCCCTCCGCTGAACGTCAAATCCCTGTGAGATCCTAAGAGGGCATCAGTCAGCTTAGGCTGCCATAACAGAATACCACAGCCAGAGTGGCCTGAACAACAGAAGCAATTCTGGAGGGCAGAAGTCCCAGATCAAGGCACCATCAGGACTGTTCTGCTGAGGCCTTGCTTCCTGGCTCATAGGCTGGCCCTCTTGCTGTGTCCTCACACGGCTGAGACGGAGAGCTCTGGTGCTCCTCCTCTTCTTATACTAGCACTAGCCTTTACTGGGCCCCAACCGTATGACTCATTTAACCTTCATCATCCCCTCAAAGGCTCCATCTCCAAATATCCTGGGGGTTAGGGCTTCAACATATGAAATTTGGGGGGGGCACAAACATTCCATAGCATCAAGGATGGCGTGAGACAGAAGACACTAAAAGGGAGAGGGATAAGCAGAACTGAGAGGGAGGCCACTGAAGAGAGAAGTGGGAGGCAGGGCCTCTGTCCGCTCTTGGAGTTGGAGAAAACAAGAATGAAGGGAACAAGAGGGCCAGTGGTTAGGGTTGTCCGAGAAGTTCTGTGGTGAGGAAAAAACTATGAGTAAAAGGCAACACTTTTGGTTATAAAGCACAATAAGCTATGACAAGAAGCAGTCCTTTGCTGTTAATTCTCTGAAGGTTAACTTGACTGGACCATATATGTCGGAAATGACCTTTCCCTTGTCATAAAAATAACTGAAACCCTTACAGACATAATGAAAATCTTACTATCCACTATTGAGCAAGGAAAAACATCTATAATCAAATTAAATATTTTGTCTTTTAAGTGCATTAGCAAAATGATTTACATAAGAACTACACTTTTCACATAATCATTCATGCATGTTGATAGACGATTCAAGGAAAAATTCATAAAACAGAACTGCAGCTCAAATCTGTTCTGAACAATTTATCTTCTTACTACAAGATGGCCAATAAGAGACTATTTTTTAACTTTTTCATTTGCAATTTTTTTTTTAATTCTCAAATTGCATCTATATCTCAAATAAAGTAATGGGAACATTCTAGCTCTGGGGTGTGGAAAAGCAGCCATGGCCGTGGGAAGCTGACTGCAAATGAAACACTGGCTTACACTGCCCTCTGCTGGTATACTGACCACATTTCAAGTTCCTTCGTTTTTACAAAGTTGCCAAAAGACGTTCAGTATTTTGAAACAGCAAATTCAAGCCTAATTACTAAGAACAGGTTGTGGAAAATATTACCAAGTGGCTTAAATGCCATCTGCACCACATCAGGCACACATTCCTAATGAAAAGGGCACATGTGTAGAAAGAAATGGTGCCAAATCACACCTGCTAACCTAATATAAAGGGTTTTTAACTAACTCTTTAAAATATGCATTAAGTTAACAATAATGCCTTTAAATCACCCCCCACCCCCACTTTCCCACCCAACCTCTGCCACACTAACCAACTTTTCAGAAAACAAATATTGCAAAAAATGAAATCTTGGCTCCCACCACTGCATTTGGGCCTCTGCTTAAATCAGCTCAGCAATAAATAACTGCATGTTACCACAGTTTACAAAATTCATTTTCTAAGTACAGACTTTTTTTTTAAATTTAGATGCTGCTAATTTGCCAGAATGTTGCTGGAAAACATGCCATTTGTTTAAACACATACAACATCAGCCTCCATTAAAATGATTACAGCATCAATTCAAAAGTCTGAAGCATTTATTAGGTGTCTCTAATTCCACAGAGCCTTTTACTAAGCCCTGTATAAATTAGTTAAGCCAAATTCCTGCCTCAGAGCTTGTTTCCTAAAATAGATGAAGTCACACACATTGATACAATAGAACAACACAGGTACATTAACTTAAGTGAATGGACCTACATTGTGTTCTGAAGCAAGAAATGGGAGAGCTGAAGGAGCTGGATATATAAAGGGTGGGGCAAGAAGAAATCACAGCTGTCTACGAATCAGTCAGCAAGTCCTTTGGGAGGAGGTGGGATTTCAGGTAGCTGAATGAAGGGGAAGGTTCGGGGAGCTAAAAAGAAAGGTGGCAGCCACAGGCCTGCTAGAGTCTGGGAGGTCATTTTGCATGTAGAAATGGGAGGGTGACAGGAAAGAGGTAAATCTTGGAAATGCCATGACTCCCAGCAGCCACACAGCAATCTGCTTTAACCAAACCCAGAACACTATGCACTTCTGCACAGGGGTGCCCAGCTCCAGGCTACTCATTAAATTCTCAAACCATTCCATAACGTAGTTATTATTATTAAATCTCATGATGAAACTGAAGCACACAAAACGGAACATTTTGTCTCTAGACCCCAGAAACCTTAAGCTTGCTACTATGGACTGAATGTCTGTGTCCCCTTAAATTCCTATGTTGAATCTGTAATCCGCAATGTGATGATATTTGGAGTGAAGCCTTTGGGAGATGATCAGGTCATGAGGGTCTCTGGATGGGATTAGTGCCCTCATAAGAAGAGAAACCAGAGAGTTTTTCTTCTCCCTCTCCCTCTCTCCCTGACATATGTGGACGTAGCGAGAAGACAGCTATCCACAAACCAGGTAGCAGGCCCTCACCAGGAAGTGAATCGGCCAGCACCTTGATCTCAGATTCCCCAGCCTCCAGAACTGTGGGAAATAAATGATTGTGTGTAAGCCAAACAGTCTGCAGTATTTTGTTGTAGCAGCTCAACCTAAGACACTTCCTGAGTGCAAGGACCAAGTACGTCTTCTTCATCTTTATGCCTTTAGCACTTAGCCAAGTGCCTGGCACATAGGAGGTATACAGCGACCACCAAGAGGCATTACTAAACAAATAGCACTCAATCATAATCTCCCCAGTAAAATGTAAATTCTGGTTCAGAATGGAACATTATTCACTTTTTATTTCAGAGTCTCCTTTATCTAAAGTGCAACTAGATTCTAGCTCCTTTGAACTCTGGGATGCCTCACAATGTGTCCCACTGAGGAGAAATGAATGCTAGACTCACAACTAAGCATTTGATGGTAAGAAATGATTAGTAATTACGATGGTAATGGTAACCGCTAACACTGACTGTGTACTGACAACATGTTTGGCACTGTGCTAAGCATATCATGCACAACATTTCATCTGACCATCAGGAAAACACTCTGAGGACAGAACTATGACCATCCTCCAGTGCAACAAGAAAGTCCATAAAGGGAGGTCCGCTAGTCATGCCCAACTCCTAGTCTGGGATTATTCATAAAACAAAGCAAAATGTTCTGAATTAAATGTTCTCTCTCTCGGGCCATGATAGGCATCCATGGGCTACTCTACCTTTTCCTAATAAGCATCAGGGCAAAGTTAGCACTAGGACTGAGGGATGCCAGCACCACTTTCTTGGGACTTTCTATTATTGCTGGCATGTTAGCCAATGTGACTTAGAATAATGTGGGGATTATTTGTAGTATGGAATGGAAACCTTCCTCTTCATTTCAAAGAGGATAGTGTACTTTGTTCAAATGTCCAGTATCTTGTCTCTTATGATGACAGTCGGCCACATCTCCATCCCCAAATTCCAATGTTCTTTAGCATTTGATACTTATTTCTTAAATATGTATTCAGTCTGACTAAAAAAAATTCTATGAAATTTTCATTGTCTGTTCACAACTTCCAGCAAGACTAAAAAGCTTTTTTTTTTCTTTTTTTTTTTACAGCTAATAAATTCCAGCTTAGAAAAGTTAAAACTTCTACACTTTGGAATCTCACCAACATGGGGGAGAGGAGTATGCAAGATGGAACAGCCTTTTAACTCTTTTTTTCTTTTGAGACAGAGTTTCGCTCTTGTTGCCCAGGCTGGAATGCAATGGAGCGATCTCGACTCACCGCAACCTCCACCTCCCAGGTTCAAGCATTTCTCCTGCCTCAGCCTCCCAAGTAGCTGGGATTACAGGCATGCACCACCATGCCTTGCTAATTTTACATTTTTAATACAGACGGGATTTCTCCATGTTGGTCAGGCTGGTCTCAAACTCCCGACCTCAGGTGATCTGCCTGCCTCAGCCTCCCAAAGTGCTGGGATTACAGGCACGATCCACCGCGCCTGGCCTTTTAAACATATTTTTAAAAGCTAACCAGTGACAAAAACAGAACTGATGAACAAGAAGGGGTCCTCACTTTCCTACAAAAAGATATGGCCTTTTAGTCTCCAAGATTTCAGTGCTTGGAGCTATACTTGGCCTGCCTCAACACTGGAAACAGCCAAGAGAAGTTTCTGTGCTCACTAAGAGAAGAGAGATGCACTAAACATCGTGTTCTTTTTAATGGTCCTGATTATATATACCCAAGTACTTAAAGTCAAGTTTTTGAAAGATGCTTGCTTTCTTCTGTTAATTAGTCTAAAATCTAATGTTGGAAGGAAGAATCATGGACAGTGTGTTCCACACTCCCAAATTTATTAGAAAGGACAAAGCAGAAAGTTCTGAAGAGAGGGTGGGGAGAGAAACCCATCAGCCTTAATAAATGAGAGTAATACTTCTGTTCATAAATCAAGTTCAAAATAAACTATAAACCAGGATTACTAAACCAATACATAAGAGCATTTCTATAAACCACAATCCTTACATGAACTCTGGGTTTTAGATTAGCATCTCTCTGAGCTCGCCTAAAACTTGTATAAAGTAAATCACTGCAAATCCAAATCAAAAAAGTTTTATTTTTCAAACTACTGATTGTTCAGGTAGAGCATATATATATACATATATATATAATAATAACAAGATATAATCCCTATTAAATGAGGAGGTCTCCATTTACCAGCAGGAAGAGGTACTTTCAGATGGATGGAATTATATCTCAGACAACTTCTCAATGCTAAGCGTGATTCTGCAAGTTTAATTTACAGTCCTGTAAGTTAAGGCTCTATGAGCAACATGATTAGTGTCCTACAAAATGGCTCAGTTTAACTTAACCCATCACAGAAGTGCCTTCACATTCTGATCACTCTAGACTCAAACTTAAAGAAGTATAAGAAAGGAAAAGAAAACAGAATCACAAGACCACCATCCATATGCACTGCTTTAAAAATGTGCTGAAATTCTGAGAAGCAAAGGTGTGTCTGGAAAAGAAGAATCCAAAGAATAGCTGGACCAAGTCTGTGGTAGGTGGTCATGGGGCCACCAAGAAATAGGTTTGAGGCATCTGTGCATCTACACTGTATTTTGTATTGGGTTAAAAACTGGAAAAAACAAAACAAAACTTTAGGCAGCACTCATCCACTCTGGATAAAGAATAAATTCTCCATCTAACAGTGAGCTGGTGATAGGAATTATTTATAGATCATGTCATCTAAGCACCTAAAAAGATAAAAATATCATAGTGATTTTTATGAAGTTTACATTTTCAGAACTGCTTTGAAGCATATTTAGTGACTTAATGACATAAGCATTCCTTCAGCATTCCAGATAACAATAGAGGCATTGGAAATACAGGTGGAACCCTTTTTTTATCCTCATCGTGCCACATTAATTTTGTAAATAATACCACAACTGTGACTTCAAACACAATCAATCTGATATTTCTGCCACTACAGCTTTTCAATGTTTTAGCTCTTGCTGTATACCACATATTAAACACACCTCCATCACAGACACACAGTTATACAACGTGTTATATATTATTACGTATATTATGTTATATATTGATTCTACTGTAAGAATATCTAAGAAGACTAGGGTGCCCAAGAAGGGCTGAAAGGGAATCACAGAAGATTCTGACACATTTACAGTTTTGGCCAGTCATGGTGGCTCATGCCTGTAATTCTAGCACTTTGAGAGGTTGAGGTAGAGGACTGCTTGAGGCCAGAAGTTTGAGAGCAGACTGGACAGCATAATGAGACTCATTTCTATATTAAAAAAAAAAAAAAAAAAAAAGCCTGGCATGGTAATGCACACCTGTAGTCCCAGCTACTTGGGAGGCTGTGGAGGGAGGATTGCTTGAGCCCAGGAGGTTGAGGCTGCAGTGAGCTGTGATCCTGCCGCTGCACTCCAGTCTGGGTGATAGAGCAAAACTCAGTTTCAAAAACAAAATAAAATAAAATGTAAGCCCATTTTAAGTGTGCGCTTGGTGTACTTGAGAATCTGTAAAGAAAACAAACAAACAAATAAACAAAAACAAATACAATTTAACTGCTTGACGGAAATGCCATTTTTTTTTCTTAGCTCAAAAGGGATCAATACGGCATGGGATGCTTTTAGATATATTTTTAACAGAATACAGCTAGAGGGATAAAATGCTAATTTTCTACACGTTGTCTTATGAACCACAGAGGAATAAATGGTGCCTCATCAGACATGTCTCAGTGGCAGAACTGGGGAGTGGTACCACCCTGAGTGGGAGGCAGGGCACCAACAACCCCTCCCAGCCTGTGCCACCACCCTGATTGCCCAGCACCCCCAAGGGACAATGCAGAGGCAGGCAGCTGGAGGGACAGCTTAGCCTGGGCTCAAATCTGAAACACAGAAAGAGATAAGAGATGGACCAAATCCATCCCTGCTCCAACATTTGCTGCAAGGTAACCACAAGCAAATGTCTTTATCTCTTAGGGCATTTGCTACAAAAGTGGAAACAGTAACAGCTACACCTCACAGGACTATTGTGAGAATTAAAAGACATATTGTGAATAAAATGCCTGGCGATAGCGCCCAGAGCATGCTTAAGGCTCTGTGAATAGAAACGATTCCCATAAGTATCACTCTCTGATTTCTGGGCTTGTTCTCATTGGCAGTCCCTAGGTTATTTCTTATCACCATGACCTTGCAAACCATATCATAAATATCCAGGCACTATCTGAGAAAAAAATACAACAATGTATACTTATTATACATAGTTGGTGAAAAGGGGTATATAATATTTAGCACAAATTCATTTTTTGAAAAAAAATGTCTGCATATGTGGTTGAAAAAAAGTCTGAAAGGACATATACTGATTTGTAAACATGGTAGGTTCTGAGTGGTTTAACTACAATCAACAGCTTTGTCTTTCCTTTTGCTTCTCTGTTTTTCTAATTTTTCTATAGTGAGCATACACTCCATAGTTATATAAAAATATGAGAAATCAAAATTTTCATACATACTGAAAAACAAAATCATAAGATACTGCTGCTAAAATATCAGAACTAGTACAAACACAATACCACCTCCAATGCAAAAGAACACGATGACATAAAACAGCACTCAAAGGTCAAGCACAGCCAGAGGACTCTCATGGCAGAGAGAAAGTGAACTTGACCTTGAGCCCTAACTCAGCTCTTCCCCAGCCACAGCCCTCGGTGAGTCACTCATCTTGGGCCTCAGCTTACGACCGATTGATGTAACCATTTTTGCCCCAGTGGCAACACTTGCTAGGGATGACCAGTCCCTTCTCCTTGGAACACTCTGCCTTGGCTTCCAGGTCACTCCCTCCTGGCTTTTCCTTCCACCTCGGTGGTCCCTCCTTCTTGGTCTCCTTTACTGGTTCCCGGATCTCATCCAGTCTATTGTTTTAATGCCCACCATTCCCAAATGCCTATCTTCAGTCCTGACCTCTCTCCTGAACTCCAGAAGTGAATATCAAAAATTGCCCACTGGATGCTGGGCATGGTGGTATTTACCTATAGTTCTGGCTACTTAGGTGGCTGAGGTGGGAGGATCCCTTGAGGCCGGCCAGGGGTTTGAGGCTGTAGTGTACTATGATCGCGCCTCTGAAAAGCCACTGCACTCCAGCATGGGAAGCAGAGCAAGATCCATCTCTAAAATATTTTTTTTTAATTGCCCACTGAAGATTATCATTTGGCATCCAACAGGCATCGCAAACTTAACCTGGCCAAAACAGAGATCCTGATTTCCATCTTCCTCCAAAACTTCCTCCAGCCAGTCACCCTCATCTTAGCGAATGCCAACCAAATCCTTCCAGTTGTTCAGGTCAACCACTCTGGAGTCATCCTTGGTTTCTTTCTTTCTCTCATACCTAAACCAAACCTGTTGACCTTATCTCTAAAATCTACCCAGAACTCTACCACTTCCCACCACCTTCACAACTACCACCTGGACCAGGACCACTGGTTATCTTGTTACTGGACTATTGCAATCCCCTCTTAATCAGTCTCCCTGCTTCCACCCTTGTCCCCTCCAGTCTACTCGAGACACTGCAGCCAGAGTCACACTATGAAAGCACCCATTCATCCATCCTGTCCTCCTCTTCTCAAGGGCCACTGGCTCCCCATCTCCCAGAGAGTAAATGCCTCAAAAGCGCAAACTGGCCTACGTGGGTGCCCACCACGACCTTATCTCCCCCTGCCCTCTTTCTCACTCACTCCAGCCCCACTGGCCTCCCTGCAGTTCCTCCAGCACACCGGGCAGGCTCCCACCTCAGGGCCCCAGTCCGAGCTGTTCCCTCTACTTGGAATGCTGTTCTCCCAGCTGGCCACCTTCCCACTTCCTGCAGGTCATTACTCAAATGTCTTCTCCCTGGGGCGACTCCCCAGCCACCCTAGGTAGTACTGTGACAACCCCACACTCCCCCTCTCCACTTTCCTTATCTTACTTTTCTCCATGGCAGTTTCATTTCCCAACATAACTTTTGTTTCACTCACTTCATTTATTTGTGGTCTGTCTCCCTACAGCTAACACATAAATTCCACAAAAACAGGATTTCTTTATTGTTTTGTTCCCAATTGTATCCTTTGTACCTAGGACAGGGCCTGGCAAATACTAGGCACTCAATAAATGTTTACTGAATAAACAAATAGGATTTAACAACCTGCCCTTACATGTCTGAGTTACATAAGAAGCCCACAAAATAAGGAATGTAAATGTAACTACTTAATAATTTGTCACTTAGATAAACATGTGGATAGTGTTACTATTATCACTGTTGTATTGAAGATATGTCCCAGTTCTGCCAGATGTGGCCTTATTCATGCTTGACCTGTGATTCTCCACCTCCCTCCTACTTTATTTATTTCAGTACCAAGGTTGGTAACTGAGAATTCCTACAACATTAGGATTCTGGAACGTATTAGGTTCGCAGACCCACTCAATGTCCAACCCTACAAATAATTATCTGAATCTTCCCATTTTTGTCTTCCCATGGGGAAGAATAAGGGGAGATTAAAAGATTAAACGTCATCACCGAAGAGTGCAAACAGTGCCTATTCTTTCTTTACTGTGCATCAGAAATAGTATACCACTTAACCTAAGGCAGCTCAGGGTAGAAGACTCTGCCCTTGACTTTTGCTTAGCCCTCATGAAACAACCATGTCTCACCCGAGGTGGATTTCTGTGTGACCTCTCAATAGACAATAGCTTGGGTTCAGCTCAGAGATCTTCATCTGGAAACCAAGAGTATTTAAAATATGCCAGTAACTCTAGGAGATACAGAAAACTGCATGTTAGGTTATGACATGTCCGGATTTTTTTTTAGAGACACCAAACAGAAATGATACAGAGTTAAAAAAAACAAACAAGAACTCTCCTCTCAATGCCAAAGTCTCTTGGCAAGTAGAAAACTCTACCTGAAGACAATTTTGCTGACCCATATTCCATCTTGGTTAGAAATAGTTGTTTGGAACTCTTCTCTGTAAGTTCAAAGGAACTATAGCCCTTTCGAGGTCAATAACAGTACCTTTTACTTACAAAACTAACATTTAGTTACCGCAGATAAACTGCAAAGCATTGTGACTCCTGGTGAGGAAGGTAATTAATCTAATTGAGCTGAACACATAACGGTTTTCGAGTGGATAAAACTGCACCTTGGGACACTTGAGCCCAGCAGCAATGCCTGCCCTATTTCAGGAATGCGCAGAGTTGATAGGAAGGCAGCTGCACTGAGTTCACCTTTTAGTTTGACAAAAGGATTTCCTTCGTCACACCCTAAGGCTCCTTTAGAAAGAAGCAACTTATAAAATTATATCCTGTTAAATACCCTAATATCAAAGTGGGAAACTGACCGATTTAAGACTTAATCAGCTTAATTGTAAGATTTTGCCTGTCAGCAACATACCAAGCTTGACTTGCTCCTCTCATCTCATTGCATTGAGTCTGTGTTACCACAGACGCAAGAGGAAGAGTCTATCAGAAAGAATTATACAAGCGGCTACAGAAAAAGCTTTCATTTCTCACTTTATCAAAGTGACTCGATGAGCACACAGCATCTCATCCTCATCAACCGTGGCTTCTTTCTTCATTAAAAGTAAACCAAACAAACAAAAAGCTATTTTGCATTTGGACTCTCTTCCAGGAATAACAACATATTCCCAAGAAAAATGAGGTAGCATGGGAAACTGTTTTAAGGATGACACACTGGCAAGCTCACGATCGGTTCTGCTAGGATCCAATCCAAGCACATGTGGAGGTTTTCAGTAGGTAACAAGAATAACCTTCACTGTGAATGCTGTCTTACAGGTTATTTCAGCGTTTAAAATGCTTTATTTATGATAGTAAAACTAGAGAAAATAAATGAATCCATATCAGACCAAAGGATTACAAATAAATCCCCTAGTATTGTTGATGTGGCATTTTTCCTTCCGAAGAGCAATGGTTTTTCTTTTCACTTGCTTTTGGTATTGGTTTAACTCCACATTGGGGTTGATATTTTCATCACACAAAAGTCAGGAAATCTGGAGTTAATGTTCCAATAGCCACTCTCCCAACAACCTCTGACGCAGACATGCACCTGGCTTGCTGAGCAGCAACGTCCCAATTACCACATGTCATCATTTCAATAAATAGAACTCAAGTGTTACAAGACAACAGCGAGTTCTAGGGAGACACAGGATCTGACACGTGTTAATACCTCATTATACACCCAAGCCTTCTGCCAAGCAGAAGAAACACAGGATCACCTTCTAACATAAACATTATAGGCCTTTCTTGCTATGGGGATCAAGTCCAGTATATTTTTCATTCACCATATGGTCATTTCCCTCCACTGCAAAGGAGATGCAGTGAATAAAAGCTATGTTAGGATAGCAATATGCTTGAGAATTTTAAACAAACCAGTGAGGCAGATCACTTACGGTTTTCATACCAAGCATACCTCTGAAGGCTGCATATAAATACTCCTTTCAGCTGTGAGCACCATGCACCCCGATAGGAAATACTGTACTATATATATAAGCAAGAGACACAGCATTCCACTGACTTAGGAAACACAGGTTCAGACTTTTACACTTTCATCTTCCATGCAGGCCCCATGGTCTAGTGGGCTAGCACAAGGCTGGAACTGGAGGAATCTGAGAGTTAGTTACAGGACTGCCTTGGTTCCTCACAGATTTTGAGTTCAGGAAAATTATGTAAATTATACCTCGGTTCTTTATTTCTGGAAGAGGGAACAAAGTGACTACAAATTCCTAATTGCAGCAGAAGCATCTAAGCTTTGATGACTCAAGCTGCCAACATCGAATTAATCTGCCACCTGATTCTCCCAGTTTTACAGGTGTGCTTTATATTTGTCCCTCAAACACCAACCAATCCACAAACATCCCACTAGAGTACGTTTCCAGCACTTAGTGAGTGAAGTATCTTGAAGGTATTTCTCATCATGGGCAGAGTTTTACAACCAGTCTCTTGAAGCACTTTTGTGTATTTCAAAAACCATGACCTACTACAGAAATGTGAGCCCATATAGTAGCTGAGGCAAGTCACCTGTGGAGAATACAACCAGGAACACCTTGGTATCAGATGTACTTTACTAAAGTGCTTTGGGGCGCTGAGAATGTTCTCAGTATCTGTACTCACTGTGCTTCTCCCTCCAAATTGATGAAACCTAAACTGGAGATGTGTTTCATGACATACAGCATGAAACAGCCAGGAATATAGGAATCTAGTGTCTCCATGGGCTTCAACTTCTCAAGCCAAAAATTACACTGTAGCTATCTAAGCCAGAGGCCACCATGGCAGACCAACAGAAACAAGGCAAAATTAAGTGAACGTAGTCAACCCAAGGCACATACACAAAATGAGGACATAAGGACCTCACAGGTTACAACATTATCAGAACAAAATGCCATTCAATAGTGGTTCAAAGGAAAGAATACACAGAGACACCATTTCCGTTGTTAGACACACATATCTAATGTAGTTTACTGCCAGAGAATGCATACGGAGTTCCACTTTACAGACCCTACGATGGACCTAAAGCATTTTCACAGAGATGACTTATTAAAACCAAAATAAATGGTGGCCTACAAATGAAACCAGAGACATAAGCGTAAAGGCTTAGGATCCAGCACCACACCCAGGCACGCCTCACTTCCCTGAGCTCAGAAGGCATTTGCTCCATCACGGCTAAAACAATGAGCTCCCAGGTCCCAGAGGCCCACTGATCAGACCTGGGGGGTGGGATGCAGTAACTCTCTTCTTCAGAGGACAGGCTTTTCCAGATGGCAGTGTGACAACACAACCTCAATTCTGCAACTGGTTCTCTGCACTATCTTTATTGTACCCACTGAGTCACTCAACAAGTATTTCCTCAGCCCTTGCTCTGCCAGGCACTGGACTTGGCATTACATTTTCCTAGTCGAGACAGTCATATCCAGGCCCAGTTAATGCCCCGATTGGATTAACCTTCCAACCTCTCTTCATGCTTACCCTTCCAGCAATGCCAAATTCATTCAGTCCCCAAGGTCACTGGCATCCTAGTTTCAAATGAGGAGCCTCGTCATGGTGCTCCTATTATTACATTTTGGTGGCAGGATAGCCCCTGCCCTTGGTTTCCAAGCTCATCTCTCTATAATCAAAACAACTCATGTTGTCTTTACTCTTCCCTGCCAGTTCTCTCTGCTCCTCTAACATTCACTTGCTCAGTTTCTTACGGATCTGATCATCCCATGAGGCAGCCTGATCAAGGAGGGCCTGTCCTCTGTGGAGAAAATGAAACCCTTGTGCACTGTTGGCAGGAATGTAAACTGGTATAGCCACTATGGAAAAAACAGTACGAAGGTGCCTCAAAATATTAAAAACAGAACTACTGTGTGATCCAGCAACCCCACTTCTGGATAGATGCCCAAAGAACAAAAAATCAGTATCTCAAAGAGATACCTGCACTCCTGTGTTCACTGACGCATTATTCTCAATAGCTAAGCCATGGAAACAACCTAAGTGTCCATCGATGGATAAACAGATTTTAAAAATTGTGGTATTCATACACAATGGAAATTATTCAGTCATAAAAAAAGGAAACTGCCATTTGCAATAACATGAATGAACCTTGAGGGCATTATTCTAAATGAAAAAGTCAGACACAGAAAGACAAGTACTGTATGATCTCACTTATATGTGGGAACTAAGAAAGTCGAACTCATAGAAACAGAGGGTAGAATTAGAATGGTGGTTGCCAGGGGCTGGGGGTGGATGGCTGGAGGAGGAATAGGAAGCCATTAGCTAAAGGATATAAACTTCCAGTTATAAGATGAATAATTCTGGGGATGTAATTAATAGCACAGTAACTATCGTTAACAATACTGTTTTACATACTTGAAAGCTGGTGAGAGGGCTGGTCTTCAATGTTTTCACCACACACACAAAGATAACTATGTGAGGTGATGGGTCAGTTAATTAGCTGGTTTCTGGTAATCATTCCACAATGTCGACATATATCAAAACATCACATTGTATATGGTAAATATATTCACTTTTAATTCATCAGTGATACCTCAATAAAGCGGGGAAAAATAAAATTGAAATTTAAAAAAATAATAATTTAAAAACCAGCCTATCCTCTTCCTTATTCAGGTAACTGATACGCCGCATGCCTACATATTTCATCTGATAACCCATAAACGCTCTCTCAAGGTATATCAACCACCTGCCCAGGAAAAAAACATCTGTAATAACAATAGCACTGAATACTGTAAAGCACTTCCAATTATACCATCTCAATCCATCCTCAACACTGTGAAATGGCTATTACTTAACTCATTTTACACACAAGGAAACTAAGGTTTGTACAAATTAACTAGTCCTAGATAATAGAGCTAGTGAATGGCTGAACTGGGACTCACTCTGTCAATAGGCTGCTAAATAATGGTCCTTCCATCACCCACTCTGCCAACCCCTGTTCAGTATTAGCCATGAGAGACTGCGGGGATGGAGGGCACTCACCTTGCCTCATCTCCCGAAGGCCAAACAGGGCCAACAACTGAAGAGAGAATCAGCCAAGCCAAAAGAGATGGGCATATGAAGACTTGAATCCTAAACAGCCTAAGTGAATTTAAAAAAGTAGTAGTATCCAACGAGAAGTTGTCAGAAAAGAACTCAGAATGAAGCTGCAAAGGTTACATTACAAACTACACTAGATATTTTTTTAAGGAACAGTTGCACGTCACACACATTTATCAATAAAAAGGAAAACATTCATTTGACTCCTGAAGAGTTAAAATTTTAAAAGACTGGTCAAGAGGAAAAGAATCAACTGAAAAGAATTATAATTAGAAAGTTTAGGCCGGGCATGGTGGCTCACACCTGTAATCCCAGCACTTTGGGAGGCCAAGGTGGGCAGATCACCTGAGGTCAGGAGTTCGAGACCAGCCTGGCCAACACAGTGAAACCCCATTTCTGATAAAAATACAAAAATTAGCTGGGTGTGGTGGTGTGTGCCTGTAATCTCAGTTACTTGGGAGGCTGCGGGAGGAGAATCACTTGAACCTGGGAGGCAGAGGTTGTAGTGAGCCGAGATCACGCCATTGCACTCCAGCCTGGGCGACAGAGTGAGACTCCATCAAAAAAAGAAAAAAGAGAGAGAGAAAAAGGAAAGGAAAGGAAAGGAAAGGAAAGGAAAGGAAAGGAAAGGAAAGGAAAGGAAAAGGAAAGGAAAAGGAAAAGGAAAAGGAAAGGAAAAGGAAAAGGAAAAGGAAAGGGAAAGGAAAAGGGAAAGGGAAAAGGAAAAGGAAAAGGAAAAGGAAAAGGAAAGGAAAAGGAAAGGAAAGGAAAGGAAAAGGAAAGGAAAGGAAAGGAAAAGAAAAGTTAGTTTAAAAACAAATAAGCAAAAAATCCAGGATTCTCAGGCTGAGATGTTAGAGTTCAGTTACCAAGGTGTGAATGGGACGGTGCTTTCTGCCTCAGTGTCCTGAAGACTAAGACGTGGTGATGTGCCCACATGGCTGGCCACAGGGTAGCATGATATCTCAGTCACCTAAAATCACACTCGCAACCTGGGAGCCTTGCCTGGGAGGGACTTCTAATTCCATCCAAAAGTTTTGTTCGCCTCTTATTTTTGTAAAGATAGCAGTAAAAACTACCACTGGTAATACATTTAAAATTAAAAACTAGGGTGGGGGAAAATGCTTGCAATCTGGTCAACAAGATGGACAAACGACCCTGATTTTCTGGCTTTGAGTTTCCTGAGGACTCTGCTACAGTAGACAACTAGATCTGGCTGAAGAAAAGTAAGGAATTCATAGAAAATCTTGGTCTATTTTATGCTTGATACAACCCGAGTATCAAAGTATTCATAGATAAAGGGATAGTCTGTTGTTTTCCTACTTAGCAAAGTAATGCTAATCCAGTTAAGTTAAATAAATACTTATTGCAAATCTACCGTAGGCTTGCCTGCATCCTTGCCACATCTGGTTATAGGCACAGAAGTAACAAACAGAAAATATTCATTTGCTTCCATGTTTCTACTTTCTGACCACTGAAGACATTTCTCTTTAGGGTTCTGTTTTATTTATTAGGGTTTTGTTACATTTTATTTATGTGTTTGTTTATTAATTCATTTGGTGAGCTTTTTATTGAGGAAGAACATGCAATAAAGGATTTTCCTTCAGTTTTATGGTAAAATATAAAACTAGGCCTTTATAAAATATCATCGCTTTCTATCACATGATAGCTATGTCTTTGAATAAGTCACAATGCTTCTTTGAGGAGGTTCCTCAGTAAAAGGCGGATAATAAAATCTATGCTATTCATCTTAAAGTGGTTTTCTGAAGGCCAAATCAAATGATGAATCAAAAAGTGCTCTGTAAGTATTAGAGGATATTGTTACTTATTATTAGCATAGATACCTATGGATCAGAAAACCTAATAACAACAACAGTGTATTTACCTTCAGGAGACTTCCCAGGGGTGTGTGTGTGCATGCAGCATGCATGCATGTGCATGTGTGTATGTGTTACCAGCAGGAGAAGTAGGGTGGCTCTGTGCCTTGCAGCCAGGGTGATCATTTCCCAGGTACAACCATATTTCTGCAAGCATCAGAGTTCAAGGAAGAAACAAGACTTGGGACAGCTGTCTATATGCCTGACCTAGAATTGTGTAGTATTATGGTGCTATACCAACATCTAATTTTTAATCGTTCCAACTCTAGAGCTGTTTTTTCACTTTGCTTTTGTTTCCAGAGCTTGACTGGTGGCAAAGGATACTTGAAACGTCCCAAACCTATGATTTTATGATCATGAGGTGTCTTCGCCTCTCCCCTGCTGGTGACAGATACTTGGCTGTCCCAGAGTTACTTAGAACAAATACCACTAGGAAAGAACTTTCTGAAGAAACCTTAGTGGCCTCCAAATTGGCAACGGAAAGAAACCAAAAGTTAGTGGAGGTGAAGTCACTGACATAACAATGGAGGCCAGTTTCATTAGTTTCATTCACTGAAGCAAAACTTGGACCAGAAGACTCATTATTCAAACCAGATGCTGATTTTGTAACATCCATTTCAGTGATGAACTGTCTCCATTTTCTTTTTATTTTGAATATGCAATATTACAAAGCAGACAAATCACATTAATAAGAGCACACTTAAAGTTTGTAAAGTTGGTTTTAAAAAGAACTGAGTGTAGAAAATCTGTTTTCAAAAGTTTATTGCCAAAAGCATTTTTTTTTAAATTTTTAAATCATGTGACAAAAGAAATGCTACAATTGGTTTAAGATAAGATCAATTATGGGCAGCAATGAAATTACCTTTTAATGATAATTAGCCCCAAACTTGATTACTGTCAGCTTGAATTATCTGGTCATAAGGCATACAAAGTACTGTGTTCATCTGTCTCAAACAAGAATGAATGGTGGGCCCGCCCAGGTTAGCAGTCAAATAAGATGGGAGGCAGGGGAGGAAGGGGAGCAAATGAGGCAAAGAAGGCTGACCGTACAGACCTCGAGTGCTTAAGAGAAAGCAAACATCATAAAAATTTGTATCAAGCACAAAACTCACTTTTAAAAACAGCCTGCTGATAAACTTCCTCTTAAAAATGATGATTCTGTATCTCTTGTCAAAAGAATGACGAGGATCTCAACCCCAGAAAAAATAGTGAGCCTCTCCAGGGAGAAACTGAACCAGGTCAAGCTCAGGAGAATATGAAAGCAGAACAAGGGGAATGGAGCCTGGAAAGATGACCTGCGCCTCTGGACATAATCTCGAAGGGGAAATGGGAACCCGCCTCCAGTTCAGGGCATTCAGAGATGACACAGCCTTGTTGTGCAACATCCAGGTTCGTTCTCAGAGTCCGGCCTGTTGAATCGGTATCCTACAAACAAGGCAGTGTAACTTCTGGGGGCCCAATTCTGTTGCTTTATGGCGACAGACTACAGTATTTAGAGATGGAAATGATCGCCAGCCTCGTTTTACAAACAGGACCAAGGAGGCAGAGTGAATCCTCATGGGACTAACTAATGGCAAAGCCAGTTCTCCAACCCACGTGTCCCGACTCCTTTACCCAGCTGCTCCTGTCCTCTCTCCCTGGGCTAGTGGTGAGGCTCTGAAGAACAGTTACTAACACTGCTGCTGAGGAGCACTCACTCACCACAGTCTGCCCACTACGAAAGGACATACTCCTCTCTGACCTTGGGCGTTCTCACCTGGTTATTCAACACCAGATACCTGCAGAAGAAAATCTGTATTCATATCGGAGCTATAACTCCTATTTACCAAAACCTACTATGGACCAGGCACAGTGCTAGGCCCCTGCATTCATTCACCTCTTGTAATGCCTATAACTTAGGATGTGTTTAAGCCTCATTTTACTCAATAATGAGGGCTTAAAGATGTGAAGTAGCTTGCGAAGTCCACACCACTACGTAGTGACAGTCCTAGGTTCAGACTGGTTTTTCTAGCCACTGAAGGTACTGTACTTTCTACTACACTACTAGCTCTCAAAATTTTGCTAAAGAAAGAGCTCCTCATTCAGCTGATTATGAGAGCTGCACAGGAAGCTTTACCTGATGAAAATATCCGGATCTCTATATATGAAATAAGTAGATTCTGAACAATGGCAATAATGCTTCTAAAATCTTGGAGGGTAAACACAGGCCCTTTCAGTTTACTTTGCTAAAGAGAGAAGTTTCTTGCAAAATTCTAATTTTTCCTTCCAAAAATCTTTACTCCACATAGTTTGGGTATTGTTTATTATTCTTCATTTCTTTTTAGAACAAAAGCTTAACACAACAGAAGAGAAGGACAATGGGAATATTAACAAGCAAGAATAACTTTCCACGGAGTTGGTAACCGAAGTAAGATCCCACAGACCAGACTGTGGAGAACTTCATTATTCCAGCTCACTGCCTCCTTGGAGCTGGCCATGCTCCACTGATGCTTTCACCTTCTGGCAACCACCTGCTACCTTTACCTTCTGCAAACGCAGGCACCTGGCCAGCCTGGAGAATTCTGCTCTCTGAACAGAACACAGATAATTCCCATCTTCCAGTCTGAACACAGCCCTGAAAACTAGAACTCACTGCGGGTTTGGTGCTACTGACATCTCTGCAGTTTGTAATCTTCTGCTTGCAGGGAGGCTGGCTTGTTCAAAGCTAGAACACTCCAAAGAGGCCTATTCTTAATCAAGGAAGGCTGACAGGTTGGAGCCTGCTTTCCTCAATATATAGATTAGACAAACAGAAGCATCATCAAGGCAAACTGGGCATGGTGTACTGTCAACCAAATACAACCAACTTCTTTTTAGGTTTTTTTTTTTTTCTTTCTACTTTTAGGGTTTATTTACTGGCAGTTTCAGGTCTGGAAATACAAAAAGGAACATGACATGGGTTCTGCCCTTGAGGTGCTCCCAGTCTGGTGAGGGACACAACACCTTTCAGGGGACAACCGTGGTACTGAGGATGAGTGTGAGAACACAGAGGTCTACTAGATGCTATAAGAAAATGGGACAGGGGAACTAGGGATGCCTCATCAAAAAAGGTGCCACGTGAACGGGGCTTATAGATGAGTAGGAATTTTCTGGGCAACAAAATGGGGGTGAAAGGACATTCCAAACAGAAAGAACAGTGTGTTCAGAGACTCAAATTTATCAAGAGGCCTGCAGTCCAGGGAGTAAAGAGAAGCAGCGTTTGTATGTGCAGGGAAGGGGAATGGGTTAAAGGAAGGATCTCAGAGACTATTTACAAAGGGTCTCTGTAGGCATGTAGGAGGCAAGAGGTTTTAAAGCAGTGAAATGACACATGTAGGTTCTGTTGTTGTTTTTAAGTAATTCTGGCAGACATGCTGACTGTGGATAGGAGGCTACATCAGGGCTGCACAAAAGAAGTAAAATGCCAACCACAGGGCCAAGCCACATATGTAATTTTAAATTTCCTAGCAGCCACATTTAAGGTAAGAAAAGACAAGTGAAATTAATTTAATAATATGGTTTAACCCCTCAAACACAAACTACTATCTTTCACCATGTAATCAAGAGTTTTAAAATTATAAATGAGATAGCTTACATTCTTTTTTTCATACTAAGTCTTCTAAATCAGGCACAGTGCAGCACATCTCAATTTAGACTAGCCACATTTCAAGTGCTCAAAAGCCAGATGTGGCCAGTGACTACCATAACGGACAGCACAACTGTAGATAAACCACTACAGCTAATACAAGACCCACTTAGGAGGCTGTAGTCAACAGTACCAACAAGAAATGATAAAAGCTCTAGGAAGGTTATTTCTGGCCCTTGGACATATGTTGAATTGGCACTGAAATACAACTGTAAAGACATGTAACTTATTTTTTGTTTTGAATAGGTAATACTTTACAGGCTTCAAATATAAAAATAATACAACAGAGTACACAATGAAGAGTATTGCCCCCTGCCTCTTCCTGCTCACCACATCCTTATCCATGCTATCCCCCACCTACCCACTAAAAGTAACCACTTTTATTGAACTCCTTTCATTTATCCTTTCAATGTTTCTTCATGTGGATTCAAGCAGATATGACTACAGACTCATATTTTGTCTCCTTTCTACATCAAAGGGAGCATACTATATATGGTTCTATACTTTGGTGGGGTTTTTTTTCCATTTAATAACATATCTTGGAGGTCTTTCCATATCAACGTATGAAGAGTTTCCATGCTCTCTTTAAAATGCTGCACAATATTCCATTGTAAAAGTGGATCATAGTTTATTTAACCAGTCTTTCACCAGTGGATACTTGAATTGCTTCCAGTCTTTTCTATTATAAACAATGGTCTAATGAGACACCTACTCTATAGGTCACTGCATATGTATTCAGATGTATCTGCAGGAGTAATTGCCAAAGCCAGACTGCTGGGTCAAAGGGTAATTGTATTTGTAATCTCGATAGATGAAAACTGGCCGAACTGGCCTTCATGAGGGTTATGCCATTCTGTACTCTCAGAAGTACACTGCTGATGTTTCCACAACTGGTCAACAATTTCTAAGTGTCACACTGTAGAATTTTTGCCAATCTGATAAAGTTAAAAGTGCTACTTCAGTACAGTTTAAGTTTGTGATTCTCTTATTATGTGTAAGGCTGAAGATCTTTTGGTAGGTTTGAAAACAATGTATTTCTTTCTCTCTCTCTCTTTTTTTCAGACAGAGTCTCGCCCTGTCACCCAGGCTGGAGTGCAATGGTGCGATCTTGGCTCACTGCAACCTCCACCTCCCCGGTTCAAGCAATTCTCCTGCCTCAGCCTCTGAGTAGCTGGGATACAGGCACGTGCCACTACGCCCGGCTAATTTTTTGTATCTTTAGCAGAGACGGGGTTTCACCATGTTGGCCAGGCTGGTCTCAAACTCGAACTCCTGACCTCGTGATCCACCTGCCTCAGTCTCCCAAAGTGCTGGGATTACAGGCGTGAAACACCGCACCCAGCCAAGACAATGTTTTTCTTATTCTGAGGATAATCTGTTCATATCCTTTGCCTAGGCTATTGGTATTCCAAGTCATTTTCTTTTTCTTTTTTCTTTTGAGACAGAGTCTCGCTCTGTTGCCCAAGCTGGAATGCAGTGGCGCGATCTCAGCTCACTGCAACCTCCGCCTCCCAGGTTCAAGCGATTCTCCTGCCTCAGCCTCCCAAGTAGCTGGGATTACAGACATGCACCACCACACCCAGCTAATTTTTGCATTTTTAGTAGAGGCAGGGTTTCACCATGTTGTCCAGACTGGTCTCGAACTCCTGACCTCAGATGATCCACCCGCCTTGGCCTTCAATGAATAAGAAAGTCATTTTCTTATTCATTTGTAGAAACTCTTTATATGGAGGTTAACTGTCCACTGCAAATAGTTTCTTCTCTGATTGTCATTTGAATTTGCTTATGGCATTTTTTTAATCAGGTAAAAATACTTTATTTGAATTTAGTCAAATTTATCATTTTTTTTAATGGCTGCTGGATTCTGATTCACGGTTAAAAAGTCCTTCTTACTTCAAGGTTATAAAGGAATGTCTTCCAGTTTCTCAGCATTTTATGCAGATACAAATATATTTGTATATTGAAATCCTTCTTAAAAATATCATTTTTCACTTTTTTCCAACTGAGGTAGACTAGACATTTGCTGAATTGCCTTTCTGATTTCTCCTTCCTTTCTTTCTTTGTCATAACTCTGTTGAATATGACACTGGTCATCATATAAAATTAATTGATCAGGTTGGAGTTTATCTGAATGGTATGAGATATGAAACCAACCTCACCTTTCTCCAGATAGCTACCCACTTGGCCCAATAAAAATTTCATCATTATCCCATGGAAAACACAATTTTAAATACTATTCTATTTGTGTGTAGACAGCAACCTAGATTTTTATAAACTCATGGTTCTAATCCTCTAGTCTAGACACTACAGAGGTAAATACAACCTATGTTATTCAATTATTTATGGGAACTGCCAAGTTTCATGAAACTGCATTTATCACATCATCAACAATATCTTTTGAGCAGATGCTTGACTTGAAGAGATATACAGACACAAACTGCCATTTAGAAGTTTACAACTGGGAGGTCGCTAAATTATTTTTCACTATTAATTTGTTTAAAAAGCAAGCAATACAACACAATTAAAGTCTGGCAAAACTCACAGAATTCTGGTTTACTCAAGTTTATTTTATATGAACACCAGTACGTGCGGTATTAAAAAAAAATTACAACAAAAATAGGACAGGGAAAACAGGCAAATCGGAAAATGTCTGGTCCACCGCAGCTGGAAAAGTGGTAAATGACGTTTCTTTGAGTGTTTCATAAGGATAAAAATATAAAATGCTTCATAAATGTGTGTGTCATCCTTGCATAAGGGCCATGCTAATCTTCTCTGTATCTTTCCTATTTTTGCATATGTGCTGCCAAGAGGAGCACAAAAAGAATGTTTCTGGCCAGGCGTGGTGGCTCACACCTGTAATGCCAGCACTTTGGGAGGCCGAGGCGGGTGGATCACAAGGTCAGGAGTTCAAGACCAGCCTGGCCAATATGGTGAAGCCCCGCCTCTACTAAAAATACAAAAATTAGCCGGGCGTGGTGGTGGGCGCCTGTAGTCCCAGCTACTCAGGAGGCTGAGGCAGGAGAATCACTTGAACCCGAGAGGCAGAGGTTGCAGTGGGCCAAGATTGCACCAGGGTGACAAAGTGAGACTCTGTCTCAAAAGAAAAAAAAGAGTATTTTTTAACAAGGATCTAACGTTCCCAATTATTTCTATTTGAAAATTTCTCGTAAACTGGAATTTTTAAAGTAAAAATGTGAAAGCTACAGTATTCTATGGCAAATGACTTTGTATTTCATTACTAATTCTAATTTTCCATATTAACATTCTTCAAGTTTGTATTCAATCCATAATGTACACATTACTCTGTCATTTGAGGTTGTAAGATTAGTTGTTGGAGATCTATTTCTAAGAGAGTTTTACACACACACACACACACACACACACACACAACACACACACACACAGAGTCATGAGCAGCATATCCTCCAAAAACAGCAGAGGGATCTGTTCCTGCAGAGGATGCTCATTCATTAGACACAAATTATAAAACTTTCACACAGCAGATATCTTACCAGATAAATAGCTATGACAACAAAATACCCCTACATAATAAATAAAGGCAATGCTGGGGAAGAGAGCAGGGAGAATCCCTTGGAATGAAAGCTCCCTAGACATGAACAAAGTATGGCTCCTAAGACCTCTGTGCTGTTAAAAGAAACAGTTGAACTGGAAGCCAACAGCTCTGTGAACCAAGAGGCAGTGGCCATGCTGCTCCCCAGGCAGCCCCCGGTCTCCCTACCCACTCCCACCCTCAAGAAGCTCCTGCTTCCCATGGCAACCTGCAGACCATCACTCACAAACCTGATCTCCAGCCCTGAGAGGACGCTCCTGAATTTCAACCTTTTTTCGGCTTGCAAGTAAGTGCCTAATGGAGATGATTTGCCCTTATATCATATCTAAGTATCTAAAACTAACCATTAATACCCGCTGCCCCTCCCCTCCAACAAAACCCTACTTTGTTTCCTCTATGCCAATCATATGATCATTTTCCAACTTATCTGGACTCCTTAGCACCTCAGACTGCAGGCATCTTCTGACTCAACCTTCCCTTGACACCTACTATAACCATTCAGGAAGTCTATTCTTGTGATGTCTCCATCCTGCCCGTCCTTTTTGTTTCCAATGCCACTCATCTATTTCAGACCCTCCCCATGACCCTGTGCCCACTTTATGACATAATCTCTTAATTTGCTTCTTTATTCCTCTATTTACAATCGGCTGTCCACATGGCTGCCATGGACCTTTCCTAAATGGTACTTTCTCAAAAACCTTCCATGCTTCCCCCTACTACTTACATGACAGCCCCAAATTATGCCATTAATCATTTCATTAACTCAACAGATATTTACTGAATACCCACTACGTGCCAGATGCTATTCTGGGCATTTGGGACATATCAATTAACTGATAAAAACTCTTGCTTAATCTTGTCTTAACCTGTTTTCTCCTGCACCTTACCCCACTAGTCCCCTACATAACTGTAAACATTACCTATACATATATCTGTATCAACAGTTATATTCTACTGTATTGATACATTCAATGATGCCTAACAAGCCCCTACCATGTGTTAGATCCAGCAGTCAGCAAGACAGATGTAGTCTTTTCTGTTCCCTCTAACCCTGCCATCCTAAAATATGCAATCCAACCCCTCCAACCTCCACAAAGACTCTCGTAGGTACCCAAGCCCACATCAGGGGCCATTAATTCCTGTCTTGCAACAGCACTTATCTTATCTTGTAAAAGTACTTATGGTTTTCATTTGTTTGGTGGTTTTTTTTTTTTATTAAGCTTTTCAGGGGTTTAATGAAACTCCCTAATTAGAGTAAAGGTCTTAGAGGATTGGCTGCTTATTTTCTTCTTTGCACTCCCTAGAACGCCATGATCACTGAACACTACAGCCAAAGGAAACTTCTGACCCTTGTTCATCAAACCCATATCATTGCTTGAGGAATCTGAGACACAGAGAAGCTAAATTGTAATATCAAATGCTAAAAAGAAGTGAATAGAAATATGAAGGAAGTCTAGCAGGCATCCTTCCCTTTGTCCCTAGGGGTAGAGGAAGGAAGATGTCTGAACCACTAGCCACACACAGTTCTTTTTTTTTTTTTTTTTTTTTTTTTGAGACAGAGTCTCGCTCTGTTGCCAGGCTGGAGTGCAATGGCGCGATCTTGGCTCACCACAACCTCCGCCTCCCGGGTTCAAGTGATTCTCCTGCCTCAGCCTCCCGAGTAGCTGGGATTTTCATTTAACTCTGGAATTCATGCAGGGACTCTCAAGCTGTCTGATGAATTATTTGGAGCTTCTCCCCAGATGAGGCCTAACTAAGCTGGGAAGCCACCCCAAGTGGGAGATTTGCTCAGCTCTGCCCTGCTACTCTCTTTTCAATCCTCCACTCCGTGCACTTGCTTGGGACCTAGACAATGCTAATAAACTAAACCCTAAGCCCAGATACTTACCAGAACTAAACCCTAGGCCCAGATATTACCCCCACGCCTTGAAATCCAGGGGTTCCACTGGGCATGGTGGCTCACACCTGTAATCCCAGTACTTTGGGAGGCCAAGGCGGGTGGATCACTTGATGTCAGGAGTTCAAGACCAGCCTGGACAACATGGCTAAACCCCATCTCCACTAAAAATACAAATATTAGCCAAGCATGGTGGCACATGCCTGTAATCTCAGCTACTCAGGAGGCTGAGGCTGAAGAACCCTTTGAATCTGGGAGGCAGAAATTGCAGTGAGCCGAGATCGCACTACCGCACAACAGAAGGAGACTGTCTCGAAAAAAAAAGAAAAAGAAAAGGAAAAAAAAATCCGGAGGTTCCCTTATTGTGCCATATCAATGCTTTACCCTCCCCTCTGGCCAGTGAGCTGCCCCTGCTGGAAGCTAGAGAGCTCTCTAAGGGAGATAGCTGTTACCCTCAGCTAGAGGTAGAATGGGACTACAATTAAAAGGATCTACAAGCGCAAAGTAAGAATAATCATATGAGACGTTCAATTTGAAACAGGCTGGTAGAGTCCAGGAATCATCTATAAAGCTGTGAGATGTAGCATGGTATATCCTGCTATAAGATTTTTAACATGAGCTCCATTTCTGTATCCATGTGATTTCCTCTCCACTATTCGTATGACACTCAAGGGGGAAATGTGTGATCCTATTTTCATCCCACCCCTGTGCTCACTGAAATGACAACTGGTGCTCAATACTGTTTCCTGGATCCCCTAATAATGAAAGTCAAATTTAACAGAGGCGTAGTTGCATACACGTGACCAATGTAGATAAGAATGTCTCATATGTTTGTACATTTCTCTGTGGGGCCTAGAAAAAGTGATAGCACTTAATTGGGCATAGATTCTGAAGTCCATGTTGACCAAGTTAGACACCCTTCAGGTGTTGTTTTACACAGCTTTCCCATTATTCACAATAAATCTGCACCCGCAGTTTATAATCATCCTTCAATGTCCCAGTCTTTTGGTTTAGCCGAATCCCATAATCTTGGAAGCTGACAAAAGTTCTCTCCCAAGCTGCCATCACACCTAGAGGATAGTTTGGTGCCAATGTTCACATAAAAAGAAAAGTTTTCAAGATCAAAGAATATTCCTTGCATTTATGAAAATCTTTGAAGTATAGAGACTTTCTACCTAGCAGCAGCCAGCAAGAGGCCTTGTTTATTTCTGTTTAAATGAATTGTTAAAAGCAGGAGAAACATACCATTCTAAGCTCCAATTTTAAATCTTCTATCTGATTTTAGTTTCTTGGGGGAAAGAAGTAAGAATTCATGTCTGAGCCAAAACCAAATACATACAAGTCCTGCCATCAGTGATACAGCTGCCAGGGAGTCTTCTCTAATGCGCTCCCAAACTCATGTTTCAGTTTTTCCTCCCCTTCCTCCCCTGCAAATAGGACGGGCAACTTCCACCCAATCCAGGCTCCTACCATGTCTGGAACATGCTCTGTAGCTCAGCTTATGTGAACATCTGAACCTTGTTTTCCAGAACCCAGCCACCATGACCCAGGTCAGCCTAACAGTAACTGCTGACCCAGACCACAGGGCTGGAGCTCTTTTGGGTGTCTCCTGGCTTGAGCTGAAATTGGTTCAAGCAACTAGGGTGAGGCTGGGGCACCAAGCAGGATTTAAGGGGTTCTCCAGGCCCAGATCTGTGAAGGAGAAGAAAACAGTGGCTGAGGAACCAGCTGGGCCTGAGATGTCAATGCGGCCTGCCTTCCATCAATCCACCAGACCTGAACAGATGAAATATTAACGTATCATTGCTTGTAAGGTTAGGGCAATCCCGGAACACCAACCAACACCACTCAAGCAGGGACGCAGCACTCATGTGTTCATTCATTCATTCTCTATGTAATGAGCCCCTCCATAGTTATAGGGAGATACATCCCAATTTGGAAAATCTAGTGAGCCTCTAGTTAGCTAGAACGCAGAGAAGTATAAAATTCCATTAACTGGAATGATGGTTCCTTCACATAAGTGACATTTCAGCCTCGATGAAATTCTCATTATTTCCTGAACACACCAAGATGCTGATATCCTATCTAAAGATGCCTCTCCCTCTTCTCTACCAGCAGCAATCAGTTCTATTTATCCTTAAAGACAAAGATGTCACCTCCCTGGGAAGTTTTTTCCAACTCCCCCAGCCTTCCCAGGAGACTTTCCAGCTACGTCACCCTGCATGCCCCACCCTCCCTCTCTCCTCTAGCCACACTGCCCTTTTCTTCATTGCTTCCATGTTAAGTTGCTTTCTGTCTCAGGGCCTGTGCACATGCAGTTTGCTCTTGAGAAATGTTCCTCCCTGTACTCCGAATCATGACCACCCCCAGCACCTCAATCCCTACCACTCACCCCTTCATCGAAGTAAGTCTCATCTTCTTCAGATCTCAGTTCAACCAGCAAAGCCCTCCTTAACCCCTCAACATTATTCACCCTCACAGCAGGCCATGCCTTTCCTTTCCTGCACTTATCAGAGCTGTACTGGTAGAACTGTGATATGACCTGATTAAAGTCTATTTCCCCACTAGACTGTAAGCTCCATAAGAGTAGGGACCATGACTATTTTAGTCTATCATTGCAACCCCAGTGACCAGCACAGTAGCACATAGTAGGCACTCGGGAAAGATTAGCTGAATGAACGAATGACCTTCTCTATAGTGTCTGTGTCATTATATTCTAAATGCCCATTGTGTGCTGGCCACAAAGCCTGGCCCCTGCCAGCCACGTCAAGAGGCAAACACTTTCCCAGAATTCATTTAAAAATGGAAATGGACATGTATCCCTATCACCTGTACCTTGTACATACACATCTATAGCAATGATGGAAGATGGAAATAAGGGTCTTAAAATCCTGGGATTGATGACTCTTACTAAGGTCAGGAAAAAGTGGCCATAGAACAGATCCAAAAAGGTAGAAATACTAACCAAAAATCAAGGGGGCAGGTAATATTACTGTTTCTGATCAATTCTAACCTAACCAGAAGTCACAACCAAGAAACCCCATTTCCTGGCTCTTCTGTTGATGTTTCAGCTGTTTTGACTGCTGAGAAAGAACAAAACTGAGTGAACAGGAGACGCAACGTGCCACGTGCAGCATCTCGGTCAGTCCCTGTTTGGGGCTGACTTGTGTCCTTCCAAAATTCAAATATTAAAGTCTTAACCCCCAGTGCCTCGGAAAGTAACTATTTGGAGATAGGGCCTTTAAAAAGGAAATTAAGTTAAAATGAGGCCATTAAGGTGGGCCCTAATCCAATCTGATTAATAAGAGGAGAGCAGGACACACAGAGAGACCCCAGGAGTGTGCATGCACAGAGGAAAGACCCCGTGAGGACACAGCGAGGGGGCGGCCATCTGCAAGCCACACAAAGAGGCCTCAGAGGAGACCAACCCTGTCAGCACCTTGCTCCTGGACTTATAGTGTCCAAAGCTGTGAAAAAAATACATTTCTACACTTAACGCCAACTGGCCTGTGATACTGTGTGCTGTGGCAGCCCAAGCGGTTCTCGAGAGAAAGGGAAGGAAGAGGTTCCAAGTATCTGCTGCCCAACCCACTCTTCACCATCCTGGGTGTCATCTTCTCCCCAGTGCCGTCCTTTCATCTTCATTTGACCAATAAGGACACTGAGGCTCAAAGCCACAGAGGGGGCTGAGCCAGAACTTGACTGCAGGGCCATGTGCTTCCAAAGTCCATGTCCTTTGCACTTTACCTTCAGTTCAAAAGACCAAAGTGGAGTATAAAATATGAAAGCAGATTCCATTTTGCTTTTCTTAGCCCTTAGAAAAGGGGGGAGATCACCATTCTAACTAAGTTAAAGAACCAGACACATTTAAATAAAGTGACTGAAATGCTGTGGAACAGATGTGAATAGGAACTAATTTTGCTTTTTAATGAGCATTTTGATCAGATCAATACTACAAAATGCTAAACTGTACAATGCCATTACTGTTTAAATGCAACTACCCAGTTGACTGGCTCAAAGGGGCATTACAGTAGCTAAAAAATATACTTTCTCTTTATAAAAGCAGGGTCTATTATGTAAAATAAAGTCATAAAAATTTTAATTGCACTGCATAAAGGACAGAACCTGATCTAGCCTACAAACCATGGAAAGCAGAGAAAAATAAAATGCAGCTGAATGCTTAATCAGCTGTCTGTCACTTTCTGAATAGTGCCTAATATTCTAATTATTAGTCACCACACTGAGAAGGTGCAATTATGGAACAGGGAAGATTGCTTTTTTTTTTTTTTTTTGTTAACCCACAATTTGGAAGGCCTTCACAAAAATATTATTTAAGACCCAATAAGCTATAAAGGGAAAAAAATGATTAACAGTTAAAATTCAGTTTTCCCCCCTAAAGCATTTTTTAAAAGCTTTGAAATTGTATTGACAGATATGACTAACAATTGTAATCACAGAAATAAATGTAGTAAAACGATAATTTATCTGTCACAATTTACCGAGGGGGAAAAAGTGCAGCACAAGCAGCTGAATTGTGAAGTTAAATGAAAGCAAAGATAGAAACCGGTTTTTAATGAAATGTGGAGCATTATTAATTGGTTTCCTAGCAACAGCGGGGCTAAAATTACTTAACATGTCTGTTCAATCAGATGCAAATTTGAGTGTTATCCCTTAAATGTTGATTATAGCTGGTCTTTTCAGATGCAAATCCAATGTGTAAAGTGAATGTAAATGTTGACAATGCTGATACAAAAAATCCCCTGATTAACATCATTCTGGTGTTCAAAGCACTAGAGTTGAGGATATTCCCTTGGAAGGACTGCAAGCTGCCAGGGTTGCCCATCTTGTCTGGCATTTTCCTGTACCTGTCCTCCCTGTCCCACCTCACCACCACCCTCACTCAGTGCAAGCATGACAGATGACTAAAAAATGAGATTGCTGGGCCTTGTGATTTCTCAAACACTGGTTTCTCATCAGTGCTAAATGATAGAGACAGATGATGTTTTCAGCTTAGAATTCCATCAGCTGATGCAAGGGCCTTGCCAACCCAAGACCAAGGTTGGTCTCAAGTGTAGTTTTTCAGATGGAACAAGACCTTTGGGTGACTCCACCGGAATGGGATCCAAGCAAACAAATTCCCTACAAGACTGCCAAATAAGGCAGCCTTCCTCAGCTATACCCTGGCCTTATCCTATGGTTCAAGTGTAGCATATTCCAGTAAATGGAGGCACCAGGAAGGGGTTAGGGGTGGGAAGGATGTAGCCCCTTCATAATCTCCATCATCCCCCAAAGCTACCCTAGTAACACACTACTCCAGACAAAAGCAATGTGCTTGCCTCACTTTCACTCTCATGCAACAAATATTTATTGCACAGTTACTATTTGCCAGGCAATGATCTTAGGGAGCTGGAGACACAGAAGTGAATTAGAAAAAGTTCCTACTCTCACCCTAGTAGTTCAGGGGAGAGATAAATACATAAATAAACTGAGAAACAATAATTTCGGGTAGTGATAAGAGCTAGGAAGAAAAAAGTAGCTTAATGAGGAGAGGGGGATGGGCATGGCTGGGGGACCACTTTGGATAAGGTCTTTTGGAGGGAGGATACCTTCTGCACAGACCTAAAGGAAAAGGAGCAAGCCAGGCAAGGTGGGGGGAAGCGAGTCTCACTCAGAGGCAGGAATGACCTTGGAACAGCACAGAGACCAGAGGCTCTGAGTGTGACGCAGAACAGGAAGGGGAGCGGTGATGATGCAAGAGGAGCAACTTTGAGATAAGCTCCTAAACCATCTTCCAACAAGACTGTACTCCCCATTCCCCACCTTACGGTGTTTCAGGGACACAAGTGTCTCTAGAGCCACCTCAGGGTACAGTGCAGGAGCAAAAGTCTGCCATGTGAGGAAGAGGAGAGGGAAAGGAAGGGGAGGGGAGGAGTGAAAACAAGAAGGGAGGAGAGAGGAAGAGAAGAGTGAGTCCACGGAACCCTAAAGGTCATCTCCTTTCCAGGTCAAGGCCCAGTCCCTTTCCAACCCTACCCCACCCCCAGAAAAGCTTCCATGCCAGTGGAAAGTACATTCTTAAACTGATCTCCCCTAGAAAACAGTGAATGGCTTTTCTGGCCAAAGCCCCCTGTCTCTCAATGAACAGTTTGTTCCAGACACTCAATCAAGGCTCTGGGATATCCCAGGCAGTGGTCAACAGGACATATATTCCAGAAAGTTCTGAAGCTTGCTTTTCATTAGAATTGACAGTCTCCTGACAGCTGCATACTAGGCGAAGGATCCTAAGGCTAACCTTAAGAGTACTGGGGCAAGGGAAAATGGACAGACCCTTCCTGCAGAGCATCTCACTCTAGCCTTAGAAGTCATGCCTTCAGTCTTTGAAGTATTTAAGGATTACTATTAAATGCGAATGCCCTTTAGAGAAACATGTGTAACCTTAGGTATAACCCATGTCAGGGTGGGGATACAGATGCCAGAGGAAGCTGTGGAAGTGGGATGGAACCTCGTCTATCAAGTGGCCTAGCATGGACCTGCATTGGGAATGGTGACAATGTCAAGGTATGCAAGGGGAGTTGTGATGCCTGACTGGAAAACACAAACCTTCACCAGGCTTGCCTTAATTCATGTTAACCCTTAGAGAGAAACACCACTGGCACCTCATTTCACCAGGGAGGTCTAAAAGAAAAAAAAAGTGCCAAAAAGTTTTATTTCATGAAAAGCAGAGATAAATGTCAAAAAAAGGGAAAATGTGGCTGTATTAGTCCATTCTCACACTGCTAATAAAGACATCCCCAAGACTGGGTAATTTGTAAAGGAAAGAGGTTTAATTGATTCACAGTTCAGCATGGCTGGGGAGGCCTCAGGAAACTTACAATCATGGCAGAAGGGAAAGCAAATGCAACCTTCTTCACACGGCAATAGCAAGGAGAAGTGCCGAGCAAAAGGGGGAAAAGCCTCTTATAAAACCATCAGATTTCATGAGAACTTGCTCACTATCATGAGAACAGCAGTATGGCGGGTGTTCTCATGATTCATGAGAAGTGCCCTCATGATTCAATCATCTCCCACTGGGCCCTTCCCACAACACATGGGGATTATGGGAACTACAATTCAAGATGAGATTTGGGTGGGGACGCAGCCAAACCATTTCGGTGGCCTACCACTCAATTACAAAAAAGAGATATCCTCTCTTAGTAGCATCTACTCAGAGTTCCAGGAGGCCATATTAAATTGTGAGTTAAGAATCAGGTTGTAGATGTGATCATAGTCCTGGTTACTGAGACGTATCTTCTAGGTCAGTGGTTCCCGAAGTCTGGTCCCTAGAGTAGCAGCTGATGCAACACCTGAGAACTTACTAGAAATGCATATTCGACTGGGCGCAGTGCTTCATGCCTGTAATCCCAGCACTATGGAAGGCCGAGGCAGGTGGATCACGAGGTCAGGAGTTTGAGACCAGCCTGGCCAATATGGTGAAACCCTGTCTCTACTAAAAATACAAAAATTAGCCAGGTGTGGTGGCACGCATAGGTAGTCCCAGCTACTTGGGAGGCTGAGGGAGAAGAATCGCTTGAATCTGGGTGGCAGAGGTTGCAGTGAGCTGAAGTTGTGCCACTGCACTCCAGCCTGGGCAACAGAGTCCGTCTAAAAAATAAATAATAAAGAAATGCATATTCACAGGCCCGGCCCCAGACTTAATGAATTAGAAATCTGGCAGTGGCCCCAGCAACCTGTGCATTAATAAGCCCTCCAGAAGCTTCTGATGCACAGTATATTTCAGAACTAACATTCCAGGCCAATTCAGCAAGAAGGTGTGTCTTGCTGAGTTTATACTTAGCACTGACTTTATATTTGCTGAGTTTATACTTAGCACTGACTTGCTGCAAATTATTTCAATCAACAGGAAACCAAGGATAGCTGCACTGTACCTCCTGCATGATGGCACACATTCAAAATAAGCACATTCATGGTGTGAATTCTTTCACATAATGACTTCTTCAAAAGAATGTACTACTCAGAACACAAGATGCTGATTTAGTGATTTCTTAAGATAACCCATTGTTCTGACTGGGAGAGAAGTAAAAAGAAAAAAGTGAGTTATCCTTTAGGAAACTTAAGTTTGGGGTAGCCTTCTGAGAGTAGCTCTGAGAATCACTGGGTTCTCTGTTTTTATGCAAGACTCTTTTCCTTGACCCTTCATGGCCAGCTGTCAGGTCTCCATCCTAAACAGCAGGAGCTCCCTAGCATTGGACAGAGGGTCTTTCTTAGTCATACAAGAAGACCCTCTGTGAATACCCCCCAAACTCCCTCTACCTCTCATATTTTAGAGAGAATCATATAATCTCTTAGTGTTCCTGACAACAAAATGGATATTATGCAGGTGTATGGTTACTTAAAAAGTCTGAAGATGAAAAAAGAGCCTAGAAAATACTTTAACATTATAAGACAGCTACACATGGACAAATCTACAAGCAGAAGGATGAATCTCAAATGTAACTGCACATCAGAATCACTTGTGATGCCTAATAAGAATGGAGATTTCTGGGGCCCGAACATTGTTGATTCATTTGGTGTGAACTGGGGCCCAAGAATCTGCCCAGGTGATTTTCATACAGGGATTTGTGTTTAACTTATCTACATGGTAACTTTTCCAGTTTTCAAGGGGTATTAATATGGCATAATGAGAGAGGGCTTTTTAACTTAGGGAAACAAAGCAATGCTATACCAAAAGAACTACAAGTTCCTTTTCCCTTGGGTGTTTACTAAAGCAGTTGAGAAAAAGTCTGTATGTCTCTCATTAAAGTAAGTTTTTAATAAGTAATTTTTTATTTTAATAAAAGTTATACATGTTCATTATAAAAAATTTAAAAAAGAAAAGAAAGAAAAACAAAAGGGAGAAAGTATAAAATACCCACAATCACATCATCCAGAGATAAGTTGGTACATTACATTTTCCCAGATAACGTGCTGGCTGTTTCCAAATACATTTTTTTTTAATAGTGGGATCAGAGTATATGCAGTTACTGTGTTATGTGTTTTTTACATCTAATAACACTATCGGTATCTTTCCACCACTCCTCAATTCTTTAAGATATAAAGTGAAAGAATGCCTAAACAGGAACTACTGATTTTTTTTTAAATCAAGGAATTAAAATTCTATGTAACCAGCACATAAATACAAATATTTATGTCACTTGTACAAGTATGCTAAAAATTTGTTTTTATTAAACTGATTTTGTATTGAGGCAGAGTTTATTAGTAATCTTTACTAGCTCATTAGCTCATTTTAGTGAAAGCATGCACATTACTGGAGGCCTCTGGATACATCTACAATATATTCATACAACAAGTATCCACTTTAATGAAATGTATTAGACAAAGGTTTTTCTCATGAAATCCAAAGGGAGCTAAAAGACTCTACTGGAAAAAAAACAAAACAAAACTGAGGACCCTCCCCCCAACAAAAATGTTTTTTTAACCTGCCCTGAGAGTCTATAAACTAATTCTGTTCAACTAGGGAGTGGTTGAAAAATAAATATATTTCACAGAATGCACTCATCATAAACTGAGAGCTAAACTCTTGCATGTTTATAAATGAGACACAAAGAATGTGAGTTTACGTAACGACCCACATTCACCCTCCCTTGCAAGGCCTGCCTGGTATCAGACAGCTTGTAAAAGCTTCAACACAGTAGTCACATGAATGTAGGCAAGCCACTTAATGCTTCTATGTTTCAGTTTCCTCATCTGGAAAACATGGACGCTACTAAACAGCATCTGTGCTAATCTACTCAGGGTTTTCTGAAGGCCACATGGGATAAAACATGAAGCTCTATGTAGACTGTCGAGTGGTACTCCAATGTGATCAGGAGTCTAATTGGTATTTCTCTCTCTCTCGAAAGGGTGCTCGCTCACTATTCCTTAGTCTATTGCCCACACACAATATTCCGCAACTTCCTGAACACAAGAGATTGGATAGAATACCAAATGTATGTGTGTTGGGCCAAAGAACAGAGATTAATTTAATCTTTCAATATTTGGCCTGACGACTACTTTACAATGGAATCAGACCCATGGATCCCTCACTACCATCATGAAAAGTTATATATTCTGGGAAAATCTTTGTGAATAATAATTTTCTGAGAATTATTGGGCATGGTCCCAAACTGAGCTTATCATCACCATTACCTGGTAAGCTTTTCAGAAACAAAGGATTCTCAGGCCTCACATCAGAGATTCTGGAGCTTTTAACTTAATCACATACAAAATTTTAAGAAGCCCTAACTTCCCTTAGTAGTTTCTATGCCAAATTATCCTTGACAAAAGATTGTTCATTCGTTTCAGTAAGACTGGGAACCCTCAATGCAATATGATTGAATTGCATGTCAGTGATTTATATATTCACAAAAACAGATGACCCTTAAAATGAGTGTTCTCTATCACTTAAAAAAAAAAAAATCTAAATGAGTATACCTGACTGTACACAATAAACTTTCTCCCTATTGCCCCATGTTAGGGAAAATAACAGAAGATTCTCAATCCCTTTCCAAAACACTTTTTATTTCACCAGAGCCTTCTCTCCTTACATAAATAAAACCACGATATGCACTAGATGACTAGAATCTTTAAAAAATCCTTAAAATTATAGGTATTATCTCTTTTTCCTATAAGCATTTCACAAAATGAACAGACATTTGGTCCATGGTCGATACAACCTTGCCTTTGAATACATGGACTAAGCTCTGTTCAACATTCTTTTATTCATCCAACAAATGACCAAAATAAGCACTTCTCAACACTAACCACAAATCTTCAGGGCTTATCCCAGAGCAGTATCCTACAATTTGCATAGAGTTTTGCTACCACTCTCGGAGAGTCAAATATTGCCTAATTTTTCTAAGCTCTAGGTTGGAAAACTGGGCTGTTACTTTGCCATGGGCATTTGTTCTCAAAAGTTTCTTCTGCTATGGGAAAATTGACAAAACACTTCACTCGATGTATTATTTAGAAGTGATTCTTGAAATTTAATGCAATGGAAAATGCAACGCACAAATCTTCAAATTTATTGTACTAAACAATCTCTCTGGAATATATGGGGCAAAGACTGACCACATAAAATATTGATTTGAAAAAAAAATACTCTTTGATCCTACTACCCTCATGATCAGATGCTTCTTGGGTAAAACATTTCCTACTTGGAATTCCATGGAGAATATCATTACATGTAATTTTCCTACTATAACTGATGACATGGAATGCAATAAGTGCTCATTTTGAAAACATGTGAGCTATTGGTCACTTGGTTTCCATCAGAGAATACTAATTAGGGTAAGCAGTACATGGCGGTCTTGGCCCAAAAGACAGTTAGCAATGAATTCATTAGGGAGAACGAGGATCAGCAAGGCTCAGCTAATTTATAATATTGACCACAACATGAAATTAAGTCATGTTCCAGAACCAGAACTCATTAAAAATGCAGTGGGAGAAGAGGGAGCAAAGACTGTTTTACTTAGAAGCTTAAAGACTCGTGGGAACAAAGTATCAGGATACCCATAGCTTAGGGGAAACCAGGGCTGCCTGCAAAGATTTCAAAGGAGTCAACTTCAAGGACATGGAAAGATTCTTAAGGGTGGTAAGGAGAGGATTAAATAGAAGTTATAAAGTGAAATTATTGCGACGGCAATTGGAGCTACACATAAGGAAGCAATTTCCAGCCATAATTTTAATTAGGAGCATAGAATGATCTTCTGTGTAATGATGACCCTTCATCATTAGCATTATTCAGAATTACCCTGCATCCACATGCATAAACATAGATGGAAATTAAACATAGACATGGAAGAAAGGTCAACCATAATCACATCTTTCAGATCCTCCAACTGCAGGTGAAACTTTTCAAACAAAATACAGTTAGCTCTCAATGTATAAATATTCAATTTACAAACAATTGATAAATACACTGTCACCACTGCCCCCCACCCCTACCCATCTCTGAGCCTTCACACCGTGTACTCCTGACTATGGAACTCCATGCTGCTGCTGCAGTAGCAACACAAATACCTTTATGGATAAAAATGGAACTTTCAAGAGAATTTGTGTATGGAAGAAAGGAAGAAGCCGTAAAAGCAGATGTGCTTTAAGCACAGAAGCAAACCACCTCTGGCAAGCAAACAAGGCTGGCTCACCTCTTCCCAAAAAAGATCACCCTCCAAACCTCTGACATGGATTACTCATCTTTATTTTACCATCTTTTTCACTAAAACAGAAGATTCATTCAGCTTAACAAACACCCTCTGTAAAATGCAAATGACTTGATAAGTGGACCAGACCACATCCATTATGCACATTATGAATCAGATTTACTTTCCTACTACCAGCTACCATCAGCTGCCCTGAAGGAATGAGAGTTTTGACTGAGAATGATTAAAAGAGGAAGAAAGGTAAAATTAAATTCAGAAAATGGAGTGCTACAGGGATATGACAAGGAAGGAGTATCACAACAGGGAAAGAAAATCCAAGAATCATAAGCCTATCAGCTGCTTAGATAAAGGTCTCTAGATGAAAAGAGATGATGACATAAATTGTGTTTTTTAAGATCTGCCAGGAGAATCCAGGAAAGAAAACAAATGTTCTTTTCTCTTCTTCCTTCTTTCCCTAGCAGCAACTTGCTTCCAGGCCCCAGAATTCAACTTAGTCTCACTAAAAAGGAAAAAAACCTAGAACCAGGCTTCCACTTGAGATAAATGGTCTTTTGTGCACTAGTGTAGGAACCTGTCCACTGTCATAATTCTTTATCATGGCCTCCCAGGACACCAGCTCCCCCACCAACCTCACCACAGTCCTTACTCAGTGTTCTAGCCATATGGGTTTTCCTTCTGTTCCTCTAACAGGTCAACTTGCTCCTGCCTTAGGCCTTTGCTGCTTCCTCTGAGAAACAGTCTTCTTCCAGAGAGTCCTTCACATCACTCTGGTCTCAATAAATTTCACCTCTCCAGATGGGCCTTCCCTGACCCTAACCAATGTTGTCCCACTGCCACTCCCCAAAACTCATACATAATGACTTGTCTCTATCAGTCTTACTATATGCTTATTTCCTTCTTAGCACTTAGGCCTATAAGAAACATTATCTTGTTTATTTATTTATTCACTTAGCATCTGTCTTCCATACTACAACCCAAACTTCCTGTAGGCAGGGGTGTCATCTCTTGATGGCTGCTGTCAACCCTGTGCATTGAACAGCGCCTGGTGGGTACTGAGCACTCCATGCATGTTGGCTATAAAAAAGATTTTCAGTAACTACATGGGATACTGCTTTTTTTAATTTGGGAATTTCTCTATTATGAATAGTTTCAAAGGCATAGCCAATAATCATCTCCAACTAAATATTTATAGTTCTAATAGCCCAAGTTGGGTCTCCACATATATTTGTTTCTTTGATGATTGATTGAGAGAGACAGGGTCTTGCTCTGTCACCCAGGCTGGAGTGGAGTGGCACAAACACAGTTCACTGCAGCCTCCATCTCCAGGGCTCAAGTGATCCTCCCAACTCAGCCTCCCGAGTAGCTGGGATTATAGGTATGCACACCAGCATGCCTAGCTTTTTTTTTTTTTTTTTTTAATTTTTCATAGAGACTGGATCTCACTTTGTTGCCCAGGTTGGTTTTGAATTCTTGGCTTCAAACGATCCTCCCTCTTCAGCCTCCCAAAGTGCTGGGATTACAGGCACAAGCCACTGTGCCTAGCCTCTATCATTGTTTTAAATTTACCAATATTTGTCTTTTTGAAGAAATACAACAGGATCCTGGTTCCTGCAGGCCATCAATTAGAACCCAGTCTAAGTGATATATTTATTTTTTTTTACACCCAAATGATATAAGAAGAGAGAATTGAAAAATATGTGTATATAGGTGTGTGACTCCTACAGTATACTGTTTTACACTATCATTTATAATCTTCTATTTTGTATTAAGGCTTTATGTATACACATATTCTCTCGCTTGGACTATAAGCTCCTTGAGGAGTGGAATCCACATCTGATTCCTGCTACCTCCCGAATGCCTAGAATTGTGCTTTATATATACACGTGCTCAACAGACCCCAAATGAATGCACAAATTATACTTGCACTATTACTTAAAATGACTCAAACTATGACCTATCCTGTTTGCAGTAGCAATTTCCCTAAGTGATAACTGGGTGATTGTAGGGAAGCTATATTTTCCTTATATAGTAGCAGCCTAAATGACAATTGAGAAATATAGACTATTTGAAATACAAACATGCACAGGTTACATTGCATACACACAGACACAGGTTTGAGTGAAACTTAAATGTGAACATGTAAACATGGACAGTTCTATTCCCAAAGTCTGTGTTCCGCAAAACTAAGGAGCCCTCTCTCCTCAACTGGCTTGATACCTAACAAGCAGGCTGTGTTGCTACCACAAACATTAACTAAAAGGCAGATATGAGACAGAGCTTTCACCACGTAGCACTAAATATATTGTTTAATATGTAAGGGTTGCTACATGTTACTAGTTTTACAATTGTTCTTATGTCAGTTAATTGCTTATAAGAACAAACAGCACCTTGCCACATGCTCACAGCCACATGTTCTTTGGCTATTTTAATAAGAACTGGACTGGATTTACAGCAAAATAACTTTACTTAGGACTTTCTGCCAAAATCTTATCTGATAACCGCCCCCCACACATGGACATCTGGGGACGGCATTTTGAAACACTGTTTTGAAAGAACACGGAGAAGAAGTTTTCAAGGGCAAAAGAAAGCTTCAAAAGAGGCAATTACTTTTTAAGTCTGATCAATAGTGAAGAGCATGAACTATAAAATACCTCTTAAAAACTCATTTCAGGGTGAGGTGCAGTGACATTTACAGCAACACCAAGAACAAAATACTTATAAACAAGCTGGTGGTATTCTGGCTAAGTAGGTGGTATAAACATAAAATTCTGTTTGTATCTATGTAACTAGGTGGATGGAGATTATCAACCAATTCATCTCTGGTCCTCTTCCTGTATTAGAGTCTTGTACTATTGTACTGGCTCTCTTATTTTAAGCAACTCTGTGTAATGAAGTTTCTGCAAGCTGCGGGGATTGCCAACTGTACAAATACCTTTTTCCATTCTCCATGTTTCACTTCAGGAAATAATTTCATTCTTCTGAAATGTATGGATAGCACTGCCAATCTACAACGCTGCTATGGAAGCCCAAAATACAACAACAACAACTAGCATGATCGCAGCAGGGAGTAATTACTGAATGCTCACTGTGTCAGGCACCCTGCTGAACGTTGGGTATTTATTATCTCAAATAACTCTCACACTCTATTCTCCCTATTTTACAGGTGAAGAAGCTGGGACACAGAGTTTAAGTTACTTGATTAAGGTAGTTCAGCTAAGAATGAGTGGTAGGCCTGGGATTCCAAACCAGTTTTTCTAACTCTAACCCAATACCCTTATCTCCCATATTGAACCAGTTCCTGCCCTGCTGATTTCATAAATGGAAAATTCAACCTCCCTCAAGAAGGAAAAGACAGAAATCCCTGGACACATATAGGGATCTGGGCTGCACCACTCCAACAAGGATGAGTCTAGAAACAGCAGCGTGCTCAGAATCTAGAGAGAAATAACACATTGGTGGAAGTGGGTCTGTGCAGGGCTGCCTTCGGCACTGAGTTGAATGTGTGGTATGATTAGACAGCTCAAATCCATCTATTTTTTAGTGAGCACCCACTATACACTCACCATTTCCACACACACCACAATTTCAGAGATGAATAACAGAGTCTTTGTCCTTACGGAGTTTGTGGTCTAGTTAGGGAGAGAGACAGGAGGAGGAGGAATTAAAATACTGCATGAAGAGACCCAATTCTGACCTAAGTACTAATTGTTCAGGGACAAAGGTATGTCTAGACCCAGCCTATGGTGAGGAAGATGAGGGACTTCCAGGAAGGCTTCCTGAAGGAGAAGGCCTGAGGGAGCCCACAGAGTGCGATGGGTGGACAAGCCTGCAGGCCGCAGGGTGGATGAGTGTTCACACGGGAGGCTCGCAGGAGATGAGGCTGCAGGGCCAGAAAATAGCAATGGCCAATGCTGAATGCTTATGCCGTGCCAGACCCTGTGCAAGTGCACTTTCCTGCCCAACAGCCCAACAAGCTAGGCATCCTGATACCATCTTACCGAGGCAGCTGGGGCACTGGAAAGCAGTGACTCGTGTGAAGTTGCTCAACAGTTACCATGGTAGGGTAGGGACTGAGACTCAGAACCTCTCACTCCAAAGCCTGCAGAGAACTGCGGTGCTGTTTGGCCTCTGAGGCTCAGTAAGCATCTGAGGGCAGGAAGGAGCAACACACAAAGGGTCTAGGTAGAGAAGTAACACGATTCAATCTGTGTCTTAGAATACCACTCTCACCGCTGTGAAAAGTAAGGGGCAGGGGTGGACCAGAGGCACGGAGACCAGTCAACTGCTCAGCAACAGCATCTTCCTTGTGGTCAAACTTCTCATGCTGATAGCTCCCTCTCCTGCTGCTAGTCACCCTTCACAACCCTGCGGCATTCCAAAACAAGGAAGGAATCTATTTGGAACAAGCAATCCATAGCAAATCAGAATGCCCTTTTCCAGTTCCCCACCCAGGTCTCCTTAACAGCATTTATCACAGGCCTCAAGAGGCCTTGCAAGTCCTTTTCTGCCTCCACAGGGTGCGCTCTTGGATGAACTGTGCATAATTCCTCTACGTATCCCTGGGATATAGATGGCAGTGGTTTCTGAATGATGCCTCCCCCTCTCCACAGATGCCGTTTCTTAATAGTCACCACAGGAATGGTGTCTGCCGTGCAGCCAGAAACTCAGGATGGCCAACTTCGATCCTTTGACACCATCTGGCAACTGAGAGCCCAAAGGAATTCCATTATTAGTGTGAACCAACGTGAGTGGTACTTAGAAGGTATCTGACACTCTTCCAAGAACTTTCCGTGTATTCATTCAATTGTCATGACAATCCTATGGGTAGATACAATTAATTATTACCCATTTTCCTGATGGGGAGACTGAGGGACAGGCAGGTTAAGTGCCTTGCCCCAAGTCACACAGTAGGTAAGTAAGTGGCAGAGCCAGGATTCAATTCCAGATAATCTCACTCAGAGCCCTTGGTCTTAATTACTATCCTCTGTTCAATGCTTCTCACAAGAAAAACTAAAGAAAAGAGATCCATGTTCCAGAACCATACCTACTACCTGCTATGAAACAAGCAGGTATAAACTCTCTGCAGGGCTTATGTATTTATTACCAGAAGGGAATAAACACAGATCTAAAAAGCACATATTTTCAAAAGCCTGATGCTGGTAGAAGTCACAGTGGAAGCAGGAGCCACAAGCTCCGAACAGAGCCAGCCAGGTAAGACAGGCACAGAGAACAAGTTAATAATGGCCTAAATATAAAGACATAGCTTCAAATCCAACCTACTATTAATTAATTTATGTATTGCCACTAGGGAGGAGGCAGTTAGTATTAAGTTAGATTAAATTATGGAGAAGCTTCAGCATTGCTATGACTATTTCAACAGTAATTATTAAGTTGCTATGCCTTCCTTCCCTAATAAAAAACCCTTTATTCTGATTCTCAGAATGCTTCGCTGTTCACCTGTTGCCAGCTTCTTTTGACAGGCATGACAGGCTTTTAAGATTAGACTAAAGACACTTTTCAAAGAGAAAAAGGAAATCTGATTTCTAAATCCTAGTAGGCTTCTCATCCTAACTCGCTCTGTGAAGAATATTTGCCACCCTTCTTCTTCTCCAAAGGGTTTTGGATTTCCTTGTTATGCTGAGTGTTACACTTGCAAAGACTGACAGTCCTGGAAGGAAACTGTAGACGTCGAGTGCTGGAGCACTAAATTAGGAGTCCAAAGACCTGGGCTCGGGCCCCAGACTTACCACTTGTGAGTATGGATTTGCCCTCAGTTTACATATTTATAAAATAGAGGCACCTCCCAGACTACCTCCCAGAGCGGCTGGAGGCTCAAATGAGATAACATACATGACAGTTGTTTGGAAACTGTACCAACACATAAATATGAATGACTTGGTGAACTGGCTAATTAATTAGGTCAAGGTAGACCTGAAGTGGAGGGGCTGAGTCACTGCCCCACTGCCCAGCACTGAAGATCAGGGGCCTGGTACTAGTTGTTTTGCTTCACCATCAGAGACAAATTTCCCGGTTGCCTGTAGTGACCTTGGTTTAGATTTTGTCACAAAACACTGATTTTGTATCCTCCTGTCAGTGCCTGAAGACCTCAAGGGCCATCAACCCACTCCATCTATGAAGCTGCCAAGTTTTTCATGGAAACACCAAAGGAAACTCTTTGCAAGGGCATATTCCTTCTTCTGTGCATCAGCCAGAGGCCCAGGGAACAGTTAGTGCCATGAGGTGAACTGTGTCCCCCAGAGCTGATCCACTGAAGTTCTAACCCCTGGTACATCAAAATGTATTTCATTTGGAAAAAGGGTCATTGCAGATATAATTAGTTAAGATGAGTCATTAGGATGGACCTCTAATCCAGTGTGATTGGTGTCCCTATAAAAAGGAAACGTGTGGACACACAGACAGACATGCATACAAGGAGAACTTCCTATGAAGACTGGAGTTATGCTGACAAGAAACTACCAGAAGCTGGGAAAAGGACCTGGTATCGACCCTTCCCTAGCACCTTTAGAGGGAGCACAACCCTGCCAACACCTTGATGCCAACAATTCTAGTCCCCAGAAGTGGGAGACAATAAATTCCTACTGTATCAGCCACTCAGTTTATGGTACAGTTATTGTAGTCCCAGGAAACCATATATTTAGGATTTGCTTTTCCTGTTTCCCTACACTCAATAATTCGTTCATTTAATCACATTTACTGAGGATCCACTAAACGACTAGGCCTTGGACACAAGGTTGAAGAAGACATCTATATCCTGCCCTTAAAGAACTTAGAGCAGGGTAGGAGGTAACAGCCCTATGGACAAACATGATAAAGTGGTGTGGAGGTATGTTTAGAGTATATGTATTTGGGGAACAGGGAAGAAGGCATGGTTCTTTCTGGAAAGAGACGGAGGTTGGGGAGGGAGACTAGAAAAGGTTGCAGAAAGAAGTACTTACTCTGACAAAGTAAGTTCTTCAAGGTCTCCAGCTCCTATAAAAGTTGAAAGTCACAAATCTTTTTTTTTTTTTTTTTGAGACGGAGTTTCACTCTGTCACCCAGGCTGGAGTGCAGTGGCGTGATCTTGGATCACTACAACCTTCAGCTCCCCGGTTCCAGCAATTCTCCTGCCTCAGCCTCCTGAGTAGCTGGGATTACAGGCGCCCACTACCACACCCAGCTAATTTTTGTATTTTTAGTAGAGATGGGGTTTTACCATGTTGGCCAGGCTGGTCTCGAAGTCCCAATCTCAGGTGATCCACCTGCCTTGGCCTCCCAAAGTGCTGGGATTACAGGCATGAGCCACCATGCCCAGCCAAAAGTCACAAATCTAAGTAGCCCAGAAAACAGGCAGAGAATAAAATGACCAAGGTGTCAAAATATGAGGAAGGCTAACAGACAGAAATACTCACTACAGTATTTTTACTGCAGTCTAGGAAACATAACACCTGCCACCCCTCACCCCAAACCCCACCGAGATTCTGACTCAGTAGATCCGGGGTGGGGAGAGAACATGTATGCCCTTAAAAAATTCTACAGGAGATTTTACTGTCCGGTCCCCCGTGGATTCTGTTGGTGCTTCCCAACATTTTCACATCATAGCACATAGAGTCAATAATAATATGTGTACAACACATTGAATTAAAGTAGAGATAACCTCACAACATTTATGCAGCAACCGGTGAGAAGAATCTATTTTTATTCTTTATATCACATTGTTATGGTAAGAGAAATAAAATACTAGGAAAGATCTTAGCAAGAATTTTTATAAATATTCCAAGCACAATTTCTTAAAATCACTGACTTCAAGAACTTTACATAAGTTCCGTAAGAGCCATATAAGTGATGCTCAAATATAATTTGAACTGTTATAATGTTTTGAATGGTTGTAGGAAATGTTCAATGTTTTAACGCAGAAAGAACTTTACAGCTGTGAATATCTGGTGGCAATGTGAAACTCATTCACAGCATATAGTTTAGTAAGCTCTTGGTTATGTTATGCTATCCCAGCTTTTAATTTGGAGTAGAACAAAATTTCACAGACTCAAAAGATGCAGCCACAGCCCTGTATCCTGTTACAGTGAAATCCCAAGCCAAATGTGAAATAGAAAATCGAGACAGACACAACTCAGAGAACATGTGACTTCTAGAAGGTTGAAGTTAACAAACAAAATGAACAAGCACCTCCTACATGGAAAGCCTGACAACCAGAACAGAAGGTTTAAGGAAAGGATTTTTCAAAGACTTGGCTTTTTAAGCTATAGAGGTGGATTCTGAGAACTTGCCCTAAGTTCTTTAGGTACACAGTCATGGAATGCCAGAAAATTCCTGTAAGGTGTTGGTAAGAGGCCAGTGCTACTCAAGCCAGGCCAGTTTTCTTGGTTAAAAAGGTGCAGTTAGAATATGTTGAGTTAATTCCAATAAGACTGTCAATTCAACTTTTACAGGATTGTATTATGGCCCTAAGATCAAATTAGATGTTTTCAATAACACATGCCTTAACAACAGGAAGCCTTCATTAGTATCAGGCATAGACTAAACTAAAAAAGAAAAAGAAATCCTGGTTTTTAGTACAAATGTTCATATACAGTAAGTTCAGCAGTTACTGTGACTGCTCCCTGAGAAAGAAAATGCAAGGTTCTGATGTTAGGTGCTTGACAGATACTTTACATATAGTTCTCTTAACCTATGACTTCCAGAGTTTTGACCACAGATGACAATAAGAAATAATTTCTAGTATCTTCATCAGTATACCTACATGTTTAAAATGAAAAAGTTTCACAAAACACTCTTTTCTAATTTCTTTTATTATAAAAATAATACTTGTTACTGGTCAATATTAATATATAACCTCTTATTGGGTTTACAGTCAGAAAAAAGACTACAGTCAGAAAAATACCAGTTAGCTAAATTATACTACATCTGCAGAGCAAAATATGTGGCGGTCATTAGAAACAATGAGGCAGTTCTACTTCTACTCACATGGAATGATTTTCAAGGTATATGATTAAATGAAATAAAATTAATTTAAAAATATTAGGATTACCTTCTTAATGATGTTCAAGCATTTTTTCCCTCTTCTTTGTAAACAGGACATGAAAACAGAATTTCGTAAATGCTACTGCCCATAAACATCATCTGGGGAGCTCAGTGAAATTCCTGGACCTCATCCTCAGAGACTCTGATGTGATGTTCAGAATCCAGTATTTTTGGTATGTACCACCCCCCACCAACAGACACATATGCACATGCAACAATTCCAACAAAGGTACTCTGAGGACCACACTTCGAGAACCATTTCTAAAGCCTCAGTGACACTCAGTCTTTCAGAGCCAGGTGAGCAGTAACATATTCCCTGAGGCTCGCTGAGGAGCCTCCACTTTAAAATAAAGACTTAGGGAGCACTGACCACCAGGAGTCAGAAATAAGTTCTAAAGGCAATGGAGGAGGTGACTCCATGAGTACTTCCCAAATACTCAAGGCCCTTCTACCGTGCGCACCTTTCCTTTGTCCTGCCATTTTTAGCTCCCAGCACAAAGGACGCTGCAGTAAGACATCAAGTATAGGAGGCCTTGCTGTTGAACTTATGTTGCTCACTGTATCTGTCCCTTGGAGCCAGAGTATGTCTCAGCAGGCCACCCAGGGCCCTGCTAGCCCATGCAGCCCTTTCGTCAAAAGAGGTACCACTACTTCTGGGTAGGACAACAACCTAGCATGAGATGCAGGGTATGGCCAGCAGAGAGCAGGCTGGATTTCAGCACCCTTTCCCCAACCCAGGCATTCATGCACAGTGACAACGTGCACAACCACACCAGATGCAATCCAATTCACTGTCAACCCTGCCTAGAGCTTCTTCTGTGTTCTGGGGATAGAAAGTATGGGCATTGTGTTGGAGCAGAAAGAGCATTGTACTGGGAGTCAGGAGAGCTTTCAGTCTCTACCCTGCCTCCAACCAGCTACTGAGATCGTCACTGGGCCACACTGCTCTGCAGTCTCTGAGAGAGAGAATGAAGAGTTTTGTTTAAGCCTAGGTCCAACCCTCTGGGTCTAGTCTCACCTTCCACAACTCTCATCTCCTTCTCTATACTGCAGATTGACTCAAACACTTCTACTTCCAAAAGTCATCAGACTTTCTCTGTGATGCCTCTAGCCTTGTAGTGCTGTTCCCTGCTCAGGAAGCCCTTCCTGATACTTGTGTGTCTTCAGAACTCATCCATGTCCTTCAAGTTTAAGTTCCAGCAAATTTAACTTTGATTTTAAAAGGCTGGAATAGAAATAGTAATTTCTATGGCCCTTTGTCTCTGGTGAAGCCTTCTCTGACTCCCTCAAGTACTGCTTCCAACCACTACACCTTGAACATATACACCCTCCTTAGACAAAGCATCACACTGTATTATAGCTCCTGGCCGGTGTGCCTGTCTTCCCATTCCATGCAGGTACACAACCTTTGGAGATGATGTTCCATTGACTATACAGTCCCAGGTTTAGAAGGCTCAGTATTCACGGAAGGAATTAATAAATGGGAAAACTGTTTCTTCTACCCTCTAGCAGTTACTACAGTGTCCCTCTGATCAAAGAGACGGATGGACCTACGCCCAGTCTTTGGAGCTATAGACAGATCCTTTAAGTAGAAGAGAAAATGATACTATCCATAAAAGGAATTTATGGTATATTCTTTTCATCAATGCAGCCAGACTGCAGGTCTTAAAGAGGGTCCTTTTACGGATAATATCATTTTCTCCTTACATATAAGCTCCTCCTTATATACCGTAAGCCAGGTCATGTTTATTATTTTATTATCTGTCTTTCCTCTTAAAATGTAAGCTCTAGCAGATCAAAATCAATTTTCATTTCGTGCTGAATCCTCACCACCTAAAACAGTACCTGGAGCCTAGAAGGTGCTCTGTAAAACATTGTTGAATGATGGAATAAATGAACAAATAAGCCCATGAAAATGAAAGTTGCTGGGTGGGTGTGTTAAGAGGAGGGAAAGAACTAGGAACAGGTTCTGCATTTGTAGCATGTTTACAAATTGCTTTATAATCACTAATTAGATTTTCTAAGCCACATTCTCTCCATTGCAGGCAGTGCTATCCTCCCAATTTTAAGATAAGGGAATTCAAACCCAAGGTCACACAGCATATCAGCTTCAAGTTCAATGCTTAGCCCCTAGCCAGTAATAGGAATAAGATTAAAGATACTGCTGATCTCCAAAAGGTTGACATATTAGAGAAAATAAGAGTTGAAGGCATGAGACCCACAAAGCTTTGCACATATTCTCAGCACACTGCATCGAAAGAGAAACAGACAGTTCTGTCTGGAATTGTAAGTTCTCAGTGTGTATACACTGCATTATTCAGTCATCAATTTCCAAGGTCCTGAGAGGCAGACATTTGCAGGAAACAATGGGAGCAGCAGTCTCGCTCCAGAGTCTCAGGCCCTGCCTGCCAATCAGCAGTGACACCACTCTGTCACCAGGAGGCTGGGGCTCGCTCACTGCCAGGGGTCTGTACAGGCTCTTTACAGAGCAGCTGGAGAGGAAAGAGAAAAGGAAATAAAACCTAACTTAAAAATAATTAAATCAAACACACAATAGGCTGACATCAAAAATAAATATATTTAATCACAGTTTAATCACAGTATAATCATCTAGCAGCAAATATGCTCATTTATATTATACATGAGACTCCAAATTAAATTTTTAAAAAAGGAAAATGGACAGATGGATAAAGACTCCTAATTTTCCGATTTCAGCCTTTTTAAATCAAAGGTAAATCTGCTGGAAAATGGCACTTGGCTTCCAGTATTATTACTCATATTCCAAGAAGGGAAAGTAAAATGTAAATTTTGATGAAACTTAAAATTAATTTTGGTTGGACTTTTTCAATTTACTTTTTACTTACAGTTAGGAGATGAGATCACTCTCCTCTTCTGTTTTAAAAATCATTTTCTACAGAACTATCCAAACACGTTCAATACTGCTAGATCTAATGACAGAGGTCATAGTGAGTTTGCATCACTGAACAAGGAATAAAGAAACCAAGAGATCAAAGCATGATTTAGGCTGATAGAAAAATTAAAAAAATAAACCTAGAGAGCTCCCATCCTTGATCCCTTCTAAACCGGATCCACATTTCCAGCAAGTAGAAGGACAAAGGAAAAGGTAACTAAAATGTCCAGGGCAGTAAAAAGTCTGTGAGTCAAGGTTCACATGTATACTCTTTGCTTTTCCGGGTACTGAGGGTATGAAACTAAGAGGTCATGCCTCCCAAAATACTGGAGGTAAATATGAAAACACGCCTAAGCACATACTGAAATGGAGACCAGGAAAATCCAAAGATAAGAATAAATTATATGCTGACTCTGCAGCTTAATCATCAACCACTTAATCTTACCCCTAAGTAACATCACATGAAGCATTTTTAAATATTTAGCACCATAGTTTCTTGTAGGCATCCAACAAATAATAACAAGAGGGAGAAGGGTTTGGTAACAATTCATCCTCAAAGAGCACAGAAAGTGACTGGAAGCTTTCTCATATCACTTAACAGCTACTGAGAAACAATTTATATAAAATCAGAGTCATCCATTTTTATGTGTGTAGTTTGATGGGTTCTGGCAAATGCATATAGTTGGGTAACCACCACCACAATAAAAAAAAAAACAGAACATTTGCAGCACCCCAATAACGTTCCCTTGTGCTTCTTCGTACAATCTCCTTCCCCCATTCCAGGACGCTGGCAACCACTTTGCTGTTTTCTGTCCCTATAGTCTTGCCTTTTCTAGAATTTCATAAAGTAAAATCAAACTGTACGTAGCCTTTGTGTGTGACTTCTTTCACTCAGTATGATGGGTTTGAGAGTCATGCATGTTGCTATGTGGATGAGGAGTTTGTTCCTTTTTATTGCTGAGTAGTATTCCATTTCTCCATGTCAATTTTCTACTCTTCCTAGAAGCCTTAAGATAAGCCCCATGCTACTATTCTAAATACTGTTTATTGACTTTCCTTGATTTTGTCTTTGGCAGAAATGTCAACACAGCTGTGGCCACTTGGCCAGGAACAAAAATAGCACCTGTCAGGAGGGTCAAGCTAGGCAAGCCAACAAGAATTTAAACAAAGAGTTGGAAATGCCTAGCCATACTAAGGAGCAGAAGCCAGCAGATGACAGGCCACCATCTTGAAGAAACCTCTTGACTGTAAAAGATTAGAACAACATTAAATTAAGGAAAACCGTTTCCCCATTGATCGATTGATCAGTAAGTATTTCCATTTAGGGAACAGTGATATACCAGATGATCTGTAACTTGTCCCACTGTGAGGGTGACATGAGCTATCCCATGGCACTTGAAGATTCAGGGTGTTCTGGTGTAACACAGGAGTGAATCTTCAGATAACTGAAATTTATCTTATTAAGTACTGTAAGTACTAATTAAGTATTAAAAGGTGCTAATTCTATGCCTTCTTAAACAGAGTCTACTGAATATAATCAAGTGTTTACTTGATGAGGCAGAGTGATCATTATCAACAGTCTGACTGCATGATAAGCCCTTAAATAGAGTTGTCCTCAGGGATGGCAGACAATTGTCTCCCTATTCCAAATGGTCCCAGAGTATTGCCATTTAAAAATAGAAGTTCTGATCTTCTTCCTATAATGTTAACTATCACTAGTCATACTGTTGCTGTTCTTGCTTTTAATCTACTATAGGTTGAGTTTCCTTTGTCTAAAATGCTTGAAACCTGAGCACTTTGGAATTCTGGTTTTTTGCTTTTTTTGTTTCGTTTTGGTGGTTTTTTTTTGTTTTTTTTTTTTGAGAGAGTCTCGTTCTGTCACCCAGGCTAGAGTGCAATGGCGTGATCTCAGCTCACTGCAACCTCTGCCTCCTGGGTTCAAACAATTCTTCTGCCTCAGCCTACTAGGTAGCTGGGATTACAGGCGCCCGCCACTACACTTGGCTAATTTGTTGCATTTTTAGTAGAGACGGGGTTTCACCATGTTTGTCAGGCTGGTTCAAACTCCTGACCTCACACCTCGGCCTCCCAAAGTGCTGGGATTATAGGCATGAGCCAGTGCACCTGGCCCAGAATTCTGATTTTTTTTGGCGTTTGGGATATTTGCATTATACTTACTGGTTGAGCATCCCTAATCTGAAAACCCAAAATCCAAAATGTCCCAATGAGCATTTCCTTTGAGCATCCCATCAGCAACCCAAAAATACCCAATTTTAGAGTATTTTGGATTTCAGATTTTCCAATCTGGGATGCTCAACCTGCACTATTTTCTCTTTTTATATAAAAAAATTATAAAATATGTCCTTCATACAGAAAAGCCCAAAGAATAAGTATCCAAGTACTCACCTTCTGATTCAGCAACTGTACACACTTAACATATTTCTTTCAGATCACTTTTCCTCTACTAGTAAAAACAATTTTTTTTTTTACATTATGAAAGTTTAGCTACCTTCCAAGACATCTGGAAAATAGAGAAAAGAAATCACTCTTGGCTGGGTATAGTGGGCCATGCCTGTAATCCCAGCACTTTGGGAGGCCAAGGCGAGTGGATAGCTTAAGCCCAGGAGCTCAAGACCAGCCTGGGCAACACGGCAAAACCCCATCTCTACCAAAAAAAAAAAAGTATATATACATATATATATACACACAAAAAAAAATTAGCCAGGTGTGTTGACACATACCTGTAGTGTCAGCTACCTGGGAGTGGGCTGGGGGGAGGGGGGACAGGGAGGCTGAGGTGGAAGGATCACCTGAACATGGGGAGATTGAGGCTGCAGTGAGCACTGATTGCACCACTACACCCCAGCCTGAGTGACAAAGTGAGACCCTGTCTCAAAAAAAAGGAAAAGAAAAGAAAAAGAAATCACTCTTAACATAGCACAACCACTCTTTACATTTTGGTAAATTTCTTTCTTTCCTTTATCCCCATGCAACTGGGTTTCCCAGATCTTTGTGCATTATATATATAATGTGGTATGTCACTTTATCACATGTTTCTTACTTTTTTTTTTTTCAGACAGAGTCTCACCCTGTTGCCCAGGCTGGAGTGCAGTGGCACGATCTCAGCTCACTGCAACCTCTGCCTCCTGAGTTCAAACAATTCTCCAGCCTCAGCTTCCCGAGTAGCTGGGATTACAGGCACGCACCACTACACCCAGTTAATTTTTGTATTTTTAGTAGAGACGGAGTTTCACCATGTTGGCCAGGCTGGTCTCCATCTCCTGACCTCAGGTGATCCATCCACCTCGGCCTCCCAAAGTGCTGGGATTATAGGCGTGAGCCACCGCGCCTGGCCCACGTGTTTCTTTAGATTGCTACACACCATAATTTTTTAGAGGCCGCATAGCAGAGCAAGTGAATGTACCCATTATTGAACCAATCCTCTCTCATCATTACTCACTTAGGATATTTCCAATTATTTGCTATTGTAAATAGACTCCAGGGAATATCTTTAAGCATACGGTTTAGTCTTTGGACTTTTAATCTACTGAGAAGGCGTATCTGAGTATTTCTTGACTTGACTTGTTATCATCAGAGTGAGGCCTAAGAAACTGTTGCATTCATTCATTCATTTATCCATCCATCTATTCATTTATTTGAAACACATTTACCAAGTTCCTTCTTAAGGTTAGAGATCTTTTTTAATGAAATAAATTAAAATGCATGGTTGCTGCACTCAATAAGCTCATGAACTAGCTGTGAAGACAAACTCACTGCACTTGAAACAATCAGACAGCAACAAAGGAACGAGGCAGGATTCACTGATTCACTGCTGAGTGAATGACACATGCAACTCAGGGTCTGGAGGAGGAAAACCTCCTTGCGGTTTACGCAGTCAGAAATGGGCAGCTGAGGAGTCCTTAAGGATAGGCGAGGTTTCTACTTACGTTGGCTTTACTTATCTATTTTACTGCTCTCATATTAACGAAGAGATGGTACTCAAATCTTTCCCCCAATCCAAAGTCAAGTAGAGCAAAAATAACTCTTTGTCTCCTGGCATTACGTGCTGTCCCCATCATTTTTGGTGAAGGAATCAGGATGGTGGGCCACCTTTCCTGTGCTACCAGGGAGCATTCACACATAGGCTGGGCTGCAGAGCCTGTAAACAGCCTCCTCTCCTCAAGCAGCCCAATTTCTCATATCTTAGCAATTGAACCAGACAACTATATCCCCTTTCTTGCTCTGTCAACAAATGCATGAAAAGCCTCTTTTTTTCTTAATGCCTATCAGACTGGAAAAAGTGCCAAAGAAGTATGTCGCCAGTGTCAAGAAAGACGTCCATGGAGAAAGAAAGGGCAACAGTTCACCTATTTTTTTCCCTCTGAAGATCAAAATGTAAACAGGCAGGCAAAGGCAGGCAAGCAGAAAGGCCTGGGTCAAACTCAAAGTTCCCCACCCCACCCCCAGTCTCTCTGCTCTATGAGACCCTGTCTTTTTGGGCTATCGCAAGTCCTCCTTGGCATGCCTCCCTCACCGGTGAACTTCTCAGTGTCAGAAATAGGGAGGTGCATCCAGTTGGTAAAAGCACAGAAATAAAGAGGCAATGGGAAAGCCTGAACCCACAGGTTCAACTAGATTCCCACACAAGCACACATTGATCTTCAATTTGAATCAGTGGGGGGAAAGGTCACTTATCTTTAAATGTGAGAGCTGTCTAAAACGAATGTATCTGCTGAAACATGGGATATAGCAATGGGCTAAATAATTACTGATTAATTCACTTAGCAGTCACCTCATTTTCTTCCCATTGTCTTCCCTACGTTTTCTTCCCCTGAGGAAATAAACACCCTGATGAAATAAAACAAAGTCTCACAATGCTGATTGGAAAGTCCCTTCTGGCAGGAGCCTCAGCAGTGACCACTAGAGCAAACACAGCGCCCACGTAATCTGCAAGAAGGTTTTACCTTCCTCTATTCCCTTGCCAGGAGCACCCTGACAAACATTACCTGGCTTCTTTGAAGATAGGTTTTCTGAAGAGGATTCCATTTCCTTCAGGAACTTTCTAGGGGAGGCAGTCAGAGGACTGAGTAACTGAAATGAGTGTTACTATAAGGAGGACAGGATCATCTTGCCCGGTGGGGAGGCAGGTCCAGAAAGCTTCGGGGGGCAGGGTACTGCTTCAGGGAATTTTGACAGAATCTGTCATCTTGTCAAAGGTGGGCATTCAAGGAAGTAGAAACAGGGTGAGCAAAGATGTGCTGGGAGGACTCAGGGAATTGCCAATAATTTGGCACAGATGGCCTGCAAAAGAATTGCTTCCAGACTTTTGGATTTCACAAAGCAGGCCATGAAAGAAAAGTAATGCCCATGGAAGAGTCCAGAAAACAAAGATATTGACTATCATTATCTTCATTTTGTAAAAGAAACAACAGTTTAGTGCACACATTCATCAAAAGGCATCACCTTCGAATAAAGGCCACAAATGCCGCCGTATCTAACTTGAAGAAACAGTCATGACAGCGTGTCTATGTTTTTTTCTCATTGCATGAGGACCGGTGGGAACACTGTCATGGGGCCAGCCCTGGTCTGCACATTTGGGCATGATGACTACAGGGCACAGGAAGGGGCTTTCCTCTCCTAAGAGGCCACACAACTTGCCCAAGCCTCACACGGGGGAGACATTAGGAAGCACTCAGGTGGGGTCTGAAGGGAAGCCTGTGTGTCCACCTGCTTCTCATGCTACAGGCCACTTCGCCTCCAGGCCCATGCTGATGGCCTGACAACTGAAGGAGACTGGCTCTTGAGGTCCAAAACTCCACCAGTCATTTAAGTGTCTGCAGGCAGCATGTGAAGTATAGTCATCAAGTATTTTAGATAAAAATGTGCTCATTCGATAGGTAACGCCATTAAAAATTTCATGCATGAAGAATTTGTAACTAGAAGTGAAAAAGTTTTAAGTTATAAGGCAAATGGAAAAGCACAATACAAATTATACATAATAATTAATAATGTAAATAAAGACTGAAAGGAAAGGCATCCAAATGTTAACAGCAGTAGCTCTTGGGAGGGGGGATTTTCGATATATATATATATATATTTTTTTTTTGAGACGGAGTTTCACTCTGTTGCCCAGGCTGGAGTGCAGTGGTGCGATCTCAGCTCACTGCAACCTCCACCTCCCGGGTTCAAGTGATTCTCCTGCCCCAGCCTCCCAAGTAGCTGGGATTACAGGCACATGCCACCACACTCGGCTAATTTTTTGTATTTTTAGTACAGACAAGGTTTCACCATGTTGCCCAGGCTGGTCTTAAACTCCTGACCACAAGTGATCTGCCCGCCTTGGCCTCCCAAAGTGCTGGGATTACAGGCATAAGCCACCATACCTGGCTTGGAGGGGGAATTTTAAAAATGCTTTTCTATGTCTTATAAATGTACTATAATTTATTTTCATGTTTTCCTTTATTTTCTATATTTTCTACAATACTTTCAAAAACAAAGGATGAGGCCAGGCACGGTGGCTCATGTCTGTAATCCCAGCACTTTGGGAGGCCAAGGCAGATGGATCACTTGAGGTCAGGAGTTTGAGACCAGCCTGACCAACATGGTGAAACCCTGTCTCTACTAAAAAAATACAAAGTTAGCCGGGCATGATGGCGCATGCCTGTAATCCCAGCTACTTGGGAGGCTGAGGCTTGAACCCGGGAGGCGGAGGTTGCAGTGAGCCGAGATCATGCCATTGCACTCCAGCCTGGACAAAAAGAGTGAAATTCCATCTCAAAAAAAAAACACAGAGGATAAAATCTTTTAATTTTTAAAAGTTTGAGTCAAAACTAATGTTTTTAAAAAACCTGCATTATCCAATTGTCATAAATTGCCACAATTCACTCTACTAGTGAAAAAACAAAAAAGAATTGTGGCTCATGTTGACATATACTTAATAATTATTTTTCTTTCTACTTTAGTATATCTATCTCATTAGCATTTTATTTTTAGATTTCCCAAATCAAACCAGCAGCTTCATGTCTTTACGTAGTTTCGTCCTCACATGATGATGTGAGAGTTTCGATTTGACTTAATTATGTCACTATGCAGAGGAAATTTAGCTAGGTCTGTTGATGAATCAGAAGTTCTCTTATATAAAACAACAACAACTACTACTACAGGTCAGCTAATGATATAGATGGTTTTTAAAGGAAATGAATCAGCTTTCATGGTTTCATGACAGGGTTGCTAAAACTTTGCTCTATACGATTTTCCCATATTTGGCTACATCTCTTCAACAACTTCACAAGTATTCATCTGAATACCTAAAAGTCCTGTATTTGGAATAAATCAAAAGGCTTGACTTACTACTCATGAAACCCTGAATCTAATTCCCTGGCCAGGGTATAAGTAAGCTGGCCCTCTGACCCACTCCATCTCCCAGTTACCCCACTGTGCTACTGAGCACACCTTTTCCTCTCCCAAACTCTACTGCATTTCTTCTAATACTCAATGCTTCATCTATGCCAGGCATTGGATTAGTTTTTTCTATCTCCCATTGACTCAGAAAAGGGAAAAGAAAAATCAAAGGCCATATAAGTAATAACAAATGAATCCTGACTTACTATTCCTTTGTAAAAGAAAAAGATAAAAATTAAAAATTCGACTCAGGAAATACAAGAATAGTAAGTAAATACAGCGAGTTAATGAAGAATTACAGATAAGAAAGTAGTGATTGAAGAATGAGTTATGCAGAGGCGAAATTCAGCTAGGTCTATTGACACAGGACAGGAAAAGGAAGAAGGTAGGAGGTTTGAAAAGGGGACACTGCAAAAAATGGCAGTGGAAAAAGTACAAGAAAGATACAGAGATAACCCAATACAGATACACAGAAATACATTTGAATTTTACAACTTTTTCATAACTATTATGATTACATGTTTTTGAAAACAGTGTAAATTGGTGTTGCATTTTCACAAAGCCGTATTATATAGTTTCTTAGTTTCTAGGGAGAATTTTTAAAATTTATAAATCATGTAAAAGGTTTGTTGAGCAGTCTAGGTAATTTCCAACTTCCAGAGACCAATGTCCAGTTCATTATAATTTCTCCCTCGAATCAGCACCTCCACTATGGCCCTATGAGCAGTGTGGGGCCACTAGTACTCTCCAAGGGTACACTACTTGGTTTGCTCATCTTGGAGCATACAGTTCTTAACACTGTCAGCCAGGAAGTGGGCTCTCAGAAAATGTTTGCTGAAATAAAACTAATGAAATGTAAGCATCAGGCTCTTTGCGAATGATAAAAAGCATCACACTTCCACTAAAAAAAAAAATTAGCAACAATGTATTTTATAAATTTATTTTCCTAAAGTCTATATTTAGAATATGATTATTCAAAAAAGTGAGTAACTTCTATTGGGGAAATTTTCATTAATAACCAGATTGCAGGTTTTTCCCAACTATAATAAAAAGGCAAAGACCAAAACAAAACCAAACAAAAAAAGGATTGTTCAGTTCTAGATGACGATACCAGGAAATTCTACCTGAGGCAAACCTATCCCATAGCCATCTCCATTCTAACTGTCTCACTCTCTGCAGCCATACTGAACAAACCTATTCCCTCTTTCTTGACAGCCCTCCTCATATCTGGAACTATGTTCTCTTCACCAAGCTAAGCATTACCAGTCCCTCTTCTCTTCCTCATTCATGGCTTCCAGAGCCTTCATTTCTTGATAGCCTTTCTACAGAGACTTATTTCATTGAATATGACAATCAGAATTGATGTGGTCTGGCAATGACCACGGTGGGGTTACCACTCACCATACCCAGAAATCCATACCTCTATTAGGGGTGCTTTGGGATGTCTGCAGCTCAGAACTGTTTGCAAAACATGTATCCTCTCCTGCCCTCCACCTACCTGCCCCTCTACCCCCTCCCCCTGGAACAATTATCATGAGACTCTAAGAGAAGTCCCTATCAAAACTTCACTATGAAAAATCCAGGGAGAACACTGGGAAATGCCAAGAATTCTCAGTCCCTGGGTACTTTCATAATGGGATGAAGAGGTACACATGAAGATGGCCCCTAACAAAGCCTCCCCGAAGTTTTGGGGACTGCTGTCCTCCTTGACTGACCCCCTCCCATCCCAACCCATGAGGGTAACTGGCTTATATGACTATTTAAGAAAGAATCTGCAAAGCGCAGATGAGCTTTTGCTACAATCCCACAAGTTGATCCCATAATCTAAGCTGTCCAGCAACAGAATAGACCTGAAATAAGCTGATGTGAAATAAGCCCTTAGTGATCACAATGTTCAAGCATGGCAGAGGGCCACTGTCAGGGTCCCTACAGAAGTCTCCAATGGGTAGAGCAGATGGGTTTGAGACCACTAATGACTCTTCTAGTACTTAAGATATGATCATTATACAGCCTCTTCAAGATCCTCTGGTCAAACTTAACCTCATATCCAATAGTCTGATGTTCTGGAGTGAGTGCAGGACTCAAACATTTATTCAACAATCAACCAACTAACTAACCAAACCACATTTACTGAATGTCTCTTGAATGCCAACCATTGTGCCATACAGGTGAAAAAGGAATTCCACTCACATTCTCTGGCCAATGGGATCCTTTATTTTTCTGCTTGATCTTATTAATCTATCACTGAGCAACCTTAGGCTGCTGCTGACAATTAATACTAAATAATTATTTATGATTCCCTATTCCTACCTTTTATTAATTATGGTACTTAATTTCTCAGTTTCAAAATTTCTGTAACATCATTGATTATAAATATATTCTATTTCCTACTAAGATGATGCCTACAATATTGAAAAAAAAAGGGGGCTCTCAATGATAGAAGGAAAAAATGGCCTTTTCTCCTAAAAACAATTATATTCAAAATAGACAAAACATACTAGGGAGAGAAAAAGGCAAAACATTAAAAAAAAAGAAAAGTAAAAGCTTAGAAGTAGATACAGTAAGATATTTGCAATTGCTATCTGCCCTTGCTCACTAAAACTAAAAATAAAATTGGCTTGCGGTTTACTAAATTTGGTTGCAAGTACTTTTCCCCACCAAACCACTCTGCAATCACATCAGTCACTAATGAAAATGATTGGGAGGGGGGATGGAAAGGAGGCTGCAGTAAAAACACACTGTATATTTTCTGGAACATATGATGAAACAGAAGGTTTCACTTCTTGTTTCAACCATTTTAGCACCTTCTCCTTTTACTCAATTTCAGGGCATGAAAGAGACTGGGCAGTTGTGCAGAATATGAGGAGAACTCATTTTGAGAGAAGATTAAAACCTGGCCCACTAATAAACTATCTTCAGTTACTGTACACATCAGTCAAACCAAATAATTCACTCTCAGTTTAACTCATTCTACAGGGCTCTGGAATAATACATCACTCTTCTGATAGAGGCACAAGTCCATTAATTACCAAACTGTGCTGCCACAGAGTTATACGGTCTTCATTCTTCCCCTATAAAGTGTGTTTTAGTTTTCGAGGCAAGAGGAGAAATTCAGAGGGGAAATGAGTAATTTAGGAACCTTTTACAGCTCTCTGGCCTGCACTAAGTAATCCTTTCTTCCCTTTCAGAGTTAATCATCAAAGGTACTGAACACAGTATGGAGGGCCTGGCCACCCATGCCCATTCAGCAACTACAACCTCCACCTAAATTCAGAATTATCATACAAGAAATGACCCATGCAGAAGAGACCAAGAGAAACAACCACATCTAGGCTGTGACAGCACAGAATGTATGTGTGTGTCTGTGTGTGTGTGCACGCGCACATGGGAAGTATAGGAACCAAATACCTGGGTCCAAATTCTAACCCTGCTTCTTCCTGGGAAGATGATCTTGTGCAAATTAACCTCACAATGCCTCTGCTTTTTGATCTGGAAAATTATCTTAAGGGTATAAGGGTACCTACCTGATAAGGTGTCTATGAGGTTACATAAGCTAATGTAGGTAATGTCCAAATCACAGTAGCTGGTATGTACATATACATACACCCTTGATAGATACCTTATTCATTCAATCCAAATTGCCACTCACTCCAGCACACTGGTATCTCTGGCTGCCAAGAGTTATGCAACAACATACTTAAACACCAAATCATCTAAATCATTTGGGTGGAACCATCGATCCTTAACCAGGCTTGTGAAAGGTTCTCTTGGCTCTGTTTACTTTGGACAGGCATCAAGCGTCTGTTTTCCTCAGAATCTGAAAGTCACTGGGTCAAGGCTGTAGAGGCCCCTTTTCACACAGAGGAACCAGTCAAGGACTGAGATTGCTCTGTGTGGTGGTGGTGGTCACCTGGCCAATTGCATGGGGAGTCACTTCGTGGCTTTGGCAGAGTCTGCCACTGTCTGCTAGAATAAATGTGGAGCCAAAATATGATTTGTCTATTTTGACTTGTGTACATTTTCTGAGTACAAGAGACTATTGATAAGAAGTTTAGGTAAGTGGAGAAAATGTTTGTTGATTCCCCAGAAAGCACAAAATGTTCATTCAGTGAAGAGAGAAGACCATTCGCTCATTATAGTTATGAATTAACGCTACATCTTCTACAGCAGAGGTTCCCAAGAGTGTATTGAAATTACCTGGGAATTTGTTGAAACACAAATTGCTGGGTCTCAGCCCCATAGTTTCTGATTTCGTAGGTGTGGGGCAAGAGGACACAGTGTTGAGAATCTGCACATCTAATACAATAATCCAGAAAATACTGCTGCTGCTTGTCCAGAGACCACTCTTGGAGACCACTGCTCTATAAGCAAGAGTACGTCACCAAGAAATTTAAATTCAGATCCTAGAACTAGAACACTACCAAGCAAGGGGGGAAATCATTCTTATGAGACAGTCATTGAATGAATGCATGAATCAAAGGGCAGATAAATACCTTCTCTTCCATCATATGCTACATTTCCCATATTTGTTTATACCGGACTCCATACTACGTATAAATAAAGACAGTCTTCAATATCCATTAAGATGACCTTCGATATCCTTCAACCAACCACAGTGGATTCTGAAAGCATACATACATGTGCATGCACACAGCCCCTGTGGTGGTCTGCTCAATGTAACTCAATCTCCTCTCTCCTTCCTTTTAATAGCAGAACCTCCAGAGTGTCTGCTGGGCAAATGGCTGCCCAGCTGCAGACTGATCTCCTCAGCACCCCCACAGCTAGGTGTGCCCACTAAGTCCCTCTTCCCACAGGCTGATAAGCAGACAAAGTGAGAGGAGGCTGGCCTCAAGCACTGAGTCAGGACCACAGCCTAGAGTAGAAGGTGGCAAAGTTCCTTTGTAAAGAGCCAGACAGTGAATATTTTTGGCTTTGTGGGCCCTATCAGCTCTATCACAATTATTCAACTCTGCCATTGCAGCACAAAAGCAGTCACAGACGGTATAAAAATAAGGAGTATGACTGTGTTCCAATAAAACTTTATTTATGGACGTGAAATCTGAGTTGCAAATAATTTTCACATTTTTTCCAACCATTTAAAAATGTAAAAGCTATTCTTAGTATGCGGGCTGTACAAAAACAGGAGACAGGCCAAATCTGTCCCAAGGGCAGCAATTTGCCAACCCCTGCCCGATGGGAAGATGACACAAGACAGAAGGAACCCATCCTTAGACAGCTTCGTGGAGGAGACATACTATCCACCCTGAACCACAGTCTACTTCCATTCGTGACAGAGACAGCTTTTATCTTCTTTTAAACAATTGATTTCAGGGTCCCTGTTAATGAAGCTTAGCATGTAATGCTAACTCATGCACCTACATACACAAAATCACATTTTGGTGTGACACGGTTTGAGTTTAGTACTGTTCAAAATGAACAAAAAATTAAGGAATGGAAGAGTCCCCTTTATTTTTTTTTAATCCCCGATGTAAGCTTAAATTCCCCATGGTCTCCTCCTAAGTTTCTCAAGTAGCAGAACTGATAGGAATAAACACTCATGTTGGTTCCTGCAGCAGGGATTGCCCAATGTCTATTCTCTCTTTATCTCTGCATAACAGAACCCTGCACAATGTGCCCTGCAGGGGGAATTATACTTCTCGACCTCTCAAAACTTGGTTGAGGGCAGGCACTCTGGGCCTAGGGAGAAAGGAGACCACATTGAAAACACGCGCGCACACACACACACACACAAACACACACACACACACACAGAGAGAGAGAGAGAGAGGGAGAGAGAGAGAGAGAGAGATACTTCCTAATGCTGCCTGGGCCTCACCCAAAACCCATGGTCCATAGGGGACTGACAGGAGATAAAAAGGCAAGGAGGGGTAGCCAACGTAATGGAGGCAGTAGTTATTGGTGGGGCTTTCCAGTAAGCCCTTTTGGCCTTCCTGCCCTTCCTTCTGGAAGCCTAGAAATCAGGAGTGCTAACGAAAGGGGAAGAGAACGGCAGAGACTCCAGCTGGCACAAACATCCTGGACCACTGAAGACAGCAACAGGTGAATTCCAGAATTCTTGACTTAAGCTGCTGTGTCAGGTGTCTGTTACTAGTAGCCAATGCAATTCCAATTCCCATAAGCCCCAAATTAGATCCTATTTCCACAACCGAATAAAGGTAGCACCCACATCAACGCAATGCACAGCTCTGAGATGGAGAGAATTCTCAGATATAAAGGAGCAACAATACATGGGGCTAAGATGCGGGTCTCATAGGGTGACTCTGGGAAAGCCAGTTTTTTTGCCTAAGTCCTCTCACCATCAGTTTACCCAAATAACTTCTGACTGGTCCTCTGTAGAAGCAGTCCTATCTTTGATTGCCATTGAGAATTCAATCTGATATGGACATAGACTGGGCTTAATGATGTCGAGCATTTGAATGAATGTCAAGAAAATGAGCTGCTCATTTTGGCTCTCCACTCATGGCTTTAGGCCTTGGACCAGCCTTCCCTGACTGAAAGCCAGTCAGTAGGTCAGAACATCCTATGTGCCAGCCACTGTCCTGGGCCCTGGGAACTGCAGTGCACTTGGCTTTGAGTCCCTGCCCTTAAGGAGCTCACAAGCTGATGAGGGGAGAGAGACGCTGAACAAACAAATACATAAAGACAATTTCGATAGAGGAAAGTTTTATGAAAAGACATAACGGGGTAATGCAATAGCAAAATAGGCAGGAAGGTGGGCTCCTAACTCAGCTGACATGGAGAGAGAAAGCCTCCGAATAGATGAGACTTAGATGCTGAGGGGATATTCATAGGAAAACCCAGGGAAGTAACTGGGAGTGGGGTTGATGGGAACTCCCTGTACTACTTTTGCAACTTTTCAGTAAGTCTAAAATTATTCTAAAAATTAAATTCATTTTTAATATAACAAATTTTTTAAAATCTAAAGAGAAACCCAAGCAGAAGAAACAAGAGCAAAGATCTTGAGACATGAACAACACTGGCCAACTCAGGAGAGGAGGACCGTGAGTGGGTGCAGCACAGGAGCAGAGAGGAAGGCGGGAGGTGGGACCTTCGAGGGGGCGTGGGCAGGAGGTGTTGAGACCGTAAGCCCTGGGAAGGTGTCTGGGTTTTCTTTTGTTGGAATGGAGAGCCTTGTCAGCACAGTGGCTTGACATGATTGACATTTTGAAGGATCACTCTTGCCGCTGTGGAGGACGAGCTCTAGGGTGGTGGAGAAAGTAGAGGCAGGGAGGCCCAGGAGGAGGCTGCAGCACTGGGAGATGGGGCTTCAGTCGCAGTCTTCAGCCTCCTTACCAACTGCAGGAAGAATCAGTTTTACCTAGTAAAGTTCATTCTTCCTGGTGTACACATAGCCTATTATACTGTAGACTGCATAAAAACGGGGAGTCTAGATTCTCATACTTCACTCCTGGTGCCTGAACAATTTTTTAAAATATTCACCCAAGCCCTGATACCCCTTATAAGCGAAACCATAATTACGAAATAAAGTGCTTTGAATTAAAAAGTTGTTTTAGGTTAGATTGTGATAGTTTAAAAATGGCTACTTCATGAGTTTGATTTGCTTATAATAGCAAAAAAGCAGAACTTAACAGAATGATGGGGTGATACTGCCCTCCAGGTGGTGAAAATCGGTTCTGGGTGGGGTACGGAATCTCACTCTAAGTGTAAAGCACAGATTACATATAGGACATCAACAGATGCACAGTTTATCTGTGGTATTAAAATCTCATGAGGAGGGATGGGAATAGGAAAAAAATGTCAAAAAAGGCTCCAGGATATGGGGGTACATAGTGAAAAAAGAGTTGAGAAACGTGAATTTGCATAAACACCCCAAATATAGCATAACCCAGGCAGAACTCCGCTGTCACTCTCTCCCCTCACCCTGTTCTACCTTTCTTTCCAGCCCTTACCACTACCTAATATGACATACTTTTGTTTCTTTGTTGTCTACCTGTGTCCCCCATCTAGAATGTAGGCTCCATGAGGGCAAGGGCTTTGCTTGTGGCTGCACCCCCAGCACTTACAGAAGGGCCTGGCACACGGTAGGCGAGGCTTGTTTTGTGAAGGGAGGCTGTTGGGTGAGATGTCCTCAAAGGTTCCTTCTGCTGCAAACTCTAAGATTCTCAGATGCCCTCGCAGCATTGTCAGCCACAAAACATCGTTTTAGTTCCATCCCAGGAGGCCATTCCTTGCATACCAAAACCATCTCATCAGAAGGTGGCCCCACTTATGATCTCCACCAGCTGTGTTTTAGGAAGGTCACGATATATTTATCGAAACAGCTCCATAGTCAGAAACTTCAGCATGACAGTACCTCATGCTGCATCAGGTGATCATGAAAAGATTACAGGCTTTCTAAAATTATCAGCAAGATATGGACCTTTATGGCTTGCATTCAGCTTCTAATTGTCAAGAAGGAGGTAGTAAATCATTTGGAAGTTTGTTTTTGGTTTGGTTGGAGAGAAAAGTTCTTGAGCTATTAGGTATAGAACCACAGCATTTTTTGACCTGAAAGAAACCTCAGAAATCATCCATTCCTGCATTAGAATGTAGCTGTGGATCTCAACGTCTAAGTCTGAACTCTGGTTATGTTCTAGTAAGTGACAATGAACAGATTATTTAAGCACTCTGTAGCTCAGCTTCCTCGTTTGTAAATTGGGAATAATAATAGATGCACCCCATAGATGAATTAATTCATGTAAGGCTGTCGAAACAATAATAATATGTAGCACAATTCAGGCATTCAACAAATATTAGCCATTATCATTATAACCAGCCTTTTGGTTTTTACTTTTTTTAACTTGAAAAATCCTTTAATCTAAAAAAAAAAAAAAAAAAAAAAAAGTCTACTCAAAAGCCCTGTAGGTAGAGGATGAAAACTACTAGGAAGTCCTACAGAAACCCTAGAGCCCCAAGAACACTCCTAGAAAACCAGTGATTAAGCCCAAAGCACACATTTTATTCCCCAAGAAATGGAGGCTACAGGTTGAAGTGACTAGTCAAGGTCACAGAGAACTCCAGTTTCAACTACTGGCCCTCTTGCACTCTACGTTACCAGGTGCCTCCTTGTTATTAAGGAAGTACAGAACATGTGCTAATGGGGGCTTTGCTGCTGTCACAGGAATGAGTGTCAGGAGTGACTTTCAGAAACTGCATGTGATCTTCACAGAGAATCATGGAGGTCCCCATGGCAAAGTGAAAAGCAATAAGTCCCTCTGGGGCTTCCCTGCCAGATGGTTATACAGCCTCTGCTTGAATATTTCCAATGAACCCACTGCTTTCCCTGACAGCCTTTGCTGCTAACTAGCTATAAAAACCAGACTTAGAAGCAGTATATGATTATCCTTTATTCCCCAAGAATCTCACCATTCGCATGGCAGTATGGTGAAGGCTTTGGAGTCAAGCAGGCCTGACTGTGTGATCTTGAGGGGATTACTTACTCTCCTTAAGGCTCAGTGTCTTCGCCTACAAAATCCAAATAATATATAGTACCTCCTTTGCAGCCTTTCCGAGAGGGTCAAATGAGAAAATGCATTCAATTGTGTTTTGTAGTCCCTAGTACTTAGTTGCAGCACAATAAATTGTAATTGCTATTAATTGTCATTATAACCATCTACTCTCTCCATTAAACCATTAGGCTATATGTTACCTATTCAAAGGAAAGGCAAAGTTCTTAACAGCAGGCTCACTTATTTGGTCCAAGGCAGGAACTTGCTAACTGTCTACCCAAATCAGGCCTTCCTTTCCTCTACAGTAATAGAATTATAGCTAGGCCATGCTGAGGATACATGCCCCAGTGCCTTTGCAGTTCCATGTAGCCATGCAATTAAGTTCTCACTAATGCAATAAAAGTGGAAATAAGAAGTTATCACTAATAGCCTAGGCCATACATATTGTATGTGTACTCCTCCATACTCTTTTCCTTTCCCTCTACAGGAACACAAAGTTTCATCCTCAGGCCCCAGAGAATCCAGCTTCTACCTTATGTGAAAGAGAGACAAACTTCTTGAGCCTTTAGTTCATGTAAGGTTGGGCCTATTTGTTACAACAGCTGAACTTTTTGTCCTAGAGTGACCGCTCCTTGGGATCAGTGACTTAAGCTGAAACATTTACAATACCTGTCAACAAGCTAAATGGTAAGATCATGGTCACAACCTGACAGACAAGTAAAAGGACAGGTGTTAGAAGAATATTAGAAGGATATATTCTTTAAATACCCTTTAAGTCTTGCAGACACACCATGAAAATTAGTCTCCATGCTTTTTGCAACTCTTCTGATATAAAGACACCAGGGGCTTCCTTGGGTGTATAAAACGTCTGATGAAAGGTAAAGCATGAAACTAACTCAAAGCCTTTACATTCCTATGGCTTCAGGAGTCTTTATTTCAGGCAAAATATGCAAGTGAAAAAAGGAGGACTAAATCTGTTTTTAGGAATAATCTAATCTGGTCCTTGGAGCTTAAGACTTCATGGTAGAGGAAACATCTGAATACGATTCAGTGGCTATCAGTTTAAGTTCCTGCGTCATAAACTTAGTGCCATTGCAGATGAGATGCAGAGCCATGGATCATGTCTTCTGGAGGCCCACAATTTAGTGAGGAGAAACAGGAAGATACTGGAATAACAATAATAGAATGCTGCCTGTTGTGCTTGTTATACCAGATAATAACAAAAGCATTATCAGCTCATGGTCATTAAATGTTTAACATGTGCCCCTCACACATCAGCCTTATATGGCAAATATCCTATTCCTCAGTTTGCACATGGAAAAATCATACCTTAGTAAGTTGCCCAAGGTCACACAGCAGTCCAACCAGAACCTGGGACAACTGACATCAGAGACAGCTCTCTCAGCCACAAGAAGGTGTGATATACAGTGGGAGAAAGGGAAAAAGAGGTTCCCAACTGGCTGGGCTGTCCTTTTCCATCCTCCATGACATCGACTTGGAACTGGGGAAGAGAAGGGGCACAGGAACAAGTGGCAAAGCACCCCAAAATTCTTAAAGCTCTCTATGCTAGGGGAGGGCATCACAGGAAGCATCCCTTAACCTTCTCAGCCTGGCCAAGCAGCTCAGGAATTGAGAACACAAGTACAGAAGACTGGGCAACCCAAATTAAAGCCTTTAGGTTCTTAAGGAACCTTGTAATAAAAAGGGGTCATCCCTAACCAAACAAGCAGGTTCCCCTATTCTTTGTGGCCAAGGAGAAATCATTTAATTGCTTTTTCTCCCCTTCAAGTCCCAATTTCCCTGCCTGAAATGCTTATTAACTCCTCCATGGGGAGTTACAACATATGCGTCCCAAGCCCTCTGGGATGTCGTAGGGACAGCAACCTCCTGTTTAAAGAGTACCGTGGTCACTTTAGGAGAAAATTTTTATCTCTGTACTAAACATCAAAATCCTTTTGGACTCTTCCTATTTCTGATAAAATGCATCCATAATAGATTGGATTACTGTTCACTCACAGCTCTCCCTCCTCAAAAGAAACATACTTCCTTGACCTAATAATTCTGGCCTTGGCCATATTACTTAATTTGGCAAAAAGAATGTTATGTGCATGATGTGAATAGAGGCCTTAAATAAGCTTCTGTGGTTTGGCTTGACACTTGAGCTCTAGTAGTCCACCATGAGAAAACCATGTCCCTACTAGCTGCTGCCCCTTCAGCCTGGTTCCCAGAAGGAACATCTGTGACCAGATGTGAGCCCAACCCACAGCAGATTAGCTGACCAGCAGCCTAACACAGAGCCACCCAGCTGAACCCAGCCTCAATCAGCCAAACCACAGTGCCCCTGCAGACCAGATAGCATTAATGCTTATTGTCTAAAGCTACTGAGTTTTGGGATAGTTTGTGATGCTTCATTATTGTAGCAGCAGCTGATCATCATTTTAATTTAGGAAAGGCTAAATTACAGGTACGAATATATGTATCTTGGCATATCTCACACTCTGATTTTTCTCTTGAACTTCATTGACTGCATGGGCATCCTGTCACTCAAAGCACACTACTTTCAATTACTTGAACAAAGATGCTGACAGGTTAAAATACAGATAACAGGTCCAGATGTCCTCGGTAAAACAAATGGCTTATTCTGACAGTAAAGTGTTTCCACTAACATCTCTCCATAACATGCAGATGTGAAAGAAAAAAACTGTTCATGGAATTCATAAAATACTACCTTTCAGAATTAAAGAAATGGCACTGTGATGGTGAAATAGTATCTTCAGAGGTGGAATCTATACAATCTCCCTCAGTACTTCTTCTCAAATAAAATACATGTTACGTTACTGCTTTCAAGACCATTCTCCTCCCCTGCCCCCATTTCTGGCAGTCTCATAACCACTAAAATCTATGCAGATTTCACAAAGCTACTGAAGAAATTTTTTAAAAGAAATCTATGGGCTCTCAGTTTGAAAAATGTACCAAACATTATTTTTAATACAACACACTTGGCTCGGCATGTGGCTCACATCTGTAATCCCAGCACTTTGGGAGGCCTAGGCGGAAGGATCACTTTAGCCCAGGAGTTTGAGACCAGCCTGGGCAACACAGGGAGACCCCATCTCTACAAAAAATATAAAAATCAGTCAGGTGTGGTGGTGCGCACCTGTAGTCCCAGATACTCAGGAGGCTGAGGTGGGAGGATTGCTTGAGCCGGAGAGGCGGAGGCTGCAGTGAGCCAAGATGGTGCCACTGCACTCCAGCCTGGGTGACAGAGTGACACTCTGTATCAAAAGAAAAAAACAAAAACAAAACAAAAACAACAACCTTATTTTTCATTCCCACTTCCAAATAGCAAACACTAAATAAATTACATTAGTCAAGTGAGTTACATTAGCCAAAAATTTTTATTTCAATACAGAACACAAAAAGTAAATAGAGCTTTTAGAATTAAAAAACAAGCAAACTAGATTTAAAGAGAACTAGAGTGCCAGTTAGGGCTTCTCAGGTCCCTAGGGGCTTTGAAGGTGGTAATGGGGCTTTGAGCTATTTGAATGTTATAAAAAAGCAGAATGGAAACTAACCATAACGAAGTCACACAACATTCCACATCATCCTTTGGGGCTGGAATTAGGTTCCCTCCGTGTGGTAACATTGTCTGACACAAGGCTACACATGCAGGTCCCAGCTCCCTCTCCTATCCCACCCCCTCAAACACACCAGATACTCCAGTCTCAGGCCCTTGCAGCCTCTGCCTGGAACATTCTTCCCCTAGATGCCCCAATGGCTCATTCACTCCCCTTCATTGAGCTTCACTGAACTTCATTCAGACCCCTTCTGAAATGTTTCCCTCTCAAAGAGGCCGTCCCAGACCACTTTATCTCAAACAGGCCTTTCAACCTCTCTCTCCTGACTCGCTGTATTTTTCTTCACAAGGTTATGACTGTTTGAAATTAGCTCATGTATTGTGTTTTGTCTGCTTCTTCCATGAGCATGAGGCTTTAACTGTGTAGTTCACTACTATAACCCCAGCTCCTAGACAGTGCCTGCATAGTTGGCACTCAATAAATAGTTACTAAACGCATAAATTGGGTGTTTGAGATGTTGCTGCATGAAAAATAAAAAAAAAGCATTTAATTACTTATTAAATCAGCCTGTTTTGTTAGACAAAATCTTTCAAGAAATAGAACCCATGAGAAGGGAGAAGGAAAATTAACAAAAGAGGCCCTTGGTTACATATATATATATATAAAAAAAGTTGGAAACCACTTTCTTACTCAACTACTGCTGAGTCAAATAAGCCTGGACCAGCTGCTTAACTGTATCAGGGCAATATATTCTATAAGACTAAAAATGATTTCAAGTGATGTTGACAAAGATTGTTTAGGAATAAAGTATTTTAAATATTCTCTGCAATAAGTAAACAACTCATATATTGCTGTGCAAGCTTCTAAAACAAGGCCCAGCCTGGGGTTTTCCTGAGAAGCTTCCAGTGTTTAAGTCTGTAACATTTCAAGGACTATTATTAAAGAGATGCACAGCCCCTTAAAGAGGAAGGCATGGCATTTTGTGAGTCCTAGAGTCATGTTCTCGGATTTCTTCATAAAAGCCCTACAAATCTTTCGAATGATTCACCACAAACCTTTACAAACCACACATATAAAATCATCTCTTGTTTTTTCCATTGCTTGGTTGTTGCAACATGTAATAATTATGTTTTCTGCTTATATAGATTAACAAACCTCTCTAGACTCTTGAAATGCCTTCTTTCCGAAAGAGAAAACTATATTTATCAAACATGGAAGTATTTTTCTAATCACATGATCTAATGTCTCAAAAACTTAAATCTGGATAAACAATACTAAATTAAGGCTGCTATATTTTCAAACAGCAAGAATTTGTGTGTGGAATGTTTTAACAGCTCATGAATTCCTACGACCACTCAGTATGACTTACACAAACACAAACCAAAACTCTACCAGGGAAATCAAATTTCACCTAATATCTCCAAGGTAAAATATTTAACAAAAAGCAGAAATGTATATGGTTATTTTGATTGTTTTTCTCCCATCATATTATGGAAATATGAAGAGGACAGGAGACTTTGAGGAGTATGTGGCATAGGGAGCATCACCATGGATGCAAAAAAAAGGTAAATCCTATCAGTGTTATAACATGTGTGGGGGCTTCCTGATCTCCAGGCCCTTCATAGTCATGTTTCTACTTAATCCTCATAACAACACTGGGAGATAAATACTATTCCCATGCTCATTGCACAGAAGCTGAGGGCTACAGGAATTAAATAAGTTGGCCAAGGTCACGTAGCCTGTGGGATTCCAGGGTCATGCATAACCGCTTCACAGTAAAACCTCCACCCCAGCCTCCTGCAAAAGACAAGGAAGGGAAATGACCAGACAGCTTTCTTTTCTTCAGAATTCACCAGCTAGCACACTGAATATAGGTGGTGTCTCACAAAACACTGTGATATGTGCATACTATCACCCCATCTTAGAGAGGAAGAAAATGAGGCACAGGGAGGTTCTATAACTTGACAGGAGCAAAGCCAGGATCACAAGTGAGGCAAGCGAGCTCCAGGAACCTCACACTGAACCACAGCTTACTGCTATTCTCTCAACTTTTCTCGTCCAAGCACCTGCACTCACTCAAGACTTAAAATTTTCATCGACAGAATTAGCTAGTTGGCCTAGATCATCTGTAAGTTTCCTTTCCATTTTTAAATGATAAGATGCTCAATTCACCTGCAAAAGGGTTTTTGCCACAATAAAAACACTCTGGAGAGAGTGTTTCAGTGGTCCTGCTTTTTTTCCCAGGGGAAGGAAATGGTACTGATAATAATCTTAATACACTTTTAGGATTAAGGCTTATCATTTTAGAATTTGGTATAAAAGAAAAAGTTTTAATTACAATGTTTTCATGTTAAAAAATAGTTAACTGCTTCATAAAGAACAATGGAAATTTTGAATAAAAACCACTATAAGCTACTATTCTTTTCATTTTCTGTAGTTCAGATAGCTTCTTTGCAGGAAGCAATGGTATACAAGGTTTACTTTGCACCCCGCCATTCATACGTGCTTCATTAAAGCACATGGCCTGTCATCAATGGCTCTTATTAAACACAGTGATTGGGTGGAGTGGAGCAGTTGTCTTGCACAATGTTTTTAAACCCATCTGTATTAGTTACCAGCATTTAAAGATGAGTTTCGGCCGGGCGCAGTGGCTCATGCCTGTAATCCCAGCACTTTGGGAGGCCGAGGCGGGTGGATCATGAGGTCAGGAGATCGAGACCATCCTGGCTAACATGGTGAAACTCCGTCTCCACTAAAAATACAAAAAATTAGCCGGGCGTGGCAGCAGGCGCCTGTAGTCCCAGCTACTCGGGAGGCTGAGACAGGAGAATGGTGTGAACCCAGGAGGTGGAGTTTGCAGTGAGCTGCGACGCGCCATTGCACCCCAGCCTGGGTGACAGAGCGAGACTCCGTCTCAAAAAAAAAAAAAAAAAAAAAAAGATGAGTTTCAAGTAAAAATCTTAATTCCTAGCTTCTCTCTCTCAAATAATAATAATAAATAAAAGCATCTGCCAACAAAGGGCCTGTACTCCAACATGGCAACACTGGGTATCGGCTGCCTTTTTAAGCAAAGCAAAGACTCTTCAGTTTGCCAGTCTCTGCCACGCCCCACTGCATTGAACTTGGTTACTTCCCTCATATGCTGTGTCCTGAGGCATGTGAGTTTGAGACTCTTTCACCACCACAGGTGCCCTGGTTTGAGCATTTGTACTCTAACTACATAGCTGAGACAGTAACACAGCATCAAACTTGCTGTATATTAAAGGCCTGCCTCCAGTAAAACTAAAAACTACACCCACAGAACTGAAACCCAAAATGGACACACACCTTTAAAAGTTTGATTCCTTTTTGAAACAACACAATCCTCCCAATGCTCGATATTTCATTAGTGTAACCCAATGAGTTCCCAACCTTGGCAACACATTAGAATAAACTCTGAAGGGCTAAGAACACATAGGCTCTGACTCAGAACCCGGGAAACCTTTTCTCCCCCAGCTTCACCCAAGTGATTGTGAATGGCAACCCATGTGTTAAAGTACTGGTGTAAACACTGACATACACAGTGTGACTTATAAATCAATAAGGCTGATTTTCCACAAGCCACAGATGAGAATCATTCTCATTACAAGTTATGTCAGATATACTACACTGAAGGTGCCATGATAGTTCCAGGGATTGACAAAAGACGATTCCTTTATTCTAACATCTGAAGTGAAGTGCATGTATAACTTAACGTTATACGTTAATCTCTTTATTTTTCTGTGTGATGTTTGCATATTTTAACAGCAAATATTTTGGTGTGGGCCCCTGAAAGTGCTGAAGTGGAGCCAATATATAAAAGGGAGTTTCCAATCTGGGCAGAATATTGAGACACATTAGTTTAAATCACACATCATCAACCACTTTGAGTTGATGCCAAACTCCAGATGTCTAGTGTCAGAAAGATCTTATTAAAAGATGTACTTGGCATCTCTCTAAAATCTAAACTATCTCTAAGTTACAGGAGGGCTGCAAAACACCTGTGTGACACTTGCTATCAGTCCTGAAGATGAGTCATACTCCACAGTCTACCAGCCGGTGAGATTCCCAAGTAAACTGAGATGAGCTCAATGAGGACAAGAGAGGCCTAGAAAAAGTTAACTGCAAACTGTTGAGGCCAAGCTTTCCATAAGAAGTACTTAGCTTGGGTTTACAAAGAAACTTCAAAAACCCCATTTCCTTCATGTGATGTTTGATACCTGAGGAAGCCTGGGCATAATTTCTGCTTATTTATGCCTATTACCATGGTGTTCAATTTACTTAACAGAAAACTGTACAAGTATGCCTCTACAGATTCCCCTGCTTTTGCCATTACTTTCATAATTATGCCATATATGGAAAATCAGGCAGCTAAATTAGCATTCGAGAGGCTCTCGCTAAATGAATTAGGTAAGAAAACGAGTGCTTCAATTTTAAGCCCAGATGTGCTCCTGCAGAAGCGATTTAAGGTCTGGTGCTGGAGTGACAGGACTTGATGTGTGCCTTCTCTGTGGATGGCACCAGGGAAGCATCCAGCAGTGAGGGCTCTACACATAGGCCACAAGCACTGAGGGTTTTCAGTGCTTAACTCACAGTGTTTACAGTTGGGCCCCATATGTACCACTAGTCAAAAAAAAAATCTTTAAAATAAAGTACATGAGCTGAGTACTGGGCCGTGTGCATGCAATCCCAGCTACCAGAAGGCTGAGGCAGGAGGATCGCTGGAGCCCAAAAGTTCAAGATCAGCCTGGGCAACATACCAAGACCCTGTCTGAAAAATAATAATAAAATAAAGTACCTGAACATAATTACATGATTTTAATTTTGGAAATCTGAAGTAAAAGAGAAGTTGATATGTGTGTGTGTGTGTGTGTGTGTGTGTGTGTGTGTGTGTGTGTGTGTGTGTGTGTGTATGTGTGTATGTGTGTGTATGTGTAGAGGGTTAGGTATTGTGTTTGTCAGGAGAACCTATCCCTAAATGATCATCAGCGAGAGAGAGAAAACCAGTTAGCGTCTTTGGACAATTCAGTAATTACAACCATTTTAGAACTGCCAAATTATTGTTTTCATTGTTGTTACTGTGATGGGATGCTCATGCACCCTCCTGTCCTACCTAAGTGTTTTCTTCAGAAGCCTTGACACATTCAGAAACATTTCTACCTCAACCAGACAACCGGCATCAAAATATGTCATCAACCATCCATACTGCTCCCATCGACACTGCTCTTGGTGGAAATCCAGCCTTTCTGTATTTATTTCTCCAAGACTTTCAGGTGCGGAAGAGCCTTCAATGAAAATGCAAACATCTTGTAAAAGATCACAACTTAGGCTGTAAAGAGCAAGCACTGAGTATATGGGCACACCTGGCAGCAAAGCCGGCCCTGGCTACCCCGGGCATTTTCCTGGCTGTTCTTTGCTCTGTGTCCTGGCTTCCTCCTGCGTCGCATGGGACTAACACTGCATAATGCATATTAAAGCAACTAGCCAGTAGGTACTGTGAAAGGAAAATCAATCTCGGGATCCCCCCAAATAATAAATAATAGTATTACTATCTCATATAAATAAGACTGTAAGAGCTGCCCAAGTTTGAAAAGCTCAAGTTAGTGAGATCAGGAGGATTCAAAATCCAATTCTGTATAGCTTCACAGTCCATGCTTCTCACCACCCAGGCCTCTGCCTCCTGTGTACCAAATACCCCTGGCAATTTAACAAGGAAAATCAATTTCCTTTTTAAATCAGCTTTAAAAAGAGTCTCTTTCAGATTCCCTTAATATAAACCATACTGGACTAATTGCATAATGGATATTTGTGTGAATGCCATAAACACATAAACATATAAATATACAGCCCTCATTGATGCAAACCTACAGAAATTAATTTCAAAGATGTTTTTCACTGTCCAAAGTTACCTTTGTAATTTATTTTTTTCACAGCCCAAAGTACTTCTCAATTTTTATTTTCATACCATTTCTGAAAACACGTCTTGGGGACGAGGATAGGATGATGACAAGACCCTGAGTTTCTGGGGGAGGAAACAGTGCACAGGAGGTGACCACACAGTTCAGAGCACACCCCCGCTGGTGCAGCTGTGGGCAGGGGCTACAGGACAGAGAGGGGAAGACCCATTAAAATAATGATATTTATTGAGGTAAAAGAGGCTTTCTGTCCTGAAGAAAAATATTTCTGTTTTATACCAATATAAACAAACACTCTAGTTCATATTTCACTAAGTGTGTTATTTAACTAATATGGTAGCATATTTAACTCCAAAGCGGAAGGCAGTACTTACAGGATGGGGGTAATGTCTACTTCACAGGCTTGCTGTGAGGGCCAATGAAATACTATACAAAAATTATTTAGCACTGTCTGTGGCACATATAGTAATGATTCCCGAATTGGGAGCTCAAGGAATAGACCCAAGTTTTGTGGGCCTGCAGATTCAGACTTTTCTTATGAAAAAAAATTGAATGTTATAAAATGTTTACAAAAGTGATTATCTATTGAGATTAAGAAATCACAACAAATCACAAAATTTTACAAGCCGCAATACCAAAACATCCTAAAATCAGAATCCAGGAAAAGAACCCAGTATGTGTATTAATTAACTTCCTGACACACTGCTATAAATACTTCTTTTGGGCTGTATACTCTGATGAATCCTCATATCACAATGACTTATATTCATATCATTTTCCACAGGGCAGAAAGATGAATCAATCTCCCCTCAAGCATGGGTGATCAAAATTTATTCCTAATTATTGACAATTCAGAAAAGTTACTTTTAGCCTTATAGTTCTTTATTGGCAATGACATATACATTTTTAGGATTGTTGTCAAACCTGTAATCACATCTCTTAATTTTCTTTCACATATGAGCCATAAAAATCCAGGACATTTCAAGTTTTCTCGTGCAATGACTAACTTTAAATATTCTTTTTATCAATGATACTCATTAACCAGTTTGTTGTCAGTATTTTTGGTATCAGGCATATTCATGTCAAATGAACAAGAATCTTAAACACAGAATTCCCATTAAAAATGGTGCATTTCTAATAGTATATTTGTATTATTGAGTATATTCCTAAAAGAAGAGAATTTTCATACTGACTACACTTAGATAAGAACTGAATCCTCCACGTAGAATTTTACACATCTAACAAGTGAAAGAATTCTCCACAGACCTGGCTCCACGCACCATAAACCATCCCACAGCAGATGTCATGGTACCCGTTAACACTGCAATTCTCTCTCTGACCCTCCCCTTTGTGTAAGGACCCCAGGTAAGCTGGCACGGTGGGTGGCGATCCTATGAAGCAACTTCTACACTAGGATGGCTAGGGATAACTTGACACAGAGATGACTGTGAACTGCATAAATACATCCCACTAAACCCAAACAAAATGTGGACCCAATTCGACTTCCCCCTAGCTATATCTCAAAAGCACTTTCAAGTCCAATGTCATCAAACCCAAACAGAAATGTGACAGCAGGGAAGTCAGAATGAGAAAGAAAAACATTAAAGGATTGCTTAAAATCTTCTTCCAATTTTACCAGTTATGATCCCATGAAGGCCCAGCTACGTATACTGCTAGGGCTCCTCCAGGGCCCTGGAAAGTGCTGGGTGGGCCCTGGCAATATATTCAAAAACGGCAAGGAATGCGTTGTACAAGTCAGGGGCCCTGGGGCTGGAGCTTCATTAGCTTCACAATAAATCTGCCTCTGTGGTCCCTATTATTATTCATTATTTATCTCAGTCTGTACATGTCTGGTCTCTCCAAATAAATTTCAAATCCTTAGAGATAGGAAGTACTGTCTTAAGCACTAACATAGGAAATACTCAAAAATGTGTGGCTGTCCTCACTATCCATGGTGATCTTGAAAGAGAGGGAAAAAATGTATAATACAAATGTATACATATACACACATAAATATATACACACATATGGATATACGTACACACATATATGTGGTATGTGTATTAGACATATACATGTATTATTTATATATGTGTTAGATATCCTACATGCCTTTGTGCCTAAAATATATATTTATTTCTATATATCAATTATATCTATAATACCAAAGAAATGGTGAATTTTTCAGTGTTATTAACCTGGCATCCAGATCATGTCCCTTCAAGGAGGTCTATCTCAGGAGAAAGTCACCATTGTAGTCTGGCAGACAATGAACAGTGCTTCCTTGGGAGGCCAGTGGGTGAGCTGGGCAAGGGACAATGGCCGTCAGGGGACTATCAGTGCTCTCTGGTGCTGGGCAGACAGTCTATTGTTAGTGACCCAAGAAGAGTCCCTCTGACTCCTGCCAAAGTTGACAGCAATTGGAAAGACTTCACCCTTAAAGAGGATATCCACTAATCTGGTCCCTGCTTGCAGCTAGCTTTAAAAAAAAAAAAAAAAAAAAAAAAAAGTAGGTGAAAACTACTGCAACATTCCAGTGCTTACAGCGAGGGGAAAATACAATTTTCTTTACAGCAATTAAATATATTAAATGGAAGGCACTTTTAAAAAATACACACATAATAAATTTCTGACATCTATGGTTTCCTATCTTCAGATTCTAAATAAATAACATTTTTCAACTTAATACGTTAGCCAGGTCAACATGGAATAAATCTATTACCTCACCATGAAACAAAATGAGTATCTACAATCCAGCAAGTATTTCTTTGTACACAGGACACGTCTGTACTGTCAAGATCTGAAGGCGGGGGTAAGAATGGGGTAGAGAAATATAAGGGAATGTGGGGTATGTATGATTGTTGCCCTAGAAGCTAAAACTAGAAAAGGAGGATTTTTAAGGAATTCAGAAACATTGTCTCCTGTCTCTCAGACTCAGTCTACAACACCAGGCCTCTGGCTTCCAAACAGTCCCAGGGAAGCCCCTCATCAAGTGTCACCAGCCTGTGCCAGCCTTAAGGTATCCTCACTGTCACCTACGGGAAGAATTGGGTTTTCTCAAAACAGCTGTCAGTTTGTATTTCTAGAACTGTCAACGTAGGAGATATCTCCGAAATATATGAACTCTAAAGGAAACCATTTTCTGAAGAATATGTGGGTTTTTGTCAACCCAGTCAGTTACAGGCAGAGTTCTGGTGTCTGTACATTTCGGTCACATGTCAGAAAATGTGTATACTAAATGAAAACAATTAGAAGCTTGTGAAACTTATGAGACAGGATGTTCAACAGTGATGTTTTATAAAGGATGATCTGACTGTTTACAGGTGAGAAGAGGCTAATGGAAAAACCAGTGAAAACAGAGTTTTGGAGACTGCCGTAAAGTTTCAGATTTCGGGTTCCCTGATCCTGCCTATGGGGTGTGTGGGTGTGTGTGTGTGTGTGTGTGTGTGTGTATGCACATGTATTTAAAACTCCTAGCATTACACCTGGGGGCTTCTCGGGAACCCTGGGAGTAACAGGGAGATCTTGCCGCCAAGCCACAGGGCACAGGCAGAGAGCAGGGCAGGCAGCAACAAGCCTTTCATTCATTCATTTATTAATTCAGTCATTCCTTCTCCCCACAGGAAGTGTCCTCAATGGAATGCACCCACAGGCCCAAGGCACAGTGCCTCTTTCTAGTCCTGGATTTTTTCAAATAAATTCAGGCCACAAGGAAAGGCCATGTTGGAAGCCGCTGGCTTTGACACCACTTTCCCAGTCCACTGTGGCAAATGCCTCTGCCAGGGTGTAAAGTGCCTCTGGCCACACAAAAGAGAACGTGGCCAGAGGCTGCAACACCAGCACTAGACTGTTGAGGAGTCTCCTATTTTCCATTCTCAGTCCTTCCCAGGAAGAGCCTGATGATGTCATAGTTATAAAATGCCCAAAACAGCACCACTAATAGGTGGATACAACCCATGTTAATCTCGAAGGTAGACTCTGACAGTAGGATTACATATTTATTTAGCAGATACACAAATGGCAAGAAACTAGATGATGTAGACAACTTATTATTGTAGATAAACACTTCACATATATTATCTCACTTAATCCTCACTAACCACTCCGTGAGATGGATGCTGCTACTATCCTCATTTTACAGAGGAGGCATAGTACGGTTAATTTGCCCCTGGTCATAAGGGGGACAAGTGGCAGACATGTGTGTTCAACTCCAAGCAGGCTGGATTCGCTATGCCACTGCTCAGATGACCTTCATCTCGAGTTCAGTTACTTTCTAAAGGAGGAAACAGAGTCAATCGTGTGAGGGGAGGTGAGGAGGGGACTGTCACGTTCTTCACCTAATTGGCAACTGGCATAGGCTTAGCTTTGCATACCTGTCTGGAATTCAAATCTCAAATCATACACATCAGCCACGAAAGCTCAGGCAATTATAAACTGTACCTTAGTTTGCTCACCTAAAAGTGGGAGTAATAAGGACCTATGACATATTGCACAGCTTATCTATTTAGTACACTGTGATGCTCCTTTGAGAAGATAATGCAAATATTTACTAAATCATCTTAGGAGCTAAATTCTACAGTTTTGATAGTAAGTGCCCTGATTTTTTTTTACAGAAACTTTGACCTTTATTAATTAGACGGTTTATAAATCTATACTATGAAATGAAGCACTGTAGGTTTATTACCTGGGTTTTGGAGATGAGGAAACTAACAAGTAGAGACTCACAACAAGAAACCTGTTGATATTCGGGGTCAGGAACCAAGTCATAGCTAATGCAAGCCATTCTTGGTCAATGAGACTCTGCCCCTTAACTGGGCCCTTGCAGGGAAATGTTTCAATAGCAAAGCTGAGGATCCTAACATCTGAGGAAAGTTCTAAATGACCTGCTAGTCTGGTACGATCACATGAATAACTGAATTGGGTCAGATTCCTGTGTTTCTATTCAAGTGCTGCAGGCCTGCCTTGGGGCCTGTGTACTGCCTGCGCCCAGAATGTCCTCATGACTAACTCTCACACCTCCTTCGAGGTTTTGTCTCCCATATCAGCCTCTCAGCAAGGCCCACCCTGACCAATCTATTTAAAATTCTCATACTTTCTCCTCCCAACCCTCCGGACCCTGATCTAGTTTTTCTCTTTTCTGTATCACTAACCACCTCCCAACATACTGTGTATCACATACCTCAATTGTTTATTGTCTGGCCCCCTATCCTAGAATATAAACTTCCTAAAGAGTGATATTTTCATTTTGTTAACCAAAAAATATCAAGTGCTCATAACTTTGCCTGGCATAAACTAGGGACTCAATATATATTATTACATAAATAAATTCAAAATGCAGAGGTACTTTTAAAAATGCACCAAATAATCAAATAAGAATGATTCAACAGTTGTGTTTCTCAGACAAAAAGCCATACGATTTCATAGCACTGGGATGCAGGGTTGTAGCGGCATTTCATGAGCCTGGGACATGACCTTCAGTGCTAAATTTAGTGCTCCTGGTGTTTCTAAGATTCCCAGTTACCAGTTTAACTTCATCTATCTAGGATGTTCATACCAAGAATGTTTCTACAAACTCAATTATCTACTCAAAATAAGAAGCAAGCAAACCTGGACCTGCTTTTCCCATCTCCATGTAACAGACTCAGACCTATGAATGAATTGATAACAAAATTGATGGAAAAGCACTTCACAGTTGCAGGGCTACGGGATTTCTCGGCAATTTAAATTTAAGTGGGGATGGGGGAGAGTTTTAGCTAGGATATTCAGTGTATACACTGAGACAGGTACTCCAGTACTGAACCAGCAGTGAAATGCAAGAAAGAAAACAGGAACACCGGTACAGCACTCTTCCAGGAGAGAAAAGAGCTAAAAAAGTGGGTGGTGAAAATCACACTTCCCTTGGTTCTAAAGCCCCCAAATCCTTGTTCATTATGGGGAGAGGAAAACAGTTAAAAACAAAAGTTAAGCATACACATATAAGATAACAGAGAGTTATTCTCAACTTAATGCACTTAATTAATCCAAACTAAACATAATACTTTTATAATGAAAAACACAGGCCTTGAAAAATCTGCCAAGCAAGAAACACACCATATTCCCATAAATATTCATTTTATCGCTGTTTAAGGGTTTTTACTAGTGGCTAAAGGTAATAACCCAGATAGGCCCCCAAAATGGAATGCTCACCTAAGCATATCTCTAATACTCACGGTTGCTAAATAACAAGACTGTTGAACAAATTAAAAGCAAAATAACACACCTCTTATTCTTTTCATGAATCTTTTTAATGTAACCACTCACCAACAGACATGAAATCAGTAAGTCAATCATTAACGGTCTCCAAATACTTATAGATTGAATCAAAAACGATAAATACCACATAACAATACCTGTCTAGAACTTTGACTAAATGCTTTATATTTTCACCCATGTCTTTTCATCAGAAGTGTATTTATATGACACTATCTACTAATTGGGATATTTTTATTCTTCTTAAGATCAGTTCTTCTTTCTGCATATAGGGCTGCCTTTGATAGTAAAGGGCCTCTCCCCAGCAGAAGTGTATAATAGTTTGAGCCTCTTCATCCTGGGAATTGCAAGTGTTTGTTCATTTTAACATTTGCTTTTCATAAAGTTTGCTGGTTCAAACTGTTTTCAACTGTGTTAGCCCTGCAACACAGTTCACCTAGGTCACTGCTATTGCTGTAAACTTAATTTTTCCACATTTTCACTATTAAAAGGACAACACTAGCCTTCTGGGAATGAGGTAGCATTACTTCAAAGCTGAGTTTTAGAAAACGTATCAAACTCTTAACCTTCTTTAAAAATGTGTGCAAAATATTAAGACAATTTCTACACTTAAAAAAAAAACCTCATGATTCACCAAGTTTTAAACCATCTCAAACTAAATCCTCAAGAAGGATAACTGTCTTTAACACATTTTAATAAATATAATTTATACTGTCTTTTAACCAGCTTGTCTAAGTAGGTAGGCAATGGGGTAAAATTATTACTCAGCTTATATAAATTATAGTTTATTCTGAAATAACTGTTAGCGAGAATGGATGGGATATGCAATGACAGCCTTCTGTAAGTCAAGAGAAATTATTTATTTATATTACTTATATCATACATATTAATGTATAGCATTATCTATATTTATTTTTTACTTATTATTGGGAGTAAGGGGAAGAACTTGAACTAGTAACATTTCTACCAGAACTTCACAGTACCGGTGTTTTCGCTTTATTTTAAACTAGCCATCATGAAAAATCTGATTTAATACTTTCAAGCACTTTCAGTTATGACTATTCAATCATGATATGAATCAGCAAATTGGTTGCTCCATTAAACTGCTTTTAAGACTACCAAAACTTGCCCAGCTCTTCTGTCATACCTTTAGCAGAGGAAATGGAAGAAGCTATTACAAGGACGCCTGAAAACTTGAAAAGTTTCAAAACCTGGACAATTACTCAACAGCATTTTCCTCTGAAAGACATTTTGTAGACGTTTCCCATGATTATCTCCTATTCCGGATGGCCCATCAAATCACATTCTAAACAGGCATTCAACACTTATTAAGCAGCCACTGTGTGCAGAGACAGCACTATACTAAGCAAAGGAGCATAGGGTTCTGCCTCATTTTATTCCTGCATAAATACACAGCAGTCGTGATTTATTCTCTCAACTTTGTAGAAACGTGAGCTGCATCCACATGGCTGAATCCATGGCATTCATTTGGACTTCCTGGGGGCAATTTACAGGTTCTCTGGATTAGACAGCCCCATTGGGACATCGCTCGGACCCTTCACCTTCTAGCCCACGCAGGACAACTCGCTGGCGTCGGTCACACCTTCCGCAGGTGGTTGGACCGCCTAAGCCAGATGCACCCGGCCCACCTCCCTTAGCAGGGGTTCCGAATAGAAGTGTGAAAATGTGTGCAATGACTTCTGCAAATCAGAGGACTTGTTGAAAGGTCCAGGGGTCCAGGCGTGAAGGGAAAGCAGCCACCCTGCGGGGCGCCCCCTCCCCGGCGTCTCCCGGGCCCGGGGCGCTGCGCAGGCCGCCGCCGATCCCAGGGCGCAGCCAGCGCACCTCGGGCCTAGCACCATTAGAAAGGCAAATCGCAGAGCCGGGGTGCATTTAAATGCCCGGCCATGGGCCCTGGGGGTGTCTCTCCAGCGGGCGCCGCCGCAGGGGCCTCCAGGGCGCGTCGACCCCGGGGCGCTGGGCGCGGCCCGCGGGCGCACCCAAGACCTCAGCCCGCAGCGCCCGGGCGTCCGCGCCAGGCCGGGGCAGGGGAGGGCACCCAGAGCCCCCGGGCCCGCGTCCCCGGCCCCGCCCGGGCCCCTCGGCCGCCTCCCAGGGAGAGGGCAAGCTCCCCGGCCCCCGCCCGCGGCCGCCGGCCCCGGCCCCCTCCCGACGCACCACACCTAGCAACCGGCGCTGACAGGACGCAGTGGCGGCGGCGGCGGCGGGAGGAGGAAGCGGAATGGCTGCCGCGGTGGAGCCACCCCCGCCCCCCCGCTCCACCTCCCCGCGGCTGCAGCCGCCGCCGAGCCCTGACAGCTCGAGCCGGGGCGGAAGCGCCCGGCGGCGTGCAGCGCCCGCCCCCCGCTGCCCTCAGCGCCTCGGGCTACTCCGACCACCCGGGCCAACTAACTCCGCGACCCTGCCCAGCGCCCAGCTCCCGCCGCCCGCCGCGCCCTCCGCCCCGCGCCCCGCGCGCCGGCACTCGGCCCCGCCGCCGCAACCCCGCCGCCCCGCCGCGGCGCTCCCCGCTCCCACCACTTCGCAGCCCGCGTGCACGCCCCTGAGTCCCCCAGCCGCCCGCCCGCCCGCCCGCGGCACCTCGGGGCGCCCGCCCCCTCCCCCACCCGAGCCCGCTCCCCGCCCCCCGGCACCTCGCGCCCCCGCATCCCGCCACCCCCACCTCGGGGCTCGCACGCGCCCTCCCCGCCCTGCCGCCTCCCTCCCCGCCGGCCACCCCTGGCCATTCCGGGGCTCCCCGCCCGGGCAGGAGTTTCCGCGCGCCTGGCACCCCCGCCCACCCCCGGGCCATTTACCGATGTGGTTGTCCTCGATGTGCTCGATGAGGTCGGCCAGGGTGGGGAAGTGGAGTCCGCAGCCCCCGAATCGGCAGGTATTGGAGAAGAAGGAGGCGGCGGCGATGCCTGTCATGGTGCTACATCGAGAGCCCCCCTGGTGTCGGCTCTGCGAGCGCCGGGCGGGCGAGGGAGGGAGGGAGGCCGGGTGGGGTGAGGAGAGGAGGGGCTGGGGGAGGGGGAGAGAGGCGGGGTGAGGGGAGCGGCGAGGACGGGACGGAGGGAGAGGGGGCGAGAGAGATGGAAGGAGAGCGAGGAGCCACCGGGAGGCAGAGGGGAGGCGGCGGCTGCGGCGGCGGCGTCGGGAGCGGCGGGGGGAGGGCGGGGGCGGGGGCGGGGGGGGAAGGCCGCCGCAGCTGGGAGGAGGGACCAGGGCGCGCGGCTACAGCTGTGCGGCCCCAACCTCAGCGCGCGGACCCAGGCCTCACCTGCGAGCCCTGCCACCAACTTTATCTCGCTAGGCCTGCCCTTTACGGCTTGCCATCCGTGCCATCTGTTTGGAGCCTCCTTGGTTATGTATATGACGTTCTTAATACACCCACATCGATTAATTACACCTACCTCCCTGCGAGGAGAACTCAGGGAGTTACCCTGGTCCCTCTCAGGGACATTTTTTTGTACTCAGCCACCTGTCTAGGTGTGACACATTCACAGGGGACCCAGGAAAGGTAATTGTGTGCACCTTCTTCTTTAAACCTTCTTTAGAAAAAGTACACATTCTCCGGAGGTTTGTACTAACTAATTGATTTTAATGAAGCTTTCCCTCTAGGCCAGAAAAAAATCTTAGCTTTATTTAAATTTCAAAATAGAGTGCTTGGTTGTCAAGTGCATTTGCCTGTGTTTTACATATGTGCCACGTTTTTTATACTCCCTGCTCCTTCTAGGAAAACAAAAACTAAAATAATTTCATCACCCGAAATTACAGCACCCTACTGCACCCACTCCACCATCTCAGGTCTGGTAATTAACCCATCCTCGTTTCAGCCACTGCAGAAAGGACAGTGCATTGGTTAAGGCTAGAAGGAGCGGAAACAACGGCAAGGGACATAGTGACTCTTCATTTAAAAAGGAAGCGATTTCATCCTGTGAGCATTTAAAGCATAATGTTGACCAGGTAACCACTTAAGGTGAATTTAGTAGCTTCCCTGAAAACCAGCATTTTGCTGAGAATCAATTACTTTCTTGTCCCCACCCCCTCCTCCAGTTGCAGTCATATTTCTTCTGTAAAGTGTGTATTTTCCAGTAGCACTTTTCCAGGTGTCTAAGAAATATTACACATTATCAGCAGTTTATGACCCAACAGTACATTTTTTTTATTAATATTAATATATGCATACTGAATTTAGCATTTTTCCTTAGGGCAAATTTCACTTACCCTCTGGTGCAGATGCATGGAGAAATAGTATTCCTCCCTCCATAAACTCTATGCATCTCTGTCTAGTGTTATTTCTAATAATGGGATTGTTTGCTTTTCATGTAAGTGCTTAGAGTAAAGGCACATGTAATATGTCTGTTGCTACAGGAAGTTTTATGATCTGACCATCACCGGTGGCATTTTCTCTTCTCATCTCTTCTGTCTTGCAGCTCACAAGGTGACAAACTTGCTGAGATGAGATTCGGCTTGGGTGGGGCTGGGGCAGCTGTGTCTTGAAGTTCAGTTTGGTGCCAAGAATGGTTTCATGGGCCCAATGAGGGTGGGGGCAGGGCCCTGGTGGGCCTGATAATGAGCCAGGGACCGAGTTGGCAGGGGACTGAGGCCAAGGCCAGACAAGGGTCTAAAGAGCAGGAGTTAGAATTCTAGATCTTGAATTAGAATTTTGGCAGCTGTGCAGTACATTCAGCTGCCCAATCTGGGAAGGCCTTCAGCTGAGAGCAGGCAGAATATCTGGCAGGCACACACCACACCAAATGACATGGAAATGCAATACAAAACTTCAGCCAAAAATGATGCCAAAACAGCCACCCTTAGAGATGAATGTTAGGCACCCCCACTATGCAGCATCTGGGAGCCCCAAAAGCTTTGAAGAAGTAGCAGTTCTGTCCTCCAGAGGAAAAATTGTCTACGTGGAGTTATTAACTCCCAAGAGTGTGGAGAGGTGGTTCAGGCAAGAGAGTTCCGAGATGGGAAGTGCCAGAAATGTGCAGGTGAAAGATGAAGGAAGTAAGGGGCCTGGGTTTCACTAATGCATGGCTTTCTACTACCTCCTGTCAGTTTCACTATTCCTAAAATAAAACCTTGCTAGACCAAATTGAAAAAAATAGATTTTTTAAAAAATGAAGTGAGCTAAAATAACTTCCAAAGTAAATCAAGATATTGGTTTTTAAGACAAAATTATTTTCTCTACCTTGGATAATTATTACTGTTTTGTAAGGAATCAGTTCATTTTGCCTGAAAATAATCCACCCTACTACTTCTTCATATGTGACTGAAGCTTTGTTTATGTGATGTTCTGCTCATACTACTTTTTAAAAATCTGTACACTCTAGGCATTTCCGGTCTTTATATAAGATACATGATTGTGATCTCTTAGACCTGGAAGATACTCTGGCTGTCAGAACCACTGGTTTTGGAGATGTGGTAAACTGAGGCCGGGGCATCAAGCAAGTTCTCCCAGGTGCACACAGACAGTTTTTTTCTCTGTACTCATGGTGCATTTAGAAGGCATTGATAGACAATAGAAGGACAAATTATATATAGATAGTAACCACAGGCAAAGTTTTTTAAAAATTGCTAATAGCATGCTTACCTTTCTGTACTTATATTTTTAAAATGTTTGTTTCCAGGATATCCCTTTAGATAAAGTCAACATCTAAGCTACAAAAATATATAAAACAAACAATTCAACTTATTACATCCGAGAGAGAAGGTGATGACTGATATACCTCTGTACTGGCAAAAAACATCTGTCTGATTTGGAAAGTAAAAATATTTGAAAGGAGAGGGAAAGTGAGGGAACTGAGAAGTCAGAATGATATGACAGTGGCTGTAGACAAGAAGCATTCTCTGGGTTTAAGAGCCTTTTCTTGAAAACCATCTGTCTCTCCCCAGAGCCCAGTGCCTCCCAATGTATAGGCACAAAGTATGGATGTGCAGTGGCCCCATAATATGGTACTTAGCATTACAAATGGTTTGAGATCGCATAACAGTCTCCCCAAATCCAGCATGTCCAGTGCCCTCGAGATGGGGCAGCTGCCGGAAGGTGTGAATCCACTGGTCTAATGGAGCCAACTGAAGACACTGAGGATCCTGCTTCATACAGCTGTCTGTCCTCCACATACAGGAATTGGTTTATTTTGGCATACACTGATAATCAAAACCGTGCACTTCCTGTGTCCTGTGTGGACATCTGTTAATGATGCAAGAGGATCTATATGAACATTAGATTCTATCTTGAATCTAACTCTATACTGCCTTCAACTGTAGCTTTCTCTGGCTTTTTAGATTGTTTTCCAGGTCCCTCTTGAGGTGCTTTTCAGGTTTACTAGATATTTCTTCTATTGTCACCACTGTGTCGAAGGAGCAGATCATGAACCTTGGTCTTCTTCAGCTCATGCAAGTCTGTGGACGCTTACAATGTCTGATGTTCCCTGGCTCTTGAATGCTAAGGCTGCCACTTCCACCAACAGCAACCTTGGGCTCAAAGGGATGCCTTCTTTTTAGGCTCCATCTTCTTCTAAGGAGGATGATTTCTATTCCAGGTTTTATTGTTTAATATTTATGTAACCAAGTTTTCTGTATTTATTTTATTCCAGCTCAGAAATGAATCAGCTTTATCTGCTCTCTGGTGATTAATTCTCATTTTGTCCCTCAGTCTCATTTTGCCTAGGATTAAGAGCTAGCCTTAGAATGAGTAATGGGGGTATTCTTATTAGTTGCCACCAGTGACCTCATGAGTGTTAGCCCCTAGCTCTCCACCTGGCTGCTCCTGCCTACTGACTGTATACGTAGTTTTGGCATTTATTTCCAGTTCCTTGAAGGACTTTTCCAGAACTAAAGTAGTAAAACACCCACCCAATCACTGCAGTTCTAATTGAGCATCCTGGATCCATTCCACTACATTATGTGCCACACTACTACCCAGATGATAACTCCAAACCCAAATCTGATGGGAGCCACTGCTGCTCAGGCCACCCCAACCTGAGTTTTAGAATAATGTTAACAGAAGCAGCTAAGCAATTACTGTTTCATTTTTGCCTTTAACCTATCTTGATTGAACATCTATGCAAAGCTCCTGTTACACAACTCCAGAAGGCTCTATTTATATAGGCAACTGCATGAACAGTGACCCTGGGATCTGTGCAGCCTTGCAGTCCTGTTCCACTGCGCAAGATATGAGGGATACAATTTGAATAAGACAAGCCCAGTCTCTCCTCACGTGAGAGAGCACTAGGTGCTTTGCAAAGTCCTCCTCAATCTATTCTAAGGGCCTGCTAGGGGTGGCTTGGTTGGACTCCGTGTACTACCCTCTTGGCTGCTCTGGTATCTATTATTTCCCTTCTTTCCAGCTTTGGCTCACTCAGATGATAACTTCAGTTGCTGTTGACTGTAATGGAGCCACTAAGGCCACTAATGCTTGTAAAAGACTGCACAGCCTTTTTTGCCCAAAGATGTGTTTTTAGACGTCACTGATTCTCACCCAGCAATGCACAGTCTTGAGGATTTCTATAACTTCAAAGGCTACTAGCACGTTTTTTGTTCTAGCTTTTTGAGGTTTTACCAGCTCACACTATTGCAGTCCGTTTCCTCTGGACTCAGACAAGTATCACTGGAGATTGGACTAGAAGATCAAATTGGGAATACTCCATGATCTCATCTCCCCTGCTAGAATGTCTTAGTGGTAACTTTCACTACCAGAATAGGCTTCCTGCTTTTCAGTGACCAAAATTGATCCCAGCCTTACCTCCTACAGTTTCCCCACATGTACTGACAGTTCAAGATGTACCAAATCATTTTAGTTTTCTTTCTTCTTCTTCTTTTTTTTTTTTTTTTTTTTTTTTTAAGATAAGATCTCACTCTGTTGCCCAGGCTGGAGTACAGTGGCACGATCACGGCTCACTGCAGCCTCGACCTCCTGGAGTCAAGCGATCCTCCCATTTCAGCTTCCTGGGTAGCTGGGATTACAGGTGCACGCCACCATGCCCAGCTAATTTTTTGTATTTTTTTATAGAGATGGAGTTTTGCCATTTGCCCAGGCTGGACTCGCAGTCCTGGACTCAACCACCTTGGCCTCCCAAAGTGCTGGGATTACAGGTATGAGCCACCGCATGCTGTCATTTAGTTTTCAAAATGCGCTCACTTGTTCAACAAAAACCACCTTGCCTTTCTTTGCAAATATTGTGTAGCCTGTCTGGAACATTCTTTTTCCCTCTTCCCTATTCCCTCCCCCAAATACTCTGCAGCAACTCAGCATGTCATCTCCTCCAGGAAGCCTTCCCTATAACTTCCTCCTCTTCCTTCCCTGCTGAGCTGGATGCCTGTCATCTGTGTTCTAGCCAAATTCCCTCTGCATCAGATTCTGACTGCTGGCTTACTGGTCTTCCATCTCCTGTGTACCAGTAGTTCTCAAACCTTTTGCTCAAGAATCCACTTGAACCTTGATCTCATTAATATTTATATTTACTTATAAATTATATACAGGTGCTACTTTTCACATATAGTATGTATATTATAGGCTGGGCACAGTGAGTCACGCCTATAATCCCAGTACTTTGGGAGGCTGAGGTGGGAGGACATTTGAAGCCAGGGGTTTGAGACCAGCCTGGTCAATATAGCAGGACCCTATGTCTGGCAAAAAACTAAAAAATTAGCTGGGTGTGGTGGTACACCCCTGTAATCCTGGCTATTCAGGAGGCTGAGGCAGGGGGGAATAACTTGAACCCAGAAGTTCAAGGATACACTGAGCTATGATCACACCACTACACTCCAGCCTGGGCTACAGAGTGAGATTCTATCTCTAAACCAAAACCAAATGTAGTATGTGTGTTATGAAATAAATCAAATTCTTTTTAAAACGCAGGAATAGAAGGCCTAGTATCTTCATACCATACCGCAGAGTATTGCCTGGCCCACATCCTGGGGTGAATGCATTCCTCCTTGGAGGCCTCTGCACTTGATGGTAGCCTCCTTGAGAAAAGAAACTTTTATTTTTTTTTTTTTAGCCGGAGTCTCGCTCTGTCGCCCAGGCTGGAGTGCAGTGGCACCATCTCGGCTCACTGCAACCTCCGCCTCCTAGGTTCAAGCAATTCTGCCTCAGCCTCCCGAGTAGCTGAGACTACAGGCGCCCACTACCACACCTGGCTAATTTTTTGTATTTTTAGCAGAGACGGGGTTTTGCCATGTTAGCCAGGATGGTCTCAATCTCCTGACTTCATGATCCGTCCACCTTGGCCTCCCAAAGAGAAACTATCTTTAGGCCTGCACTGCTCAATAAAAGTTGCATGGGAGTATAGTTCAGCACTGTGATAAGGCAGTGTGCTAAGACTTCAGTTTTCAATGTTAAAGCAATTTCTAACAATTTGTTACTGTTCCTCTCTAATGTAGCATCGAGGAAAGATAGTCTTCAATCTCTTAGCTTGGATAGATTACAAGTCATTCCTTCCCGTGGTTGTGGACACACTTTTGACGAGACCTCTTTCTAAGGTCTAGCACAGGGACTGTGCTGCGCCAATAACAGGCACTTAGAAAATGCTTGTCTCATTTGTTTTGATGGTGCTAGTTTACTAGTCTCTGCTGACGCAAAGCCATTCAACTGGACAGAGATAAGCAGGGAGCCATTCAGCAATGACATGAGATCTGACACTAGCTCTCCTTTCGTAGACTGACTACGATACCTTTCCCTTTACACAGATGTTCAAATTCATTATGGTGATTATTTTAAATAACTATTACCACATTCATTGAGTGCCTACTATTGGACTTGATGCCTTAACAGAGAGCAGTTCTTAAATCCTATGAGGTAGACAAATGCTGTTATGCCCAAACTATGGATGAGAAAAACAAGACCCTGGGAAATAAGGTAACTTGCTGAGGTCCTTAAAGCTAGTAAGTGCTGGAACTAGGATTGAACTCAGCTCTGTGTGACTCCAGAGTCCTGGCACTTAACATTCTACCCGTACTTGAATTTGTGGATTATAAAACACTTTTGTTCTCTCCCCTTGAATCTGGGGGCGGGCCCATGCTCACATAAATCACAGAAACTAGGCTAGAGGGGCAACAGCATCCTAGTTTGCCAAATGCACTTAGGTGAGGATACTGAGAATCAGGATGGGGAATTGATGATGGAGATGTCATGAGGCCTCCAGCAGGAACTGAAGCTCTTGGCTTGTCTTTTGCCCTCTGCTTCTCTATTGGGAGGTCCTCTCATTACTGTTACCAAGCTTGTTTCTGGTCTTAAATACCTTATTTTAAAACTAAACTTTATAGAGACGTCAGACTTTTAAAAGATACCCTTGGGTTGCTCTTCACCCTGTTCCTGACAACCTCCACTCTGCGCCTTCCTGCTGGTGATTTTGGGGTGGAGTAGGGAAAACAGGCATCACCTCTCATGAGGAAAGGTGACCCTTTTGCTTTTGTCATGCTCTTTATCTTTGTCTCCTGTTTTGTAAGGACTTAACTCATGTTGCCTTTCAGCTAATTGTTTGGCATAATTATATTTTCTGTTGCAATTTTTGTTCCCAGAGTCACAGAACAAACAGTCCCATTAAACGTCATCTCAATGGGCTCTGCAGCTCAATCCTTTCTTTTCCAGATCTGGACCAATGTGGAGGCTACTTTTGCCTTTCAGAAAATGGACCCAGATTCCAGTCATTTCTCTAGGAAATGACTTTTCCCCTGGGTTTTATAACTCAATTTGCCTTTCTGTAATTTTCATCCCATTATGTGTTTGCCAAGATAAATGATTCTTTCTTCTCTGTATTACCTTATATATGTAATGACTTTTCTTATTTATAAGGCCTCAAACTCAGAAGCCTTAGGGTCAGACACAGGATGCAATGAGAGAAGAGGTGTGTGAATGCACCTTTGTATTGTGTGAATGGTGGGGCAATGGTGACCTGGAGAGAACTGTTCTTTTAAAACACTGGAAGGAAAACACATTCCACCTGCAACCCACAGTTGGCCCATGAACCTTCCAGTTTGCACCCCCTGTTTTTCCTTCCATGCCACGGTGCCCAACTTAGATTACTGTTATTGCCACAACAGCCCAAAAATATCCGGATTAATTATTTCTCATCACTATGAGATTAGATGTAATCTAATTCTTGTTGTTAACAATTCAAGAAGGGTCATTTGCACCTTAAACACATCTTGAAGATAATATCTGAGCTGCCCAGGTAAACAGTCATATCAGAGGGAATAAATAGTTGATAAGGACTGCCTTCCTGGTTCTAACACTTCTTGGTTCTCAACATCGTTCTATATTACCCAGTGCAGATCAGAGTCATAAGAAAATTTTCAACAAGCTGACTATGTAAGTACTACAAATTTATTTAAAGCGAGTGCAGTAAAAGATAATGTTGTATAGTGCCTGACCAGTCTTCATCTATAAAATAATTAACAAAACCCTTCAGTTGGTAGGTTTGGATGGCCCAGTCTTTGCGTATTCCCTCTCCTGTGTCTGCAGCTCAAAGTCACATTACTTGCAAGGTATTCTCTTTAAAAATGTGTATAGTAATCAAACATTTTAGATAACGGTCTTCAGGGTTAGAGCCAACTCATGACTCCAATTTCTTTCTCTCTCTTCCGCCATTCCCATCCTCACTCTCCCCGTCCCAATCCAATATCCCTCCCCTGCTGCCTTTCCCTGCCATCCCCAACCCCCTGAAAATATGGTGCCTTTTCAAGATTGATTCTTGAATGGGGCCTAGGCATGGAGAGTGTTCGGTATTGTGTTTGAGAAAGTTGCACCAGAGACAATAATTCAGGAAAGAAACAAGAAAAAGGAAATTAGGAAAGAAAACTAAAAAGGGGCAGAAGCAAAGGCTGAGAGGATCTTTTCTGTCTTCTCTCTCCTGTGCACCAAAGTCCTGCAGCAGAGGAATCCTCTCTTCAGATAATCCCTACTCAGTCTCTTATTCTTATGAACCACAATCAAATTTGCATCTTATCTTCCTTATTCTATACCCTGATCCAAAAGACTGATCAGAGGAAAGGTCTTCACAAAAGTCCAGCATCGAAAAGACCTAGATCCTAATGCCAACTCTATTTTTTGACTTACAGATCATTAACCTTGGGGAAGTCACTCAGTCTCTCTGAGACTTCTTACCTACACACTGGATTTAACAGTACAGATCCTACCCAGCTTCTGGGGATGAAATGAAATGCTGCATGTGAAAACACACTGGAAACTATAAAATGCTAATCAAAGATGAGGTATTATCATTATTATCTCTGAATCCAGTGCTACAAATGCTATGGCATGTGGTCATCTAACTAAATTTTCTTTGATTTTTTGGAGAAGGGTGTGGGTGTTACAGGCTGGTGCAGCAATAAGGTAGAGCTTTAAGTTATAGGGAGGAAACTTTAAGTTGTCAACCATTGCTATTTCAGAGACATCATGAAGATGTGAAATCACTTTGGAGCATACCTGCTTTATTTTGAGATGAGCCATTTGAGTGGACCCTTCTGAGTGATGTAGACATAGTAAGACACTTATTATTCTGGGGGGAGTGCAACAGGTATTGTTTTAGTTTTGGTTTTGGTTTGCTTGACTAGGGCTTGAGGCTTCAGCACTGCAGGCAGCTGGAATCTTGCTGCCAAAATGATTGGTTCGGGAGGTGGGCATGTGGCCAGAAAGTCCCATCAGAGTTAAGTTCAGTGCTTTTATCCAGTGGTTATCTGCATTTCTATCCAGATAAGCCTCTGCCTGCTCTCTTCTTATCATTTGAGAAGGAAGCACGTAGCCCAGTTGATGCTGGCAGACATCTTAAGACCATGAGGGACTTCTGCCTGAGGACAAAGCCAACTTGGCAGAATGCAGAATTAAGAGATCTCAGAGAAACTGAACTGGAATTCTGATAGAACTGTGCCCAAAGCCCACGTTGGTCTTATGCTGTTACATGATCCAGTGATTCATCTTTATTGTATAAGCCAGTTTGTGTTGGGCTTTAGAGTACTAGATAGTGACGGCGAAGTCATTATCCTAAATGATACAGAGTTTGAAGGTTTCTGGAGAAGGGGTGGGAAAGTTTACATAGTGTTCAGGGAGCTTACTGGAGGAAGCTGCCCGTCTCTTAATCTTTTTTAATGAGGTTCACAGCAGTGAACCTGCCTCTGATGGGCTAAGGTGGGACCACCTATGATCAGCTGATGGAGAGAACACTGCAGGAGGGAGACCTGAGCCATCACAGAGGCAGGAAGGCTGAACTGGGTCCTGGCATTGGCGTGAGGCTGTGGATAAAGCTGTGTCACTAAGTTGATGGCCATGAGTATAGTCCGTAAATACGCCTATGTTCAGTTTTCATAGATTCTGCCAAACCATTTTCCGAGCCAGCTTAGCAATTTACATACTCACCATCACTGGTTCAGAGTTCCCAGAGCCTTTTACATTTACATTGTCTATAGGCTAAATACATTTCAATTCTCTTAAGTTTTTTTTAAATGCAAGTGTAACAAAAGTGCCTGAGTACCTGCTGGCTGTAACCTATTCTCCATGAAATAGGAATATCTCAGCACCCCCATCAAAATTTTCCTTCCTGATATGGCAGTCATGTGTGGAGAGAGAAGGGGAAGGAGTGTGTGGGGGGGCAAATGATGAAGGGGTGGGTAATGGTAGGGAAGGTTGTTTTCTGCACAAATAACAGCCAGTCAAAAACATTTTATTACAATTAGGTTGATTCCATGTCTTGGCTGTTGCAAATGGTGCTGCAATAAACATGAGAGTGCGCATATCTCTTTGACATGCTGATTTCATTTCCTTTGAATATATATCCAGTAGTGAGATTGCTAGATCATATGGTAGTTCTATTTTGAATTTTTTGAGGAACCTCCACACTGTTTTCCATAATGGCTGTACTAATTTGCATTTCCATCAATAGCGATAAGAGTTCCCCTTCACCTGCATGCCACCATTTGTTATTTTTTCTTTTTGCTAGTAGCCATTCTAGTTGGGGTAAAGTTATATCTCACTGTGGTCTGATTTGCATTTCCCTGATGATTACTGATGTTAAGCATTTTTCATAAATATCATCAAGGAATGAAGGAATAAAGAAAATATGGTATTTTCATTGCAATAGCCTGAGGAAAGAAAGAAAGAGAGCAGAAGAGAGAGAGAGAATGTGTTACCTATAAACAGTGGAATACTATTCAGCTATAAAGAAAGAATGAAATCCTGTCATTTGCAGCAACATGGATGAACCCAGAAGACATTATGCTAAGTGAAATAAGCCAGGCACAGAAAGACAAATATTGCATGATCTCACTCAAGTGCAACTTAAGGAAGTTGATCTCCCCAGCTGCAGAGGCTGGGGAGGAAAAAGGGGAGGGTGAGATGGGGAGAGATTGGTCAATGGGTACAAAATTATAGTTAGATAGGAGGAATAAGTTCTGGCATTCTGTTACACAGTGATTCTGGCTAACAATATTATATTGTATATCACAAAATAGCCAGAAGAAAGGATTTTGAATGTTCTCACCACAAAGAAATGATAAATCCATGAGGTGATGGATATGCAGTAAGATTTGGTATTATTTATACTATTGCTGGTTAATTTTATATTAATTTTTACTTAAAATAATGCCTCAGTTATCAAAAAAACTTATTTCATTGGACTTAGTTGACTAGTGGCACCAGCTTGTTAAGCATGAAAGATTTACTTGAAGATGGAGGAGAGAGTTGATATAAATTTAATTGACTTAATATTTTCATTTAAATGTATATCTCCTAAAAAGCAAAACATGCAAACTGACAAAACTATGCATGTTCACTCAGGTACTACCTAACATATTCCTATGTTGCCTTTCATGGGTTCTATCCTTGGAGTAGGGGGTGGCAGCCTCATGAATTGGAGTCCATGTTTCCAGTGGCAATGTCTTTCACTGTCTGTAGGTAGGCTTGTCATATATGCTAGATTAGTGGGATTATTATCAGTTAGTGTTACCTGCCAGCCTTTGGGAGCTAATGAACAGAGCTCAGGAGTTTCTGAATTTTTCTATGAACTTGTTCCTGCCATGTTACAGTTGGCACTTTCAAGAATTCACATTTTCGTGCATTCATATACATCTTGTGGCAGAGACTTCTAGGTGCCTATCCAATATCTATTCTCACCTTGCTCCTTAGTAACAGGATGAGAATAAAAAACATACTGACTCAACTACTGGGCATTGTTTTCACTTGGCCCATCTTCCCTTCTGTTTCCAAGAGCACAACATGACAGCCGGAGCAACAGTAGCTATCTTATGAATGTGAGAATGTGGATCATACTAGATTGATGAACTGCAATTGCCCTATCAGCCCAGCACTGCCTACTTCTGGAATTCTCGTTGTGTGTGAGAAAAATAAATTCCTATTTATTTAAACCACTGCTTCTCAGATTTGTATTACTCATAGTCGAATGCAATTCTGGTATTCTAAATATTCATTCAATGTAATCCCCCATTTGATTTGTTCAACATTTTACAATTGACTTGGAACAGAAGTCTATACAACAGAAATGCATACAACTCACTCAGGCTCCCTGACCTGGGTCATGAAAGACTAAGCTTTAAAGGCTCTGCCAAGCCAAATTATCCACTATAGAACAAGGGGCTGAGTGGCAGGGCAGGTCCTTCTACTCTAAGGTAGCGTCGGGAAGTCCACAGGGTGGAATCAAAAGTTGAGGTCTGAGGGTCATCATAGCAGAGCTCCCTGCCTGTTGTCATAGCAGGAAGGAGTGATCCATGACAATGTGTTGCAACAAATACGAAACTTCCCCCTGCTTTTACCCTAGAGACTTGCAGGCCTGCCTGTTGAGTTAATCAAGCCCCCTGAATCTAAATGTCGAGAGCTTTTGGAAGCTGTAAAGGATTCTGTCATCAGCCCATAGGCACTTTCTCACTGCATCTGCCTTTTTCCACCTGGCCTCAGACTAAGGATGATTCTCCACCCTCTTTCCCCCACCCCCACCCCAACACCACCACCATTGGAAAGATCACTGCACTTGTGAAAGGAGCAGCAAAAATGCTCACTGTGGCAGCTCTCACTCCCATTCCCTTTCTATCTCCCACTCCATTTCCCCTTTTTAAAATTTTGTTCCCCAAATCATTATTTTATGTTATGTTATTTTATTTGAGATGGAGTCCTGCTCTGGCCCCGGCTGGAGTGCAGTGGTGTGATCTCAGCTTACTGCAGTCTCCACCTCCTGGGTTCAAGTGATACTCGTGCCTCAGCCTCCTGAGTAGCTGGGATTACAGGAGTGCGCCACCACACTTGGCTAATTTTTGTATTTTTAGTAGAGATGGGGTTTCGCCATGTTGGCCAGCCTGGTCTTGAACTGCTGACCTCAGGTGATCCACCCGCCTAGGCCTCCCAAAGTGCTGGGATTACAGGCATGAGCCACTGCGCCCAGCCTCATCGTTTTATTAATAAAAAAAAGTGTTTACCAATAGAAAATGTTTGTAGGAACTAAAACAGGTCAACTGCATACTGAAACATTTTGTGAGTACAATTTCCCAAAAGCAATTTATAGATACAGAAAACTAAAGCAAACTGAAGATTAAAGCAGGGGGAAAAAAACAAAAAAGGAAGAAATGAGTTTAAACTTAAGCAGGGCTGATCTACCTGCTTGGTAAATGAATCAGACCATTTCCAAAATCAAGAACTTTTTTTTGCTCTGCCAGTTATTAAATTAATTATCTGAGCTATATCCCTTAATACCAGAGTCATTTTAGTAATGGTATAGCTTATAAACTTTTCACTCTCCTGTGGTTTCTTAAGCTGAGCTGGAGCCAGCTTTTCAAACTACATTTAACTCAAAGCGCTGTTATAGTGTGTTATAGACTTCAATGGAAACTAGAGCAGGTGTTTCCCTGGACCACCATGCTAGGTGTATACTCAAAGTGGTAATGAGGAATGAAGCTCATTTTCTGTGTCCTGACTCCCACAATCTCCTCCTTCATTTTCTGTTTTATTTTTATTTTTTTGAGACAGGGTCTTGTTCTGTCACCCCGTCTGGAGTGGAGAGGGGCAATCATGGCTTACTGCAACCTCGATCTCCTCGAATCAAGCGATCCTCCCACCTCAGCCACCTGAGTAGCTGGGACTACAGGCACAAGCCACCATACCCAGCTAATTTTTTGTAAACATAGGGTCTCACCATGTTGCTCAGGCTAAATCTCCTCCTTCTGGTCCAAACAAGACAGGGAATTGCTGGGGGCCCTATAATGGCTTCCATTCCTACAAGTGTCAATGTCTGTCCCTGGCAGCCCCACCTGGAGAATCCAGGGGTTCTTGCAGGGTCCTGCATGTGTTGTCATAATGCTGCTCCACTCAGAGCCCTGTTCCAAAGTCACACCAAGCCCACTGAGGCCTCCTCTACCCTGGGAATGTGAGTGAGGAGTCCCAGCAGCACAGGGCACGTCAGGCTGCCCCTAGATCTGTCATCTCCAAATGTGCTCAGGGGGCCCATTTTTTCTTGCTCCCACCAGCCACACAGGAACTGTCACTGGAGCAGGCCTAGTGACATTTGTCTGGATTCCTCTGATGGGGACCTGAGCCCCACAAGTTAGGTCACAAAAGCACAGTTACTTAACAATTGAATCAATCCTTCTGAACCTCATTTTATTTATCTGCATGATGGGGATAAATAATGGTACCTTTACTTTGCTGTCATTATCACCACAGCCACAACTACCATTTTTTCCCGTTTACTACAAGACGTGTATGTCTTAGTGGTTAAACATACAACCTGTAATGCCAAATTGCCAAGGGTGAAGCCACACTTCTGCTACTGAATTCCGAGATAACCACAGCAAGCTGTTTGAGTGCTCCGTGCCTCAGTTTCTCCATTTGTAAAATGAGGAAAAGAAGGAGCCTACGTTACAGGGCCGTCATGGAGGGAAAGGGAGCTAATGGTATGAAAACACTTGGAGAAGCCCACAGCATGAGAGATAGTGAACGCCAAGCCCATGCAAGCCCTAAGTAAGCCGGCAGGTGCCAGAGTGTTTGCCAAGCACAGAAAGCTCTGTTTACCCTCCCACAGAGGCAGGTACCGTTTATTCCCATCTCACAGATAAACGAACTGAGGTTCAGAAGGGTTAAATGATTCAAATGTTAAGTAACTGTGCTTTTGAGCACCTGGGGGGTTTTCTCCTTTTCTCCTTTGCTTTGAGAAGCCCTAGATCTCATGGGTCGGGGGTCATCACCCATACTTCCCAAATTGATATTGGATTTCACAAGTTGTTTCCCTATACCTCAAACCTAAACTGAAAATACGTGCCTTCACCTTGTCCCAGTGCTAACTCCTACCCTTCACCCACAATTAGGCGCCTCCTCCCTCCTGGGGCCACATTAGCCAGGGTTCCTGGTGAAATCCTGGCTGGGGGAGATGCCTCACTGCAGAGAGAGGGGTGTAGTCCCTGCTGAGAGTGAGGCCTGCAGCCCTGCAGGGACAGTTGGCTGCCTTGGGTGATAACTGCTCCAGTTTGCAGGAGTGGCTGCAGACTGTTTCATTTCTTCTCCAGTTCACACTTCATAATTAGCTATAACCTCACCACCTTCTTAAATTTCCTGTTCTAGGTTTCTAGCGCACAAAACGAAAATCTCCTTCTAACATTTCTTCTTCACATACTTCTGGGAAAGAAGCACTATCTCTTTTTCTGAATGGTTTGATCCTGAACATGGAGTTAGTGCCTACTTTTTCCACAATGACTTTGGGTTTTTTTTTTAATTCTCTCTCAGCTTCCATCTGAACTTCAAGTCTGGCTGCTCTGGACCAGAGATTAGCAGTTCTCACACCCAGCAGCTAATTGCTCGTGTCAGAGAATGTTATTTATCTACTCTCCCCTGAAGTTTAGAGTAACATGCCTGCAAAATGCCAATAGGGCTTAGTATGGTTTCTTTATCTTCTTCCCCAAAGAATTTGATGTGGAAATGGATTTTCTATCTAGTGACAGTTCTCAAAATGTATTACAGTTCTGAAAAGTACATCATGAAAAGTAAGTCCCGCTTCCAATTCTGACCACTCCCTCCCCAGTGTGCCCCTTCCCAGAGGCAGTCACTATTACTCACTTTTTGTTTTGCCTTCCAGATACGTACAGGCCCATGTGTATGTCCCTTGTAACCAAGGGGTAGCATGATATTCACATTGTCTGAGACTTTAATGTGTTTCATTTAATAATACGTCATGGGGATCTTCCCGTATGAAAATGTGTAGGTGCTCTTCATTCTGTTAAATGGCTGCGTTGTATTCCATTATATGTGGAAGTACTTGTATTAGTTTCCTATTGTTTCCATAACAAACCATTGCGAATATTGTGGCTTAAAACAATACATATTTATTATCTTATGGTTCTGGAAGTGAGAAGTCCAAAATTGGTCTCACTGGGTGGAAATCGAGGTGTCCTCAGGAATGCATTCTTTCTGGAGGCTCTAGGGCAAAATCCATTTTCTTGCCTTTTCCAATGTCTAGAGGCTGCCCCCATTCCTTGGCTCATGGCCCCCATTCACCAATCCTATCGTTGTGACTTTTGTGTCTGTCATCACATCTCATTCTCTCTGGCTCTTACACTCCTCCCTTGTGATTACATTGGGCCCTCCTGGATCAACCAGGATAATAGTCTCCCCATGTCCAGATGCTTAATCAAGATCCAGCTGAAATGTCTCTTTTGCCATGGAAGGTATTCACAGATTCCCGGGATTAGGATGTGGACATCTTTGCAGGGGACACTATTCTGCCTACCACAGTATCCTGGTTTATTTTATCTGTTTCCTACATATGAGCTTTTAGATCATCTTTTATGACAAGCAGTGCTTCAGTGACTATCCTTCATTTTGCTTGAGGAACTCTGAATGCACAATATCACTAAACCATTTAGAAGGTAATATAATTTACTCTCTTATCTGTGATTGCTAGGATTGGATCCTTGACTTTAACAAAGACTCTGAGTCTCAGGAAGTGGTTTTATATTCATGGAACTGAAATAATTTATTTGGTTAAAAACCCAATACTCTAAAGCTGTGGCTACTTTAATTTAAATTTAGGTAATTCAAAATTAAATAAAATTAAATATTTAGTTTCTCAGTCACACTAGCCACATTTCAAGTGCCCAGTAGCTACATGTGGCTAGTGACTGCCACATTAGAAAATACAGATATAGAACAGTTCCTTCATTGCAAAAAAATTCCATTGTACAGTGTTGGTACAACGTGATCTTTTAATCCACTATCAAATTAGGACCAATCTGTTGCCTGGACTGCATTTAACTCATTCCTATAGAGTGAATGTTTATGTCCCCTAAAATTCATGTTTTGAAACTTGATCCCCCAGGTAGTAGTATTAGAAGGTAAGGCCTTTGGGAGGTGATTAGGTTATGAGGGCAGACCCTCATGAATGGAATTACTGACCTTATAAAAGAGACCCCGGAGAGCACCCTCACCCCTTCCTATCTCTATGTGAGGGCACAGTGAGAAGGAGCCATCTACAAACAAAGAAGTGGGTCTTCACATTCTGCTGATGTCTTGATCTTGGACTTCCCAGCCTCTAGAACTGTGAGAAATAAATATAAACGGTTGTTTACAAGCCACTCGGTCTTTGATATTCTGTTATTGCAGCCTGAATAGACTAAAACACCACTAATTCAATTAATATTTATTAAATGCCTACATCGTATGAAGCATTGCATCTCCTAGATACTCCAGGGATACAAGGACTTTTTTTTAAAGGATCCTGTCTCAGGTACATCACATATCAATGGAGGAAAACAGAAATGTTTTCTGGACTTGCCCCAGGAACACCAACCAACTATAACCAAGAAAATAACAAGTACGATAAGTTCCAAAAGAACTTAGAAGCACAAAAGAAGTACATATATTGTGTGAGTAATCCTGGAGGCAAGAATATATAAATTCTTTTCTGATCTTTAAAAATAGCTTGGTCATTGTCCATTGTTCTGATGCTTTTGAAATATTGAAATATTCATTGACATTTGATATGTAAATAATACAATGAATAAGATTTAAAGGCTTTTTTTTTTTTTGAGACAGTCTCTCACTGTTGCCCAGGCTGGAGTGCAGTGGTGCAATCTCCACTCACTGCAACCTCCGCCTCCCGAGTTCAAGCGATTCTCCTGCCTCCCAGCTAATTGTTTGTATTTTTAGTAGAGACGGGGTTTCACTACGTTGGCCAGGCTGGTCTTGAACTCCTGATCTTGTGATCTGCCCACCTCAGCCTCCCAAAGTGCTAGGATTACAGGCTTGAGCCACCGCGCCCGGCCTTAAATAAGGCTCTTAATAAGGCATTATAGAGAAGCAATTACAGCACAGATTCTGGAAAGGGACTGCACAGGGTTCAAATCTAGATTCTGCTGTTTACCAGCTATGTGACCCTGGGCATGTTACTTAACTCTTCCGGGCCTCACTTTTCTCATCTGTCAACTTGGCTCTTATCTCACAAAGTTGTTATGAAGATTAAAAGAGTTAATGTCTGTAAGTACTTAGGATGGGGCCTGGCACTTAGTACTAAGTGCCAGCCCTTATTATTTTCTAAACGTGAATAACTACAGTGCTGGAATTTGAGCAGCTCAGAATGAGTCTAAATGTTTCAATTGATTCTGAACTGACCATAGAGGAGTTGGTAGTTTGTGGAAGTACTCTAGGCTCTGAGCAGTCAGTGAGATAGGTGTGATGTATGTGTGGTTGTCTTGACTCAGGTCCAAGCTGCCCTCCCTAGACTCCTTGAGGGACAGTGACACTAAAGAAATTTGCAAGCAGAAGGCCTGAGTTTCCAGTTTCCTCTCTGACATTCACTGAGAGGGAATTCTGCACTCTCATAGTAGTTAGTTATGGCCCGGTCATTTGTAAATTTGGCCAAATACTACCTCCTCATGTTCTATGTGCTTCTTTTTTTCTTTTCTTTTCTTTTTTTCTTTTTTTTTTTTTTTTTGAGACAGAGTCTCTCTCTGTCGCCCGGCTCGATTGCGGTGCCGTGATCTCAGCTCACTGCAACCTCTGACTCCCTGGTTCAAGTTATTCTCCTGCCTCAGCCTCCCAAGTAGCTGGGATTACAGGCACGCACCACCATGCCCAGCTAATTTTTGTATTTTTAGTAGAGACAGGGTTTCACCATGTTGGCCAGGATGGTCCCCATCTCCTGACCTTGTGATCTGCCCCGCTCAGCCTCCCAAAGTGCTGGGATTACAGGTGTGAGCCACTGCACCCAGCCCCATGTGCTTATTTCTAAGTGAGATAAGTAATATGTCCTTTCATTGATTATGACGTCTCAATCTCTGAAAGATACCCCCTCGCTACAGCCTAGAAATTCAGGTTTCTATGCTGGTTACAATTGCATTCATTTCAGTTATATTTGCCTTTGGATTTCTCCAATATTCCCACTGCTTGGAGTCTGTCTTCCTATGGCATTTGTGTCTTTCTGCCCTTTAGATCATTTTTTGTAGCCTCTGCCTTTTTCTCTCACCTTTCAAGTGATGCTGGTACCCACCAGGATTGGTCTCACTAGATCATTAACAGAAACAATTAAAGGTTAGAAAACATTTAACAGATACAAAGCGCTATATAACTGTGAAATAATGCTTTGCACTATAAAATGCATATATCATTGCTTTTATTGCAATATGGGTTACCTGACTCATTTGTACCTACAAAGCCTACTTCTTAGGTACTAAATTCATCATGCAACATTTGGAAATATATATTATAAAAGCCATTTGTTGTACTGACTAACCACTTAGCACCTGCTTTTGAGTGTCTAGGGCTGTTGTTTATCTCCCTGCAACTGCCAACTTCGATCTTAAAGCCAAACTACAGAACTTTAGATTGTTTTCAACAGAGAAGACGTTGGAAAAAAAAAAGAGTAAGGAAGTAAAACACACCATGCTGCTTATATTTTCCTTAATGCAAATTAGCTAGAGTTCTTCAGAAAAACAGGAAAGATGAATCAATTTACAGGGGGTCCCACTACAGTCTGTACTTCTGCTCTGAGGCAGTTTTCAGGCACCTCACTTGCACGAGTCCTACAAGACCCTGTGTCTAATGCTGTATTCTTTTTCTTAAAGAGTTCCCCCATCAGACGTATTAGCATCAAGCACCACAAAACCTCATATCCTCTGTTGGTGCCATAGTAATTATCACATTTGGCCACTGGCAGCTGCAATGTCAGGGTGGTGGGGGCAGAGGGGTGTGTGTTCTGTGCCAAGTGTTGATCTCTGCTGTGCAGAAGATAGTGCCCTACTTGGTCCAATTGTACATGGAGTTGCTGACCCAGGGCCTAGGACACCATCTCTACTTTCATCAGGCAGCCCCTGTGGGCTGAGAACTCATTCCCTAAACTTCACTCCATATTTCTTCTTTAGAATCCTGCAGCTTTGAGAAGAGTGGCTCAAGTCAGTGAGAGAAGAGGCCATGTTTAGAAGCTATTCCTTTAATCCAGGGTTTCTCAACCTCAGTGCTACCGATATTTTGGGCACGATAATTATTTTTCTGGGGGGTTTCCTGTGTGTTACAGGATATTCAGCAGCATCTGTGGCTATTGTCCTGCTCCTGCCCCCCAAGCTGTGACAACCAAAATTGTCTTCAGGTAATGCCAAACGTCCCCTGGAGCAAAATCTCTATTCAAGAACTGGTGCTTAATCCAACATTCCAGTAAATACTCTCAGATGAAAACCCTCCTTTTCCCCTAAATAGCAAGATGCCCATCTGCTCATCTTGCTGCTCACAGGCAAGACTACTGCCACTCCAGTGCAGACAGGACTTCTGACTGGTTAATTCAACATCCAAAAGCCAATTAGTTCTTAACAGATGACATGATCTCATATGTAGAAAATCCCAAAGTACACACACACATACACACACACACACACACTCACACAATTATTAGAACTAATACACAAGTTCAACAAGATTACAGGATACAAGATCAATAAACAAAAATCAATTGTATTTCTACAATTGATTTGAATAATTGAACATGAAATTAAGAAAACAATTCCAATGAATAATTGAACATAAAATTAAGAAAACAATGCCATTTACAATAGCATCACAGGGAACAAAATGCTTAGAATAAATTTAACAAAAGAAGTACAAAACTTGGACATGGAAAGCTATAAAATAAAACATTATTGAAAGAAAGTAAAGAAGACCTAACTAAATGGAAAGACATTTCATTAGAAGATTTAATATTGTAAAAAGGTAAAACTCCCCAAACTGATGTACGGCAATACTCCCCAAATTTAACAGCATAATCCTTAGAGAAATCCCAGCTGCTATTTTTTTTTGGCAGGAATTGATAAACTGATCCTAAAATTCATATAGAAATTCAAAGAACCCAGAATAGTTGAAAAAAATCTTGAAACAGAAGAACAAACTTGGAGAACTTAAACTTTTCCATTTTAAAATGTAAGCTTACAATAATCAAGCCAGGATGGTACGGGTACAAAGATGGACAGACAGTAGTCAATGGAATAGAATTGAGAGTCCTCGGCCGGGTGCGGTGGCTCACGTCTATAATCCCAGCACTTTGGGAAGACAAGGTGGGTGGATCACCTGAGGTCGGGAGTTCAAGACCAGCCTGACCAACCAGGAGAAACCCTGTCTCTATTAAAAATACAAAATAAGCTGGGCGTGATGGCGCATGCCTGTAATCCCAGCTACTTGGGAGGCTGAGGAGGGAGGATCGCTTGAACCTGGGAGGTGGAGGTTGTGGTGAGCTCAGATCGCATCATTGCACTCCAGCCTGTGTAACAAGAGCGAAACTTCATCTCAAAAAAAAGGAAGAAGAATTGAGAGTCTTCTTGTATTTATGGTCAAATGACTTTTCAACAAGGGTGCCAAGAGAGTCAACGACGGATCTCTATAATAGTCTTATCAACAAATGTTGCTGGAACAGCGGGATACCTACGTGCAAAAGAATTAAGTTGGACCCCTACTTCACACCATATACAAATTTAACTTAAAATGTATTAAAGACCTAAATGTAAGAACCAAAAGTATGAAACTTGTAAAAGATAACATAGAAGTAAATAGTCATGATATAGGATTAGGCAATGGTTTATTAGATTTGACCCCAAAAGCACAAGCAACAAAACAAACAAAAGCAAATACATTGGACATCATTTAAATTAAAAATTTTATACTTCAAAGGACACCATCAAGAAAATAAAGACAATCCACAAAATGATGTAAAATGTTTGCAAATCATATATTTGACAAAGGACTTGTATCCAGAATACACAGAGATCACTTACAACTTAACAATTGAAAGATAATCCAGTTTTAAAAGAGACAAAGAATTTAAATAGATATTTCTCCAAAGAAGGTATACAAATGGCCAAAAAGCACATGAAAAGACGTTCAACGTCATTAGCTATCAGGAAAATGCAAATCAAAACCACAATAAGATACCACTTCACACCCGCTAGGATGGCCGTAATTAAAAAAACAAAAACAAAAACAAAAAATCTGGCAATAACAAATGTTGGCAAGGATGTGGAGAAATTGGGGTCCTCATACATTGCTGGTGGGGATGTAAAATGATGCAACCACTTTGGAAAACAGTTTAGCAGTTACCCAAAATGTTAAACATAGAGTTATAATGATCCCACAGTCCTATTTCTAGGTATTGAATTAAAATATGAGAATGAAATATGAGAAATATGAATGAGAGTTTGAAACACGTTTCTACAAACAAATGTTTATAGTAGCATTCTTCGTAATAGACACAAGTGGAAACAACACAAATGTCCATCAGCTGATGAATGGATAAATGCAATGTGCTATACTGGTATACCCATACAACGGAATTTTATTCAACAATAAAAAGGAATTCAGGGCTGATACATGCCACATCAAGGATGAACCTTGGAAACATGCTAAATGAAATAAGTCACATACAAACAACCACATTTTGTACAATTTCATTGAATGAACTGTCCAGAATTGGCAAATCTATAGAGACAGAAAGTAGATTAATGGTTGTCAGGGACTGGGGGACTGGGGGGATGGGGTAATGAAGAATGACTGCTAGTGGATATGGGGTTTCTTTTCGGAATGATAAAAATGTTATGGAAATAGTTAGTGGTGATGGTTGCACAATATTGTGAATATACTAGAAACCACTAAATTGTACATTTAAAAAATAAACTAGAAAAATGACAGAGCAATTGGAATGCAAAAAAATAAAAAAGTCAACCCTTGGCAGAAAAACAGGATTTCTATAAAAACCTCATCAGAGAGGGTCTTATGGAGAATAGAAGCTGGGGATGATGATAACCTAGCACCTCTTAGTAAGGGTTGGGGAAAATGCCTTTTCACCTTATCATACCAGCTGCACCAAGTATATCACAGGAAATGGCACTGCTGAAGGTCCCACCCTCTCCAACACCTCCCATGTTGTCTGGTCTATAAGTTAGTCTGATGAAACTTTAAGATCTCACAGGAGGGAGCCACTGATAAAACCCACAGGGAAAGGCCCAGAAAAAGACTTGCTTGCAAAGTATGATACACCAAGCGCCAGGAGCAATGGTGCAAGGATTACGTGCCTCCCTTATTCCCATAATGAAAATGAGGTTTCCGTCCAGGAACCGAACCCACAACTTACTCCTAGTTTTTACCCGTTGTAGAAATCTACTTCCTTTTAGGTTTGCCCCTTGCCAATTACATCAGAATCAGGACTGCCCTCTTTTGCAGTTTATTTTAAATAGAGAAAAAAAGAAGGTAAAAGAACAGTGCCAGGCACTGTCCAAGGCACTGGATAATACAACAATAAACAAAACAGAGCCAAATTCCTGCCCTTGTGGAACTTACATTCTAATCGCTTGATGCCAACCTTTTTTCCAGGAGCGTGACATGTTTTTTATTTAAATTCATGCCACATTGTTATGATATAGCTACTATTATAATACGCATTACCCATGAGGAAAACTGGTGGAAATAATAGTCTTATCAACAAATGGTGCTGGGACAACGGGAGGCCTCATTACACCTCTAAACTCACACTGTAAGGGGTGGGCCAAGATTTGAACCCAAGCAACTCACTCTAGGAGCTGACCACAGAACTGCTATGGCCACAGTTCCCAAACCAGGGTGCCCTAGAGGGCCACACAGAGGAAAGTCCTGCAGGATCTTTTACCTTTTGAGAGAAACACAGACCCATCTTTCAGGAACCACATTTACTACTACTATTCAGTTGTTTGGAATTAAACTAAAAAATAAAACCATTAGGTATTTCTTTTGACCTCGGGGTACTGTGAAATATTATGGAGATGCTAGAGGCACCATGAACTGAGAACACTTGGGAACTTCTTCACTATGCTATTGGCTATTTATATGTCTGGTACCTCCTCTAGACTGAGAACTCCTGAGAGCAGCCCGGCACACAGTAGGCACAACAGCAGTGTTTGTCGAATGAAAGAAGAATAGAATAGAAGTAAGAAGAGATTTATAAGGGAATTGGAGCTGAGATATGAGCAGCGGGGACAACAGAGATAAGAAATGGGAGAAGAGGGTGCAACATTTGAAGAATAAAAATTATGTGGGGAACATAATACAGCAAAAGGCAGTACAGTGAAATTGTTAAGTTGTTGCTCTCTGAAGCCAGACTACCTGACTTTCAATCCCAGCTCTACTACATACTAGCTCTGTAATCTTGGGCAAGTTATTTAATTGCCCTTGGCCTCAGTTTTCTCATCCATGACAGGGAGTTAGAGTTATTATGACTGGTTAAATGAGTCTACATGAATAGACTACTTGCAACACTGTCTAGCACACGGTAATTGTTTCATATGTATTGTTTGATATCATTATTAGTATTACTCAGGTTCTATTCAACCAGGTTTGTTTTTTCATAAATTTGAAGTCATTTGGACTCTAAGAGGATGGGACATCAGCCAAGCTGGTAGCAGCCAGGATGGCCCATTGTCCCCTTTAGCCTGGGACTGAGAGGTTTCCCTGGAGATGAGATTTTCATTGCTAAAACTGGGGAAAGTTTTGGGGAAACTGGGATGAGTTGGTCACCCTAGTGGCTGTCACCTCTAACTCCTGAAGGCTTAATTTAATTGTAGGCTTATTCCTAGCTCAGGAGAGGTCAATTCCTTGGAGGCCCAGAAGAGGCGACAGTGAAGCATTCAGGTTGTGATGTGTCTGAGCCCCATGAGGCAAGGAGTGTGCAATTTAAGGCAGTAAGGCATACATGATTTGATTTATGGCAACGTTCTAAGAACAGAGGAAAGGATCCGTCACTACCCACCTTCATAAGTGCACCAAGTTGCTCAAACACTTTATGTTTTTGAGAGTTTTCAGAGGAGGGGAAAAAGGGGAAATAATTGCTTTAATTAAATTTTATAGATAATTCAGATGACCTAAATATTATTGGACCATGTGAATGCATACACCAAAAAAGCCTTCCTCCACTCCTGTCATCTAGCCAGCCAGCTCTCTACACACAGAAACATCCTTCCAAGAGTTCTTTAGCCACATGCAAGAAAATACCAATATATATTCTTATTTTTACCTTGTTTCTGGCATTAGAGACCTTAAAGGTGGCTGCAAGCATTCTGATCACTACAGAGGCTATGCTTTAAGAAACATGCAGCCCAGAGTCAAGATCTAAAAGACTATTCCCCTTCTGAGTCCACTGACAAATTGAGGATTGGGACCTACAGAATTAAAGACAAGCCCCTAAGAGGCAGTGACTACATCAAGGCCCAGCTACCTGGCTGGCTACCTTCATAGAGGTCTCCTTTATCTCTTTACTCTCTTGCCTCCATAGAAGAACTGCAGTTTTTTACATATTCATTGTCAAGATTCACAACCACTTTTACATAGAATTGTTGGTGGTCATTTCATTTTTATTTCCTTTGTCATATTGCCCATTCAGGATGCTTGACACCTCTCTCCCCCTACGCCTACAAGTTAACCTCATGATCCCCTTTATCTCAGTTTCTAACTGGTGGTTTTTGTTTTGTCGACTAATTCTACCTTTAGGTACTTGAAACTCCTACCCCAAAAGTTATGTGGGATGGGGGAAAGATGCTGTAGGTGTGGGCTGGTTCACTCCAACATTTTGTCCAACCTCTGCCTTTGCCCTCGCGTGCCATTGCCCCACCCCTCTCTGCTTGCCATTCTTACGTCCTCTCTCTTTTTCTGTGTTTACTTCCTTCTCATATCTCAAACCTTCCACCTGAGTTCACTTACATTCTGACTGCTGTACCTTTAGAATTTCTTTGAATAAGGGACATCTAGTATTAAGTTGTGTTTTTCCTTTACAAATGTCTTTATTGCCTTCATTACTGAAAGTTATTGTCACTGAGAAATATATACAACTCTGCATTGGTAGCTATTATCTTTCAGAATAATGAAAATATCATTTCTGTTAAATGTATTTTAGACCTTATCACTTTACAGTCCAGGCATCTTAAGCTGTCTTCCATTTTTTCCCATCTTTTTTTTCGCCTCTTAGTGTATTCTGGATACATTTTTTTTTTCAGAGAGCGTCTCTGTTGCCCATTCTAGAGTGCATTGGCATGATCACGGCTCACTGCAACCTCGATCTCCCTGGCTTCAGTAATCCTCCCACTTCAGCCTCCCAAATAGCTGGACTATAGGCATGTGCCACCACACTAAGCTAATTTTTTTTTTTTTTAGTAGAGACTAGGTCTTGCTATGTTGCCTAGGCTGGTCTTGAACCCCTGAGCTCAAGTGATTCTCCCGCCTTGGCTTCCCAAAATGCTGTGATTACACTGAACCCATGGATACATTTTTCTGTATCTAATGCTACTGTTAAGCCCATCTATTGAGTTTTTAATTTGAGTTATTGTTTTCATTCCTAGACATTCTAGACATTTCTAAACATTTAGTTCTTTTTCAACTATGCTAGATCACCTTTTATATTTTCTATATCTGCAGAAATTTTTTCAAGCTTGTGTCTAATAATTCCAATACTTCAATTATTTGTGGGTCTGTTTCTACTTTCTATTGTTCCTGTTCTTGCTCATGATGCCTCATTTCCTGTGGTTGGTTATTTTTGGCTGTGTGCTTCTCATCACCTTAGAAAAGTTGTATGTGGGGGTTCTTTGAGGTCAAGGATAAAGGTGCCTCCTCTGTAGAGAATTTGTTTTTGTAGTTGCCGCATAAAAACTGTACTATTTAGCCTGGGATCACTTTAAATTCATGGCTTGAGGTTCTTGTGGACCACCCAGATGATGTAAATTTTAGGTAAAAATTTTTGTTAGAGCTAATTTGTAGTTAAAAAAAAAAAAAAATCTCAGGATGGGGATTTCCCTCTTGTTCAGCTCAGCATAAAGGCAACTTCCTTTGCATTCCCCTGGAGATGGTGTTGGTGTTGGTTATATTTCTGGTCTTGGGGTACCTTGAGTGCTTTGATTTATTTCCCTTCACCCCAACAAGTAGAATTTTGAAGTTGCTGGGACTGACAAATGATCTCAGGATAAAGATGGCTGCTGTGATCACTTATCTCTCTGGGTTCTCACTTTTGTTCAGATATCTTTTGTTATTTGTTGGATCTCCCTTGTCTTAAGGGCTAATTTAAAAATATTTTAGCCAGCATTTTAAATTGCTTTCAGTGGGAGGGTTGGTATGAATAACCTAGCTTGCCATTACCAAAAATAGCAGTACAATTTTTTAACAGCTGCATAATTTTCTATTGTATGCATATACCAGTGTTATTTAACCACTCTCCTATGATGGATATTTATGTTGTTTTTATGTTTTGTATTATAAATAATAGTGCAGCGAAAATTCTTCATCCACCATGTATGCATCACATATATATTACACACACACACACACACAGACACACACACACGCACACACAGGCACACACACATCTTTCTGTATGGTAAGTGTTGAGAAGTAGATTTCAGGATCAGATTTTATTATACATTTTTCTTTTGTTTTTTACTTTTGAGAGCTATTAACAAGCTACACTCCAACATACTAGCAATGTAGGAGAGCTTCACCACAGCCTCGAATTTGGGGGAAGGCAGATAGTTCTTAAAGCTATGTTCTCAAATGCATGCCATCTTGGCTTGTCTAGAAATTGTGGCCACGAGATTGTGATCAAGGTGGGGACCTTCCTGGGTAGGACCACAGCTGCTTTCAAAACCTACCATAAGATGAGTATTAATTGAGGGCTCAATCATATCCTCAAGCCCCATAGTATCTGGACTTAAAAAAAATATAGTAAGCCCATTAAGGTTATTGACCAAGTTGGAATTTAATACCAATGCTGGTCTTTCAAAGATACAGTGCAGAGAGACCTGAATGGCCTCTGAATTAGTGGGCTAGGGAACTACTTCTCCAAGAATGAAGTTGTCCACATAGCTCTGAAAGTTTTCTAGAAATTTTAGTCATGGAATAAGCTTTGTCTATTTTTAAAATGTGTGGATATTATTATTGATAAAGGCTCTAATCCAGGCAAAAGGAATAATTCTTAATCAATACCTACTGTAGGAGCTAAATTATATCACCCCCAGATTCTTTTTCTTTCTTTCTTTTTTTTTTTCTTTTGAGACAGAATTTTGCTCTTGTCCTCCAGGCTGGAATGCAGTGGCGAGATCTCAGCTCACTGCAACTTCCACCTCCCAGGTTCAAGCAATTCTCCTGTCTCAGCCTCCTGAGTAGCTGGAATTATAGGCACCCACCACCACACCTGGCTAATTTTTATATTTTTAGTAGAGACGGGGTTTCGCCATGTTGGCCAGGCTGGTCTTGATCTCCTGACCTCAGGTGATCTGCCTGCCTCAGGCTACCAAAGTGTTGGGTTTACAGGCATGAGCCTAATCCCCAATATCTCAGAAAGTGACTGTGTTCAGAGATAGTCTTTAAAGAGGTAATTCAGGTTAAATGAGGTTTCTGGAATGGGGCCTAATCCAATGTGACTGCTGTCCTTCTAAGAGAAGATTAGGACATAGATACACACAGAGGGAAGACCATGTGAAGACACAGGGAGAAGACAGCCGTCTGCAAACCAAGGGGAGAGGCTCCACAATAAATCGACCCTACTGCTAACATGATCTTGGACTTCCAGCCTCCAGATAAATTTCTGTTGTTTAACCCCCCCAGTCTGGGGTATTTGTTATGGCACCCCTGGCAAACAAAGAAAGTTAAGCATGGCTGAGGAATTGTTCATCCTATCTGATGTTAAACTGCCTAAAACTCTGAGTTAAAGAAAATATGGTGAGTGGAAACTTATTTCATAACTTACTTGCCTGCCTCTTCTCTACTTATTTTAATACAGTTCTTAAGGAGTCCATAGAGTGATTTATAGGTTGGTGCAAAAAGAATTACAGTTTTTGCCATTGAAAGCAAAACCAAAAACCACAATTACTTTTGCACCAACCGAATAATTTTGAGATGAATGAAAAAAATTTTTTTGAGACTTTCAGAACTGTGATATTTCATTATCCTTGCATTTTATGAAAGTAGTATGATATTAAATGACATGATGGACACATGACAACTAGAACTTTTTGAGTATGATTTTAAGATAGACAGGGCAGGACTTAATACTTCTCTGGGCACTGTGCTCCCTCATCATGGAAAGCAGAGTCCAGGTTGACCCTTGGTCCCTAGCACAGGTACACATTCAATACAAACCCCACACTGTACGACTGGCCATTTGAGTGGGATGGATTACACATGCTTCTTTTGAGGGAGGTGATCTGGGACCTGAATCCTTTCTCTAAAGGATTACTTAGAGACCAGCTCCTACACCTGTTAAGCTAAGATTTTGAACTTCTCACTGTGTCTCTTTCAGTAGATGAGGGTGGAATTTGGCCCAGAAGGCAGTGTCAGGAAGTGCATGCTGGGATGGTCCACAGAATACCTGTTTACCAGTGAGTTGAAGGGCTGCCCCTTTGGGCACAATTTGCAAACTGTTGACATATGTTTATGAATATAGAAAAATAAAATCTTTGCTTAATAAACTTATCTTTTATTTTACAGACTGCTTTTAAGAAAATATTTTGCCTTTTTTTGAAGACAATTTTTAAAAATCTTCATTTCATATTCTTCTGGCCAAAGGAATTTACTTTTGTTAAGCATGGGGAAAAAGCTCAGTGCTTGGGGGTCTTTCTCTTTCTATATTTTGAATTTAATGGCTTTCTGAGTCATATTCTGTTGGCATGTACTATAGATATCCATTCAAATTACTGAAGACCTGGGTGAAAATAATTTCTTGGTACACATGCCTAATTGTCATACCCATATTTCCCTAGAGCATATCACTGTTCTGAAACCATTAAGTGATTGTGCAAACTTAAATATAAAAGACAAACTTGAATAATAACAATCTTAAAAAAATTAAGATATTTATATTAGTTTTCATGCTGCTAATAAAGATATACTCAAGACTGGGTAATTTATAAAGAAAAGAGGTTTAACTGACTCACAGTTCTGCAGAGCTGGGGAGGCTTCAGGAAACTTACAACCATGGCAGAAGGGGAGGCAAACACATCCTTCTTCACATGGCAGCAGCAAAGAGAAGTGCAGAGTGAAGGCGGGGGAAAGCCCCTTATAAAACCATCACATCTCATGAGAACTCACTATCATGAGAATAGCATGGGGGAAATGCCCTCATGATTCAATTACCTCCCACCAGGTCCTGCCCATGACATGTGGAATTATAGGAACCACAATTCAAGATAAGATTTGTGTGGGGACACAGCCAAACCATATTATTATCAAACTTCAATAACTTTACTAAAAATAAAGAAAACACACCATAGCTAATTCCAAATAATTTGAGATTACTCTCAAACTTCCAATATTTTTTCAGATTATAACATAAACCTGAATTGGAAGTCTATAAAATTATTACAAATTGCAAAAACAATATGTTTTATTTTGAAATAGTTTCAAAATCACAGAAAAGTTGCAGGAACAGTTCAAAGAACTCCTATATGTACATCACTCAGAGATCCCATTCATTTCACTAATTGTCTGAATAATGTCCTTAGGGAAATGATCTAATACAGTGTCATGTGTGGCCTTTGGTTGTCATGCCTCTTCAGTCTCTTTCAATCCAGAACAATTCCATAGTCCTTCCTTGGCTTTCATGACTGTAAAATTTTAAAATCATGGGCAAGTTATTTTAGTAGAATGTTCCTCAATTTAGGGGACTTCAATGTTTCCTCATTATTAGAGCCAGGTTATGCATGCATTTTTGAGGGAATATTACAAAAGCAATCCCAAGTTCTTACATCCTGTCAGTTGGCACATGATTTCAATCTGGTGATGTTACATTTGATGTTATACTTGAGTAAGGTGGTTTCTGCCAGGTTACTTTACTAGAAAGTTATTCTTTTTCCTTTATAATGAATGTCTTTTGTGGAAACATACTTTGAGACTATGTAAATATTTCATTTGTCTTCTAACTCTTGCCCACAAATGTTAGCATTCATTGATGTTTCTTGCCTGAATCAGTTATTACTATGATCATTGCCAAATGGTGATTTTCTATTATTTCTTCTACATTTAATAGCTAGCATCTGCTAAAAAGAGGAACTTTCTCTTTTTTCCATTTATTTATTAGTTTGTTTAAATATGATTGGACTCAATGATACTTTATTCAGTGTGTTAATGGTTCAACTGGCTTCAAACTGGCTTCTATGTCCTTTTGACATGCCCCCATCATTTTTGAGTACGTCATTACTTCCTGACATTAAGTTATTGTTTAGACTGGACGCAGTGGCTCACGCCGGTAATCCTAGCACTTTGGGAAGCCCAGGTGGGCAGATTGTTTGAGCTCGGGAGTTTGAGACCAGCCTGAGCAACGTGGCGAGACCCCATCTCCACACACACACACAAAAAATATAAAAATTAACTGGATGTGGTGGTGCCCACCTGTAGTCCCAGCTACTCGGGAGGCTGAGGTGGGAGGATGGCTTGAGCCTGGGAGACAAAGGTTGCAGTGAGCTGAGATTGCACCACTGCACTCCAGCCTGGGCAACAGAGAGCCAGACCCTGTCTCAATAATAATAATAATAATAATAATATGTTATTTTTCAGACTCAAAAAAAGCAGAAGCAAATTGTGCTTTTGCTGCACCAGCCCTGAAATCTGTCTTTCTTTTTTTCTAAGATCTCTTCTGTTAGTGGAAAATGGTTTCTAGAAATCTGTAAGCTATGTAGGCTTACTGCTATTGGCCTATTGCTGCTTCCAGGATCTCTCAGTGGACAGAACAAGGACAGAACATTGAAACATCTAGATTCATTTTTATATCTATCTAATTATATATATATATATAAGTTTATAGCAGTTCCTCCACTTCAATTCAAACACAATCGTTTCACCTTTTCATATTTAAAATTCTCTTATCAGGCAGCAAAGGAACCCGGCTGCATAATCCTCAATATACAGTTATCCCTTCATATCCATGGGGAGATTGGTTTTAGGCCGTCCCAAGGATACCACAATCTGCAGATGCTAAAGTCCCTGATCTAAAATGGCATAGTATTTGCATATAACCTAATCATATCCTCCTGAATACTTAAAAAATTATTTTGGAGACACGGTCTCTCTCTGTTGCTCAGGCTGGATTGCAGTGGTGCAAGCATGCCTCACTGCCATCTCAACCTCTGGAACTCAAGCAGTCCTCCCACTTCAGCCTGCTGAGTAGCTAGGACTACAGGCATGTGCCACCATACACAGTTAATTGTCTAAATTTTTTATAGAGATGGCATCTCACTATGTTGCCCAGGCTGGTCTCAAACTCCTGGCCTCAAGCAATCCTCCCCTCTCAGCCTCCCAAAGTGCTGGGATTACAGACATGAGCCATCATGACCAGCCTGTCTGAATACTTTAAATCATCTCAAGATTACTCATAATACTAAATACAATGTAAATGCTATGTAAATACTTGTTTTACTATATTATTTGGGGAATAATGACAAGGAAAAAAGTCTGCACATGTTCAGTGCAGATGTTGTTTAAAAAATATTTTTGATGTACAGTTGGTTGAATTCACAGATGTGGAATCTATAGCTAGGGAGGGCCGACTGTATTTATTTGTTCAGTCCCCCTGTATGCAACAAATCCTTCAGCCTGCTGGGCCACCACCCACTCAACTACTTTCTAACTTTCCTTCTTCTTGGGCATCTCCAGTGATTTTTAAAATGAGTGATTAAGTAGAAAGGAAAGAAAAAAGTAGTGAGAAAAGGAGGAGGAAAAGAAGAGAGAATAAAAATAAAGAAGGAAGGATGGATATTAATTGTTAATATTGATCATGGAAAAGCATGTGAGTAGAAAATTCATGAATTAGGGAAAGAAAATACAAACTTAGGGATCTGCCTGGTTGAGAAGGTAGTTACTAGGTGAGACTAGGTTGTGCTGCAGTAATAAACTGAATTTTAGGTGATAAAGACCCTAAAATCTTAGTGGTTTAAAACAATGCATGTCATGAGTGGCTCTGCAAGGTAAGTGCTCTCTGTGGGGTGCTCAGCGCTCCAGTGTGCTTTGACCTCATCATCCCTCTGTCTTAAGATGTTACCATTGCCATCCAAGCCTTCAGGGATCACTGAGGTGGGGGAAGAGAACATGTGACCAGCTCTTACATACTTCCTCATGGAAGAGACACACATCAATTCTGCTCACTATTTATTGGCTAAAGAGTCAGGTGACCACTCATAATTTTAAAGGGGCAAGGAAGAATAGTCTTCCCACTGCCCATAGTAGCAGAACAGAAAATGCTGGTAAGCACAGGGATAGTTACCACAAAAGCTGTTTTCTCCCAACTGTTAGGAAAAGCTAGCAATATTGAGACTATTCAGAGTCATCTTTTTTTTTTTGTAAAAAAATTTTATCATGTCCCCTTTGCCATAAATATTCTTGAAACCCAAGATAATTAAGATAAAGGTCACATTATAGATACCAAGAAAATCATCTGAAAATTATTTACTTTGACTTTACATGGAACTGAAATCTGAATTTAGAGATGGTTCACATCGTTTCCACTCTGAAACACTTTTTAGTAAAGATTGAAGTCACTGATTCTAGAATAGGGCTGCACATTAGAATCACTTGTGGAGATTTATAAAAATTGCTGCCTGAATGAACCTTGTTCTTGGAGATTCAGATGGAATTGGCCTGGGTGGGGTCTAGACAGCAGTAGTTTTTAAAACTCTCCAGGTGAATCTAATGCAAAAGTCAGGCTTGGAATCTCTGCTTCTAGCCCTGACACCATTGTACTCCCACTGGTCCTTCAGCCTGCATGTCACTTCCTCAAGGAAACCTCACCAACTCCTAAGTCTAGTGATGTGCTCCTATGTCTCTCTATGCTTTCTGTCTTATTCTCTTTGGAGATGGAGTCTCGCTCTGTAGCCCATGCTGGAGTGCAGGAGCACGATCTCAGCTTACTGCAACCTTCGCCTCCCAGGTTCAAGCAATTCTCCTGCCTCAGCCTCCCAAGTAGCTGGGACTACAGGCGTATGACACCATGCCCTGCTAATTTTTTTGTATTTTAGTAGAGACAGGGTTTTACCACGTTGCCCAGGCTGGTCTCCTGAGCTCAGGCAATCCACCTGGCTTGACCTCCCAAAGTGCTAGGATTACAGGTGTGAGCCACCGCATCCGGACTTCTGTTTTATTCTTTATCACACTGTGCTCTGTTTGCCTGGATGCTTTGCTATATTTAGCTGTAAGCTCTATAATGGTAGGGACATGTGGTCTTCATTTTTTGAATGCACAGTCCCTGACATAGATGCCTACCTAACACATAGTAAATGCTCAATTAATGTGCATTGAATAATTAATACATAATATTGGATTTAGAACTTTCTTTATATTGCTTCCTGTTCCAGTGTAAAGCTTGGAAGGACAGACATAGGGTTAGGAAATTAGTTTATTTGGATCCTTTATGAATAACTGATAGATATGGACCTCTTTTAAAATGATCCCGGACTATGTACACAATGAACATTTGTAAGATGGAGTAAAAGCAGAAAGTAGGCTAGGTGCAGTGGCTCATGCCTGTAATCCCAGCATTTTGGGAGGCTGAGGAAGGCAGATGGCTTGAACTTAGGAGTTCCAGACCAGCCTGAGAAACATGGCAAAACCCTGTCTCTACAAAAAATATTTACAAAAATTAGCCAGCGTGGTGGCACACTTATGGTCCCAGCTACTCAGGGGACTGAGACGAGAAGATCACTTGAGCCCAGGAGGTTGAGGCTGCAGTGAACTGAGATTGTGCCAACGCACTCCAGCCTGGGTGACAGAGTGAGATCCTGTCTCAAAAACAACAAAACCAAAAACAAACAAACAAAACCCACAAAAATGGCAAAATAAACAACAACAAGAAGCAAGTAAACATTTGATGCTTTTCAAAAATGATTGTTTGAACTCATTTACAGGTTAAATACACTGGGAAATTTTCTTAAGATAATCAGAAATGGCTAATCTATTTGCCTAAGCATGTTGTAGCTGTATGCCTTTAGATAATAATTATAGTGCCTGCAAGGTAAAGGATAAACTTCTCTGTTATTCAAAGACCTTTGCAATCTCTTCCCAGCCTGCCTTTCTAACTTCTCCCAGCTGAGTGAAGGTGGAAAGAGAGTACATTTTGAATTCAGAAGCCTCAGAGTCAAATTGCTGTTCCACAGTATTCTATCTGAGAATCTTAGGCCTGTTTCTTAATTTCTCTGGGCCCCAATTTCTCCATCTGTAAAACAGGGAAAAAGGAGCTACCTCTCACAATTGTTTTGAAGGTTAAGATATTGCATCTGATGGTGCTTTGTAAAGTGCAAAGCCCACTGCAAACAATTCTTAATATTAGTTGCCAAACAGAGTTACTGATAGGTGTCACACTTTAGATGAGTACCTGAAGTTTCTCAACCTGGCGCCTTCCCCGGCTGAGAGTACTTTTTCTTGTCATTCTATCTATCCAGTTTTTATGCTCAGTAGTTATTAGTCTCCTTCCCTCCCTTCTTGAATTGTTATTTCTCAATACGTCTGGGCAATGGAACTCAAGCCGTGATGCAGTGATGGGAGGAAGATGCAGCAATGGATTGTCTTTTCTGTGGCACTGCAAGTGGAGAACAGGGTAGGAAAGAAACAGTAATGCCTGCAAGCATCTGCTCACTAATCTCAAAAGTGCTATTTACTTTTAATTATTTATTATAATACTTCAAAGCATATTTTGTAAAATTAATAAAGCCTGAGTAATTTGAAACCTCTCCATTTAGCTTGCCAATACATCTTTGCTGAGAAATGCAGTTGAGTGGAATTCTGAGAGAACGATTTGATCTATGGGCCAGGGACAGAAGGATTACTGAGGATTTTTATATGTTCTTAGAATGCCTTTCTATTTCAGGAGAAAAATAAAACAAACATAAAGCAAACTCCACTTCATAGAAGCAAGCCAAGTTATACCAGAAAATCTCTTATTACTTAGCGAAAAAGAGAATTTCTACTCTAAATCACACTCCTTATGTTTACATATATTAAATATAGAATGAAAAGAATTTAGAAAGCAAAAACAATGTTTATAAGTGAACTTTTAAAATCAGACGCAGACATGTAAATGAAAATGTTACCATTGTATGAGGACCTATGTTAATTTTTGCATAACGTTTGTTTCCAGGGGTTCCTGTTGAGATTAAAGTAAATGCATTTACCAGCATACATGTCATGGAAGACTGACTCTGCACCATGCTCTGTGACAAAAGGCTTCAAGATTAAACCGGTTTGGTAAATCCTCTTCTTGGAGATGCACAATGCATGTCTGCCTATTAAATCTCTGAGTGCTCCAGCAGTAGAGATCCTGTTGAAATTTAACTTTGTTGTTCTTAAATTTCCTTGACTGTGGAGCCTTTTAAAACAATTATTTCACCTATTAACAGCTGAAAACATGCTGTCCTTTGGAGTACTTCTTGGGAAGCTCTGAATGACGTCAATTAAATACATTCACTTGCCCCGCTCATCCACAGTGTCCTTTCTGGAATGGCCTTGCAATAACAGTTAGGTAAAATTTTACATAAAGCATAATGTGCTTTAAAACTAGTCATAAAAGGATTTTTCTTGGTAAGAGCTTTATTGGGATATAATTCATATAACATACAATTCACCCATTCAAAGTGTACAATTGCATGGTTTTTCGTATCTTCACAGAGTTGTGCAAGCATCCCCATGGTAAATCTTAGAACATTCTCATCGCCTCAAAAAAGAAAATTCATTCGTTTTAGCTATGATCCCCTATTCCTCTATCCCTCCACTCCACCCCTAAGGAGCAACTAATCCATCTTCTGTCTTTATAGATTTGCCTATTCTAGATACTTTATGTAAATGGAATCATACAGTATGTGGCCCTTTGTGCCTGGTTTCTTTCACTCAGCGTAGTGTTTTCAAGGCTTTCATGTTATAGCATCTATTAGTACTTTACTCCTTTAAAGTTTTAAAGATGGACAGAAGCCCAGGAAGGTAAGAAAGTAAAGAAGGGCAGGGTGGTGAGTTGGTGCCCTGGGGATCCTTGAGCTTGACTAGGATAGGAAATGCCCTGCCTGGGAGAGAAATGCCATATTCTTTCCTTTCTTCCATAACTTCTTATGGTTTGGGCTCCAAATCTTTTTACACACACAGAGTTGATCTCCTTTGCAAAATCTGCTTCCTGAAAATTGCTGGTGGATCAACACTGATGCTTTTCTTGGATATGAGGGCCACAAGGCTTGCACCTGTTTCTCAAAATGAGTATCTGAAGTTTGAGACGCTTGTATTTGTTTCCTGCTTATTTTACAGACTTGAAGAGGGAATTTCCAAGGGGATTGCATGGCGCTTCAGTTAAACCTTTGAAACCCCATCTCTACTGAAAATACAAAAAATTAGCCAGGCATGGTGGCGCATGCCTGTAGTCCCAGCTACTCGGGAGGCTGAGGCAGGAGAATGGCGTGAACCCGGCAGGCAGAGCTTGCAGTGAGCCGAGATTGCACCACTGCACTCCAGCCTGGACGACAGAGCGAGACTCTGTGTCAAAAAAAAAAAAAAAAGAAAAGAAAAAGGAAAAAATGCTGCTTCTCTCCTGAGGCAGCTACTAGAATCATTGTAGGGATATTGCATTTTGTAAAAAAGCTCATAAAAGTTTTCAGCAGTTAGCTCATAAGAGCTCTGGAGGTGAGAAGAGTTCTTTTTCCTAACAGAGTAGGTGAGTCAGGGTCTGGGTACAGAATTTATCACCCCGCCAATGCTCTTCCCAAGAGGAGAAAAAAATGAAAAAAAAAAAAAAAAAAAGAATGTGAATGTTCCCAAGCGCTCGGGATTAAGGTTGATTTAATCTGGTTGCTTCTATTTTGCCATGTTGTGACTTTCACGTGCATCCCATTGCCTGATGCTTATAAATGATGGTTGCGCATAATGTCCCATCTTTTGGGTGCAGAGTTCAAGGACCCTGAAACAGCTGTAGGGGGTGTTTTGGACCCTGGTCTAGCAATGGCCTCAGAAGATTCTGATAGAGGTTTGATTGGTCACTTTACAAGGAACACTGGTCTATACTTAGTCTCTGTTACATGCAGGGAAATATTGATTCTGAGGCATTGAAGTCACAGAACTTAAGATGCTTTTATCCACTAATTCGGCCAACGTTCCTTGAATGCTGCTGTTTCTACACAATAGGGATATAGCATTAAACAAGACAGTCCCTGCCCTCGTGTAGTTTATAATCTGGCTCAGATTCCTCTAAATCAGAATTGTCTAATGTTTCTTGTGGATGCTGTGAAATGATCAAGATGTCTCAAATTAACTCGTTTCTGACCTGAGCTCCCTAGACAGACCCCGCATGAGCAGGAAGAAGCATTCTGTGCTATGTGTCAGCCACTCCTTTGGATGTGTCACATGCCTTTCTTCTTTCATCTTCCTGACAAGCCTACAGGTAGGGTCTTGTTACAACTCTCTGGTGGAAGAAGTTGAGGCTCAGCAAGGTTTATTAAGAGACAGAACCAAGATTGACTCTAAGACTGTCTACCTATTCTCTTTCAATGAATCAATGCTACTCCAACAAACTGAAACACTTTGATATTGACCCCAAATTCAAGGGATGCCCAAAGGAGCACTAACAGGTGACAACAAAAAGTGTGTTCAATTCAACAGTAATAACAGAAGGCATTTTTGTGCCTTGAATCCTGTAGCGTGGTGGAAACAGCATAGGCTTTGATAAATCAGTGAGGATCACATTAGTCTCCAATCAATTAAAATTCCAAAAATAGAGGCTTAAGATTTAAAAGTATTTTCCTGTAAAAGGTGGCATGTAATTCCTTGGTCTTCAGGGTCAAAGGCTCTTCCAGCTTTCTGTTTCCTTATCCTCATTGTCCAATATGGCTGCTAGAGCTCCAGATATCACATCCTAGTTCCAGGCAGCAGGAGAAGGGAAAGGCTGAAAAGGGGCATTGCCCCTTCCCTTTGGAAGACTTCTCAAATGTTTTACATAATACTTTAACTTCCATCTCCTTGGTTAGAACTTAGTCACATGGCCAACCTAGCTACAAGGAAGAATGGAAAGTGTGATCTTTTAGCTGGAGAGCAGTGTACCCAAATGTGAATTGAGGTTCTGTTACTAAGAAGAGGAGTCTTGTTACCAGGAGGTAACTAACAGTCTTTGTTGTAATATATTCTATGCTTTTTAATTATATGGTAAAATCTTAGCTACAGCTTATTAACTGAATTGATTGCATTTTTTGCATTCACTCGACAAACACTAATTGATGCCTACTGTAGGTATTGTGTTAAGTGCTAGGGATGCAAAGACCAATAAGACACAATAGGAACTCGATATTATCAAAATAAATATTAAGGGTGATGACTAAGGGATGCAGGGTTTCTTTCAGAATTCTAAAATTGATTGTGGTGATGTATATACAACTCTATAAATATACTACAAATCATTGAATTGTACACTTACATGGTGAATTGGATGATATGTATTCTATCTCAGTAAAACTGTTTTAAAAAGACAATGTGTGCCAGAGTAGAAAGGAGTCTGTATGCCAATGCTTAGGAGATTCGTGTCAGTGCAGAGAATGGATTAGAGCAGTGGTTCTCAAAGTGTGTTCCTGGACCAGCAGCATCCGCCTCACCTGGGAACTTGTTAGAAATGCAGCTCCTCAGGCCTTACTCTTCATCTGCTCAGTCAGGAACACTGGGGGTGCGAGCAACAATCTGTGATTGAACAAGCCTACCAGGGGATTCTAATGCACGCTCAAATTTGAGTTTCTAGATTAGAAAATATGAAAGGACTGAAGGAGAGCATTTAGGATGTTACTTCAGTGAACACCAGTGAAATGACAGTGAACACTGGTGACACTGAACACTGGTGGCTTCAAGTAAGGATAAAGAGACAGATGTGGAATTATTAGCTATAGCTGGAAACACTTCTAAAAGGGTCTTAATATACTTAACTATTAAAGTGATGAATCAGGAGGTAATGGCCAAAACTGATGAAAAAGAACTAGAAGTCTATGTAAGCATATAATGAAGGTAACCTATAAAGGAACTAGAGTGATAGTCATTAACATTTTGGAGGAGGGTAGAAAAAGAATAATGAAAATGAATGACGTTTTTGCCTTTCTGGCAATCTCTTGAATATTCTTGAATCTTTTGAACAATAATCTCTTAAATTGACAAGTAGATTTTTGAAAAAATATATAAACTTATTATGTAAGGAAGAACTAAACCCAGAAATGGTTAGGTTTCCTCTGATGAGGTGGCCAGGGTGGAGCTTTTAATTATCTGCCCTCCTGCACGTTTAAAAAAGTGCAAAAATAGAATGTTTATTTAAAAAACAACCACTTAACTCTCTAGGTAGATTATACTATTAGTCTCACTAATCTGATCCCCCTTAAGACATCAGCTACAGTTTATGAGTAAATTTGAAAAACCAAGAGTTTTAAGAGGTAACGCCAGAGAATTAAATTTAATCTGAGAAAAAAGTCATCTAACAGTAACACAAATAATCTTGGGTGTTTCTAAAGCCCTATAGCTGGTATCTTTTCGGTGTGAGTTAGTACCTGAAGACTCATGATGTTCTAGTTATTTTTCTCTCTAATTTGAGTTGCTCTTGTCCTGTCTCTTAGGTGTATAACATCTCTCTCAAGAGATTTGTTTCACTGGGTCCACCCAAGTCAATAGCATCCACAGGTTCCTTCAGGTGCTAAATTCTTTGTGCTATTATACTTCATGGAGATGAGCATCCCAGGAAGCCTGGGCCGCATTTCACTCAGGCCTTCAGCCTCATCATTTCTCCAAAACCTGTCCCTTCAAGGCCCAAATAATCTTTGTGCTTCCAGTCTCAAAGCTCATTTCTTGGTGTACATCTTATTCAACCTACCAACCCCAGCTGACCATTTATTCATTGACTATATCTTCACTTGGCTTCCAGGACCCTACTACCCTGGTTTTCAGGTTTTCTTGATGGCTTCTTTTTAATCTTCTGTGTTGCTTGCATCTCTGAACCTTGCTGAGTCTTAGGGATCAGTCTGAAGATCTCCTTTCCTCTCTAGCTTCACTCACCTACTCATTCCACAAATGATCTCATGTAAGTCTCATGACTTTAAATACTGTCTATATGCTGGTAACAACCAACATTTTATCTCCAGCCCTTACCTCTGAACTTACACCTCCAGCTGTCTATGTCATGTCTCCACTTGGGTGTTTAAGTACCCATTTCGAATGTGGCATGTTCCAAAACACTCCCTCTGCAAACTCTTATTCTTTTGCAAGCTTTCCCAGCTCAATATGTGGAAATGTCCTTTTTCCAGCTGCCTAGGTCAACATGGACTCATTCTTTGTCCCTCTCTTCCTCTCATTCCTTAGGTGTGATCCATCAGTCATACTGCAGCTTTCCCATCAGGTATATTCAGAAGATGACCACTTCTCAACATCTCCACTATCACAACCCTGAGTCAAGCAGCCATCATTTCAGCCTAGAGTATTGCAATAAATGGTCTCCCTACATCCACCTTAGTACCTTCTCAACTAATTCTCCACATAGCAGCCAGAGTGAGTGTCTTAAAATATGCACCAGATCTTGCCACTTCCCTGCTTAAATCACCCATGACTTCCATCTTACTCAGAGAGAAAGCTAAAGTCCTTACATATTCCCCGGAGCTGTGGCCTTATCTAGCAAACAATACCATGGTTTTCTTTCCCTAATCAGTGTTGGTTTCACTCTGTTCTTGATAAATCCTTTTCCTGCCGCTAGCTATCTTGAACATATAGGCCACTGAACACAGAAAATTCAGTGAAAGGAAGTGGCTGAATCAGTGTATTTTAATCTGCTAAAAACAAACAAAAGGTTAAAAGAAGAGTAGAATTTATGATACCCTATTAATGAGGAATGTGTATACGTACAGCAAGTAATAATCTCAGTCTATAAGCATAGATATTCCAAAGATGTAACTTTATTTTTCTACAATTCAGTTTATATCTAGAGCAGTGTGCATCCTGTAGAACCTTCTGAGATGATGGAAGCATTTGCTGTCTGCAGTGTCAAATAGAGAAGCCATCTAGTTTCTTGGACAGGACAGATCCAGAGCCCCCATTCCTCCCAGTGGTGGAAAACATAATCAGTGCAGGGCAAACTCAATCAAAACAAGGATTTCTGTTATTTTAGGGGACGTCCCTCCTCTCTTTATCCCTAGGTTGCATCTAAGTCTTACAAGGCTCCTTGAGAGTTTCTGGTTCTCAATCCTCTGTCATCTGCTGAGCAGTCTGAGTTCTTATTGATCTCTGGTCATTGGTCTCTCAGGTGACTATCTTCTGGTTTGCCGGCCATCCCATAAGTTTTTTTAGGATGAGAATGTACACTACAGGTGTTTTTATTTGTGACCTTATGGGGTATGTGAGTGTGTGTGTGAGTGCTAGATAAATATGCATTTGCTCTAAATTTGAGAATATTCAATTCTGCTATAGAAAATAGAAATGGATGGTGATACTCTTAAGACGTGTTAAATATAGATAAGGAAGTTAGTAACTTGTGAGATGTGTTAAATGTAGATAAAATAAGTAGGGCTTATGCATACTGAACATAGATAGGGAGAGATGGAAGAACTAAGAGACACCTAATTTTCACAAAGCGCTAAATATACATGGGGTACCAGAGGCATCTAATTTTCATGATACACTAAATATACTAGAGGTATGTGAAACCCTTTATATTTATGACATCTGAAATTGATAACCCATTGGTGACACCCATTCTGACTCCAAATGTCCTCTGCCAAATAAAATCCACAGCTGCTCAACAGGCTAACTAGTGAGGAATAGCTGTAGCCAGATATAATAAATACATGTGTTTCTCCTAGAAAACAATGTCTGTGCTGGTCCCAGGCATATTCTGTGTCTTGGGCCTCTTTGCTCATCTTTGGTCCTTATAGCCTCACCATCAAGAGGGAAGACTGATGGTGTGGGGAGAGCAATGTCTATGGGTCTTTCATAACCCAGGTTTTATGTAGTGTGGTCCTTCTACCTTTCCTGCACCCTTTCCTAAGTACATTACCCGACCCCATTTCTTTTCTCCTTTTTATTGATGTGTGGATAAATTGATTTAATAAATTGTGTGCTTTGAGTATTTTAATTTGGTCTCTGATCCTTTTTAGTCCTGCATCTCTGGGGTAGCTTGTGCAACAGTGTACTGGTAGCATAGAGGCTATCATGGCATCAAGGTAATTTCCCTCATGACACTGGGGGTAGATGGGATTGAGACTGCCTCAGGGTGACTCTGCCCAGACAGGCTGTGCTATCATCACTATCTACTGCTGCTGCTCTACCACACTGCTGTGGGAGAGGGCAAGAAGATTTGGCTCTTCTGTGAACCCCAACTAAGGAGTGAGACATAGCCCTTGATCATGCTCAGATTCCCAAACTTACTAGGGGGTTCTATCTAGCCAGACTCGGCCAGGGGCAGGAGTCACTCCTTCTCTGGGACACCCACCAGTGTTTCAATAGCTTTCCTCCTCCTCCTCCCTCAGTATGGAGGGTCTGTATGTCCTTTGGGAAGCACTGTTTCCAAATCTGTGGCTAATAGTATAAACTTCATGCCTCTAGTCCTTAAGTACCTTGGTTTTGATTCTCATAATCCAGGCTTTTGAAATTCAAAAATCTTTTTTGAGTTAAACTTTTTGAGTTTATTGTCTCTAGTTTAAAAAGTCTATTTCAAAACTCTACTATGGCCTGAATGTCTCTCAAAATTCCTCTTCATCCCCACTGTGAAACCTGATCCCCACTGTGGTGGTATGAATAGGTGTGGTCCTTTGGGGAGTGATTAAGGATTAGTGCCTTATAAAAGGGCAGGAGGAAATTAGCTTAGGTCCCTTTCTGCTCTTCCGCCCTTCTGCCATGTGAGGACACAGCAAGAAGGACCTCACCAGACACTGAATGATGGCATCTTGATCTTGGAATTTCCAGACTCCAGAACAGTGAGAAATAAACTTCAATTAAATTACTTAGTCTGTGGTATTTTGTTATAGCAGCACAAATGGACTAAGACAAAGTTATTTCTCTTTTCTATCTCTGCATTTCTGCCATAGCAACCCTACTGTGAGGGCAGGCGCACACCCACATGCACACACAGACACACACACACACATACACCCGACATCTCTGCTGCCTGAATTGGAGGAAGGTTGAGGGTAGGCCTGGAATACTGGGGAAAGAATAAGCCTAAGTCAATATTTCAAATCCCCATTCTTCCCCATTTGCAAAGGACTGCATGTAGCTATGAGTGAGTTGTCTGGACACAGGGTTTGGAGGACTCTGCAGGCTGCTCCTTCTTTGTGTCTTAGTCTACTCTCCTGCTTGTCTTTATTTAGCAGCAGGATGGACACTGGCAGTTCCACAACAACATTATCAGTAGAGTTCAGTCGAGTTCAGAGGATGCTTTGATGTCCCTCTGGATCTGAAAATATCTTTCTTACCTTCTAAGTTTGCTTTGGTTCTTCAACGGAATGGAGATAGCATTTATTGATAACCTTCCACATGCTGGGCATCACTTTCCAAGAGGCCCCTTTTAAAATGTAAATTCCCTCTGGCAGGGAAAAACCCTTAAGCCCTCATTATCTAACCCCTAGAATTAACTTATTAGAACCATTTCCATCTGTCATAGCCAGCTGCGATCAAGGCCGTGTGAGACTGGCATCAGGATAGCTGTCCTGGGGAGGGCCCTGGAAAGGGGAGGGAGCAATGAGAGGGGCAGGAGTGGAAGACCTTCCAAATCAAAGTTTATCTGCTCCACAACATTTGCCCTGTGGTAGCCCTGAAGTAATTGATGTGCTAATTAAAATCCCTGTAGATTCATTAAAGCAATACCGAGAAAATCCCTGCTTTGCACTTAGGTTGTCTAGACAGTAGTTTGGGTATAAATATGAAAGTAATGAAACTCATTGCTTTAACAAAAATTATCCCATTTTGGCTTTTTCTATCAGTCCAAATGATGAGGTTGTAACTTCATTTTAATGCTTAGAAGTGCAAAATAGTGATAGATAAGAGAGAGGGTGTGGGTTATATACGCAGGCTGGCTTGTGATTTACAATTTGTATTATACAGACTAGCCACAGATGATCAATTAGCATGCATGAATTAAAATGGCCTATTCACACAATGAGATACTCCTCAGCAATAACAAGGAATTACCAATTTATACAACCATGTGGATGCATCTTAAAAACTTGTTGAGCAAAAGAAGCCAGACACAAAGGAATATACACTGTATGACTCCATTCACATGTTCTTAAATGGACAAAACTCATGTACAAAGAAACAATCTGAATAGTGCTTGCCTCAGTGGGGGTAAGAGGAGAAGATTAAAGCATGAGGGGACCTTTTAGCTAGGTAGAAATGCTATCTTGATTTGGGTGTTGATGACAGGATCTACACGTTTGTCAAAACTACTAGAATTGTGCACTTCAGATATGTGCCTTTAGCCCCATGTAAATTATAACACAATGAAAACAATTTAAAAAACATTTCCTGGCCTTTTTTTGAGCTAGCTTTCCTTGGCTGACTGCATGTTGGTTTGGTGTCTGAGGTAACTAACAGCATAGGTATATCTAGCATAAAGCCAAAACTGCAGATTGTGTAACATGCAAATTGCTTTAAGTCGAAGAGCTAAACATTTAGGGTTGCTCACATGTGATGTTATTAATCACTTTATTATGTAATACTTGCTCTGAAATACAGGCAACACAAGCAAATTCCATCAATATTCTTTTGAACTTTTTATTTATTCAGTGTGTGTGTGTGTGTGTGTGTGTGTGTGTGGTTTTTTTTTTTTTTTTTGGACGGAGTCTCACTCTGTCATCCAGGCTGGAGTGCAGTGGCGTGATCTCGGTTCACTGCAAGCTTCACCTCCCGGGTTCACGCCATTCTCCTGAGCCTCCCGAGTAGCTGGGACTATAGGCGCCCACCACCACTCCCGGCTAGTTTTTTTTTTTTTTCAGTAGAGACGGGGTTTCACCGTGTTAGCCAGGATGGTCTCGATCTCCTTCCTGATCGCTTGATCCACCCACCTCGGCCTCCCAAAGTGCTGGGATTACAGGCGTGAGCCATCGCGCCTGGCCCAGAGTGTTTTTTTAATAGGAAAAGTGTGGTCCATATTTAATCTGTGCTTCATTTAAATCCATTCTTCAAATGGCTTACCTCTTTCTCTTTCTTTTCTTTTCTTTTCCTTTTTCTTTCTTTCTTTCTTTCTTTCTTTCTTTCTTTCTTTCTTTCTTTCTTTCTTTCTTTCTTTCTTTCTTTCTTTTCTTTCCTTCTTTTCTTTTCCTTTCCTTTCCTTCCTTTCTTTTTTTTTTTTTTTTTTTTTGAGACGGAGTCTCTCTCCGTTGCCCAGGCTGGAGTGCAGTGGCGCGATCTCAGCTCACTGCAAGCTCCGCCTCCTGGGTTCACGCTGGGACTACAGGCACCCGCCACCATGCCTGGCTAATTTTTTTGTATTTTTAGTAGAGACGGGGTTTCACCATGTTAGCCAGCATGGTCTGGATCTCCTGACCTCGTGATCCGCCCGCCTCAGCCTCCCAAAGTGCTGGGATTACAGGCTTGAGCCACTGCGCCCGGCCTCCCTTCCTCCCTCCCTCCCTCCCTCCCTCCGTTCCTTCCTTCCTTCCTTCCTTCCTTCCTTCCTTTCTTTCTCTTTCCCCTTCCTTCCTTCTTTCTTTTTTTCTTTCTTTTTTTTTTTTGAGACAGAGTTTTGCTCTTGTTGCCCAGGCTGGAGTGCAATGGCGTGGCTGGGCTCACCGCAACCTCCACCTCCCGGGTTCAAGCGATTCTCCTGCCTCAGCCTCCCGAATAGCTGGGATTACAGGTGTGCGCCACCATGCCCAGCTAATTTTGCATGTTTAGTAGAGATGGGGCTTCTCCATATTGGTCAGGCTGGTCTCAAACTCCCAACTTCAGGTGATCCGCCCGCCTAGGCCTCCCAAAGTGCTGGGATTACAGGCGTGAGCCACCGCGCCCTGCCAACTTACACTTTTCTAAGCTACTCCCTATATACCACTTTTGCTACAAAAAAAGTAAATTAACACAATAAAATAGTTTAACTCTGGCCCTGTAGTGTGCTACACATAAAAACTCACATACACCTCTAAATCTCTTTCCAAGATGCTATTGGAGAGTATTTCCGTACAATTGGCATGTACCTGATTGGAATGTTCTGGAGCTTTGATTAGGCTTCCCCTTGCCCCTTTTGTTTATACAACGTCTACAGTATAGGAGTAGCTGCATCTTAGGGTAGGTGAGGTCTCCTAGAAAACTGAACTGAAGTAGTTGTTTTGAAGGCTGAAGAAATTCCGAAAGACCTATAGCGTACATTCTCATCCTAATATTCCTTCTGTTCTGATTGAGAATAAGGATCATGATTATTTTCATTATTCATCTGCTCCTCTTGCTTAGTCCTTTCCTGAAGTCTTAATCCTCTCCTTGAGACATCCCAGTTGGTTGCCATGGAAATGATTATTTTGCCACAAACACAGAATTATGACCTACAGTAAAGAATAAGCAGCAGAAGCCAATGAACTCTTGGAAAATAACTCAGTCTTGCTGACACTAAAAGAAGACTAACACTATTAAAACTGGAAGCAAAGTTGTCCAAAGTTTTTCATGAGGCAATAAGTTATCATGAATTTTTCTCAAATAATTATTAGATCAGTTGTTGAAGAATTTATGGTTTGAACATATTTATGGGCACTAATACCTTTACAAGTTAAAGTCCTTCCAAAATTTTGAACCTAAAGGTTCAAAGCAACTAATGATTGATATTAGTAATAATCATTTAATTGTTTCTGACCTGTCATACATACTCAAAAAGTACAGTTAAAACTCTACTTCAGGCTGGGCATGGTGGCTCATGCCTGTAATCCCAGCACTTTGGGAGGCTGAGGCGGGTGGATCACCTGAAGTCAGGAGTTCGAGACCAGCCTGGCCAACATTGTGAAACCCCTTCTCTACTAAAAATACAGAAGAATTAGCCAGGCATGGTGGAGAGCACCTGTAATCTCTGCTACTTGGGAGGCTGAGGCAGGAGAATTGCTTGAACCCGGGAATTGGAGGTTGCAATGAGCCAAGATCGCACCATTGCACTCCAACCTGGGAAACAAGAGCAAAACTCTGTCTCAAAAACAAAAACAAAACAAAACAAAAACTCTACTTCAAACTCAGCCATTTAAATTCTTGTGCACACCTTTCTGGTTTTATACACGGATATAGCCATAATTTACTAAAATATATTTATATTAAATAATTATTAATATGATTATATCTACTTTTGACATAATAAAATATATCTGTACTTAAAAAAATAGAAATATACTTATGTTTCTATCTATATTCTTTTCTATGTTTCTATACCATCTTAATATTTATAATTTTCAAATTAAGAAACTTCTTATCCTGGTTCCATATAGTGGAATATTTATGTTGTATCAAATCCTTTTGCCATTATAAATGAAATGGCTGTAAATATCTTGATAGCAGGTCTTGAAAGAAATTCTGTAGAATTAGCTTGGAGAAATTGTGTTCTGGGCATCAGGAGTGTGAGAATTTTAATGTAACACCCTTCCCTATATATAGTAGGCCATCATTAAATATTTGTTACATGAATGGACCTCATCAAATATATTAAATTGAAAAGTAATGGCAAAAACCGCAATTACTTTTGCATCAACCTAATACTTTATGGCAGGTAATATTTACGGCTCTTACAAGTCAGAGAAACTAGGATAAGAGAAAGTTCCAAAGAATCTTAGGGAAGAAAGCAAATCTTTCATAGACTAAGGTCCAAGAGTGTCAGTAGCTTGACTCAGGCCCTGCTTGTGAGAAGGGTGTGTTTAGAAGTCTCATCTTCCCCCTTTCCATTGAATTTTCTTTGCACTGCACAAGCTGCGCTTCTCAGGGAGCTCAACAGAACTTGCAAAGGCCCTGAGGGAATGCAGTGTGTTCCTGACTCTGCTTAATTTGTTAATTTTTGTGTTCTTTTTCTTCCAAAACGATTTTAGGCAGGTTATATAAGGACATCAAATACAGTGGAATAACACCAAAATTAAAACAAAAAAAAAAATCAAGTCAAAGAGGAAGTATAAACAACAAAATAAAGTTGTCCCCAAAATGTGTACCTAGGGTCATATGGAGTTGGAAAAGATGTGACACAATTGGACTCTGAACTTCCTCAAGGCCAGAGGAAGGCAGGACATAAAAAACAGCACCTGATCCATAGCGTCTGCAAGACAAAAACCAGTTACCTAAGGGAAGAACAGCACTCTTTGTCAGTGAGTCCGTGTCTGTCCCTGAATGCCAAGATATTGCTAAGTTACACTTTGACCTCTACTGCGGAGCTTTCAAGCTTCGCTGTTGTGACAAGTGCTGCCACTGACATCGGCTGGTTTCATAACGCCTGGCCCCACGAGTGCTTCATGCTAGATGGCTGAATTTTGATGACCACCATGAGGAGGGTAGAAATACAGCCTTGATGAGAGAATTTATGTGTAAATACCTGAGAGTCTGAAAGTGTATCTCAGATGAACTTGATTAAAAACTTTTCCTATTGTGATTAAGAAAAACACATAAAATTCAATTGATTTTAAATATCTTTTTCAATTAAAAAAGTAATATATAATAGTCTTCTTGTAGAAAATGGAAATTTTAAGGAAGAAAAATATCACTGTAAATCTATAGTGTATAAGGCCAGGCACTGTGGCTCATGCCTGTAATCCCAGCACTTTGGGAGGCAGAGGTAGGCAGATCACTTGAGGCCAGAAGTTCATGACCTGCCTGGCCAACATGGTGAAACCCTGTCTCTACTAAAAATACAAAAATTGGCTGGGCCTGGTGGCAGTCACCTGTAATCCCAGCTACTTGGGAGGCTGAGGCAGGAGAATCATTTGAATCTGGGAGGCGGAGGTTGCAGTGAGCCGAGATTGCGATGCTGCACTCCAGCCTGGGTGACAGAGAGACTCTGTCTCAAAAAAAAAAAAAAAAAAGTACAGTATGTAGAATTTTTCAAGGCTTTGGGTGTATTTCTTTCCACAGTTAGGGTTTTATGTGTGTGTGTGTATACATATAAGTGTGAGTATGTGTATGTGTATATGTATGTGTGTATATATATCTATATTTATATACAGCTATATCCATATATGTAGTGAGAAAGAAAAAGAGAGAGAGACTATCTACAGACAAAGCAAATTGAAAAGAGGTAAGATGAAAAGATTCTTCGAGGCCCTGCAGTGTAACCGCAGGGGGTTTAATAGGGTCTCTTTGGTCTTATCCATGGGTGGAAAGGCAATTAAGGACTCCGAGTCCCTTCATGTGGCTGTCCCTCGGTTTCTCTAAGACTCATAGTTCTCAGTATAATTTTGTAATTTTCCACATATAAACACCACCTATTTCTTGTGGAGTTTAATACTACTATATGTGTTATTTTTTATATTGTGAACAAAAATGTTTGTTCTACTATATTTTTCTCTGGCCATTTCTAATATCTATAGATTTTTATACCTTTTTTTTTTTTGCCTCTGGCTGCTTAACTAAATTCTCTTTTAATAATAATTTTTTTTTTCTTTGTGAAGGTTTCCTTGGAATGAAATATGTCTTGAATATAATAACATTATCTTCTCCTTGTTGATGAGCATGTTTTTAAGACTGTTATCTATAGCATTTATCTCTAAATATGAATAGTATGCCAAAACACTTTTTCTGCTCATTAAACTTTGTGAATCAGTTTTTTCATCAGTAGCTGTTATTTTCATTATCTTTAATGGATCCTTGGTGGGATGAAGGGAAAAATAAGCCAACAAAAAAAATAAGGAAAACTGTCTTTGTCTTTAATCCTTGCCTTTCTGGTCCCACCCTTCTTTCTATTCCACTCCTATGGATCAGTCTCATATCTGCAATATTAGGAAAACAGGAACAGCATGTGTGGAGAACAACAAACGTGTACTCTAGGGATGGCTAAATCTTTCTAAATTGTGTAATATTTTCCAACTTACCAGGATACCTGTTATGATATATAAAATTCTGCCACAATTATAAATAACATGCATTTTTCCTTTATATCAGTACTATATAAGTGGCATGCCTGATAGAAGAAATGGACAATTTTTTTTTTTTTTTGGAGACGGAGTCTGGCTGTCTCACCCAGGCTGGAGTGCAGTGGCGCAATCTCTGCTCACTGCAAGCTCTGCCTCCCGGGTTCACGCCCTTCTCCTGCCTCAGCCTCCTGAGTAGCTGGGATTATAGGTGCTCACAACCACGCCCGGCTAATTTTTTCTTTTTTTTAATATATTTTTAGTAGAGACGGGGTTTCACTGTGTTAGCCAGGATGGTCTTGATCTCCTGACCTCATGATCCGCCCGCCTCGGCCTCCCAAAGTGCTGGGATTACAGGCATGAGTCACTGAGCCCAGACCAGAAATGGACAATATTTTAAAAGCACACATAAAAAAAAATCTAAATTATCCAGAGTTGTCATATCCCAAAATAACCTCTGTCTTACTTCGGTTTCCCCAGAAAGACCCTGGGACAAGGGTTCATGTGCAGATTGTCTTTTGGGAAGTGATCCCAGGGAATGGGAGTGGAGGGCTAGAGAAAGGGAAGCAGGGAAGGAGGGAAAGGCCATTCAAAAGTGTATTATCAAATCGTTCACCACTCTGGGTAACTAAGGCTTAGTCTCACTGTAGAATGAGCTTCAGATTGTCCATTGAAGAGATGGAAGGTCGAGGCTGCAGTGAGCTGTGATCATGCCATGCACTCCAGCCTGGGTGACAGAGTGAGATCCTGTCTCTAAAAAGAGAGAGAGAGAGAGAAAGAGAGAAAGAGAGGGAGAGAGAGAGATAAGAGAGAGATGGAAGAGGTGAATATATTCAATGGTGTGTTGGAACCTGCTTGCCCAGCTTGGCATGGCCTGTTGTGCATATGTCGTGCCAACTTTGTGCTCAGTGACATCAGGTTGGTAGCTTGAAATTGACCACAGTGGGAGTGTTTACACCGTGGAAATTGGTGAAAGCCACATATCAGGGCTATTTTTGTTAGACAGCTGGTTGTTAAAGTTTATTGGCATATCACTTGAAATATTGATCCACTGGCTCCCATCTTCTTTTAGTCAAGGGTCACCCCACAGGGCATGAACTCCCTTGTTCTTCTAAATTTGCACAGACATCAGAAGGCTGAGATGGTTTCTGCAGACAACCCACAGGGCTGAGAGGACCTCCTCCCAGCCGAGGCAATAGGCTGTCAGTTTACACCTGTGTAGCTGCTTTCCACAGCAATGACTGAAGTAAAATGGACGGCTGAGGGGCTGTAAGGCCCCAGAGATGTCTAATCCAAGCAGTATTAATGTTTTGGCAGTTTTCATGGACATGTGCATGCACACATATAAAAACACACAGTTTTAAACTTACTAAAATGGCATCATACCAACTATACTTTGTCTCCTTCTCAGCTTTTTATGTTTACTTAACAATAAATGGTGAACATTTTCCATGTAAACAAATGCTACTTTAGTGGTTGCAAAGTATTAGATATACCATAGAGTATTTTCTAATCTTCCACTGTTGCACACCTAGGTCTGTTTTCAATTTCATGCTATTACAAATAGGGCCATGATGTACATATTTGTATATATATCTTTATACCTCTGATAAATTCCTTGAAGTAGAATTACTGGGTCAGAGGGCATGCCTATTTCTAAGACTTTCGAACAGATTGCCTAGCCTAGAATATGTGTATCAACAAAGCCCACACCTTATGATCTTTCGAAGTCTTTTCTAGCCTGCCTGCCTGCCTGCCTTCCTTCCTTCCTTCCTTCCTTCCTTCCTTCCTTCCTTTCTTCCTTCCTCCATTCCTTCCCTCCTTCTCTCCTTCCCTCCCTCCCTCCCTTCTTTCCTTCCTTCCTTCCTTCCTTCCTTCCTTCCTCTTTTCTTTCTTTTCCTTTCTCTCTCTCTCTTTCTTCCTTTCTTTCCTTTTTTTCAGACAAGTTCTCATTCTCTCACTCAGGCTGGAGTGCAGTGGGGCGAACACAGCTCACTGCAGCCTCCACCTGCCAGGCTCAAGTGATCCTCCCACCTCGCCCTTATGAGTAGCTGGGACTACAGGTGCACGCCACCATGCCTGGCTAATTTCTTGTATTTTTTGTAGAGATAGGGATCTCACAATGTTGCCCAAGGTGGTCTCTAACTTCTGGGCTCAATCTGCCCACCTCAGCCTCCCAAAGTGCTGGGATTACAGGCATGAGCCACCATGCCTGGCCTTTAACTTTATTATTCTATAATTCTCTCATTCCAATGCCGAAGTATCAACGATTCCTGTAAGACTAGCATGAACCACAATAAGTAAATAGATTGCTTATGACTCCGTATCCAATAGCCCTGAATAGTACATACTTAGAAAACAAAACAAAGCTACTTTACTTTAATATCTCTACCCAAAGAAATAATGTTTTTCCATATTTATAATTCATATAAACAAAACAAACTTGCAGCACTCTAAAAATTGAGTTCTTTAGACTTTAAAACTTAAGGCATTTCTATAACTGCTATTAATCACCAGTCTTAAATATATTATCCTCATGTCTTCAGACTCAAGAAGGCTTTTGTCTATAAGTCCATTCTACATAGCTATTTTATTTGGAAGAGAGCATAACGCAGATGACAAATGATTCATTGTTTCTGGAGCAAAGCAATATTATTCCAGAACAAAAGGAAAGAGAAAAATAGTAACAAACATTGTGATATTTTTGAATTTGGATTGATTTGATCCTTCAACACTGTTCTAAACTATCATATTTCTATTTGATTACTTTTTTTCCTAGTCATATCTTTAACGACAAAAAAATAATGTTTGAAATCTTGCATATGTGCTCGGGTATTTAGTAACTTAAGACATTCGTACTGCATTGAATTCTATCGCACGCAAGAAATTAGAAAACACAAAATCAGTGTAACAAAGCCAACATGGGATTTCTGAAAGGCTTTAATTCAACATTTGTCACAAATGTTGACTAATCACCTTCTCTGGTCTCGTTGTAGTGCTAGGCACCAGAGATAATGCAGTGAACCAGACAGACACCATCCCTAGCCTCATAGAGCTTGCAATTAAAAACCATACTCCAATGGAAATAAGGAAAGAAAGAGGCAAATGCCCAGACCTCTACTTGCTCTTCTGGTCTTCCATTGCCTTCTCAGCTGTTAAACCAACTCTTTGTGTCATTTCCTTTTTGAACAATGAAGGGCCTGCTACTGGCCTAACTTATAAGGAAAAGCTCATAAAATTGATTTGCCAGATTGACTCACAACCCAAATGCATCTCATTTTTATGGCATAAAACGAAGATGTAGTGTGAATAACAAACATACTTACTTTAATGGATGTTAATTGTATTCTTAGTCCCTCTCCAGGCAATTAATATTTTCCCTTGCCATTTTATACATAAAGATCCTCTGAAAAACTCAGCTAAGGGCATAACAGGACTGTTGTCAGTGACCATGGATCCTAAAAGATCCATATAGGCTCCCAGGGCAAGCTGGTCATGGGTAAAACTGTGAAGGTAACGGTCGCTGATCATTGTTGCCTCTCCCTGGAGTGACGAGATATCTCCTTCCCACCCTCTGCATCCAGCATCTCATACTTGTGCCATCCTTTCCTTGTTAAAAGGTTTTCAGGAACTGATCAAGTATTAATGTCCAAAGAATAATAAAACGTGAATTTTAGCGAAAGTCAAAAGGGTGAATTTAGCAGAAAACAAATCTTTAAATCAAAGGGATAGCTCTACATATGTAATTTAAGGTATTAATTAGCATATAGAATATATCTGGGCAGGAGAAAAGTCCAGATATAAAATAACTCTAGAACAAAAATAAGAGAAAACTAGTTAAACATTGGTGGGTGGATGACAGGCATCTGGGTGTAGTAGGGAAAGCCCAAACTCTGGATGAAAGAACATACCTGGGTTCAAATTATTCCTGAGCCTCAGTTTCTCCAACTACAAAGTGGGAACAATGACATCTATAAGATTTTTTCTATTTATGGGATTAAATATGATAATGTATGTAAAGTACATGGACCACATGAGCTTATGCCATCATGAAGTCAGACCACAAAAGTGCTTGCAAATTCTGCATATGCGCACTTCCTGAATGCATTTTCCTATCCGTAAAATGAGGTACAACAGGATTTTCAGCTGAGTCTGAACCCCAATAATTTGGAATACCGATGGAAAATCATGGAAGGGAGAGTGGGAAAAGCAGACTTTGTTTTGTTTTTGTTTTTGTTTTTGTTTTTGAGACAGGATCTCCCTCTGTCACCCAGGCTGGAGTGCAGTGGTGCCCTTTTGGCTCACTGCAACCTCCGTTTCCCAGGCTCAACCGATTCTCATGCTTCAGCCTCCCGAGTGTCTGGGACTACAGGAATGCACCACCACCCCGGCTAATTTTTGTATTTTTTGTAGAGATGGGGTTTCACCATGTTGACCAGGCTGGTCTCAAACTCATGAGCTCAAGTGATCCACCCGCCTTGGCCTCCCACAGTGCTGGGATTATAGATGTGAGCCACCGGGCCGGCAAAAGCAGACTTTTTTTTAAACTTCAGTTTGTTTTTCTAGAGCAAAACAGTGGGGTCTTTAGTTTGCATTAGAATTACTCAAGAAACTCCTCCCCACCTTTAAATGTTCATTTATTTATCACAATGAACAGGAAACATGTAAGCCAGGTAGCTTTTTCCTCAGGAAATTTGTTTTTAAATGCACATTCTGGGGCCCATTCCTATGAAATTCTGATTCAGAAGATCTTTGGGAATCTGCATTTTTAAAAAGTTCCATAGGTCATTCCGAGGCAGGGCAGCTGTGGGCAAACTTGGAGAAACAGGGCTGGAGAGAGAGTGCCTTGATTTCCACTTTGAGAACACAGTGTTTGAGAGTCTCTTTAATGTGGTATTTGGTAATGTAAATGGAAAGCAAAACTCCTTTCCAAAGTGGAAGGATTTAAGACAATGAACAACTAAATTGATTGGCAAAGTAAAGTAAAGGCCGTTTTCATTGTGAAGTGAAATCTTGGCAATGTGTTTCTTTAAGGAAATGCTTCTTGTTCTTAATATAGATTTGGGCTGCTACGAATCTGGATATTCTTTTGGTTCCCAAAGAACCAAATCATTACGCCAGGAGGGCTAGAGCTGAGGTGGGCATGAACAAAGGATGAAGGAGTCTAGTTTCTCTTTGCTAATGTGAACGGAACACAGAGGTGGGCCTGGTAGTTCCAGAGCCCAGCACCTTCAGTTCTGTGCGCAGTTCCCTCTTGGTGTTTTTTTATACCAGATGTTTCAAAATGTGAAAAAGATGCTACTGTCAGCTTGAATTCGGATGCCTTGTCCTTTTCGCAATAGGAGGTGGGGCCTTCCTGAATGTCAGGGCTTCCTGGGTGGTTGGCCATCCTGGAAGGCAGAAGTTTGTGAGCAGTGAAGTTTTCCTTCAAACATTGGTTGGGGCCTGGGCTCTGGGAGAAGACAACTGGTCTAGGGGCTCTTGCTGGGGAAGGCGCTGGCCACTGCAAAGTGGTGGGCGCAGGCCAGGGATGAAGGAGAAAGTGCTAGTAGGCCACTTTCCTCTGGAAGGGCTCCTCTTATGATTCTGCTGGCAGTCACATCCAGTGTGAAGGTCTTTGTTATTCTTTGATCTTTTATTCTTTTTTGTTATTTCCAATCCTTCAGTAAAGTTGGGCACTTGAACAGATTTTTCAGTTCCACAAATTGAAGAGCACCTCCCATATTCTAGGATACTGAAGTTAGCATGGCAGACAAGTGTCCTATCTTTATGGGCTTTCTAACTTTAGATCCTGAGGTCTGAAGGGAATTAAGGAATGAGCTGGCATCCAAAATTGGACTGGGTTGTATGAGGTGAGCTACACAAAGGGTCCGCACTCCTGCTGTGGACCTGGCGGAGTTTGCCTGGAGCGACACAGATCTGACTACTCAATCCACCTTGAGGTTACCACTGATGGTCTGTTATCCTTCTCCCCTATAGAAAATCCTTTTAAATTTGGATTAAAGATTTATAGAGCTTTACTAATGTCTTCAAAGAACGGGCATATGCAGTTTGAACTCTATCACAGAAGCAATTCAGTTCTTTGCAACTAAAAACATTGGCTTCTACTTGAAGTATAAGTAAAAACTGCCTGATTGACTTGATGAAAATGAGAATTGTTTGTAATTAGCAATCACTTGATTGGCATCCAAATAGCAGCCTGTTTGCTCTCTTGAAGCATGCTCAAATCACTCACCATCTTACTTTAAGAAAAATTTCTTTCAATTACAGATGTAATGTATGCTCCTATTGAAAATTTAGAAAATAAAAATGAAGAGAAGGAAAAAAAAGATTATCAATAGTTTCACTTACATATACATTGTGATTTATTTTCTTCTTCTGACATACAAACAGTTGCCACTTTATGAAGGTTTGACCTACAATTTTTCACTTTTTGTACATTGGTACAAAAATGAAATGCATTTAGTAGAAACCATACTCCAAGTATCCACCCAACAATTCTCAGTACAGTATTTAATATATTACATGAGATATTCTACACTTTATTATAAAATAGGCTTTGTGTTAGATGATTTTGCCCAACTGTAGGCTAACGTAAATATTCTGGACATGTTTAAGGGAGACAAGTTTAAACTATGATGTTCTGGAGGTTAGGTGTATTAAATGCATCTTCACCTTATGATATTTTCAACTTAAGAATGAGTTTATTGGGACGTAGCCCCATCGTAAATTGAGAAGCATCTGTATTGATTTTTAAACAGTTGCAATTTCATGGTATATGTGCAATTGCATAGGCTGGTTTCTTAAAAATCTGTTTTTAAAATATCTGCTAACTATATAAAGCAGGAAAAATATCACTTAGAAGTCTACCTCCCAGAGGCTGGGCACGGTGGCTCACACCTATAATCCCAACAATTTGGGAGGCCGAGGTGGGTGGATTACCTGAGGTCAGGAGTTCAAGACCAGCCTGGCCAACATGGTGAAACCCCACCTCTACTAAAAATAAAAAAATTAGCTAGGCATGGTGGCACACCCCTATAATCCCAGCTACTCGGGAGGCTGAGGCAGGAGAATTGCTTGAGCCGGGGAGGCAGAGGTTGCAGTGAGTCAAGATCGTGCCACTGCACTCCAGCCTGGCCAATAGAGAGAGACTCTGTCTCAAATAAATAAATAAATAAATAAATAAATAAATAAATAAATAAATAAATAAATAAATAAAAAGTCTACCTCCCAGAGAAACTATCCCTTCCTTCCTTTAACATCTGGGTGCATTTTCTTATAATTCCTTTTTTTTAAACACATAGTTGTGTTTATGCTGGATTAAAGTTTTGTTAATATGCACAGATCTTGTAAGAAAGAGTTTCAAGAGGCTCAGTTGCAGATCATATCTGTTATTGGTGGTTTAGTAGTCTTTCCCAATTAAACCTCAATGACTCAGGACTCTCAGTATGACTTTTAAAGGTGCAGAAAGCCATCACTTATGTTCCATGGCAGAAAAAAAAGGACGATTATGTTGCACTATGTCATTCTACTTTTGTGCAGGGAAAATACCTTTTGAAAGTAATTCTCCTGGTTCAGTTTCTTAACAGTGTGACCCACATAGCCAATGTTAGCAAGCACTGGAAGAGAACACTATTAATTACAGCTTTAAGTGGCCACTAAACATGCAGAAGATTTCCTCTGAACTGAGAGTTGAAGGATATGGTGCAACAAGCCCATTTCCTGGCACTGGAAAGCGGAGAGAGAGCTGCAGGAGAGGCGGTGGTGAAGGAAGCAGTGCAGGGCCATGCGTGGCCCCCGACGTGGGCATTCGGCTGGAGCTCTTGATTCTAGGTCCCAGCCTGAGTACACGAGGATTCCTCTGGCCTGTTAGCTACAACTTCCTCTTCTGGAGGTCTTACTTGTCATCTATGTCTTGGTCGTCTGCATATATTTTCTAGAAATTTCCTCAAGGTACTGTGATGATTCACTTTCTGAGATGTCACAAACTTGAGAATGACTTACTATTGTCTTCGTATATGTGTGTGTGTGCATACACACACACACACATACATATGCATGCATTCTGGTGTCATGACCCTTTCCCTAAAGTCTTTATTGTCTTCTGAAACTTACTATTATAGATGTCAAGACTGAGCAAAACCTGATTTGCATCCTTTTATAGAACCTTTTGTTCTTCTTATTTTAATTTTTAGTTTAATAATTTTTCTAGAATATATATATTGTGGATACTTGTTTTGTAAACCCCTCAACTATACTTACTTTCTGTGTGATCCAGTTTGTTTTCCCCCTTTCTCTTGCAGCCCTTCTACCGTGAAGGTGAGCCGTGAAGTCTATTGCCCAGGGATTGGGGACGTTTGTATTAAAGAAGGTTTTGGAGTACAGAAGCAGGAAGATGTGTTGTGGAGATGCTGTTGGCAGAAACAACTGGCCTTGACTAAACAAACCAAGAGTTCCTACAGGAGCAGAGGCAACCGGGTGAAGGCTGACGCCCTTGCACAGGCTTGGGCAGCTCTTCTCCACATGTCCACGTGGCTCACTTCCTTACCTACTTCAGGGCTCTGCTCACACGTCACCTCCTCAAGAAGGCCTTCCCCAACTACCCTGTCCTCACTCCCACCCCTTACCCCTGCATTCCCTGTCCCTCTCACTCTGCTGTGGTTTATCCTACCTGACATAGAACAGGTTTATCTCCCTGTTGTCTAGCAGGCTTTTATCCAGTTCTGCTTTGCCGGACTGTATTAAGTAAGTCTCAGTTCCTGGGCTTTATCACTCAGCATGGGTGGAACACACGAAAATGGGATTTTCCTGTTCCCACTACAGCACTTTTCTTGTGGATACCACATCTCCCCATGTGCAATATTCTATTCCCATCTCACTCTTACCTTGTGCAGAGCTATTTTCTCAGAGCATGAGTCTCTGAACGGAAAATCTACTGCTTTGTGCCCTGCCTGAGGATAAGCTTCACCAGAGCAGTCTATATTGTTGTTGCTGTTGTTGTTGTTTATTGCTGTATTCCTAGCTTCTAGAACAGTGCCTGGCATGGCAATCAGTGGCATGAGTAAATTTATGAGTATATATAATGGACAAGTTTGGGAGAAGATAATTAGTTTGGAAACGGGAGAGTTTAGTGGGAGAGACAGGGCCCTGACTACCTCAAAAAGCAGCAGTACTATAAGAGGACAGAGTTTCTATTTTTCTGCCTGGTCTAGGACTTGTACTGGTCTTTCAACTTGAATTCATGCAGCAAGACAGTGGTGGTGAAAAGATAAAGGCATTTCTACCTGGGTAGACAGTTTCTTTTTCTGGAGACAAGAATTGAGAAGGCCTACCAGATTCTGGCAGTGAGTTGACTGTACTTGTTTTTAGCATTGTGAATTTTTGCCTTCATATGAATTTAAGTAGGGAGTTTAGCAATGCTGTTTCAGGGTTTCCATCCAGATTTTCCGTTTCAAATTGGACATCTATTTGCACCTTTAATTCGCGTAACAAATACTTCACAGAGAATACAAAGTTGAATTATGGGCAGCTCAATTCATCCCCCCAAAGGCAGACAAGAGATGGCAGGTCCAAGTTATGCCTATATTACACAGTAGAGATTATTTTAAGTGTTTTGTTATTGCTTCCAAGTTCACACAAATGCTTCTTACTAATTTATATTGGTCACATTCACTATTCTTATTTGGTACTCATTAGTGACTTTGTACTCTCTTAAAGAAAATAAACCTCCAGATTAACTAAAACATTTAAATATGAATTGTACATAGGCTTTATTCATTTATAAAATGCAAAGAAATTAAGATTAAAAGGAAAACCACATCAAAACCCAGAGACATAAATAAAATGCATTTAAATGGCTCTTTGGTAGTTTATTGATGCTGAGATAGTTTTTTTCTCCCCTTGAAAATATATAAAATTTTCTTTTCATCTTCCCTGAAGCATATCCAAATAAGTTAGTGACTACATAATTAATATCCAGGTATTTTGTGATATTTGGATAATAGGCTTCAACTTCTTCTAAACTTATTTTATATTTCAGACCACACATTTGCCGTTTGTTGATAATGTTTTTGGTTGCAGCCTGAGATATTTCCAGGTCTAAAGCCAGGTTCACATTTTGCTTTGAAGAGACAGAAATTCCAAACAAATACAGATAGTCAGGCCATAAACTTAATTAAAATTTCTGCTTTACTGGATGTTACATTAAATATGGCCATAATGCCAAGAGAAATACTTGAAAAATCCATTTGCATCCACATACTGCTGCTTCCACATAGAATAAAATAACAAAATGCTAAGAAGTACATGTTTGTGTGTATGTGTGTGAGAGCACATTTGTATTAAGCTAGTTCTCTCTTTTGGCTGGGTGGCCATACTAGTCATATTTTGACTAATAAAAGATTTTTTAAAAAAAATTTAAAATTAATTTTTTTTTTTTTTTTTTGAGACCGAGCCTCCCTCTGTCACCCAGGCTGGAGTGCAGTGGAGTGAACTTGGCTCACTGCAACCTATGCCTCCTAGGTTCAAGCAATTCTCATGCCTCAGCCTCCTGAGTAGCTGGGATTACAGGCATGCACCACAATGCCCAGCTGATTTTTGTATTTTTAGTAGAGATGGAGTTTCACCATATTGGCCAGGCTGATCTCCAACTCTTGACCTCAGGTGATCTGCCTGCCTTGGCCTCCCAAAGTGCTGGGATTACAGGTGTGAGCCTCGACACCTGGCCTAAAAGATGGGTTTTAATTAAAATCTGGGATTGGCCAGCTCCATATCTGTTAACTTTCCCATATAGTGCTGGAGCACTAATTTAGAGAGCTTTTGAACTACTGTGTGGTTTGTCTGCCTCCTTTTTGTGTAAATCTAGGACATCTTTTTTTTTTCTTTTTCAATTTGCCTGGAATATTTTCTTATTTAGAATTCTATGGAGATCATAACTCATCTCCAGGAGAGTGAACAAGGTCACTCATAGGAAGGTGGAGCATGTCTTTCTTATACAATTGGAAGGGAGGAAGGGACCCAGCCCTGTCATTTACAGGTGAGGACTCTGTGTCCCAGGAGGGCAAGGGAACATGCAGAGTCTGGTGTGGTGAGCACAGGCCAAGCCCTGTGCAGATGGGGCAGTGAGAGCAGAAAGGACGGCTGGGGCCACATTTGACAGGTCTGGTTGACCCTGCAGTAGGACATCATCCAGAATTTCCATTAGATGCCTTAGTCCCAATTCTTCAGAAAGAAGGGCTTGAGAGCAAGCCTATGTATGAAGTCTTTATTGGTGAGTATGATCCCAAAGAGGAGTAGGGTTGTAAACCAGGAAAGACGGGTAAGTCAGCCACTACAGTCAACTGGTTGTTCTGCCCATCAGGACCTTGTGAGGAGCCTAATGAATTGTAGCCTGGGACCCTCTGTCATGGGTTGAATTGTGTTTCTCCAGGATTCATATGGTGAATTCCTAACCCTCAGTATCTGAGAATGTGACAGCATTTGGAGATAGGGCCTGTAAAGAAGTGATTAAGATAAGTGAGCCTGATAGAATGGGCCCTGTTTTAATCTGACTAGTGTCCTTTTAGGAACAGAAAATTTGTACACACACAGAGACATCAAGGATGCATGTTCACAGAGGAAAGGCCAGGTGAGGCCATAGCAGGAAGGCGGTCATCTGCAAGCCAAGAAGAGAGACCTCAGAAGAAACCAACCTGCTGACACCTTGATCTTGGACTCCCAGCCTCCAGAAGTACGATAAAATAAATTTCTGTTGTTTAAGTCACCAGTCTATCGTGCTTTGTTATAGCAACTCTAGCCAACTCATACGTTCTTTGACAGGGAAAAAGAAAGACTTCAAGTTTTGACTCTTAGAGGGCTCGTTGCCTAGCACTCTGGGTTGCATATGCTTGGGTATGAAGAAATTTCCCCTGGAGTCTCATGCATTGAGGTCAACAGAGATGTCCCAGGGCAGGAGATGACAGGAGCACAGCTGGGTGGCAGATGTGAGAAGCAGATTGGAGCCTATGCGGAAGTGGACTGCAGGGGTTGAGAGGTGGGGAGGGGAGACAGGTAAAGCTGGGAGGAGCAAAAGCAGAACTGAAGTGGTGTCTAATACTCAAGGTAATAATGGTATTGATAATAGGGATACTGATACTGGGTGATATTTATTGAGCATATTTTATGTGCCAGACACTGGGCTATGCACTTTACATAAACTATTTCCCTTTCTATCTCACTAACTCTCCAGCAAACACTCTAGGATTTAGGTACCACTCTTATCCCTATTTTACAGACAAAGAAACTGAGGCATAAGGAGTTTCAGGCACTTATCCCAGGGTCATAACAGCTACTAGTCAGTTGCCTCAACTCAAGTGACCTGGCTCCAAATTTTGCATTCTTACTCTGCTTTTTCTTGATGCTGTCATTAAAAAAGTGTTCTAGAAAGATAAATTTGAACAGTTATTTTAATTCATTTTAATTTCATATACAAGTTATTTTTTAAAGAAAATACAAGGTATTCTATGTGCAAGATTATCACAAAAAGATCAATATAATAGAGTGGTTAAGCATTCTGACCATAGAGCCAAGTTCCTAGGTTCAAATCCCAGCTCTACTATCTTCCTGCTATGAGAATTTGGGAAAGTTACTCAACTTTTCTGGGCCTCACTTCAAACCTGTGGATGATAAAAACAGCCCCTACCTCATAGAGTTAGTCCCAGTTTTCCAGAAAGGGAAGGATTAAATTATTTAATATACATAAACTGCTTTTTGTACGTAATGAGTACTAGAGGTTTTTATTAGTATAATCTTTAAAAATAATTTAGCTGGGCACAGTGGTGCAGACCCGTAGTCCTAGTTACTCAGCAGGCTGAGGCAGGAGGATCTCTTGAGCCTAGGAATTTGAGGTATACAGTGAGCTATGATCATACCACTGCACTCCAGCCTGGGCAACAGAGCAAGACTTTGTCTCTAAAAAAGTAATAATAATAAAATAATACATAAATAAATGAGGAAAAATTGACCAGATGTGACTTTCAATAACTCTTACTCATATTAAATTCTTGAATTTTACATGTGGATCTCTGAATTTTTGCAACACTTCAGTTGCCATGTAAGCTAAGGGACACAGTTTTTTTGAAGTACTGGTCACATGTCAGCTGTTAAACATCACGTTACCGGCATCATAAATGAAGTCACCATTTGGCAAATAATTTGTTGGCAGGAGTGGCTCTCACCAACAGGGAAAACGAAAAAACACAAATAAAATCCCTATTGCAATTATTTAACGCATTTCAGACACATGGCTCAGCAATTTTTTCAACTGCAAATCTCTTTTCCTTCCATCTTTGAACTCAGATGGCTGAGCTGTGCGGAGGAATTGAACTGTCCGGTAAATCCATTTATTTATTTATTTATTTATTTATTTATTTTTTCTGTAGCTGTCACTTATCTGCAGGTGACGCTGTTTACCACAGAAAAAGATAAGCACATTAGGGAAACACATGCATGGTCTTTGTCTTAAAAGGCCATAGTTTGTTAACTGATTGCTTTAAGTTAACGTGGGGAACCCGCATGAATGGTTGCAATAGTTGTCCTTATGTCATTTCCTCCCTTTCAAGTGTAGATAGAGCAAGTTTCCTCATCTGAGAAATGAAGGGGGTTGGACCAGATATCCTCCAAGCTCCCTTTTGGCTGTGACATTCTGTGGCTTCAGATTCTCTTCTTCTTGGGCAGGGTTTTTGGTTTTTAGGGCACTGAACCCAAACAGCCCTACCTGCTAATTTCAGTTTGGGCTGCTGTGAAGACAAAAGGCAAGGCCTGACGTTTCAGTAAAGCATTATAACATATAAAGTGGCTTCACATATGCATCCTTTATAAAATCCTCCCAGAAACTTCCAAGGAATTTTGCAGATGAGGAGAATGAGATCCCAGGAGGTCAAGTGACTTGTCCAAGGCCACACAGCTTACAGGAAGCAAGGCCAAGTTTAAAACTCAAGTCCTTTTATCTGTTGGTGCAGTGTTATTTGCAGCATGCCACAGTCCCTCACAATCCAAGGGATAAACCTGATGAGATTATGTGAACTCTTTCAGTTCCTTCAGCCAATCGGCCAGCATTGACTCTACTAGTTCTGATTGGGTCATGTGTATAACTCTGAACCAATCATTGTGGCAAGGGCAGTGTAAAATTTCTGATTGGCCAGACCTAGTCACAACCTTCCCTTGAAACGTGGAGAGGTTCCCTGAAACACAAAGCTAAAAATAGGAGATGAAAAAAAAAAAATTAAGGGCCCTCATCAGACAAGACAGAATAAATGATGCACAGAAAAATAAGAAAATTCGCATTGCCCACAGAGAAAGAATTTCCCCTAAGATACACTTCAAAAAGAAGTTGTTTTAAAATGTTTTATTTTCTATTTTGTCTTAATTGAATTTAATTTTTGCAAAAGCAGTTTTTTTTGAACTGATGTCAAATCGAATACTAACTCAAGGGTGGTTGAGGGAGCACAATGATAAAAGCCCAATCATTTCAAGTACAGGGATTTCTGAAATTCACATCCATTTAGTGCATTTGGGTCCCAGCTCAAATGAGATAGGCTCATTCTTCTTTGGGAAATGAAATAAGGATTTGAACTGCTCTCAATCAGATCAAATCAACAAACATTTCTTGGACACCTTATGTGTAAGGTGCCCAGGATAAAGAGAGGTGGCTGAGCCAGCCACGTTTCCAGCTTTGTTAATTTGACAATACCTTCTAGTTTTCTGTTTCTTGCCTTGTGATCCCCAGATTTTATACCTGTGAGAAATTTTACTTGTTGGGCGTGCATCATTCACATTCCCTTTGGCTTCTAGAAGCTGCTCAAAAGGTTTTTTTTTTTTTTTTAATTGCTTTTGGATTATATTCTGTTGAGCAAAACTTTCCCCGTGGTTGTTATGGCAACTTTCAAATTGCAAGAGTTAGATGTCAGCCCAGAGGTTTGACAAACAGATGACTTCCAGACAGAGGGGCTGATTTAGGAGTTTTGGATGGGGACACAGGGCTTTTACTGTACTCTGAATTAGTTTACATAATTTGCAAATTGTTTTGGTTCAAGTAAGCTAACCTCTGAACCAACCATACAGTGTTCGGTTACATTCCAAGTCCCTACAAGGAACTACTCAATTCATTCATTAATATTCTGTAAGTTTCAACTAGCAGCTAACTAGTTAGCCCATAGATGTGGGGGCAGTGGACGGTGTCTGCATCTTGCCGTTGTTAGCAAGCTGGGTGCGGTTGTGCTTTTGCTTCACATGTCTCCTAACTCGTCCTCAAGTTTTACTGGCTTCCAAAAACACGAATCCATCCCATTACTAAACCTCTGTCCAGAAGCCTGACTCTTACACACTATCTGGGACTACCTGGGACTGTTAGGCTGAATGTGATTGCAAATCATAATTTTCTCAGTGAAAGGAACGTGTTCCTGTTAAATTCAGGGTTGTGGCTTCCCCCTCCCAAACCCCCAACAAAGACTCTTAGTCTACCTTTTCATTGAGAGTCTGTATAGTTATTTTTTGTTTTTATTGTTATTGTTGTTTGTGTTTTCATTAGGACAAAGAGTTATTTGTAGTTCCAGTTCTTGAAACTAAAGTCTATTCCTTTAAATTGTCATGTAAAGGAAATAAAAAAAAAAACTGTTGAGAGGTAATTCACATACCACAAAATTCGCCCATTTTGAATATGTAATTCAATAATTCTTAGCAAATTTACAGAGTTCTATAACCATGATCACAATCCAAATTTAGAACATTTCTAACACCCCAAATAGAAACCCAGTGCCATTTTAATCACTTTCCAGTCCCACCCCAGCCCCAGGCAACCAATAAAGAAGGATGATTTATCCTTAGTCTACTTGGCTTCACTACTAAATCCTCAAAGTCCCTTTTGGGATTCATGAATGACCATCATTCCAGGAAAAAAATAAAGGAAACAAAACCTTTATTACTTTTTTCCTGGTTATAAAAGTAAGACATGCTTATTGTGAAACAAATTCAAAATTTAAAGAAAAATACTTTTAAAATATGTGATTTGTAGCAGAAAAAAAACCATTGTTATATTTTGGCATGAAATATTTCAGGTTTTTAAATCATATTAGAAACAATAAATATTTATAGTGGAAAATTGGGAAAAATACTTAGAAGCACAAATAATTTTAAAAATCACTTAATTTCACTATCCAGAGATAATCTCTATGTATTAGTTAGCTTTTTCAGTGTAACAAATGGCCTCAAAGAGCTCAGTGGCATAAAACAATGAGCAATTATTTCTTGCTTATAGTTCTATGGGTAGGCTTGGGCAGCTCTGTTTCATGCTACAGGCCAATTTTAGGTTTGTTTCACAGATGTCACTTTATTTCTTAAACTCAGTAATTACTTGGAACATGTCTACTCAGAGGATTAGTGGAAATGTGATATTTCTTAAGGCCTGCCATCAGACCTGCCATACTCCATGGCCCAAAACAAGGCACATGGAGAAGTCCAACTTGAATGGGCGGGGAAGCATACTCCTCTCATGGTGATACTGGGGGAAGGGAGCCAGTATTTGCTAAACAGTATATCAGTACCCTGTAAAGATTTTGATGTCTAGTCTTTTCTTTTTTCCCCATATAATATTTGTATAAAAACTTTTTTCTGTTATGAAAATGGGTTCTTTCTAATAAGCACATGAAAAGATGCTCAACATCACTAATATTAGGGAAGTACAAATCAAAACCACAATGAAATACCACTTCACACCCATTAGGATGGCTATTCTCAAAAAAACAGAAAACAACAAGTGTTGGTGAGGATGTGGAGAGACTGGAACTCTTGTGCACTATTGATGAGAATGAAAAAGGGTGCAGTTGCTACAGAAAACAGTATGGCAGTTCCTCACAAAATTAAAACTAGAATTACCATGTGATCCGGCGATTCCACTTCTGTGTGTACACCTAGAAGAACTGAAAGCAAAGACTTGAACAGATGTTTGTACATTAATGTTCATAACAACATTATTCACAATAGCCAAAAGGTAGAAGCAACCCAAGTGTTCACTGACAGACAAATGGATAAACAAAATATGGTATATCCAAACAAGGAAATATTTTTCAGCCTTAAAAAAGAAGGAAATTCTGATGCATGTTACAACATGGATGAACCTTGAGGACGTCATGCAAAATGAAATAAGCCAGTCACAAAAGGACAAATATGAGTTCCCTTATATATAAAGTACCTAGAATAGTTAAATTCATAGACACAGAAAGTAGAACTGTGGTTCCTAGGGGTTGAGGGGAGGGAGAAATGGGAAGTTATTGTTTAGTGGATACGAAGTTTCAGTTTTACAAGATGAGATAAATTCTGGAGATGGGTAGTGGTAAAAGGGGCATAACAATGTGAATGTACCTAGTGCCATTGAACTGTACACATAGAAGTGGTTAAAGTGGTACATTTTATGTTAATTTTATCATGATAAAAATGGTTTCCTTTGCTACATATGGTTTTAATTGCCTTGTTAACATTTCCATGTCAATAAACGTTATTTTGTAGCATTATTTTAATTATTTAATTATTTTTTATTTTTTATTTTTTTTCGAGGCAGAGTTTTGCTCTTGTTGCTCAGGCTGGAGTGCCATGGCACAGTCTCAGCTCAATGCAACCTCTGCCTCATGGGTTCAAGCGATTCTCCTGCCTCAGCCTCCTGAGTAGCTGGGACTACAGGCATGTGCCACCACGCCCGGCTAATTTTGTATTTTTAGTAGAGACGGGGTTTCTCCATGTTGGTCAGGCTGGTCTCGAACTCCCGACCTCAAGTGATGCGTCCACCTTGGCCTCCCAAAGTGCTGGGATTACAGGTGTGAGCCTCCGCGCCCAGCCTGTAGCATTATTTTTAATGATTGCTTATATAGTTTCTCATAATGTAGATATAATTTACTTAATTTCTTATTATGGGCATTTACTTTTTCAATTTTTTTCTATTGTAAATAATACACTTTTGTTCCCACCTCTGATTACATTCTTTAGATAATTTTCCAGAAATGGAATTTTGAGGTCAGTGGTTATGAACACTTAAAAATATTTAAAAATCTGGATTCTCACTTCTTCAATTACTTGCCACCATGGCATGTTACTATCTTAAAAACCTTTTTTTTTTCACATGAAAAATGCTATTCCGTAGATATTTTAATTTGGATTTCAAAGATTAGTGATGAAGTTGAATGTATTTCGACATGGCTTTTCTTTTTCTCTTCCCCTACCCACCCCCCGACCCCCATCTCTTCATTTTTTTTCTGTGTGTCAATTGCCTGCCCATGACATTTGCTCAGTGTTCTGTTGGGACAGACACACACTAAGGGCAGGACAATGGCATCAGCCTACCCTGGGTACAGGCCATATGGGGGTATATTGCCTGTAGACAATTTAAAACCAGTAATGAAACCTGTTAAAGGTCAACCTACACCAGCTTTCTAAACAATGTAAATGATAAAATACTCCACCCAGTCCTCTCTTTTCTTTTCTTAATGGTCTATACATTCTTTATATATTATAGTCATTAAACCTTTGTCTGACATTCATGATATCTGCCCTTTCATTTTGTGGATAGCTTTTAAATTGCTTTGAGTAAGTGATTCATTCACATGTTTAAAATTCAAAAAGTACGAAAGGGTCATCAGGGAAAAGTATCCCTCTCATCCCAGCTACCTAATTCTCCTCTTTTCGGACACCATAGTGATTAACTTCCTATACATCCTGCCAAAAAAGAATTTATGCATAAATATTTCTCCTCTTTTAATCAAGTAGGAGCATACTATAATAATTTCAGTGCCTTGCTTTTTTTTTTCACTTTGTAATAGAGATCGTTTTATATCACTACCTTAATAGCATCCATTTCCAGTGCCCTGAAAAGTTAGATTTGTGCCTACTGCCAATGATGGAGGGACACTGCTTCAGCATGCAAGGAGGAGGTGAGGGGTAGAAGTACTTAGAAGACAAGACAAATTAACTCGCCAAATCATTCTCAGCATGAATGCAAAAAAAATCTTGCATAATGAAGGATTGCCTCCAGTACCACCAAGCATCCATTTTCTTGCTTTTCTTAACCTTGGAAATTGAGGTTCCAGAAATCCTCATAACTTTGTGTGGTGTTTGTAACAGTTGCATGTTTTAGTATCAAACAATTCATATATATGTGTGAAGTGTGATATCTAATATTTATGTGGGCAATGGATGACTATTAAACACTTGAATTGCAAAAAAACCACTTATTTCTATAAAAGTATGTAATAAGCTTTTACTAAGTTTTCAAAAAAAAAATGAAATATGCTTTCAGCTTTATTAAATACTTTTCATTTAACCCTATATAAAACTTTGATTTTTGTTAATAATAAATTGCATTTGCCTTTTAATAGATTATTTTTAATATTTAGAATAAAATATTTTTGGAAAGCATATATAAAAGTAAATTTAAATTTTTTATGTTTATATTTATTTAACTTATTTTTTTGATAAAATATTCAAATTTTGGATATTTTAATACCATTACATTTTATATTTTTAATCTTTTAGATTATTACTTTCTACAGACTGCAATTCATGTGAAATTATTAATTATAACAACCTAGTTAGAGATTAAAGTGAGGGCAACATATATTAATTTTGTCCAAATAAATATATAACTTACAAAACTATGTGTGTCTATTTTATTACAATATCACAGCATAGCAATACAACATTCACATGTGTACAATAATAAGGCCAAACACAATGGCTCACACCTGTAATCTAGCACTCTGGCAGGCCAAGGCAGGCGAATTGCTTGAGCTCAGGAGTTTGAGACCAGCCTGGGCAACATGGTGAAACCCTGTCTCTACAAAAAATACAGAAATTAGCCAGGCATGGTGGCACATGCCTATAGTCCCAGGAGGCTGAGACTGGAGGATCCCTTGAGCCCGGGAAGTTAAGGCTGCAGTAAGCCATAATCATGTTACTGCCACTCCAGCTTAGGTGACAGAACAAGATGCTATCTCAAAAAATAAATAAATAAAAATAAAATTAATCATAAAATTCAGTTGTCTTTGATATTTTTCCAGCTTTCAGTTATCTAAAAATCCTGGTTTGAAAACCATAGCTTTACATGTATCTTACATGCATTTAATACACATTATAAAGGTATATTTGTCAAGATATGAGAATGAAATGTACTTTACGAAGGTTGGTAGTTCAATTCACAAGTTTTAAATGTCTCGACAATAGCATTGGGCTTCTGTGTGTTCTTGAGCTCCAGGCCCTGTAAGTGTGAGGTGAGCTGGCACACACACACTCAGGTTTTCCCACTGAATCCATCCTCAGGTTTGATTACTTGGTTAAGGCTGGTGACCGCTGAATCTCTCCATTGGGAATGTACAGTTTGTCTTTGTACGTGGTCAGTAATTGATGGGGTGAGATTTTGCACCGTGTTTTAGCATCCATTGGCTATCTTTGCCAAACCAGTTATTACCTTGGGGACTAGAAAAGGATGATTTTTTTTTCTAATTCCAGTATTGCTTCTACATGTACTAGATGACATTGTTCTGTAACAAACAAAAAGCTAGCCTTGCCTTTGTACTTTCCCTGCCCTAGGCTTGGAATCACCTGGATCCTCAATGCAATTTAATCTGAAAATTAACGGTCCTGGTTTGAGTGATGTTGAACATTATTTTATTTGTTTAAGGGCCATTTGCTTTTCTTTTCTGGAACAGTTTGTTGATATCCTTTGCCCATTTTCATTACCCTTTAGTTTTTAAAAAGTTTGAAACATACTATCGTGGCAGCCACAAAAATGCACTTTTCAAATCTCCCACTGTGGGTAATGTGACTGACATCGCAGCTACTGCCTTCTGAAAGCACCTCTGAATTCATACCAAGACCATGATTTCCAAGGCTGGTCCTAACTGGTGGCTGGGTATGACAAGAACACTGTCCCTGCAAAATGGGGACTCCTTGATGGGTGATTTTGACTCCTTATGGATCTGGTTGAAACTTTCTTAGAACTGTGCTGCAGTCCAAGGCTCTGACTATCTAATCCTGCTTCCTTCTCCTTCTCCTTCAGAGGTAGCAGACCTGCACCGTGGTCCCTTCCAGGCATTTCCCTAATAAGTCTCTTGCATGTTTAACCCCATTTTGGCATCTGTTTCTTAAAGGACCTGAGCAAACACAACTCCACAAACATAAGAGTGTATAAAACACATATGCACACTTTATATAATAAAAAAATAGATGTGTGAACCTGCCACCTGGGTTAAGAAATAGAAAATAACCTGTAACTCCCTCCTTTCCCCCATCAATTCAAAATTAACCATCGTCCTGAAATTTGTGCTGTTATTCCCTTGCTTTTCGTTATTGTTTAATCACTGATATATGTACTATTAAGTAAAACATTGTTAATTTTGTCTGTTTTGGAACTTTATGCCAATGGGATTATACTTTAGGTATTCTTCTGTGACTTAATTGTATTATTCACTCAACATCCCAGGGCATCAACACAACATTTAGATGTGTGCACTCTAAAGTGCATAACTAAAGTCAATTGACTTTGATATTTGCCCAGTTTTTTCTATTTGATTATTTGTTTTATTCTTTTGTAGTAGTTAATTGTATATTCTTGATATTGATTTTTTTTATAATTACAAGTGTTGGAAATATCTTCTTATCATTTGGGGCTTGACTTTTCACTCTCTTTGTGACTCTTTTGATGTACAGATGAACAGAAGTAATCAAATATATCTACCTTTTCCTATATTGTGTCTTATTTAAGGAATTCTTCCTTACTCTAAGATCTTAAGTCACATCTTCCTGTGTTGGGTATTAAACATTTTTTGTCTTTTATGTTTTAATCTTTAATGTACCTAAAACTGATTTTTAATCTGGTATGAAATAGGAATCAGATTTAATTTTTCTTATTGAGGTGTGATTTACATCTGGTAAGATTCACCTTTTATAGTTCTATGAGTTTTGACAAATGCAGGTGGGTAACCACCACCATCATCAAGATATAGAACCATTTCCTCACCTCATAAAGTCCCCCAGCCTCCTTTGTAATCAACTTCTTCCCCTGACTCAATCCCTGGAAACCACTGCTCTATTTTTGTCTCTATAGTTTTACCTTTTCTATAAGGTCTTATAAATGTCAGATTCATACATATATGGCATTTTGAGTCTTCTTTCACTTTGTAAAATGCATTTGAGATTCATCCACATTGTATGAATCAGTAGTCTGTTCATTCCTTTTTTATCGCTGAATAGTATTTCATTATATGGTTGTAGCACAATTTGATCCATCATTCACTGAAGGATATTTGGGGTGTTTTCAGTTTTTGGTGATTCCCATCGGCAATATAAGAGATTTCCATATCTCTGCATTCACCAGCACTTGGTATTATCGGTGTTTTTTTTTTAAAAAAAACATTCAAATGGGTATGTGCTGGTATCTCATTGTGGTTTCAATTTGTATCTCCCTTAGGATTAATGACATTGAGCATCTTTTCATGTGTTTATTTGCCATTTGCATCTCTTCTTTAATAAAGCATTTTTTAAATTATACTTTAAGTTTTAGGGTACATGTGCACAACGTGCAGGTTTGTTACATATGTATACATGTGCCATGTTGGTGTGCTGCACCCATTAACTCATCATTTAACATTAGGTATATCTCCTAATGCTATCCCTCCCCGCTCCCGCCACCCCACAACAGGCCCCGGTGTGTGATGGTTCCCCTTCCTGTGTCCACGTGTTCTCACTGTTCAAGTCCCGCCTTTGAGTGAAAACATGCGGTGTTTGGTTTTTTGTCCTTGCGATAGTTTGCTGAGAATGATGGTTTCCAGCTTCATCCATGTCCCTACAAAGGACATGAACTCATCATTTTTTATGGCTGCATAGTATTCCATGTTGTATATGTGCTACATTTTCTTAATCCAGTCTATCATTGATGGACATTTGGGTTGGTTCCAAGTCTTTGCTATTGTGAATAGTGCCACAGTAAACATACGTGTGCATGTGTCTTTATAGCAGCATGATTTATAATCCTTTGGGTATATACCCAGTAATGGGATGGCTGGGTCAAATGGTATTTCTAGTTCTAGATCCCTGAGGAATCGCCACACTGACTTCCACAATGGTTGAACTAGTTTACAGTCCCACCAACAGTGTAAAAGTGTTCCTATTTCTCCACATCCTCTCCAGCACCTGTTGTTTTCTGACTTTTTAATGATTGCTATTCTAACTGGTGTGAGATGGTATCTCATTGTGATTTTGATTCGCATTTCTCTGATGGCCAGTGATGATGAGCATTTTTTCATGTGTCTGTTGGCTGCATAAATGTCTTCTTTTGAGAAGTGTCTGTTCATATCCTATGCCAACTTTTTGATGGGGTTGTTTGATTTTTTTCTTGTATATTTGTTTAAGTTCTTTGTAGATTCTGGATATTAGCCCTTTGTCAGATGAGTAGATTGCAAAAATTTTCTCCCATTCTGTAGGTTGCCTGTTCACTCTGATGGTAGTTTCTTTTGCTGTGCAGAAGCTCTTGAGTTTAATTAGATCCCATTTGTCAATTTTGGCCTTTGTTGCCATTGCTTTTGGTGTTTTAGACATGAAGTCCTTGCCCATGCCTATGTCCTGAATGGTATTGCCTAGGTTTTCTTCTAGGGTTTTTATGGTTTTAGGTCTAACATTTAAGTCTTTAATCCATCTTGAATTAATTTTTTGTATCAGGTGTAAGGAAGGGATCCAATTTCAGCTTTCTACATATGGCTAGCCAGTTTTCCCAGCACCATTTATTAAATAGGGAATCCTTTCCCTATTTCTTGTTTTTGTCAGGTTTGTCAAAGATCAGATAGTTGTAGATACGTGGCATTATTTCTGAGGGCTCTGTTCTGTTCCATTGATCTATATCTCTGTTTTGGTACCAGTACCATGCTGTTTTGGTTACTGTAGCCTTGTAGTATAGTTTGAAGTCAGGTAGCATGATGCCTCCAGCTTTGTTCTTTTGGCTTAGGATTGACTTGGCAACTTAAAGCATTTTTTAAAAAATCAGATTTTTGTGTTCTTATTGAATTACTGAATTGTAAGAATTCTTTATTTGTTGTAAATAAAAGTTCTTCATGAGATAGTGGTGTGCAAATATTTTGTCCTAGTCTGTCATTTGCCTTTTCATTTTCTTAATCTTGTTATTTAAAGAGTAGACTTTTCTAATTTGATAAAATCTAATTTGTTAATATTTTTATTTTAAGGATCATGCTTTGTGTGTCATATCTAAGAATTCTTTGCCTACCCAAGTTCATAAAGATTTTCTTCTAGATATTTTTTAGTCTTAGCTCTCATTTTACATCTATGATTCATTACGAGTTAACCTTTTCATATGGTATGAAGTCAAGCAAATTATTTTTTATTTGTATGAGGTCAAGCAAATTATTTTTTATGATACTTTTAAAAAATTTCTTCTAAAAAAACAAGATACATGTGCAGAACGTGCAGGTTTGTTACATAGGTATATATGTTTCATGGTGGTTCACTGCACCTATTGACCCATCCTCTAAGTTCCCTCTTCTCACCTCCACCCCCTCAAATTATTTTTTAACAATAATATATCACCATTCTAAAATACTCTATTGAAAGTTATATAAGATATATCTCAACTACTTCATCTGAACTTTTTTTTTGTTTTAGTTTTGGGGTTTTAAAAATTTTATTTATTTAAAAAAATTTTAATTGACAAACAATAATTGAAACATTTATGGGGTACAATGTATTGTTTTGATATATGTGTATATCATAGGAGATTAAATCAAGCTTATTAACATATTTATCACCTCACCTACTTGCCATTTTTTGTGGTGAGAATTTTAAAAATCTACTCTTTCAGCAGTTTTGAAATATACAATGCATTGTTATTGACTGTGCTCACCATGCTATGCAGTACATCTCTAAAACTTATTCCTCCTAACTGATACTTTGTATCCTTTGACCATCTCCCCTTTTCTCATCTCTCTCACCAGCTACCTCCCCACTGAATCCCCAGCTTCCATTCTACTCTCTGCTTCTAGGAGTTTGCCAATTTCACATATAAATGAGATCATGTAGTGTTTGTCTTTTTAAATGAGAGAATGTGGCTGTTTTCCCTCACTTATTTTTTTTTAACTTTATTTATTTAGTTTTTGAGACACAGTCTCGCTCTGTCACCAGGCTGGAGTGCAGTGACGCGATCTCGGCTCACTGCAACCTCTGCCTCCCGGGTTCAAGTGATTCTCCTGCCTCAGCCTCCCAAGTACCTGGGACTACAGGCACACAGCACCATGCCCAGCTAATTTTTGTATTTTTAGTAGAGACAGGGTTTCACCATGTTGGCCAGGATGGTCTCGATCTCTTGACCTCGTGATCCGCCTGCCTTGGCCCCCCAAAATGCTGGGATTACAGGCGTGAGCCACCACGCCCAGCCTGAATCTTATTTTTTTAACCAGGCTGTATGCCACAGGATAAATCGATCTACCCATTAGTCAATTTTCTTAGCAGCATGAAAACTACCAGGTAGGATATTTCCAATGCAGAGAAAATTTTGCTTCTAAATATAAAAACACTTGATGTTACTGAGTTGAAAATATAGATCTCAAAACATGTTTAAGACAGACTTGCTTTATTTTTAAAATTTCAATAGGAATATTGTTTTAGTAATTTCCTTTTTCTTAAAATTCCTGTTTACTCAATGAATGCATTTAAAAACAAAACCTTCAAGTGTGGTATTTTGTAATAAGACTTATTTTTATATAGGCTCTGAGAAAGCTTCTACAACTGGCGTTGTCTGCCTGCAGTTTGCCCATGGCAAGTTGAGTTGACATAGCAGGTGCACCTTAATTTTCCCTCATCTTTGAAGATGGTTATTAAGATTTATGGGGCATGTGTGCCTGCATATGTATGCCTGAAGAGACCTCATGGAAATGAAAAGGCTCTTTCACTTTGTGCACGTAGGGAGCCAGCCCTTTGATTAGTTACTACTGTGGAAGAGGCTGCTAGCTAAGGCCTTTTGCAGTTCATGATGCTACCTTTTTTTCCCACTATTGGCCTGAAAACTTTGTCCACAAACAGCAACTCCATTCAGCACTGCTGAACCTGTGCCCGAAGTCAGCCTTTCTGGGGAAGGTTCTTCAAAATACAGTGTGACTTACAGTTTGAAATGACAACTTAGCAGGTGTCAAGCAGCAGCCAACACTTCAGAATCCCACAAGTAAACATTTCAACAGATAAGTGATATTTTCTGTCCTCTACATAATGGATTTAATGAGGGGTTAGGTCAAAGTCATACACAGAACAAAAGGAGTGATGTTATGGAATGCCAAGCATGATATTTACAAAAACTGCTGAACACAGTAAATTATCAGTCTTTTCAGGACTGATAAAAGCCAAAATGGGCTGGAATGCTGACATTGAGGGGAACCTAATAGAATCCCACTTTGGCTTTGGGCTTGGCTGTCTTTAAACTCTGTCTTCTTTTTAAAGTCACAGAGACAAGGACCATACACAGGGTAATTGATACCTTTTACTTCTGCCTGTGTGAGCCTGCCACAACTGTTCAGGACAGGGAAGTTATGAAAAGTATGAAAAGAAAAGATGTACTTTGAAACTCCATGATATTGTTAGCAATGCAAGAATGGCTAGGATCTTAATATCCTTGAAAAACTAAATAGAAGACTCTTCAAGCCTAGCTCTGTGAATTAGTAAAATTTAGTTAATACATCAAAATTAAATGTTACTATTTAAAAACCTAAATAAGATTAACTAAATGCTTCCTCTTTCTCAATTTAGTTGGTTGATTCGTTCCTGGGTGTATCTAGGTGAATTCCTCTATTGACTAATTTCCCGATTTCTGTGTGTAATGAATTAGATTCTTCCCAGTTCTGCAGGTACAAGACTATCTCCTTTGTAGCAGAGTGAACTTGAGTCACAACCCGAAGTCATCCTGGTGAAGCGGCTTCATTTGTCTGGGGTAATACCCGAGGTTAGTTGTCTCATGCCAAGGAAATCGAGGATGTGGACACACAAGGAGTGGGTTTAACGGCAGAAGTTTAATAGGCGAAAGAAAGAAGAGAGCTTTCTTGTGCAAAGGAAGGAGTCCTGAACAGGTTTCTGGGTTCTCAGTGAGATGCAGTGTGTTTTATAGATGAGCTTAGGGAGGTGGTCTCTGATTTATATAGGGCCCAAAGACTGGTTGGACCAGGTGTATCATATACATAGCCTGCAAAGAAGCTGGACATATTCCACCCTAATTTTTTATTACGCAGATGGAGTCTCTACCTGGCTGGCGGCATGTTGCCTGCTTTTTTACTGCACACACGTGGCAACAAAGAAAAGGGAAGAGGGAACCTCCATGTTGAATACACCTGGCCCCCAGGTAGTCTTTTCCTATTGGCACAGCTGCTGGCATTTACCTATGCAAGCTTCCAGCTTGCTTATCTATGTCTGTAGCTCAATTTTACAAGCTGGTCTTTGTTAGAAAAGAAATGATTTGGGGGCTGCTTTTTGTTAAAAGATAATTCCACTAAGAACTCTCTTACCCTTACTAAATACCTAAATAATTTTTGTTTTTTTTTAGCTCCTGTATCACTGGTTACTGGCCCGTGTGGTTAGGTTTAAATGGCAGGGTTACAGAAAATCTCCAGAAGGGCCAGTAGCTATTAAGGGATTATGTCTGCTTTTTGAGTACTGTGCTTACAATTTTAGCTGTTAATGACTAATGTTTCTCAGAAATTGTTGCAATAAGCAATTTTATTAATCATTTTATTAACTGAATTGTAGAAATATACATATGCATATAAATAATACAATCTTTTGCATAAGTTCACTTGTGGATGCCAGCTGTCACAGAACTGAGAACTCTAAAGAAAACAGTTTAACAGTTACCAAATGTCTTGCATTGCATTAAAAATTCTGCAGATAAAATTCTAAATTATCAAATATCTATAACACTTTTAGAAAGCAACAAGGCAATATATAGCAAATGTGGGTTCATATTCTTTGACTCAGTAATTCAACTTCTGGGAATTCTTTAAAGGATATAATCCAAAAGAAGGAAAAGGAGTGTGTACCTATATTTTCATAGCAAGGCTGTTTGTAACAGAAAAGAAAGGAGATAAATTTCTCATGAAAGATAGATGCTTAAATCAATTGTTAAAAATGCAAGGGGTGATTATAGTTTTAAAGTGACTCTTATTATTTCTATTTATAGATACATAAAATGCCTGTGATTTGATATTAACTGAACATGCAAAAATGTGTGTCTCATATGATTGAAACTATATAAGGATATTTATTTATATGAGCAAAGAACGAAATGTTACTAAAAAGTGTGGTGGTGATCAAATTGTAGAAGATTTTTGAAATATTAAATTCTTTTTTATCTGTTTCTTTTTTTGAGACAGAGTGTCGCTCTGTTGCCCAGGCTGGGGTGCAGTGATGTGATCTTGGCTAACTGCAATCTCTGCCTCCGGAGTTCAAGGGATTCTCATGCCTCAGCCTCCCAAACAGCTGGGATCTCAGGCACCTGCCACCATGCCCAGCTAATTTTTGTATTTTTAGTAGAGACGGGGTTTCACCATGTTGGCCAGGCTAGTCTCGAACTCCTGACCTCAAGTGATCCACCTCCTTGGTCTCCAAAGTGCTGGGATTACAGGCATCAGCCACTGTGCCCAGCTTATTGTTTAATCATTATTTTAACAGTAAAAGATATTAAGGTATCTTTAAATTGCAAAACCACAGAAATTTTGTCAAATATTTGTAATCTTAAACCAAACTGATTCTTCATGTATTTTCAAAATGTCAAAAAAAGTACCTTAAAACAATCAATTACATCACTAAGTATACTGTTTAGTTCAGCTTTTTTTTCTTTTTTTTTTTTTTTGGCGAGATTTTCTTGCCGAAAGAGCAGTACTTTGATTTATATGCTGGCACAAATCCCTTCCCTTGTTGTGGACAACCTGTTGCAGGCAATGCTCTGAACAGCCCTGCCCTGCCACACTCACCTTTCTGTTTCTCAAACATGCCAGGCTGGTTTCTGTCTCCGGGTTTTGCACTTACCATTTCTTCTGCCTGGAATGCTCATACTCTGGATTGTCCTGAGTCCTTCTCAATGTTTAGGTCTCAGAATATTATCATTTAAAAGGGATCTTCCATTAACCTACCTTAGTCAAGGTTGTGGCATAAAATTTCTTTTTTCTTTTCCTGGAACTCTTCAGCAAGATCTCCAACTTTGGTTATGCACTGGGAGGTGGATTTATGGGTAATTCTTTGGATATTACAATGATATGTTCAGAGCATATTTCAGGTGGAACCAGAGCAAACCACTGACAGTTACCAATATGTGGGAAGAGACCAGCATCTTATGTTTGAAATAGGAAGATTCCAAAGATCTCACAAAAGATCTGGGAAAGCTCCCCACTTAGGTAGGACACAGGATGGAAGATCAGGTAGAGGAAACAGGATGAGACATGTGACTTCAGAGGCCTCTTTATTTTCTAGTCCCAAAGAATGACATGCATTCTCATCCCTCTCATTCCCAAGTGGCCATATATACCTTTGTTATCCATGTCTCAAGAAGTCCCAGATGAAGTGATGGTGGTGGTGGGAATTTTGCAAGGGCAATACTCCTGTCATGTAAAAAGCAAAGTCACTGTTTTAAGTAAATTTATTCTTGATATGTCTTTCCTTTCAGCACTGAACCAAATCCTAGTACATTCTTTGTGATGTGGAGAGGCTGCTGCCCTGGGATTGCCTGGGCACCATCTTTCCTGGCACCCACCCTCTATACCAGCCTTTCTTCTCCTCCTCAGTCACCAGGAAACTGACTTCTTTTGCAAAGCAGCAGTGATGAAAACTTTCCAAGTTTCAGCGGGTAGAAGATATCCAGCTTTGACCCTCAAAGTAAACAGAGCCTCAGAAATTCCATGGAGTAGGCAGGGACCAGGAGCAGAGCTCTTCAAACTTTTTGAATTCACAACACTCTTACTTTAAGTTTTCTGGTTAACTAAATATATAGTAGTACAGCAAAAATTAATATTGGTACAGAACCAATAAGCCAGATATTCAGAAAGAGTCTGAAAAAGCAGTAATTAAACATTGAGAATAGGAGTTGTGGGACACATAGTAAAATCTTCCTCTCTACTTATTATGGTCCTCGTGTAGGCCAAAACGTGATAAACTGAGTGGATATTTCATCTGTCAGTGCAATTTGCTTTCTGGAGTGGTTCTTGGTTATACTTGAGTATAAATATACTGCCACAGGATGAAGATGACCATATAATTTGGAAACAGAAGAAGAGAAAGAAATTGCTTCCGAAATACCTTCATAGAATCTTAAAATCAGTAGAGCCACAAAGTCACCTAAGCTTAATATTTCTTCCAAATGTCCCGAGGAACTAACATATGTTTCAGAAGACTCTTTCAGCATCATGAAAATATATTTAGAAAGACTCTAATTTTTGCCTCTAATATGTTGACTGGTTTGACAAGTATGATTAAAATTCTTCAAAATTCAAATTTCATAGGTAGGTTTCTTTTTTCTCGCCCTCCCTCCCTCCTTCCCTCCCTCTCTCTCTCTCTCTGTCTCCCTTCCTTCCTTCCCTCCCTCCCTCCTCCTTCTTTCCTTCCTTCCCTCCCTCCCTTCCTTCCTTCTCCTAGAAATATCCCTTAAATCGATTTATTTTACAAAGTTTTTGCCCCAAGATAGTCTAGCAGTTAGGAACAGGGACTCTAGACTCATGTGGCCAGGGTTGAAATCTCAACTGTCATTTACCCACTCTGGGACCTGGGCAGGTTACTTAATCTGTCTCAGCCTCAGTGTTTTATTTGTAAAAAGAGGGTAAAAATAGTACATATCTCATGGGTTTTCATGAAGACTAAATGAGTTAATCAATGTAAAACTCTTAGAACAGTCTCTGGTGATGGTCAATGTTTGAAAAGTGTTTGCTATTGTGATTTTAAACCTAGGGGATCAAAGCATTAGCTTAGGTATTTTTGGTAAAACATTTAGCTGAATTGGATAAATATTCTTAAATGAGTTAATATTAATTTCACTGTAAGCAGGTCCAAGACTTAAACATGCAAATGTTGTTTGTAGTATGTTGTACTGATCAGTTTTCCCAGTACTTCAACAAAAGAAACTCTAGCGCAGTAATTCTAAAATTTGAATGTGCTTCAGAATTATCTGTAGGACTTAAGACGCAGGCTGTTGGGCCTCACTCCAGAGTTTGTATTTCTGTAGCTCTAAAGGGAACTTAGAACTTTCTTCTCCAGCAAGCCATCAGGTGCTACCCATGCTGCTGGCCCTCATACCACACTTTGAGAACCACTCACTGCTTTACAGGATTGAGGAGGTCATGGTAATTGTATAGAGGAAAAATCCTCCTCTTTTCTTTTCTTTTTCTGTGAGGAACACAGCCTTCCTGTGGTTTCTTGGGAACTATAGTATTCTTTATAAACAACTTGATCTCTTTAATTGAATTAAAATCTCCATTACTACTTTACTTTGTCTGCAAGTACTTCCCAGACCGCTCATCTCTGGTCTAGAGCATTGGTGTTTTGTTTGTCTTGTGTTTTGTTTTGCTTTTTAATTTGGTGAGGAACATTAACTTTGCATAAGACAGATCACTTTTTGCTTCCTGGTAGTGGTTACACCAGTTACCACAGTGTCATCTTGGGCAAGTTTTCTAATCTATCTTTGGTTCTCTCATCTGCAAAGAGGGTATCATCTTCTGAGGCAGGAATATAGGTCTGGAGGCAGGGAACTTATGGCGGATTCACACTTCAGCTGTGACAGGAAATATCCTCTCCATAGGGCATACGCCAAGTAAATGACTTTGTAACTTTACTTTATCCTCTTCATTCACATTGGGCGTACACCACGTAACCAATGGAAACCTCTAGAGGACACTTAAAACCCCAACAATTCCGTAATGCGGACTTTGAGCCCCTGTGCTTAGGGCCGCTCCCACACTGTGGAGTGTTCTTTCATGTTCAATAAATTTCTGCTTTTGTTGCTTCATTCTTTCCTTGCTGTGTTTGTGCGTTTTATCCAATTCTTTGTTCAAGATGCCAAGAACCTGGACACCCTCCACTAGTAACACTTCTATTTCACAAGGGTGTTGTGGGAGTTGAATTAAATAATGTAAGGAGAGTCCTTAGTGTATACTTGGCCCAGAACAATGGCCCAATCAAGTGAGCTATTAGTATTCAGTAAACATAACACAAAGCTGAGAACTGGATTTAAAAAGCAAAGTAATTGAAAAGTAATAGAAAAATATATAATTTTTTTTTACAAAAAGGAGTTGGGAGTGAGGGGGATTTTAATTTTGATCAGATCATGGAAGCCAAGTCACCAGTTACTTCACTTCAGCACTTAATAATATCACACATCAGTTAAAGCCAACTTACTGGATTATTTTGACTTGTTTCAACTTGAGAGACCAGAAAACTTTTGCTGGGGCTTATCAACATGTTGTTGGAGGAATTTTGCTGTCTTTTTCTTCTCTCTGCCAGTACTCTTTACATATAACTTCTGAGTAGAGGGAGCTAGTCCATTTTGCATCCTTTCACATTGTGAATACAATCCTTTCTTTTTCAATTAATTTATTTCCCTGATGCATACATTTTCCAAACCACATTTCAGAAAATCACAATTTAACATAATTTGGCAGAATTTGCCATGAGTGGGTAACTCACTTTTGCAAAAATTTAAGCTTCTTTGGAAGAAATTCTCAGATTCACTTTTGCCTGATATCAAGTTGATTCTTCTCATGCATACATATTTGCCTTTCTCACAGCACCAGATATTAACATAACAAAGTTATCTCTACAAAAGTGGATCTCTGCAGTAGATATATTAAAATTCTAAACAAATCTTCAAAAACTTCCTTTAATTATAAAACAAAGGAAGCTATTATTGTTGACATTAGTATTGTTGCTAAACAACTTTTAAATTTATTTTGGGTAGGGGGCACCACATAAGGAAAAGAACTTGGTGAAATATAAACTTTTATGGAGAGAATTTCTTATAAGAACTAACCTTTTACAGAGGCAATCCAAAGCGTAAATATTCAGTAAAGTGAATTAAACAATAACTTTTGGCCTTGTAGCAAAATATAAGCCCAAAGCATTTTTCTTTTGCTTTTAGCTGAAATATTCATAATGTGTGTATAGTTACCAATTTGCAAACACCTGACTTACGAATTACAAACCAAACAGCTAACCTTTTTCAGAGCCCTCAAACTTTTATAACCAGTATTATAAAATAACTCAGGAGAGTGATTTTTGGAAGAAAAGTCTAAAAAAGAAAAAAAAAAATCCAACTGGAGACTTTAGAGCAGTAGTCCTCAAAGTGTAGCCTGCCTCAGAATCACCCTCAGGGCTTGTTTAAACACAGATTGGTAATCCCACCCCAGAGATTCTGACTCAGTGGGTCTCAAGTGGGGCCCCAAAATTTGCATTTTTACCAAGTTCCCAGGTGATGTTGATGCTGCTGATCTAGGGCTCCCGTATTAAGAACCATTGATTAAGAGTCTTTGAGGTCAGCCAGCCTGGCTTGCGCCTGTAATCCCAGCACTTTAGGAGGCTGAAGTGGGCGGATCATCTGAGGTCAGGAGTTCGAGACCAGCCTGGCCAACATGGTGAAACCCTGTCTCTACTAAAAATACAAAAATTAGCCGGGTGTGGTGGCGGGTACCTATAATCCCAGCTACTTAGGAGGCTGAGGCAGGAGAATCGCTTGAACCTGGGAGGTGGAGGTTGTAGTGAGCCAAGATAGTGCCATTGCACTCCAGCCTGGGCAACAAGAGCGAAACTCCGTCTTGGGAAAAAAGGAAAAAGAAAAAGAAAAAGAGTCTTTGAGGTCAAAATATGGGAAAAGAGACGAATGAATTGTTAAAGATAGATGAATTCTATTATTTACCTGTGGAAACCACACAGAAAACAGCAGAAACTACTTGCTAGAATTGTGATGAGGATCAAATAAGAAATTACATGTAAAGCACTTAGATGTCTAATGAATGGTAGCTTTTACTGATACTGTTACATTGTGGCTCCTCTGTTTTCAATATCTACTGAAGTATTACTGAGATGTATCTAGGCACTAGGAATATAAAAGTGAATGAAAGCCAGGCTTGCTCCCTGTCCTCATGGACTTTACTGTTTGATATTGATAAAATAATCAGTTGTTAAAAGAAAGACTTTTGACAAATTAAACTTAACAGAGTTTATCTGAGCAATGAACAATTCACAAATCAGACAGCTGTCAGAACCAGAAGAAGTTCAGAGAACTCTGCTCTGCAATGTAGGCAGGCAGCATTTATAGACAGAAAACAGAAATGAGGTACAGAAACAGCTTGATTGATTACAGTTCAGCGTTTGCCTTATTTGGATGTGGTCTGATCAGTTGGCAGCCTGTAATTGGCTGAAGCTCAGCTGCTATGATTGGCTGAAGTGCAGCTATTTGTTATAAAATATACTCTTAAATTAGGCTTTTGGTTTATTTAGGTACTGAATTGGATTGCATTTGTTATTTAGGGACTCGGTGCAGAGACAGCCTCAGGCCAAATTTAGTTTAATTTAACACAGTCAAATTAAATAAAATAACAGCTAGAGCAAGTACTAGGAAAACAAGGTACAAAGTGCTATGAGCATATGTAAAATGAAACCTGACTGGTATTTTCTGACTGAATTTTTTCACTGTCTGCTTTACTGTATGAAATTTCACCAACTAGAAATTCATTTGATTTGACCATCATCTGTCCTCAAGGGACAAATAACCTCTGCAAGCTATTTTATATGGTCAGGGACACTGAAAAACCACAATAGACAATATTTTCCCACACTTAGTTTTTCTTTTTAAATTGTGGTAAAATACACATAACATAAAATTTACCACTTTAACCATCTTTAAGTGTACAGTTCAGTGGTATTAAGTACATTCATATTGTGCAACCAATCTCTGGAGCTTTTTTAATCTTGCAAAACCAAAACTCTTATACTCATTAAACTAAAACTTCCCATTCCTCCTCCCCTCAGCTTCTGGGAATCACCATTCTACTTTGTCTCTATGAATTTGACTACTCTAGATATCTCATATGAGTAGAATCATATTGTATTTGTAATATTGTAACTGGCTTATTTCACTGAGCATAAAGTCCTCCAGGTTCATTATGTTATGGCATGCCAAAATTTCTCTTCTTTTTTTTTTTTGAGATGGAGTCATGTTCTGTCACCAGGCTGGAGTGCAGTGACGCGATCTCGGCTCACTGCAACTTCCGCCTCCCGGGTTCAAGTGATTCTCCTGCCTCAGCCTCCCGAGTAGCTGGGATTACAGGCGCCTGCCACCACACCTGGCTAATTTTTTTTATTTTTAGTAGAGACAGGGTTTCACCATGTTGGCCAGGCTGGTCTAGAACTCCTGACCTCAGGTGATCCGCCCACCTCGGCCTCCCAAAGTGCTGGGATTACAGGCGTGAGCCACTGAGCCTGGCCAATTTCTCTCCTTTTTAAAGGTCACTAGTATTCCATTGTGTGTATAGTATACACCACATTTTGTTTATCCATTGATTCATTAATGAACACTTGAGTTGCCTCCTTGTTTTGGCTGTTGTGAATAATGCTTCTATAAACATGAGTGTAGAAATATCTCTTCGAGACCCTGCTTTCAGTTCTTTTGGTTATATAACCAGAAGTTGAATTGTCAGATCATTTGGTAATTCTGTTTTTAATTTTTTGAGAAATTGCCATATTGTTTGCCACATGGCTGCACCATTTTGCATTCCCACCAACAGTATACAAAGGGTCCAGTTTCTCCCATCTTTGCCAACATTTGTTATTTTCTGATTTTTTTGATAGCAGCAGTCCTAATGAGTATGGGGTTTTGATTTGCATTTCTCTGATGATTAGTAATGTTGAACATCTTTTCATGTGCTTATTGGCCATTTGTAGATCTTCTTTGGAGAAATATCTATTCAAGTCCTTTGCCTATTTTTATTTCATTTTTATTTATTTATTGTTTGAGACAAGTCTCGCTCTGTCGTCAGGCTGCAGTGCAGTGGCACAATCTTGGCTCACTGCAACCTCCACCTCCTGGGTTCAAGCGATCGATCCTCCTGCTTCAGCCTCCCAAGTAGCTGGGACTACAGGTGCGTGCCACCACACCCAGCTAACTTTTTGTATTTTTGGTAGAGACAGGGTTTCATCATGTTGGCCAGGATGGTCTCAATCTTTTGACTTTGTGATCTGCCTGCCTCGGCCTCCCAAAGTGCTGGGATTACAGGCATGAGCCATTATGCTCGGCCTCTTTGCCCATTTTCAAAATCAGGGTTTTTGTTGTTGTTGAGTTGTAGGAGTTCTTTATGTATCCTGGATATTATTAACCCTTATCAGAAATATGAATTGCAAATATTTTCTCCCTGCCTTTTTGTTCTGTTCTCTGTGTTTTTTGATGCACAGAAGTTTTAACATTTTTATGTAGTCCAATTTATCTACTTTTTTCTTTTGTGGACTATGCTTTCAGTATCACATCCAAGTAATCACTGTGAAATCCATTGCTATAAAGATTTGCTCCTATGTTTTCTTCTGAGAAATTTTTAGTTTTAGCTCTTATGTTTAGGTCTTTGATTGATTTTGAGTTAATTTTTGTATGTGGTATAAAATAAGTCACTAATATTCTCTTCAGCTATGTCTAATTTCTGTTTAACCGATTCACAGTTTTAACATTTTAACAATTATTATGTTTTTACTAAAAATCTAATCTGATTATTTTATGAATCTGACTGGCCATTTTGATATTTTTTCCTTGCTTATTTGTAAATACTTCATTTTTGAATTTAAGAAACATTTCCATATGGTTATATTTTGTGCGGATAACTTCAATATCTGAGGTCTTTTGGAGAAGGGGTTCTAAATATGCTTTTTTTGTGGTTTCTGTGAACTCTCACTCATAGTGTCTTGCTTTCTTGCATGTTTGTTGATCTTTGTTTATTAATTCATATTTTATCTAGTCAATTATTCTATTCATTCAGTGAATAGATATTGAATGCATACTCTCTCTAGCCTTTGTTTGTATGTTGGGCATACAGAAGTAAACAAAGTAGATAAAATCCCCTTCATGGAGTTTACATGAGGGAGAAGCAGAGGGAGAGAGAGAGAATAAACAAGATAAGTATGTCAAATATATAATATGTTATATGATGACAAATTTTAAAGATAAATTAAATAAGTGGGATATAAAGTATGAAGTGTTGGGTTATGGGTTTTTTGTTTGTTTGAAAAGTTGGATAGGATGGCCAAGAAGGCTTCATTTAGATGAATTTTGGGTAGGCGTCTCAAGTGAAGAATCTAGACAGGCAGATATTTGGGAGAACATTACATGGAGAAAATAGTAGGTGAGAAGACCCTAAGGGCTCTTGAGTTCCAGGTGACAGTGAGGGGCAGAGTGGCTACATTGGTGAGCAATGGGGGACAGACTAGGAGATGAGGCCAGAGAGGCATGGAGGACCAGATTATATAGAGTCTTGTAGGTCAAAATAAGGACTTTGGCTTTCATTCTGAATGAGTTGGGGAGCCACTGGAGTATTTTGTCCAGAGGAATGACCACTTTAGCTTATGTTTTAACAGACTCATTTTGGCTTCTGTGTTGAGAATAGATGACAAGGAGGTACATGTAGAATCAGTGCACCATCTTGGAACCTATTTCAGTAATACAGACAGGACATGAATTGGCTTGAAGCATGGTAGTGGCAATGGAGATGGTGAGAAGTTATCACATTTTTCTACATCTATAGTTTTAAATTTTAAGGTGGAACCAACAGGATTTTTAGGATTAGATGGGGAGTGTGAGAGAAAGGGAAAAGTTCAGAATAACCCCAAATGGGCCTGAGCAACTGGAAGGATGGAATTGCAAGGAACTGAGATGAAGGAGGCTTATGGGCAGAGAGGTTTGTGAAATGAAAAGAGGAAGTCAAGAGCTCAGTTTTAGACATGTTAATTTTTGATGTGATTAGTCACCCGTTTGGGGATGGCCAGTAGGTGGTTTCATATATGAGTCTGGAGTTCTGGTAGAGATCTAGAATAGAGATATAAACTTGGGAGTGTTGGCATAGAAATGGTACTTAAAGCAATAAGATTGGATGAGATTACTAAGGAAAAAATATAAAAGAGAAGAGGTCTAAAGTCTAAGCCCAGGAACTCTCTAAAGCTTAGAAATCAAGAAAATGAGAAGGAACCAGAAAAAGGACCAAGAAAGACCAACCAGGAAAGTAGGGGAAAAAACCAGACAACTGTGGTGTCCTACAATCCAAGTGAGGCAAGTGAATCAAGGAATGTCAAATGCTGATGACAGGCCAAGTAATATTGATAGCAGTGGTATTTGGGTCCCTGAGGTTCCTGGCATCTCCAAGCTTCAGGGTGCCACTGTGTTCCCTGGTGCCAACTGTGGAAGCTGCTTGCGGTGCACCTGGTCCAGCTGCAGCCTTGCAGAGAGCTGGCGCCTGTGCTGGCACCTGGAGCTGCCCGCTCCGCTGCAGCAGCTGGCACATATGACTGTGCGGTGGCCAGACCCCATACTCGCTTACACACCCCCTACCGCTCCACGCAGTCTCCCTTGGCAGGCGTGGGATCCAGGCTGGTACCATGAGTCAAAGGAAACCTGCCAGGCTGAGTGGACAGAATGAGTCCAGCGGGCCTGAGCAGAACTCGGGCAAAGGTGTCACTGGCCACAGAGGTTTCTGGCCAGAAAAGCAACACCCTAAAAATTCTGTGACAATATGAAGACTAAGAAACATTAAATGGATTTAGTGACATCAAGGATATTTGGGACCTTGGTAAGAGTAGTCTTAGAGGAGTCATGGGGATGAAAACCTGATCAGAGTGGATTCAAGACAGAATGAGGTACACCCATGTTTCTGGCAGCATTATTCATAATAGTCAAAAACTAGAAAGAACGTGAATGTCTATCAATGAGTGAATGGCTATGCAAAATGTGGCATATACGTACAATGAAACACTATTCAGCCTTAAAAAGGAAGGAAATTCTGACACATTCTACAACATAGATAGAACTTGAGGACATTATCCTAAGTAAAATAAGCCAGTCACAAAATTATAAATATGGTAAGATTCCACTCATATGAGGTACCTCGAGCAGTCAAATTCATAGAGATGGAAAGTACAATGTTGGAATGAGGAGTTGTTTAATGGGTGTAAGAGTTTCAGTTTTGCAAGAAGAAAAAGCTCTGGAGATTGGCTGCAAAATAATGTGAGTATACTTGACACTACTGAATTGTACACTAAAAAGATGGTACGTTTTATGTTATGTGTATTTATCATAATTAGAAATTTAAAAAGTTAAAGAAATGAGAAACAGAAACTGGAGACAGAAAGTATAGAATCTTTTGAGGAGTTTTTCTGTGAAGGAAAGGTGAAAAATCGAGGTAGAAATAAGGCCAAGAGTGTTTTGTTCTTGTGAACCTAGGTTGTCTGTTCATATTTATGAAGAATTATGTTTATTAATCTAAGAATGCTTGCATAGATTCCTTCTTTTTTAGTGGGAAAATTGAAGAGAGCAGGGTGTGCATATGAATAGGTCTGAGTTAGGAATGTCCAGGTGAGAGATGGGCCGATGAATTTTTGCATTTAAATAAATGGAGTAATAATATTATCTACACCTGGGGTAGTGGTGATTATTAAAAAGTGCATGAAAAGTATTTTCTTGAGCAGTTAGTGCTGAATAAGTGGTAGGTACAATTATTATTTGTTTTTCTTCATTATCTGTTACTTGGAAAAGGCAAAAGTTAAATCTTTACTTTTAAATGTGTGAATTAGGAGACAATGTTAGCTATTTTATTAGAGTGACTTATATGATTAAACAGATTTAGTGGAGATTCCTTTGTCCATATCCCTTATACTTTTCTATTTGATTCCTGGATCTTTTATGAGGGAGTTATAATAAACAGGAATTTCCCCCTTCAAATTTGATTTGGTTGTGTTTTGCTATATAGGAAAAAATAAAACAGACTATGTTTGTAAAGCAATGGTTGCTTGTGAGCTAGAAAAAAAAAAAAAAACTCCATCTGAAAAGAAAAATGTATAAATTTTCCTGATCCTTTACCATAGAGAAAAACAAAAAACAAAAAACACAATTTGCTTCGACCTTTTTGAAAGACCCTAGTTATCTAGGCTCCAAGAAAAAGGCATGCTCAATTTTGTGAATCACCATTTTATGTGAACAAATTGAAGTCTTTATAGCATTCTTAATTTGGTTTCTGAAAGACATTTAGATAATTGGGCAATTTACAAAAGAGTATGTTCTATTTGGGGCGAAACCTGCTTTTCCTTTGGGTTGCAGATTCTCTGCCCCCTTGTGGCCTTCCTCCTTCCTCTGGGGGAGTGCGTGTTTAATGCTACTGCGTTTTGCATTTCCAGGCTGGTTTGAGAAGAGCGCGGCTGCCTGGTTCCCTGAACACCAGACGGGTTGCTAATTACATTTGCCCAGATGGCAAAGGGGGTCCCTCAGCCTACGGACTTAATTTCGGAAATTTACTTTCAGAGAGAAGCGAGAGAGAGGATTGCTTTCCAAATTAAAGAGAATTATGTTACAGGCATTTGATTGTGTGAGGAGACAGAATCACAGAACAGGAAGGAAATCCTCAGAAGTTATTTAATCCAATCTGGACTCCAGAAGACATTCAAGACAGATGGGCAATCTCCTAATCTCCATGTTTTGTCTTCCTGTCTCTTTTTGAAGATAGTGAAAGGATTCTTTTAAAAAACATTATTTATCAGAAATATATTTATTTTAAGATATTTGGAAAATGTTGAAAAATATAATGTAGACAATAAAAGTCATCTATAACCCCATCACCCAGAGATAGTTACTATTTAAGGGTTTAACTCCTCTTCATATTTTTTGACAGAGAAAAATGAAATATACAGTTTTGCATTGTATATATGATACATGTTTTCAGATGGGAGCAGAGACTGGCAAAATATGGCTTGTGGACCAAATCCAGTCCACATTCTGTGGGCCTGTATTGCCTGTAAGCTAAGAATGGTTTCACATTTTTAAATGGTTGAAAAAAAAGAATAACATTTCCTGACATGTGAAAATTACATAAAATTCAAATTTCAGTTCCTGTCAATAAAGTTTTATTGGAACACATGTATATTCATTTATATATATTTCTGTGGCTGTTTTTGCAGCACAGTGGTAGAATTAAGTAGTTGTGGCAGAGACTATATGTATTAGTCCATTCTCACACTGCTATAAGGACATACCTGAGACTGAGTAATTTATAAAGGAAAGAAGTTTAATTGACTCACAGTTCCACAGGGCTGGGAGGCTTCAGGAAACTTACAATCATGGTGGAAGGGGGGGCAAACATGTTCTTCTTCACAAGGTGGCAGGAGACAGAAGAATGAAGCAAAGTGGGTAAAGAGCAAAGCCCCTCACAAAACCGTCAGATCTTGTGAGAACTCACTATCAGGAGAACAGCATGGGGGAACCACCCCCATGATTCAGTCACCTCCCATGAAGTCCCTCCCCCAACATGTGGGGATTACAATTTGGATTACAATTGAAGAAGAGATTTGGGTGGGGACACAGCCAGACCATATCACTATAGCACTATAAAGCCTAAAATATTTACTGTCTGGCCCTTTACAGAAAGTTTGGCAACGCTTGGTACAGAATAAGCATTTTCTAATACCCTTAAATGCTTTTCAAAAATAGACAGCAATGCTGGGCATGGTGGCTCATGCCATAATCCCAGCCCTTTGGGAGGCCAAGACAAGAGGATTGCTTGAGCCCAGGAGTTTGAGACCAGCCTGGGCAACATAGTGAGACCCCATTTCTACCAAAAATTTAAAAATTAGCCAGGTGTGATGGTGCACACCTATAGTCCCAGCTACTTGGGAGGCTGAAGTGGGAGGATCCCTTGAGCCTAGGAAGTTGAGCCTGCAGTGAGCTGTGATTGAGCCACTGCACTCCAGCCTGGGCAACAGAGAAAGACCCTGTCTCAACAAAAAAAACCAAAATTATTGCTCATATAATTTTGTGGATGAATTCAACTTTTATTCCCTTAATTCTCCTGCTTTTAAACATTTCTTTTACAATGGTCCTTTAAATAATATTCATTATAAAAAGTTAAAATATACATAGAGAGTACAATATGGCCATATGTCCATCATCCAGATTCAATAATTACCAAGATTTGGCCACATTTAGTTAATATTTCCCTTTGTTGAAATATTTGAAAGTAAATTAATAGAGATTGTACAATTCCATCCCACTTGAGCAGTCATTTTTTAAAAAAAATTATAAAACAATTTGCCAGAGAATCAGGTTCAAAAATATTATAAAACTAGTCCATGTTCATGATGAGTATTGAAGCACATAAAAACAACACAGAATGTGTAAATACTTGAAGTAAAAAGTAGAAATCCCTTTTTCACCTCTCTTCACCCCTCCTCCCCTGCCAGTTTAGTGGGTATCCTTTCAGTTATTCTCTTATGTATATAGGAATAAATTTTTTATAACTTAGATTAACTGTTTAAAACATAATTTTGGAATAAAGGAACAAGAGAAGAAACTAGAATGTGAGCGCATATGACAGCACTCCAGATTGGTGCCTTAATTGATGGAGAGTGAGGACTGGGCCCCTTCTAAGTTACTAGTTAGGGTAGGATACGTTTTCTTCTTCAAATAGCACTGATCACCAAGAAACTCACATCAGAAACCAGGAATGGGAAGATGATATTGGTGTGGACGCTCCTTTTACTGCCCCTTGCCACCTCCCCACTTAATTTCTCAGGTAACAGGTGGATACATATAGTAAATTCGAGAGACCCTGCTTTAGGCTCCTCCAAATGAGAGTCACTGTATATAATCACCTTATTACTTTTTGCACTTCTTATCTTAAAAGCAAAACTCAAATTTAGAGAAAGTCTGCAGGAATAATGTAATAAATTGCTGTATATCCACAACCCAGATTCACTAGTTACTACTGCTATATTTATTTTCTCTCTATATAAATACTGATATTTATTAATATTGTTGTTATTGCTGAAGAATATGAGAATAAATTGTAGACATCATGACTCTTTACTCCTTGATCTTCCAGTGTGTAAGTGCATTTTTGGGGAAGCTTCTTCTTTTTTTTTTTTTTGAGACGGAATCTCGCTCTGTCACCAGACTGGAATGCAGTGACGTGATCTCGGCTCACTGCAGCCTCCACCTCCCGAGTTTAAGCGATTCTCCTGCCTCAGCCTCCCCAGTAGCTGGGACTACAGGTGTGTGCCACCAAGCCCAGCTAATTTTTGTATTTTTAGTAGAGACGGGGTTTCATCATGTTGGCCAGGATGGTCTCGATCTCTTGACTTTGTGATCCGCCCGCCTCAGCCTCCGAAAGTGCTGGATTACAGGCGTGAGCCACTGCACCTGGGCTAGGAATCTTCATTTTAATGTGTACTGAAGTCTGGGGCAAGGACCCTCAGGGTCTGCTGGATGCAACATTTCCATGTACAGTTCATTTGAGTGGTTTGTGGAGTTATCGGATCATTTTTATACTATAAATTGACAAATTACACAGTCTCTTCAGTTGTTTCATTTTTATAAAAGAAAACTATTTCTTATAGAAAATAAATTTTGCAGGGATTCTGTAGTGTTAGAATTGGAGTAAATTTTTCTCATTCTGGTTTTTCTTTTTCTGAAACATATACATAGTTTTAAAAAATAACCGCTTTATTAAAATATTACTCCTCTAACATAAAATTCATTCTTTTAAAGTACATAATTCAGTGGGTTTTAAAAAATATGTTCACACGTTGAATTGTCATCACTACTTAATTACAGAAAATTTTCATCACCTCAAAAAGGTACCTGTCAGCAGTGATTTTTCCTTCTCACATCTCTGTAGTCTCTGGCAGTCACTCATTCTGTTTTGCGTCTCCATAGATTTGCCTATTCTGGACATCTTATGGAAATGGAATCATGTAATATGTAGCTCTTTGTGTCTGATTTCTTACGTTTAACACAATGTCTACAAGTTTCATCCACGTTGTAGCGTGTATCAAAACTTCAATTAATATTCTTCTATATGGGTATGTTACATTTTGTTTATCCATTCATCAGTTGGTAGACATGCACATTGTTTTCACGTCTTAGCCATCATAAATAATGCTGCTGTGGACATTTGCATACAAGTTTTTTTGTGTGGAAATATGTTTTCGATTCTCTTGGGAATATACCTAGGACTGGAATGGGTCATTTGGAAACTACGTTTAATCTTTTGAGGAACTTTTCTGAGAAACTGCCAGCCTGTTTTCCCAAGCAGTGTACTATTTCACAATCTCACTAGCAATGCATGAGCATTCCAGTTTTTCATATCTTTACTGAGATTTGTTATTGTCCACCTTTTTGATTATAGCCATCCTAATGTATATGAAATTTCACCATAGTTTTGATTTGCATTTCCCTAATGACTAATGATGTTGAGCATCTTTTCATGTGCTTATTGGCCAAATTGTGTATCTTCTTTGGAGGAATGTCTATTCAAATTCTTTGCCCGTTTTTTAGTTGAGTTATTTGTCCTTTCATTGTTGAGTTTTAAGAATTCTTAATATATTCTGGAGACAAGTACCTTATCAAACATATGATTCATAATATTTTCTCTCATTCTGTGAGTTGTCTTTTTATTTTCTTGATGATGTTTTTTGAAGCACAAATGTTTTAATTTTAATAAAGACTAATTAATTTTTTTCTTTTGTTGTTTGTGCTTTTGGGATCACATCTAAGAAACTATTGCTAATCCAGGGTTATAAAGATTTATGCCTATGTTTTTTTCTAGGAAAGTTGTATAGTTTTAATTCTTATATGTAGATCTATGATCCATGTTGTGTTAATCTTTGCATACGGTATGAGGTAGGGACATATGATATTTTAAGAATAAAGATATTTAAGAAAAAATATTTCAGAATAAAATGTTTTTAAGAATAAAAAGTTTTAAAAATAAGTTTATGATCATAATGAACTTTCAAAGTCCTAACATTTGTTGTTTCAAAATTTGTATGCCTGTAGCCTAGAAATTTAAACTGGTCATCATTAGACTGAATTAGAAAAAGATATACAAAAACAAAGTAAGCTTTTTCCTTTTTAAAAAGATCAAATAATGTAATTGTCAGATGGCTGCTACCTGTGTATTGTTCCATTAACTATGTATATGCATGTGGTTTTTTGGTCCTCCCAACAGCCAATCTCATTTATTCACAAGAAAGCTAAAACAGTCATAAAGATCTAGGTGATAAATTTTAAGCCAACAGGCAATTCAAAAATAACAGGATTGTGAAATATCCAACTAAAATCATATTTGAAAATGGTCCAGGAATCCCCAAATAACTTTTATGCATGTTATATGAAGATAAATGGATTTTAACGTTTCTGGTTTTCATTTTCAGAGGTCATAGACATTAAAAAAATTTTTGATAATGAAAGGATATTTATTTCCATGTTGTGCTCAGGCCTGAGCTAAAGTACATTAAGACATTGAATGATGTCACCCAGGGATATGTAACCAGACAACACACAAGACTGAGATGAACAAGTGGTGGTGGTTGTAGAGGGGGTTGCATCGGTAATTCACGCAGAAGGAACCAGGCAGACAGTAAAACAAAAATTTGCAGAACACACCAAGTGATCAATTCTCACATCTTCAGGATAGGCAAACTTGATTGCTGGGTTAAGAACCTTAGAGGTCAGTTAAGGTGGGCAGTGGTGGGGTTTTCTCAGCTTAGATTGTCCTCTGATATGTATATTTCAGCCTATACATCTAATTGCCAGCACTGTACATTTAATTTCATGAGAAACCAAGTCCTCAATTAAGGGAAGGGAATCGCTTTGACCAGATCTTATGGCTCAGATTCATCAGGCTGGCAAGACCTCAAAGTTTCCATAATCAAAGCTAGGGAGAGGCTCTATATGCTAGAAGCAGTAACTAGTCACTGCATGTGGTCTGGGCCTTAACCCTCTACAGGGAGACTGACTACAGCACCAGGTACCTGGCTTTTCAGTCTCTACATAGGAATTCCACCATAATTAAAAGATATATAAACTTGACCTACGTCCTCCAACTCAAATTACTCAAAGGGCCCAAGACCCTTCCCCATAGAGCCTAAAGCCCAATAGCCTTCCCTCAAGGAATACCAGCAGTGTTCAAGTTAGGTTTGTTACAGAAAATGAGCCATAACAGATTTCTCAGTTTGTGACACTAGTCACCTTGAAGAACACCTCTAAATGCAAGAACTCATTGAGCACTGGTCCAACCTCTAATTTCTGGCTCCTTGCTTTTCCTGCCCCTGCCTACCTTTAAGAGACAGAGTCTCACTCTGCCACCCAGGCTGGAGTGCAGTGGCATGATCATAGCTCACTGCAGCCTTAACTCCTGGGCTCAAGCAATCCTCCCAGGTCAGCCTCCTGATTAGCTAGGCCTATAGCATGCACCACCAGGCCGGGCTAATTATTTTTTGTAGAGACAGGGTTTCACTATGTTGCCCAGGCTGATGTTGACTCCTGACCTCAAGTGATCTTCTGCCTCAGGTTCCCAAAGCTTTGGGATTACAGGCAGTGAGCCACCATGGACAGCCCCTGCCTACATTTTCAATATTCCACTCAACAAATAACATTGAGACTTCCTGGGTCTGGAAAGTGAAAAAAAAAACTGAGTACTGTGTAGAATTAAGCAAGCATGTAAGTAACGTTTCAGAAGTAACCTGTTTCTGCTTCAAGTAAGGCCTACATCAAAGCCCTAACTCAAACAAGGACAGACAATTGTTATTTAGTTTTTATTTCATAATCATAAACTTAACTCTGCAATCCAGCTAGGCATGGAAGGGAACGAAGAAAACATGGAACCCAAAGGGAATTGCAGTGGAAGCACAAAGATTCTAGGATACTGCAAGCAAAAGGGGTGCTCTCCTGAGCTACAGAAGGAATGGTCCAGTGGTTAAGACAAAACACAAGTCAAACTTACCAGAGCTGTCCACAGTCAGCAATGGTGGTCTTCTTGCTGGTCTTGCCATTCCTGGACCCAAATTGCTCTATGGCCTCCAAAATATTCATGCCTTCTTTCACCTTGCCAAAGACTACATGCTTGCCATCCAACCACCCCGTCTTGGCAGTGCAGATGAAAAACGGAACAGTTTGTGTTGGGTCCAGAATTTGCCATGGACAAGATGCCAGGACCTGTACGCTTTAGGATAAATTTCTCATCTTCAAATTTCTCCCCGTAGATGGACTTGCCACCAGTGCCATTATGGTGCGTGAAGTCACCACCCTGACACATAAATGCTGGTATAATTCTGTGAAAGCAGGGACCCTTATAACCAAATCCTTTCTCTTCAGTGCTCAGAGCACGAACGTTTTCTGCTGTCTTTGGAAACTTTTCTGCAAACAGCTCAAAGGAGACGTGGTCCAAGGGCTCACTGTCGACAGCAACGTCGAAGAACATGGTGTGGTTGACCATGGCTGATAGTACTGGGACTCCTGGCGGCAGTAGCCTCTGCAAAGCCGGTCATAGAAATTTGAGAGTTTCTGCTAGATGTATGTTTTAGCTACTTATTTTTATATTAAGTGGTAAATTCTTGACTGTAGGTACCTTGTCTTAATCCCCTTTGTTTTTATTTTTTTCTGTCCCCAGGGCAGCCGTGTTTGCTTTTATGGATTGTGTAGCACACAGCTCTAAAGAGTGCCTAGGGTTGAACAGTGCACGTCTGTCTCACTGTACAGGGAAGCCCGGACCGTCACAATAAACTGCAGGCAGCAAGTCTTTTTATTTATTTGCTGAGTTAAAATGATTCCAGTAAGTTCCCTCTAAAACCACCGCCAGATTTTTGGTGGGAAGAATGCATTGGAGACAGGCATTAAACACTAGTCCAGGTTAATATTTGCATTGAATGCCTCTCTTATATCTTTTAGCATACATTAAAATGGATCCTAGCCTTGTTCTAGTAAAACCCACGACTGAGTGAACCAAGGATGAGACTGCCGGCTTGTAGTGCACACTCTGCAGGGTGCCAGGAGGCTGGCTTCATCCATGTTGCCATGTTTCCTAAGGAATATCTTACATCTAGAGGCTACGGTGTCTCACATTTTTGTCCCTAGCTATCTACCTTGTGTGTACCTTGCATTCCTTCCTTTCAGCATGCAGAATTGAACTTGGCTCTGAAGTAAAACAATACAGGTTTTTGAGTGATCCAGCAGCTGTTCTACTTTGGTGAGAGTTTTCTTCTCCACCCAAGTCTTGTTTTCCATTTCTCTCTCCATCACTTTCTCTTGTACCCCCACCTCTTCCAGCTTACTCTACCCAATTACCACGCCAGAAACAATTCCTATCTCTTTTCCCAAAGAGACACTTCCTTTATTCAACTGCTTAAATAAATAAAACAAAGTTTCCCTTTCCCCTGAACCACCTGCTCAAAATACAAGCGGGAGACCAATTATAACCCAGGAGACAAATCCCCTTTGAACAGCTGATCCAGGGAATGGATTTGGAGGCTTATCTTCGGTCTGAATCACAGGGTCATGCCAGGGTCATCCCTAGAGCAAATTGTCCCCTTGGCTTCCACTGAGCTTACCCTGAAATGTGCACACTGGGTCTCTTTTCCCATGGATTATGAAGCTATTTGGTGAAGGCTGCCCATTTGATGTACTAATCAGTATCTTGACATAACACATGGGAAGAGTTTTAAAGTTTGCTTTTGCACTGCAAGGCTTCTAGGGTATTTTCTAATTATGTCCTTGTAATCACAGACAAAAGCCTGTGACTGTAAATCTGAAAAAATGACTTCCAAAGCATAGGGCAGTGCTTCTCAGACTTTCATGTGTATACACATCATCCAGGGATGTCATGTAAATGCAGGTTTTAATTCCCTAGGTCTAAGGCAGGGCCTGAGATTCTGCATTCTAACAAGGTTTCAGGTGAGGCTGACGCTGTGGTCCGCTGGACTGCACTTTGAGGAGACCCTACTTGATGGACAGTCAGCCAGGAAACTTTCAGTTTGAGGCATAATTACTGAAACTTCATATTCCTTAACGACTGCCCAAGGGCCTTGAATGGTAGACACACCTGTGTTTGGTAGACGCACCTGACAGTGATAACCTGACTTCAGCATACCCTGAGAATGACCCTGCATGGCAGATGCACACAAACGTGTATTTGGAGTTCCGAGCTAAGGAATCCAGAAGTTGCCAACCTGGAGATTCATTCCTTATCTATGAGGAATATCTGAGCCCCTCGCCCATCCCAAGGAACACAGGCTGTACAGGAGATCAAAGCCCTGTGTTTTAGGTTAAATGAAGGTTACCAGTTGGAGGTTGTTAGGAGGACGGTGCTAAGTGAAAACGCTGTTTCGACTGCATGCTTCTTACAAGCGGCTCTCCTGCCCTGTCTGCTGCCACTGGGCAGAGCAGTTCTGTGTAGCCCACTGTCACTGGACCATCCCTGTATGTAAGTAAGTTTCTCTCAACAAACCCCATGTCTGCTTTGCTGGCTCTGGGTCTCTTGTTCGGGCTCTTGAAGCTGGTGCATTCCCTATTGGAGTTGAGAGGGGTCTGGCATGACTGATCTCCTCTCTACAACTGCCCAAACTTCGCTGAGCATTCTTTATTTTTGCCCCCTTCCCCTAGTTCAAATGTTTTATTGTTGTAGTCATCATCTGAATGATATTTATTTGTTTACTTGTCTGCCTCCTAGACTCTGAGCATGTAGGGATAAGACAGCCAACTCTCATTCATCTTTGGATCAAGGGCACCTAGAACAGCATCTGGTACACACACACACACACACACACACACACACACACACACACACACGCACAGATACACACACACACAGAGTAGGCACTCAACAAATACTGGATAAAAGAAAAACTGATAGATTAAATTGACAAAATTAAAACCTTTTATCCATACCAAACAACATAAACAGGATACAAAGGCAAATGATAAACTGAGAAAGATATTTGCAGTGTATTAAGATCTCTTATGAGTTGTTATGGTTTGAGTTGGGTCTGTCAAAAGATACGTTACAGTCCTAACCCCCAGTACCTCAGAATGGGACCTTATTTGGAAATAGAGTCATTGCAGAAATAATTAGTTAAGCTGCGGAGTAGGGAGGGCTCTTAATCCAATATGACTGGTGTCATAAGAGGAGGAGACATGGACATACAGGGAGAACCTCATGTGTGGATGGAAGCAGAGATTCGACTGATAACAGCCACAGGCTGTGGAACACCTGGGGCTGCCAGAAGCTGGAAGAGGCAAGGAAGGAACCTCCCTAGAGACCTCAGCAGGAGTATGGCACTGCCAATGCTTTGATTTTGCACTTGCTGTCTCTAGAACAGTGAGAGAATATATTTCTGCTGTTTTAAGCCACCTAGTTTGTGGTATTTTGTTACAGCAGCCCTAGGAAACTGATACATAAGCAACAAGAAAAAGAATGATCTAGTAGCAAAGGGGGCAAAAAACCCAATCATAGGTAGTGCACAAAAAAATGCAAATTGCTCATAAATAAACAATGTTCAAGGGCTAGTAATCAAAGCAATGCAAAATGAGCACAACATTGAAATGCTATTTTTATCTTATTATATTTGTTATTTTAATTAGGAAAAAATACAGTGTTGTGAGTTTAGGACAACCAGGCCCTCTTCTGGGCTTGAACCACCAGTAGCTGTTGATATGATCTCCAAATATATCTTAAGTAATTCCACTTCTCTCCACGTCTTCTGCCATTGCTTCCTTCTAAGACATCATTGTCATTGCCGTTTACTTTTTTTTTTATTATTATACTTTAAGTTCTGGGATACATGTACAGAACGTGCAGGCTTGTTACATGGGTATATATGTGCCATGGTGGTTTGCTGCACCCATCAACGCATCATCTACATTAGGTATTTCTCCTAATGCTATCCCTCCCCTATCCCCCCACCCCCTGACAAGCCCCAGTGTGTGATGTTCCCCTCCCTGTGTTCATGTGTTCTCATTGTTCAACTCCTGCTTATGAGTGAGAACACACGGTGTTTGGTTTTCTGTTCTTGTGTTAGTTTGCTGAGAATGATGGTTTCCAGCTTCATACATGTCCCTGCAAAGGACATGAACTCATCCTTTTTTTGGCTGCATAGTATTCCATGGTGTATATGTGCCACATTTTCTTAATCCAGTCTATCATTGATGGGCATTTGTGTTGGTTCCAAGTCTTTGCTATTGTGAACAGTGCTGCAATAAACATACGTGTGCATGTATCTTTATAGTAGAATGATTTATAACCCTTTGGGTATATACCCAGTAATGGAATTGCTGGGTCAAATGGTATTTCTGGTTCTAGATCCTTGAGGAATTGCCACACTGTCTTCCACAATGGTTGAACTAATTTACACTCCCACCAACAGTGTAAAAGGATTCCTATTTCTCCACATCCTTTCCAGCATCTGTTGTTTCCCAACTTTTTAATGCTCACCATTCTAACTGATGTGAGATGGTATTTCATCGTGGTTTTGATTTGCATTTCTCTAATGACCAGTGATGATGAGCTTTTTTTACATGTTTGTTGGCCGCATAAATGTCTTCTTTTGAGAAGTGTCTGTTCATATCCTTTGCCCACTTTTTGGTGGGGTTGTTTTTTTCTTGTAAATTTGTTTAAATTCTTTGTAGATTCTGGATATTAACTCTTTGTCAGATGGATTAAAGATGTAAACATAAGACCATAAAACCATAAAACCATAAAAACCCTAGAAGAAAACCTAGATAGTACCATTCAGGACATAGGCCTGGGCAAAGACTTCATGACTAAAACACCAAAAGCAATAGCAACAAAAGCCAGAATTGACAAATGGGATCTAATTAAACTAAAGAGCTTCTGCACAGCAAAGGAAACTATCATCAGAGTGAACAGGCAACCTACTGAATGGGACAAAATTTTTGTTGTTGACTTTTTAGACTGCTGAATTAATCTAAATAGTGTTGTTACTTACCTTGCTTAGAGCTGCCAGAAGGAATCATTAAAAAACATTATTAGTCAGACCACATGATTCCTCTGCTTAAAACCCTTCAGTGATAGCTTTCATTGCAGTTAGTGTGGCCCCTGCCAAGCTCCCATCTTCTCTGTCACTGAACTTCAGACCCGTGGCTTCTTTCAGTTCCTTTGTGGAGCTCTTCTTGTGGGGCCAGCAGACATTGCTAGTCCCTCTCTCAGAATGCTTGTCCTGCCACTCTTCACCTCCTGGTCTTAGCTTCAGTGTCCCAGTGGAACTTCCTTGGCATTCCTCCTCGAGCTCTGCCTAAGTGAAGTCACTGTATTATATTTTCTCATGGTATTCTGTTGGTTTTGCTCATGATTTATTACTGTCATGAATATTGGGTATTTGCTTATTGTCTCTCTCTCTCTACCTGTATTGTAAACTCTATAAAGGCAAGGACTGTATTTATGTTGTCCCCCAACTGTAACTCAGACTTAGGTATAGAAGCAAACAGATAATAGGCAATCAATGTATATTTGCTTACTGAATAAATGGAGATTAACTTGGCAAAAGAGGTGAAAAGCCTTAGAAATGTGTATATCCTTTCAATCAGTAATCCTATTTCTAGGAATGTATTTTAAGAAAATAATTAGGGATGTGTGTCAAGACTAGTCACATTGCAACTTAAATAACAGTAAGATAAATTTTAGCAATGTATTGGGAACAAAAATAAGTATCTAAAAATGACCAATATAATAAATTATGATTTGTACATTCAAAGTAATATCACATAGGTAATCAAAGTGGTGTTGTAGAAATATATTTATTGACATATAGTTTCAGTAAGCATATATTTTTGTAAAAATAAAATATATATATATTTATATTTTTCTCTAATGCACAGAAGAATATTTAGAAAACTGTATACCAAAATATTAATTGTGGCTCCTTTTAAAATTTATTTAAACTTATTTAAAAATTGTATTATGTGTATTTTTAAAACATTCCATAAAAAGAATATTTCTCATATTATTAGAAGAATAAAAGTTTTTTTGAGTGAATGAGAGTTACCTGGAATGTTTGGTCTGAATTTCAAACTTTCATTCCTACAAAAAATAAAATGACTGATATAATCAAAAAGATACCTTCTAGGTTTCAGATGCTGTCATTCACTTCCACACAAGCTTATGCTGTGAAGGAAGACATCCCATCTGCAGTTAAATCCCAGGTCATCACTCTTTTCTATGGTTGAAAGTTTATTCTGTATTTTTTTGTTGGATAAACTCTTTCTTTTATGTTGGAGTTTTTTTTCATCTTAGGTTTTGGGTGAGAATTGAATGTAGAAATCTGCAGTTTCTCCTGTCAAAGGAATTTCAATACTTTGGTAGGCATCCAAACAACACATTCTACCATATAGACCAAATATTGTGTCAAAAAATGGGCTCTGGATCAAATTTATGAAAACATATTGGATGGATTTTATCATTTGAAAAGTTTCAGAGATAAAATTATATCTAATCTTAGATCTTCATTTCCTGATATGTCTTTACATTAGGAAGCCCTTAGGTTCTCTGGAGACCTTTGTTCTAACTTGGCAGAGGTGACCTGTGTTACTTCTTTATTTTCTCCTTGGACGTGGCTCCTTGGTTTTCATAGCCACTTGCAAGCACGATATTGGTTTGTTTCCAATCTCCAGATTCGACTGTGTTACACTATTTTTCACTAGAAAGAACAAGTTAAGGGCACACATTTGTTTGTGTATTTACTTATGTACACACACACACACACACACACAAAATTGACAATATAACATTGGGCAATTTTTAATCAATGTCTTGCAGATAATGAAGCTATATCTATTTTAAAAAGTGGTACGCACTCTCTCTTTCCTTTCTCAGAGTCTGAAATGCTATTACTTGAGAGAGTGGAGGAAGGAAGAAGGAATGATTTAGGAGGAACAAGGCAGGGTATGGGAGTGAATGGGTAAGGAGAAAATTCTTAGAGACACTGCCAAGTTCAAACTAAAGAAACCAATTAATAAAATAATTACTGCCCTTCCATGGCCCCTCTTTTGTGTACTCACAGCACTTACTCATGTGGGTAGTTATCATTGCTCACCCTGTTGCTATGATAAACTCCACTTCCAATGCTAACGACGTGTGTGACTGCTAGGCCTCAATGTCCTCAATTACATCTTTGTGAGAATCAAATGTGATAAGGCATAACACTCTTGGCATGGTGGCTTTAGATATTAACAACTCTTGCTATGTTGGTTGTGCTTCTATGTCTATCTTCATCAGGGGTTGTGTCTATTTTTCTGCATCCTCCTGGGTATCTAGCATCGTGATCACAGCATTACAGATGCTCACTGAGTATTCATACCATTTAAAAGAAATGTTCTGAGTGCAGTGGCTCATGCCTGTAATCCCAGCACTCTGGGAGGCCAAGGCAGGTGGATCCCTTGTATTCATAAGTTTGAGACTAGCCTGGGCAATGTGGCGAAACCCCGTCCCTGCATAAAATACAAATATTAGCTGGGTGTGGTGGGGCATGCCTGTAGTTTCAGCTATTTGGGAGGCTGAAGTGGGAGGAGGGCTGGAACCCAGGAGGCAGAGGTTGCAGAGAGCCGAGATCGTGCCACTGCACTCCAGCCTAGGCAGTCGAGCCAGACCTTGTCTTAAAAAAATGAATAAATAAAAGAAATGCATAAAGCTCCTGTTTTCACTAAAATGCATTCTAATCCAGGCTAACTCTATAGGAAATTACAACTTTTAATTTTCCAATTAACATTTTTTGGGGATGTGGTTGAATGCAAAAAGAATTAACACCTGTTTTTTTTTTCCACATGATTCATTTAATCATTTTCTTTCTATTTAAATAAAGGAAAACATTTGAATTTTGCACATTTTGACTTCTGTATTAGTCAATTTTCACATTGCTATAAAGAATACCTGTCACTGGGTAATTTATGAAGAAAAGAAGTTTAATTGATTCACAGTTCCACATGACTGGGGAGGCCTCAGGAAACTTACAATCATGATGGAAGGTGAAAGGGAAGCAAGGCACATCCTACATGGTGGCAGGAGACAGGCAGCATGAGGGAGGAGCTGCCAAACACTTTAAAAACCATCAGATCTCGTGAGAGCTCACTCACTATCATGAGAACAGCATGGGGGAAACTGGCTCCATGACCCAATCACCTCCCACCAGGTCCCTCCCTTGAGATGTGGGGATTACAATTGGAGATGAGATTTGGGTGGGTACACAGAGTCAAACCATATCAACTTCAATCTTTCATTATTCATGTATCTTCTTAACTGTTAGCCCCAGATTCCGCTAATTTTTATAATAGTAATTATGTCTCAGATTTTCTGGTTTAAATATTTAGTTTCTTTCTACTTTACTTTGATCTCCTCCTCCTCCTTTTTCTTTTAAAATAAAGACACAGCTAACCTAATGATTTTGCAATTCAGTATTCCCTACCCAGGACTGATTACATAAATTCTAGGTGTAGTAAAAAATAAAAATGCAGTGTCCCTTTTTCCAATTATCAAGAATTTTAGAGACAGCAACAGCAGAGCATTTATCCAAGTGTGGCTCCCTCTGAGCCCAGGGCCCTGTGAGACTGCATAAGTTGTAGGCCCATGAAATGGGTCTGTGCTGTGGGTCCTGTCCATAGCAAAGACATTGTCTTTGTACAGGGCAGTGATTAAGAGTGTAGATTCTAGAGTCATTAGATCTGGATTGAAGTCCTTGCTTTGCTAATTACTAGCTGAAAGGCCATAGGCAAGTTACTTATTTTCTCTGGGCTTTAGTTTCTTCACCTGTGGAATGGGGAAAATAGTATCACCAAACCATATTAAATGAGCTAAGATATATGTAACATGCTCTGGCATAGTATTGCCCAATAAATGTTTGCCGTGTGTGTGTGTGCATGCATGTGTGCATGTGTGTGTGTGTGTGTGTGTGTGTGTGTGTGTGTGTGTGTGTATTGTCCTACATTGTCCGATTGCCTGTAGGCATAGCATTCACATCTTTGAGGATTGAAGCTCCATCATTTTTCTTTCTCTTTCATTTATTGAAACAGCTTTTGTGTGTGTATCACAGTTGTTAAGAGTTAACCTGCTCCTTCTCAATCCCAAGAATTTCAAATGATACATAAAATCTTCATAATTTGTAACCACAAGTAAAAGTCAAATGCTCTAATTTACCTGCATCTTGAAGCAGTGTGGGTTAAAGGCACTAGAACAGCTTGGCCTGTTTTCTGTTTCTTGCTCTATTACCTGGTCTGTGTGGTATCACACAGAGTACTTCCCTTTGCTCTCTTTCCATTGCACAATGTATGCTATGTAACATTTCTACACCCTGATCTTTTCAATATGATATTTATTTAGTTATAGGTGCTATAGAAACAGACAGATCAAGGTGATAATCATGTCTCCAAAACCAGGCTGGTGATGAAGAGTGGGTCTGACCAACTCCAAATTGAACCCATTTTGAAGAGGGCTTTCCTGAAGGGAGAAATGCTCCATGGCTCATTGGAAGTGAATACAGACTTGTCAGGACTATGGCCTTGGAGCATCTGCCAGTGGTGCTGAGAAGACAGAGGTCAGGGACAAAAGCCTAAGCCAGAATGAAGTCTGTACCATTTAGTTGTTGATTGACCAAGTCCTTCCCTGGGCCTTTTCTTGTCACTTAAGACATCAGGATACTATTCCCTGCCTCAGATGGCTGTAATAAGGATTGGGAAAACATAAGGGAAAGTGTTTTGTAAACATAACCATAGCTCCTATAGTCTGTCACGATCTCAAGGAACAGCTGAGGAATATATGTCTGGCAGGTGAACAAAAATCAGTGCTTGTAATGATTCTTCCTTCAGGAGTCCCAGGGTCCAGAAATTTGCATATAAAGGAAACTAGTGACTTTGTGATTCAGAATATTTATACCATGAAACAAAAGCTGGTGCTCTGTAGTCAGATAGACTTGGATTCTGGTCCCTACCCAGCCATTTACCAATCGGGTGTCTTTGTGTAAATTGCATAAACGCTCTCAGTCTCAGCTTTCTCTTTGGTTAAATGGAACGAATAACAGTGCCTTACGTGGTCATAGGATTGTCCTTTTACAGTTAAATGAGATAATGCAAAGCCAACCACTTGGTGCTGTGGAATTGCAGCTTGCAGACCACATTTTGAGTGGAAGAGTCTAAATTACATACAGTGACAGGGGCAAGTTACAGTTTGTTATGACCAGCCCAGCAAGCATTTTTCCAGGAATGATTTGGAACAATCCCATCACCTGTGGAACACTCACTTTGGCTCAGAGAGTCAAAAAGAGTCTTTTAACTTTATTCCTTCACAAAACAAATTAAAAATCAGTAGCCACGGATCATTTCCAAGGGGGCCTTTAAACACTTCTTGAAAAAGAGCTTGGCATGGCTTTAGGCAGCTTTATGCAGGTTTTAGCTGCATTTTAACCTATAAAAACCAACTTATGAATCTATGAAAACCACAGTCAAATTAGATACATTTCAAAAATAATTGAGGTCAGAAGTAGCTCTTCTAATTTTCTTGGGCCATTACAGCATTGGATTATGAAAGAAAATTGTGACTGTGAAATTGAGGCCTTCTCGGGGTTTATTCTGAAGACAGCCAAGCTCGATCTTTATGACCATGGCCTCAAAGCAGTTGAAGCTATTCTCTTCTAATATTTAATGTTGTGGTACTTTCTTCAGATCCCCCATTCAGGATTGAGGGGCTCATCCCCTCAACTGCCAAGAGCATGTTCATAGCTGGGTTTGTCCTTGGGAATGGCCCACTAATGGAAGAGAGCAGCCTTGACAAGGTCATGCCCATCCAATGGTGGGGGGAGGGGAGGGCTGGTGGAGAGGGAAGAACTCAACTTCTTGCCTGTATTTGGGACAACACTGAAGGGCTCCAGAGCCCCTCGAGCGATCTGTTGAAACCTTTATTGTAACTGCATCTCTGTTCAGTGTTACTCTCTGTCCAACCTGCCTTCTATAGATACTGTTTGTGTTACTCCCAGTAAACCCCTTACATAGGGAACCTGACCTAAGATACTTCTCTAGGATTACCTTCTGAGACTTCAATAACCTAAGACCAGTGGTCTCAGCTTGGGATAATTTTGGCACCTACGGGACATTAGGTAAAGTCTGGAGACATTTTTGGTTGTCACAAATAGGGCGGCAGTGGGGAGAGGGTGTTACTGGCATCTAGTGGGTAGAGGCCAGGGATACTGCTAAACATTCTACAATGCACAGGACAGCTCTGATATGGTTTGGCTCTGTATCCTCACCCAAATCTCATGTCGATTGTAATTCCCAATGTTGGGGTGGGGACCTGGTGGAAGGTGATTAGATCATGGGGGCAGATTTCCCCTTCCTCTTCCTGTGATAGTGAGTGAGTTCTCATGAGATCTGTTTGTTTAAAGGTGTGTAGCACATCCCCCTTCACTCTCTCTTCCTCCTGCTCCAGCCATGTAAGACTTGCCAGCTTCCCCTTTGCCTTCTGCCATGACTGTAAGATTTCTGGGGCCTCCCCAGCCATGCTTCCTATACAGCTTGTGTAACCATGAGCCCATTAAACCAATTTTCTTTATAAATTACCCAGTCTTAAGTAGTTCTTTACAGCAATGTAAGAATAGATTAATACAAGCCCCCACAACAAAGAACTATCCACCGCACAATGTAATAGAGTAGAGGTTGAGAAACCCTGGATTATATATGTTTTGATCATGGCTCTTTATTTCCAAGTATAAGAGGGAAGATGGAAAATAAGTGTTGTAATTCAAATTATCAAATAGTGCTTAAGGTGAGAAGAAAACCTATGATCATGAGCTCCAGCTTCCCTCCCCCAGCCTCATTTCTTCTTTCCATGTGGCTGTTGACTCCAGATACCAGTTTGCTCTAAAAATGCCCTCTGCAGTAAGGCCCCAGAACTTCTCCTATTGCCAATTACAGCAGACAACACTGGAAAATATGAAGCAGCACTTCTCATTAATAGTGTTTCTTTGCTTCCTTTTTTTTTGTTTGTTTTTAGAGACAGGGTCTTGCTCTGTTGCCCAGGCTGGAGTGCAGTGGTGCAGTCATGGCTCACTGCAGCCTCAAACTCCTGGGCTCAAGTGATCCTCCCACCTCAGCCTCCCAAGTAGCTACGACTAAAGGTGTGTGCCACCATGCCTGACTAATTTTTATTGTTTTTTTTTTTTTTTTTTTTTTGTAGAGACAAGTTTGCCCTATGTTGCCCAGGCTGGGATAGTGTTTTTTAAATGAGGTTTTTCCTCTGTCAATCTGCTTCTGCTACCCCATCCCCCTGGCTTTCCACATCAATAATGACTCTACTCACCTATTGCTTTTTGGGAAGGAATTTTTCATTAACTAAGAAATAGCTGATTTGCTCCTTGACTTAGTGCTGGGAGGTCTCATGCTTTCATGAACTGGAGCTATTTCTTGACCCAAATCAGGCCAGACTGAGTTTGCATTACAAACGTGCCACATTCAGCAAATAGTTGACATTGCAGACTGTGATTTGCCTTTGAAGGCCAATGCTGACTCCCCGAGGAATCAAAGCTTTCACCCCAGTGGGGGCCAGGCAGCTGGTGACTTCTGCATACTCCTCCTCTCCCATTTGTTCAGGAATGAGACACACTTGGGGGCTTAGACTACGGTTCTCTGAATTGTTTTCATTCAGAGGGTGAGGTGGGGGAAAAATATGTGGTGGCAGAAAATAAATGATGAGTCCTTTTTTGCGCATGTCAAGTATGAGATACCTATTAGCCATGAAGTAGAGAAAGTGGGTGAGAGGAAATGAGAGGTCAGGGACAGAGAGAAAATCTGATTGACATTGAACTGCCTGTGGGATAGAAGGAAAACTAGTAGATTGTAGGGTTAAGGACAAAGAGGGGAAAGTATTTTAAGAAGGAGGAGCTGTGTCTAATGCTGAAGAGAAGTTTTAGTAAAGTGAGAACAGAGAAAGAAAGTTAGATTCCCAAACTCAGAAAATTAAATGAGAAAGGAACAGGCAGCTAGGACACCCACTTGGCGATGGTAAGAGTTTGTGCCTTGGCTGCAGTATATTGATTAATAACAGTCTGCTGAAATGGTCTGTAAAGGTAATTTTGAACACCCTCTACCACTGTCCCCTGCCTTCACTTCCCTCATCTCACCCCAAATTGCAAGGCCCTGAGCTTTTCATCATTACAAGAGTGTTTAATGCCCTCACCTAACTAATCAAGAGGATTCCCCCAAGTGAAACAGAAAGGGAGACGTGACAGAACCATGGCCCTGAGTGATTTGTGCTCATGGTCCCTTGAGTTGCCTCCTTTCCACACCATGCCCTCACTACATTGGTTATGGGCAGGGCTGTTAGACATGGCGGAGTGGCAGAGCATTGGTATGAAGCCACTTTACCTCTTTGAGCCTTGGTTTATGTTAAGGGAGAGTTTGGGACTAGAGGATCTTTAAGGCCCCTTCAGGCTCCAATATTGCATAGATCTGAAGTGGTTCCATTTCATTTACCAGCAGTGAAAAGCAGCGTGCATTCAGCTGTTCCGTCAATTTAGTCAAAGCAACACATTTCCCCTTCTTGAATTTACCTTCAACAGAGGGGGAAATGTAGGCGGCATTATTCCCAGCATGTAGAAGCTCTGTCTGAGATTCTTAGTATTGCAGGGTACATTTACTTTTGCTAATGATCCCTGAAGCTGACTGGTTTCAATCGTGTGATTCGAGCAAAGCACAGACACTCTGATTTGCAATAACGATGCCGTGAAATCAATATCGAAAAACCTTGGGCTATATGAAACTGCTGCTACTCAGTGAATCATACTAGGCAATATTTCCTGAAAGATAATGGGTTTCAAAACCAAACATAAATCTTCAGTGACAGGTTGGCTATTTGTCATGTTTTCTGGTGGTGGAATTACAGCAGCTTCAATAAAATCCATTTGGTGGTTGGGTTTTAGATTAATATCTGATACAATCATGGTCTTAGGGCCACAAGAAGTAAAGCTTAGAGGGAGGGAAGCAAGTTTGCAATTATTGTAGGGTTCTAGTACCCCTTGTGCCAAATGTTGGCACAGAAATTGCTCAAAAATTACAAAAAAGCAATACAATGTGGGACTTTGAATACTAAGCACTGTAAAGTGATACTATATTCTTGAAATAGTAAACATGTCTTCCATATGTGGCTAAGTGTGCCCAAGACTGCCAACTGTAATGCAAAGCAAATTGATTTGCAACTGTTTTGTTCTCAACACTTTAACTCCTGGCTTTCCATTTGACTCCTTGACACAAAATAATTAACTCTACATTTTTCTTGACTTAGCAGAAATATTTTCCCCATGACAAGGAAAATGAAATTGATTTTCTGATTAAATGACTTCAGTTAGTCCTTCTGAGTTAATATTGCTTCCCTGTGACCGATGAGTCAGCAACATTTATTGAACCCCCACTGGGCAAAAAGTATTTACAAGGTGTTACATGAATCTATAAGAACAATAACTTTCTGGCCTTCCTAACCCATCCATGTTTGGAATTAAGCAGCTATTTCTGTCTAGATGCCAGGTTGACACCTAATTCTCTCAATATTGTGGAGAAAGGGAAGGTTGTCTTGACAACAGTGTGGAAAAAATCAACTTGAAAAATTTATTTAACCCAAAACTGTAGTCTTAGCAATTGAATGTGGATGCCAGTTCTCTTGGTAATTTAGGCCAGTATCAGGATGGATACCTCTTTTTAAAACAATGAATAAAATGATAGGTAACATAGTCACAGGTTACAAAAACTAGGAAAGTACAAAGGATACACAGTAAAAATCCTCCATCCCATCCCAGTCCCTCAGGTGCCATTCCAGTCCCCATAGGTGTCCACGGTCCCCAGTTTTCTTTTATGTCCTTCCAGAGATATGAAATGCATAAACAAGCAAAAACATAAAGAATATTTGTTTTTTATTTTATTTTAATATGAATAGTGACATACTATATACATGTGCTTTCCAAATAATAATATTTATTGGAGATTCTTTTATAGCAGCACAAAGAGAAATGTTCCTGTTCTTTTTAATGATCCCCTAGTATTCCATTGCATAGATGTACCATGATTTATTTAACTTGTTCTCTATGGTTGGATTTGTTTCCTGCCTTGATTTTTACAAGCAAAGTGCAATGGATAACTTTGCATAAATGTCACCTTTCTTATACACTAGCATAGCGACAGGGGAATAAATTACTAGAATTGAGATCACTGAGTCAAAAGGTATGCAACATGTATTTAGCGGATAAATGGAAAGATGAATGCATGGATGAATGGAGGCTGACTTGATGTAGATGATTTAGTGTCATTTTAATTTACATCTCTCTTATCAAAAGTATACTTGAGGCCGGGTGCCGTGTTCATGCCTGTAATCCCAGCATGTTGGGAAGCCAAGGTAGGCAGGTCACTTGAGGTCAGGAGTTCGAGATCAGCCTGGCCAAAATAGTGAAACCCCATTTCTACTAAAAATACAAAAATTAGTTGGGCGCGATGGCATGCACTGTAATCCCAGCTACTTGGGAGGCTGAGGCAGGAGAATTGCTTGAACCCGGGAGGTGGAGGTTGCAGTGAGCCGAGATCACGCCACTGCACTCCAGCCTAGGCAACAGAGTGAGACTCCATTTCAAGAAAAAAAGTATACTTGAACATTGTGTCATGTTTCATGTCTTCATGGGTGGCAGTTTCCCTAAAAATTACAAATGGAACTATCATATGATCCAGCAATTCCAATTCTGGATATATTCATACATTTTCAATTTTGATAAACACTGACAGGTTGCCCTCCACAGGGGCTGTATTAATTTATTTTTCCACCAACAAGGTATGAGAATGCCTATTTCTTCATATCCACCCTAACATAGCATGTAATAACATAGCATGTTAAAGGTATGTCAGCCATGGTTGGGTGCAGTGGCTCATGCCTAAAATCCCAGCATTTTGGGAGGCTGAGGTGGGTGGATCACCTGAGGTTAGGAGTTCGAGACCAACCTGACCAACAAGATGAAACCCCGTCTGTACTAAAAATACAAAAATTAGCCAGGTGTGGTGGCAGGCACCTGTAGTCGCGGCTACTTGGGAGGCTGAGATGGAAGAATTGCTTGAACCTGGGAGGTGGAGGTTGGAATGAGCCGAGATTGTGCCACTGCACTCCAGCCTGGGCAACAGAGCGAGACTCTGTCTCAAAAAAAAAAAAAAAAAAAGTATGACAGCCTTTTTTGACTTTTGCTAATCTGAAAGTGGAAAATTGTATCTTAATGCTTTCGCAGTGTTGGGAGAAGGCAGATCAGGGGCTGGATCTAGATAGAATCCAGGTCTACTGTCTTCTAGTCCAGAACTCTTCCCTCCAGAGTCTCATACAGAAGTCACAAACAACACACAGTAGGCATGCAACGTATGTTTACTGGATAAATAAAGAGGTGGATGCATGGATGGAGGATGATTTGATGTAGATGGAATGGTTAGTGTCATTTTAACTTATATCTCTCAAGTATACTTGAACATTGTGTCATGTTTCATGTCTTCGTGTATGGCAGTTCCCCTAAAAATTAAAAGTAGAATTACCCTATGATCCAGCCATTCCAATTCTGGGTACATACCCAAAATATTTAAGGCTTATAAAGACTTGAACAACTATTTGTGCACCCATGTTCATAGCACCATTATTTCAATAGCCAAAAGGTGAAGGCAACCCAAGTATTGATCAACGAATGAATGAATAAACAAAATGTATATCCACACAAGGGAATATTATTTCGTCTTAAAAAATGGGAAGTCTGACACATACTATAACATGGATGAGCCTTGAAGACATGCTAAGTGAAATAAACCAGTCACAAAAAGAAAATATTGTATGATTTCACTTTCCAGAAGTACCTGGAGTAATCAAATTCATAGAGATGTAGAGACAGGCTGCGGAATGGGAGGATTGGAAGTTAATGTTAATGGGTATGGAGTTTCTGTTTGGGAAGATGAATGATTTTTGTGATTGTTGTGTGGGTTCCACAACACTGTCAGTGTGCTTAATGCCACTGAACTGTACACCTAAAATGGTTAAAGTGGTAAGTTTTGTATTATATATATTTTATAACAACAAAAAGTGGGGATATTGAGTTCTAACAAATATCTTTTCAGCATCTATAAAAAGGATCATGAATTTTCTCTTTTGCTGCAACTATATGATGAATTAAATCAACAGATCACCTAATATTGAGTCTTTCTTGGCATTTCACAAAATAACCTCAACCAGGTTATGGTTTAATTATTTTAAAATGCTGTTGGGTTCTTTTTACTAATACTATATTCAGGATTTTAAAAAATTGAAGCCCATAAATGAGATTGTTTTGTTTTTCTTTTGTTTTCTCTTCCTTCTTTCCTTCCTTCTTCCCTTCTCTCTTTCTCACCCTCCCTTCTTCTCTCCCTTTTTTCTCTCCTTCCTTCCTTTTGTGCTATGTCTTCTATTTTTCTCCTGAGTCTCTCCTTAATAGCTACAGTATTTTTCTCTGACTCAGCTACACCATTGCCAGAATATTCCAGCTATATTTCTACTTAGTCACAAAATTCTGAATGTTTTATCCTGTTGATAAATTATTTCTATTTTGAATAAAAAATACATCCTAAGGAGAGACTGTGAGCTTTTCAAATGATGTTGCTATTTGAGAAATTAGATGACAGTGTTTTGAATCATATTAACATATTTCACGAGCATTTGTTGGTCACCTTCTATGGGCCAGTGACTAAATTAGATGTGGGGAATAAAAATATGGCTGAGATAAGACTTTTGTTTGGTGGAGACAGAGGAGTAAACAAGCAATTGCTGTGCTGTAAGATAAGGGCTATGAAAGAAGCATGTTCAAGGTGCACAGTAGGGGGCGCCTGGGGGCCTCAGGGAAGACTTCCTAGCTGAATCCTCCACCTCAAATCTTGTTTCTTATAGTATATGCTTCTTCACCTAAACTCAGAATTGGCACGTAGCCTCATGTCTGGTAAAATCTCCCTCTTCTACTTATCCAAGGGTTGTCCCAAGATCCAAAATACTTCTGGTGACTGTTTGTACCTTCTTTGGATTCATAGACTTCTCTGGAGATAAGCCTCCAGAAAGTGGCCTGCCCAAGGACACACAGACAGTAAGTGGTAGAGTCAATGAAGGACTGATTTACTGTCAAAAAACAAATGTGCTAGGTTCCCATTGTGTGCTGAGAACAGGCTCTGGGGATGACAATGGAGAAACTGGAGCGGAGCCCTTCTGAGAAGGACTTCAAGATCCTCAGGAAATAGCCAGACCTGATGGTGTGGGCCTCTAGTCCCAGCTACTCTGGAGGCTGAGGCAGGAGGATCACTTGAACCCAGGATTTGGAGGCTGGGACTATACCACATCACTGCAGTCCAGTCTTGGTGACAGAAACAGACCCTGTCTCAAAAAAATAAAATAAAATAAAAAAATAAAAAAAAATTCAAGAAGTAACAAAGGTCTTTGCACTACTTACCTAGTGCCAATCTGGGTAATTGTGTTTGTTCAGTCTTTGTCTTTCTGCTAGGACTGCCAACAAAAGTATCAACGCTTGCTAAGTGGGCCAATGTTGTGTTCATGTCATTTTCTTAGGTTTAAGCTTGCTCTCTCTGCATTTGTGCCAGGGAAGATTTGCAGCTCCTATCACTTTAAAATGTCCCCTGGAGTTACATTTTGTTAGATCTTGAGCTCCAGCAAGATTCTCTGCCAAACTTAGTACAGTCTTGGGGCCTCTTGAGTTGTGGAAGCCGGAGGTGCGCCATCTGCTTACTTTAAAATCACAGTGAATGCTGTATGGAACTGGTTATTTTCAGTTCCTTTTTTTTTATTTCCGAATTTTATTTAAATTTCAGGGGTACATGTGCAGGATGTGCAGGTTTGTTACATAGGTAAACGAGTGCCATGGTGGTTTGCCACACAGATCATCCCATCACCTAGGTATTAAGCCCAGCATCTATTAGCAATTCTTCCTGATGCTCTCCCTCCTCCCCACCCACCTTCCTACAGGCCCCAGTGTGTGTTGTTCCTCTATTTTCAGTTTCTATATAACTTTCTGTTCCTTAGACATTTGTTTCTTGGAACCTACATCTATAAGAAGCTTAGCTATATTTCATATTGAGTATTTTTCCCATGAGTGGAAATTCTAAATTGAAAAAAAATCAACTAATCCTACACACAATTCTGTAACAGTGTAGTCTAGGTAAAATGCAATACTAGAATGCCATTCAAATTCTTTACCCGAGAATTAGCTGCAATAGCCAGAAACTAATGTGGCTTTTCAAATATTTAGGTTTAGCGTAATTATAAATGTACATAACTAATGATTCATGAACTCTCAAATTATACATCTGCGTTTGATTTTATGTTGAAGTGTTTTTAAATCCTCAGAAAATGATGTTACCAAATGTTTCTGGCTCACTAAATGTTCTATTTAAAAAAATTCTTAATCAAAGGCAAAGACTCATCCGGCACCTTCATATAAAATTTGATGAGTGGGAGATACATTTCTTGTAATGTAAATGTAAATGCATCCGGCTGAAGGAATTCAGAGACAATCTTCTGGAATCTTAAACACAATTAATAACCCACCAAGATGATGATCACTGGTGTTTTATATTCCTTCTGAGAAAGGCTATAAGACAAAGCATGGATTGACTGAAGATGGAAATACATGTGACAAAGTCACAGTGTGAATGGACAGGTTAGGTCCCCCATCCCATCATCGTCACTGTCTTACCTGACTGCTTACTGCTTATCATCCTGACGGTGCAGGATTCTTCCTTGGCCAGAGAGGATTTTGCTGGAGTCAGAAATTCAACCAACCGTATTGCCACTGGGTGGCACAATTGGAAGTCTCTAAAGAGGTCTGGGCTTTAAAAGGGCCTCTCCCTCTGTCCGAAGGACTGGGATTTATAAATACTAAAGCTGCCGGCCATTGTGATTGCTTTTACTTTGGGACTGTTTATAAAAGTGAGGGAGTCTGTGGCCTTTCAAAGAGTGTGGATTTCACATTGGAAGCCTCTGTGTTGTTATTCTATAGGAAATTAACTGGAGTATTTTTTAAGTTTGTCTTATTTTTGATCTGATGAATCCAAGGAGTGGAGCAAGAGGCAGATTTTGGACACGGTTATGAGAATGACAGAAACTGCCTAAAGCATTTATGCTCTGGCATTCGTCCCTGTTTCTGGAGGTCCAGTAAGGTAGGCAACAGCCATGTGTAGCTATTTAAATTAAAATTAATTAAGATTGAATAAATTAAAAATTCAGACCCTCAGTCATACTAGCCACATTTCAGTTGCTCAACATGTGGCTACTAGCTACCATATTGTACAATACAGATATGGAACATTTCCCTCATTGCAGAAAGCTCTAGGCAAGGCTACTGATATTCTTTTGTTATTGTCCTCAAAAGAATAGACAAATACTGGATGTTTTTTGCTCATGCTACCTGAAAACCTTAGGAAGTGTTATTCACTAGCATTGATTGTGCAATGTGACCCAACAAACATTTATTTAACATTTACCCTATGTTAGATAGATATATTTTGCAATGCTGCAATGTTGTGTTACCAAAGTTTAGGAGCCAGGGCAAACTAATATACACATTGGATAATGTGTTTGATGGACATCAACATGGTCTTGAAATTGAATCTACATGTTGCGTATTGTAAGAATCAATCTATACCACTAAGATTTTGATAATTAAATGTAATTATTCAGTCAGTCCTAATTTCTCCGGATCCATTTTTGTGTAATGTGTTGCCCTTTTCATCCTGTTTTCCGTTTTGTTATTTATACTGCTTTTTAGCTTTATTTATTTATTTATTTATTTATTTATTTATTTATTTATTTATTTATTACTACCTTAGGTGTTTCATTTCACTCATACAGGGAGGGATGCTCACCTTGTCAAACTGTGACCCTCCATTACCCGTGCAAGGATTGCTTGAACTAGGCTTCTCACCTTCCTCATATGGTGCTAGTTCTCAAGTTTTGGCTCCCATTGAGAATATCACATTTACACACTGACTGAATGGGCTGTGAGAAGATAATTTGCTTGTCTAATATTTGTGTCAACATTCAGGAGTTTTGATTACATTTATATGCCGTCAAGGCAGCTTGGTGAAAAATGAAAATTTCAGGCAATTTTGTCCTTTTCTCAACAGAGCGTATGTCCATCTCCAGGTGGCTGGTGTTGGGTGGACAATAAACAGATTCAATTCTACAGTTATTGAACATGTCTATGTGCCATGCCCCTGTGCGTAGTACCTGTGGGGACAAAGGTGCATTCAAAACAGCCCATGCTTTTGAGGAGTTTTCATACTAGCAGTAAAAAAAATACACATTTAAACAAAAATCCCAGTGAACATTTCCTGTTGCCAAAACGTTTTGAAACCATGGATAGTCTGTGCCGAAACTGGTTGAGCATTAGTGTGTGTGATTTAATGTGATGAAACACATTTCACACGGAGTTAGGGAACTAATATGATTTTTTTATAGACTCATCTTTCTGTAGGACAGTGGTTATCAAACTTGGCTGCACATTAAACTCTCACGAAGGGCATTTTTTTAAAAATACTACTCTTCAGGGCCAACTCCTGAATAGTGGTTGTCAAAGTATGGTCCACAGACACACAAAACCTTGGAACTTGTCATAAATGCAGATTCTCAGGCCCTGGTCCAGACCCCTGACTCAGAGACTGGGTTTGGGGTCCACCAATCTGTGTGTTAACAACTCCTTCAGTGATTCAGATATTTAGAAATTTAAGAACCACTGCTCTAGAGACTGTGATTTAATTGGTTCACAGTAGGATCTACATTTTGATCTTTTTAAAGGCTCTTTTTAAAGGTGACTCTAATATGTAGACAGATTTGAGAACCACCGCTCTAACAGAAAAGTTGCTCAAGCTTACTTTTTGATTAGGAACTGTTCAGGTTGGTGTGACGTCAGAGAACCAGTTATTTCAGCTGTCCTTGGATTGTGGTCAACCTGTCTGGCAGGGATTTTCATGCGTTTCAAGTACATGAGGGGAAGAATCCACTCACTCTAGACTAGTGTGTGTGGGAGCAAACTTTAGTGTTGACCAAAACCCATTGGGAAATAATTCCTAAACTGAGGTAGACGAGTGCTACTCAAACACAAATGTTCATACAGATCACCTGGGGATCTTGTTATTATACATGCAGAGTCTGCCAAGGTAGGCCTGGGCTTGGCCCGAAAGTCTGAAAGTCTGCAATTCTAACAAACTCTGAGGTGCTGATGTTGTAAGCTCTGGAACTTTGAGCAGTGAGTTAGAAATTATGACTCAGGTCCAACCCCGGATATACTGAATAAGGATCTGCATTTTAATAAGATCCTTATTGTCTAAAGGGACTCTATATTCTAGAAAAAGAGAAAGCATTCTCATCTCTGGAAGACACAGCCTGGCTATGAATTTCTGTTGTCTGTATTGCCAGTCCTAATCTTAGAATTAATTGTAGCTTGTCTGATTCCAAATGTTTGTTCTGTTGTTTACAGGTTTGTTTTGTTTAGCTCAGAGGAGGAGGATGCACAAGGCATATTCATGTGACTGAGTTCCCGGGGTTACTAATGTGACAGAAACAATTGTTTAAAAAGAATTTCTTTGGATTTGATGTCTATTCTTAAAAAATTTCACCTTGAGACAAATTCTCTGGAGGTTTGCCAAATAGGAAAAGTGACTGAGTGAAGTCAGAGCTTTGATATCTGGAGAGGGTGTTTTAAATGGAAGCTACTTCAGAAAATAATAAGCAATTGGGTTGGAAATTGAAATTCGTTAAAATAGATAAACTCAGAGAATATTTGAGTGGCCTATGTGTCATCAGAAAAGTTAATTTCTTTCATAATAAATGTGGTATATTATTTAAGCTAAAAATAACAAAATGTGAAATTTCAGTATCCCTATATATCACATTAAAATATTAATTCTCTAATTTTAAAGCACCAAATAAATAGCTGCATCACATTAAGTATTTCATTAATAATTTGAGGGTTTTTTTGGACTGATTTTTGGTTTCTACTGAGAAGACATACCCATGTCAAATTAATTTCCAAACAAACATTTATGCAATTCTCTAGTGAATATTACATGTTAAAAATCTGCCTTAGTTCAAATGATTCACACATGTTAAAGCTGAAATTGACAATGGACTTTAATGTGTTTTTGTCATGTTTACTGTTTGGAAATCAAACTACATGGAACATAATTATCTAAATTGCAGGATTTTAATATGATGAATTCATAGGATTTAGAGCTGGAGGAGATATTAGATTTTGAATCCAATCCCTTCATTTTGTATGTGGGGAAGCTGAAAGCCAAAAAGTTTTCATGCCTCTTCCAAAGTCCCAGAAAGGAGGATTTAGGGTGTGATGTGCTGGGGCCAAAAGAGGCAGGCAAGGCCATGAACGTCCTGCTCAGGAGCTTGTGCACGCCCGCTTTCACCTTCCATGGAGAGCCAGCCCTCTCTCCAGCATGGAAAACAACCACTAAAACACCACCTTTAAAGACCAATGTGGAAAATTACTTTAGGAGAACAGAAAACCACATCTGTTTGGCTTTGGACCCACAAGAATTACATAAATCACCTCTTGTTTGCCCACCAATTATGGTGATTAAATTACTATAAAAATCAAACTTGAAAGAAAAGCAATGCTGTTCACAGAATGATGGCGGAATATAGGGTTGCTCTCCCATCACCCCTCACCAATATTTTTAAGAAAATTCAGAGCATAGGTCTATATTGCTAGTCCTAATCTTGGAATTAGTTGTAGCTTGGGAGGTGCTGGCAGGAGAATCGCTTGAACCTGGGAGGCAGAGGTTGCGGTGAGCCAAGATTGTGCCATTGCACTCCAGCCTGGGCAACAAGAGCAAAACTCCATCTCAAAAAAAAAAAAAAAAGAATTAGTTATAGCTTATCTAATTCCAAATGTTTGTACAATATATGTTTAGTAAGCAGACTACGATGAACCTTATTTATTTGGGTAAGTGCGATTGGTTCTGGACTGCCCCAATTCATAGGCATAATTTTTGAGGCCAGTTGAAAATTTGGGCCCTCACTTAAATGTTGGCACAGTTAACTAAGACCCAATAGAAAAACAAAGTAACATATGATTACATTTCATTTTACAAGATAAAAGCAATAAAACATTAAGAAATACTATAACAATAAATCAAGAGGGGGAAATTAGCCAGCCTTTATCTAGTTAACATTTGAGGATTTTAATGTAGAGAGGCTCTTACCTCTGGTTTTCTAACTTTGCCGATGTAAAAATACATGAACACCTAATAAATGCATATGTGCTTTTTGATTAGGTTGCTTCACACAAATATTTGCATGGTTGCTGAAGATGAACAGGAATTTTATATTGTGTTGGACCTTCTATGAGGCAGTAAAATAATAGGATTGATATAAATATCTAGTTTTGCCTCCCTGTGGCCAATTTCTTACTTTCTAAAACTTTATGGATACAATCCAAAATATACACATGTACATACATATTTAACTTAATGTTATTGCAGATAAGAATTTGAGAAATGTGGACCTGATTAATGTTAATGGGATTTTATAGTATTTTTTGCACAAGTGTTCAAAAATAAAATTTAAATATATGCAAAGAAAAACACACATTTAATTTACATTGGCAGTAAAAGTGGAATAAAATAAATATAGTTTTAGAATAAAAATCAGGCAACCTTGCTAATAAGAGAATAATAAATAGCTCAAAAGAACAGTTGCTTTTTTATGATTCCAATATTTCCATTTGGAATGCTATAATGTGGCTCAAATGTATAAATTAAACAGTGTTATTCTAGTACCTAATGATAGCAAGAATAAACATAAGGCTTCATCCTGTTTTCTTTATCTACAAGTCTTCTATTAAAGATGTGAGCCTGGTCTCAGGGGAAAAATAAATGAGAGTCCTGGCAATTTTTGCGTGTGACCAGAACATAGAAGAATATCATGGTTTAACCATCCACCAAACTATTATTTAAATAAATGAAGATTTATAAGAAAAGAAAATGAATGTATATATTTGGCTCTGTCTCAATCATAGACTTATAGTACAAGAGGATATGTGAAAAATCCATCTAATGACAGGTATGTGGAAAAATGTTCTTCACAAGTAAGCAATTTCCATTTATAGTAGATATTTCATTTTCTCCCTTTTCATCTCCTCTTTCAAATGCTAATACCCCATTGATTAGGGTGGAGGATGGAAGGAAAAGCACTTTCTTAGCCTGCTGGTGGGAGTATTTGTTGATTCTTTTCTGGAGTACAGTTAGGCAATGGTTATGGAGAACCACAAACTTGTTCCTATCTCTTTCACCTAGGAAATCTCAAAAGCAATGAGAGGCATGCATAAAGATGAATGTTTTTGTAAGTCCATAAAAAGAGAAGCCACATAAATATCCAATAATTGTGGACTAGTAGATAAATTATAGTACAGTATACACACACCATGGAATATGCTATAGCTATTAAAACTCACATTGTAAAAAATCAAATAGAATGGAAACATTTCCATGATAGACTATTAAGTGGGAAAAAGCAGGCTGTAGGACAGAAAATAGTGTATGGTTCTGATTTTTATAAAAATAAGTATGTATTTGTAGAAATGAAAGGCTGGAAGAATATACACTGAAGTGTGCACAGTAATTATCTCCGGGCAGGATATGTACTCTGGGAAGTATTTCTTCACTGAAATCTTTCATAGTTCCCAAATTTGCAACATGTTTGTCAAATTTTATAACTAGGAAAAAATACATTTTAAAAAAGTTTAGCTCCTCCAGCCTCTTGTTCTAAGTTACAAAGCTATGAGTTGCCAATCTTGTCCTAAAACATAACTTAGGAATATTTAGCATCTCTCTTTCAGCGAAGTTCTTAAATACACTTCTCTTAAAATTCACATTCATAGTCTCCCCTGTTCTTCTGGGGCAGAACTGTCTTTTTTTTACAATACCTTTGATTTCATGTTGAAACACAATTCTGAATCCACACCTTGGCTTTCTCATCTCCAGTCTTTACAGTATCTCTTGTCCAGCCTTTTGCTCTTTCCTTCTTTCTTTCTTCTTCTCTGAATCTCTCAGAGAACATCCCAGGAAAACCTACAGTCCACTACTGGACATGCCTGGAGGCCAACCCACTGTTTCCTTCGACATCAGTGTGGACGTCAGGGGAACCCAGCTTTCCCCTGGGAATTCTAGCTCTGTAGCTCAGTAGAGCTGCCCCAGTGCTGTGGAGAAATGGACACTTACCCCAAAGCTACTGCATTCCCTTTGGGCATTCTTGGTCTCACAGTGAAGAGTGAGACTAAGAAGACCTCCTGAAGTGAGTCCATTGAATTAATGGGGACTCTGCTATTCAGAGCTCCCAGTAGCCACACATTCTCATCCTTTCCTGGATCACTCAGCATTAGCCTTCATGGTGAATATCATCTGTCTTCTTGTTTTTCTTTTCTTTTTTTTTTTTTTTAAACTTCATTATTTCATTTTAATTGATGATTTCATTCATTCAATTATTTACTTTTGATTGATTCCAGTAACATATTCTCCTTGTGAGCTAATTCAAACAATACAGAAGTATATAAAGTTTGCCCAGATGTAACAACTAACATTATGCATGAACCCATCCAGATATTTGTCTATACACCAAAAATAGTGTGTGCGTGTGTGTGTGTGTGCATTTACACATATGTGTATGGACACGTGTACAGATTTTAATTAGTTTTTTTTTTGCAAAAGTGATAAGCTATTGATAGCAATGTAGGTTATTTTCAGTTTTTCATTATTACAACCAATGCTACAGTTATTCCTGGATGGTATCTTTGTGCCACCTGTTTGAGAAAGCCAGACTCTTTCCTGTGCTCTAGCTGCAACCAGCCAAAGCGTCCATAATTGTAACACTTGCTGTTCATGCCTAGGGTAGGCAGAAACCCACAGAGTGTGAAACTAATACTAGTTGTAATATTTATTGTTTACGGAGAGCTCTTTATGTGCCTGCTGTGTTACTCTTTTCTACACCTTCGTTTTACAAAGGAGGACACTGAGGCTTAGAAGGGATAATAGCTTGTGAACCATCACAAAACTCTGAAATATCTGACTCTGACCTCTGCCATTTTTTTATTCCACCACTCCAGCTTCCCTCTGAAACTATAGCCCATTCCTAATTGGGTTGATGTCTGCCAGGGTAGACTCCCAAATCAAAAATATTTTTTGCTCATCATGGCACAAGATTTTAAATGGGCGATGAAGAAAACTGGTGCCAGTACATACAGATACAGTTTTGTTTTTTTTGTTTTTTTTTTTTTTTTTTTTTTTGAGACGGAGTCTCGCTCTGTCGCCCAGGCTGGAGTGCAGTGGCGGGATCTCGGCTCACTGCAAGCTCCGCCTCCCGGGTTCACGCCATTCTCCTGCCTCAGCCTCCCGAGTAGCTGGGACTACAGGCGCCCGCCACTATGCCCGGCTAATTTTTTGTATTTTTTAGTAGAGACGGGGTTTCACCGTGTTAGCCGGGATGGTCTCGATCTCCTGACCTCGTGATCCGCCCGCCTCGGCCTCCCAAAGTGCTGGGATTACAGGCGTGAGCCACCGCGCCCGGCCACAGATACAGTTTTATAGATATAAAAAGGTATTCATGAATACATATGAAATGTGAGAATGATGATTGGAGTAGGAATCTAATAGATGACAACATTTTGGTTTACTTGCTTTTGCAGTACAGTTATTGCTCCAGCAGTTTTTACCTGTTCAGATAAGAGTTACCCTCATACTTTTTCTTTAAACTTTATTGGCTGCTATGAAACCTAACAGTGTTTCATGAAATGTTCACTCTCAGCCGATAAAGAGATGGATGTCAGATGCCCTTGCCCCTCCTCTAATGTCCCTTGGCCATGGCAGATGTTGCTTGTGATAGGATGCTTTCACACTCAGCCAGCTCTGTGGTTTGAATACATTCCCTCCAAAATTCAAGCTGAATCTTAATACCCCTGGTGGTACTACTAAGAAGTGGGGCTTTCAGGATCTGATTAGACCATGAAGGCTCTAGCCTCATGAATGGATTAGTGTCTAATAAAGGGGTTTGAGGGGGCAAGTTTGCCTTTCCATCCCTCCCAGCATGTGAGGACCCAGTGTTCATCCCTTCCAGAGGACACAGCAACAAGGTGTTGTCACAAAAGGGGAGACTGGGCCCCTCACCAGGTACTGAACTTGCTAATGCCTTGATCTTGGACTTCCCAGCCTCCAGAACTATAAGAAATAAATTTCTGTTCTTTATAAATTACCCAGTCTAAGGTGTTTTACTATAGCAGCACAAATGGGCTTAGACAGTTGCCATCTGGCAAAGCTCCAGAATCCTTCTCAACCTGGCTTCTAAAATGCCACTGGAAATTAGTTGGACTTAGCTGAGAGCTGAAACCTGTCATCTCTAGATTTATTAAATTCTTGCAAACATGTATTTGCTGAGCACAATGTGCCTGGCACTGTGCTGGGTCCCAGAGGTTCAACTGTGAATGATACAAACTTGATCCCTAGTCTTAGGGAGCTGGGTGAGGAGGAAGACAGATAATGATTGCACATCTAATTCCAAGGCTTTGAATGATTGATGTGAAGAAGAGCAGGGGCTACAGAAGCACACCTTGGGGAGACTTTTCCTTAAACGGAGCCCCTAATGATGCATGGGAGCTGGTAGATAAGCAGGGCAGCGCCCAAGGAGGGCTGCTCCAGGCATAGGTGACAGCACTGCAGAGGCCCTGAAGATAATTCAGGGAACATGGAGAAACCTGGCATCCCTGGTGCCTGGGCATCCTGGATGAGAGAGGTAAGAAGTGAGTCAATGCAGAGACACATCCAGAGCAAATCAGGCAGCCTTAGGGGCCCTGATAAGAACATGAGTCCGTTTCCTAAGGCAACAGGAAACCTTGGAAGAATTTTAATTAAGCAACTTAAATAAAATTGCCTTTAAAAAAATGGGACTGAAATATAAGACAGTCTTTATATGGCTTAGTCCCTTTTCATTTTGTATTATTTGAAGAAAAATTTCAGTTCAAAATTTCCCGAGTGCTTAGAGCACAATATGTAAGCCGCTCTAGTGCTTTCGACTAATACTAGCAAACAGTTCCACAGCACTTACATGTACCAGGCTTTACAAATATTATTTGTGCTTTACAATTACTTAACTTGTTGAATTTAGATATATTTGATTTAGGTATTACTAGTAGCCTCATTTTGCAGAGGAGAAAACTGAGATGCAAAAAGGTGAAGTAACTTATTCAAGTTAGCAAGTGGTAGACCTGGACTCAAACCCAGGCTGCCTGGTTCCGGTATTGTGTGCTGGTGGTGAATGGCTTGCTCCCTTGCTCCCTTCCCTCCAATAGCTTAAAAAGCTGCCTGTCTTATGCCAGTCCCCCGGCACAACCCCTTCACAGCCACCCCTACAAACTCCTGGTCTCATCCTTTCTTGCCCATTGCAGGAATCATATAATGACCTAGGTCTTCATCCAGGTATAAGACCTTTTAGACTTCCGGTTTCGGCAATGAGTTGAGATCTTTTCTGTTTGTCCCTGATGGTTAATTTTATATGTCCATTTGGCTGGGCCATGGGATGCCCAAATATTTGATCAAACATGATTCTGGATATTTCTGTGAGGGTGTTTTTGGATGAGATTAACATTTAAGTGGGTGGATTTTGAGACTTCCATAATGTAGGTGGGCCTCAACCAATCAGCTGAGTAGAACAAAAAGACCAACTATCCCCCCAGCAAAAGAGAATTCTACAGCAGACTGTCTTTGGACTCAAACCGGAATATTAGCTCTCCTGGGTCTCCAGACTGCCCATTTTGCCTTATGGCTGGAACTGTAGCATCGGCTCTCCTGGGTCTCTAGTCTGCCAGTCCACCCTGCAGATTTTGGACTTGCCAGCCTCCATTATCATGTGAGACATTTATTTATTTTTTATAATAAATCTCTTTCTCTCAATGCACACAAGCTATTGGTCTGTTCTTCTGGAGAGCCCTGACTAATACACCCCTGTATCCCTGGCATTTGGCTTAGAGTATGTGCTTAATAAATACAGGTGAAATTAACGCACCTAGAACACCCGCTCACAGAGCCTTTGTCTCAGGCCCCTCTTTTCTCTTGATGCCATAACCATGGCCAGTGGATTTGCCTGGCTTTCTGGCACATGCTTCTGATTTGTGTCCACTTTCCTCTGTATTTCCTTTCCAGGGATAGAGGCTTCCCTGGACCCAGGCCTCCTGGATGACATCCTGCTTAACCCTCACCAGCTTCCCAGCTGGTGTTGAGAGCCAGGCTGGTGTTGCCCTGCCCTCATTGCTGAGCTGCCTGAGTTGATTTTGCCAATGCCAGGAGAGCCCACCTACCAGCCCTAACCCCTCAGGCTGGCTCCTTTTTGATACTGATGCTCCCAGCTAGGAAAAGTTCAGGTTTTCTTCATATCCTTTAGAAATGATGTTTGGATTTTGGTCCAAACCTCTATCCCTCCCTTGCTATTTCCAGGACAAGCCACATCATAGCTCCTGGCCCTACGTTGCCTCTCTGCTTCTGGCTTCCTCCTTCTCTGATTTCTGCCACTGCATCTCAGCACACCTGACATGAGATCATTGAAAGGGCAGGTCATACATGTGCTTAACCATTAACAAGGAAGGAGATAAGGACATTAGTGAGGCTCAAAACAAGGGCTAAGTGGGGGGTCCAGAGAAGGGCGGGAACACTTTCTACTGGAGGAGGGATGAAAGGGTTCATGGAGTAGCTGCATTGTCCTGGGCTTTGGAGCTAAGCAACATTTCAGCAGGAGGAGCTAGACATTGGAGGGTGGACACAGACGCCCAAAGTGCAGTATGAGGTCAAAAGCAGCAAAGAATGCAAGGAGCCCAGAGGATGGGGTGTCCTTGCGGATGGAGAAAGGAGTGGAAGGGAGTAGTGGGGGGTGAGGCTGCAGAGAATAGGGAGAGTTATTTCATGCAAACTTTTACTCAGAATGAGCAAAGGAAGTGTTCATTTGGCCTTTGACCAGACCTGCTTCTGTAAAATAGTAATAGTACCTTGTCTGAGAGTTTATAGCACAAAGATTAGAAAGCAACATTCTTATGCTTGTCTGTTGGTGTTTGGTGTAGGAGCTCTGGACAGAAAGCCTGGAGAACCAGATTCTAGTCCTGGCTGGACTATTAAATAGTTGGAAGAGCTTTGGGGGTCTGAAATCCCTCATCTGGAAGACAGAGATGGGTGGAGTGGACTGGACAAAGTCTAACATTCTTTTCAACTATGAAATTTTTAGCGTTTCACATCAATTTTGCTCTTTGGAGTAATTGCAAGTGCAGGGTGATACATTTCTCTATATATTTGTCTAAGGATTTTTAAATTACGCAATTTCAAACATATACGAAAGTATGTTTACCTAATTGTTAAGATCTTGCTTTATTTGCTTCATCTATTCAGTCCTGTCTCCCTCTTTTCGGTTGAATTATTTTAAAAGACTGACTTCATGTCATTTTTACCTCTACGTGCTTCAGTGTTCTGAATTATGCAGACATTAAAAAGAAGAATTACAAAATCATTATTACACTCGATGAACAGAGCTTTGTATCATCCAATATGCAGATCATAACCAAATTTTCCCAATTGTCTCAAGAATATCTGTTTACAGTTGCTTTGTTTGAATTGTGATCTAGTTAGAGTCCACACGGGACATTTGGTCATTATGTCTCTTTAATCTCTTTTAAAGAATAAATATTTTAGGCCAGGCACCGTGGCTCACGCCTGTAATCCCAGCACTTTGGGAGGCTGAGGCAGGTGGATCACGAGGGTCAGGAGATCAAGACTATCCTGGCTAGCACGGTGAAACCCCGTCTCTACTAAAAATACAAAAAAAAAAAAAAAAGAATAAATATTTTAATGCAAAAGCGGTTTTGTGAAACCAGTAAGAGTGAGCCTACACTGCATTTAAGGAGGCAATATAAACGGCACTGTGACCAGTCACCTCTGGGTTGGCTTCCCATCTAAGGGAGGCAGGTACTCTTTCTATCTCTCAGTTCCTTTTTCATGGACTCTTGAGCCCTTAGGACCTATTTTCAAAGAACTGTGCTGAACTTTAGCTGTTTCTGCATCATTAAAACCAATGGGAACTGAGCAGTTAAAACCCTGGGCAGTGCTTTGAAAACATATCCCCCACTGTCCTCTCTTCCCTCTTCCCGTGGAACATTGATCAGAAACAGACCTTTGGAGCTGTCCTCCTTTTACACATTTAAAACGTTTTTCGGTCCTACACAATGTACTTTATATTCTACCCCAGGAAATTAGTGTAGCCACTGATGTTCTTAGTCTCTTTCTTTAATTTTGACCAGTTTGCCACAGACTCTGATTTAATACTGTGTTAAGACACATTCCTTTAGAAAACAGGGAGTCAGGAGCCCTGGGCGCTGGTCCTGGCTCTGCCATGCCTGGCCGGTGTACTCCTGGGCAAGGTACGGCACCTCTCTGGACTTCCGTGGCTTGTCATTGAAGACCCTGACTAAACTAACCAGTGCATGGAGTTGCTGACCAGAACCTTCTCCGCAGCAAAAGCGTCACGTGGCAGGCACTGTCTCTGCCGTCTGCACTCCTCCCTCCCCAGTGTCGGTCTCCCTGCGCTGGTGTGGCTCCTCCCATAGGCCCTTTGTACTTCTCAGAGGTTTGGGCTGTTAGGACCCTGACTTCTCCTTCCTTTCTTCCACGTCCTGCAGAGCCAGTCCTCCTGTGTTCTGCACCCTTTTGTTCTTCTACCTCATGTAAAGACCGTTTTTTTGAGTTGGAAATGATCTAATTAAGTGAATTCACACCCTAAGATGTAATTAGCTGTTATCAACTTGATGTGCTCTTCCTTTGGGGTCATTTTAATTTCATTTCATTTTAGTGAAAGGAAATACTTAGCTAATTGATAAAAAAAAAAAAAGTGGAATTTTAGCTAGCAGTGCCTAGTTGGCTTACAAGGGTCTTCCTGGTGGCCCTCATATCACAACCCAAAGGCAGCCTCTTTTTCTGCTCATGGATGGTGAGTTTTGAGGGCAGCCAATGAAAGCATATTTGCGAGAGAATGAAATACCCATGATACCTACTCGGATTTCACAGAGGGGGAGGCACAGAGTGGTGGAGCTGCAAGGAATGCTGGCAGGAGCTGAGGGGGCTCAGTGACAAGACCGGTGCAGCCAGAGGTGGCTTGGGAGACCATGGACATGCAGAAAGTCTCTGGTGTACAAAGGGGGAGGGAAGCGGGTGGAGGCGAAGGAACGTGGGTGCTGAGTCTGGCATTTACTGGCTCTGTGAACTTGGACAAGTCACTCAACCATTTTGAGGCTTTTTCATCTGTAAACATGGGGATGGTAATAATACCCATCTCATAAGGTTGTTATGGAGACTAAATGAGATAATTAACGTGAAAGTGCCTGGTAAAGGTAGGTCCAGGTGTCATCTCCAGAAATTAGTCCCAGGTATTGGTATTTTGTTTTATTTTAAAGCTCCTCGGGCCATTCTAATGTCAGAGTTTATAACAATTGCAGTAATGTATTCCAGTTCTCTTTCCATAACTCATAGTGTTGCCAGTGGTCAAGCCTGAGTGTTGGTAGAGCATCAGTTTCTCATTCCAAAAAGAAAATAATGCAGACCAAAGAACCTTATGAGACTTGTGAAATTACAGAATTGAATGGCCATCCAGTTCAATCTCCTATCTGATGGTTGAATGCTCCCTGCAGTATTCTTGACCAGTGGTAGTTTAGGTCGGTGTTTCTCAAGCTCCAGCAGACATTGGAGTTACTAAAACTGAGAGTGCTGAACCTCAATCCCAGAGTTTCTGAATTAGTAGGTCTGGGACGGGTCTTGAGAAATTTCATTTCTAGTATGTACGCAGCTGTTATTGATACTGCTCGTCTGGGCACCACTGTTTGAGAACCACTGATCTAGATGGTGCTTGAATACCTCTAGTGTCAGAGAACTTCCTGCTTCATGAGCCTGCTCATGCCATCTTCCGAGAGCCTGAAGCACGAACACACTTAATCTGATGGAAAGTTCCTTCTCATATGAACCTGAAACCTGTTTTCCTATCCCTTTTACCTATAGGCTGTTTGTCTTGCCCTTTTGACAGTAGAGTTAAATTTTATTCATCATAGTTTTAACAGAAAGTATTTTTATTACTTTTGGTCTGTGATTCACTGTCCTAAGGATAAAAGACAACCTGACTGTATTGGCAGTCTGATACTATGGCAAAAACCTCAAGCCATTCTAAGGAGGAAAGAATCTGATCTATTCCTGGGAAAACAACTTCAATTGAGCAAATGTATTTTGAGTGCCCAGTGTGTTTCGGGGATGGGAGATGTACAGGTGAACAACCAGTTCAGGGATTTCTGTGGAAGGTGGGAATAACCACTGAAAAACCACTCCTCACTCAATGGATGTAGATTTCTAGTGATGGACAACTCAATACCCCTTCACGGTTTTAACACAGCTTTGTGGACTTGTGACCATTTCAGCAACGAAATGCATATTTTGGCACACACGCCACTTGCTGAAGAAATAAAAATTTAATAGACATATATCTGAAAGTTTCTAGCACTTCAGGGAGATTTTGAGATTTATTCTAGCATACCATACAATGAGTTTTATTGGGAGCTGCAAAAATATATAATTTTAATAGAAATAGGTAAGCATAAAACATTGACACCACTGAAAAAATATTGGCCATGCCAAAGCAACCCCCATAAAAGTTTGCAGAATGTTTCAGAAAAGAATAAGAGAATTATTAAGGGCTGATTTTTCTAGTGGAGCTTTGGCCAGGGTCTCATTTTTAAGGAAACATATCTATGTTTCCAAGGAAAAAGCAGGTATTCACTGCCTTTGAAGTGCAGCGATCCTGATGTTTCTTGTAGCTATGTGAAGAAAGATCATGGAGATTGTTTTGTGCAGGTTTGGTGAAAAAGCTTAATTAATGATTAAAAGCACAACAGTCCTGTTAAACCAGACATGTTTTAGGAAAACACTTCAAGATGAGATGACAGTGCCCTCCTACATTCAAAGGCTGGAAATTCAAGTATTAGAACATTCATTACTTTTTCCTTGGAGATGGTGCTGTCTTTATCATCCATCTTCATCACTTGCTCCAAGTTAAAATGGTTGATTTCTTGCTGCTGATTATAGGGCATGAATCTTAGTCCTATGGAGCTTGAAAGCACGATGGCTTTGTGTTCTTCAGTATCTCTGAGCTTCATTTTCATTGTCTGGTCAAAACCAGGAGAGTAACATCTGCCACACAGATTATTGTGATATATAATGTGAAGATACAGACAACACACACAGCACAGTGTCTGATGACCAAGACATGCCAGTATCATAGTTCATATACTTTGGGGTAAGGCTTAGTGAGCAGCGACACACTACCCCAAGGGAAAGAAAACCAGAAGGGCACTTCCTGAAGGGGAATCTTGCTCCAGGTCCCCAGTGTCTCTTTACTGAGACGCTTTACTGAGACAGTTCTTCCCCAACTGGATCACCGGTGTGCAATTTGACCTTCAGAAGTATGTTGTAGAAAAGTGCTGTACGGTCAGTAAATTTGGCAACTGCTGCCAATGGGCACATCAGCGTGTTGAAGGCTGTAGAAAGCCTAACAGTAGAGAAAACTGTTCAACTTTGTTTAATGTAGCATTTTTCTAACCATATTCCAGTGACAGGAACATATTTTCCTGCCTCAAGACTGGTATGCCTCAAAGCACTGTTTGGGAGCTGCTAATCCAAGCCCTTGAAGTCAGTAGGAGATAAGGGTATCTTATCTTATCCTTGGTGTTTAGTGTGGTCCCAGCCTATACAAGGTATGGAACAGACGCTGGGTGAATAAATGGCTCAATGTATATGTCAATTTCCTGATGATTCTTGCCAAGGCAACGACTTCCTGTGGGCACAATTCATTTGTATTGTCACCACCAACAGGGACTACAGCACAAATCCTTCCCACATAAGCTGGCATTCCTACTATGTTGCCAGTTTAATGAATTTTGTTAAAAACAGACTTCTGACCAGCCAGGGTCCTGATTTGACAATTTTATTTTTTCGGAAAAAGTCACTATGATGACTCTGTTTGCAGCAGTTGTCCGAAGCTGAGGTTGCCTTCTGTTAGCCGCTTCTCTTGGTTGGACCTGAGCAATGGGCAGGTGCCAGAGAACTCTGGACAAGAAGACGCTTCCAGCCGGGTGCTGCAGAAAACTTGTTCTGCAAAAGCAGACAGGAGACACTGAATGAAGGACTCTGTTCTCCAACAACAGATTTCATCATTGTGAGGTTCACATGGGGTGTGTTTTCATTTTGTTTTTCCCTACAGTTTCAATCTTCTTTCCTCCCAGAAAGGGTTCTTTTGTGTTTGACCTCGTCCCGACGCGTTGGAAAACGTCCTGCTGCACCAGCTCTTAATTCACCTTCCTGTGTGGACTTGCCTCGGTGGCAAAGTCACACTCATTAACAAGTTCTTCCTCCCTGGGCTCTGCACATCACCCAGCTATATATCTTCCAATGTGTTCCCTTCTGTGGGGAAATGAGCTATTGCCAGAGTCGGGCTCTGGGACACGGAGGACTGGCTCACTGGCTGGCTGCCCTGGTGATAATCTGGAAGTGATCAGTGGAGGAAAAAGATAACACAGCTGTGATTTTCAAGGAGACAGGTCCTGGTTTTTTTTACCTGCCAACCACATTTCCTCCGGGGAGTTTTTCGGCAAGTGCTGTAAAAGAGACCTTTTAATCTTGTTTCAAAAACCTGGAGACCCAAGTTGTTCCAGATCTTGAGTAGAAAACAGGCCGGGGAAATGTGCATTGCCGAGGAGGCGGGTGGGATGCCATTGCGATTCTGTGGCTTAGTTTTGCATGTGCTTGAGAGGACTTGGTGAACTTGGCCTTCAAGTGCTTTCACCCACAAGTATGATATGGTTTGGGCTGGGGGTGGAGGGTGTTGCAGAGGTTGATGAACGTAAATCTGTCAGTGGGTGATTTTCAGACATCTGCCTGGAGCACTTGCAGACAAACATTGGAGTCATTGGAGCCAGGGAAATGCCTGACAATGCCTGGGAAAACCTGAGCCAAAAAGCTGGCCCGGGGACACTGCTGGGCCAGAAAAAAAGGATGTGTCAGTAATAAATAGTTTATAATTTAAATTGGGAGCAAAAAGGAGAGAGGAAAAAAAGAAAGAGACAAATCAATCAGGATAGGGAGCTTGGGAACTAAATATTGTCTTTGTTAGGAGTCAGTGAATGCTGCAGAAATGCACCGCCAGATCCTGGCAGTGTCTGCCATCCATTGGGCATCTCGTATCGCTCCTGCCAAAAGCCTGAGCAACAAGGCCCAGGAAGTCCCCAGTGTGTGGTTTCAGAGATTTACTCAACTAGGGCATTTCATTTTTCTTAGTGTATAACTGGCAGAGTTACATCCTATTTTCTAGCTGAAAATTCTACTGCTTAGTACAGCATGATTGAGTCAACAGCTCTAACTGTGGTTACATTTCAGAATACTTTCAAAATCTCCTCACTGATTCACAGTGCAGAATGTATATGGTACATGGCAGCTGGGTTCCTGTGGCTTCTCCAAGCCTCCATATCCTAACCTTTAAAAGGGGGATGATAATACTTGTCTTGAAGATTGTTGAAAGAGCAGATACACTGTTGGGTCAACAATAAATATGACTTCGCCTACCATAAAATGTAAGATTTTCATTCTGAAGGTAAGTCTTGATTTAATGGTTGTCTTCTCTGGCTGGCATACTTGATACTTATAGAACTGACGCCCACATAGGTACTTGGCAGAAATACAAAAGGAGACCCATCCCATCTCCTCCCTGGCAGTATTTATCTGATGATTTTTTGCATTCTGCTGCCCATATTTCTGGTTCAGTTTCAGTTTCTCCCTGTTGCATGGTGTAAACTGACATCTCACACAGAAAAGGAGGGTTCAGATTACCCCAGGAAAGTGTAATGCAGAGAACTCTTCATCAGTGTGAAACCAGGGTGGGCACCAGCAGTGAAAACCTTTGAATCAGAGGTGGATTTCTGGCTGTTGTTTACCACGTGACAAAGAGCAAACAGGCAGTTTTTCCTTCATTCCACCTGGGGTATCCCATAAACTTCAAAGTTCAAAACACACTTTGAGTGGGCAGGGGAAGAGGCATCTTCCTAATAGCCTTGACTTCCTCATCTCTGAATTTCTAAGGCAGCAATAGTTGACGCTGTGGTATAGGCATCAAGAGGCAAAAGAACACAGGAGCTAAAAGCAATGGATTTGCATTTATTCAGACAGACGTGGCTTAAAGCTCAGCTTCACAATCTACAATTATGTAATTTGGGGCATATTCATTTACTTGTTTGATTCCTATTTATCTTCTTCCTTCATTGTGTTGAGAGAATTAAATTAGGTAATCTATGTAATTAGCACAGTGCACTGCACATTGGTAAACATCAGTAAATATTTTTCAATAATAATGTACAGTGTGTTTTATATTATTGTTCCGTACATGTCAGGCTAATCTCTTCATTTCAGCTCTAAGCACCTTAGGAGAAGGACACTGTCTCTATTTGTTGAGTTCTGTATGGAATGACTGCAGTGTAATTGTACCATAGAGTAGATGGCCATTCAGTATTTGAAACATTGGTCAACTATCAGCAGAGAAAGATGGCTCTTGAATCTATTTAAAGCTCTTTAAGTCCTTTAAAGAAATTTCCAAATACACTTCTGAAATTTGCCAGTAATACCAAAACAATATTCCCAAATTTCCAATAAATTCTTATATTTCTAGCCAATTGTTTTCCAAATATATGAAGTTATCTGATTTTAAAACCTGCCAGACATTCCTAGTATTTATTCCTAGAATTTTAAGTTTGGAATGATTCTGACATTCCAATCTACCACAGCCTATGTTTCTTCTACAAATCCTATGATATTAAGCTCATTCCCTCAGTTCAGATTACCACAGAGGGCTGTTCAATTTGATACATGAATGTTGTATTATTGACGTAGCCAATCTGCAATGTATTGGTTCCAAGAACAGGCGGCAATAATGATGCCTCAGCAAATAAGATGCAGATGTTCTAGGAATATCCATGCAAGACAAAAGTGTGCTGCAAAAATGAATAGGTGCTACTTGTAAAAGTATACAAAATTATTTTCTAAGTTTCAAAATATGTTTACTGCATGCCTTGAGGCATTGGTGGGTTAAATTGAAAATGTATTATTCATTTTAGAAAAAGTATGACTAACAATACACATATTTCCAACATCACTGATTCTCTATAGAGCCTCCCTTCTCTGCTACAATGCCTCACTCTCAGGGTTGCCTGAGACAGGAGTTGGACCACATGGCTTGACCCAGGAGGCATGTTCAGGCTGAAAGAGACTGAGAGACAGAACCAGTTCCTGGTTCAGGGATCGTGCCTAAAATGTCCTGCATCTAGTTCTACAGAATGAAATACTAGACTCTTAGAAGAGGCACAGAATATCATCGTAAATACAGCATCCTATGCTGCTACATTGAAGAGGAAGAATTTCAAGGCTCATCAAAATCAAATTGCTTAGGCTTCTGTAGATTGATAATATAACACCTGGAAATAATTATGTGGGGAAGAAAAACAAAAAGTACCAGAAAAGTCCTCCCAAATATCATCTACTCAATAGATTTTGATTCTGGACTGACATTCTATCTGTGGCACTTCAAGCAATTCGACTAAAGGAAGCCCGCTTATCTGTATGTTAAATGTACTAAGTCAGTGGGTGGAGTGACATATGGGGTCATTCCAATACTCTTTTCTGGTTTCTTTAAGGTCAGGGCCTAGAATGTACCTTGAGACCTGTTCCCCAGCTTGAGAAGGAGAGGGAGCCATAAGGAAAAACTCCAGTGGAGGGAAAGGAAGAAAATGGCATCTCCTAATAGGTGTGCCATATTACATGGCCTGTATAGAAGATCGGTGGGTCAAAGGGCAACTGAAAAACTCACTAGTAAGGGCAAAAAGGGCTTGTTTCTCTTATAGAGTAATTCCTGTGTATCTTATTTATCTTTCACTTGTGCCACTCATTTACATAGAATACCTTTGCCCATAAGTTGGAGTATTTTTACCCCTCAATGTTGGCAAGTTGCAGGGTAGCTTTATGGTAAAAGAGAGCAAAGGTGTGTCGTCCTTTGATTCCCAAGATTCCTAGTGGAAGTATTTTCTTTGTTATTCTCTGAACAAAAGATAAAGAGGAGGCTGGACTTCGGAGTATTTGTGAAAATGCTATTTCTAGCCCTCCATCCACACAGTGCCTTTCGGTGTTCATCTGGAGGTGATGAAGGTGGATGCAGGTGACTCCTCCGCTCTACCCATGCTCACAGCCCAGCCCACTCTTCTCAAGAGTGCCCCACCATTTCCCCATCAAGTCCAAAGGCAGCACCAGAAGGGTAGAGTGAGCATCCCCGAAGTCTGTGTCTTTATTATTTCCGTGGTCTGCTTCAAGTGTTATCCCATGTGCTTGGGGTAATGTGTTTGTTTAATTGATGAAAACTCTAGGTGGCAGGAGGCTGGGAAGGTGGCTAGGCTTTTTCATATTTATTCTCATGGAAAACATTCCCCTTTATAAATCTTTTTGCTACAAATAGTGTTTTTTTTTCTTTTATGTAATTTTCTTAATTTTTAAAAAAATTTTTTGAGACAAGTTCTCGCTCTGTCACTCAGGCTGGAGTGAAGTGGTGTGATCTTGGCTCACTGCAACCTCTGCCTCCTGGGGTCAAGTGGTTCTCATACCTCAGCCTCCCAAGTAGCTAAGACTACAGCTGCGTGCCACCATGCCTGGCTAATTTTTGTATTTTTAGTAGAGACGGGGTTTCGCCATGTTGTCCAGGCTGGTCTCGAACACCTGACCTCAAGTGGTCTGCTTGCCTCGGCCTCGGATATGCTGGAATTACAGGCATGAGCCACCACGCCTGGCCGCTTTTATGTAATCTTGATGTAACACCAATCCCATGTAGTCGGCACAAATTATAAAGTGTGTAAATGACTGGTGAAAAAATAATGCCCTTCTCAAAGAGAAGATAATTCCATTACAGGGAATCTAGGGGCCGTTCAATGCCAGAGGATCCCACCCAGGAAAGCTGGTGGCTGCAGGGATAAAAGCCAGCAGTTTGGAAAGAAACACCTATAAGAACATGGACCACGTAGGAGCCTAGCTTCAAGCTCCGCTTTACCAGGCTTCCCTTCCCCTTTGCTGAATTGCAGCTCCTGATCCTGCCTGCATCCTACTGGCCTGTGTTACATAAAGATCTAGTTCTGGAATACAGGAAATATGGTGGAGATTGTTCTATGTTAAGGTTCCAAGCCAAGTACGGGCCCATATCCTCAGCTAAGATAATTATTGGTGGGTGAATAAATTAGGCTTGCCGACACTTGTCTGTTTAAGCAAAGACAGCATTTTAAATATTAGAAGAATGTCCACTTCACTCTACAGAGTCAACATTATTCAGCACTTCCATTAGCTGTGGATTACCAAAGCAGAAGACAATTCTTAAGTTAAGAAAATTTTATGAGTGAAAAGACAAATGTAAGCAAAGTGGATACATATTCTGAAAGTTTTATGTAAAAACCAAGGTGCAGGTGCAAGTATATGTAATTGATACGTAATGCAGAGAGGCAGAATGGGAGAGCAGAGGAGAACACGGACTCGGGAGCAAGATGGCCTAGGTGTGGAGCATGGCTCTGCCACTGACTACCTGGGAAACCCTGGGCAAATTACCTGACCTCTCTGGGCCTTGCTCTCTCCTCATCTGTACAATGGGGCAATGATAGAACTTGTCTCAACGGATTGTAGAGAGGATTAAACACGCTAGAGCATGTAAAGAACTTGGACACACTGCTTGACACTTAGTAAGTGTTGTGAAAGTATTAGCTTCCTAATGCAAGCATTGTCTTTGCCTCTTCATCCTCTTTTTTTTTGTACCCTTCATCCTCCTCTTCTTTTTCCTTCTCCTCTTTCTGTCTCTTTTCCTCTTCCTCCTCGTCCTTCTTTATTAGCATGATTGTACATGCGAAATGGCCAGGGCTGGCTATATAATTTGTCGAGCACAGGACAAAATGAAACTTCAGGGCCTCTTGTCCAAAAATCAGGGGGAAAAAACATTTCTTTTTCTTCTATCTCTCTCTCATACCCAATCTATCACAGGGTTCTTTGTTGGCTATTTATTGACCCATCTTCTCTCAGGCACGTATATTCTCTGGGCAAGTATAGACTCACAAGTGCCTGGAGTCCCTCCTCGAAATTTGGTGTGTGAGTGTGCGCCCAACTCCACCCTTTGCTGTGTTTGTGTCCAGCCTTTTGCCAGGGGTGAGGTGACAGAGATCACTGGGCTAGGGGCAGGAGAGGGTTGGCAGAGAACCCATCCCAGGGAGGCAGGGAGGTGGTGAGTGGGGGACTGCACAGGAGCAGAGGCCCCAAGCCCTAGTGCACACTTCATTGTTCCACTGGACTTCACTTAGGAGAAACACATTCAAAGGTAAAATTATTAAGAATTTTCAACATGATCACAGAGCGCCGATGCTCCAAGGGGTGGCCCCCTTCTGAGTGTGGGACCCTGTGTCAGATACATGAAGTTGGCACTGACAGTAGCAGAAAAGATGTGAAGTTAGCAATCAACGAAATCCCATTTTGGTTATTAAGTGATTCTTTGGCTTAAGATGTAGAAATTGGATTTTATTATCAGTTTTAGTGAGACGAACACAAATTAGGTAACTCATTTTATCCATTTATTAAACTTAGGGAGAAAAATGCACATTTTAACCAACTGGTCTACCCCAGAGATGTAGTAAAAAAGTAGCTTTTAAAAAGACCTTTGTGCTCTTCTACCCAAAAGCATTAGATGGGCATTTTCCAAAGTGTGTTACTTGAGAAAAGGGTTCTGTGAGGAACAATTGGCTCCTTGGGTAAAACAGAATTAACGGATTTTTGAAATTCAGGACTACCCACTTACTAAGTGGGTAGTCTAATTGTTTTTCTGTTTATTTACCTTAGGTCTTACTCTTTTCCAATTAATCATCTTAGACTTTGGAAGGTGAGGGGAAACATGGAAGCAGAGTCCATTTAGCAAGCTGAGATATTGTCAAATTTCAAAATGAATTTTTAAAATTAAATTTAATTTTTTTATTTTAAAAGTTTTACTTTAAGTTCTGGGATACATGTGCTGAACATGCAGATTTGTTACATAGGTACACATGTGCCATGGTGGTTTGTTGCACCTATCAACCCATCATCTAGGCTTTAACCCCCTAATACATTAGGTATTTGTCCTAATGCCCTCCCTCCCCCAGCCCCCCACTCCCCGACAGGCTCTGGTGTATGATGTTCCCCTCCCTGTCTCCACATGTTCTCATTGTTCAATTCCTACTTGTAAGTGAGAACATGCAGTGTTTGGTTTTGGTTTTCTGTTCCTGTGTTAGTTTGCTGAGGATGATGGTTCCCAGCCTCATCCATGTCCCTGCAAAGACATGAACTCATCCGTTTTTATGGCTGCATAGTATTCCATGGTGTATATGTGCCACATTGTCTTTATCCAGTGTATCCAAAATGAATTTTTAATCTTAAATGTAACTGGCCTCTCAGTTCTTCCACCATGTCCCCTCCAATGATCATTTTCTATAATTATCCACTCCTAAGACCATATTCTTAGTCCCCTCCCTCTGTCCTTTAGCTAACCAACTCTAGTACTCACTAGTAATTCTTCTGCCTTGTTGACGAATTGACCACCAACAAATCATTGACCAGCACTTTAATACCTCCCTTAGTGCCCTCATTTCCTTCTGTATCCAGCTTAATGACCATGCCCTGTCACTAGGAACATTAGCACCCTAATTCTTTCATACCCTCCCCTCACCGAACTTGGCTGGGAGAGCCCCAATCCTGGTTAAAACCCACAACTACCTACTATGTGCCTGCACTTGGTTGGAGAAAAACCCACAACTGTGCTGACTGTTCTCACTTTAAATCCTTGCCCTCAAATCTCAAATGGACATTCAACGTAGCAGCAAATCTTATTTACTTCACTTTTCCATGCTTCAAAATTACTCTTTTTATCCCTTCTCCTCTTCCCTTCCTCCGTGTTCCTATCTTGGGACCCTGCTTCATTCTTCATTGGAAAAATAGAAGCAACTAGGTAGTAATTCTTTTACTTTTTTTCAGCAGTTAATCTACCCATACCCTTTTCCTTTCCTTCTTGTGTCATAAACAAAGTGCCCCTTCATCCTCTCAAGGAGTTATTCTTACTCTGTACCACTTTTCGGCTCCTGAACTCTTATCAGTATCTCCCCTCCTGTGTCACTCACTGTATCTCCAACATCCCTACTCTGTCTAGGGCAGTGAACCCCAGCCTTTTGGCACCAGAGACCAGTTTTATGGAAGACAATTTTTCCACGGACTTTGGGTGGAGAGTGAGGGATGGTTTCGGGATTATTCAAGTGCAGTACCTTTATTGTGCACTTTATTTCTATTATTATTACACTGTAATATATAATGAAATAACTATACAACTCACTATAATGTAGAATCAGTGGGAGCCCTGAGCTTGTTTTCCTGCAAATAGATGGTCCCATCTGGGAGTGATGGGAGACAGTGACAGATCATCAGGCATTAGAGTTTCATAAGGAGGATGCAACCTAGATCCCTCACATATGCAGTTCACAACAGGGTTCATGCTCCTATGAGAATCCAATGCCCGTGCTGATCTGACAGGTGGTGGAGCTCAGGAGGTAATGTGCATGATGGAGAGCGGCTGTAAACACAGAGAAGCTTTGGTCACTCGCCCACCGCTCACCTCACGCTGTGCGGTCCCCTATGGGGGTTGAGGAACCCTGGTCGAAGGGATACACAACTAGAGCCAAAAATGTGCCCTGAAAGCTCCTGTTTAAAGAACATAATATAAAACAAACCTTACATGATCCCATTTTATCCTTCTAGCTTCTGCTCCATTTCTCTGTGCCCCTTCAGAGCAAACCTTCTTTAAGAGCTGTCTGTAAGCACTATCTTCACTCCCTCACTTCAGTTCTCTGCTTCAGTCATTCCGGTTGAGTTTCTGTCCCCACTCCCCCTCCTGAAGCTGCTCATGTCAAGGCACCATTACCTCCATGCTCTCAAGTCCAGTGGTTTTACTTTATATAATATTGCCTCATTTTTGATATGCCTTTAAAAAAATATCTTGACTTTCATGATGCCACATACTCCTGGTTTTTCTCCCACCTCACTAGCTATTCCTTCTGTCTCCTTCACTGGCTCCTCCTCCCTGCTAGAGCTGTAAATGCTGGAGGCTTTTGGAGCACGTTCCTGAGCCCTCTTCTAATCCCAAGCAATATTTTTTCCTGTGGGTGATCTCATCCAACCGTAAGGTCTTCAATATAATCTGCACACCAATGACTCCCAAATCCATGTCTCTAGCTCTTTGCTTTGACTTTCAGATTTTCTATATCCAATTGTCACAGGCATCATCTTCACGTGGATGTTTGCTAGGAAGCTCAAATTACCATGGTCAAAACAGAACGGTTGATACTTTCTTTCCCTCCCAAATCTGGTTCTTTCACAATCATCCTATCTCAGTAAATAGCCCTGTCATCCACTTAGCTACTGAAGCCAAAAATCTAGGAACTATCTTGATGTTCTCTTTTCTTTACCTTTCTATGTCAAATGTATTAGCAAGACTTGTCAACGCTTCTTTCAGAACTCATCCCTAAACTGCCCACTTCTTTTACCTCCAATGCATCACTCTACTACATACTGTCATCTTTTCTAATCTGAACAACCGCAATAACTTCTCAATTAATTTCTTTGCTTCTACACTTATACACTTATAGTCCTTTCTCTACACAGCAACTGGAGAGATGTTTAAAAAATGTAAATCAGGCCGGGCGCAGTGGCTCACGCCTATAATCCCAGCACTTTGGGAGGCCGAGGTGGGTGGATCACAAGGTCAGGAGATCGAGACCATCTGGCTAACACGGTGAAACCCCGTCTCTACTAAAACTACAAAAAATTAGCCAGGCATGGTGGCGGGCGCCTGTGGTCCCAGCTACTCGGGAGGCTGAGGCAGGAGAATGGCGTGAACCCGGGAGGCAGAGCTTGCAGTGAGCCAAGATCGTGCCACTGCACTCCAGCCTGGGCGACACAGCAAGACTCCATCTCAAAAAAAAAAAAAAAATGTAAATCAAACCATGCTTAAACCATTCCGAAGGCTTCCCTTGATGCTGGGAATAAAATCTGACCTTCTTGCACTGGTTATGCCCTACCTGGTCTAGACCTTGTCAACATCTCCATCTATCTCATATGATTCTTCCTGTGCCTGCTATGCATACTTCAGCCACTCTGGCCTTTTCTTTGTTCCTCTAATATGCCAAGGTCATCTTAACTAAGGGACCCTTACTCTAGGTTCCCACTGCCTGGAATGCTCACACCTCTGATTTCCATATGATCAGCTTCTTCTTCTCACTCAGATGCTGACTTAAATGTCACCCTTGTTATTTATGTCATTATGTAGCAATGAATTCCTGTTGTATTCAATGGGTTATAATCAATTACTAGCATTATGCATTTTGATGCTCAAATTGTTCCAAACTTGGGTATTAGGAATCCCTTCAAGCTGGCTTCTGTGTCCTTTTGACACAGCTCTGTCATTCTTTGAGTACTTTATTATATTCTGCCACAGAAAGATGTTTCAGGCTCATTTTATTCTTTCTCTGGAATCAGTTCTTCAAGGAGCTTTAATTCCTTTTAGTGGAGGATGGCATTTAGTAACCAAGATATGGGCTCTAGATGTACTCATTGTTACTGTGATGTCATTGATTTTAGACCTTCTCAGGAGACAGAACTGGTACACACACACATTATCTATCTATCTATCTATCTATCTATCTATCTATCTATCTATCTATCTATCTATCTACCTATCTATCTTGAAAAACATGAGTTCACACTGATACCCACAGTTCCAGCCTAATACTACATACTTTTTTAAACCAACCTCCTTTCCATGTTTATAGCTTTTTATTTTTCTAGCAGTGAGAATCCTGGCTCCCATTATCCTTAATATATTTATTTGCTAAGTCCCTCCATATGTAGCCAATCTCCCTACATGGACTGTCTCCTTGGCCCAGCACTGCTGGTTCACACAAGCTCATGCCAATTGGGAATCCATGCTTCCAGCCCCACTGCTGTTTGATATTAACAACTTATAACTTTCCAGTAGGTGCATTCATTCTGTCTGTTCATTCATTTGTTCATCTATCAAATATTTACTGAGTATTTAGTCACAACAGGCACAATGCTGAATGCTGCATAGACACCAGTGAACAAGGTGGCCAGAATATCTGTCCTCATGGTTACTACCCTAGACCTTGTGTCTCTGCTCTTCACAATTCATCTTTATTAAACTTGAAAGTTTGTTGAACATAAATAGGTTGAGGTTGCATATAATTCTTATTATAGAATTAGGGCTCAATTATTTTTAATATACCTTTGGATGTCCATACAGTTCTAAGTTAAAGAATATCCTAGGTAGACGTAGGTGGATAAACATATAGAAACTGTATTTAGGCTGGGTGCGGTGGCTCATGCCTGTAATCCCAGCACTTTGGCAGGTAGGTCATGAAGTCAGGCAGATCACGAGGTCAGGAGTTCAAGACCAACCTGGCCAACACGGCGAAACCCTGTCTTGAGTAAAAATACAAAAAATTAGCCGGGCGTGGTGGCAGATGCCTGTAATCCCAGCTACTTGGGAGGCTGAGGCTGGGGAATCATTTAAACCTGGGAGGCAGAGGTTACAGTGAGCTGAGGTCAACCCATTGCACTCCAGCCTGGGCGACAGGGTGAGACTCCATCTCAAAAAAAAAAAAAAAAAAAAGGAAACCGTATTTAGTAGATTTTATCTGAATATGATTCTGGAATGTGGAGTAGGCACAACCAAGTGAGAAATGCTTATTTATCTCTGGTATGTTATGCATTAGCCATATTCAAGAGTTGTAAATTTTGGCTCCAAGAAATGCTTCCAACCCATGAATCTGCATTTTGTCATGTACCTCAGAGTGACTTGATGACCTGCCTCATACATTGTAGTAAAACACCATGGGCTGCTCTAAAGGAAATGAGATTTAAATATATAGGCCTAACACTCATCTGCAATTCAGCGGCATTCCTTGCACATAGAAGGTGTTTGATAAAAAATGATTATTTGAATTAAAATTCATTTATATAACTCATCTTCTGCTGTAGTATGTGTTAAGATACTTATTAATAGCATTACTTATTTGTCTCTGCCCTTCCCACTTCTCCCATAATTGGGCATTTCTGTTGCCTTTGCAATCTGATCTCTTGAGAGTTTTTAATTCTTTTTTGCCTTTTTCTTTTTATCATGGCCGCACTTCCTGCTGAACAGTCTTGGCAAAAACATTCTTCTTCCTTTTAACATCTGTAAATATAGGTTCTCAGAATTTCACTGAAATAATTTTTGTACCTCCCCCTGAGAGAGAAAATGCTAACACAGATATTAGAAATTGTTTATGAGGCCTGATGTGTGGCAGATAAGATGGCTTCTTCAAGACTCAATTTGGGGATAAATGAGTTACTTTATATTCCACTTCCTTTTTCAAAAAACAAGTCTGGTTTTGTTCAGACCCCTTATTACATTTAGCCTCTGCTCTCATAATCCATCAAAATTACTAGCTGAAAGATCAAAAAATAAAAATCTTCTGGTGTAGATTGAGAATGTTCCGGTTTTCAAGCCTGCTGTTTAAATAGCTGCAGCACCCCTCAAACACATGGGCCTATCTCCTACTTGCTTCTAGGATTTCCTGCAAACCAGAGTCAGTTGTCTGCAATATCAAGTGAACTCAGAAGAATGGATGAGAACAAGCTACTCCTTTTGCGTGGCAACTTTTCATGACTGCATTCAATCTAAGCCCATCATCCTCATTCAGTTTTAGCCTCCCTTCTTAGTAAAATCCAATTTATAAACTTTATTGTCATGTCTATAGTTGGCCACAAGAAAGAACTAAGAAACAGAGCAGTTGAGACAGATTCCCACACAAAAGGGTTATGACTGTGTCTCAACTGTCATTTTTGGTAAGGCACAGACCTCATTTTCAAATCGTTTCAAGTATCTTTGGCAAGAGAAAAGCCTTCAAACAAGGTGTGTGAATGAATGACTAAGTGCTGTGTATTTTTAAGGTGTGGCCATGTTTCCACCTGGCTTTTCTTCTTTTCCATTAGGATGCCCTGTCAAAAGGCTTTTAAATGCTTATTCTAAATAATAAAAATAATGATAAGAATAATATTTGCTGAGCACTTATTATCTGCAACGACTCTTCCAAGTTTAGAGGGCGTCTGCTATATGTATAGCCATATACCGTCATTAGGCACTCTGCTTCTGGGAAGTGGTTCTCAAACTTATCAAAAGTAATCACCTGCTTAAAAGGCAGATCACTACCAGATATCTGATTAGTGTGCTTAGGATGGGGCTCAGGAACTGAAAATATTCACAAGCGGCTGGCAAAATTCAGCTATGATGGGTCAAACTTTGAAAACCACGGCTTAGGGTATTGAGAGGGCTCTTGGCTGTCACTGTATACACTATGATGTGATGGATAGTATTGCTGGAGAGCCATATGCAAGTACACTTTTGGTGAAGCCAGTTGAATTTTGCCGGTGACTTACCCTCTCCTTTCTGAGAGGTATGTGTCATCTGTTCTTTTGTTATGTCAAGTAACACAGGTGTCTGTAAACATCACTTCAGTGTAACCCATGAAACTCTCTGTTCAGAGGAATATCTCACTGGTTCATTCTGTAAAGCTGAGAATCAGTTTCTGGGGTAAATAACCACCCTTAATAGATGAATAGGGATTAGCATATGGGGAAATTTCTCACAGAAAGGGAACCACCATTCTATCTCATGGAACCATGACAATTGTCAAATCTACGAGCTGAAATCACTGGGGTTCCCTTTTTTGGCATCATGCGCTTCATCACTACAGAAGTGGTTCTGGTTTTGCTGCTAGCAGATCACAGACTGAGGTAGAGGCTGTGTTTGCATTTCCAGAAATTTCTAGAGTTCATCCTCCTACTGGCCTTCCAGCTGCAGAATGGGGTAACGCTGGAAAGAATAGACTGAATTGGGGCCGAAGCCTCTCAGGCTGGCTCAGTGCCCAAGGTTCTTGCATTTGGAAAACAAATGTAAATTCAAATTGTAAACATTCCCAAAAATCAAAATGATATTTTTGACTTCTCGCCGACTTGTTTAAACTTTTCAACTTCTTTCTTTTAAAAAATCGAATTGCTGGAATATGGTGTGTGAGATTTTAGAGCCAGCATTTCTTCCCACCACTGAAAAAAGTTCCCTAGAATGAGAACTTTTGCATCCAGTTTTAGCCATGAAAGGGTTCAGCTCTCTGTCAAAGATAACACTGTAATTCTCCCCACATAATGTGATGATTTATGCCCTTGGCACCTTACAGTGTTAACAGGACAGAGGGGCATGAATTCTCTGTTGTTAATACAGAAATAGTTCTCACAACTTTAGCTGTGCCATCCCATGTGGCACTGGTCAGAGAAGTAAAACCAAACCAAACAATTCCAATAAGAGCAGATGCTTAAGTACTTTTTACACTGATGGGTTTGTGGAGCTGTTTTCTCTTAAGGATGGAATAATTTGAAACACCTTTCCCACCAGTTCATCCACTCTGGCAGCAGCTAAGCAGCTCCATGGGACCTCCCTACTCTTGATGCCTGCAAGGTTAGGTCCCCTGAAGGGCGAGCGTGGCCCAAGATGCCCTTGCTTGGCCACAGGTTTCAAAGGACATCTGCAAATCATTGTGCAAAACTGAAAAGTACAAATTCACCACAGCCCGATTCTCTCGTGTTGCATGTGATATTTCCTGTTTTGAAGGTTTCCTTGGTATCGTACATTGGCTGTGAAACGCCAGCTGCTCTAAGTGACTCAAATTTATAGATCCTTTGATCAATTATCTTGTCATGTTACTCAATTGCTAGATAATTGAGAGGAGGGTTAAACTCTCTCCTTATGTAAATATGACTTAATTGTTTAAAAATTCTGTCTTTTAGCTTGTGCTAAGAGAACCTTACTTTTTTTTTTTTTTTTTTTTGCATATTTAGTTTGCATCGTCAGAGGAACCTTTTCTCCCTAATGATATCCCATAGTGCTTTGCAGGTAGACCAGACTGGAAATATTATTAATGACAGATTGAAAGTAATAGAGTGACTTATCTAAGTTTTGCATTCTTTGATGATTCATTTAGTTTGTAATACGCTTAGATCTTTGCAAAACAGAATAGTGAAAGTGAAGCAGCAAAAAAAAAAACAACCACAGACTATGAACTGAGTCTCCCAGCTGAAGGGCAGGTTGAAAGCAGCAGCACAAATTTTTATCAGGTTCTTGTATTTTCCTTCGTGGTACAAATTCCAAAGTGATGGTTAGGGTGTAGGTATGGTCATAGAGACACATTCAAATTTGCAGTAATTGGACTTGTTTTTCCTAAAAGCCAAAATGGCTGGAAAAATATCCAAGGAAATTTGTGGTATTATGACATTGGTGCGTCATGTGCTTGTGAAGCTTAACAAATATTTCTTTGCTAATCCTGACACTTATCTCATGAAAATCCTCATCTAGCCCCTGCTTGCAAACTTCCAAGGACAGGGTATTTACTACCTTGTGGGGACAGACCTGGTTCACTATGAATCAGCTGTATCAGTTACAATGCTTCTTCTCATTAGTGAGGCCCACTTTGTTCCCCTGAAGTTTTATCCATTTATTCAATAATTGAGTTCACAGTTACTGAGCACTACCCATTAATGACCATAACATGGTTCTTAGTTTTGAGGGAGTTCTAGTTCAGTATTCCTCAACCATTTTTTTTTATTATCGCTACCTTAAGGAGCCCTTTTAGATTTTTTCCTCCCTAATCACCCATCCATCCCATGAAAATTCAATACCATAGTTTGGTGTTCCTAAGACATTTTTTATTATTGTTCCCTTAAGGAGCCGTTTTAGAATTTTTCCCCTAATTTCCTCTCCATCTCATGAAAACTTAATATTGTAGATCTGTTTATGTGCTATAGGTATACCTGTGCTTATTATATAAAAAAGTAAAGTCTTTTTTTGCCCCTCATGAACCAATTTCTGCCCCTTGGGGAAGAGAATGCATGGTCTAATGGGAACTACTACAGACGTGTGCAAATGACTAAAATCTTGTATGGGGATGCCAGCATACTCTTCCCTCTGTCCTTGTTCTTTTACTCCTACACTTTGCACATGCTTTTAGAAAGAATTTTGGGAGGCCAAGGTGGGTGGATCACTTGAGGTCAGGAGTTCGAGACCAGCCTGGCCAACATAGTGAAACCTCAACTCTACTAAAATAAAAAAATTAGCTGGGTGTGGTGGCTCGCACCTGTAATCCCAGCTACCCTGGGGGCTGAGGCAGGAGAAGTGCTTGAACCCAGGAGGTGGAGGTTGCAGTCAGGCGAGATTGTGCCATTGCACTCCAGCCTGGGTGACAGAGCAAAACTCCATCTCAAAAAAAAAAAAAAAAAAAGCTTCTTTCATATCTTATTTTAATTATTTGCTTAGTCATTTGTAGTGAGTCGAATGATGACCCTCCCCCAAAAGATATGTCTTACCCAGAACCTTTGAATATAACTATTTGGGAAAAGAGTCTTTGCAGATGTAATTCAGGATCTTGGAATGATACCATCCTGGATTATTTGGATAGGCCCTAAATTCAAGGACAAGTGAGTGTCCTTATTAAAGAAAGGCAAAGGGTATTTGAGACAGATACAGAGGAGAAGGCTACATGAAGATGGAGGCAGAGATTGGAGTGATGCGGCTGCAAGCTAAAGAATGCCAGCAGAAGTTAATAGCCACCAGAAACTGGAAGCGATTCTCCCGAGAACCTCTGTGAGGAGTGTGGTCTGGACTGAAACTAGACTGTGGACTTTTGAACTCCAGAACCGTGAGATAATGCATTTCTGTTGTCTGAAGCCACCAAGTTAGAAGTAATTTGTTATGGCAGCTTTAGGAAACAAATATACTGTCTTTCTCCTCCACTCTACCCTAGTCTCCAAAAGGCACAGCATCTTATTGATTTAAGTATTCCTAAGTGCATAGCCTGATGACTGGCATATAGTAGACGCTCAGGTTACGTTTGCGTGGTAGAAACAGTAAGTGGGAAGTGACTCTAAGCTTGCTGCCTCCCCTGCTACATACACTTGGAAGTATTTGAAGATTACAACCCTGTACACCTTCCCGTCTCCTCACACCCCCAGCAACCTTCTCCTGGGCCAGTGGCACAGTCCCTGTGTCTTATATTTTATGTTTAGAAATAAACATTTAAAAAATGTTAAAATATATAAACCCACAACTTTATGCAAATTAGATAATAACATGTACATTTTTCTGTAGTCTGCTTTTTTCCCTCACTAACTAACTTATCATGGGCATCTCTCCATGTGAATAAATGTAGCTATACATCATCATTTTACTAGCTACCTGGTTTTCATTGTATGGATTCCTATAATGTATTTAACCAATCTCCTATTGATGGATGCTAATGTCTTTCTTGAAATGGAATAGTCATTTTGACATAAGATACTGTATATATCACCAATATAATGAGACTATTTTTGCTTTTGACTTGAACACTACACTAGTTTTATTGTGACTGACAATTTCATTAGCTTTGTGAGATAGTGGCTACTTTCTTTTGATAGCAGACTGCTATTGTCTTTTGACTCTGTAATTAACTAAAACCCCTACATCTTTTAACCTGAACAGCTATGAAGTGGGAATGCTCCTAACTTGTGTTTAAATAATTGATTATATAGTTAAAGAATTCATGTGGGATTTTTACGTAACTGTAATCTAACCTTCAGCATGGTCTTTTTTCTACTTTTATATTTTGTTTAGCCTGTTGGTTTTATACTTTTTAATTTTTGTGGTTACATAGTAGCTGTATATATTTATGGGTTACATGAGATGTTTTGATATAGTCATACAATGTGTAATAATCATCTTGGGGTAAATGGCATATCCATCAACTCAAGCATTTATCCTTTGTGTTAAAAACAATCCGATTATACTCTTTCAGTTATGTTAAAATGTACAATTAAATCATTATTGACGTAGTCACCTTGCTGTGCTGTCAAATACTAGATCTGATTCATTATTTTTACCTTTTTTTTGGTACCCATTAACCGTTCTCACTCCATCCACCCACTACCTTTCCTAGCCTCTGGTAACCATCATTCTACTCTCTATCTCCATGAGTTCAATTGTTTTAATTTTTAGCTTCCACAAATAAGTGAGAACATGTGAAGTTTGTCTTCTGTGCCTGGCTTATTTATCTTAACATAATTCCCTCAAGTTCCATCTATGTTGTTGCAAATGGTAGGATCTCATTCTTTTTTATGGCTGAATAGTACTCCATTGTGTATATGTACCACATTTTTTTAATCCATTCATCTGCTGATGAACACTTAGGTTGCTCCCAAATCTTAGCTGTAATGAATAGTGCTGCAAGGAGCATAGGAGTACAGCTATCTCTTCAATATACTGATTTCCTTTCTTTTGGGTATATACCCAGCAATAGACTTGCCAGATTATATGACAGCTCTATTTTTAGTTTTTGGAGGAGCCCCTAAACTGTTGTTCATAGTGGTTTTACTAATTTATATTCCCACCAACGGTGTTTCCTTTTCTCCACATCCTTGCCAGCGTTTGTAATTGCCTGGCTTTTTGATATAAGCCATTTTAACTGGGGTGAGAACATATCTCATTGTAGTTGTGATTTGCATTTCTCTGATGATCATTGATGTTGAGCAGCTTTTTTTGTTTGATTGTTTGAGATGGAGTTTCACTCTTGTTGCCCAGGCTGGAGTGCAATGGTGCAATCTTGGCTCACTGCAACCTCCACCTCCCAGGTTCAAGTGATTCTCCTGCCTCAGCCTCCTGAGTAGCTGGGATTACAGGCATGTACCACCATGCCTGGCTAATTTTTTGTATATTTAGTAGAGACGGGGTTTCACCATGTTGCCCAGGCTGGTCTCCAATTCCTGACCTCAAGTGATCTGCCCACCTTGGCCTCCCAAAGTGCTGGGACTACAGGGGTGAGCCACCATGCCCAGCTAACCACCTTTTTATATAGCTGTTTGCCATTTGTATGTCTTCTTTTGATAAACGTCTACTCAGATCTTTTGCCCATTTTTAAACTGGATAATCAAATTTTTCCTGTAGAGTTGCTTGAGCTCCTTATATACTCTGGTTATTAATCTCTGGTCAGATGCATAGTTTGCAAATATTTTCTCCCATTCTGTGGGTTGTCTCTTCACTTTGTTGATTGTTTCCTTTGTTGTGCAGAAGTTTTTAAACTTGTGATCCCCATTTGTCCATTTGTCCATGTTTGCTTTGGTTGCCAGTGCTTGTGGGGTGTTACTCAAGAAATCTTTGCCCAGTCCAATGTCCTGGAGAGTTTCCATGATGTTTTTCTTAGTAGTTTCATAGTTTGAGGTCTTAGATTTAAGTCTTTAATCCATTTTGATTTGATTTTTGTATATGGTGAGAAATAGGGGTCTAATTTCATTCTTCTGCATATGGATATCCAGTTTTCCCAGCACCATTTATTGAAGACTGTCCTTTTCCTATTGTATGTTCTTGTCACTCTCATCCAAAAGAATTCACTGTAAATGTACAGATTTGTTTATGGGTTCTCTATTCTGTTCCCTTGGTCTATGTGTCTTTATGCCAATACCATCCTGTTTTGGTTACTATAGCTCTAAAGTATAATTTGAAGTCAGGTAATGTGATTCCTCCAGTTTTGTTCTTTTTGCTCAGGATAGCTTTGGCTATTCTTGTCTTTTGTGGTTCCATATAAATTTTAGGATTTTTTTTTCTATTTCTGTGAAGAATGTCATTGGTATTTTAATAGGGATTGCATTGAATCTGTAAATTGATTTTGTAATACGAACATTTTAACAATATTGGTTCTTCCAACACATGAACATGAAATGTCTTTTCATTTTCTTCTGTCCTTTTTTATTTCTTTTATCAATCTTTTATAGTTTTCATTGTAGAGATATTTCACTTCTTTGGTTAAATTAATTCCTAGGTATTTAATTTGATTTGTTGCTATTGTAAATGGGATTACTTTTTAAATTTCTTTTTTTCAGATTGATTGCCGTTGGCCTATAGAAATGCTACTAAGTTTTGTACATTGATTTTGTATCCTGCAACTTTACTGAATTTGTCACTTCTAGTAGTTTTCTTTTTTTTTGGTGGAGTCTTTAGCTTTTTCCAAATAAAATATTGTATTATTTGCAAACAGGGATAATTTGACTTATTCCTTTCTAATTTGGATGCCCTTTATTTCTTTCTCTTGTCTGATTGCTCTAGCTAGGACTTCCAGTACTATGTGGTGTAACAGTGTTGAAAATGGACATCTTTGTCATTTTCTAGATCTTGGATGAAAGGCTTTCAATTTTTCCTCATTCAGTATGATACTAGTTGTGGGTCTGTTGTATATGGCTTTTATTATGTTATGTTCCGTCTATACCCAGTTTTTTGAAGGTTTTTATCATTAAGTGATGTTTAATTTTGTCAAGTGCTTTTTCAGCATCAATTGAAATGATCATATGACTTTGGTCCTTCATTCTGTTGATATGATGTATCATGTTGATTGATTTGCATATGTTGAACCATCCTTGTACCCTGGAATAAATCCCACTTGGTCGTGATGAATGATCTTTTTAATATGGTATAGAACTCAGTTTGCTAGTATTTTGTCGAGGATTTTTGAATTAATGTTCATCAGAGACATTGGCCTGTAGTTTTATTTTTTGATGTGTCTTTGTGTGGTTTTTGTATAAGGGTAATACTGGCCTCTTAGAATTAGTTTGAAAGTATTCTCTCCTCCTCTATTTTTCAGAACAGTTTAAGTAGGATTGATATTTAGACTTCTGTAAATGTTTGGTAAAATTCAGCTGTGAAGCCATTGAGTCTCGGGCTTTTCTTTGCTGGGAGACTTTTTATTATGGCTTTGATCTTGTTGCTTGTTATTGGGCTGCTCAGGTTTTGGATTTCTTCATGGTTCAATCTTGGTAGGTTGTATGTGTGTAGTAATTTATCCATTTCTTCTAGGTTTTCCAATTTATTGTCATATTGTTGCTCATAGTAGCCTCTAAAGATCTTTTCAATTTTTCTGGTATCAGTTGTAATGTCTCCTTTTTCATGTCTGATTTTGTTTATTTGGGTCTTCTTTCTTTTTTCTTAGTTTGGTTAAAGGTTTGTCAATTTTGTTTATCTTTTCAAAAAACCAACTTTTCATTTCATTGATCTTTTGTATTATTTTCTTTATTACAAATTCATTTATTTCTGCTCTGATCTTTACTATTTCTTTCCTTCTACTAATTTTGGGTTTGATTTGCTCTTGCTTTTCTAGTTCTTCAACATGAATTGTTAGATCGTTTCTTAGAAGTTTTTTTTTTACTTTTTTGATGCGTGCTTACAGCTATAAAGTTCCCTCTTAGTACTGCTTTTGCTGTATCTGATAGGTTTGGATATGTTGTGTTTCCGTCATCATTTGTTTCAAGAAATTTTCCAGTCTCCTTCTTAACTTCTTCATTGACTCACTAGTCATTCAGGAGCATATTGTTTAATTTCCATGTGTTTTTATAGTTTCCAAAATTCCTCCTGTGATTGATTTCTAGTTTTATTCCATTGTGGTCAGAGAAGATACTTGATATTATTTCAATATTTTGAACTTTTTTAAGACTTGTTTTGTGGCCTAACATATGGTCTAGCCTCAAGAATGATCCAAGTGCTGAGGAGAATAATGTGTATACTGCAGCTGTTGGATGAAAAGTTCTGAAATATCTATTAGGGTCAGTTAATCTACAGTGCAGATTAAGTTCAATGTTTCTTTGTTGATTTTCTATCTGGATGATCTATCTAATGTTGAAAGCGTGGTGTTTGATTTCTCTAGTTATTATTGTACTGAAGTCTGTCTCTCTCTTTAGCTCTAATAATACTTGCTTTATACAACTAGGTGCTCCAGTATTGGATGCATATATATTTACAATTGTTATATCCTATTGCTGAATTGACTCCTTTATCATTATATAATGACTTTCTTTGTCTCTTTTTTATAGTTTCATCTTGCAATTTATTTAGTCTGATATAAGTATAGCTTATCCTGCTCTTTTTTTTTGTTATTTATTGGCATATATCATTTTCCATCCTTTATTTTCAGTCTATATGTGTCTTTATAGGTGAAGTGTGTTCCATGTAGGCGGTAGATCATTGGGTCTTGTTTGTTTTTTAATCCAGTTAGCCACTGTATGTCTTTTGATTGGAAAGATTTGTCCATTTACATTCAATGTTATTATTGATAAGTAAAAACATTCCTGCCATTTTGTTATTTGTTTTCTGTTTGTTTTGTGGTCTTATCTTCCTCATTTCCTTCCTTCTTGTCTTTCTGTTAGTGAAGGTGATTTTCACTGGTGATATGTTTCCATTTCTTGCTTTTTATGTTTTGTGTATTCGTTGTATGTTTTTTGATTTGAGGTTACCATAAAGCTTGCAAACAATATCTTATAATTCATTACTTTAAACTGATGACAACTTAATAATGACTGCATAAACAAACTAAAAAACAAGCAAAAAGAAAACTAATAAAAATTCTACACTTAACTTCATTCCCCTACTTTTTAACTTTATGTTGTTTCTATTTTTATCTTATTATACAGTCTATGTCTTCAAAAGCTGTAGTAGTTATTATTTTTAATTGGTTCATATTTTAGTTTTTCTATTTAAGTTATTAGTAGTTTATACACCATAATTACATTGTTGTAATATTGTGTGTTTTTCTGCATACTTACTATTGCCGGTGACTTTAGTACCTTCAGATGATTTCTTATTGCACAATAATGTCCTTTTCTTTCAGATTGAAGAACTCCCTTTAGCGTTTCTTGTAGGATTGGCCTGATCTGATGAAATCCCTCAGTTTTTGTTCATCTGGGAAAGTCTTTATTTCTCCTTCATGTTTGAGGGATATTTTCAGCAGACATACTATCCCAGGGAAAAAGTTTTTTTCCTTTAGCGTTTTAAATATGTCATGCCACTCTCTCCTGGCCTGTAAGGTTTCCACTGAAAAGTCTGCTGCCAGATGTATTGAAGCTCCATTGTATGTTATTTATTTCTTTTCTCTTGCTGCTTGTAGGATACTTTCTTTATCCTTGATCTTTGGGAGTTGGATTATTAAATGCCTTGAGGTAGTCTTTTTTGGATTAAATCTCCTTGGTGTTCTATAACCTCTTGAATTTGACTATTGACATCTCTCCCTAGGTTTAGGAAGTTCTCTGTTATTATTGCTTTGAATAAACTTTTTACTCCTCTCTCTTTACCTCCTCTTTAAGGCCAATAACTCTTAGAGTTGCCCTTTTGAGGTTATTTTCTCGATCTGGTAGACATGCTTCATTCTTTTCTATTGTTTTTTCTTTAGTCTCCTCTGACTGTGTATTTTCAAATAGTGTGTCTTCAAGCTCACTAATTTTTTCTTCTGCTTGATCAGTTCTGCTATTAAGAGACTGATGCGTTCTCCAGTTTGTCAATTGCATTTTTCAACTCCAGAATTTCTGCTTGATTCTCTGTATTTCATTCTCTTTGTTAAATTTACCTGATAGGATTCTGAATTCCTTCTCTGTGTTGTCTTGAATTTCTTTGAGTTTCCTCAAAACAGTTATTTTGAATTCCCTGTCTGAAAGGCCACATATCTTTGTCTCTTCAGGATTTGTCCCTGGTGCCTTATTAAGTTCATTTGGTGAGGTCATGTTTTCCTGAATGGTCTTGATGCTTGTAGATGTTTGTCAGTGTCTGGGAATTGAAGAGTTAGCTATTTGTTGAAGTCTCACAGTATGGGCATGTTTGTAGCCATCCTTCTTGAAAAGGCTTTCCAGGTATTCAAAGGGACCTGAGTGTTGTGATCTAAGTTTTTAGTCATCACAGCCATATTTGCATTGGGGACACTCAAGCCCAGTAACACTACGATTCTTGCAGACTTTTAGAGATACCAGTTTGGTGGTCTTGGATGATCTGAGAGAATTCTCTGGATTACCAGGCAGAGACTCTTATTCTCTTCCCTTACTTTCTCCCAAGTAAATGGAGTCTTTCTCTCTCTATGGGCTGAGCTGCCTGGAGCTGGCAAAAAGGTGACATAAACACCCCTGTGGCCCCCACTACTTGGGCTGTGCTGGCTTAGACCTGAAGCTAGCACAGCACTGAGTCCTGCCCAAAGGTCCACTGTACCACTGCCCAGCTACCACCTATGTTCACTCAAGGCCCTAGGGCTATGCAATTAGCAGGTGGCAAAGCCAGACAGGCTTGTGTACTTCCCTTCATGCTGCTAAGTTTCTCCTGGCCCCAGGCTGGTCCGAGATGATGTCTGGGAGTCAGGAACTGGAGTCATAAACTTTAGAAATTTACCTGGTGTTCTATTCTACTGCAGCTGAGTGGACACTCAAACCACAAGACAAAGTCCTTCCCACTCTTCCTTCCCCTTTCCTCAGGAAAAGGAGTCTCTCCCCATGGCCTGTGCCACCACAGGCCCACGGGCAGTACTGTCATGCTACCGCCAATGTTCACTTAAGGCCCAAGAGCTCTTTAGTTAACTTGTGGTGAATAATGCCGGGTGGAGGACTTACCCCTCAGGGTAGTGGGTTCCACTCTGGCCCAAGGCAGTTCCAGAAATACTATCCAAGAGCCAAGGCCTGAAATTGGAGACTCCAGGAGCCTGCTTTGTGCCCTACCCCACTGTGGCCAAACTCGTACCTAAGGTGCAAGATAAAGTCCTGTTTACACTTTACCCTGCTTTTCTCAAGCAGAAGGAATCTCTCCTCATAGCCACCACAGTTAGGAATGTTCTGGGTCACACCTAAAGCCAGCATGGCTCTGAGTCTTACCCAAAGCTCACAGCAAGTACTGCCTGGGTACTGATGCTGATTATTTAGGACCCAACAACTCTTTAGTCAGCAGGTGATAAATTCTGCCAGGACTGGGTGCTTCCATTCAAGGCAGTGGGTTCCCTTCTGGTCCAGGGTGTATATAGAAATGTTGTCTGGGAGCTAGGGCCTGGAATGAGGGCCTCAGAATAGGTGCTGTATCCTACCATGGTTAGGCTGGTCTCTAAGTTGCAAGACAAAGTCCTCTGTAGTCTTCCCTCACCTTAAGTGGAAGGAAGGAGTCTCTTTTGGAGCTGTGAGCTGCACTGCCTGGGGTTAGAAGAGGGGTGGTGCAAGCACTTACTTGACCACTCTGGCTGGTATCTCACTAAGTCGTGTGTCCCCACAAGTCCACTGGCTCTGAGCCCAGCACAGCACCAGGACTTGCCTAGGAGTTGCAGTCCTTGTAGCCTAGATTGCCTTTCAAGTTGATTTAGGACCCCAGAACACTTTAGCCTGCAGTGGTGAGGCTTGCCAAAACTCAAGTTCTGACCACTGGGATGGGTGATTCCCCTCTGGCTAGGGTTTGTCTAAATGCTCCCTCAGTGGGCATCAGTTGAGTTCTGCTCTCTGTTGGCAGCACTGAGGTCTAATGCAAAGTCCCATAATCACTGTGCTGTCTCTCCCCAGATTCTCTCTCTGCACAGATTTTCTCTGTGCCACATGGCTACTGCTGGGGGATGGGGAAGGAGTGGCATTGGCAATTGAAGACTGTATTTCTTACCTTCTTCAGAGCCCCTTTCAGTGATACGAAGTTAAAACTAGGTACTGTGACCGCTCATCTGATTGTTTGTTCTTATGAAGGTGCTTTGTTGGGTAGATAGTTGTTCAATTTGGTGCTGCTGTGAGGATGATTGGTGGAGGCTTCTATTCAGCCATCTTGCTCCACCTCCTCTAGTTTCTACTTTAAAATTTTACACTATATCATAAGCATTTTTTTCTACTGATTTTCATTAGTTTAAACCTATAATATTTTATATTTATCTCTGTTTATTATTGGAAAAATATTCCATCATTTCAACTCACTGAGATAATTCTGGAACTAAACTTTGTTCTCAATTATACCAGTCATTCACACCCAATAAGCAGGTATTTTATATTTTTGTCTATGTTAGGGATTGTAGTGTTGACTAGTGCAAGGCAAGAGATGAAACTCTGACTCTTACCTCAAGATGTCTACTTCCTGGTTGATACTAAATTTCTAACGGACACCTTGTCTTCATCATCCATATACTACCTCCAACTGATTGTATCGGCTTTCATCTTGGCTCATGTAGGAAGGGGTTTGCACTTTATTTTGTCTTGCATTCTTTGTAGTACTTAGTACAGTGCTGGATGTGCAACGTAAGATGTACCCAATAACCATTTATTGTTTTACATTGAATTGTCCTGGAGAATATAGTGAATTGTATGTAGTGGAGCCACACAGCCGCTTAACAATTAGCACTTTCTCTTGCCCTTGCTCATTTATCACTTATTCAATAATTCATTCTAAAATTTACAAGGGATTGATCCCAAGTTCACTAGAATATATGTACCTTTACCCCTTTCTTGAAAGTCAGCAGTGAGGGCTGGGAAAGTTTTGTGCAGAAAGTGAGGTTTTGAGTTGATATTGATGGACAGTTATAATTTGAGGAGAGGGAAGGGAAGGAAAAGGCCATTTGGAAATCAGGAGCTCTTCTTAGTAAATGTGGTTGGAAGACAGAATTGTTCACAGATAGAGAATCATTTTATATTAGTAAAATTTCAGCTCAGCCAGCACCTGGACAGTCTTGAAAAAGTGAAAGCTGTGTTGGAAGCAGAGAATGTCCTGTCCCCCTCTGCTCTTCTCCATCTATATCCATTGACACTCATGATCCTTAAATGTAAGGCCTCAAGTATGTGAAAATATTAATGCATTTATTATCACCATTCCTCTCTTCCATTTGGTGCCTAGATGTGGCTATCATCCTTGGTCACGGTGTGGAAGGATAGATGAGGGTTAGTAGGAAGATCAAAGTGGTACAGAAGCCCCCTTTTTCCCATGAGCTGAGAGTGGCTAAGAAAATAACCATACAAGATATCAACTTCATTGATTCAGACTAATTAGTACTAATACTGGTAAAAGTGCAAAGTTTAAATTACTGAATACTCAAGAAAAAAGGAGATTTGTAAGTGATCAGTACATCAAACAACTCAATTAACAAATGCTTGCATCTGCAATGTTCATTATAATACAGCATCATAGTTGCAGAATTAAAATGGCAAGATTATAAAACATAAGATTTCTTGAGTTTCAAACTTCTATACAGTAGTAATACTAAAAAGTAACTCTTTGTTTCTAGAATATCACTCCATCTCTATTTACAACCCCTCTGTCTGTTCCACCTCATGCTGGGCCTGTGTGGCCTTGAAAGGAACAGATTACAGGAGGAAAAAAACCATATCCCAATTTCAGTTGTCACTTTTTAAAAACTGACACATAATAATTGTACATATTGATATGGTACAATGTGATGTTTTGATAATGTATACATTGTGTAATGATCAAATCAGGGTAGTTAGCATGTCTTATAAGTCTATCATTTCTTTGTGGTGAGAACATTCAGAATCCTTTCTTCTGGCTATTTTGAAATATGTAATACTTTTTTTTTTTTCTTGAGATGGAGTCTTGCTCTGTCGCCCAGGCTGGAGTGCAGTGGCACAATCTGGGCTCACTGCAAGCTCCGCCTCCCGGGTTCACACCATTCTCCTGCCTCAGCCTCCCGAGTAGCTGGGACTACAGGTACCCGCCACCACGCCCAGCTAATTTTTTATATTTTTAGTAGAGACAGGATTTCACCGTGTTAGCCAGGATGGTCTCGATCTCCTGACTTTGTGATCTGCCTGCCTCGGCCTCCGAAAGTGCTGGGATTACAGGCATGAGCCACTGCGCCTGGCCTGAAATATGTAATACTTTATCATTAACTGGAATCACCCTACTGGACAATAGAATACCGGAACTTATTAATCCTGTCTAACCGTAACTTTGTACCCATTGAACAATCTTTGCTTATGCTATCCCCAGACCCTGGTAACCACTTTTCTGTTCTCCATTTCTGTGAGATCAGGGTTTTTAGATTCCACATATGAGTGACATCATACAGTATTTGTCTTTCTGTGCCTGCCTGGCTTATTTCACTTAACACAGTATTCCCTAGCTTCATTCATATTATTGCAAATGACAAGATTTCATTATTTTTAATGGCCAAATCATATTCCATTGTGTATATCTGTATCTGTATCTATATCTACATATACCACATTTTCTTTATCCATTCATCTGTTGATGAACACTTAGGTTGATTTCATATCTTGGCTATTGCGCAATAAACATGGGCATGCAGGTATTTCTTTGACATACTGGTTTCATTTCTTTTGGATGTATACCCAGTAGTGGGATTGCTGGATCCTATGGTAATTCTACTTTTTACTTTTTGGGGAAACTCCATAATGACTGTACTGATTTCTGTTGCCACCAACAGTGCACAAGGATTCTCTTTTCTCCACATTCTTGCCAACCTTTGTTATCTTTTGTATTTTTTATTACAGCCATTCCAAGTGGAGTAAAGTGATATCTCACTGTGGTTTTTATTTGCATTTCCCTGATAATTAGTGATATTGAGCATTTTTTCATATACCTGTTGGTCATTTGTATGTCTTCTTTAGAGAAGTATCTATTCAGAATTTTTGTCCATGTTTTAATTGATTTTTTTTTTTTTTGCTATTGAGTTGAGTTCATTATATGTTCTGGATATTAATCCTTTGTCAGATGTATAGTTTGGAAATATGTTCTCCCATTCTGTAGGTTGTCTCTTCAGCATGTTGTTTCCTTTTTTGCTTTTGTTGCCTGTGCTTTTGAGGTCTTATCCAAAAAATTCTTGCCAAGACCAATGTCATAAAGCATTTTCCTTTGTTTTCTTCTAGTAGTTTCATAGTTTTGAGTCTTACATTTAACACTTTAATCCATTTTGAGTTGATTTTTACATATGATGAGAAATTCGGGTCTAGTTTAATGCTTCTGCATGTTGATATCCAATTTATTCAGCACTATTTGTTGAAAAGATTGTCCTTTCCCCAGCATGTGTTCTTGGTCCCTTTGTTGAAAATCAGTTGGCTGTAAATGTATGGATTTATTTCTTGACTCTATTCTGTTCAACTGTTCTGTGTGTCTGTTTGTATGCTAGTACTATGTTGTTTTGGCTACTACAGCTTTGTGGTATATTTTGAAGTCAGGTAGTGTGATACCTCCAGCTTTCTTCTTTTTGCTCAAGATTGCAACCAGAAAACAAGTAACAAAATGGCAGTAGTAAGTTCTTATCTATCAATAATTATTTTGAATGTAAATTGATTCCAATCTAAAGACAGAATGGCTAAGTGGATTTAAAAAAAAAAAGACAAGATCCAATTGTATGCTGATTATAAGAGACCTTCTTTAGCCTTAAGAACACAAATGGACTGAAAGTAAAAAGGTAGAAGATATTCCATGCCAATGGTAATCATAAGAGAGCAGGGGTGGCTATACTTACATCAGATAAAATAGACTTCAATAAACAAAGTCCACGAGAGACACAGAATGACATTATTTAATGCATAAAGGGTACAATTCATCTAGAAGACATAATAATTGTAAATAATTTATGCACCCAACATCAGAGCACCTAAATAGATAAAGCAAATATTAATGGACAAGAAGGGAGAAATAGATAGCAATACAATAATAGTAGGGGACTTTAACATTCCACTTTCAACAATGGACAGATCAACCAGACAGAAATTAACAAGGAAATACTGGAACTGGACTACACTTTAGACAAAATAGACCTAATAGATATATACAGAACTTTCCATCAAAGTGCAGCAGAATATACATTCTTCTCTAGTGTACATGGAATATTCTCCAGGATAAACCATATGGTGGCCCACAAAACAAGTCTTTTTTTTTTTTTTTTATCTTTTCTCTCTGAGTGTGACAACTAACACAAAACATGTCTTAACAAATGTTTTAAAAATCAAAATCATGACAAGTATTGTTTCCAACCACAATGATATGAAACTAGAAATCAATATCAGTTGTTACTTTTGAGATCCCACTGAGCTAACAATGCCACTTACTGTATAACAGGGTTTGTTGTGATGGGGGATGGGGATGGGGTGAATGGTGCTGGGAGGGGCCAGGCTTGACCTCAATTTATCCTTTAGGGCAGGGCAGGTCCTGCAGGCAGAGAGGTACTGAGGCAGGGAGTGTGTCCTGTTCATTGCAGAGTTTCAGCCCAGTGGCTGAACTAGACACACTGTTCAAGGGGGCAGGAGTTAGCAATATCTTGTGTTGGTTCTGGCAGATGGTTAGCACTGGGCAAGTCGGGAGGTGATTGGGATTGTCCAACAGGATGGTGGGAGCTGCTGATGCCAGATGAAGATAGGCCAGAGGCAGGAATCCATGCAGGCTCTCAGCTATCATCCAGGGACTTGTGCAGAGGTGGTGTGACCCAAAGTGACACATTGGAGCTCAGGAACACAGGGAGTGCTGGTGATGAGGGTGGGTGGCATGGCAGGGGCTTATCCTCAGCAAGAGACAGGCAACTTTAGTATGGTGGCCCATCAGAAGCCCAACCCTACAAACTGTGGGGCGGGACCTCTGTTCAACTCAAGATTCAGACACAGATACCACATTATCCGAAGGGGGGCACCGTAGTGATGGGTTAAGTGTCCCAGGTTGGGTTTACTGGGGAAGTAGATTCTGAGATGCAAATCAGCATATTTGGGAATGCTCTTGTGATCAACACCTGTGGAAGGAAGCAATTGGAATATCGAGCAGAAAAAGAAATTGGCTAAGACACCATCTGTCTTAGTCTATTTAGGTTGCTAAAACAAACTACCATAATTTGGTTGGCTTATAAACAACAGACATTTATTTCTCATAGTTCTGGAGGCTGAAGGTGTAAGATCAAGGCATCCACAGATTCAGTGTCTGCTGAGGGCCTGTTCCCAGTTGGTAGCTGGTGCCTTCTTACTGTATCCTCACATGGGAGAAGGAATGAGCTAGCTCTCTGGGGCCTCTTTTACAATGGCATTAATCCCATTCACGAGGGCTCCACTCTCATGACCTAATCACTTCCCAAAGGTCCTGCCTCCTAATACCATCACCTTAGGGGTTAGGATTTCAACATGTGAATTTTGGAGGAACACAAACATTCAGGCCATAGCACCATCCCAACAAAGGCCTTAGCCAACTCCATGGGGAAACTTGAGAGAACCCCTCAGAATTGCCCTGAGTTAGGGGAATCAGGAATCAGGCCTTTGTACCCCTATATTGATAAGTCTGGATGCAACAGGAAGCAGGTGGGACTTTGGGCCAGACACTTTTCTTCAACAGAAGCAATTCTTAAAGGTGGTTAAGAGCGGAGGGCCATCTTCTGGCTGAGCTCCCAGCAGCTGGGAGAATACGTCCATCCTTCCTGTAAAGGGATCTGGGGACTGCATCACAACATCCACCACAGCTACAACTTGAAAGATCTGAGTGCCAAATGGTCATGAATAGTAGGATGGGGACATTAGAACTTTGATCAGTATAAAAGGGAAGACATAATATTATATTAAGTACCACTGGGTTGGCCTTGGTAGGAGAAGAGGCAAGGACAAAGGAGGAAGTGGAAAAGAAAGAATGGGAGGAACGGGCCAAGACTATTTGCATACTTGAACCCAATTGCTCTGTGAATATCTGTGGGCATTTCTCCCTGTTCATTCTAGCAAATCTTGTACACTGTGGCCCTGGGGCTTATCATGCCATAAAAATATTCAAACAGTCAAATCTGCTCATCATGTGCAAACATGCAATGTTAATTTTAAGAAGTATTTCTTAAGGCACTGATGTAATTTCTCCCTTAGACTGATATTAATGTTTGATTGTGAGATTTCCAGTGTGTTGTTCCAGCCATTTTACATTACAAAACCAGAGCAGGAGATTTTTGATTAATTTATTTTAAGGGAGACCTGTCCCCTCTCTGCACAGCTCAAAGTGATCTTTGATTTAATACGACTTAGAAGGCAGGAAAGAGGACAACAGTGTTTAGATTGAGTTCAAGAATAGAAAATTCTTATATCAAAAAATCTTTCCCCTTTAAAAAATGAAGTGAGTAAGCAGAGAGGAACTCATATTAAAGCATATTTCGATGCCAGCATTTAATGTGTCACAATATTTTGCTCATCTTGGCAAATTATGAAATTTTTCTAATTCTTAGAGTGTCATTAAACAGCTGTTGTTTCTTTTCTAAATAATACTAACCCTGCCCCGCTCCCCACCCCAGAGTGTCCAGGTTTCAATAGCTTGAAATTTCAATGCAATAGCTTCAATTTCACTTTGGCATCCTTTCACAGATTATGTATGTCCACTTTGCATGTGGGATGTGACTCTGCATGAGTCTGTTGTTCATGAAAAGATTCAGCTGTAGCAGCATATGGACAACACACTTTAAAAAACGTGGTTATTTCATAGTTGCATCGACTCTGTCCAAGAAAAGGGAGCACATTCGAATTCCCTATAATTCAAACCACTTGTAAGCAGAGCCCTCCCTCCTGAGCTGGGGAGGACTGGTGTCCTTGAGGGATTGTTGTGTTCCAAACAAGCCACCTGGTTTGAAAACTCATCCTGGAACCGGTGCCCTGGCCAGGGAAATTGTAGGGAGAGAGGGTTCCCAGGTGTGAGCTATGAAGTGCTGTCCTGGGTTGGGCATGGGCTATGTTCATGTGCCGAGATTCCTTGTGTTATTCAGCCGAACACTCTCACTGGTCAATCCAGAGGTTTCGTGTGCACAGGATCACCGGTTATCCATGTGGCTTCTTATTCCACAAGGGCAGAAGGAGGTCATGGCAATAGATAGTGTGACTCAGGGAGAACAACGTGGGCTCAGGAGCTGATGAAAACTGAGTCTGCATCTCATCGCTGGCACATTACTAGCCTTAAACAAGTCATGCCAATTCTCCAAACAGCAGCTTCCTCATTTATAAAATGATGATCAACATGCGCCTGCTTTCTCTCTCTCTCTGTCTCTCTCTCTCTGTCTCTCTCTCTCACACACACACACACACACACACACACACACACACAGACACCTTGCATGGTAGTGGTGAGAATTAGAGATATGTCTAAAATGCTCAGCATACTATCTGGCCCACAGTAGGGACTCAATGCTTGGAAGCTATTATTATTAGCTATTACTAAATAAAGTCTGTGGAAAGAGTCTTTCTGTATAATCGAAATTCCCATTATGCTCATCTTATGCCCAATCTGGCAGCAAAAACGGCTTGCCAACAGCATCCGTCTTTCCATTCACAAGTCACATGAAATATATGACCTTTTTCCTAAAGGGTTCCCAAAGGTCCGCTAGCTTTCCTGGCAATGAGACAGCAATTCAAGCCAGTCCAGGTACAGAACAAAGTGGTGCCAAGAGCCACATTCCTTGCATAGAACACTCCCCAGCCAGGCCATCCACATGGCGGCTGTGTGTGCCAGCCTCTCAGGCCTGGCTCACCAGGCAGCTGCATAAATTGCTTCAAACATGAATTTATTTATGGCATAACCAACCCTGATTTTGGCCTAGCTCTTGTTCTTATTTCTTAAATGATAGTATTAGTGCTGGGGAAAGACATGTGGTGTAGGAAACTGAATTCCACAGACAAACGTTGCCAGGTGCAGGCTTACCAATGCAATTGCACTGGGCCTTGTCGGTTTATTGTCAGCTCCATAATTCCAGGCTCTGGGGTGGCAATAACTATCCTAAGTGAAGACAGTCCACCGCACATCAGTGATGCCTGGGTGGAGAGGAACGGTTTGATTTTTCTGTAATTTTGAAGTTTCGAGAGCTCTCAGCAAGGTTTTCGGAAAGTAGTTATAACCTTATAAGGAAGGTTAAAAGAAAATATCAAAGTGCACCAACGATATTTTCCAATTTTTCCCTCTTAATTTACTCTTCATCTGAAGAAGTTTAGACAGATCGAACAGTCTTTCGTTCTTAGCTTTCCCTAATTTTCAAGTCAAATTAGCCATATATTGAAATCCAGAGTTAAAATTCAATTTTTGATACAAATTCCCCCCATTCCCATTCAATCTAGTATCCCGTTGTGGTGGGAAAAGGGAAAGAGGGGATGTAAGCCATGGCATTGATTTCAGGAGAAAGGGCCAATAGGGAGGTGTGAAATTTCATAATTTTATAATTTTTGCTTTTGCTCCACGTTCTTACGGCCTATGAACCAACTAAGGAAGTAGGACCACCATCGGCCCATACAACTTAAGTCCAATATATAGACTTTTAACCTATGTCAGTGTGAATAGTTGCCTGCTTGACCAGGGACTTTAATTTCAGCGATGGAGGGACACCAGGAGAGGATGTACAACTGGGGGATGTCACCATGATGATTGCTCCTTTTTACTTTGATACTTGTGTTTGTATCTTCAATCATCCAGTCAGATGACTATTTGTTCAAATATTTATTCTACTACATGACACACTGTGCTGGACACTTCAGAGATAGCTGTGAGTTTTGCTTCCTGTGTGGTAGCTCTGTGGAAAAGGTGATGTGATGTCACAAAAATCACCAATTCTAATTTTATTTGCAGTTGAATTACTTACATTATTGCTTTCAATTCTAATCAAGGCCTTTTAAGTCATAGGCTGATTGCTATATAGAGGCAATTAAACAGGAAGGTTAGCACCTTGAATTTACCTTATGGATACAGGCATTCAGCCATCATTGGTGGGATGCAGGACAAAGTGTTTACTTTTGTCTTTCAGAGTCAAAATGGGAAAGGTTAACACAAGGAGTAAACTAAGAAAATATATCCATATCCATATTCATAATTATATCTCTGATTATCTTAAAGATAGGTCATTTTTTACTCCTCCAACACCCTCCAACGTGTTCCATCCCATGCTATCTCTGAGAGAGAAGACTGGCCGCCTGTGGAGGGGAAGCTACCTCAGTAGAGGTGGTGTTATTGCTTCCTGCTCAGCACACATTGCTTCTCCTCACAGCTTATCATCCTTCACTTTCCTTGTGGGAAAGCCCTCTTTCTCCATTTTTATCATGTGATGTGGGTGGAATTTTTGCCTCCTTAAAACTTCATAGGAGAGTACTAACTGGCTTCAGCCAATTACTATACCTGTTTCCTCTGGCTATAGTGATTGATTCAGGGAGAGGCCCTTAATCTAGTAGCTGTTGAGATGGAAAAAAAAACAAGCAAACAAAAAACAAACAAACAAACGAAACGTCTGCTAGAATTTCTGGAAAAGAGAGATTCCTCTCTTTGCTCCATGAAATCTATTAGATTTCATAGTGTGCGTAAGCATGGAGGCCAGACATTCATTCTGCGATCCCAGGGAGAGCCCTGAGCTTCAAGGGTAGGCAAGGAGAAGAGGGGAGTGTGGGGAGCTGGAGGAGGAAGCCAAGCTGCAGAAGGCAGAGCTGGGAAATGGAGAGAAGTCAGATCACTCGTGATAACTGCGCTGCTAGATTCAGCCTTCTGTAAAGTCAGCCTTATCTCTGCTTTCTAATCATATGAGCCAATACATTTTGCTTTATTTTCTGAAGGCTCTTTGAGTTGGACTTTGTGTCAGTTGTGACAAAAAGAGACTCAACAGTTACCATGGACTTTGAGCTTTTCCTGAATGCCATCCATACAATGAGTCTTATGAATTTCCATCTGACACCTTTATGTAATGATAGAAGTAAATGCATTCTAAAGATGGATTATATCTGTTTCTTCTCAAATAAATTAGTTGGTAACTGTGATAAGTGGCTGGGATGGTAAGGAGAAACAAGAGCTGAACCTATGGAAGAGTGAAAATGGCATTTTCAATTTTGGGGAGTAATATATGATTTTCTGGAATAGCTTCCATTCCCCCAAGTATCTTCATGAAACAAATCTATAAGAATGATCCTAGGATTATATGGTTATTAATAATAGATTTTTCAAAGTGCTCCATGTCCTCTTCCACTCACAGGAGATAGTTCCTATTCAGGACACACACCCAGTGCTTGCAGATCCATACTGCTAGACTACGTGAAGGAGGAAGAAAGATGTTTGCAAAGGAGCCAAGGGGGAAAGCAGGTTGCCTGCACCAAGATCAGACTGTCTCTTGTGTTCTTTGATAACTCTGAGATTTTCCTTTCCTATTCCTTTCTTCCCATCTATTAATGAGCATGAACTACATCCTGGCCTTTAATCATTGATATCATTTCATATATACTTTTTCATTATCCTCATCTCTCCTTTGCTTCTATGAACATCTGTTTCCCAGACCTCTTGATAATACAGTGTGTACATGGCAGCTTTCCCCATCTCTGAGCCACGAAGCTGAATTTCCTATGCACTTTCAAGCATTACATTGAAAATTAAGCTGAATGTACCATATTTTGTTATAATTATGGTTTAGAAAAAAAAAATCCTTGTTAATTAGGTATTCAAGAAAGTTATGTGGTCCATATGCTATAGAGGAATTTATAGTCTACAGTAATAAAGTTTGGTAATAAAGGGATAGTGATGAGTGAAAGGGACAAATGTAAATTAACATCCCCCAAATAAATCAAGCAGTTTAGGAAATTGGGCCATTCATGGAAACCACATGCAACTAGTTTTAATTGCCAGTTTTAAAGTGTCTGATTTTAGTTGTTTTAAAAAAATTATTTTTAAAAAACCAAATAGACATGATTTGAGGCTTAATATTCTGTTATCATTTGAAGGCATAGAGCTGCTATGTTATCATCAAAAATTATTTGTTATAATAAAACATTATTCTGATCATTTTTCATAGAGTCTTTGGCATTGGGTTGGACAATGATGGAAATTAGTGAGTTTTACTCAGACAAGGTCCCTTCCTTTGAGGAATTTATCCTCCATAATGATCTGCACTTGCCTGAGCAGTGTTGGGAATGGTCTCTCTTCCTTGGCATGGAAGAGTCCCCTGGGTGATAATGATGATTGACATCAAGTATCAAGGGCTTCCTCTGGGCCAGCTCCTGCACTGCGCACCTCTGCTTACAGTCCTCAGAGGGAGTGTATTACCTAAGATATTTTTTAGTTGTAAGTATGAAAAACATAAACCAGAAATTACGTAAGTGATAAAGAAACCTCTCTTGTAATAAGAGGTTTAAAGATTGGGCAGCTCCAGGATTGGTAAATTTATCATTTGACACTGTTAAGGACCTGATTCTTTCTTTTTGCTCAGCTCTTCTCAGTGTGTGAGTTTCTCTTTGGGCTGGCTCCCTTCAAAGTCACAAGATGACTGCCACAATCTCAGAGTCACATTCCTCATGTCAATCCCCAGAGGAAGCAGAGGGCAAAAACTTTTCCTGGCATCTCGTTTTCTTTATAGTAGGAAGACTTTTGCAGAAGACTTTCACAATAGGTAAGGAATAGATGTAGAGTAGGAAACCAACCACATCTACTGTAGATAGAGGCTATCATTATCTCCATTTTACAGACAAAGAAACTGAGTCTTGGAATGGTTCATTAATGTGCCCACTGTCTCTCAGCTAATAAGTGGAAAGCTAGGGTTTGAACCAAGGCATTCAGACTTTACACGTGTTCTCATCCACTGCACAAACCACTTGGCTATGGCAAACACATGCCTACCTCTTAATAGGACCCTGGAGTCAGTTGAAGTGAAAGAAATGGGTAAAAATTTTCTTCAATTTTTATCTTTCTTCTTTCCCTTAGAAGTGCCTCTTTTTCTTTTTCTTTCTTTCTTTTCTTTTTTTGTTTTGTTTTTGTTTTTTGAGAGTCTTGCTCTGTTGCCAAAGCTGGAGTTTAATGACGCAATCTTGGCTTACTGCAACCTGCGCCTCCCAGGTTCAAGTGATTGTCCTGCCTCAGCCTCCCGAATAGCTGGGTGGCCAGCCACCACGCCCAGCTAATTTTTGTATTTTTAGTAGAGGCGGGATTGCACCATGTTGGCCAGGCTGGTCTTGAGGAGTGCTTCTTTTTCTTTCCAAAGTCCTGTCCTAGATCCCATACTCTGAAAGAAAAGTACAGGGTTCTAGGAGAATCTATGGGAGGGGCAGTTAACTTGGCCTTGGAGTGAGTGATGGCTTCTCAGAAATGAGTTACATTATCTCCAGCAAGATGTGAAGAACAAGGAAGACTAGCCGGGTGGAAAAGTTTATGTGCATACATATAAGATAAAGTGTTTCAGGGAAAGGAAGCAGCATACAAAAATGGGAGAACGGGTCCAGGCGCGGTGGCTCACACCTGTAATCCCAGCACTTTGGGAGGCCGAGGCGGGCAGATCACGAGGTCAGGAGGTCGAGACCATCCTGGCTAACATGGTGAAACCCCGTCTCTACTAAAAATACAAAAAATTAGCTGGGTGTGGTGGCAGGCGCCTGTAGTCCCAGCTACTCGGGAGGCTGAGGCAGGAGAATGGCGTGAACCCAGGAGGCGGAGCTTGCAGTGAGCAGAGATCACACCACTGCACTCCAGCCTGGGGAACAAAGCAAGACTCCATCTCAAAAAAAAAAAAATGAGAGAATGGGGTGCAGTAGGAAAACTGAAAGTAGCTCAGATAAGCAAGGTGTCAAGCACAAAGGGTGATGAAGTGGACACACAAAGCTCTAGAGGTAGTAAGACACCATTAAAGACATTATTAAGCAGATTAAGGAGCTTGGACTATATCTGGAGATAAGCAGGAAGTCATTTGGAATTTTTAGCAGAAGAGGGACTTGATCAGAATAAAATTTAGGCACGATCCTTCTGCCAGCAGGATAGAGAATAAATTTGTGTACTACTAAGGAGTGCTTGCATGTCTAAATTAAGTATGGAAGGAAGGCGTGATGGTTAATACTGAGTGTCCACTTGATTGGATTGAAGGATGCAAAGTATTGATCCTGGGTGCATCTGTGAGGGTGTTGCCAAAGGAGATTAACATTGAGTCAGTGGGCTGGGAAAGGCAGACCCACCCTTAATCTGGGTGGGCACCATCTAATCAGCTGCCAGCGCAGCCAGGATATAAAACAGCCAGGAAAACATGAAAAGGTTAGATTGGCCTAGCCTCCCAGCCTATGTCTTTCTCCTATGCTGATGCTTCCTGCTCTCGAATATCAGACTCCAGGTTTTTCAGTTTTGGGACTCAAACTGGCTCTCCTTGCTCCTCAGCTTGCAGACGGCGTATTGTGGGACTTTGTGATCATGTGAGTTAATGCTTAATAAACTCCCCTCTATATGTATCTCTCTATACTATTAGTTCTGTCCCTCCAGAGAACCCTGACTAATACAAAAGGTTACAACCTAATTCAAGCTCCCACGTCACTGCAGTGCCAGGGCCCTCCCTGTGCCAGACTCTGTTGGTTGACTCATCAACCCTTCCCTCCTTTGCCCACATCCCAGAGACTTAAGAACCCAGATGCTTGTTTTCCCAGCCATTTGGCAAGGGGTAGCCATGTGACTCAGTGTGGCTGCAGGCTTCTGGGAGAGAGTTTAACTTGTTGATAATGGGAGAAGCTCACTAGGAGGCTGTGTAAGAAGCTGACATCTGGACCCATCTTTTAACCGTGAAGTCACAGACGTAAGGATGAATGCCTGCATGGAGCAAAAGGATGGAAAGAGCCTGGGTTTCAGATGACAGCATTCCTCTAAACCAATGGGGCCTAGCCACCCCCGCATGGCTTGTTAAGCAAGCAGTAAATGTGCCTCTGGTTTAAGCCACTGTTGGTTATGTCTTCCGTTGCAGCAGAAAACATCCCTAGGAAAGTCACATGCATTAATGCAAGTGACTTGCAATTTTCTATTTCATTTTGACTGTGTATGCACTGCCTGGATTCTTCAAGCAAGAGAAGGACATTTCTATAGTGCATCTGTTATGGTGACAGGTTACAAGACAGAGCTCTGTGAAGCTCCTGCTCCCTTTGGGATGAAAGCGTGCATGTGCAGCACCTGCTCTGGACAGGACAGAGGAGGTCTGGTGGATTCCTTCAGCCGTGGCTCAGTTTCTTTCTGCTGACCCTTGGCATGGCATGAAACAAAGTCCATTTGGCCTGTGATTTCATCTGAGACACCCGCAGTCATAGTAGAGAGAATCATGAAATTTTTTTATTACATGATTTCTTAAAATCATAATAAGACTTTATGTTTGGAGAAAAATATTACAACATACTTTTCCTTCAAGCAATTTATGTTAATAGAAGAGTGTCCTAAAGAAAAGATTAAACACAGCAGTGGAGCCTGTTATATTTTTCTCAGACAGACACAGCCCTTTTATTGAAATTCTAATGAAATATATACCCATAAAAATGCTCCCCCTGCCACCACTTAAATGGTATTCGCATGTACAGCATACCCATGCCAACAGCCACTGATTAACATGTCATCTGAGGTCTGCCATCACCTGACAGGATAAAGCTAATCCGAATCGACTACCTGCCGCATTTTTATGACACGCAGCTATTGAAAAGTACAGGAATAATTAACTGGAAATGTAATAAGAGGAGGCTCTCTCTGAGCTCGGGGCTGTCACAGAGCGTAACACCTGATATGGCTTCCCTGAGTGCCAGGCCCACTGCAATAACACTTTTTAATGCTACTTTCTGAAGAAACGAGTGACTCAAGTCGTCCATCAGGGCAATTCGTTGTGAGGAGAGCATGACAGCTGTGGCAGGTATAAAACAGAGGTGCCTTGTTCCACTGAGTGACACTAATTACGGGTAAGAGCTTTGTAAACACGCCTCTCTGTTCGGAAGAAGTGAACAACATAGAGTAAAGCACCAGCATAACCAAAATGACGTCTATAAATAAATAGGAAAGAACGGCACTTTTCTAATTGAATGCAGATAGGTAAATAAATCAGGGGGCACTTAAGCCCATTTTAGATACAATGAGTCATTTTCTACTCTCCGACAAAGTGAATGGCAATTGGCTCTTGGAGTTTACCCAGATGTAGCATGCTGGAAAGAAGGATTTCCACTTCCACAGCTGCTATCTCAATGAAGTGGGTATGTATTTGTATTATAACACACAGATGTGTGTGCATACATGGGTTTGTGTGAAACACCCTCTCTACTTAGCAATAGGTTTTATTTTTACAACGTCGTTTTAGGCAATGGTTTGGTACTCTGAATGCACTTAACTAGAGGTGAAGTGATACATGTGTTGATCCTTTACCCAGGCTGGCCCACAGATATAAACCCACGGGCAGACCGATCAATAGGCTTTTGGGGGCGAACGTGATAACCTACCCTCACCTGTTGTCTTGGTTAGCATTGCATTCAGCTACAAGTGAGATAAAACCCAAAGGAATCACTTGAATAAGTTCCTTTATGTGTCATGTAAAAGTACAGGTAGATGGCCTAGGGCTGCTGTGGTACTCCTGGGGCAGGGAGACAGGCTGCCCCTGGTGTGTGGCTTTGCTACACGGAGTGCTGTGTTTCGGCCACAGGATGAGAATTGACAAAGGGCACACACACACTGTTTCTTAATTAGGTTTCTGGATGCTGCCACATGGCACTTGTCGTCAGCCGGAGCTAAGTCACACGGCCGTCTGTGGCTGCAAGGGAACTGACAGTGTGTCTCCTTTCCTGGGGGTTAACAGTGTTATCACCATAAAGAAGGGCAACATGGACACTGGGAAACAACCAGCAACTCTACCACACGTGATTATATAGCGGAGGAAGCTGTTCTGTAACAAGTAATAAGACAAAAATGCCAAGGGCCCTGGCACACACTCACTTTCCTCTTTCTTTTTTCCCTGCATCCCTCGCTAAAGCCACAGAAGGAGTTACCTGGTGTGGGTCAAGAAACAAATGCTAAATTGAAGAATATTTCCCACTCTCCAGAGAGAGTTAAGGGAAGGCTGTGTTGCTGGCTTCTTAAATCTCACCTTGCTGATGTCCAAATTCTACAGCACATCTTTCTTCAGCATGGATCTAGATTCTTATTTGAAAAGCAGCTTCCTCTGGGAATAACTTTCAATGTCCATCAGATTTTTACATTTTCATTTGAAAGGGTTTCTGAGTTTCCTTTCTTTTCTTGCAAGCAGACGTCTTTACTGGGAGAAAATCAGGTTGGACCTGCCCATATAACTTGTTGAAGATGAAGGGAGGTATAGTAAATTTGGTATTTAAGTGTTTGTATGATTTATTTAGGATTTTGCTGTTTGCAGTCATTGGATAAGAATTCTATTAATCTGGATTTTTTTAAAGAAAAATTTTTTTCGTGGGTCTTTTTTCACTTAAGCAATGAAGAAAAAGAAAATAAAATTACTCTCAATCCTTCTTTTCCTTTTCCTGCTAGGCTTTTATCTCTCTGCTTTAGAGATGCGTGACTTCGTGTGCATGGATGTATGTCACTTAGCACATGCTCCTGGGGAACACGGAGTATATGCATTGGAGTTCTTCAATGTACAAGAACTAAGTAAATACAGTATTGTGCCAGAAGTTAACTGTGGAGGCAAATGCTTGGAATAGCATTTAGTACCACTCTACACAAGTCAGAGCTTTTATTAAGGAATTCTTGGAAGTGGCTGTGGTTCATGAAAGAAAGGAAAGATCTTTAAAGTGAAAGGAAAGGGTATTTTGGGGTGTTATGGGTGGTGTAAGGTGGGTGGGGGCAGAATTTAAACTCATATCATTGGATTTAGTATGTGCTTATTGATAGCAGAGGAAGAGGCCAGTGTGGAAAAAAGAGCCCGAGTTTTGGGGGTTCTACAGTGAAGGAGCTGGTAGCCTTCACTAAGCACCTACTGTATGTCATGCATTGTCTGAGGCATCTTGCATACACACTTTTTTTCAGTCTGCACAACAACTGAAGTCCAAAAGAAATGAAGGACCATGGTCAAGGTCATGTCCTCTGACAATCAGAACGGGGGCTTAAATATGCTCCGCTGACCTCACAGGCTCTGTCTACCTTATCATAAACACTGGGTTAAAACATAAGGAGAAGAGCTGCTAAGCTGGTTTAACTGGGGACTCCTGCTCACACGACTCTCAGATCTCCCACTGTCCCACCTGTGGACCCCAACCATCACACATTCCCCAGCTGAGGCAGCTGCTGTGTCTCTGGGACTTGACACGGCCACTTGTGGCTGGAGAGACCACTGATGGTGTGCGGTCAGCATCAGGACCATTAGTGGTTCTTGGATATCACTGTTGGTCACCACTTATTAGCAGATGGGACAGGCCGGGAGCTCTGGTGGTTAACCAAAGCATGTTGTTTTCTTTTTAGACTTTGCCTTGATTGCCAATTAGCCAGAACTTTTGTTTTGCTTTTAAGTCACGAACATCCCAGCTGTCGAAGTCTTTCTTTCCCCAGCATCTGCAGCCGTCCTGCCTGGGGCCATGAGCTCATCTGATCTCTTACTCCAAGCTGCCTTACATTTGACCTGGTCTTGGCCATGACACTGTCAATGAAAGACCAAGTGGTAAAGTGGTATTTGTGAGTCAGTCCTCCCTCTGAGTCAGAAATGAAACAATGCCTCAGCATGTTAGAGGGAATATAGAGCCATCCTGAGATGAAGCCTGAAGGATTCTTCCCCCTTAGTTCTTTGAGGTGCAAAGTGACTTGGTATACGTATTGGGGAGTTGTTAATAGGGGTGAGGAGAACCCCTCAGGGCAGCCAGATGCATTCTCATTTTTCCTTCTTTCTTTTCCCCTCTCCTTTCTTTTCTTCTTTCTGACTTTTTACTTCTTTCAAAATATAGGAGCTAATCATTCAGGAGAATTTGTTTCTCTTTAATATTTTGATCAATGAATTTATTCCCAATTTAAATTCTGTCATTTGTAAAACTGTGGTAGGTGGAAAAAACACTGGATAGGGTGGGAAAGAAGGAAGAAAAAAATCCCAAACCCAAAACGAAACAAACAAACAAAAACCCAAAAAAGCGAATACACACACAAAACAAATAAAAAAAAAAAAGCTTTAAGTACTGGCTGGATAAAGAGATAGTTGAGATATGTTAAGCAAATCACAATCTCTTTGAAGCTGCATTTCCTCAAAAGAAATATGAAGACAGCCAAACTTGTCTTACCTCCCCTATAAGAGCGTTGTCAGAGACACTAATGAAATAATCTGTGTGAAAGTACTTTGTAAATCCGTGCATTTACGGCCAATTGATTTTTGACAAAGATACCAAGAACACACAATGGGGAAAGGACAGTCTGTTCAATAAAGGGTGTTGAGGAAACTGGATATCCATGTACAGAAGAACGAAATTGAACTCTTATTTCATACCATATACAAACATCAGCTCATGATCATTTAAATACTTGAACATCATACCTGAAACTGTAAAACTACTAGAAGAAAACATAGCAGGAAAACCACACAACACTGGTCTAGGCAATGATCGTTTGCATTGGACCTCAAAAGCTCAGGCAATGAAAGCAAAAATAGATAAATAGGATTACATCAAACTTAAAAAGCTTCTGTACATCAAAGAAAACAATCGACAGAGTAAAGAGACAATATACAAATTAGAAAAAATATACTGGTAAGGCACATATCTGATAAGGAGTTAACATCCAAAATATATAAGGAACTCAAACAACTCAATAGCAAGGAAACAAATAACCTGATTTAAAAAATAGGCAAAGGCCCTGAAGGGACATTTCTCTAAACATGACATACAAATAGCCAACAGATATATGAAAAAATGCTCAACATCACTAATCATCAGGGAAACACGAATTAAAGCCACCATGAGGTATCATCTCATACCGGTCAGAATGACTATTCTCAAAAGATGAAAGATAATAAGAGTTGGTGAGAATGTGGAGAGGGAACAGTTGTGCACTGTTGGTGGGAATGGAAATGGGTACAACCACTGTGAAAAACCATATGGAGATTCCTCAAAAAGCTAAGAATAGAATTACCACATGGTCCACAATCTACTTCTGGTTATATATCTAAACAATTGGAAATCAGTATGTTGAAGAGATATTGGCATTTCCATGTTTTTGTAGCATTATTCACAATATCCAAGTTATACAATCAACCTAAGTTTACATCAGTGAATGAATAGATTAAAAAATAGGGTATCTATCCACAATGGAATGTTATTCAGCCTTTAAAAAGAAATTCTGTCATTTTCAACAACATGGATGAACCTGGAGGACATTATGGTAAGTGAAATAAGCCAGGCACAGAAAGACAAATACTACATGTTTTAGATTCACTTATATGTTGAATCTAAAACAGTCAGACTCACAGAAGCAGAGAGTACTGTGGTGGTTACGAAAGGCAGAGAGTGGGGGAAATAGGGAGATGTGGTCAAAGGGTACAATATTTCAGTTAGACTGGAGGAATAAATGGAATTTGAGGTAATAGATAAGCTAATTAACTTGATCCAATCATTCCACATTGTATACATATAATATCACTTTGTGCCCCATAAATATATATAATTTTTCAATATGTAATAACACTTAAAAAATAGAAAGTGCCTTATAAAACGTGTAGTCTGTCACAAGCATAGTTAGCAGTTTGTGTTCTGGGTTGGTACTGGTCTGGGAGCAATCATTCCTAGTGGTGTGTGATGGGAAAAATAGTTTTTGTCAGTGATTCTCCACTGGGGGAAGCTTTGTTTGACCCCAGGGATATTGGCAATGTCTACAGACATTTTTAGTTGTAACCACTGAGGGGCAGGGTGCTACCAGCATCTAGTAGATAGGGGCCAGGGATGCTGCTGAACATCCTGTAATGCACAGAACAGCCCTCCACAACAAAAAATTATCTGACCCCCAATGTCAATAGTCCTGAGGCTAAACACCTCTGATTTATTTTAATAAACCTCAGCTAAAAAAAAACTTACTGTAGGACAGAAATAACTGTAATAATAAGATTACTTATTGCACGGAGGTTGAATAAAGCAGCGCAACTAACTCATAGCTCAGTGCCTGGCATATGTTGCGTTCATAGCCTATTTCATGCTCAGTGTTCCCGTTATGGCTCTTTCTAGAATCCTTCCTACATATTTGCAGTCCTTCATCATCAACCCTTCCTAATTTTACATGAGTCAATGTTCATATTGCTTTGGCTGCCTACACACCAGTTTTCTTTTTGAGAATTTCTTCCCTCCAATCATTGTGAGGCCTTGGTGGCAACATAAATCCAGATGCCTCTCTAAGGAAGCAAAAGAGGCCACATCCTTTTCCCTGCCCCAGCCCAGCTAGGTGGTGGGCATATGACCTGACATTGGCCAAATAATTTCTTCCAGGGTGTTGACTCTTGAGTGGAAGAAGTGATAAAAACATGCAGCAGTTTGCTGACCTCAGGGTTCCTGCTTGAGTTTATTCCTCTGGGGCCTGCTTTCAAACTCCATAGAGCCTCTTGGTTCCTGTCTTTTTCAGGGCCTCTTTTCAGCCTCCTGCGGACTCAGCAGGGCTCCCACAGCATTCAATACATTTCCAGAGTTTGTTCTGTTGCTTGCAGCCAAAACTCTTGACTGATCACTTGCCCACCAATGACCCAATGCATAGAACAATAGCACTCTGTATTGTGTCTTTTGGTAGAGGGGCTGGGGATGGAGGCATGGATTTGTAGCCTAACAAAACAGCAAAGAGCTTCTAATTGTAATTTTCCCACTAGCACTGCAGGAATATTAAGTTCTAAGTTCTTTATTGAAGTAAAAGTTGAATCTTCTTCCTCCAGCCAGGTCCTTATCAATAAACATAAATTAGCAAAGTGTTTTAGCTCTTCCCTTGTGGTGAACCCTTTACATTTGGCTAATAGAATTGGGCAACAATATGACTTAAAATATTGATTTAAGCAAATTCTCAGAAGTACATAGTATACTTATTGTAAAATATACATTTGAAGCTATCTTTTTTCATCCCATTTTACCTTTAGTGTTTGCCAAACCCTATTTTAATATCTGTATAGAATGGAAACTTACATTTTGTGTCCATCTGGGAATAGTCCAGCCAAGCAATGGCACTGGCTAGTGATAAGCACAAAAAAGAGAAATTAACAAATTAATTAATACTTATTTTTAATTTAGGTTGTTTCTCTGGACCTGAAGTATGACTGTTAGAAAAAGAAAAATCTGATAAGCTTCACTTCCTGTTTTGAAAAAAATAGTAAGAAATCACATGTGTTTAGTGGCTTAAAATATTTTAGTCATTTTTAAGTTTGCAAAATAGATTGTGCATATGCCTTTTCTCTTTATAAATATATACCTGTGAAACTCAAGTGCATGAGAGATTTAAACAGCTTTTATTTTTCAAAGGCACGAAAGACAATATTTGGAACAGAAATAAGAAATAGAATTGCAATTCTTGATTTTGTCACTAATTCTCAATAGATAACACTAGCAGTTTTCCAAGTTTAGATTGAATTGTATGAGCTGTAATTAATAGGTATTTGTAAAATCAAATTATGTGTTTATACATGCCTGTAGCAGTAGTTACCATCCTCATCGTCCTTGGGTAGAGGTACACACACATGAAAATCGGAAAAACAAGCTTAGCAAATATTTTTAAATAAAATCATTAAGTCTCTGATGAAGCTGGTTAAAAGTTTGACACCCCTGAGGCTCAGTTTTCTCATCTGGAAAGTGGGAATGATAATAGTAATTATTCTAGCTGGTTGTTTTTATGACTAAATGAGACCATGTGTGCACAGGGTTTTAAATGTATTTGAAGGGCTATGTTATGGGGAAGGATTTTATAATATCTAACACTAGGGGGAGAAAGCATTTTCTAAGTTAAGATTGTGCTAAGTATAAGCTCAACTAAGCACTAGAAGCAGCCATTGTGTATCACTTTGGGTCCATTTAAAAAAGGAAAGAATTATGGATGACATTAGTAGAGCAGCCAAATATTTCAGGAGGATATTTATGACTGGAGAGAGTTTGGTCATCTCATTATTAGTGACATCCTGGGGACAACTAACTCTCTTCACTTTTCTTCCCCTGTCTTTCCCTAACATGGCAACACGAAGCAGGTGTTCTTGGTCCTGACCCATGAAGAAGGCAAGCACATAATTTTCCTTTGATCGGGCTAAATGCAAGCAAAGGAAATTGGCTAGGATGACCTAATTTTGGGATGCTGACCCTGAATGGAGTGTGACTGCTGCTTCAGGACTGAGCCTCATGGCTGTGAATGTGGCTGTGAATGTATCTTCCCTTGTCAACCTGCTGCCTTCTTGTCCATTCTTCGAAGACCATCTCAAGCAGCCTCTCTTCCATGTAGTCTTTCCTGATCTTCTAATTAGCTTTGATCTCATCCACCGAGAATGGGTTTGAACTTCCTTACAGAACTTACTGTGGGTCTGAATCCCTTACTAGATAATAAACACCTTGAGGGTGAGAACTACATCATACTCATTTTTGTATCCTCCTTATTCACAGTACAGTGCCCCACATAGAGTAGCACTGTGCCATTGAAGAAGAAGGATAGATTTTTGGAGGGCAGCAGAGCTGAGCTCGAATCTTGGCTTCCCATTACCTAGCTAGGGGACTCCAGAATGCTACTTAATCTCTCTGAAACCCTTTGTTCTCATCTGTGAAATGGAGAGAATAATACCAGAATTTGAGGGGAGAATTGTCATTGGTCTCAAATATTAATGTATCATATTCCATTGATATGCATTATTTCTGAGTTGAGTTAACATGCACAAGGAAGTTTTAACCCCATATTTACAAGAGCAGTGTTTGTAGTAAAGGTACATTCTAGTTAAAATCTATGAGCCAAATTAGGCTTACAACTGAAGTTTTAGTTAGTTGAAATGGATAAGTAAACATTTACCTAATTGCTTATTTCTCTAAAATTTCATCTCAAGTCTTACCTGTGAATGGCTTAATGTTTGGTGTTTTCAGTTTATCTCACAATGAATTTATGTTTCTTCAATTGGGTGTTAAAAACTTTTTGCCGGAAATCTTCAGAAGCTTGGGCAGAAAGATCCCTGGAATAAACGAGAAAATGCCAGCCTTAAGATCATATGATTTTTGCACAACTGCTCCCTGGTGGTGACATACCCAAATTGCAGGAACATTAAGAAAAAACTCTAGCTCTTTGAGGAAAGTTATGAAGAGACAGTTCTTAAGTACAGTTGCTCTTTGACCAATTCCTCAACATCTATTGCTTTTTCTATCAGTGTAAAACAAAAACGTTGAGTGTCAACAACATGTATCTTCTAGCTAAATCCTCAGGACTTTAGAATGCACTGAGAGTGCATCTCCCTTGTAGAGGCCAACAGGCAAATTCCTTCATTACTGACATCACCAACAGAAGCTCAAGCCTCCTGGGCCCTCCATCATGCTCCAGACCCCCTCCAGTGTTCTTCCATTATGCATGCTGGCACTCTCAGTCTGTCATCAGCAAACCCTCTCCTATCCTCAGGCTCCTCTCTGAACTGATCTTGACCCTCTTGCTCCATCTGCACCTACCTTGCCAATATTTGTCTAAAGTGGCAGCTGCCTTTTCTCTTATGCTCCTTATGCCTCAGATCATAGAGGTAGAATAGCTGTCCTCCTGGCTACCTGTCATCTGCTAGAAACTATCTGTCTTCCTTCATCTTTCAGAAATCACAACTCTTCTAAAGCACATGGCATCTTACTATTTCACCCAACATTCTTTTATAGCCCTCTTCTACTAGCCTCCCAGTGATGCCCCTTTATTTATGAGACTGGTACCTGGTTCATGGTCTTTTTCATTCTACTCCTGTTATTATTCTTGGTGACACCAACTTGGTGACACCATTCAACACCCTGAATCTCAGCTCCTTAGCTTTATCACCTCTAATTACTTTTCCCTCCATTCCACCTCACCATCAATTTCCTTGACCAAACCACGAATTGCATCTCCTCTAGAATAACAGTCTCAAACATTCGTCTCTCTGGTCCTTTCTATTCTTCCATCTCGTTTACTCTATTAATGTCATTGCAATAATTTTTTGGACCATATCAAGATGGCCAATTCCTTACCCCTACAACATTTTCCACTATTCATTTTCCTTGTTTTCAATGAACACAATGGTACTGGCGTCTATACCCATACATCACACACCTTCCTTCTTACTACAATGGAAGGTATGTTCATCCTTCACTTGTGCTTTGGATCCCACACCCTCACCTTTGCTCCCGGAATTATCACCTTTCCTCCCGGAATTATCCCCTTTCCTCAATGCATTATCAGTTTTTCCATCTCTATTGAACTCTTCCCATCAGCAAACAAAGGCATTGTGATATCTTTATCTCCCTTCTCTTGATCCCATCTACTCCTCTGGCTCCCACCCCCTTTCTCTGCTCTCCTTCATGGCAACATTTATTGAAAGTTGTTCTTACTTGCAGTCCCTACTTCTTCACCTCCCATTCTCTCTTCAACAGATTCCAACTGGGCATCTGGCCCCTTCACCCACTCTACAGAAACTGCGCTCCTCTAGGTCGCCCATGACCTGTCTGTTGCCAATCCAAATGCATTCCCATTTTACCTCTCAGCAACATCCAACGCAGCCAAACGCTCCCTCTTTAAAATATTTTTTTTTCTTTTGGCTTACTTGTGTTGTTTTCAACATTTTTACTCATATAGCACCTATAAAAATTTTGTAAAATTTTGTAGACCATTACACATTTTTAGAATTGACATCTATATTGTTCATCATAAGTTTAAATAGTTGCTAGGGATAGAATTTCCAGTATGTTACAAATATTGACATCTTAAAACTGTTATATGGTTCTTTTTAAATGTGCCCAGTGAAATCTAAACACCATAGAAATTTGATACCATAATTCGTGTAGAAAATACACAGCCTTCTTTAACAGAAATTTTACATTGTTTCCTTTTTCCTTAAATTTATATTTTCACTCAACTTCACCCGCAAAAAATTTTCCCAATATATTTTATCACTCCACCAACTTCTCTGCAACTGATTATATAAATTGAAGTTAGAACTTGAAAAATTTCCTATAAGGCTCTGTAAGTCAAAACTTTTTTAGATTTAGTTATTATTGTAGTTATTTAATTATTTATACACTTGATCAAAATAACATAAACATTATAGATTACAAATTTTGATGAAAAAGCATTACTCTAAAAGAAAACTGTATTGTAAACATAGATTCTTAGGACATGGCTAGGATGTTTTTCCCCACCCATTTAACTTGTGTATGTGAGGATACTACTACTTATTGTTATTGTGAGACAGAGTTCAGCATTAATCCTCTCCATATTTTGTCTTTTTAAAAGATGTCAGCTCTGAGAAATACTGTTTATATACATAAGTAGATAGAAACTTGATCATAGAAGTGCTATCCAATTCTTTGAATTCCTTTTGAGTTATACATCCAAAATCAGAGTAATTTATCACAAAAAAAGTTTTCTAATGATCTAGCTCTTAACTACCAACTTTCAACTCAGTTAAGTTCTCCTCCAATTTTCTGGAAAGCAAAACATTGGACATCCTTCTGCAAATCCTTGTGTAAGTCAGGTGATGTCCAATATTCGTTACCTAGCTATTACAGTTATTAACTTCATCAAACTGACACCAGTATTTCTAATGGTTTTCTTTTCATGTCTAGGATGTTTTACACTGTTGGACACTGCAATATAGTAAGATTTGGGACAGATGCAAGTTGTAGAGGGGTAATCATGAAAGGAAGTTGGGATGGAGAACATCTTTATTTTATTAGGTACATTCTGAGGCTGAAAGGGTTTGGAGAGAGTACATAAGAAGTTGAAGATCTGAAAATCGCTCTCCTTAAAACTATCTGTGCATATATTCCCCTTGGAAATTTTCGGCATACTCTTAAGACCCCTGGTTTTTCTCTTAACTCCATAGCTTTCCTTGTGAGTTCCTTTGCTGGCGATTTCTTCCCTGTTTATCCCTAAGTGTTGAGCAAAATGGGTATCATTCCTGGGTCCCCATCCATCTCCTTTTTGGCCATCTCTTCATCAGTCCCAATGCTTCAACTACTGGCCATAGGTTAATGGTCTTCCTGCAAGCTCAGAGTCGTACATACAACCTCAAGCTCAGTTGCCCAGTGTGAAGGCCCAATTGGCATCCCACACTGCTCATGTCTAAAAGAGAAGTCATGATTCTCCGGCACCACATCCAACCAACCTGTTCCTCCACAATCTCCCACATCTGAGAAAATGGTACCATCATTCTTTCAGTTGTGAAATGAAAAAACCTAGGAGTTATTCTTGATTTCTCTTTTTCATCACTTCCTACAGCAAGCTCCATCAGTGCTACCTTTAAAACATAGCCTAGGCCGGGCACGGTAGCTCATACCTGTAATCCCAGCACTTTGGGAAGCCGAGGCGGGTGGATCACGAGGTCAGGAGTTTGAGACCAGCCTGACCAACATGGTGAAACCCTGTCTCTACTAAAAATACAAAAATTAGCCAGGCGTGGCAGCGCATGCCTGTAATCCCAGCTACTCGGGAGGCTGAGGCAGGAGAATTGCTTGAACCCGGGAGGCAGAATTTGCAGTGAGCTGAGATCCAGCCACTGTACTCCAGCCTGGGTGACAGAGCAAGACTCCATTTCAAAACAAACAAACAGACAAACAAACAAACAAACAAAAAACAACAAAGAAACACAAAACATATTCTGGATCCATCCACTTCTCTTCGTCACCTTCCCTGCTCCCTCCCTAGACTAAGATGCCACCATCATGGCTTGCCTGGAGGACTTGATGCTTCCTACTGACCTCCCTGCTTTCATTCTGCCATACCCCACCAATGATCTATGCTCCATAAAGCAGCCAAAGTGTCTTTTCATATTGTCAGTTGGATCATGTTACTCCACTGGCTAAAACACTATACAAAAAATAATTACAGGATGGAACTGGAGGCCATTATCTTAAGTGAAGAAACTCAGGAATGGAAAACCAAATACCGCATGTTCTCACTTATAAGTGGGGGCTAAGCTATGGATGTGCAGGGGCATACAGAGTGGTATAATGGACATTGGAGCCTTGGAAGGGGAGGTGAGGAATGAAAATTACCTACTGAGTACAATGTACAGTATTCGGGTGACAAGTACATGGAAAGCCCAAATTTCAACGCTATACAATTCATCCATGTAACCAAAAACCACCTGTACCCCTAAAGCTATTGAAACAAAAATAAATTAATTAATATAGAAAAAAGAAAAATATTCTGATTTTATATCTGGGTCTGAAGTGCTCTGTGGTCTGGGCCCTGCCTACCTTTCTGATTCCACTTTCATGTTTGTCTTGCTGTCTTGCTAACAGAACTCCAATCACATGGACCCTCTCCTTGTTCCTAAACATGGCAAGCTTGCTTTTTACTCAGGGCCTTGTTCTTGCTGTGCGCTGAGCCTAGAAATTTCTTCCCTCAGATGGTCCCATTGCTACCTCATTTTCTTTCCTTATACCTCAGCTCACATAACATCCCCTTTTAGAAATCCTCCCTGACCACATGCTAGCTCATTACCCTATATTTTTAAATAGCAAATATTCTACTAGAAATTGATTATATTGGTTGGGCCAAGTGGCCCACGCCTGTAATCCCAGCATTTTGGGAGGCTGGAGCAGGAGGATTGCTTGAACCCAGGAGTTTGAGACCAGCCTGGGCAACATGGCAAGAACCTCTTTCTACAAAAAGTGAAAAATTAGCTGGGCATGGTAGTGCACACCTGTAGTCCCAGCTACTTGGAAGGCTGTTGTGGGAGGATCGCTTGACCCTGGGAGGTCAAGGCTACAGTGAGCTGGGTTGGTGCCACTGCACTCCAGCTGGGCAACAGAGTGAGACCTTGCCTCAAAAAAACAAAACAAACAAACAAACAAACAAAATAAATTGATTATATCTGTTGTTATGTATGTAAACTGCACAAAAGCAGAGATCTTTCCTGTGTTATTTATCTCTGTATACCCAATGCTAAAAATGAGTCAAACATGTAGTAGTAGGTGCTCAATATGTAGTTGTTGAATAGACGCAGAAATTTTTACTGTTTGCTACAGTTTTATTTAAGCACAGGAGCATGGCCAGTGGTATTTCCAGGGAAGAATACATTAGTAATGCAGGCTTGGGTAACCACTTGCAGCTCACCTCACTACTGAGCAATGACGTGGAATTGGAGCTGGTATCACAGAACAGGGAATGATCATGGGTTCTGGAGTCAAAAGAGGCTTTTCAAGGATTTAACCCCTGAGCTGTCAGTGTCCAGCTCTACGGACATTGTGGGCAAGTCACATCATTCTTTACATCCCAGTTTCCTCATATGTAAAATGGAGATAACTTCTAGGATTGTTGTAAGAATTGGAAATAATATAGGCAAGTGATTGACACATAGTAGGCATTCAACTAACCGTAGTTGTGGTAGATGCTGTTATCACCCCATCCGATTCCCCTGAGATTCCTTTTACTGCTTTGTCCAATGGCCAGTGGCAGACTAGGATAGGGTGATAAAATCCTGTTCGCTTGCCTCAAGGCAGGGCAGACCCTGGGGAGTCCTGCAACAGGAGACCAGGACTTCTATGTCTGCAAGTCTTCCTGTGAGTTCAGGCTAAATCTAATCTTCACCAGACACCACCTCCTTCCCCTTCTCTATTCTGATTGCTTCACTTCATATTACTTTCTCCTAGGAGCAATGCTTCAATAAATCATGGGTACGTGAATCCCTGGCTCATGTTCTGCTTCTGTGGAACCTGAATAGGGCCGTGGTTATCACCTCTTGTTCCACTAGAAAACCCTAGCAGCTACTTTTTTTTCCCTAGTAATGCTGTCTGTTAGTTGTACTTATCTGCTCATAGTAAAACCCATAGCTAGAAGTGAGAATTACTATAATGTCTTTGCATTAGTTTAATGTTGATAAGAACAGCCACCTATTATTAAAAGAAGAAAGAATGGGAAGGGTAAGTATTTACATTTCTCATTAGTGGAAATAGGAGAGGCTCTAGAATTTAAACGCTCAGGCCTTTCTATCTGTAAGGCCACGGTAGGACGTGCCCTAGCCTCAGCTTCAGGTATCCTGAAGCCAGGCCTCTACCACTCACTGCTGAGCTGTGAGTTCTGGGAAGAAATACTCAACATCTCTCTGCCTCATTTTGTCATTTGTAAAGTGAGAAAATACAGAGTTGCTGAGTGAAGTAAATGAAATCTTGTATGTGAAAGAGCTTGGTAATTATAAAACACCTCATAAAGGTGAGGTGTTTGGGAGGATAAAAGTGACGTTCTGGTTCATTCAAGAATTGAAAGTAAATGCATTAAGATATTGCACAAAAGTGTGAGCCTCTTTAAATATGTAGAAATAGGGAAAATTGTGTTTGAGTTATGTGTATTGTGTTTTAAAGAAATTACTTTTGGGGAAAATATATTTTATACTTAAATAATAATAAATAAGGTAGAAGCACTTTGTAAATGATATAAAGTATACAGACACTGCAGAAAATGTACGCACGTGAACACATACGCACTGTAGCTCCAGTGACTTCTGGGAACTATTTGAGGGAGTTGCAGTAACAGAATTTCATAGGATTTATTAGCAGTAGAAAGTTCCCCAGAGCTGCCTACATAAGGCTTTAATTATTCAAAGATTGCACTTTGGCACTTCAAACATTGCCAACCCAAGAAATCAGAAAAATGAGCACATTTCTGGTGGCAAGGAGAGGCATTTTGTGCAGGAAGCAGCAGTAAAAATGCAAACCAAAACCTCTGAGGAAGCCACCACTGCAAGGTAACTTTGAGGCCTGGGAATGAGTTCTTCCCTAGACTGAAGGAAAGAAGTATTTTCCTTCAAAGGATTGAGCCAAAGCCAAGAAGCGAAAAAATAAATGACAGGAGACAGCAAGTAAGGATGAGCAAAGGAAAGCAGGAGTGGAAAGGTTCAGAAAGTGGCAGACAGCGACAGCTGGGGGAAACCAGAAGAGGTAAAGAGACCGGGCAGCAGCAGAAGATTCAGGGAGGATGGGCATGGTGGCTCACGCCTGTAATCCCAGCACTTTGGGAGGCCGAGGTGGGAGGATCACAAGGTCAAGAGATGGAGACCATCATGGCCAACATGGTGAAAGCCCATCTCTACTAAAAATACAAAAAAAAGTAAATAAATAAAAATAAAAGCTGGGCATGGTGGCAGGCACCTGTAATCCCAACTACTCGGGAGGTTGAGGCAGGAGAATAGCTTGCACCCAGGAGGTGGAGGTTGCAGTGAGCCAAGATCGCGACACTGCACTCCAGTCTGGGAGACAGAGTGAGACTACTCCATCTCAAAAAAAAAAAAAAAAAAAAAGATTCAGGGAAAATTGGGAGGTGGGGAGGCCAGGCCTGAGCTGGAACAGGTCTTCAGCCCTGGAAAGCCCTGCGGGCAGCACCACCATGGCCCCAGCAGTCCTTTAGTATCTGGCCTTCTCAGGCAGCCCTGCTTCTACATCCAGGACGGAGGCTGCCAGGTTGAAATGCCTCCCTCTTTTGGTCCTCCAGATGGAGTTGGAAGTCCCGCCCCTTTGTCCCCTCTGCAGGTTGCTCACTGCACTTATTCTAAGACGCCGTTGCTTATGCGTGTCCTCCAGTAGTCTCCAGTGGGAGCCCCGAGGGCAGGCTGTCTTTGCCACCTGAGCGCTTGTGACTGGCCTGGTAGACACCACGCTCCCAATCATGGTTAAGTAAAATCTGCTTAAGAAGGCAGGAAGACTTCACCCCAACCTGTACCATTTGAATGGCCCAGGACTTAGAGGGTTAAGATATCAGTTATTCAAAGGACCTACGTGTCTGTCTATTTTTGAGTGTGCCAGGCTCTGTTCTGGGGAGTATCGAGCCCAGAACAAAGTCGAAAATAAAGATGCTGTTAGCAGTGGGGAACATCAGGTCACACTAGCTCTGTGCCAGGCGCTGGGCTGGCGTATATACAATTAGTTAATTCTCACGGCAACTCTCTGCCCTCAAGAAAGGCAGATTGATTGATGATTTAAAGAGGGAGGCAGATACATACATTACTAATAAATGGCAAATAAATTATAGTAAAATGCAGCAAGTAATATAAAAGGGTGAGAACCAGGGACTGGGAGTGAGTTATTTTGTTTTCCTGAATTTGGGGAGGGTTTCCCCTAGAAGGAGTGGCCAAGTAATAATGGAGACGTCCTGGTAATTTTAAAATTATTTATTCCTCAAGGAGACAAAGAGTCCAAAATAGACCAGGAAAAGTCCTTCCTTGTGTGTTAGCCTGGTAAAAAGCAAAATAAAGCTCAGCAATATATTTTATCTCACTGAAAAGCAAAAGCTCCACATTACAATCGTATTATTTGAGAAGGATATATGAATTGCATAAAGGTGTAAATATTATTTATGATGCTTATATTTAACTGGGACGATAGTGTTATTGCTCTTATTTCTCCAGTTTATTATAGATTGGTATTAAGGCATGACTATAAAGCTCTTTGAATAAATCATTTTAATTGCCTAGTAATATGAGTGTTCATGTTAATTAAGTAGATATTTTGCACATGGCAAAGATAATTCTTTTCAGCTTTTTCTTTGGAAAGACAGCCTTATAAAGTGCTCTTTGTGGAATAAATGACTTTCCTATTATCAAACTGAGGACCATGCAACTCTCTTAAAAATTGTATTAAAACATTTAATTTTGATCTTAAAATATAGAGCTGCCTAGCAGAACTTGGGCTCCGGATAGCTAGAATGTGTACGGCTTTGTCATGCTGCATTAGCAGTGTGGTGCGGCGGGGATGGTGTTTATTTGGGGTAAGGACACACCGCTCTGGCTCCTGCCTGGCTCTGTTTTGCTGAGTAGTCACAGGAAAGTCAGTCTGGTTCTCTGGGCCTCGGTTTCCTCACCTGTTAAATGCAGCGTCTGGACTCCAGCTCTAATAGGCTTTTATCTGCGACTAAGTCCTAGCATAAGACCTGCGTTCTATCCCCTCTCATGGAGTAAATTCAGACTTGTGATGTCCCTCCTGACTGGACATCAGAAGAGTAGGGGCATGTCCCTCCCATGACGGTCAGGATTGACAAAAAGGCACAGAGATTTCAGAGATTTCAGTAAGTTGCTCTTTGTTATATTGTAATTGAGAAGTATATTAGAAATTGCTGTTTGTTTGGTTTTTTAAATGGTACACATTAAGTTAAAACATGTACAGAAGTGACAAAATGTTAAAAAGTGGTAGTAGGATATGTGGTCTTTAATTTTCTTCTTTTTCTTTTTTTCTTTTTTCTTTTTTTTTTTTTGAGACAGAGTCTCACTCTGTTGCCCAGGCTGAAGTGCAGTAGCGCGACCTTGGCTCACTGCAACCTCTGCCTCTGGGTCTTAAGCCTTCCAAGTAACTGGGACCATAGGCACATGCTACCATGCCCAGCTAATTTTTTTTTCTTTTTGGTAGAGATGAGATTTCACCATGTTACCCAGGCTGGTCTCCAACTCCTGGGCTCAAGCAATCCACCTGCCTTGGCCTCCCAAAGTACTGGGATTACAGGTGTGAACCACCGTGTCCAGCCTAAATTTTCCTCTTAATACTGTTACATATTTTCTAAATTTTCTGTAATGAATGTATTCCACATACGTATTCATATACATATATTCAGGAAAAATGAAAGCACTTAAAAAATAAGTGTGGTTAATATTCATAAAATGCCGCCAGTGAACCAAACTCTATCCAACACTTGTTTCTGCATCCATATATATATATATATATATGTATAACTTTCTAGTTTTATAAACACTTTTATGCCCGGCAGGGACACACCAGTACCTTAAGTGAAACGGGGAAATTAGAAGTTACCAAGGTTACCACTGGTCAGCCTTTTTTCTTAAAAGCCCGAGCTTCAATGGATTTGAATAAATGCTTAATTAAAGAAGACATACAGATGGCAAATAAGCATATAAAAAGTGCTTTACATTATTAGTCATCCAGAAAATGCAAATTAAAACTACAAGGAGATACCACTACACACCCACTGGCATGGCTAAAATCAAACAGACTGACAATACCTAGTGCTAGAGATGACGCACAGAAATGGGAACCCTCCTACATTGCTGGTGGGAATGTAAAATGGTGCAATGGAGAAGTTTGGCTGTTTCTCCAAAAATTAAACATACATTTACAGTATGACCTAGCAACTTCATTCCAAACATATTTCCACACAAATACTTGTATGCAAATGTTCACCGTGGTATAATTAATAATAGCCCCAAACTGAAAACAAACCAAACATTTATTAACAAGTAAGTGGATAAACAAAAATGTGGTATATTCATACAATGGAATAACTCAGCAAGGATAAAAATAAGAACAAACTACTGATACATGAAACAATGTGGATGAACTTCAAAAATATTGCGATAAGTGAGGGAAGCCAGGTGCATAAGACTACATATGATTCCATTTGTATGATTCCATTGGTATGAAATTTCTAGAAAAGGTGTATCTATAAGGACAGCGTTTGGTTGCCTGGAGCTGGGGGTGTGAGTGGGTGTTCGCTGTTTGAAACAATTTCAGTTCCCAACTCGTCAGTCATAGTATTATAGCCTCAGAGCGAAATAGGCCTTTGGGATTATGCATCCCAGGCTCATCCCTTTGGGAATATCCATCCCAGGTTCACCTCATGCCCAGGTAGCCCTTGATAGGAGGTCACTCAGTGTCAGTGAAACCATGCACAATAACAGAGAGCTCTTCCCTCTACAAGGGAACTCATTCTATATTTGGACATTCTGTTAGAAAGTTCTTCCCTCATTGACATCTATCAGTTGGCTCTCTTCTGCCCCAGGAAGCAGAAGACTGTGAAGTTATATGTGGGCAGTAGCAGGAGGTAATGGAAATGGTTTAAAACTGGATTGTGTTACTAAAACTCGTTGAACTCAAAAGGGGTGAATTTTATGGTATGTAAAGCATACCTCCATAAAGCTGTAAAAAATTAAATCCAAAATTACCTAAGACCTCCTTAGAAAAAAAAGTTTGGGACATCTAAGATTTTGTTCTGTTTGGTTATGGGAAATCTACCTTCAACATTATTTCTTGAAATAAGCCAGGCACAGAAAGACAAACATTGCACGTTCTCACTTATTTGTGGGATCTAATAATCAAAACAATTGAACCCATGGAGACAGAGAGTAGAAGGATGGTTACCAGAGGCCGGGAGTGGTAGTGGGGGTTGGGGGCAGGAATGGTTAATGGGTACAAAAAATTAGAAAGAATGAATAAGGCTTAGTATTTGATAGCACAACAGGGTGACTATAGTCAATAATAATTTAATTGTACATTTTAAAATAACTAAAAGAGTATCATTGGATTGCTTGTAACACAAAGGATAAATGCTTGAGGGGATGGGTACCCCATTTTTCATGATGTGATTATAAATAAATAAAAAGAAAAAAGGAAAAAAAAACAGATTTCTTCAGGGCATCATGAAAATAGTTTAAGTTTTGAGATGGGTTGTCCGTGCAGCTGTCAACAAAGATACAGCTGTTCTGATCTGGAAGTGAGTACTGTTCAAAATGGACCACTTCTGTTATTGAAAAAAAAAAAAAAGCAAATATGGAGGCCTGGAATGTTCCTAGACCAGGGATTTTTCAACTGACAATAAGAAAAGAGACAATGTTTAATCTGTAATAAGTGTTTCACATGGGTTATTTGCTTTAATCCTCACAACTCTGAGGTAAGTACTATCATTACTCCCATTTTACAGATGGGAAAACTGAGGCACAAAGAAGTTAAATAACTTGTCTAAGGTCACATAATTAGTGAGAGGCATGAGTGGAGCTTGAACTCACGCAGTTGGCCTCCAGAGGCCATCTTGTCTCCCACCATGCCCCTTCCAGCTTCTCCCAACTGCTGTTGCATGTGGATTATAAGAGGCTGGCTCATCAGACTGATTGTTTATTCAATTTTGGTCAGGCTGACTGTATGCTGGTGCCAATCATCAGCTGCTGCAGATGGTGAGGCCTGGGACTGTGACTTGGTTAATGTCACACAAGCAAATGGTCTTCCTTTGTGGACTGCTTTCCTTTTTGAATAGCACTTTCAGGAGTTCTTCCAGAGAAGTACTTTTTTTTTTTTTTTTTTGAGACGGAGTCTTGCTCTGTCACCCAGGCAGTGCAGTGGTGCGATCTCATCTCATTGCAACCTTCACCTCCTGGGTTCAAGCGATTCTCCTGCCTCAGCCTCCTGAGTAGCTGGGACTACGGGTGTGTGCTGCCACACCCAGCTAATGTTTTGTATTTTTAGTAGAGACGAAGTTTCGCCATGTTGGCCAGGCTGGTTTTAAACTCCTGACCTCAGGTGATCCACCTGCCTCAGCTTCCCAAAGTGTTGGTATTACAGGCACGAGCCACCGCACCTGGCCAGAGAAGTACCTTTATGTTCTCAACATGTTAATGAATTTAATGCAGAACTGAAGCCAAAGGTGAGGTGGTTGGATGAGTGAAGCAGTTAAGTGCGTATGTTAGACACATGTTCTATGTGGGTTATTTCCAGACTCACCTTAGCTCAGTGTTGTGATAATAGTCTCCCTTCAGCCTCATATCAGAGCCTGAGCCAATAATATGAGCTGTCTTCTTGGATAGCTTGGGCTGGGCTCCACAACAGAAGAAGCTGGGGCAAATTGGCTCTGTTGCTGAGACCTGCCATGTATTTACATAACTAGGTTGGCAAGATCTTCTTAGAAAAGGTTGGCTGGCCACTTGTCCCAGAATGTTATGAAGTTGATGATTCAAACAATTTCTATTCCCAATCATACAATTATAGGCTTAGAGTGAGAATTAACTACCGGATTATCCATCCCAGCCCATGCCCTCTGTGGCAATGCCTTAGTAACCCTTGACTCATGATCTCCCAGTCTGAATTAGAACATATCCGATGACAGGCATTTTTACTCTACAAGGGGTCTTCTTTCATTTTAGACACTTCTATTAGAAAGGTATCCCTTCCTAACATATAGGAATTGGCTCTCTTTTGCTCTGGGGAGCTACAGAGTTGTATTGTCCAATATGGTAGCCACCAGCCACATGTGGCTGTATTGAGTACTTGAAATGTGGCAAATCCTAATTGAAATATTTTGTAAGAGGAAAATACACACAAGATTTCAAAAACTCAGTATGAAAAAACTTTATACTGATTATATGTTGAAGTGATAATATTTTTGATATATTGGGTTAAATATAATATATTATTAAAATTAATTTCATCTGTTTGTTTTTACTTTTCAATATAGTAACTAGAAAATTTTAAATTGCGCATGTGGCTGGCATTATATTCCTACTAGATAGCACTACTATAGAATATAAGTCTTTACCCTCTTTAAAATGCAGCCTTCAGATTTTTGAAAGACTGCTATCGTTTTTCCCTCAAACATTTTTAAAGGGTAGACTTCTCAGGTTCTTTTCAATGTTATTTATTTAACATAATTTCCTTCATCATTAAATGTGTTCTAGCTTTTCAGTCTCTACATTGAGCTGAATACCGTAAGCTGAAGATTAGAATTAAGATGTACCATGCCCTGCCAGGTATCCTGGCTAACACGGTGAAACCCCCGTCTCTACTAAAAATACAAAAAAAAATTAGCTGGGCGTGGTGGCGGGCTCCTGTAGTCCCAGCTACTCGGGAGGCTGAGGCAGGAGAAAGGCGTGAACCCGAGAGGCGGAGCTTGCAGTGAGCCAAGATCGCGCTACTGCACTCCAGCCTGGGAGACAGAGCGAGACTCTATCTCAAAAAAAAAAAAAACAAAAAAGAAAAAGAAAAAGAAAAAAAAAGATGGACCATGCCCTTTAGGGCTATTATCTCTCTTGTTTTAATATTACACTTTTGTTAAAACAGCTGGTTTGCTATAATTTGTATAGTGGCACAATTATACCATTCAAGGCTCCTTAACTTAGGGTTAGTGAACACTGGTTGGTCATAGATGGGCTCCAGGTTTCCATGATCCACCTGAAATTGTAAACAAAATTTTACAGCTATGGGCATTTGTCTGTAAGTTAGTCTTTAGCTCTCTTAGGTTTTCAAAGAGATCTGAGGCTTTTAAAAGTTAAGACCTATTAGATTGTATTGCGGCTACAGTCACTTTCAACTCCTGGGATTTTTTTTTTTCTCACAAAACTCTTTTTAATTATACCTAATGTTAAATGACGAGTTAATGGGTGCAGCACACCAACATGGCACATGTATACATATGTAACAAAACTACACGTTGTACATATGTACCCTAAAACTTAAAGTATAAAAAAAAACTCTTTTTAATTTTAGTCTCCCATATGTTTGCATTTAATTTTTTAAATGGATGATTTTATGTTTATTCCTCTTAAGTCTATACCTGTTCCTGTTACCCTTCTATTTTAGCTTATTGATACCTTTTGCCTCTCTTGGTTTATCTGACATTTAATGAATTAGGCTTCTGTCCTGGCTTTGTCACACCTGCAATTTTGATAAGCATGTCTTTTGTGTGTTCATCCATCACTAATTGAAATTTTAGACTGCATAAACCATAGATAGCACTTGGGAGTCTGCCATAGTGATTGCCCTTTGGATAGGCAATGATTCATCAAGTAGTCAACATTCCTTGGGTAGAGTTGTTCAACCAGCTACAAATCTACTCAACTCTACTGGCATTTGTGTCTTCAACTTGTCCAGCGGATGTCAAATTCGTTGCTGAAATGAAGATATATTTTTGTCTATGGCATTCCCCCAATCTTCCTGACCCGTAAGCCTGTCAAAGAAGGAAATGTGACTGGCTTGGTGAAAGACTTATTTGAGGAACCTGTGCTGGCTCCCAGTGATCACTGTCCTTAAAATAGTTAAGTCCAATGTTACTAGAGGTTTGACATAAATCTCTCTAGGCCACAGTTTCTGGCATCTACTTTCCCTCATACTTTCATGGCTTTCTGAAAATTGGAACAATTGTCTTGATAAAGGTGTGGTTGAAAAATTAAATTTATATTGGATTGAAAATGAAAAATAACATGCTTTTAAATTATCTGAGTCTCAGTAACAAAGTGGTGATGCTGAGTAATGATGCATTAAGTCAAAGGGTAAAGTTACAGGATAACAGGGGCCTGGATACAGACGCTATCTACTACACTCATATGTTCTAACCACCAATTTAAGCTAATTGCGCTCCCAAAGCAATTCAATTTGTTTATCACAATATGTTCTGCTGACCCTCAGTGTTTTAAGGTTCTGAGAGCTATTGTCTTTGAGATATCCATTTTGTTTTAAAATCTAGAACAGCTAAGTTCTTTTCTACTAATAATCATAAACATGTTCTCTTCTATCAGATAAAGTAGATGTCAGATGCTTCCTCTGCTTAACTCTCAGGAGTTGTGGAGAAAGCCAAGGCTCTGCTCTCACAGATCCAGGGCCAGTGGTGCCCAATCTTGGATGCACGTGAAAATCACCTGGAAACTTTAAACATCCTGGTGCCTGGGTTACACATGCCCCGAAAGGTTCAGATTTAATTGGTCTGGATGTAGTTGGGCATCAAGATTTTAAAAAGCTCTCCAGGGATTCTAATGTGCAGCCAACATTGAGAATACTGATCTAGGTCAATGGTTCTCAAAGCAGAGTTCCAGACCAGCAGCTTCAGCACCACTTGGAATCTGTCAGAAATACAAATTCTTGAGCCCCCACCTCAGATCTATTGAGTTAGAAATTCTGCAGGAGGAGTTCGGAAATCAGTATTTTGTTTTGTTTTGCTTTGTTTCTCGCTCTGTCACCCAGGCTGCAGTGCAGTGATATAATCATAGCTCACTGCAGCCTCAAACTGGGCTCAGGTGATCCTCCCACCTCAGCCTCCTGAGTAGCTGGGATTACAGGTGTGCGCCACCATGCCTGGCTGGAAATCAGTGTTTTAACAAGCAATGTAGGTGATTCTGATGCATGCTATGGTTTGAAGACTACTGCTGTAGGCTTTCTTCCTCCTTGGAAGAAGCTTATCTGTCAAATGTTATTGACCCTAAGGACGTCTGGTCTGAGGCCAGTGAAAGTTCTCTACAGCCATAGGTAAGTTACACAGGAAGCTTTGGGTGCTCACTTTTCCACTCAGCCAGTGAGCTGGCCCTGCAGAAGGTGCTAGGAATGCTTCCATCTAGTGTCTGCACACTACTATGCTATCCTTCGTGGAGGCTGCTCATCAACCTTTGCTGCCTACTCCACTGTGCCTTCCCTTCCTGCCATTTATTTTATTCTCTGACAAGTGGTTTTGACCCATAATGGCTGACACCAGGTCTGCTGCGATGGTGCTAGATTGCTGCAAAGAAACAAAAGGAAGAATCCCACTGTGGGCATTAAAACACAAGTTTTACAGCCATTTGAGGCACTTTGAGAAAAAGAAGGTAAACATCAGTATGCAATTAGAAGTGAGTGGAAGGTCTTTGGCATCACATCCGAGGGGTGGGTTGTGGGGAGGCAGTTCGGAGAAACTCTGACCCAGACTTGTAGTGTTTGTGGCTGCAGAGTCACATGTCTTAGCAAAAGAAGGCAGCCACAATGGCCAGGTGGGCACTGAAGGAAGCTGTCACCATTTTTGACTCTTCTTTCTGGCAGTGTGAACTTCAATGGCCCACATAATTTTTTTGACCTAATGTGTAAACATTTTACCTCATGTGTAGAAATAGGGACAATGGTACTACCTCGTGGGGTTGTTGTTAGAATCAACTGAGATCCTATATGTGAAAATACCCAGCACAGCAATAGTAAGGGGTGGTTATTTGATAAGCCTCCCATGTACCCTCCATGAAATTATAATGTTGTCTGTAGTGAATTTTTCAGAACTAGGGATTAGTATAAAACTAGGGGGCAGGTGGTTTGTTCACAGATGCTCATTACATCCCGGTTCCAGAAAATCCTTTTCCTCATGGCATCTTTCCTCCCTTTCAAGCTAGGATCTTGACCTCTCTTTACCCTCCCGAAACTCATCCTCGCTTATTGGTCAGTCAGAAGAGGGCTAAGGTATTAATCAAGATTAGGGTGAACATGACTTACAACTATTTCATGTGTTAGTGTTTCAGAGTGAGATGCAATGTAACAGTTGTTAAACATCTTTTAACCCCAAGGAGGGAAGGGAGCCCATGTATATTGAGTGCCTTCCTCATAACAGGAAGTTTGCTTTCGTATTCACAGTCACTTAATCCTCAGAAGAGGTGCTACTATTATCCTCATTTTAAAGGGAAGGAAACCAATGAGAGTGAAATTTAAGAAACAGATCAGATTATTGGGAAATGGAGTATTCTTCCCAGAGCTCCTCAAAATATCATGTAGCTTTCGGACTTTGATTTCTCATAGGGTTGGCATAGATCACTAGAAGAATCAGACAGAAAAAAGTTTGTTTTCAAATGCAAGTTATTTCTTTGCCTAATTGTGAAGCATTACAGAATGATTGGCAATAGCCCAGAAAACACATTCCTCTGCCCTCATTGTTTAATAAAACCAAGAGTACCCTGGCAGAATGAGCTATATGGGTTTGCTGATTGGTTAATCCCTGATAAAATTGGAATTTTTCTTAACCCAGCTGAGAAAGTAATCACTCCTAAGTACAAAATAGAACCATAGCGAGGTGGATAATCTCTCTCCAAGAGGAACTTGGTAGTCGCTGAGTTTTGCTTATGTCTTGTTACATTGTGTTTTAGTCAGTGATCTCCAGAGCAACAGAACTGACAGGATATTTATGGAGAGACAGTATATATAAAAAAAGGTTTTGTTACGGGAATTGGCTCACTTGATGACAAAGGCTAAGTCCCACCACAGACTGAATGTGTGATGGAGAACCAGGGAAACCTGCTGTATGGCTCAGTCCAAGTCTGAAGGCCTCAGAGTGGAAGCCAATGGTGTAGCTCTCAGTTCAAGGCGGAAGGCCCGAGAGCCCAGGGGCCACTGGTTGCAAGTCCCAGAGTCCAAAGGCCAGGGATCCTGGAGTTCTGACATCCAAGAGCAGAAGGAGAAGGGCGACCTGGCTCCAGGAAAGAGAATTCATGCTTCCTCTGCCTCTGTGTTCCATCCAGGCCCCCAGCTGATTGGATGGTGCCTGCCCACGTTGAGGGCAGATTTTCCCCATTCAGTCCACAGACTCACATGCCCATCTTTTCCAGAAACACCCTCACAGACACACCCGGGGCAGTCCAGTCATTCTAATTTAGAAGCAAAACCATCTGGGTTTCACTTTCAGCAGAAGCGTGGCAGGCTCAGGGCCTCCTGAAGCATTGAGAATAATTAATGCAATGATTGAGAATAAATAATGCTTTACCAGCTATCTGAGTACCCCTTAACTCAGTGAGGTAGACACCCAAAAGCAACCATCCTGCATTTTTTTCCGTGAGCATTAATAAAGTCTATTGTTCATTGTAGAATGTTCTGGAAAATGTTCACTTCTCAAAATGACAACTCATCTTTCAATCATCTCCTCCTCTCCAAAGTCTTTCCTACCCTTCCCTCACCTGAAGTATCGATCCGTCAGCCCCGGTTGGTGCTCTCACAGTACTCATTTACAATTGCACTTAAAATGCTGAGTAGCTTATTGGTCTATTCTCAACACCCCCCTCACCCCCATCAAACCACATACTTGTCAGATAAAGGGGTCATGATACTCACCTGGCAGCAGAGGAGATACGAGATCAAGAGAACGGGGTCATTATCTTATTTAGCTTTGTCCCTTTCTCCCAAGTTATCATGAGAAAAAAACTAAATTTAATGAACCAGTGAAAATCGCCTGGCTGTCTGAAAGAGGGAAGAAATGTTGAGTAGGAATAGGGAACAAGGCTACATTCTATGTAGGGTTAAGCCTTGAAAACAAGGCAGAGGGATTTATACTTAAAGTTGAAGCACCTAGAAGCCACTGTAGAGTGTTGAGTGAGTGGTGTGGTGATGAAGGCAGGAAGAGGCATAGATTCTACAGAATGAAGCCAAGTGGGAGGGTCTGGAGGCAGAGACCAATGAGCATGCCAGTGGCTGCAAGGGATTGGTGGATTCGTGTTAGGCATAATGTGTACATGTTAATGGTGAGAAAGATGGGATGCAGAGAAAACTAGGACTTGGTGAGAACCTCTTCTAAAGGACTAAATCAAAGGGAGAAAAAATGTGATTTCAAAGCAGCTAGATCAGAAAAGTGGCAGAAGGATGGAAAACTTAGTTGGAAAAGGGCAGCTGTATTAGTCCATTCTTGCATTGTTGTAAAGAAATAGCTGGGACTGGGTAATATGCAAAGAAAAGAGGTTTAATTGGCTCAGGGTTCTGCAGGCTGCACAGGAAGCATGGCACCAGCATCTACTCAGCATCTACTTAGCATCTGCTGAGACCTCAGGAAGATTTAATGGCGGAAGGTGAAGTGGGTGGAAGGTGAAGTGAGAGCAGGCTCATCTCACATGGCAGGAAAGCAGGAGCAAGGGTGGGAGGAGGTGGCACACACTTTTAAACAACAAGATCTCCAGAGAACTCACTCACTATTGTGAGTACAGCATCAAGGCGATGGTGCTAAACTATTCATGAGAAATCACCCCCATGACCCAATCGCCTCCCACCAGGCCCCACGTCCAACATGGGGGATTACAACTGGACATGCGATTTGGGTGGGGACACAGATCCAAACCATGTCAGTAGCCAATTTGGGGAGTACAGAAGATGGGGAAGGAAGTTAGGATGCATTTCCTTAGTTGACGTTCTATTTCTTTGAAGTGTCAAGTACACCTACAAATCACTTAATATTTAAATTTTACTTTTTCCTAAAATTGTAATGAAGGGGTGAAATAACCTCATTGCTCTTTACATTTTAAGGAGTCCTTATTTTATCTGCTACCAATGTAGGTTTTAATTCTCTTTGGAAAATGAATACTCTTCTGGGTCCCATGGGAGCTGTTCCTTGTGGCATTTGCACAGACGGCCATCTGAGCTGAGTGCTTATTAGATCGGATGAAATATCGTTTAAGGTTAGCAGCCAGACATCACAGGCCACCCACTGGACATGCTGGGAATGAAAAAGAGGCCAAAGGACGAGCGTCTGTAGTTAGCAAAGTACAATTGCAAGATTAACAATGGCAACCCCAGTGCGCAGTACTGCTGGTGGAGAGCGAGTGCATGATATCATAACAGAGTAAGAAAAGGCAGCAAATTCGCATTCAAAGCTCACAGTATGACAGCTTTACAACTGTCTTTTGAATAGTGTCTGTATTAGTTTCCTATTGCTGCTGCTGTAACAATTACCACAGATTTAGTGGCTTAACATGACTTTGCCTATCCCAGTATTGTGGCATTATGCTTCCAATGAGGTTCCCATCCTTGCCCCTCAGATAACCTGGCACAAACAGGCATTAGGATCTTCATATATGAAAACAAATCATTTCATTTTAAAGACAACCTGAGCTGTCAAAGCAGTTACCTCTCCTAATAAAAAAAAACCCAAAAGATAGATTATTTGTTTAATGTCTTGGGGACTTATTAATTAATATGTATACTAGATGCAGTCAGAGAAGGAGACAAGTTTAAGATAGTATAGTTATCATCAGAGCACTGATAGCATATTTGGTGCAAATAGAAAAGCAGAACATTAAAATAAGGCCACTGCAGAAGTATTTATTTTTCCCACTGCAATGAAACAGAAAGATATTAATCTGAGTTCCTGTGAAACTCTTGCCATAGAATACTATAATCAATTTAAATTGGTAAATGTTTCCTTGTTAAAACTAAAATAATTTTATGTGAAAATTCAAATGTGGCTCTCTGTCTTAGTCCAGAGATGTTTAATATTCCAAATTCACTTCAACATACCAAATCAGTGTTTATATAATTAGTTCTCTCTTTAAAAAAAAATCCAAGTATTAACATTAGTTATCTTTGAGGAGGGTGTTTCATTTATTACGTGCATCTGTATTTTTAAAGGGAAGTATGTATAACTCATAGTTTAAAAGAAATAATGATAAAATAGTACTATAGCTTATACTGACACTCAGTTCCATGTTAACTTGTGTAAGTATGTATTAACCAGTTGAAAGATAAAGAGTATTGATGTCCTCTGAAAACAGTTCTTACCTGGCAGCAGAATTGGGCTTTTAAGTCATATTTTTACAAAAAAAAGAATCTTGCTCGTAGATATCACCTTTACTAGTTAACCAAGTATCTACACATATGGGTCTTCTGCAGGTTTCTTGACTAAATTGTTCAACTTTGAAGTCAGTGGAAGAAGTATGTATATGAGGCCAGGCGTGGTGGCTCATGCTTGTAATCCTAGCACTTTGGGAAGCAGAGGTGGGCAGACAGCTTGAGCCCAGGAGATCAAGAACAGCCTGGGCAACATGGTGAAACCCTGTCTCTACAAAAAATAAAAAATTACCTGGGTGTGGTGGTGCGTGCCTGTAGTCCCAGCTACTTGGGAGGCTGAGATGGGAGGATCACCTGAGCCTGGGGAGGTGGAGGCTGCAGTGAGCCATGATCACACCACTACACTCCAGCCTGTGTGACAGAAAGAGACCCTGTCTCAAAAAAAAAAAAGTATGTATATGAGAATGAAAAAAGAGGTAAAATGGTATGAGTTTTTTTTATAATTGGTTTTTAGAATAAAAATATAAATTATTACTAAAACAAAATAACAGACATAGAATGTTAGCACCACATGGTTTCTCAGATATAATGCAGTCACACGAGTTTCTAGATCATTTTTTAGAGTGCTGTGGCTTCAAGGTCACAGCCTGGGAGTGAACCCCGCTGGTAGGAATCATGGTCTCTGGCCTGCACTTCCATCAGAATGGCTCCATCTTATCTGATTTATATATGTATATAAATAGACTTATGTATCTGCCAGTCTAATCACTTTCCTCCCATCTTACATAATATTGTTGCCCACTAATTTGGGGCAACCTTTTTTCACATTCCCAATTTAGACATTAATATTGTTGTTTTATAGTATCAATGTTTCTTTGGATTCACCTACTTATTCGCATTTTCTTTGTCTATTTTCCTTTCTGACATCTCAGACCTTCCTTCTAGAATCATTATCCTTCTTTCTGAAGTACATCCTTCAAATTTCTTTAATTGAGTGGCTTCTGGCAGTAAATGGACTCAGTTTTAGTTTGTGTAAAATGTATTTTACCCTAATACATTTTCTCTATGTAAAATTCTATGATGATCGTTCCTTTACACATTTTGTAGACTTCATGTCATTACAGTCTGGCTTTTGTTGCCGCTGTTGAGAAATCTGCTGCTGGTTTAACTATCCTTATTTTATAGATAATCTGCCTTTTCCTCTAGGTGCTTTCAATATTGTCTTTATGTCTGGTGTTTTGCAGCTTCGTTGATGGGTGTAGGTGTGAATTTCTTATTATTTATACTCCTCAGGACTTGTGCTTTCTGAACTTGAAAAGTATTATCTTTCATCTATTCTCAAAAATTCTATGCCATTTTTACTGGCATTTCTCTAAAACCATCTTCTTAAACTCCAAGTGGACATTTATCAATTTGTGATTCTATTCTCCATTTCTCTTAAGTATTCTTTGCAGTTACCATTACTTTGTTTCCCTTGCTTCTGTTTTGGTTAATTTCTTGAGTGTTATCTTCCAGTTTCCCAATTCTTTCTTTAGTTTTGACTAATGTATTGTTACCCTGTGCTTTTAAATTTAATTTTTAGTTTTTAAAATATCTCTCTGTTCCTGCATTAGTTTGCTGAGGACAATGGCCTCCAGCTCCACCCATGTCCCTGCAAAGGAGATGATCTTGTTTCTTTTTATGGCTGCATAGTATTCCATGGTGTGTATATACCATATTTTCTTTATCCAGTCTATTATTGATGGAAATTTAGGTTGATTACATGTCTTTACTATTGTGAATAGTGCTGCAGTGAATATACACATGCATGTATCTTTATAATAGAATGATTTATATTCCTTTGGGTATATACACAGTAATGGGATTGCTGGGTCAAATGGTATTTCTACCTCTAGGTCTTTGAGGAATTGCCACACTGTCTTCCACAATGGTTGAACTAATATACACTCCTACCATCAGTGTAAAAGCATTCCTTTTTCTCCATAACCTTGCCAGCTTCTGTAGTTTTTTGACTTTTTATTAATAGCCATTCTAACTGGTGTGAGATGGTATCTCATTGGGGTTTTGATTTGCATTTCTCTAATGATCAGTGATGTTGAGCTTTTTTTCATGTGTTTGTTGGTTGAATGTATGTCTTTTGAGAAGTATTTGTTCATGTCCTTTGCCCACTTTTTAATGGGGTTGTTTGTTTTTTTTTCTTGTAAATTTGTCTAAGTTCCTTGTAAATGTTGGATATCAGACCTTTGTCAGATGGACAGATTGCAAAAATTTTCTTCCATTCTGTAGGTTGTCTGTTCGTTCTGATGATAGTTTCTTTTGCTGTGCAGAAGCTCTTTAGTTTGATGAGAACACATGGACACATGTGAAAGAGCAACACACGCTGGGGCCTGTCAGAGGGTGGAGGGGGAGGAGGGAGAGCATCAGGAAGAAGAGCTAGTGGATGCTGGGCTTAATACCTAGGTCATGGAATGATCTGTGCAGCAAACCACCATGACACACATGGTGTCATGTAATAAACCCATGTAATAAACCTGCACATCCTGCACATGGACCCCTGAACTTAAAATGTTTTCAAAAAAGAGAAAAAGAAAGAAAAAAATATGTGGTGTTTTGAGAGTACCTTATTACTTTCTCAGGTTTTTATTTCATATTCGTATTATTTCACTAACATTTTACACTTGGTTATTTTATTCTGCATCATCCATTTCAATATTTCAAATTCTTGAGGGTCTAATTCAGCTGTTGTTTTTGCTGACTCTCAATCATGGAGCCTATTTCCTCATGTACTTTGTACTTTTGGATTTTAAGTTCCTATTCAGCTGTATCTGGAGGAATCCTGCAAGACCTGAGTTGAGGGTGAGTTCCTAAGAGAGAATCTACATCTACTTCTGCCAGGCCCTGCAGGTCACTACCCATCTGAGTCCACATTAGATTAATTTGTTGGCCTAAGGTTTTCTGAATTGCACAGGTAGTATCAATTTAATGCCAGACCTTTGAGGGACAAGCCTGTGGTTATGAATTTTCAGAGAATATGTAATATTCTGACCCAGAGCCCAGGCTGAGAAGATTTCCTCGTTCTCTTTATGTGGTTTCTGTGGAAGTTGCACCCTTCATTATTTTGGTTTTATGTAAGGTCTCGGTTCAATTCCCCATCTTGCTTAGGCCTCAGTGTGGCCATTAAAATCCAAACCTCTTGGTTATCAAGATTGGCAGATGCCTACAGGGCAGCCATAGATTCAGCTAACACCTGCTTTCCAGCCCGTAATGAGCTCAACTATTTGTTTACCCTTCCTTTCTTATGAGCTCAACAATTAAATGGTTGTTTAGTATATTTCATCCAGCATTTCTAGGTACCTAGTTCCAAGTATTTCTCCAGACAGAAGCTTTTCATCATTTTTCTGATGAAGAAACTAAGGCGCAAAAAAATTAGTTGACTCTAACAAGACACAGCAATAGTAGAAAACCAAAACTGAGCCTCTGAACTCCTTGCTTACTTCTTTCTCAATCACGCATAATGCCTCAACTCTTAGAGCTGGCATTTGTTGTATCAGTCCTAATAACTCTTGAGGTATCTCTGAAATCAGTAGTAAATTTCTCCCAAATTATGATAACTTGCTAAAATAAGATGAGATTAAATCATTGTCACAAGGTCATTTGATATATTACAGCTGTGAGATAAGAAGACTGCATCTCTGACTTTCAAGGCTGTGGTGACATGTGTAGAAAATTTAGTTGTAACTATTTCTTCAAGCACATCCTGGTTTCTAAGTTTGAAGCCGAACCACTAATCATGGAGAGGAACTATTTGTAGTAATTAAACAGCCATCTCTTTAGGATTCATACAGGCATAGTTTATCAACAGCGTCAGAGCTTTCTCACATGCAAAAGCCTCACGTTCATTATTTACTGAATATTGGGGAAATAATTTGAAAAATCTGCACATTAGTTATGTATGCATTCTGAAAACAGTGAACACTATTTGCATCTTAAAAAGATCTGAGTAATGCTGTATAATATTGCAACTAGCAAATCTGAGACTAGAGAAAACTAATTTTGAGATTTCAACATAAAGAAAATAAGATGGATTAGGAATTTCAATTGACCTCTCTCAAATGACCCAGTGTTAACAAACCAACAACAACTACGTGCACAAACACACACACACGCACACTAATCCAGGGCTACTGGCTGTGGTTTTATTTTGCTTTGTTCCAAATTCCCAAATCTCCATGTAAAATGGAGACCTCATGGACATTCCAAATTTTTCTTCAATTTAATCTTGTCCTCAGATGGTGTTCACCTTACTTAGCCTTTGTCTTCAAATTCAAGAAAACCAGTTGTGGGTTTAAAACTTCCTGTAGAGGGCGCTATTGATATTGCCAACTATACTAAACTTTTTTTTTTTTTTTTAAAGGGTTCATAAACTACAGTTTCTGCTTAGAAGTCGTTAGATTGATATTTGGGAGTTAAATTTAAACCAAAACTCTAAGCGGACTAGTAACTATTAAGCTGTCTAATACTTTTGAAACAAGCGTCCCTCTGCTGGCTTATTTAATGCAGAAGTCTGAGCGGCCCCTCCCCTCCCCCTTGTATTATTTAATGAACAATTCCTCTTCTGGTCTGTATTAACAATGGTGCTTGGAACTCGGCATCGATAACACACTGTATGCCCTGTTGTGCTACATGTTGAATGATTTGTGTGTCTTTGAGAAAGTCCAGCTTCTCCTCTTAATCTGGTATCCTGGAGGCTCTGTAATTTACTCCTACAGTTCCCGGTCATAACGTATTTCATGTCAAGTAGGAGGGTTTTTTTTTTTTTCAAACTCTTAATAGAGATATTTTCAAACAAAGACAGAGGGCAAAGAGGATCTTCTTAAGATATTAAATGAGAACATAACCATCGCTTATTTGTCTTTTGTATTATTATGAGGCAATTGATGATTGCCTGGGGCTCTGCTGATGAATCAGACTTTTAATAAGTTTCAGCAAGAACGGTGTTCACGGAGATAAGTTAATTAATTGCTCTGCTGTGTGAAAGCTCATGTAGATAGTGTTTTATTCTACTGTGCAGTCCGTTCATAAAAAGGCACACAATTCTTTACTGCACTAATGCTTATCGGCAAACCTTCACAGAAAACATTATTTCACTCTTTTTAAAAATAAACTGTTAATAACCTTATTAAACCAGAAATGAAATATGTTACTGATCACTTGCCAAACGTGGTACTGAAAAGAAATCTTTCCTTTTGGAGCCTCTGATGTCTTGCAGCTAATTGTTTACAAAACTCTTCTAGATACTGACAGAAACTTCTCCCTTTATTACTTTTAACCGTGGGGTTTTGGCAAAGTGCTTCTTCTTCCTCCGCACCACTTGGCTGATTTCAAACCAGAAGAGTTCTGTATTTCTTTTTTACCATCTCTGTATAGCAGCATTTTAAGGGACCATAGGATAAAGACTTGGAAAGTGTCACATTGTAGTACAGTGGGGTTTTCTCCTGATGGCTACAATTTACATGCCAGGAGCCCTGTAAGCCCTCTAGCATTTTCTTGATGCTCTGAAGGAAAAAAAATTTCAAACAGTTCTTAGAGTCTGGAATGCTTTCCCTGGCAATTGACAACAGAGTTCAAGTCAAGTTTATGATTCGAACTCAAACTTAGCGTTTCCTTATGCACTTTTAACTCTTTGAAAGATGGGTTGAATATAATATAATATAATATAATATATGTATAGCACTTTCCTCCTGGTATATTTATTTTACTTTTATTGAATTTTCAAGTCTTTGTTGATAATTGTGTTTTGTAGATATTTTAAAATAGAGAAAACAATCTATTCAGTCTTGTCATCCTAGCACATTGGCTATTCGTTTCTTAGTTTAAAATTATCCACTAGGTAAAACAAATATGTTTGTATCATCGCTCAGTTTTCTGTTCTATTTCAAATTAATATTACATCATAATTTTATCAAAATTTTTTTCACATACGTTGGCATGGTCTTCAGACCTGTGGTAATAATCACACCTCTCTTAACGGGTGGCGTGCTGATCAAATAAGTTCAAATATCAGTAGCCAACACACAGTGTGGCACATAAGCACTTCACAGATGTTTTGCCTTTTCCTCCATCTTTTCTCACTGGTCGTTTAATTGGATTTCATTTGTAGCTACTAATCGGCCGTTATGTGCCATAGAATGAATGTTTTGAAAAGTAATCATGTGAGTAAATAAAACTTGTATTCAAAATGTTTTCATGCTTTCCAATATAATTACAGCGTAAAGTAAATGAAATCAGAGCAACTGGCCATTGAAGAATTGCTCTGTGCCACCACAAACTTTGCTGTGATATAAGATCTACTCCAATTCTGATGGTCAATCACTTGGCATCCCTCAGTGTGCTTTTTGGTGACAGCCACCTATATAATTTGCTTTCAACCCAATCTAAGTATTCCCATGTCCTCTGGGAAGGACTGGATGTGGTTCTTCTCACCAAATATCAGAACAACAAATCAATCTTCCATCTCTGTCTCCTTTTTCCTTTTCTATTTATCCACCCCCAGTGTTCCTTGCTCTTTACCTTCTATGTAATAAGCAGCTATTTTATTTGCTGTTTTGGGGTCTGCTTCCCACTAGCCTTTGCATTCCTAGCCGGGGTCCCTCCAGAGGACATCTCTCCTTTCCTAATGTGGCTGTTCTAGGAATGCCAAAGGGAATTTTTTCACAAAATCCTGTCCTTTGCAGGGACATGGATGGAGCTGGAGGCCATTTTTCTTAGCAATGTAATGGAGGAACAGAAAACCAAATACCGCATGTTCTCACTTGTAAGTGGAAGCTAAATGGTGAGAACACATGGACACAAAGAGGGGAACAACACACGCTGGGGCCTACCTGAGGGTGGACGGAGGGAGGAAGGAGAGGATCAGGAAAAATAACTGTTGGGTACTAGGCTTAGTATTTGGGTGATGAAATAGCTGTACAACAAAACTCTGTGACATGAGTTTGTCTATATGACAAACCTGCACAGGTACCCCTGAACCTAAAATAAAAGTTTAAAAAAATAAAGAAAAATTTCTTTAAAAAAGAGCATGCTTCTCACCATTCTTGATCTAAGGGACTGCTCTAAGCCTCAGCAGATCCTGGTCTCTGGCTGTGGTTGCCTCTTTGATTCTCTTCAAGTGGCTGGGTAATTCTATTAGCTTGGTGTAAAAATAATTGCGGTTTTTGGTATTATTTTCAATGGCAAAAACCGCAATTACTTTTGCACCAACCAAATACATGTTATGCCTTGCTTCTGACAGCCCAGGTTTATGTGGGATTACATGTTATGGGTTTTGCAATATTTGCCTTGTAGGTTTCACTTTGGGGTCTTTCTAATTCACTCTTGACCTTGACTGATGATAGATCAATATTTCCACTGCCTATCTGCCTTTCATAGACTCTTAGAATTTCAGTTTAGAGTGATCTGATAGTTCATCTAGTCAAATCCTCATTTTTATACATATAGAAAAGGAGATCAGGAGGACAGAAGAGATTTTCGAGGTACAGGTTACACCTTAGTCCCGTAACTAGACCTCATCTGTCTCATGACATGATTTCAGCTGTGGTGAGGGCAGGTTTACTGCCACCTCAGACCCTCTTTGTTTACTCAATTGTCCTTTTTAATTAAAGCCATCTCTCTCAACCCACAAAGCAGCAATTTTTTTTTTTTTTGAGACAGAGTTTCGCTCTTGTTGCCTACACTGGAGGGCCATGGTGTGATCTTGGCTCACCGCAACCTCTGCCTCTTAGGTTCAAGCGATTCTCCTGTCTCAGCCTCCCAAACAGCTGGGATTACAGGCATGTGCCACCACGCCTGGCTAATTTTATGTTATTTTTAGTAGAGACGGAGTTTCTCCATGTTGATCAGGCTGGTCTTGAACTCCTCACCTCAGGTGATCCACCCACCTTGACCTCCCAAAGTGCTGGGATTTATAGGCGTGAGCCACCATATCCAGCCATAGCAATGTTTTTAAGTCAAGAAATTTCAAATATTTTTACTGAGTCTGACTCGTCTCTCAAAATCATTGCTTCCTCAGACTGCATTTCACAAAGCAGCGAGCTAAAGGTTTAGATTTTCAAACAACTCTCCCCTGTTTCTTCTCTCTGCTCTATTTCTGCCCATCTCTCTACTCATTTAAACTTTTCTTGGTTACTTTGATATTTTGATGATTGATTGTGGATTCTGGTATCATTGCTTTTTCTTCTAGATCCTAATTACCTGTCCTATGTTCTCACCTAGTCTTATTGTGGTGAAAATTCAGGTCAACTTTTGGCTTCTAGTCTGACATAAAAAGAGCTTGGCAGTCAACACTGCCATCTTCTTAACTGAAGCTCAACAGCTGTCTAACAAAAAACAGGTTGTTCTAAATAATAATAGCAACTATATATTGGGGGACTATAGCTTAGGAATAAGTGAAAGGAATGAGAGCAACATTGTAAGAGATGAGGGGAGGAATTGGGAATTCTCTGTTACAAGATACCTGCATTACCTGTGAAATGGTGTAGTGTTAAAGTGGACTTGGGACTGGGCGCGGTGGCTCACGCCTGTAATCCCAGCACTTTGGGAGGCCAAGGTAGGTGGATCACCTGAGGTCAGGAGTTTGAGCCCAGTCTGGCCAACATGGTGAAACCTCATCTCTACCAAAAATACTAAAATTAGCCAGGTGCAGTTGTGCACACCTGTAGTCCCAGTTACTGGGGAGGCTGAGGCAGGAGAATCACTTGAACCTGGTCAAGGCTGCAGTGAGCTGACATCATGCCACTGCACTCTAGCCTGGGGGATGGAGCAAGACTCTGTCTCAAAAAAAAAAAAAAAAAAAAAAAAAAAAAAAAAAAAGTGGACTTGGATTGGTTGTAAATGTATATTGCAAACTCTAGGGTGACCACCACATTTTTTTAAAAAAAGAAATATAATTGATATTTTAAGAGAAGAGAGAAAATGGAATCATATAAAATATTCCATTAAATACAGAGAAGGCATAAAAAGAGTAGAAAGCAAACAAAGAAAAAGAAACAAGGGTAATGAATAGAAAACAGTTACAAATAGGGTAGATATTAATCCAACTACATCAATAATCACTTTAAATGTGAATGGCTTAAGTAAGCCAAGTAAAGGACAGGGACTAATGGAGTAGATTAAAAAAAATAAGACCCAGCTATATGCTGTCTACAAGAACCCACTTTATATATGAAAACACATGTAGATTAAAAGTAAAGGTAGGGAGAAAGGTACACCATGCTAATACTACTAAAAATAAATCTGGAGTCGCTGTATTAATTTCAGATAAGTTAGTCCTTAAGGCTAGTAACAGTTAAGCAGAGGGCTAGGTGTTCTTAAGAGCCCTTGCTTTTTCCTCATATATAATTTATGTTAAAAGAGGGTCCCCCACCTTTTCACATTCAGCACAGCCAAATTTCCCCTACATTTGACAGTGTGCACACTGTAATTTAGTGATATGCATGCCTGTTGAGTGTTCAAGTCTGATTTGGCTTCACCAAGAATAGAACAATGTTCCTAAAAAGTTTGTCATGAAGAGAAGCCCATTTAGAAATTCATCCTCTAACCATTGCATTTTATTGATTTTTATAAAGAAAGAATAAAATAATTATCTTATTTTCCTATGTTGCTTTGCCACACCTTTTGCTTTTAGAACTTCTTTGAATTGGAGTGACTTCTATGTACTGGGAAATGTTCATCAAACTATCTTCCTTTCTGCTTTGAAAAGACACAGATTATCTCTATTCCCTGAAGGGGGAAAAGGATGACAGCTACTTCCCTGGGGGTCTTAGGAGAAAAAAATTTAGGGTTTTAAAATTTTACTATATATTCGAGAATATTGTCTAAATCTTCCTTGGAAAATTGTCTATATTAGGGTCTTCATTTAAACAAAAACCATTTTAAATGACGTCTGTCAATCTCATCATACTCTCAGATTCCAAAATGCAATTAGTTTGGAGTATTCATCTATTCTCAAGGGCAACAAACCCATTCCAAAGGAGGATGTAGCCATATCTATTAGTGGTCAAGGACAGTTTCTTTCCACACTTGTTCTGTGATACAAACTTCCCTTTTATACAATCCTCATTCCAGAGACATGATTTACAGTAGGTGAAGATGAATATTTGTTAGGAACAAAGAAAAGGAAGAAAGAGAGGTCCTGCCTTCTCACTGATCTTCCTGATGTTTCTGTTTTCAATTTCCTTCACGATACAGCCTTAGTGCATGTCAGGACAGGGTTGGTGTGAAACCAGGTTCTCCCCTACTCCTTTCTTTTTCCAACTGGCTTCCTTGGGTAGCAAATATCTGACTTGCACTATTCTCCACGTTGCAACAGGTTGGTTTACATTGTGTACTACATGCAGTGGGATATGCTCCAATTACAGAGAACATCCGAAACAGGCCTCTGCTTTAATAAAGATATAAAACCTTTTTACCCTGGTGGGGCCAAGAATCTCAACCCAAAGGAAGCATTCTATGAAATGGTCTACAAACTAGGGCAAGGAGTTTCTTTTTTCTTTCTTTCTTTCTTTCTTTTTTTTTTCTGTAGTAACTCTAGGCAAATTCCTCAGAAATCAGATTGGCAAGGGAAAAGAAGGGGTGGGCTGGAACCCTGGAATTTGGGCTTGCTGAATGCATGCCATTCCCTTGCCACATAGTACAATTCAACGCCAACTGCAGAAAGAAAGATCTAAGTCAGAAGTGTGATGCAGACACAAGGCAATCATCAGCTCAATTAAACTGGTTATTCTACAAATAACCTAGAAACAGCAGGATTGCCAAACAATCTCCAGCCCCTGAAACATTTGCAAATGAGCATGACGACTGAGATTTTTCTTTCTTTGTAGCCATACACTGTCACATTTTAATGATGAATTATAGACATGGGCTTTTGGCAGCAGACTGTAGCAAACATGATTCTACACTATTTTCTTTTAATCAGAAGATACAAAGGCTTAGAGATACATGGCATGGTGCCTGAGAAAGAGTTAGATAAAGCTCTAGAAAGAAGGATGTGGGATGGAAATATACATATGCTTCCCCTTCTTTTTGGATGCAAGGCAGATATGCTTTTATTGTTATAAGATACATGATCTTTTGTTTCATTTTAGGTGGTATTTTTGCACCTGTTGGGGATGTTTATAATAAAATATACAACTAGCTGGTATGGCATACGTATCTAATTCTATAATATATACTAATCTATATCAGTGTCATTTAAAAATTGCAAATTAAACATATTTTTTCATAAACTAGTAATATAATCTCTTGATGTCATAAATATGAAAGTAACATATTATTTGTATAGTCATGATGTCAGGAGGATATTATTTAAGTACTTAATGGGATCAGAGGCTTAGTGCACAGGAAATATATTTTTTTCTATAAGTTTCCTGTGTCTGTTTTACTTAGTTTAATCATTTTAATTGCAATTTTTAAAATTTTAAAACAGGACTATAACTCTTGGCTGCTATTACTTCATTTTTATTCTGGCAAGTTCAGAAATACCCAGTAACATTGCAAAAATAAAGCCATAAGTTCTGAATTCTTCTCTGGCCCTGTCTTGTCTTATGTCTTTCTGCCTTCATCTCCCTTTACCTTCTCTTCCTCCTTATACACTGGATTATTTATCCCTTATTCATTTCACTAGGCTTTCAGTATAAAAGGAAGAAACAAACCTGAGTCTCTTTTTATAAAGCAAGATTGCTTTATAATACATCTTAGATGCCATAAGGCTATGTAGATATTTTCTTGAGGAGTGTTTTTGTTCATAACAATGCCTAGCATTAGACGGTTAAATGATATGTGGAAACTGATTTCTCAGGAAGAATTTATTTTAAAGGCGCAGTGTAATGAGTTGAAAATACAGAGGAAAAAAACTCCAACACATGGATTGAAAAAAAAGAAGTCCAGAGCTTTGGTTTAGGTCCCATATGTGAGGATGTGTGACATCCATCATTGGGATAAACAGTGCCTGGTGGCTGATTTACAGAGTGGTATTCCTCTACAGAAGGCAGCCATTCACCCCTTGACAATGAAATGAGTGATGGCAGCTGTATTCCAGAAGGATCTATTTGGGGAAACAAAACTTGGGATAGGGTGGGTCGGACATGAAAAGATAAGGAGACGTAAGGATCCCATCTGTTTGGCCCTCTTGGGTTAGAGCCAGCCTCTGGAGTAGACAGCATCTCCCTCTCCCTCCAGATTGTGGGGGTATTGAGAATTTGCATCTAGGAGACTCAAGCAGGCCACAGCTGCCCCTCAGTCAGTTTATTTGGGCTAGAATCATTGGCATCTTTTAAGAGTAATTAAAGTCTCACATAAGATATCAAACAGATAAAAATCTGTCTTATAAGCAAAACTGAAATTGGTGGTTTGTACATGAAATCTGACAAATGGAGGACTATACCACAGATGCAAGAGAGTTTAAAAACAGGATCCGTACTCCTAAACCATCACAACACCTAAACGTGATGACTATGAACCACTGAAAGCCTGTCCCATGTGTCTCATTTAATCATGACAACCCTATGAAGCCAGTATCATTGTCATCTCTTCTATTCTGCAGATCAGTGCACTGCAGCATAGAGAGGGAGGTGTATTAACTTTTGCCTATGGAGCTAGTAACAGGTAGAACCGGGATTCTTTTTTTTCATCATTTTTTATTATGTAAAATATATATAACAAAATTTACCATTTTAACCATTTAAAAATGTACAATTCAGTGATACTAAGTACATTTATAATGTTAGATAACCATTGCTGTTATCTAATTCCAGAATATTTTCATATTCCCAAAGAGAAACTTTGTCGCCATTAAACAGTAACTCCTCATTTCCCCTTCCTCTTGGATCTGGGATTTGAACTCATGAAACCTGAGATTAAAGCCCCAGGTTTAAGTACCAGGCTCTACCACCTTTAATGGTACCACCATTTTCTCCTTCATTGTGTATTTGACTTAATTCCAGGTTTTAGTGTTTGCTTTTTGTGTCGGGCCTCATGAGTAGAGCGCTCCATGGTGAAGGAATAGCAGCCATAGAATAGTTCCAGAATAATGGAGGCTTTGTGGCAAAGGTAGACATCAGGGTGCAAGTCAGCCTTAGCACTGCTAACTTAGCATCACTTACTAGCCTGCGGGTAGTTCTAACAACTAAGCAAGAAGGCCAGGATGTTGTGCTAAGCTGATGAATCAGTTTACAAATATGAACCTTTGCTATCCCATATCAATGGAATCATCAGGGGCTTCAAGTTTAAAAATCATTCAGCTTCCTATACTGCTATTTCCATAGCTAATAGGGAGAATATATATTGCTTTATAGCAAATCGCATGCTGGACTTAGTGTCTTTCTAAACTGTATATTATGCCCAGATGTTGAAAAGTCTTCTCTTGAAATTAAAGTAAATTTATGCAACTATATTATTTGGTAAGATCAGACAATTAATATTATTATTATTATTTTTGAGACAGGGTTTTGCTCTGTTGCCCAGGCTGGAATGCAGTGGCAGGATCATGGCTCACTACAGCCTTGGCCTCTGAGGCTCAAGCGATCCTCCCACCTCAGCCTCCCGAGCAGCTGGGACCACAGGCATGCACTACCACACCTGGCTAATTTTTAAAAAATTTTGTTGTAGAGACAGGGTCTCACTATGTTGCCCAGGCTGGTCTCAAACTCCTGGGCTCAAGCAATTCTCCTGCCTTGGCCTCCCAAAATGCTGGGATTACAAGCATGAGCCACCGCACCTGGTCTAATATTTTTTCTTCCCGTCTGATGTTCTATTATACATACCTATCATTATGTTACCATTTTGCAGTTGCTAAACTAAGAGCACGGGAAAAATTGAAGGGGCCAGGTAAGATGTAACAGAGAGCTGATATAAGAGTGGGGAAGGCCTTTCTAGAATCATGAACCCAAGTATTGACATCATAACAAAAAGTTGACTATATCGAAATTTAAAAGTTCTATATGGCAAAAGACAGCATAGACAAAGCTAAAAGTAAAAAGACAAATTGGAAAAAAAAAAATCTACAAAATAAGTGATAGGAAAATGGCTTCAGTCAACAGCCAAGGCAATCCTAAGCAAAAAGAACAAAGCCAGAAACATCACATTACCTGACTTCAAACTATATTACAAAACAGCATCATTCTGGTAAAAAAAAAAAAAAAAAAGACACATAGAGCAATGGAGCAGAATAGAGACCCTGAAATAAAGCCATACACCTACAACCAACTAATCTCTGACAAAGTTGACAAAAATAAACAATGGAGAAAGAATATCCTATTCAATAAATAGTGCTGGGAAAACTGGCTAACCATATGCAGAAGAATGAAACTGGACCCCTACCTCTTACCATATACAGAAATTTGGCCTGTCATAGTGTCTCACACCTATAATCCCAGCACTTTTGGAGGCTGAGTAGGAGGATTGCTTGAGCCCAGGAGTTTGAGATCAGCCTGGGCAACATAGCAAGACCTTGTCTCTACTAAACATAAAATTAAAAAGTACAGCTGGGCGTGGTGGCTCACGCCTGTAATCCCAGCACTTTGGGAGGCGAGGTGGGTTGATCAATTGAGGTCAGGAGTTCGAGACCAGCCTGACCAACATGGTGAAACCCTGTCTCCACTAAAAAAAATACAAAAATTAGCTGGGCGTGGTGGCAGGTGCCTGTAATCCCAGGTACTCGGGAGGCTGAGGCAGGAGAATCCCTTGAACCCAGGAGGTGGAGGTTGCAGTTAGCCGAGATAGTGCCATTGCACTCCTGCCTGGGTGGCAAGAGCGAAACTCTGTCTGAAACAGATACACACACACACACACACACGTTTTGTGGGTAGCTTGCTCAATAAAGCTAAATAATGTTAAGCAGGAGGGTGAAAGGAGAGACAAAGTGTCTTGAAATAAAAACACAGCAGAGCATGATGGACAATGGGGATTCTGGAGTCAGGACTAGGTTTGAAACTCAACTTCCTTACTTATTACCTGCGTGACCTTATTCAAATTACTTAGCCTCACTGAGCTTCAGTTCTCTCATTAATAAAATAGTAGTAATCATACCTTTCACCCAGAGTTGTCAGGATTAAACATGATGGAAGATATAACAGGCTTGACCCAGAGTGGGTGCTCACAAATAATAGTGTTCTTTCCTTCCCTTCAGACTTTGACATAGCATTAAATAGCCACAGCAGTCCTGAAAATAGATGCTTTTGCTAAACAGCACAATGTCCCAGTGTACTGTTTATACTGCAGTCTCTTTAAGTGTCAAGTAAGGGCATTGTTATGAAAGCTATAGGCAGAATATTTTAAAACCAGGAAGGGGGAGGAGAGCCAGGTAGGGAAGCTTTATATTTTCTGATATCCACAGTGGGTAATATTCAAGATTCAAATGAAGTTCAGAGTAACTTCCCAGATTTTAAATATTCTGTGTCATGTAAGAACGAGGAGGAATCGCTGATCAATTAGGTTTAAAAGCTACTGAAATTCTCAAGAATCATTTTAAAAAGGTACTTATAAATGCCCCTAAAGAGATGAGAATAACCTTCCCCATCGGCAGTACATGAGTTAAATATGTGGTTAATGATGATACAAAAAGAAGTGCTATGTGAAATATCAGTTCATGTGAGATGATGCTCAATATTAATTTATGGGATATCAATAATGTTTTAGTCTAAATGAAACTTCCCTGTATATAAAACATTCCTAATTATTGTTAAACCATTACTTTCCACTTACCATTGATCTTAAGGAAATGACTAAAATTTTTGGAGTGTGCTGACACGGCACTATTATTCTGGGTCATTATTCAGAGCAGGTGTCAATCTCTTTCACTTAATCTCAAAGCAGAAAAAATAAAGACTAAGTAGTTTTTCCTTTAATCGAGTCGCTTTCAAAGAAAGAAAAACACATTAAGATAAGAGCAACTTTTATAGGGATGTTAACATGCTAATACTCTTTGAGATAGGTGAAGCTTTTGATTTTCAGCCAGGTTCAAGAGAAAACATTAAATTTTATAGAGTAGTGAATACAATAATTCCCTATAGAACCAGGTCAAGCCATTAGCAGCCAATGGTCTTCCAGATGAGGTTCCCCAAGCTTAAACCAGGTGATCTAGCTGTCTATTGTTATTTTTTTTTTAATTAATTAATTTTTTTAATTTTTTATTTTTTTATAATGTAAGTTCTAGGGTACAGGTACGCAACGTACAGGTTTGTTACATATGTATACATGCGCCATGTTGGTGTGCTGCACCCATTAACTCGTCATTTACATTAGGTATATCTCCTAATGCTATCCCTCTCCCCTTTCCCCAACCACGACAGGCCCCGGTGTGTGATGTTCCCCATCCTGTGTCCAAGTGTTCTCATTGTTCAATTCCCACCTATGAGTGAGAACATGCGGTGTTTGGTTTTCTGTCCTTGCGATAGTTTGCTGAGAATGATGGTTTCCAGCTTCATCCATGTTCCTACAAAGGACATGAACTCATCCTTTTTTATGGCTGCATAGTATTCCATGGTGTATAGTGCCACATTTTGTTAATCCAGTCTATCATTGATGGACATTTGGGTTGGTTCCAAGTCTTTGCTATTGTGAATAGTGCCACAATAAACATACATGTGCTTGTGTCTTTATAGCAGCATGATTTATAATCCTTTTGGTATATACCCAGTAATGGGATGGCTGGGTCAAATGGTATTTCTAGTTCTAGATCCCTGAGGAATCACCACACTGTCTTCCACAATGGTTGAACTAGTTTACAGTCCCACCAACAGTGTAAAAGTGTTCCTATTTCTCCACATCCTCTCCAGCACCTGTTGTTTCCTGACTTTTTAATGATCACCATTCCAACTGGTGTGAGATGGTATCTCATTGTGGTTTTGATTTGCATTTCTCTGATGGCCAGTGATGATGAGCATTTTTTAATGTGTCTGTTGGCTGCATAAATGTCTTCTTTTGAGTAGTGTGTGTTCATATCCTTCACCCACTTTTTGATGGGGTTCTTTGATTTTTTTCTTGTAAATTTGTTTACGTTCTTTGTAGATTCTGGATATTAACCCTCTACTTGAAAGTTCATGTGGAACCAAAAAAGAGCCCGCATTGCCAAGACAATCTTAAGCCAAAGGAACAAAGCTGGAGGCATCACGCTACCTGACTTCAAGCTGTATACTACAAGGCTACAGTAACCAAAACAGCATGGTACTGGTGCCAAAACAGAGATATAGACAAATGGAACAGAACAGAGCCCTCAGAAATAATACCACACATCTACAACCATCTGATCTTTGACAAACCTGACAAAAACAAGCAATGGGGAAAGGATTCCTTATTTAATAAATGGTGCTGGGAAAACTGGCTGGCCATATGTAGAAAGCTGAAACTGGATCCTTTCCTTACACCTCATACAAAAATTAATTCAAGATGGATTAAAGACTTAAATGTTAGGCCTAAAACCATAAAAACCCTAGAAGAAAACCTAGGCAATACCATTCAGGACATAGGCATGGGCAAGGACTTCATGACTAAAACACCAAAAGCAATGGCAACAAAAGCCAAAATTGACAAATGCGATCTAATTAAACTAAAGAGCTTCTGCACAGCAAAAGAAACTACCATCAGAGTGTATAGGCAATCTACAGCATGGGAGAAAATTTTTACAGTCTAGTTGTCTCTTGTTAAACAACATTTCAAAGTTGATACGCACCTGCACCTCCAATCCAAGAGCATGGCATTTTTGAGTTACACCTGTTAGGATTTCAAGATGTGATTCTGAAAACTAAATCATACTAGGGTTAATAATTATACAACCACTGGTGTAAAAATGCATTTGTATGTCAAGACTGGAAGGGTAAAGTGTGATGGCTTCAACTAGAACATCAGCTTGTATAAAATTGCTCTGTTGCCCACAGACTCAGTGCAGATTTGTTAACCTAAAGGTACCATCTCCTTCAAATACAGCTGGCTTATGCTAAGACTCAAAAACTGGACTCAGGGCCAGTTGGATTGATTCCTCCATCTAACCCACAGAACTTCAATATTACATCTTATATGCAATTTTATGTAACTAATATTTATTGAGCACATTCTAAATGCCAGGCACAGGGCTAAGCACTTGACATGAATTATTTTATTAAATTCTCCCCAAAACCTTACAGGGCATAATAATATCTAAGACTATTTTTTCAGTAACTACTAGTGTCAGACATTGTTTTAAGCATGTTACATATATTAACTCACTGAATCCTTGCAGTATCCTAGGAGATAGATGCTGATATTATCTCCATTTTGTAGATGAAGAATCTGAACTTCAGAGAGGTAAAAAAAAATTGGCCCTGATCACACACCTAGTAAGTGACAAGGCTACGGCTGTCAAATCTCTTGCTGTCTGCTGCCTTTCCTCTCAGCATGTGAGCATGGAGCTGGGGGTCTGGTGGATCCTGTCAATCATATGTCTGTGGGCAGCACCTGACACATAATTTTTGAATCCAGTGCTAACTGAAAATGCAGGGCCTCTTGTTTAAAAGGCAAGGGAAAAGTGCCACCGAAGATAATAAATAGAAAGTTTTTTCTCTCTTGCAAAGTCAGTCTCTTGACTTGTCATGGTATGTTTTATTTGCTATTTAATGTCACTTTAAATAGCAAAAAATTAAAATGTTACATTATTAGCATTAATTTTACTGTTCATCTTTACATCCTGCACTGCTAGTTTTAAATGTAAATATAAGATCACTTAACTTGTATGTGAAATCACTCAAATCCCATAATTTGTATGTCATGGCCCGTACATACATATGTATTTTGTTCTTACCAGAACGTGGATACACTGTACAAAACAAGCTCAACCACCTTTATTTCACTTCTTGATGTGCACACGTTCTGCCAACTCTCTGCTTTCTGTTTACTTGTGATGAGGAAAGATGGAAAAGAAAAAGAACTATGGGCCGCCCTATCTTTCTCTTGCCTTCTATGTCATCATTTTCAGTGTATGTGGTTGCCTAACACAGGGGCCTAATGCAGGTAAGATAGGGTTCTTGGTTGTTTATGTTTCTTGGGATGCCATTGGTTTTTTTTGCATCCCAAGAAAGTTCTGGTTTGAAAGGAAAGCGTGACCTCTCAGGGCTGTCAGCCTCACCTCTCCTCTCCCATCCCACTCAGTCAGAGAGATCATGAATTTACCTTGTATTTGATTTGAGTCTTGCTGGATTTCCATGCACCTTGGGTCCACTGGAATTTGGTGCTCCTGAGGCATCATGAGCAAGAAACAGCAGACATGCCGTGATCACCAACCTCCTCATGCACATGCTCCACCAGGCTTCTTTTATAAAGCATAAGTTCAAAGATAAAATTATTAAGAATTTCAAGATGGTGACAGTGAGCCTTAAACCAAATATGGGACCATTCTGAGCATGAGATGAGGCCCTGTGTGACCAGGTATCACAGGCCATGAAGCCAGTCCTGTCTGTCTGGAATGGCTTTTGATTAACCAGGCACAGAGTTTGCATGGAGGCTGGTGGCTTTTCCTACTCACTGCCAATCTCTGGCTTGTTCTCAACTTTCCTGATTCTTGCATCCTCAAACCAACTTGTGCTCAGGACTACCAAAGTATGGGGTGCCTTCAGGCAGGCACTGGGACAGGCAACAGCAATGTGGGTTCTTTTCTCATCTCTGCCATGCCCCAGCTGTGCAATTCTGGGTAAGTTACTCAGCCTTTCTAAGAGTAAGGTTCCAGCTGCCTCACAGAGTTGTGAAGATTAACAGAGAAAATGCACATAAATCCCTTAGCTCAAGGGTTGGCACAGAGCAAATGCTTGGTAAATGTTAGTTAACAGTGTTGTGGTTTTCACAGTTTTGGATGCATTTTGCAGTTTCATTTATTTGGAAATCTTTATCCCTTCAAATAAGGTAATGAAGAAACCTGGTGAAGACCCATTTTAGAAGGGATGGAAACTTCCCAATGGGACGATAGCTAGATGTTTAACCACAAAATGGGCTTCAGCAGCATCCCTTTCCCCATCACTGTTAATTTAGTTAAGAAAAGCCTAAAATAAAATTTTGGAAGTGGGAAAAGGTCACTCTGAGTGATGTGGGCAGAAGGGATGAGGAGAAGCCTTCTCTAGGGATATGTTCATCTTTTTGGGAAGCTGCTAGAGGATTGGTCTCTTTTCCTTTTTTTGAAACAGGGTCTCACTCTATCATCCATGCTGGAGTGCTGTGGCGCAGTCACTGCTCATCGCAGCCTTGATCCTCCTGGGTTCAAACAATCCTTCCATCTCAGCCTCCTGAGTAGCTGAGACCACAGGTGCACACCACCATGCCTGGCTAATTTTTAAAAACTTTTTGTAGAGACGCTCAGGCTGTCTATGTTGCCCAAGCTGGTCTCGAACTCCCAGGCTCAAGTTATCCTCCCGTCTCAGCCTCCCAAAGAGCTGTGGTTACAGGTGTGAGCCACTGCGCCTGGCCTTGATCTCAAGCATATGAACTTTGGGTCATATTTTTGAGTGTCTCAGGCTGACCTCTTTTCTTCTCCGTCATCAGCTTCCTCCTGGATCCCTGCCCATCTATGAATTCATTAAACTAGAGTCACTCAAAGGATGTGTGTGTGGTGGTGGTAGGTGGGGAGTTCCCCAGACGCTTGCATCAGAATCACAAATGCAGAATCCTGGACCCAATGCCAAACCTTGGAACTAAAATCCCTGGGGACGTCTGACTCAAGAAACTGACTTTAATAAGTTGCCTGGGTGTTTTTTGCTTACTCCACTAAGTTTGAGAAGTTCTTTGGGAGCCTAGGAGCTGGGAAGAAAGAGACCATTTTTTGTTTTCTGACTTCAGCACTGGGCAGATCTGCTAATGTTTGCCGAATGTTGGAGAAATGACTGAACCCAAAGTACAGAGCTAAAGAATTTCTTCCCATCTGAGGCCTCTTGGGATGGTTTTATTCAGGCCTGATTAAGCACTAGTAAGGCTGTAAATGTCTTAAAATACTAAAATTCTTCCATGGGAGTTGGTAAATACCTAGTGCTTCCCCACTGGCCCAGCTGCCTAGTCCTCTCCCTTCCACTGCCCAGGATCCAGCAACTAAAGGTCTCCCAGGGGTCTCATCTATTCTCATTGGTCACTGCAGGTGCCAGTCAGCTCTGCATAGGTCCAACCTCTCTGCCACCGCCAATGGTACCTCGGGGGTTGGCTGTGTCCAGCCTATACTCCTGTTCTGTGGAGGGAAATGGGATGAGCATCGGGAGAATCTTGGGTGGGTGGTACCCCAGCCAGTTTACCTTGGTTCTGGTGTAAGCGCCCCTGTCTCCACACGTCTGACAGGCCACAATGGATGGAGTCCTGGTGGGTGAGAGGGCATTCCTAGTGGTGGTGCTGGCACCCCAGGGGGCAAATGCCCCAGGCCATGGCCACCGCCAGTGGAGGCACCCTTAGAGATGCTCTTGCATAGCTGCTCTCAGCAACTGCAGCCTCCATGAAACTCTGGCTCTGAGAAATCCTGGGAGAGACTGAGTGAGCATGAGGCAGAAATGTGAGTCCACAAACACAGGGGCTCTGCCAGCGCATTTGACAGATGAGAGGGCTGCTTGGTCCAGATGACACATGCAGAAGGCAATGTGGGGCTGGGGGAATTATGGGGTAAAGGTTCCCTTTTCATTTATTTAGTTAAGTTTGTAAAAAAAAAAAAATCACCAAATGCCCACCTATCACAGCATTAGCCAAAATACCTTTATTAATAAAAAGAGAGTGAGTGCTTCCATAGTACTTGCCCTGTGCCAAACACAATTCTTTTTTTTCTTTTTTCCTTTTATTTTTTTTGAGACAGAGTTTCGCTCTTGTCACCCAGGTTGGAGTGCAATGGTGTGATCTCAGCTCACTGCAACCTCCGCCTCCCAGATTCAAGCGATTCTCCTGCCTCAGCCTCTCGAGTAGCTGAGATTACAGGCACCCACCACCACACCCAGCTAATTTTTGTATTTTCAGTAGAGACGGGCGTTTCACCATGTTGGTCAGGCTGGTCTCGAACTCCTGACCTCAGGTGATCCACCTGCCTCGGCCTCCCAAAGTGCTGGGATTACAGGTGTGAACCACCGTGCCCGGCCCCAAGCACAATTCTTAACTCAAGTAATAAAATTCTTAACTCGAGTCGCTGTAGTTATCATCACCATCCTCATTCATAGTTGAGGCAACTGAGAACCAGGCGTCAAGTAGCAGAGCTAAAATTTGAATTCAGGCAGGCTGACACTAGAATCTACACTAATAAATACCTCTTCTTTTCTTCAGTTTACATTTAGAAATGATTTGTGTGTGTGTGTGAGATCTGGAATATGTAAAAATCTCAGTCTGTAATATGACAGCTAGAAACCTTTTGCATGAAATTGCAATGATTTTATTTCTACAATAAGTAGAAAACTCAGTGATGAACTCTGAATAAGGCTGTGAGGATCAAACAGTCATCAGTCCCTGTGGTTTCAAGGAACACTAAAGGGCAAGGGGCCACTTAAACACTTAAAAACAGAAACAACATGCTAAGCTCTTCCATTTAGTATGTCAAAACCAGCTCAGAAGTATGTGACAATCCAGGCAATGTATTACAGTTTCTAGCCAGTCCAGTCATGATTCTCTGGCAAACTGCACCGTCATGGTTGTGATGCATTGGGATGAGAGGTACTATATAAATGTCAGATGTTACATAAATGTCAGAAATGATTATTGTTTATTAACGAGGGCTAAACTGTTTCTAAGCAAAGCTCCATCTCCCAGCCAATGTGTTCTTAGCAGAGGTTCCAACCACCAATAACCCACAAGAAGGGAATGCTTACCCCTGGCTCTATGAAGGAGCCCAGTTGGGATCTGGGCTTGAAAACAGGGATTGAGTTGGGCCCAGTGCCACCCCTTGCTCATCAAGTGATCTCAGGCCAGCCCCCAACCTTCTGGTGTCTGCCTTAGCTCACCTGTAGAATGGGAATAATTATAATACCTGTCCTACTTCTGGTACCCGGGTTGGTGTGAGAAACAAGGGAAATCACGTGGTCGCAAGCGCTTTGTAAGGTGTGAGGGGCTGCGAGGTTGGCATTGGTCGTCTAGAATCGGGCTGGATTTAGCCTATGCCTTCTCTTTGAATCCTACTCAAAGGGAGAACTTCTGAAAGGAAATTCAGCAGGGGGATGGTGACAGTGATGGTGACGGCCGGATACTGGAGACGCCAGGCTCCTCTCGCTGCAGACCAGGCGCCCGGATCCTGCAGTCTGGCCCTGGCTCTGCCGCTCCCCAGCCCGTGAGCTTGGGCCAGTTACCGAAGAGGCTCTGGAAGTGACAGCCAAGGGCCCTTTCGGCTCTGACGCCGTGTCTAAATCAGGCTCATCACTTGGCTCTAGCTGTGATTCACCTTTCGCCTTAGGAGCAACTCTCCCTACAGCTTCTCAGACGCATGAAGCAGGGGTCCCGCGAAGGGTGGGGCTGTGTATTTCATGAGAGTGTGCACCATAAGGAAGTTATTCTCCTGGAGGAGGTGAGATGAGGGGGCGGTGAAGAAGGGGTGACAAGTGAGTGCTCTGAAAAGCCAGGATGCAGGGAGCACTGAAATGAGGTCATGACTGTCGCAAGCAAAAAGGAGCTGGACATCCTCCGGTGGGGGAGGGAGGAGCGTCCTGCATTTCTGTTTGCAAAGTCTTTTCCCACATCCTTCAGCATCCCCCTCCCCACCTCTCCCCTACCCCCATCCCTACACCTTTCAAACCCCATCAGGCCCTCCCCGCAGAAGAGCCCACGCCCGCGCCTCCTCCGTGGTCTTGTCTGAAACCATAAGGATTGTTTCCAAGCTGACTCACACCACTAATGTCAGGGAGCCGTGTCACACGGCGCTGGGCTCTGCAAGCTGTTGCTTGCGCAGTCGCCCCCGCCGCTGCCGCTCCCGGGCGGGTGCACCAGGGTCCGCGCGGGCGGGGCGGGGTCGGGGCGGGACCGGGGCGGGGCCTGCCCCCTCGACGCGCCGGCCCCGCCCCTCGCTCCGTCCCTCCCCAGCGGACCGCAATGATTTAGAAGTTCAGGAATCCCACGTGACGTCACCGGGGGGGTGATGTAATGCACTCTAAATAGAATGTATTGTAATCTTTGCTCAGTCCAACGTGGTCCCTTCACCCGGGCTCCGCTCTTGCCTTCTCCACACTTGTTTGGTAAGTTCCTAAAAATACGGCTCGGCCACTTCTGGGGCTTTTGCATTTAGCCACTTTTGTTGCACTTGCCGCAGGAGCCATCTCGGGAGTGTACTTGTTTGCAGGGGTTGGTTCTCGGCAGCAGCCGCGAGGTTACTTGGTCCAGTGGGCAGGTCACAGGGCAAGGAGTAGGGAAGATGCGATGCATTTTTTTCTGGAGGGTGATCTGTGTTTGTAAACATTTTGGCGGACCAGAGGGAAGTCCGGCCCCGAGTGCTGGTAGACTGTGGAATTCGGCTGTGTCCTGAGGCCACCCTAGAGACCCCGCGCCGCGTGAGTGCCGGAGCGCTCGGTGGCCGCCGCGCCGCGCGCCTGGAGGGATGCTAACGTGGAGCCGGCGCCGAGTCCGCCCGGCGTGCGTGCGTGTGTGGGAGCGCGCGAGTCCCCTGACGCGGGGACCAGTTATGAATCGGGGGTGTGTGTTTGCCTCCAGAGACCTGGCAAGGTGCGGAGCCCTCCAGAAGTGCGGTCAAGCGGCAGCGGAGACGGCGAGCCAGGAACCTCCCCCCGCGTCCCCAGCTTCCCAGCGTGGCGGCGGAACCCCCGGAGAAAGTTTGCAAACTTCCAGCGGGCGCGGCGAGGACGCCGGGTCACCTAGGGGGCGGGTGGGCGCGCGCGCAGGGGGCTCGCTCTCCCCGGTGCGGAGCTGCAGCTGCCACCTCTCCCGCCGGGCTGCCGGCTGCAGCGGGTGGGCGCGCGCCCGGGGAGGGGAGGTCGCCCTCGGAGGGCGCTTGGCTTTCGCTCCAGGCGCTCCGGGCTGGAGAGCGGCGAGGCTCCGTCCGCTCCAGTCCACTCCTCCGGCCGCCTCCTGCCTCCGCTGCTTTCTTGCTGGCATCGTTACCTCTTCCCGGCCGCTGCCCCAAATGACAGCTCCGGCTCGAGCTTTGGCGGCGCCCAGGCAATTCCCAAGACCTGGCGGCGGAGTCTCCCCCTGCGGCAGATTCTCGGCAGAATCACTTGAACTTTTCACGAAGTTCTTAGAGGGGCAAGATGCGAAGGAAGGAACCAAGGAGATGTTTTCTCTCAGCAGCTGCATCCCGCTTCTTCTTTGCCATAGATTTATTTTTAAGGGGCGTCTGGTAGATAAAGCCCTAGACCTTGTCCACACTCTCACCCCCATCCCCAACTTTCCCTGGACCGGTGCCGCCCCCACTTGATGCTTGCTCAAGGCCGGGGACTGGAGCGGGCTACTTGTATATTTCGTTGTCAGTCTGCAGAATGTGTTTGATTTTTATTTTTCCCTCCTTCTCTGACATGTGTCAAGGAATAAAGACTGGATACAGGTCCATTACGTCATTCTGCAGGCCAGTAAGTGTTTGATTAACGGCTTGAGCTCCTCAAGGGTTCAGGAGCTTAGAATGCTGACAAAGCAACTCTGCTTTGCATCCCCCTACCCTCCCCACAACACACTCGTGCAATCGCCGGCTCCCTGGGCATCTTTATTGCCCTCTCTTCCCAGCCCCTCCCTCTCCACCACTCCCCCGTCTACACCGTTATCACTCTAGCCCCGCCCCCGCCTTTTTACAGCTTTCCCTGGGGCGAGCACGGTCCCTGGAGTGTGGGTAAAAGCTTCTGGGGTCTGAGGGGACCACTGTACCTGATCAGCGCGCAATCCGCCCTTTTGTATTATTTAAGAAAGGCACCAGTAAGCCTTCTCCTCTAGGGCGAAAATGCTTAGTCCTGATAGAAAAGGCAAATCAGGAAATGTTTGCAAGCGTTATGATAATACTCTGTCCTCGTGGTGGTGACTTAGGAAAGCAATACACCCACTGCAAACAAAGTATTTCACTTTACGTAGTGCCTGCCCTTTAGCAGAAGAGGGATGCTGACAAAATCAGGTTTAGCTGAAAGGATCAAGACTAAACGTTTCATTTCCAAAGTGAGGGAATGTGAGTCGTTGAACCTAAACTTCCATACAATAAATTGCTGCGTGCGTTAGTTTCTAGCTCTTAACCTTAAGTTTCTATGTTGAAAGAGGAAGTCGAATACGTAAGTCATTGAACTGAGTCAGAACCTCCGTATCTGGCAGTTGAAATAAAGACCCTGTGTATGACTTGTTGCAAGGGATCAAAGTAAAAAGAACCCTCGGTGTGGGGGGTGGGGGGGTGGGGGCGTGAGGGAGGTGTGCAGCAGAAATTAAATTTAAAAAAGTATTAACAGAGTTTTGGATAGAGGGAGAGAGGGGATTGGAGTGGTCCCTGATTTGGAGTTGGTGAAAACTAAATAAAGAAAAGTTTATATTGCAAATATGTGGGAATTTCTTGAAGAACACATGTTTTCTTATAATTAGATCTACTTTCTTCAAAGCGAAAGCCATGCTGTAGGGTAGGCATTTGTGAAACTCCTGTCTGGGGTCTAATTGACATCCTTCCCCAAGTCTGTGGCAGGATTTAGTATTTATTCACATCTAGAGATGAAATAGTGTAACCTCCACACAATATATGTGCATCGAAAATGTTGAACTTCTTGTTTGTGATGCATAGACTTAAAGGAAAAAAAATGGCCCAGTCATGGGCACTGGAAAGTGTGATTAATGATCAGTGATTTAGTGATCAGTGATTAGTGGTTTTATTCAAACTGTTACCTCTGACCAGAAGCACACATCAGAGGATTAACAGGCTCTTTAGATAAATGCTCATTAGTGGAAGGGGAAAAGCAAAGATAATAGGCATGCACCCAGGGACAACTTTCGAAGAAAATCATTCCCGTCTTCAGAATAATAAGCTCTATTAACAGAAAGCCCTTTTAATTTAAAACTTGCTTTTATCTTGTAAATCAAAGTTAGATGTAAAAGTTTGTAGTGCCATTATAACCTAAATTTTCCCATATCCACTAGATGTGGATTATCTCAGTAGCGATATTTTTTTTTATTTAAACAAACAATTGGACCTTTAGAGCAGCTGAACCCTGACAAGTTCTTAACTCCCAGGGTTTGAAAGTGTCCCCCCTTCTAGCATGGAGATTGCAGCTTGCTAACTAGATGGCGCACTGTTATTTGGTGTTCTCTGCTGCGTAGCGCAGGAGTATAAACTGAGCATGTAGCTGCTTGCGAGGTGTTCTTCAACATTTACAACAAAGTTGATTCTGTGTAGGGTTGGAGGCTAGACAGTTCCACAAATTTTTAGTCACATTTTCCATGTCAGTTAAATCTAGGGAGTTCAAGACTACTGGAAAAATTAGTCTCATTACTAAAAGAAACTTAGAGAACGAGGGAGGTACCAGAGTCTAGGAGGTACCTCTGGGTTGCAGAAGTAATTGTAAAATACCAGACCTGTTCTTTTTACTAAAAGCTAGTTTCACTATCTTCTGGTCTGAAATACTGAGGCAAATACTCAAGACTTATTTTCTTCCTAATCTTGCTGGTGAAACAGAAGTTACTAGAAAGAAAGGAAGAAAAAACTTGATTTGGTGACTGCAGGAAGCAACACGTTGCTGCTTTTATTCTACAGATAATGGTAAGGATGATGTTTATTATGCATATTAAACAGAGAGAAAACTTTGCACTTAGTTAAATAGAACCAATGTTGTATTTTCATAGATGGAATTCAGAAATGGAGTTTAGATTTTGCACAAAATTTTAATGTTGCTTTTGTCAGTTTCCTGGGACTTATAGCATTTTATGTGGAAGGATGTGTGTGTGTGTGTGTGTGTGTGTGTGTGTGTGAATAAGACTATTATTTCCCAGGTAAAATATGTTCAGAAGCATATGAACTACAGTGGGGAAGCTATGGAGCATGTTAAGTAATGTGTCAAGCATGAATTCCCCTTTCTGTGAGGTTTCATGAATCACTTCAATAAGTATTTAAGTTTTAATAAGAAAGTTCTTGAAAAAGAAACCTAAAAATTAAAAAAAAACAATAAAACAGTTTTCCGCATTCAAACCTAGATGTGTATGCCCCTGAAGGATGATTCTATGGGTTGAATATCAACTATTACTTTAGTTCTAAAACTTAAAAGAAGAAGTATAATAAAACTCACTTGTGTCTCCCCAGAAATGTTTCTCATTTTCCTTTGCTTATAGCATTTTATATGGATCTCTTATTTTTAAATCCTTACTGATTATAGTGGTTTTTATTTTTCAACTTAACTCATAGTAAACATATTTGAAAATATCTCCAAGCCCACTATTTTTAATGTAAATTGCTGGTGCCGATAAATTGCCTGTCAATTAGCGGTCAGTCGTGACCTTATATAGTTGATACCTGAGAAGATAGTTTATTAGAACATTCCAACAAAAAATTGGAAACCATGCCCTTATTTCTAGATCTCTGTTATGTCACAGCTTTTATTTGAATAGGTGGCTAAATGAATGGTAGTTTGTCACAGAGACTTTTCCTGCATAGATTTTCAATTCTAGTAAGTTTAAGATTTTTGTTACAATGATTTGTCAGTTTCCCACACCTGCACATTCAAAACCAATCAATCATGGAGTTTCCATGATGGCAAGTTCCTAGACTCCCAATTTCTTACTATAATCTACTTTTTAGCAATGAGGTATCACAATCCTATAATATTTTCTTGTCATTGGAGTTTACTTCTTACTAAGCTAAAAATTATTTTGTCGGTGTGTAGTGTTCACTAGATCACTAAGATGTGAACTTTGTATTTGTAGTTCATTTTCTTCTGGTTATGTTGTTGGATTAAAATTGGGATTTGAGTGGACTTATTATTTTTGTCATCTTTTCTTTCTTCTCCTTCTCCTTCTCCTTCTTCTTCTTCTAAGCAATGCAGTTAGTCACAAAATTAATGTGATCCTGGCTGGTGTTTCCCATCTATATGCTTCTTTTGCTTCTTACAAATTGGATTTCTACAGCAATTTAAGGTCTTTTTTTTTTTTAGAGGCAGCTTTCTTGGATGAAGATGGAACAGTGATCTCAGTCAATTCATTATCTTGTCCACTTTGACTACCAGCTGTATTATGGGAATCAACCAATGCTTAATTAGTGTTTAAAAATTTAAATCTATGACTATTTCTCTGAATTCTATTTAAGAAAATTATACAATTGAGATAAGGTAATAAACTGGGGGGCAATTGCCTTAAATATCTAAGTGTGAGGAAGAAGCACTTTCAGATATGCTAAACAGACTTAAAGACACAGAAGACCCTTTTTGTGTTGCTATTTGTAAAATAAGTAAGCTATCTATTTTGTGGCAATGCTTTAAATACAAAGTCTGGCACTTTAAAAATGACATCATGTTTAATGTTTTCACTAAAGAATTATTACATTTCGTAATTAGGAAAAAAATGAGCAATTAGTGTTTTTTGAGTATCCATTAGTATTCCATTGTTGAGAATCACAAATCATAGATTTAACATAGGAATTTTTTTTTTTATAAAAAGAGAGAAGCCTTTTAGAAATTTCCAGATAGTGATAGCACTCTTCCAGAAACCCCACTAAAATTTTTGAAGCTCTTATTGAGGACTCTGGGACTGTCACAGTAAAAGATAAAGTTTAGGATAAATTCTTGAACCCATAAAAGATATTATATTGACATTTCAATATTTCTTTTTTCCAAGTTCACTGTATTGCCTTCCCCCTCACCCCCTGAGAAATAGATCAGAATCAGTTTATCACTTTAAAAATATGTATTTCAGCTGCTTTCTTCTATTTCCTTAAGGTTACATTTCTGATCTTAACCCTAAAAAGATTTTAGGATTTCAATCCTTAACAAGGATTGAAAACTACCAGGCTGGCGTTTGACTAGAACTGATTTTAGAGGGAGTTCTTTTAGGCCTAGAGATTCTGATGGTGAGTTACAAAGGCTTATGGCTTTACACGGATGGTAGGGCTAGGGGAGGGCCTCGGATTGATAGACCAATTTTTCATTTTACAGAAGAGACCCCTGGCTCACCCAAGGCCCAGAGCTAGAGAGAGCCAAACCAGGCTGAGAAGCCTGGTCCCTGCCTCCAGGTCGGGTGCTCCTGCCATAAATGCCCTTGTCAGGAATGGGGCATAACCTATGACTTTGTATCCTTCACTCTTTTCAAGCCTTTTGATGACTAATCTTTCAAAGACAAATTTTTATCAGATCTTTGGAATGAACACCTTAATCATAAAAACTGTAGTTTCTATTTCATTCATTCTTATATAATATCTGCAATGTTATTTTTTCTAATAAGGGCCTCCTTAATTAATTTTAACTTAAATTCTCCTTTTTTCATCATTGTTATGAGACATACCCTGTAAAACCACACCATCCAGATTTCATTTGAGAGTAAAAACCAGGCAGGACTAAAAATGGTCTGAAAGACTGTCTCAAGAACAAGGCAGTGACTTTCTCTACTACCTGTCTTTTCTCTATTATCTGTGAGGACGGGATCTGAAATATTATTTAAAGTTAAAATAAATAACCTTTTTTGTCAAATAGAGAAACGGGTGATGTTTTCACTCTAGAAGGTGTACCTTTGCCTAGGATCTGTCTGTAATACATTATCTTTCCAGATGGATATATATGAGTGTGTTTGGAGGTGACGAGAAGTGAATTGAGTCTGGAAGTATGTTCTTTGAGGTTTGACTGGCAAAACTTGACCAATCATAACCAAAAAAATTCATGCATGCAACACAGAGGGCTCTAGAGCACCACACATTTGATTTAAGATGATATTTAGTCTGTGCTGTATTTAAGATGGGGAATAACAATGTCTAAATAGAAATCCTGAATGCACCTACTGCATGTGTTGTTTGGCCTCACCCACAGGTTTCCTCTCCAGCTGTTTGCATGCGATTTTATATCAGAATTCAGGTCTCTTTTTATTCTTTTATTACACTGAGGAGCTCCTGTGTTGCAGGCATGATTTCTCCAATAGAACACATTTCAGCCAGTTTTATGCAGTCCTCTCTCTGTTGGCTTCCTAAGGGGGAAAAATACATGCAACAACAACAACAACAAAATTTTTGTTTTTGTTTGAATTAGCTGACTATTAGAAGAAATACATGTAATCTCTATTTGCCAGATCTGGTAGGACCATTTCACTTTATCAAAACAAGATCTTCTCCTTTAAGTAAGTTGGCTTCTGACTGGCCAGGTATTAATTCATGCATCAGACAGTAGAAGGCATTGGGATAAAGTCCGTTTCCACCAGGGTATCTAGCTATGGTGTGGTGCACCATCATGAAGGGTCTGATTTGCCTCACTGCAATGACAACATTGTGCAGAAAAACACTGACTCCTAGGAGGAGAAACAATATTATAGGCTCAAGCTTCTAAAATCATATCAGGGAATGATCCTGTGTCGAAGGTGACTGTCAGAACGCTGGGGGCCTCCAGGGTCATTTTCTAAACTACAGCATGACAAAATGTTCTCTTTGTCTATTCTCTGCATTTTCCTTCAGGTAGTGTTTCCCTAGATTCATTCTTTAACATCCATTTCAACTACTCTGCCTTGATGAATAATCCTGCAGTAACAAGTCACAAATGTGTACACAGCAGAGCAGAGATATTTTTCCATAAGGAAAATAGATTTTTATATCAAATCTTAGAAGAAACAATTAGCAAAACAAAAGGGGGGAAGAAGAGTTGAAATTAGATTGATGGCATAACAAGCTCTGTCCATTCGTGGCTCTGCAACAATGAGCAGCCTGAGACTGGAGGAGGGACGCAATTCCCAGAGAGCTGCCTTGAGCTTATTGTGCTTCTCTGCCTCAGTTTCTTCATTTGTGATGAGAATGTCGGGCTCACCCAGCACTGTCCGGTAGTGAGAGCTGCAAATGTGAGCTGCACATTTCATTTTAAACGTTTTAGTAGCCACATTAAAAAGGTTAAAAAGAAACAGGTGAAGTCATTTTAATAACACTTTGATTTAACCTGATATATCCAAAATATTATCATTTAAACATATAATCCATATAAAAATGTTAATGTACTACTTTACATTCTCTCTTTCTCTCTCTTTTTTTTTTTTTGGTACTAAATCTTTGAAATCCAGTGTGTATTTCACAACTACAACATATCTCAATTTGGACTAGCCACATTTCAAGTGCTCAATATCCACGTGTGGTCGGTGACTATGGTATCAGACAACACAGGGTAAATCAGTGGTTTATGATCCTGGCAGCCCAGTAGTACCACCTGTGGAACTTATTAAAAAACACTGATACCCTTCCACTCTGACATTCTGATTTAATTGGTTTGGGGTGAAGGCCTGAGCCTCTGTATATTTTAAAAGCTCCACAAGTGTTTCCAATGTGTAGCAGAGGTTGAGAACCACGGTTCTAACTGATCTCTAAGGAATCTTCTACTCTAATATTCTATGATTCTATTTCAGGAAAGGGATTGCAGTAAAGCGTTCATTCAGAGTTCAAGGGCAGCAAGCAGTTGTTACAAGCATGCTGCACCCTGCAACACATATTTAAGAAAATATAACTGATAAAGATTAAAATTTACAGAATGAATAACTTAGACAATAATTCTTTGCACCACAAATGGGCTCTGTTTTGTGTAACTTTCAAACGTGGGTGTTTTAAATGGTCTGCTTCACTAGAAATCTTAATTTAGGATTTGATTTACATGTAACCTCGTAGAAACCCTCTGTTTCGGAAAAGGTCAGGATTCTCACATTTCAGTTACAGTATTTTGCCAGCTTACTCTTTTGCCCCAGATACTTGCCTTTAGTTGTTTGGGGAGGGAAATTTTTACTCCAGTTGAGACATCTGGATCCCCCAGAATTTTCTTCCTTCCAAGCTTTTAACAAACTTGTGTTATTGCCTAGACCAGATTTTCTCATGTCAAGATGTTAGTTATAACCTCCTAGACTTAAGGTATTCATTTTTATTTGTCACCTTTTAAAATATTAGAAGAATCAATGTTTTTCAATGCACATCAGAATGCTTTATTTTAATATACCTGTTTTTTATAATACACCAGTCTGTGCATTCACTAAAGGATGCAAAAAGTATAAAATAAAAAATAATTTCCAAACTCCTCACGCACCTTCTTGTGAAGTCTACAGACAGAATTGTTTGTGGAGGGGAGGAGAGACCTTGGTGTCAGCCTCTTGTGACTTCATGCTGCAGAGAGCCTCTGCATCCCCAAATTCATGAGTCATTTCACTCTGACCCTCTCTCTCCTTATCCCCTGCAGAGCCATCTATGTCCAAATACATGTCTATTCAACCATATCGCCTTTAAAGCATGACTATAAACTAGTTTTAAATATAAAATTACATGTTTTTCTACATTTTGTGGTGATATTTGTGTTTTCTGTAATGTCATTCATTGGAAGAATGTTAGCTTTCATTTATTAACACATATCTCTAATCCCCATTTTATAGATGGGAAAACTAAGAGATTGCCAAGGCTAGGCATCCTGCTCATTGATTAGATGGGTGGTCGGTATGAGAAAAGAGCTCACATTTATTAGTGCCATGTATTCCAGATATTCCAGATAGAAGCACTGCTTTGGGTTGCTTCCAGGTAGGGATTTTCCAATTGCTTGTACTATTGCGCTTGTCTTTGTATTTATAAATAACATTCTTTCGGGTGCTTTCCCATGCATTATTTGCAGTTAAATGGTTTCCTTGCTAATACCTCTTACTTTCCAGCTTCAGGCTACATGTAGCTGGATTGATTAGTAAATACATAAGGATATATTAACTTCTTAACATGGAATCTGTTTTAAAAGTTGCATGGAGACATCTGTTGCAAACCTGTGTGTTTGGTAGTATCCAGGGAAACTTTCTCTCAGGCTACTTTGTGATTGACTGTTAAAAGTATTGTGTGGAGAGACAATGAGATTAATGATGTAAGTTACTCATCTGTTTTGGGGATTGAAGGCAAAGGTCTGTACAGATTCATTTGTTGAGCAAGATAGACTCTAGCCCTACCTCCTAAATTATCTTTTATAAAACACTTTAGCCCTTGTCGTGCCAATGTACTGTCTTCACACTTGGTCTGGAGCCATCTGTGTTTAAGTATTTGGTTTTTGTTTTCTCCTAACAATGGTGATACGTTGGCTTGGCCATTTGCAGTCTCTGTCTGCATTTCTGTGTCTTTGATGGGTGAGCTGTTGATTAATAGTGCAATTTTCGACCAGTGCCAGGGGGCGATTATTTTGGATTCTTTCCTCCAAGCATCATGCTAAATTTAAAGCAATTTTAATATTCATACATATACATGCTTATGGTGTTTATGCTTATATGAAAATAAATATGTATATAAATAAAAACCTGGGCCAGTGAGGACCAGAATGTTAGTAGGGCATACACTTGCAAATGTGCTTATCATTTTTTTTAGGATGCCCATGGACACATTGTAACTCCTATTGGCCAAATATCTATTTGTAACATTGATTCAGATACATATTGTTGATTAAAAGATATTGTGAGATTAAAAAAATTGAAACCATATTTAAGACACTCCTTTTTTCTGAGAAGGCCTGTCTAAGCACACATTGTTTACAATTTTGTCTTCCAGTTTTGCAAAATCGGATGACTAACAACCACCATTCTCAGGGTTGTGCTGTGTTGACGTCATCAAAGATGAGGGTGCAGTGTTTTGGCACCATGAAGCAGCATGTAATTTGAAATTGTACTTTTTGCTAAACACCAATGCTGATCTCCAAACCATTCAAACACTAAAAAACCAAAACAAAACAGTAATGTCTGCTGATTGGATGGAGGCAGCATGGGCAAAGTACAATTTTTTTTTTTTTTTCATATGCTTTGGAAGCACTTACAAAAATCAGGGAGAAAAAGAGTACATATAATTACTTGACATGCCCTTTGGAAGGGACATTCTTAAGACAGACAGGTTGAGTCTTTAACCTAAAGTTCATTTTTATCCTTTCCAGGAAATGTGCTTTCTTTCTTTTTTCCCTTTTTTAAGCACAAACGTGGTTGTATCTTTAAAAGGAAGGCTTAAGAGTAAATCATGTGGCTGCTTTATCTTTATTTAACATTTAGAAGATATTTTAGGAGATCTATTTAGAAAGTCTTATATTCCTTCACATAGTTGTAGTTATTTAATGCTTGTTTAAAAACATAGGGGGTTCTGGAGATTGGTTGCACAACAGTGTGAATATACTTAGCACTACTGAACTGTATACTTAAAAATGGTTAAGGTGAGGCCGGGCATGGTGGCTCATGCCTGTAATCCCAGCACTTTGGGAGGCCAAGGCAGGAGGATCACTTGAGGTCAGGAGTTCAAGACCAGCCTGGCCAATATGGTGAAACCCCTTCTCTACTAAAAATACAAAAAATTAGCCGGGCATGGTGGCACACACCTGTAGTCCCAGCTACTCGGGAGGCTGGGACAGGAGTATCGCTTGAAGGCAGGAGGCAGAGTTTGCAGTGAGCTGAGATCGCACCATTGCACTCTAGCCTGTGCTTTGCAGCAAGACTCCATCTCAAAAAAAAAAAAAAAAAAAAAAGGTTAGGGTGGCAAGTTTTATGTTATATATATTTTACCACAGTTATAAGAAATGGGGAAAAAGTTTGCTTGTACCCATTCCCCAGATGGGGGAAAATAGAGTGTACAGACCATTTGTTTCAAGTTAGATGCATCCACTTTAATTTTTTTTTAATTTGCATTCACTTATTTTTATTTCAATAGCTTTAGGGGTACAAGTGGTTTTGGTTACATAGATGAATTATGTAGCAGTGAAGTCTGGGCTTTTAGTGCATCTGTCACTGGAATACTGTACATTGCACCCACTAGGTGATTCCTATTCCTCCCCCTTTCCCAACTTTCTCCCTTCTGAGTCTCCAATGTCCATTATACCACTCTGTCTGCCTTTACATACCCCATAGCATAGCTTCCACTTATAAATGAGAACATCCAGAAATTTGGTTTTCCATTTCTGAGTTACTTCACCTAGGATAATGGCCTCAGTTCCATCCAAGGTGCTACAAAAACATGATTTCATTCTTTTTTATGGCTGAGTAGTATTTCATGGTATACATATACCACATTTAAAAAATGTTTTATTTCCATAGGTTTTGGGGGAGCAGGTGGTATTTGGTTATGTAAGTAAGTTCTTTAATGGTGATTTGTGAGATTTTGGGGATGCATCCACTTTACTGTCATAATGGGAAGGTCAAAAATCTAAACAGGACTTTTGCACTTTGGGATAATGTAGACAGACGACATTGGTATGTGTGTGATGTGATTTTGACACATAGGAGAATCCAGGGTAGCTAAAAGCTAGGCACGTAACACTGCATGCCTCTTTTCTGGCTTGGATCTGGGTGAGCCCTGTGTGTAGAAAGCTGTATCATTCCATTTGAAAATGCATTTGACCTTATTTGAGCAGTTTTTAAGAAATTTACTTGATAGCCTTTAGCACCATATATATATACATACACACACACTATATATATATATACCATATATATATATATACACACACCATATATATAGTGTGCATATATATATACACACACACACACTCTCTCTCTCTATATATACCATATATATGGTATATATATAAAATACCATATATATAGAGAGAGTGTGTATGTGTGTGTATGTGTATATATATATATACTCAACTGAGATCAACGAAAAAGTCAGGCAAGAAGCCTTGTAGTTTATGTCAGGGAATGTAAACCCACACTTCACAGTAACACTGACCAATGAGAAGTTGCTTTGCGGGGGACAACCTGGGAGTTGAAAATTTTGGAGACAGATCACAGGGGGAATGGTGGAGGAAATTAGAGATATTTGACTCAGAAAGGAGGAGGCCCAGGCTTGTGCATAATATCAAGGAACATTCTGTGGACAAGAGGATACTATTTCTGACTTATTCTCTGTGCTTCGGGGAAAAACAGAGAAAATTGCAGGAAGGAGATGGTTTGCTGTGTGGAGAGATGGAGTGTGCTGTGTTTGCTCTTTTGGCTCCAAAGAGGGAAGAATTTTGGAACAAGTAGACCTATACATCAATGGAAAGGACTGTCTCAGAAATTAGTGACCTCCCTGGCATGGGGTGTCAGAATTATTATAGGAAGAGTTTCTAGAAGCAGTAAGAAGGAGGGCTGGACCAGTTGCTCCTGGCTTTTTTTGGATTATGAACACTTTAAACAATTAGGTAAAAGCTATGAGCCAGTTTTCATAAAAATAACATATAGGCAAATATTCATGAGAAGGTTCATGGACCCAGAAGCCATGGACTCCAGAATGAAAAAATGTCTGGGCTCAATAATGATGCTTAACAATGCTATGGTTATATGGACACATAAACTTAAAATTGCTGCGGTTGAATGAATATGATCAGTTTCATGTGGTTCATCCTACATGTGTTGGTGCATACATTACATGTATTAAGCTGTGAAAGTAACCAGAGCTAATGAACTTCCGGTGAAGTGTATAATCCGGAATGGAAATTCACATTCATTGGATTCTCATTTATGTTTCTCTATGAGAGTAACTGCCTGTTTGCCCAATAGCCCATACCTAGACAACCACTGATTAATAACACCTTACATTGTTTAGGAGTTTCAAAGTAATTTAATAGAAATTATCTTATTAGGGTGATATAACAACTCAGTGAAATATGAAGGATAGATATTATCCTTCCCATTTTAGTGGATGCAGAAACTAAGAATCCCAGGGCTTAAGTGGTATGTGCAGTCCCAGCTAAAGTAAGTGCCAGACATATAACTGGAATTCAGGTATCCTTCCCTCCCTTCTTCCTTTTCTCCTGCTTCTCTTTGTCCATCCTCTCTGCCTCCATGCTAGCCACATACACTTATGGAACCAAGTGTGCTCTTTGTTACTAAGAAGCAGCAACAACCACAAATAAACCAAGCAACTCCTTTCCAACACAAATATCAGCACCCTGTCTGAGCCTAAATTCCTTTCCTTCCTTCATCCCTTCCTTCATTAAATATTAACTGAGCATCTATTATGTGCTGGGTACCAGGGATACATGATCAAAATCAGACACAGTCCCACTCCTCATAGAACTTGTACCAGGTAAGTCACTGCAATTTAGTGTTTCAGGAGGAGGGTGAGGGGGTGCAAGCCTGGAGACAGAAAACCCAGTTAGGGGCTATTGTGGTTATCCAGACAAGAGATGATGGGGGCTTGAGTTATGATGGTGCCAGATTCAAAAGCCATGTAAGAGGCAAGAGCAGTATGACTTGGGGATTGATTAACTGGAAGATGAGGGGTCCAGAGAGTGGGGAAGATGGAGTCAGGATAAGCCTGACCCAGTAAGAAAGTCTGGGTCATCCTTTGTGGTGCTGAATTGGGGGATGGTGAATTGGGGGATGGATTCTGGCCCAGTGCCCACAGGCTTGTGTCTGCATCCTGAGAACAGAAAATGGCTGTGAACAAAAATGCCAAGAGCAACTGTAACTGAAAGGTACAGTGCATTATTGGGTTCCGTGGCAGTACAGCTTTGGTAACTTCTCCCAGAGAGTGGCTCCACAGGGAGAAAGGCACCCCCTCCTCCCAGGGCGACCACATCTCTGGCACTCAGTGGGTCTAGGGCATGGCCAGGAGTGTTAGCTTCCTGAGGCTGCTGTAGCAAAGTAGCACAAACTCGGGGGCTTAAACAACAGACACTTATTCTCTCACAGTTCTGGAGGCTGCGAGTCAGAAATCTAGGTATTGGCAGGGTTGGTTCCTTCCCAGGGCCTGTGAGGAAGAATCTGTTCCAGGCCTCCCTCCTTCTTCTGTCTTCTCTGTGACTTCACATGGTCTTCCCTTCGCATATCTGTCTCCAAGTTCCTCTTTTCATAAGGATGTCAGTCATATTACATGAGAGCCCACACTAATGACCTCATTTTAACTTAATTACCTCTACAAATACTTTATCTTCAAAGAAAGTCCCTTTCTGAGGTACTGGGAGTTTGGACTCCAACATATCTCCTTTCAGGAAAACACAATTCAAACCACTACAGCAGGTGTGTCCAGCAAGAAGGCAGCACCCAGGTCAGGTAATAATGGGACTCTAGGAGAACAAGCAGATTGGGAGTGATATGTTTTCTAATCAGACTTTTTTTAGCACATGCTGAAAATAAACCTCAGATAGATCCCTGGAAAAACCTGGAACAAGTCTTCGGAGATGGGGATCCATATGTTAATTACCAACTATGGACATAGCCAGCAAAACACAGCAAAACAAGCCTACTCTTAAAAATAGATACATACATGTTGCACTGACTGACAAATTTTTGCTAATGTAGGCATTACCCTTGGTTTGGCCTTGAATTTGTCACCAGGATTTGTAAAAGAGCAACGCTGAAAGGTTAACACCAACTTTTAACCATGAGAAGAAAGAATTAAATACAACTATAGTTTGCCACTCTGGCAGCCTTAACAATTATTGTTTTGATGTGCTAACATTTACTGACAAGGACAAAAATCACCCATTCCCATAAACACACACACACTAAGCTAAGTATAAATGTTTCAGTGTGGGAAGGAAAAAAATTCTGATTTTCTGGTTGTTGATGGATAATTTATGTCTATGTGCTTCCTTTGCTTTGCACAATGAAAAGACAAAATTCTGCATTTTAGAAACACATCATAATAAAAAGACAACTCAGTTTAAAATGGGCAAAGATCCGACTAGACAGTTCTTAAAAAAATTTTTATTTTAGGCTCATGGGTACATGTGTGGGTTTGTTAGATAGGTAAATTCAATGTCTTGGGGGTTTGTTGTACAGATTGTTTTGTCACAGAAAATTTTTAAAAGAAAATATACAAATGGCCAGTAAGCACATGAAAATATGTCCAACATCACTACCTATCAGGGTTACTTGTAATGGCCAAAAATGTGGAAATAACTCAAAGCCCATCAACTGTTGAGTAGATAAGCAAAATATGGTGCATCCATATATTGAAAAATTACTTGGTTGTAAAAAAAAAACTACTGAAATATACTATAACATGAATGAACCTTGAAAACATGCTCAGAAAAGGAATCCAGCCATAAAGGACCATATATTATATAATTCCATACATAGGAAATGTCCAGAATAGGCAAATCCGTAGAGACAGAAGGTAGATTCATGATTGCCTAGGACTGGGGGTGGGGTGGGGAGTTCAGGGGTGACCATTGAAGAGTATGTAATTTCTTTTGGGGGTGATGAAAATGTTCTAAAATTATAGTGATGGTTGCACAAATCTGAATATTCTAATGTCATTAGATTGCATGCTTTAAGTGAGTGAATTGTATGGTATGTGAATTAGGTCTCAATAAAGCTGTTAAGAAAAGATAACACATCATGGAAGAAAACATGGGCTGCTAAATTCAGTTAGAATACATGCCAAATAGGGCATGTTGATCCAACAGCTTCTCTGCATATTTGGGATGAGTAGCTGTTGATAGGGCATTTCAGACCTCAGTCTTACAGCATTTATCATATGTATCTCCAGCTTGCACCTCTCTCCTTGGCAATGGCCTTCACTGCACCTTTGACATTTTCCAACTGCGCCTTTGACATTTTCCTCTAGATGGACTGCTGCTTTTCCTTAATTTTCAAATTGTTCAAACACAAACTCATCCTTATACCAGTTCTTCTCCTGACACACCCATTTCAGTGAGGGCCACCACTGTCCTCTGGGCCCCCAGATTGAGGCTTCATGCCCTTCACTGACTTGGCCCTTTTCTTTGGTAGTCTTGAACATATCATTGCCACATCTTCTGGACTCTGCCTTAGCAGTGTCCTTGTCCTGTCTCCTTCTAACCCGATTCCCCCTATTAACTGAGAATTAAGGGGAGCAGAATTATTTATTGAGTCTTTAGTGAGACTCCTCTCTTGCTCTACTATGTCAACCTTCATAACAAACTTAGCAAAGGGCTACAATTACCCTTTTTTATAGCTAAGGAAAATAAGGCTTAGAGGTTAAGGGACTTGACCAGTGGGACAAAACCAGTAAATGGAGGAGTTGGGTTTGGTCCCAGTTTTGTCTGGTCGCTGAGCTCATACTCTGTCCATTCTAGCTACCAAGAATTGCTCCCTTGCATAGCTCTGAACATCCCATTTCCCTTTTCAAGAACCTTCACTGGTGCCCTGTCTCAAGGCCCCTAGGCCCCTCAGCCACATCCTTGTAGGTGTACTCCATATTCAAGACAGATCCACTGTGGTTTGTGTTGAGTGCCTCTCTGGCATGTTCTTCCCTGGAACATCTGCAATCCTCTAGTACAGTGGTTCCAGACACACACGTGCACACATTCACCTAGACATGCTGCATTCACTTCCTGCCTGTGAAAACAGTACTCTCCAAGGCCCATCTCAGTCATCATCTCCTGATCTGCAAAACCAAAAGCAGAATGCAAAATTAATTAATTCCTTAGTGCTTTGTTAATCTTTTTCTTATGGTTTTAAGAAAACGTATCTTCTATTGTGATTATTTTTGTGTTTTTCATAAACTCCCTCTCCTGGATTGTAAGCTCCATGACAGCAAGAACTGAATCTTGCCTAGTTTTGACTTCTTTCATCGAATTAGCATAGAGTAGATGGTGACACACAGTAGATGGCAAATTAATTTTGCATGAACTGACTAAAGAGACACTCACTCATTGCTGCCATAAACTTCCTAGAATCAGCATGAGATCTTAACCAGCCTGGTGAGTGTTCCTGGAGGACCACCCTAGGAAGATTTTTTAGGTATACGGATGAAGTCCCCTTCTCTCAGTATCACATTAATTTTAAACTCTGTTGCTAAAAGACAACTGTCATAATATTTTAGAAATCAAAAATGGAGGTGAATGAATCCATCGCCAAGAGTCTTATAACCCTAAGGAAAAACTGATTTTTCATTTTTACATTCTCTTGCATTCTTTGTGCAGAGAGGAACATAATTTGTAAATAGTTTTAATCAGAGCATAGACATATTTTAAAATTCTGCTTCCTTCACTTAAAACTATACCACAGACATGTTTTCATGTCGCTACATAGTTTTCAAAACTATGATTATGCATAAGATTCCATTGAGTTTCTATGCCATAATTTCTTAACCAACCCCTATTGTTTGACATTTAACTTTGCTGTGGATTTTTAAAAAATGATTCTAAAAAACACATGACCAACTTTTGGCAAGAGAAATGTATACTCTGACGACATTAATCTCCTTTCCCTTAGGCTGGTTGAAAAATCTTCCTTTAGGGTTGAGCTTAGGCACAATTGTGACAGAGACTGAGTTTGTTTTGGATACGCTCACACTTTATTCCTTCTATCTCTGCCCTTCCTCCTCTCAACACATTGTATTTCCCCACGGTGCCTGTCACAGGGACTTGGGGTCTGCCCTCCTTCTCCAGAGACTGACCTGCCTCCCATGAACTCTGCCCTCCTCCTCACCCCTCCTAGCCAGACTTCGCTCTCCTCTTGCATTTCCAAAGCCTCAATCTTAGTAAGATACTAGGCACTCAATCTATTTCTTTCCTGGGTTTATAATATTATACAAAAGGACTTCCGGAGATGGCTATGTGATAACCCAGCCAAGTGCATCACTAAAGGTGGATCTTTGCTCTTTAGTTAGGACTCTTCCAGGTTCTAAGGATATGGCAGTGAACCAAACAAACAAAATCTCCACATAGATAGGTAAATAACACCTAATATAGTAGTAAGTGCTAAAAAGAAAGATAAAGCCAGGGAAGTGGATCAAGTGTTCTCTTTCATGTTTCAGTTGGAATAGTCCAGGAAGGTGGACTTTCAGATAAGGTGACATATGAGAGGAGAGCCACCAGGGAAGGGAGGAATTCCTATGGAGATGTGGAGAAGGAGCTTTCTAGGTAAGGGGCTGCTTGGTACAAGGGCCCTGCTGTTTTGGATGGTGTGCTTGAGGAACTGCAAGGAAGCAGATGTAGAGACAAGGAGGGAAGCAGTGGGAGCTGCTGGGTGGCTGATCATCCAGGGGCTTTAAACCATGCCATGATCTCTGGATATTAATCTCAGCCAGGTAGGAAGCTATTGGATAGTTTTGGGTAGAGCATCTATCACTTATAAAGCCCTCCATTGTGGTTGGAGGATCGACTGTGTAGGAGCAAGGGTGGCAGCTGGAAGACCCATGAGGAGGCAAGAGACAATGGTGGGCTGGACTGGGTAGGTTCTGGGAAAGGTGGTGAGAAAGAGTTGGATTTTGGCTTATTTTGAAGGTAAACCTAGCAGGACTTGCTGAGGGATTGGCTGTGAAGATAAGTAAGAAGTCAGGGAAGATATTAAGGTATTTGACCTGAGACAAGGATGAAGTTGTCATCGACTGAGATGGGGAAGACGGCAGGTAGAACAGGGTCAGTGTGGGAGACCAGGAGTTCAGTTTTGGGCATGTTGTATGTGAAGAGATGCTGAATCAATGTGAGATGCTGAGAGAGGAATTCAGGGAAGGGGTCTCAGCTGCAGATAGAGTTAGAATCAGGATCATAGTCTTGGGCATCAAATAGGCCAGCCTCATCTCACAGCACACAGCCCTTTCCAGAGTGAGCCCCAGCCACGCTGGGATATCAGGTCCTCACAGGGACCACAGCTTCCTCAGCCTCAGGGCCTTGGCATATGCTGCCCCTTCTGCCTAGACCATCCAAGCTTCCCCGGGTTTCCCAATCTCAATATGTCCTGAACTTTTCCTCCAAGGCACTTAAATCAATTTTATATTCCTTGTGTGATGTTTAGTTTAATTTAAAAAAAAGTTTTTTTTTGAGATGGAATCTCACTCTGCCACCCAGGCTAGGGTACAATGGCACAACCTTGGCTCATTGCAACCTCCCCCTCCCTGGTTCAAGCGATTCTTCCTGCCTCAGCCTCCTGAGTAGCTGGGATTACAGACACTTGCTACCATGACCAGCTAATTTTTGTATTTTTGTAGAGATGGGGTTTCACCATGTTGGCCAGGCTGGTCTCGAACTCCTGACCTCTGGTGATCTGCCTGCCTAGGCCTCCCAAAGTGCTGGGATAATCGGTGCCAGCCACTGTGCCCGTCCTAAAATAATTAAAATCCACATTCCGACCAGAATCTAAAATCTGAAATGTCAGGGATAAAGCATATTTTGTTCATCACCATTTTCTCAGCATCTGGCACATGGCAGACACTTCTTCAATATTTGCTGAAAGAACCAATGACTGTTATTAATGTAATACTTTACACTTGATGCGTCGCACCTCCTTTCCTGGTAAGAGGAAGCATCCTTACTGTTTTTCTTATCTTCTTAATTTAGTGGCTCCACATGCCTTGGGAACAAACGCTTTTTTGATAGGTAATATTTGAGGAGGGACTGGGCTGTGATTGGGGGTGGAATTATTGCTTGACTGAAACTCTGAAAAGAAAAGGAATTTAAGGCTTATATAAACTTCCTAATGAAAATCCCCCATCTCCTGTTTCCTGGTCAGCTACTTTGTTGCATTTCTGTGGACACCTTTATCTAACATCGCCTGAGGTTATTTTATAGTGACCTTTGACAAGGCCTATTACTTTCTAGTTGTGAAGTTTATCAAGGTGCTGGGGGCACAGGGAAGGGTTAGAGGCGTTGTGTCGGGATCTGAGCTGGCTGGCACCTCCTTCGCTGCCTCCAGCCTCATCCTGGGACATGACAGGAAATGATAATGAAAGAAAGAGATCTGATTTACCAGGAAAGGATTGTTAGCTCACAAAAGAGCTCTTGGTCTCTGTCTTTGTCAGCATAGGGCTGTATGTAAAACAGGATTACATGAGGGAATTATATCTCTACTGTCTTTAAAAAAGCTGGAGTAAGCTTTCAGAGGTGCCTGTGTTGTTTGGAAACACACACCCTGGCTCCATGGATACATATTTGTGTATTACACATTACACATGTATGTACAGACATTATTGATCGATCGATGTGTGAATATGTTTGTTGGGGAATTCATGAAAGAGGCCCCATCTTTATAGTTAACATTGCTGTGGGAGGCATCCACTCCACGAATGTGTATCAAGCTGAGCATTTACAGTGCTAAGCGTGGAGCCAGGCACTGGGGAAATGGTGGCCAAGAAGAGAGAGGAAGTCCTTGCTTTCAAGGAACTTTTGAAACCTGATGAGTCTCAATCTCTTCTTCTGTAAGATGGGCATAATAATAAGGCCTACTTCACAGCCTCTTCAAGAGGAGTCGATGGCCATGAATGTGAAAACACCACTTGGATTTTAAAATGCTATGCAAATTATGAGCGGCCGTTATGATTGATGTAGCAAAATATAGCTATTTGGGAATAAATACTGGCTAATTTTTTGTAGTTCTGAATATTCTTTATCCCTATGCAATCTAAGGTTTTACCCTTATAATTTAGGGGGCTCAGTTTTCTTTTGCTAGCATCCTAACAACAACAACAACAAAAATGTCAAGTATGTAACTTAGTTTGGAAACAATTGGATCAGTTAGCTATTGCTGTATGACACATTAGCATCATCCCCCTAACAACATACATTTATTGTCTTAGAGTTTCTGTGGGTCAGGAATCTGGATGTGGTTTCTTTGTGTCTCTGCTCTGGATCTGTCACAAGGCAGTGATCAAGATACCTGCCAGGGCTGTAGTCACCTCAAACCTCAGTGGGGGAAGATCTCCCTCCAGACTCACCTGGTATTGCAGGCCTTAGGTGATCCACACCAAGCTCACTTGTATGGCTGTTGGCTGGCTTCCGATTCTTGCTGGCTGTTGGCCTGAGACATTAGTTCCTTACTACTGGGGGCTTTCCATAGGGGAGCTTACAGTATGACAGCTGGCTTCCCCAGGAGCAAGCAAGGGCTCCAAGGAGGAGAAAGCGAGAGATGGGAGTCTCAGACTTTCTTTGGGTTCAAATCACTGAAGTGACATCCCATCTCATTTGCCATATTCTATTCATTAGAAGCACATCATTGGGTTTAGCCAGTACCTATGGCAAGAAGAAGATGTAAGTTTGTACCAGAGGACGGGTCACTGGAAACATCTCAAAGACTGCCTGCCACAGCAATACATGTAAACAGGACTATGAGTTAATGCTGTATCTATGGCATTCATAATGTCACACTATTTGAAACGAAAGAAATAAAAGAAGTAAGCACCATTGTTCCCCCAAGACAGTTAAGATAGACAAGGAAAATTGGCGTTAAAGCCTCCTAGATTTTGAGTTGCAATCAGTAAACAACCCTGATTTTTTCTTTTGCTTGTGGCACTGGCTCATGCTTGGACATTTACACTCTTTATTTAGCAAGAAAGCATTTGAAAGGTACCTTTCAAATATTGGAGGTAAACAAAGGTCAGTCTTTCCTAAGCAAGAGTAGCAAAATTAAAAATATGTTAATTTTAACTTGCCGGTTCACAGATTGATGTATCCTCCATTCACTTGATTACTTTTTTTGACCCACACCTGAAAACAAAGCTCTTCCAGTCACTTGAAGATGAAGAAAAAGAAAATTTTAGGTACAGAGGCGTTCTGGTGGTATGAGAATGAGCTGTGCCATGGTTTAGAAAAAGGAAAAAGTCCAGTGTGGGCAGAATGTGGTGGACAAGGGGCAAGTGTGACCAGATGAACTCTGGGTTGGGGGCCTGGGTCACTGGAGGTATGGTGAGCAGATAGCTGTTTAGATTTACATCTAAATGCAATGGGGAACATTTGCAGGATTTGAGGTGACTGCAAACAGCTATGCCTTTTTTTTTTTTTTTTTGCTTTTTTTTGGTTGTTGATTCTGATCGAATTAGCTATATTGCAGTGAGCTCTTGCTGAAAGAGATTCTGATGTCTGTTAACCAAAAGCCGTGTTTGGGCAAAGATAAAAACATGCACTGAAACTTTGTAATAGGATGTTATAATTATGCAATGTGTTTTATACGGAGTTGGAGCGTTGTGTGTTTTGCCCAGCCAATGGCAAGGACAATGTGGTAGATGCATCTGGAACAAGGTCCTTGGATCATAGGGATTCCTAGTATTAGTTTCATGTGACAGAACTTACAAGAAATTCATTCAGAAAAACACCCAGTGTAGGAGTCATTTGGCATAATCTGTGCATATTTTCTCAAACAAGCAGCAATCATTTTTCGGTTGTGTCATCTATGGCTGTCGCTCGTACGCAGTTTTGTGGCTCTTTTGCAAGCCGGCAGGCACACAGTGGTCATCTGGGATTTTCAAATGAGAGTGCACCATTTAAAATTAGTGGTCTTGGTAACTTCTCTTTCCTCCAAATTTCCCTTGAAGCTGACCTTGTGAGAAGAACACTCTCCATCTATTTTTCCTGAAAGAGTAACTGGGAAAGGAAAAGTTCTTAAGTCTTAACGCTGGAATTCAACCAATTCTAATCCTAAAATCTTTCTAGTGTGTTCCTGTCCGAGTCAGAAAGGAATAAAGGAATTTTAGATGGCTTGAACAAAAATCGTGAAAAAATGATAGCTATATCTCAAGTTCAGGGATTCCCTCAACTTTCTTCTTTTTAAAATTTAAAGATAAATTTACTGTTTTCTGATTCAAAAATACTCATTGTAGAAAATAAAAAAGAAGAAGAAAATTCTAACCAAAGATGATCACATATGGTGATTTTGATACATATCCTTCATATAATCTATGTCTTCATCCATATCATCTAGCTATATTTCATAGAGTATTTACAGTTTTGTGTTTGAATTTTTTCTACTTATCATTATTTTGTGAACATTTCCCCAAGGTCATGATTTATTTTTTTGAAAATGTGATTTTAATAGCCTTAGAATTTTCTGTTTGTTATAATGTACTTAAGCCATTTTGCTTAATATTGGTTGCATCATCTATTTTGATTTTTTTCCTGGTAATAAATAATATTGTGATAAGCCATCTTGCACATAACCCTTTATCTGCATCTCTTATTTTTCCAAAGGAATTATTCCAACGAGTAGGTGTTGATACATTTTGCTAAACTGCTTTCACAACAGCTTGTACTGATTGCCCCACGAATATCCAGGCTATGCAATAGTGCCTATCACACCTGATTTTCAGCCAAGAGTATTGGGTATTGTAGTCAAAAAGAAATAGTTGCCAGTTGATTAGGTCAAAAATTGTTTTAATTTGCTTTTATTTGATTAAAAGGGGTATTGAACATTATTTCCATTTATTTGCTGGCAATTTATGAATTGTTCATCTTTGTTTCTGCTTTTTGGCCATTTTTCTCTCAGAGTATTAATATTTTGCCTATCAAAATTTACAATTTAAAAATGCTTTTTAAGATAGGGTCTGTCTATGTTGCTCAGTCTAGATTTAAACTCCTGGGCTCAAGGGATCCTCCCACGTCAGCCTCTTGAGTAGCTGGGATTACAGGCATGTGCCGCCACACCCGCCCAAAATTTACATCTTTTTATTCTGGAAAGGAAATGCACCCTTTATCTTTAAAATCTAGAAGCACAAGTATAGCCATATATTTTCAGTGTAAAAAGGGTTTAAAAATTTCTTTTGGTTCTTCATTACTTGTGGTTGATTTATGAGTCTGTGAATATGTGAACACAGTTTACGTTTAGAATCATGCCACTTCTGCTTGCTGTAGCTTCAGTTATAATCTTCCTCATATTTTTTCTGTTTTCCTCTTTCGTCTACTGTAATAAAATTTTTAAAAGATCCAGACTTCTACTTATCTCACTTTACTCAACTCCACTTTTAGATGGCAGCCTGCCAAGGAAACCACAGTCTGAAGAGAATCTCCTATGAGACCTCTAGAGGGTCAGTAGCATCAGTTGAGAGGAAGAGTTCAGGAGAGGAAAGGACGGCTTCTGGTTTATGCCATTTAACTAATGACCTTCCTGATTCCGGCTCAGAGTGAGCAGAATTAGTTAACAAGGGCTTGGGGGCTCAGGAATTCCAGGTATCTGACATTCCACTTGCTGCTTCTGCCTGTGGCCAGAGGCAACTCCTCATCTCAGCTCCATCTCCACCACCTCATTTTACAATGGAGATAATAATACCTCAAAGGTATGCACTAATTAATTATTCTTGGAAAATTCTCTGAAAATGTAATTACTAATTATCATAATGATTCGATTATTAATTTCATTCCTTTTATAGAATTTTAATCGAATGCCAAAATTCAACACCCAGATCCAGTTATTTGTAAACTTTTTTTCTGCCTATTATCTTAGCAGCTTCTTTATAATGATTATTTTACCCCATGCTAGGTGAATTTCTTACAATATAGAAACAACAGTATTTTAAAACTATTTAGAAATTTTGGAGCTCCAAGAAGAGACAATACAGAAAAAAACAAGACAAAATGTTGTATCTCCATAGATTATTGTAACTCAATAATTAAATAGCTAAATATTTGAGGCTGTTGATTTTTAAACCACATTAACTACTTTTTCCTTCAATGTGAGTCATATAGTCTGAGGTGGTTAGTTTACTGGTAAATAATTATATCTAAGACTATTACAGTTTACCTAGATATTCAGCAGGAAAGTCATATGAATACAAATAATTTACAAACGACCTGTGCTGAACCATGGCCCTGGCTTTTATTGTGCAATTCTAAGTTTGGAACTGGGTGTTAATTTATTAAGAATCTTTTCATCAATTCCACAGATTCATAGAATTAATGTGACTGAGTTGACAATAGTTAAAACAATGTGTATTTGGCATTGATGATTTTTCTTGAATGGTGTTGTTTAATGTTATTTAATTTAGCACGTGAATGTCTTATTTTTCTAATTAGATCATACGCACCTTAAGAGTAGGGACTATGTGTTGTAATTCCTCTAAAAGCAGAGGGATTCAATGAACACTGGAATTATCACCTAGGCCACCTGGCTTTTTTTTTTTTTTTTTCCTCCCTCACTCAACCTATAACTAGCTGTGAGTTTTGGACACTTAAGTAACTGCATGCCACCTCAGTTTCCCAATCTATAAACAACGAAATGATACCTTCTGTAATTTACAAGGCTGTTCTGAAGCTCAAATGAAGGGAACTCCCTAGGAGGGGGGTGGATCGTTAAAAGCCTTGTGTGGGCTTGTGAAAATTCAGTGTCATTTGGCAAGGTTGTTTTATATCCAGATGTGTGATTGTCAGTGGGGATGTGCATTTTGACCTTTTCCCTTCCATTTTTTTTTTTTTTTTTTTTTGGTCTGGGAGATTTTGCATACTGATAAGAGCTGAGAGTTGATTTAGCAAAGTTATGATCAGACGTTTCCAGCTCTAGTGGCCTCTAGCTTCTGCTGGGCCGGCCTTAATATGAATGAGGGCCATATAACCAGCCTCTTAAATTTAAGTGTCAGCTGCATCATCTTCATCAGGAGAAACATTTCAAACATTTATTTTCTTTGCAAAAGGCAAGTTTTAGTGGTGGAGTCAATTTATTTCTGAAACGATCTCATTTACCTGAATGAGGAGCTCATATTTATTTTCAGGGTAAGTGGTGGGGTTGTATAATACTCGTGTGACAGATGAACCAAACACTCAGATGTAAATTACATTTGGCTGGAAGAAGATGCTCTGGTATGAAACCACATTTCTGCCATTGCTCACTTGTTCTTCTTGGCTGAGAGCTGGAAGATTGGTGACTCTTGGATTTACCTAGAAAATGAAAAAATATTCTTTACAGAAACCAGAAAGGGGTGAGTAATACCATATACATATATTTATATAAGAGGATTTGAGGAAGCGACCTGGGTGTAACATTTCTCTGTCCAGCAGACTGAAAGTGTCACAGAACATGTCAGAGTGGCTTGTGGCATGATGGTTTATTTTCAAAGACCTTTTGAAAACACCATCAAGCCTTTTTCTTTTGTTTTATTTTAAAGTGGCCTTTCACTGGCTTCATTAATGTGTCACAAAGTGAATTTTTTTTTGTTTCTGTGAGCCATCAGTCTCATAAAAATTAAATGTGTGCATTCCTGCAACCTGATATGCCCTCTCCAGTAAAAATCAATGCCTCTTGCCCTTGTGGCTCAAGCTGCAGAGGTCTTAGTAGCCTGTGTTGTGTACATTTGTGCATATGGCCTTTCCACTTATGTTTTCCAATGTTTCTTAAACATATCTGAGAACTCAGTCACAGCTACAATCTGTTGGTTTGTGTTTAGCCTGTGTGTGTTTGCCCGAAAACAGCAGTGTTGTTCCCTCCCCCGACCATGTTTGCCCTATTAAGTGGGCACAGAACGGGGCCCTCTTACTACTTATCTGTGTATTATTCCTTTGGTTGGGTGGCAAGAAGATCTGAAGAGGATGGATTTTTGGAGGGGTAGAAAAGTTTAAAACCACTAAATTCCTTTTCAGGCTTGAATTATACTACCTTAACTATACCAAGTGCAAAGATTCTGACACTTATGATGGCAAATTATTTACCTGTAATTAGATGCAATTGTCATTTTTTCCTAAACAAGTACAATTTCCAAGGCATTTTTTTTTCTAGAAAATAATCAAATGTTGAATTTTAGCATTAGGTTTGAAATGAGAGTAAAGACTGAGATTCTCTTAAGTTTTGCTTGAACTAATCATTGCCTCTGATAAAGGGGACCAGCCCCACATTTCACACCATTTGATTGTGAGATTTAAGAAAGTGGGATAATGGGATGTGGGGGGAACAGGTTGCATTTACTCTGCTACATAAAATTCTACAGATGGAATTGTGTACTATGCTCTTGAGGTAACTGAAAGGTTGTATTAGAGGCAAATGATGAAAAGCCCCTGGCTCTACTTTCCCCAGGTTTCAAAGGAGAAGAAGCAGCTGAATGTCTTTGGTTTGGTGCAATTCAGTCATGATTTTGTCTCCACTTTGACTGCATCCCTTAGAGAACTCAGCTCACACTCATAAGGTCCCACTCCCAACCGGCAGTGACAGAGATGAGCACCTGTTAAGGGCCATGGCTAAGGACTTCACACTACTGTTTGTGCATGTTGAGAAAATAGATAAGCCAATTAAGTTAATGCCTATTGTAGGCCAGGTACTAAGTCAAATCTTACATTGTCTTATTTAGTAGGTGTTATTATCTCTGTTCTGCTGAGGAAACTGAGGTTTAGAGAAGCTGAGGATTTTACTCAAGATCATGCAGTTATTAAGTTGCAGAGCCAGGATTCACTCTCTGTCATGGGAGCCTCCTTTCTTGGTACTCCGAATCACTCTAGAAACTTGCCAAGAGAGATCACCATTTCATTTTCTTCAGATGAAGCTATCTGTATGGCCCAAATCCCACTGAATCTTAGTTCCATAGATCTTCCTTCTATCATCTTCTACCAGTATTAGATGCTTGTTGGTTCAATCTGTTACCAAATATTTTAGTGAGTGCCTATAAAAACCTAAGTTTAGTGACATTAATTTCAAGAAGTACAATAAAAGCACAGCTAATTTTACCTAACAACAGGAAACTTAAGGTGTAGTTAGTACTATAATCTAAATAAATGGATAGTCCTATAATCTAAATAAATGGAATTAGAACTACAGCTATTATTAGTAATCACATTGTTACCAACTCTATTTAAAGATATGATCCAGTTAACTATAAACAATGCCATATTATCCTACTTCTTAAATGCAGTCACTTGAAGGATTAACATTTTCACTATTCTTTGTATGATGTATTTGGAATTATAGTTCTAAATCTGTTCTGGAACAGAAAAGACGATGGAGACATTTGCGAGATGAAAATCTGATGACTTTCGGGCTCAGGGTGAATTTACAAACACCAGTCATTTATCCCTACATGACATTTTCCAGTTATCCAACCAGGCTTTTCTTCAGGAGCCATTTGTGGTCGGGATGCATCGTGATGCATCATTTATGTAGTGTCTTAAGTGTTTACTGGGCAGAGCATGTGAGAGACAAAGCACAAGAATCCTGCCCAAAGACCTTACTACCTAGGGTCACATTGATTGTTATGTAACAGACTTTCACCCAAGAGTAGATATTGCTTAACTCATTCATTTCTCTAGAGCTAGAGTTTAGGGTTTCCTTTAACATGTAGATGACCTTAACATACTGATTTGTATTTTTACTTACAATAGATATTCACACTGAAGAATATGTTGCATACTCCAAAAACGGGCAGGGTATGAGATGGGAATGAGAGTGTGGACTGAGTTGCTGTCAAAGGGGGGTGTCGGGGCCACTGAGGATGGGCTAGAGATCACTGATCCCCAACTTGACCATATAGGGCCTCTCGGTTTTTCCTTACTTTTATATTTGAAAGATTTTTTTTCTACCTGATAAGTATTGATTAATTCATTTTTCTTTTTAAATTAATGGCATTCATAATTGTCAATCAGAAATTGTGATAAACATGAGATGTCTGATGTTACCATACTGAATCAAAATAATTGCAGCCAACAGTAAAGAAAGTTGCCATTTTACTTGACATGTGAAGCTTTCTTGTGTGTGAATAACTAAATGTTTACATACACGTTAACCTTTTGGAAATACTGAAAATTGAACTGATCTCTGTTATTACATTCACAGACTTCCTAGGAATCCAGAGACCCCCAAGTGGGGAGCAACTGGATTTAGCAATTGCCGTAAGTTCCCATCTGCTTCTAACATTCTGTGATTTGTGAACACAGCATTACAACTAATAAAATCGACCAGTTACAAATGTTGCTTCCAACAGCAAGTTTTGAAATACAGGTCCAACATTTTTGTGGGAAAGGAGCAAACAGAGATACTTCTAAAACTTGGAGAGCAGGGTAAAGACTGGGAATAGCTGCACTTCACTATGTCCCATGATTTTCCTTGGTGAACAACCAAAATTAGTGATGTCCACTCTGTTGTCCTTGACCACAGACAGATCTACTTGTGATTTAAGAAAAACCCCAACCCCAAACCGAACCAAACCAAAACAACAGACCCTTCATGTGATGCTTTATGTCTACATCCTGAATAGACCTTACACCATCCTCTGTATCGTAAGCTCTATACTGCAGGCAGAATGAAAAACCAGACCTGACTATATCAACCCTCTGTTGGTTCTTCACTGCCCATAGGGTAAAATTTAACCTCCTTGGCTTGATGTACAAGGTTTGCATTATATAACTATCATCTGCACCTGATTCCTCTCCATGTATACTTTGTGAACCTGCTAGACTGAATTTTCCATCATCCTTGCAAACTACCAGACCTTTCTTAAATCTCTGCCTTTGCACATGCCATTCTGCTAACTGGAATATTCTCTCTGCTCAATCTTTGTTGGATAAATCCCTATAATAGCCAGTTAAGACAATAGCACTTATTATGTACTAGGCATTCATTTAATCCTTACAATGAGGTGGTTGCCATTATCAGCCCCAGTTTGCAGAGGAGGAACCTGGCCCAGAGATGTTTGGTAGACTTCCCAAGGTCACAGAGCCAATAAATGAGGAAGCTAGGATTTGAACCTGTGCAGTCTATCACTCAGGACCTGTATTCTTAATCTCTGTGCCACACTGCCTATCTCCTAAGATGGCACTTTCAAAGGTGAAGGAAGCTATTCCCAGATGCCTCAAATTGGAGTTAGCACTTCAGTTCTTAGGATTCTCAAAGTGCTTTCTAAGGCATCCTTGCAATAGAATTTATCAAGTTGCATTATTATTTTTCTCTGTGCCTGTGTGACCTGTAATTTTGCGTACCATTCAGCCTTGTATGCCCAGAGCCTAGTAAAAAGCCTATCACTGGTTAAACACTTTGTAGCTATGTCTTGAATGAGTGAATGAATGAGTGAAGGAGTAAAGGCAGAAACACTTGTCTGTGCTTAGCTGGAACAGGCTCATCTTTCCTTCTGTGACATGCTTCTGGGATATCAGTTGAAAAACACTTTCTTCCAATAGACTTTACCTGTCTCAGGGGTGCAAAACATTCCAACAGGAAAACTTAGAACTCTCAGTTGTCCTCTCCACGTGACAGTAAATTATTGCCAAATCTTGCAAAGATGCCCATGAATTCTGCTGAGTATCCATGTCGCACTCCAGTCCGACAACATTGATTTATTTAAGTATAGGTTTGGTGCTCTGTGAGGACTCACCATCTGCTTAAGTTGTGTTTACTTTAAGTACCAGTCAGCGTTTTCCTGACGAGTTATAGAAAAATGGTAGTTCAACTTAATTTTTAAGCGAGGCCTGTTTGAGAATAATTTGTTAATTACTAGTTGGTTGATCCCATTTCCTTAAATTAAGGGCTTCAGTTAATATCACATGCTTATTGCCAGCTTGCTGGAAGCCACTGCAGTGGTACCGCCAGTTGCATGATATATTGCAGCCTTATTCTCCCAGGCCAGTCCTGCCCTGGCTTTTCCGTTTATCTTTAACTAATTTAACAAGCCTGAAAAGTAACCTGGTGGTTTACTAGCTTTAGGACTGCAAATTGGAAGCTTAATTTAATAGCCACTTATAAAACCACTGAGGCAGAAATTGGTTATTAGGCCTTCATATGATGGGGCACACAGAGCCATCTGATCAAGGCTGATTCTTCCAGATACAGGAAGATTGGAGTTCACACCATTTGGGCTGGAAGTGTTTTATCAACTGCACACAAGACAGGGTTTGAACCTTGTCATCAGGTGGCGTGGAGTTCAGTGGATTTCTTTTCTTTTCTTTTTGGCAAGAAAGGAAATATTTGGCAGACTGTTATTGGGGAGGTCCAAGGAGATTGGCCACGGCCATCAGAAGAGGGCACGCTGAGGTTGGGTGCATTGGGATATATAATGACTTTTGTAAATGTTTTGGTTTCAATAAAATCCCAAATGTATTTTATCAATGCATTTTTCCCCTTAATTTTTAGACCCTTGTGTATTTCAAGGGAAATTTAATTCATATGGTTTTGATTCATTTATACTTAACTCATCAAAATGTTGTTTTCTAAGAGTTATTTGATGTCCAAGAAGACTTCGGAGCTTGATTTAAATACCTTCCAGTGTGCTTTCCCCCTCCCTTTTAAAAATAGAAAGCCATCTACTCTTGGCAAAACCTAAATGCACACACTCTAAAAGTTTGCATTTGGTTGAAAGCTCCAAGCCCATGAGGCTGTCGAGCTGGGCCAAATGCATTCTCCAGCTCCTGGTAATGTGTGAGCCTGTTACTCAAAAGCACAGAGAGATCTTTACCACTTGATAATCTCTGGTGGCTCTCCACATGGAAAGAAACTCTAAAATATAAAATGTCTGCCATTTGCTACATCTTTGATCTTGGAAAAGCCACTTAACCTCCCTTCACTTCAGCTTCCCATCAGTAAAGTCGGGCTAATATTTATTTTGCCTACCTCCCAGAATGATTGAGAGGATTAAAGAAGCTAATATAAAAGTCCAAAGATACCAAAAGCATCACATCTCTTTTCTTGATGTTATTGTTCTTTGAAAAAAATAATAAATACTCAGCCTTTAGTGAATATTTGGTATGTGGCAGGTACTATGTTTGACTTTTTGTAAGTTACCATCATGTTTAATCCTCATAGCACCAGGTGAACTGGAGCTACTTTTAATCTCCACATTTTGGAAGATAAAACCTCTGTGTCATTTGCTCAAAGTCTTATAGTTTATGGGTAGAAAAGCTGGAATATAAGTCAAGCTCTTTATGGTTTTTAAAAACTTTTTTAAATTTTAAAATAATTATACATACAGGATACAGAGTGATATTTTGTATCACATGTATACAACATAATGATAAAATCAGGGTAACTTGATCACCACAAACATTTATCATTTCTCTGTGTTGTAAGTATTCGAATGCCCTCTTCTAGCTTTTTGAAAATGTACAATAAATTACAGTTAACCATATTCACCCTATAGTGCCGTGGAACACCAGAACTTATTCCTCCTAACTCTTTGTTAACCCACCTCTCCCACTGTCCTCTCCTCATCCCCTTCCCAGCCTCTAATACTCACAATTCTACTCTCTACTTCCATGAGATTAAACAAAATTTTTTTCCTTAGCTCCCACATATGAGTGAGAACATACAGTATTTATCTTCCTGTGCCTGACTTATTTTGTTTAGCATAATGTCCCCCGGGCTTATCCATGTTCTGTGAATGACAGGATTTCATTCTTTTTTATGACTGAATAGTATTCCAGTGTGTATATATGCCACATTTTCTTCATCCGTTCATCTGTTGATGGACATATAGGTTGATTCTATATCTTAGCTATCGTGAATAGTGCTGCAGCAAACATGGGGGTGCAGGTGTCCCTTTGGTATACTGATTTCCTTTCCTTTTGATATGTTTCTCAAAATCCTCCAGCAGTGGAATTGATGGATTATATGGTAGTTTTTTTTGTTTGTTTTTTGAGAAACTTTCATACTGTTTTCTATAATGGCTGTACTAATTCACATTCCCATCAATAGTGTATAAGAGTTCCCTTTTCCCGCATCCACACTGTCAGCATGTGTTAACTTTTTGTCTTTTCGATAATAGCCATTCTAACTGGGGTGAGATGATATCTCGTTGTGGTTTTGATTTGCATTTTCCTTTATGAGTTTTAACCACTAAGTTGTATAGTAAATGGTTAAAGTCACATTAATCACTGTAATGTTGTGACTCAATATCAGAGTTTATCTTGAGTCAGTATCACTCATCATTGAGTCTCTTAATATTGTTAAGATCACTTAGTCACATTTTCTATTACATTCTCTTTTTGAATAATTAGGGTAAATGCATATGTAAAATATGTCATTCAAATATACAGACATTCAAAGATCATTCCTTACGTAGGACAGTAATAGAAGCTAATTTTAATTGAACACCTACTTTGGACCAGACACTGCAGAGCTCTCTATATGCCTTATTTCGTTTAATCTTCAGAACAACTCTATAAGGTAAAGTCAAGAACTGTGAAGAGCTGAGATTTCCCCCTACTTGCAACCTAATTAGTCTACTAGTTTCATGGATGCTGGCAGTAGCTATGAGACTCCTGGGTCAGACACAAAGTTCTTTATTACTCATGGCCAGCAAGCAGCATCAGCCTCATGTTCATATCACTTCCTCTTGTTCCTAGCTCCTATGAGAGTGATGTGGAGTGACCCAGGTGGCTGCTGAACATGCAGGGAGTTTACATTATGGCTGAAGAACTCTGGGCTTAGAAATCTCATTCTCTTTTAATGTTGGGGGAAGCAGCCTTGCCTGACCTTTGCTCCCAAGGGAGATATCTTTATTACACTGGACAGTAAGCAAACCTGCCATCTGCTCCAGAGGGACACACTAAGTCTGTCTTCTAACTCTGCTGTGCAAACATATTTGAAAAAATTCCAGAACCAAGGCCATCTGTACCTCTGCTGCTAGGACATACATAGTCCATAGAGGACTGTCTCCCAACACTTAGTCGCTCTATTTTACAGGCAGGAAAACTGGATTTAGAGAGGTGGAATCATTCATTCATTCCAGAAATATGTATTGAATACCTGTATGTGTTAAGGTTCCTTAGCTAAAAATTGGAGGAGGGGGAGTCAACACAGGCTCTAGGCCACTAACTTGTCCCCTTACCCACTTAACCCCTCTCCTCCTCAGCCACTGTCTCATCTTGCCTCCCCACCTTATGGCTAATTATATAAAATGATAATTCACTTACGATGATGATGACTCTTTGGGACACATGTTTCTCCTGCCATCAAATTCTTCCTCTGCAGCTTGACCCAGCCCCAGATACCCAAATGCCATAGGTCATTTACCTGAGATGTGGAAGCGGTATTGGTAGATCCTGATACAAGTCAGAATGGTGTTTTGAGGTGGAATTTAGTAGCACATAGAAGACAGTGGTGCTAGGTGATTTGAAAGTTAGATTAAACATAAAAAATTTTGTAATGGAAAACTTAGTTTTGTAAGATGGAATTAATTTGGTGTCTTTACAAAACTCAGAAGGTTCCTTTTCCCTGTTGCCCCTCCATCAATTAATCAGCACCGTTTTATGCTTGTATAAAAGTGCAAACCATTAAATGCTTTATAAAGATTTTGATAGTGTTCATGCTAGTTTGTGGGAGTCCCCTTGCCATGTGCCTGAATTGATCTGGCATAAAATATTAAATGACTATGAATTTGGAATCTGGGGGAGAAACATAAGGTCTTGGCAACAGAAGATTGGACGCATCTTTTCCCAACAAAGAGGTCTCCTGCGGCCCACAGGAAGGAATCTCAGGCTGCAAATTATCTCCTTTCTCAACATGGCCCAACTCAGGAAGCTAGTTTGCCAGGTTCCTGAGAAAATAATAAAGATGGACATGGAGTGATGAAGAGGTTGGTGGCTGGAATACCTACCTTTGAACTGTCGTGGGGAAACAAAGTGAAAATTAGCTGGTCAATCATTGTTCCTTTCAACCAAGTCACAGCAGGGGAAAGACTCTTCCACTGGCCTCTCCACCAGAGGAGAAGCTGTGTTTTAAAAAATAGGAAGAAAAGAAGCCTGACTTGGTGCTTATTTAGCCCTGCCACTGTGTTCATGGATTAGTATAGCACAGTGAGAATTTCTCTCCTGCTGGTCTGCCCCTGTCGGCACCTGAAGCTATTGGCTCTGTTTTCTGGGCTCATTTCAATTCCCCCTGATGCCAGAGAAAATCCAATTAGTGAAGAATTTGAAAGAAAGAATTCTAGAGGAAACTCTATCACCCTGAAACCATAGCAGAGTGGGGATGTGATGACTCTTGTGGGGTCATAAATGTCATGAGTTTCTTCCTAATCTTAAATGGTAATCCAGAAAGTAAGTTTACTGATATTGTTTGGCTGTGTCCCCACCCAAATCTCATCTTGAGTTGTAGCTCCCATAATCCCCATATGTGGTGGGAGGGAGCTGGTAGGGGGTAATTGAATCATGAGGTTGGGCGTTTCCCATGCTGTTCTTGTGATAGTGAATAAGTCTCACGAGAACTGATGGTTTTACAAAAGGGCAGTTCCCCTGCACATACTCTCTTGTAAGACGTTCCTTTGCTCCTCCTTCACTTTCTGCCATGATTGTAAAGCCTCCCCAGCCACGTGGAACTGCGAGTCAATTAAACCTGTTTTTCTTTATAAATTACTCAGTCTCAGGTATGTCTTTATTAGCAGTGTGAGAACCGACTAATACATTTATACTCAGACTTTCTTTGATGGAGCCAGCCTCCTTGAAAGCAGTTATTTTTAGATGTTCCAACAGCCATCTATCTTACAAAAGGATTTTCTCTTCAGATAGGCTCTGCCTATCAGGTTCTACAGTAGGCTGCAGAAAGAGGAAATTACTTTGTTTTTGCACTTTAACAGCAAAGTCAAGTGGAGGAAGAAACTAAGAATCCTTGGACCTTGGAGCAGGGTTTTACTGAAGAGTGAAAGTGGGTCCCGGGAGCCAATATTCTTCTTTTTCTTTTTTTTTTTTTATTTGAGACGGAATCTCGCTCTGTTGCCCAGGCTGGAGTGCAGTGGCGCGATCTCGGCTCACTGCAAGCTCCGCCTCCCAGGTTCACGCCATTCTCCTGCCTCAGCCTCCCGAGTAGCTGGGACTACAGGCGCCCGCCACCACGCCTGGCTAATTTTTTGTATTTTTAGTTGAGATGGGGTTTCACTGTGTTAGCCAGGATGATCTCGATCTTCTGACCTCATGATCCGCCTGCCTCAGCCTCCCAAAGTGCTGGGATTACAGGCGTGAGCCACTGCGCCCGGCCTATTCTTCTAACATACTTGAGAGGGTGAGGGAATGATTGCAGCTTTGCTGAGGGTATCCAAGGCCTGTTCATGGTAGAAGCAAAACAACCTCAACAAACAAAACCAAACAAACCCAACAAAGAATGTGAATGTTACTTTCTTAATTTTCTGATTCTGTCCCTATTCCCTGAAGGAAGCCCTTGGACCAGCTGGAGCACCTTTCCTGAAGTCAACTATACCAGACACCAGAAAATACACGTGACTCCAAGGGAATCTTCAGGCAGACCATCGTCCCCTCCCACTTTATTCCCTTCGACAGTCTGCCCACTGTTTCCTTGTTGTTTTTGGTTGGTCTGTTTGTTTTGGGTCCCCCCAGCCGCCCCTCCCCTCCCCCACACTCATCTCCTGCCTCCCCAGCTCCAGGAAGCTATACACAAACTGGAGCATTTGGAGCTAACTTGGTGGGATGATGTGGCTTCTGGCAGCTCCCACAATATGACACCAGTGAAAATACAAACCAAATGTTCCTTGTGTTCTAGGGTGTGAAGTCTTCATCGCCCTTTTCTTTGAGAGCAGAGAGCACAAAAGAACTAGACATTTGGTGGTTTCTGTCCTGGCTCTGCCTTTTAATAGCTGGGTGACATCTCTGAATCCAATTCTTTATAAAATAATAATTGTAGGTCCGGGCGTGGTGGCTCACACCTGTAATCCCAGCACTTTGAGAGGCTGAGGTGGGCAGATCACGAAGTCAGGAGATCAAGGCCATCCTAGCTAACACGGTGAAATCCCATCTCCACTGAAAATACAAAAAATTAGCTGGGCGTGGTGGTGGGTGCCTGTAGGCCCAGCTACTTGGGAGGCTGAGGCAGGAGACTGGCGTGAACCCGGGAGGTGGAGATTGCAGTGAGCCGAGATCACGCCACTGCACTCCAGCCTGGGCAACAGAGTGAGACTCTGTCTCAAAACAAAACAAAACAAAACAAAAGTAAAAGAATAATTGTCTTACCCACTTTATACAGGTGGTGTCGGTGTTAAAGTCATTTATTGAGAGCCTACCATATGCTAGATTGTGTGTATTGAAGTACCTCCTCTACTAAGCCAAGAGCACCTCAAAGGCAAGACCATTTCCTATTCCCATCTGTGACAGGTAGTAGAATCTGACTGGCTGAGCTTGGAGCTGGACTCTGCACCTTGCTAGCTCTGTGTCCCTGGGCAAGTTACTAACTTCTCACCTGGAAAGTGGAGATCAGGACACCACCTCCCCTCTAGAATTCTTGTGAGACCTAAATAAGATAACACACATAGCACAGGGCTTGCAGGGCACACCATGAATGTTAGCAATTGTTCTGACTGTATTTATGAGATCAGTGCCTGGCGCACATCTGTTTTTTGAAATACGGTAAACAGTAAATGCTCAACAAATGGTAGTTCTTTTTCATAAGCTTTCTTTAAATAGTCTTGCAGTTCACATGTGACAGATCATGGTGGTATGTTCCACTGGGACTGATCCCAAGAAATGAAGATGAGGTTTTCTAGAGTTTAACTCTGAAAGTTCCCTTCAAACAAGTTTCTTCATTTGGTAGCTGCACACCGACGGGGGAGTGGGTGACGGAATTTGGACCAACTCATTCAGTGTCTTAGGGTATTAGTGTGTTCATGTAGTCATTTGCCTCAGCTAAGCCCAACCTCCATGATCTTTAGCCATGCTGAGCTGGAGAGAAAGCAGTACCCGAGAATGTTCATGGAGCTTGCTGCCTGAACATGGACCCTACACATGCACCTGCTAGGGGAGGAGAGTGATGGTGTGTGTGTATGTGTGTATTGTGGGAAGTGGTGAGGTGGTAATACAGCTAGGAGAGCAAGATAAAGAACATGATGACTCAGGGGTCCTTTATTTTACGTGGCATTTCCAAAATGTGGCTTCTGATGACACAACTGCCCCACATTCCCAGCCCGTCTCAGGTATACCTCAGGCTTTCCCTTCTTCCCATTGGCTTTTTCTTTTTTACTTAGAGAGATATTTATTAAGATCGAAATCCACTAAAGAAAACACAAAAAGTAGCAAGAAACCACTTTAGTGAGAGGACTTTTTGGGAGAGTGTATGTGATAGTTAATACTGAGTGTCAACTTGATTGGATTGAAGGATACAAAGTATTGATCCTGGGTGTGTCTGTGAGGGTGTTGCCAAAAGAGATTAACATTTGAGTCAGTGGGCTGGGGAAGGCAGATCCACCCTTAATCTGGTGGGCACAATCTAATCAGCTGCCAGCGAATATAAAGCAGGCAGAAAAACGTGAAAAGGAGAGACTGGCCTAGCCTCCCAGCCTACCTCTTTCTCCCGTGCTGGATGCTTTCTGCCCTCGAACATCAGACTCCAAGTTCTTCACTTTTGGGACTCAGACTGGCTCTCCTTGCTCAGCAGCTTGCAGACAGCCTATTGTGGGACTTTGTGATCATCTAAGTTAATACTTAATAAAGTTCCCTTTATATCTATCCTATTAGTTCTGTCCCTCTAGAGAACCCTGACTAACACAGTGTATGTATGGTTTTATTTTTTATTGCTTCCAATATTTTCTAGACCTGCTCAATGTGGTGTTGGAGAGCTCAGTTTGGCCCTGGCAAGACACCAATGCAGGCTCTTGGTTCTCTGGGCTCCTTGTTTTTCTTCTGGGCCCAGGAACCTTTAGTGTTAGTGACATGGAGCTGGTGGGCTTGGCTGTTGGATTTAACTACTCTCTTCATATGTTCTCTGAAGGACTTTTCAGATATTGAGGTGAATCTTTAACCTTCTAAATTCTTCAGGTAGCTTGGCTGGTCACCAGCCTTGCCTTCCAGAACATGTAAGGCCTGAATATTTTAGTCTCTGCAGGGGTAGATGGAGTCACAGGAGGAGGAATTGACGAGCTAGCTGGGTTTTCAGGTTTTCAGTGTAAATCCAGGAACATGGGCCCTGGGGCCAGGCAGTGTTAGAGATGATTTAGTCTAACCTTTTCATTTTACAAACATAGAAGCCGAGCCCAGAGGGGTTAAATGACTTGCTTTTGTTCACACTGCTGGGAGCAGCACCACGGCTGGGATGCAGGCCGTTGTGACTTCTGCTTTGAGGTTCTTTCTATTCTCTGCTCACACACCTAGACTTGATGAGGTAGAAATGAAACTCTGGCTTCTTAATCAATTCATAAGCATTACCTACTCCTCTTACCTTTTTTAAAATGGCATTTGCCTCCTCTTTATTTTGTTCAAGTTTCTTCTTCTTCTCCTCTTCCATGTAATATGTGTGCATGGAAGCAAAGTATATCATATGCCAAAGAACTTAAGTTAAATATTATCATTTCCCCTGACCACTCACTAAAGGCAATCTTCTCTAAATTGTTTTTTGTTTGGTTTTGTTTTTGTTTTTGGAAGTTACTGCTAAACTCAATAACATGCTTCTGTCTTTGTTTCTTTATTTGTTAGCTGTTGTAACATCTCTTAAGTCTCTGCCTTGAAAGATGCAGATTCAGCTCAGTTGTCCTGTGCCTCCTCTACCTCTGCCTTCTCTCATTACTTTATTCCATTATTGCTTTCGCTATTGGCTGTACACTTAAACCTTCCCTTTGTGGCCCATCAACTTTCCATCGTTTTGCGTAAGATGGAGTTCTAAGCTCTCTTAGGATCCTTTTCTTGCCCTCCTCTCTTCTACATTTCCACCTTTGGCATCTGCATAGTTACTTCCACATTGTTAAGTGATTTTCCTCTGTATTTTGTCCTGCAACCTCAATGATATCTTCTGTGCTTTTGGTTAACTCTAACAGTGAAAAATGAGTAAATTGCATTCATAATTATGACTATGCAATTCGTGTTTGTTGCTTGACCAAATCATGTGTTAGGATCCTTCTCTGGGGGACCTGAGGTCGTAACTCAAGGGCCTCTCAAAGAAGAATATTCCTAACGTCAATGTCGAATTGGTTAACTTTTTAAAAAACTTCATTGGTTGCTTAAAATTGTTTGACCAAGGTTGATAACTCTGTCTGTCTCTCCTAAAAAGGTTTCTGTCAACCTTTCCTCTTTCTCCTATCTCCCTCCCATCCTTTACTTCACAGTGAAATAGTCAAGTACCACTGAGTTTTCTTAGACTTAGGAGCTGTCAGAATTTAAGGGTCTAGTCTGTGAGAGGAGCTCAGTCAATGGTGAGATCGAATCTTTGGACCTCCTTTGGACCACCGGAATGAAATCACACGTTCCCTACAATAACAAGAGAAGCTGTTATTTTGCAAAATCGATGGATATTGCTAATGAGTTTAAATTTTCTTTGTCTTTATTTATTTTTGGTCTTTTCTTCACAAAGGAGAATGTCAGCATAATAGCTGCTGTTTGATTGATGAATCCTGTTGTGACTGATAATAATGATTCTGATGCTTTGTGTTGAACCAAAATAATAAAAAGCCCGAGGGTACTTATAATATGCCTAGCTGAGTTTTGAATCATGGACATCTGAAGGCTTTACATAATATGACACTAGAAACAGCTGGTGAAGGAAAAGCCTGGAAGATCTCAAAAATTATCCCAGTTCTAAAGCGTGATACCTGCTGTTCTAAACTGCCATTTGGATGCTTGACTCGCATATGATGCAAAATATTGAAATAGATAATTTACCAAGCTTGCAATTTCTCATGCTGAAGAAAATATGCAATTAGGAAATGCCCAACATAGATTTAGAAAAGAGTCATTGCAACAACTCAAGTGGTTGATGTTAAACCATAATTTTCCCCAGATAATGGATTGCCACAGGAGCTGAATCCACTTGGCTGGATCCTCCACCTGTCACAAGTTTTCACCCCCTGCTCTCTGTCTGTTTGTGGGTTCTAGATGGGAGAAGAGAAACACAGGGTGGCAGGAGATAAGCACTGGCTTTCCAGATTTGTCTTAAGTCTTGGCAAAATTTATACAACGGATTATAACATATATTCTCTGCAATTCATGTCTTTTTGAAATAGTAATTTTCTTTCTGATGTGATCGGGTGTTTGGAGTGGTTGGTGATGAAGTAGATGCATATCTTTATGGCATTATAACCTGGAGGCAGAGGAAGCCCTGAAATGTGGTGAGTATCCACCATTCTAGACCATTTGCAGGTCTAGAAGGAACTCTAGGTCTATAGAGGGGAACCTGGCTCTTTGTGCCTCAAGTCAAGGTAATTTGGGCAAAACATATTACTGATTTTTCAGTTGCTGTAACAGATGTAAATGATGTAACAAGTATGCCAGCACTGGCTGTGATCTGGAAAACTTTAAAGGGGTCTGTGCTGTGTGTCTATGGAGTGGGTGTGAGGTGCGCAAAGGGAAGTAGAAGTAAAATTATGATTCAGAGGGAGGGTCTCTGCTTGGTAATTCTCCTCCTGGAAGAACTCCCCCTTAATTTGTGCATTCATTGCAATAACTTGACTGGAAAGTAACTATTCTATACTAGTGGCTGGCATCTAAGATTCCTCAGATCTAAAGTTATCCCAGCTATGTTAGGCTTTCTGCAAGTCTTTCTGTGGTTTGGGCATAAACAAGTAAGGCCCAGGTTATTCAGGTATTTTACAATGAATCTGGATTCTAGCCACTTTTCTGGGGTGCCATTCTGTCCCTTTGCCAAACTGTGTGTGTGTGTGTGTGTGTGTGTGTGTGTGTGTGTGTGTGTTTGTCTATATCTATATGTACTTTTTTTTTCCTGGAAAATTATTCTTGAGTGAAGCTGGTTTGTGAGGTTGTAGCTTACAAATAGCGTGTTTTGAATCTGCCTAGAGGTTTCATGGTACATAGTACATGTATGTGTATGTGTGTGCATGTGCAAATACATATGCTGTGGAGGTGGGACAAGGGAACAAAAGGTTGCATGTGCACAGAAGTATGGCGGTCCTACAGGAGCATCCCTATGTGGGTACCATTGTCTAGAGAGTGTTGCTAAATTGATCTCTCCATCCTGGGTCCTGGGAACTTAAATGTAAAGGTGGGTTGGCTTTATATGCAATTCACTTGCCTTACTTTAAAAGTGATCCCTGAGCTCACATTCTTGAATAAGCTCCATATGGTTTCCCAAGCAGATACTGCATTTTAAAGTATATTCACATTGAACATATACATATTGACAACAATGGAAGTTGCGGGAAGGTGTCACTCTGCATGGTACTAACTTTAGCTGCCAGCTCCCTTTACCGAGGGAGAAAGGTCCCTGCCTGGACTCTGCTTTTCCTTCATCATCTATTGGTCTATTTCAGTGCTGCACCAGCCCATCTTAGACTGGCGATTTCTTTCTATCATGGATGTCAGCGTCACTGCAGAATCTCAGCACTTTGTAGTTAGTCAAAGTTTTGTTTCTCCATATCATGCCTTCATTGTCACCAGCCCTATCTGACTCAAATGGTCTACCTTTATGACAAATATTTTATAATAAACCATTATAAGTTTTCCAATGAGTTTTATAGATTAAAAAAACAAACCCTATCAGAGTCAAATCATTCTTCTTTCTGACAAATATTTTATAGTAAATCATTACAATTTGCAATGAATTTTATAGACTAAAAAACCCACCCTAGACACATGATTATAAAAATGCCCTAAATGTAATATAACAAAGAAATAAAATAAATGTAATTTTAATAAAATAATGTGTATTTGTATCAGTCGGGTTCCTGACAGGAAACAGCATGGTAAAAAGCGTTTAACTATAAAGACTTGAATGAAGGTGAGGGTAGGATTAGGGGATCCAGCTGAGGATGAGGAAGGATCCAGGCACTAGGAACAGCTTGAAGTTGTTACCATCCCTAGACCTGCAGGAGCAGGGGAGGGAATGGTGTTCCTAGAGCCCCATGAGAGCTGGGGCCTAAAGAGGGAAGCAGCAAGGTGTGGGGCAGGGAAAGGATACTCCAGCCTCTCTCTCTTCTCACCCTCTGGTCTCTTGCCACTGCCTCTTACTGGGAGAAAGCTGGAAACCAGAGGGAAAAGGCCTGGGGGACTCAGTCCACAGAGCTTAGTCTCTGGCAGAGAGAGCAGGACAGAGAAAGACAGAGAATGGATCAAGGAGGGGTGGGACCAATGGGGAAAGCAGTACAGTGTTTCAGTATGCAAATGCCAGGCTGCCACACTGGAAGACTGAAGGAAGGGAAGATCTCCCATGAACAGAAATTCACAGCTGTGAATGTGCAGCCCGACATGGGTGCCTTGTGTTGGCAACACTGATTTTCCCAAATGGCGAGTAACTCTCTGGAAGGTTCTAAATTAAACCAAATATGATCTCTTAATTTCCAGGTTGCAGTTCTGAAAATTTCTGTATATCTTAAAATCATGCAAAAATACATTTATTGGCCGGGCGTGGTGGCTTATACCTATAATCCCAGCACTTTCGGAGGCCAAGGTGGGAGGATTGCTTGAGTCCAGGAGTTTGAGACAAGTCTGGGCAACATAATAAGACCCCATCTCTACAAAAAATCAACAAAATTAGCTGGGCATGGTGGCACACGCCTGTAGTCCTGGCTACTCTGGAGGCTGGGGTAGGAGGATTGCTTGGGCCTGGGAAGTAGAGGCTGCTGTGAGCCATGATTGTGCCACTGCACTCCAGCCTGGGTGACAGAGCGAGACCCTGTCTCAAAACAACAACAACAACAAAACCCACACAGAGACATTTAGTTTATACATATAAAATTGACTTATCTTCTCATATGATTTTAAATGTATGTTTCCTCTACATGAATGGCACTTGAGAGTTAAGCAGGTGAGTGCAAGGCACGTGCCTAGCAGGCGTGTCTTGCTTATGACAAAACACTTGGCATCCCTGATCCTTGCCCACTAAAGGCCCATAACACCCCTCCAATCATGGTAAGAAACAAAATGAAACACCCCAACAATTTCCCCAAGGCCCTTGAAGCAGGGCCTGCCCTACTATGTGCTGCTGTTCTAGATATATCTGGTATTTAACATCACCGATGAAATTGCTGGAGGTGCAAGCTGCCCCCAAGGGCATTGCGATGAAACAAAATAAAATCTTTGTAAATGAAAATGCTGCCCTCTTTACTTTGTTGGTGTGTGAGACAGGTTTTGTAAACCTTTTTGCTGGAAGAGGCTCTGGTCCAAACAAATTCCTAACTGAAAGAGACTCCTCTCCAATTCTTTTTTTTTTTTTGAGATGGAGTCTCGCTCTGTCGCCCAGGCTGGAGTGCAGTGGCATGATCTCGGCTCACTGTAAGCTCCGCCTCCTGGATTCATGCCATTCTCCTGCCTCAGCCTCCTGAGTAGCTGGGACTACAGGCACTCGCCACCACACCTGGCTAATTTTTTGTATTTTTAGAAGAGACGGGGCTTCATCGTGTTAGCCAGGATGGTCTCGATCTCCTGACCTCGTGGTCTGCCTGCCTCGGCCTCCCAAAGTGCTGGGTTTACAGGCATGAGCCACCACGCGCGGCTCCAATTCTTATTCCTGTGTAAGTTTCCTCATAACTTCTGTTGGAAGTCATTCCTGTCCAACATGCCCTCCTCTTCCAAAGCTGCCACAGTTGTAGGTAAAATGGCCCAGCTGTTCTTCCTGGGGCACCAGATTGGCCTGAGTGTGGCTCCAGAGGCACCTGTGAGGATAGTGAGGCAGCATCTGACCTTCTGCTGTCTGCCGTCCTATGGCATTCCTCAGGGCATTCCCCCAGGACTTCTCTTTTCTAGTTTTCCTCCTCATCCATGTTCGCCAGATTGCTTCCTGGTGCCACCTCCTAGCACCTGTGGATACCTCACCTTCCCCTGAGTCTAATGACCAGCTTATGTCGTGATAGGTCTGCCCTCGCTCCACCCTCACCTTATTTCCATGATGCTTGGTTGTCAGTGAACGCAGATATTGGAGCTAAGGCCAGTGTTTGTCCCAGGGCCCCAGATCCAACTGGAGTGAATATTATTTCTATGGGTGCTATTAAGCATATAAAATTTTTTTTCAAAAGGACTGAGTTGAGTTGGTATGCCACTGTGAACAGTAACTTCATCACTTGGAAGATCCGACCTACTCTAACGGAATGTGACCCAGGGCTGGTGGGCAGTGGAGAGCAGAGTATACTGGTACCCGCTTCCACATGGATGCTGAAGTTGTGATTTTACAGTGGCCTCAGCACACCACCTCATTTGTCCTCAAATGGAGCTTCCCCTGTAATTGTGCGGAGTGGATCTGAGCACCTCCCTGACGTGCATGAACACGGTACCTCTACTGACTTCTGTTCTGTTTATCAAATAATGAACAGAGTTTTTTAAAACAGCTTTTGACAAAAGAAGTAGAAGGGGGCAAAGCCACATGTGAAACCTACTTCAAGTCATCAGTTACACGTTTAATCTTGAGGCATTAAAAATCATTCACTTATCAGTGGGCACATGTCAATTCCCAGACACATTTGGAAATGCTTACAGTGTGGAAGCCCCGAGCCGAACTGCAGGAGCTGTGGAGATGGATGGACAGACTGGGATAGCTTCCTACCTGTTGGAGGAATCAGACAAACAGAGCAGTTCATGATGATTTGGGAGTGGAACAAGGGTGAAGGTGGGAGGCTCAGAAATTTCCTCATGGTAGCATTTGAACCAAGCCTTTAAGTAGAACAAGATTTTGCTAAACATAGAAGGCAGAAAGGGCACTGCTGACTAGCTATTTGAAGAAAATAGCGACTAGCTATTCGAACAAAAATGCTGTTTGTAAATTAAATCCTCTAAGTATGTGGTAGACTCTCAGGTAGTGGCAAGAGATTCAGAATCACAGATAGGTATGAGCCTGGCAGAGGATACAAATCAAAGCTGCAGAGTGGAGCACCTGGACCTTCCGGCTCAGGAGTGAATACTGCGCTTTGGGGCTTTGATGCTTCATGGAGGAATGCGGGGTTAAAGTAGTGGGGGGTGGGTGAAACACTGCAAAGCCAGTATTTTAGGAAGATCCCCCAGGGGACAGTGTAAAGGAGGAATGAGAGAGGGGAGAAAGCAGGAAGGAGATTGATAACAGTCTACTGTCCATGGCTCTGGCCAAGAGGGTTGGGTGAGAGGCCTATTTGTGCTTGTGCCCGACACTGGTGGATGTGGGTAGAGATCTGCATGCATTTCACTCCTTGGTAAGGATGGACAATGGACAGATAACTTCCCTTTCTTTTTTCTTATTGTCTGAGAAGTGTTACTGACCTGATCAACTTTTAACCTCAGTCCCCATGAGGCCAGGCCACAGAGGGGACCATCGCATTTTCTCTGTGCTCTCACTGGTACTGGGGAAGATAATGTGTTATAATCTTTTACAGTGAAATTATAAATGGACTTTAGATCATGCTTAGGCAGGCTGCTGACTTAATTTTCCTAAGCCATAGCTAGAGTTTACATCCTCCTCTTAAGAGGAAAAAAATGTTCCCTCTGAAGCATGTACTAAAGAGAAAGGCTGAGAGGATTGATTTTTCCCCCAAAGAATCCATAAATATTTACATAAGTGCAAGTTACAAATCTGTGGCTTTGAGATTATCGAATTTCACTGCTTTTACACTCACAGCATATAAATTTCCAGCAGGCATTTGCTGGTCATGAAGGTTCAGTCTTTGGAGACTTGTCCCCTAGTTTATTTCCTTTGCTCTTGGAAAACAAATCTCTCTTGTGCTGTTTCGGATGCTCTCACTCATGGTTACGGACTAGGCATTGAAAGCCATGTGACAATGGTCTTTGGCTGGGGTGGGGGGCTTCATTGTGAAGGATTGCCTGCTAATGGGGGTACTACTCCTCCAGCCAAGAGGCTGCTTCTAAAGACCTTTTTGATAGTGCAATAATTCTCTCCAGAAAGGAGCCTGGATGTTGTTGTAGTTCCAAAGTCTTTGTGAAATTCTTAGGTAAATAAAAAATCCTCTTTAAAGATCATGTTGCTTTCACTGGGGCAGGTAAGCAGGTCTTCCTTAAATATGGGTGTTGTGTCTGCCATTTTGCATATAGACAGACCTCACTTATTTTATTCTTGCTCTCTCTTTACAGAATTGTGCCTGGGCACACCCCCTTCTTGTTTGGCAACAGCCAGAACAAGGGTAAAGCTGAGTGAAGCTTTCTCTTATGTCTTAGTCCATTTTCTGCTGTTAGAATATTACAGATGGGTAATTTATAAAGAAAGATTTAGTTGGTTCATGGTTCTGGAGGCCAAGGAAGCCCAAGAACATGGTGCTGTTACATTTTGGGGTCATTCCTGCTACTTAGTAATATAGCAGAGGGCATCACATGGCAAAGAAGAGTGAGAGAGAGTGAGAACACTCGAGACAGAGAGAAAATGGGGCTGAATGTATTCTCTTATTAGGAGCCCACTCCCACGACCACTAACCCACTTCTTGTGATAATACCATTAATTCATTCATGAGGATGAAGCCCTCATGACCTAATCACTTCTTAAAGGTCCCACCTCTTAATACTGCCACAATGGCATATAATTTCAACATGAATTTTGGAGGGGACATTCAAACCACAGCACCCGCGATTATGAATTTTACCATTGCTAGATTTTGGACTGGCCTGTTCATCATAAGGACCTAAATTTATACATGCTGAGAAACAAGTGACTGAAATAAGCAGAGGGATGAGCTCCTCCCCCATGTTCTGCATAGGGCAGGCAGTTGCTGCTCATTGGTGGATCTGGAGAGTAGCTGACCTGAAAACAGTCTTCATCTTTCCGCCAAAATAATTTTAACACTTAAAAAAATTTTTTTTGAGAAGGTACTAGATGAGAAGCAAATAAAATGAATTCTAAATTTCTGACAGTGGACAATTCCAGGGATTGGATTTTATGTTGATGTGCTTGGGTATATTAGAGATACATGCAGAAAAGTTTATGTTTGTAGGAGACTGGCTTTCAGACAGAGAAACAAAGAGACCATTTCCATCTTGTCCTGGGAGTCAGTTGGATATGATCTCGTCAGTTGCTAAGGTAGGATTGGGGGTAGGCAGGCTTGGAACTGGGTTTGTCCCTGACTTAGGACAGAATCTTGGGCCAGCCCTATTGAGAAAAGGTTTAACCTGGAGCCTATGGCGGTAGCTGGTCACAGTCCTGTTGAGAGATTTGCAATGGGAGCCCAACATGAGGAGGTGGGGTGTACAAACAGGCAGGCATACTAAGACCTCAGGGTGAACAGGAGCTGTCGCCTTAGATTTCTTGTTATTGAACAGGACTCTAGGCCTGGAAAGGGGACTTGGTGGAGCATGACAGGGCCCTATCCCCCATAAGAGGAAGCTGTGTTCCTACTTAGGTGACTAGAACAGAGGCTCAGAAACGGGGGGCCAAGACAGAACCCTGGAACAGAAACTGAGAGTTGGTGACAGACTTCGTTTTAGATTTTGGGGAAAGGCCTGAGACTGTGTCTTACTTATTTTATATCTTCCAGTGCCTAGCAAGATGCCTGACCATATAGTACTCACTAAGCAAATATGTGTTGAATAAATGAATTGGGAGGGGGATGATGAGAAGATATAAACTGACTAGGATCTGATAACTTGGTTGTGATTCCAAATGTGGCTTGGTACAATTTCTAAAAAAGATAGGCAGAATTGGGGCCTAGCTTCATGGATTGCAAATGTGCATGACATGGGTGTGCTTTGAACATGTCAAAGAGCAATTCAAACTTATGTAAAGTTGGATTTAAGTTTACAGGGACATTTAAGAAAAGGCCTTTTACTATTATTTAATTTCAAAAGGCCCTTTACTATTACTGAACATTGAAGTTATGTAATCGCAAATATAGGCAGGCAGGAAAGGGCTGTGTCAAGAGAGGGATCCCAAAGTTACTGTAGATGCCATGTAGTTTGTTGAAAAAATCACCTGAGCTGTGGTTTCAGACAGACCTGGGTTTGAATCCCACTTCCATCACACACTGATTGTGTGATCTTGGTCAATGACTTTGCCTCTCTGAGCCCAATTTAGTCAGCAGTAAAATATGGATGTGATAGTATTCTTGGAAGAGGTGTCATGGGAATTAAATGGATTGACATAAATGCAATACCTAGGTGGCGCCTGAGACACAGTGGGCCTTGGAAATGGCAGTTCCCATAGGGAGTCCTGCACGAGCCATGAAGGCGAGAAGCCAAGGCTTTGCATGCTATGCTTTGGGTGTGATAACCCTGGTGGGCCTGGCCTGTATTGCTCCCTGAGTGATGAGATTCTTGCTGATGTAATGGGCTGGGTCGATGTTGTGCAGATCTGATGACAGTACATCCACACCCTGTCGCTTTCCCTGCCAAGACGAACTGTAGCCGTCAGAGCCTCCATTCTGCTCCCCACACCCATCCAGTGACCATCCACTAACGCCCCAGTGAAAGTGGGCTTTATTTGAGCCTTCCAGAGAAATTCAACCTGAGTGGTTTGTGGTGGTCACGCTCCTGTGTGTGTGTGCGGGGGAGTCTGTCTTCAGAGCTTCCATTCAGCCATCTTTGCACACCCCACCTGTCTCAGCCTTTGTCCAGTGATCCAGTTTTTCTGTTTAATCAGTCAGAACTTGAGTTTTCAGGTTGGCTGTCTTTTCTTCTGGGTTGGAAGAGTGGGAAAGCACTGAAAATAAGGATCAGGCAAAGGAACCCTTTTCCTTTTGCAAAGACCTCCTAGAAAAGTGAGGCTCGTTGTCAGATTAGAGTCATGTAGTACTGGTGTTTCTTGGTTAGGTCATGGAAAGGGCCCTTCAAAGGGTCCATGGAGTGATTTTAGGTTTGGAATCTTGCCATTATGAGTTAGCTCATGGGTTACATCCCCTCTTCTGCACTCCAGCCTCTCCCTCTACTTCCCTCCTTTTTGCTTCAGCCCGAGGCAGATGGCAGACATGGATACACATTTATGGATTGGCTGATGTGTCTGCTGGAAACGTGAATAGGCTGTGTAAAGGTGGGAAGGCAGGGTGACGTAAGGGGGTGCAGAGATTCCCACTTGGGTTTATGCTGGCCTCGTCTTTGACTGGCTCTGTCATGTTGCCCTTGTGGGGTCCTGTTTTCATTAATTAATGTTTACTGAGTGTTTTGTATGTTTCTGGCGCTGAACACATGCTTCATATATATTATCTTGTTTAATCCTTACCACAGTCTTACAAAGTAGGCATCATTATCCCCATTTTATAGATGAGGAAAACAAGGCTCAGAGAAGTAAATGAATGACATAAAGAGGACTTTGAGGCGAATGATTTTCCTACAGCTGCAGGTCCTGTCCTGCGATTGCATCTTCTGTTACTCATACCAACTTCACTACCTGCTGATTACAACTGTTCCACTACTGTAATGAGATGTATGAAGACATTCGATGGCTCTATAAAATCATTTCTCCTGCCAACTTCCCAGAATTGCTTTGAGGAAGAAGAATTTTGAAAAGGATTACATATTTTACAAGTGTCAGGGAGTCATATTAATGTCATTATGTTTATAAAAGGAAATAAAAGGTTGCAGGGGGAGCAGAGATAGAAATGAAAAAAGGCAAAAGGGAGAGGATAAAAAGGAAGATACTTACCTATAAATATAGACATACCATATCTAATTGCTTTACACATGTCATTTTATTTAAACTTCAAAATAACCCAATGATATACATGCTAGTGCTGTTATTTCCCCTAATTTACAGATGAGGAAACTGAGGCACAAAGAGACGAAGCATAGACCCCTGATTATATACCTGGTAACTGGCAGAACTAGAATTGAAGCCCAGCAGTCTGACTCCAGAGCCTGAAGTTTTAACTCCGGTGTTAGTATGTTTTGCCTTCCAATGGCTTTCAGGAGGGTAAGGGCAAAAGGGCATGGAAAGTCACCTAATTAGTTCTTCAGGTGGGGTATCCATCATGAAGATGGTGATAGCTAAGATGACTTCTAAAGAACATAGGAATTGGCAATAAGTAAGACAGATGGGTTAAGAAAAACATCATTAGTAGGGTTACTGTGAGGATTAAAGGAAGGCTGTTTTGCACGGTAAATGCTTCGTAAACGTCAGCTATTCATTAGTGAGGTGTCGGGGAGTTGTCGGGGGAAGAGAGAGGAGAAAGAAGGAAGTGAGAGGGGAGAAAAGTAGTTGGAAAAGGAGAAGAAAGCCTGGAAGGGCTGGAAGAAAGTGTATAAAAGAGATGTGGATCTTATGGGGGGGCATAGTGGCTTGTGCCTATAGTCCTAGCTACTCAGAAGGCAGGAGGATTGCTTGTGCCCAGGAGTTTGAAACCAGCCTGGGCAACACAGTGAGACTCGCATCCCCTCTACCAACAACACAAACAAAAAAAAACAAAATGAAATCCCCACAAAAACTTATCAGGTTTGGTGGTGCCCACCTGTGGTCCCAGCTACTTGGGAGGCTGAGGCAGGAGTACCGTTTGGGTCCAGGGGTTCAAGGCTACAGTGACCTGTGAGCTGTGATGGCGCCACTGCATTCCAGCCTGGGCAACAGAGTGAGACTCTGCCTCTGAAAAAAAAAAAAAAGATATAGTCCCCAGAGAAGGTGTATAAAGGAAAGACAGAGACAAGAATGAAGACCTAGGATTTAGTGGGAGAATTTACATATTTGTTCAACAAATGTTTATGGAGTGCCTATTATATTAGACAGCCATCAGCAAGACGAGATGTGTTTCCTGAAGTTTTTGATGGGTATCTTTTTTAGCATTTATGTTGGTTAGATGTTCAGACTCTGAGTTTAGAGTAGAAAATAGGTGGTATTTATTTTCCTGCATAAAAGCCTGTTGGTAGTCATAATTTTCTATTAATTCATCATGAGTGGAGTCTATATATTAGGGTGTGTTTTTTGAGTAATGAAATATGTATATCTGATGTGAGCTAATGGCTGATTTACATGAAGCCATACCTCTAGGATTTTCTGTGACAACTCCAATTTCATGTCATTGTAACACTTTCCCAACAGATGATTAGTAAAACGATTTCGTGAATGTGATTGAGTATGTAGACTTTTTCATTTAAATAAATTAAAAGCAGAAAATTCTCATGTCACAATGTGTCCTGATTTTGTTTCAGAAGATATGTAAATCCATTGTCATTTTTCAAACAGGAAAATGGGAGTACAATGTAGAGAGCCCACTTGTAGTTTTATATATATATATGAATATAAATATATATGTCAGCTTTATTGAGATATAATTCACGTATCATACAATATGCTCTTTTAAAGTATACAATTTGGTGCATTTTAGTACTATGTGATCACAGAATTGTGTAATTATCACCATTGTCTCATTTTAGAACATTTTCGTCACCCCCAAAAAGAAACCTTGTATCAATTAGCAGTCACTCCCCATTATTTTCCCCTCATAGCCCCCGGTAACCATTAATCTACTTTCTGTCTGTTTGGGTTTGCCTATTCTGGTCATTTTATATAAATGGAATCACACAACACGTGACATTTTGTGTTTGTGTTCTTTCACTTAGCATAACTTTTTCAAGGTTCACCCATGTTGTAGCATGTATCAGTACTTCATTCCTTTTTATAGCCAAATAACATTTAATGTATGGTTATATCATATTTTGTTTATCCATTCATTAGTTGGGCATTTGGGTTATTTCTACTTTTTGGCTATTACAAATAATGCTGCCATGAACATCGATGTATGAGTTTACAAGTTTTTATATGAACATAGGTTTTCATTTCTTTTGGGTATACACCCAGGAGTGGAATGGCTGGGTCATTTGGTAACTCTTTGTTTAACATTTTGAAGAACTACAAAACTGTTTTCTCAAGTGGCTGCCCCGTTTTACAAACCCACCAGCAATATATGAGGACTCTAATTTATCTGAATCATCACCAACACTTTCCGGGGTCATTTTGATTTTGACCATTCTAGTGGGTATGAAGTGGTATCTCACTGTCATTTGCCTTTCCCTAGTGACTACTGATGTTGACGATATTTTTATGTAGTTATTTACCATTTGTATATTTTCTGTATAGAAGTATCTATTCAAATCATTTGCTCCATTTTTAATTAGGTTATTTGCTTTTTTATTGTTTAGTTGCAAGAATATTTTTTAGTACATATTCTGGATACTAGACCCTACCAGATATATGATTTGCAAATATTTTATCTCATTCTGTGGGTTTTCTTTTCACTTTCTTCATGGTGTCCTTTGAAGCACACAAAAAATTAATTTTGATGAAGTCCAATTGACCTATTTTTTCTTTTGTTGCTGGTACTTTTAGTTTCTTATCTAAGGATTTTTTGTTTTTTATTTTTTGCCAAATCCAAGATAAAGATTTATGTCTATGATTTCTTCTAAGAGTTTTCAGTTTTACCTCTTATATTTTGTTCTATGGTTGATTTTAAGGTAATTTTTGTATATATTTTGAATTAGGGATCCACCTTTATTCTTTTACTTATGGGTACCCAGTTGTCTCGGCATCATTTATTGAAAAGATTGTTTTTTTCTTTCATTGCATGATCTTGGCATCCTTCTTGAAAATCTATTGATGATAAATGTAAGGGTTACTTATGGACTCTCAGTTCTATCTTATTGGTCTGTATGTCTATCCTTATGCCAGTACCGCACTGTCTTGATTACTGTTGCTCTGTAATGAATTTTGAAATCAGAATGTGTGAATCTTCCAACTTTGTTCCTTTTCAAGATTGTTTTAGCTATTATAGTCCCATTGAATTTTCATATCGATTTTAGGATCAGTTTGCCAATTTCTGCAAAGAAGAAAGCCGGGATTTTGTTTAAGATTGTGCTGAATGTGTAGATCAACTGTGGAATATTGCCATCTAACGATACTAATTCTTCCAATTCATGAATGTTTTTCCATAGATTTAGGTACACTTTAGCTTTTTAATGATGTTTTGTGGCTTTCAGTGTACCAGTCATGTGCTTTTTTGTTAAATTTAGTCCCAACAATTTTATATTTTGATGCTTACTGTAAATAAAATTGTTTTCTTAATTTCATTTTCTGATTGCTCATTGCTGGTGTATAGAAACACAATTGAGTTTTGTATATTACCTTGTATCCTACAAGGCTGCTGAACACATTTGTTGGTCTCAATAGTTTCTTTTTTTAGTTGGATAATTCCTTAGTTTCTTCCATATACAAGAATATGTTGTCTGTGAATAGAGATAGTTTTAATGGGTCCTTTCCAATCTGGATACCTTTTATTTCATTTTCTTGCTTAATTGCCATGGCTAAAACCTTCAGTGAAATAGAAGTAGTGAGAGCTAATATCTTTCTCTTATTCCTGAACCTAAGTGTAAAACATTCAGTGTTACACAAATGTGATATTAATGATAGGATTTTTGTTGTGTGTAGTTTTTCTTTTTGTAGGCAGCTTTGATGCAGTTTTTATGCTTTATTCTATTGAGTCTGATTATTATATTGATTGGTTTTCAGATACTAAGCCAACATTGTATTTCTGGGATGAATCCCACATGGTCATGGTATATAATCCTTTTTATATGTTGCTGGATTTGGGTTGCAAATCCCAACATTTATTTTGTTGGAGATTCTTGTATCTATATTCATAAGAAATATTGCTGTGTATTTTCTTTTCTTGTGATATCCTTGTCTTGTTGATTGCCTTGATATCAGGCAATCATGGCTTCATAAAATAAGTTGGAAATTGTCTCTCCTTTTTATTCTTTGGAAAAATTTTCGAACTATTGGTGTTGATTCTTCTGTAAATATTTGGTAGAATTTAGCAGTGAAGCCATCTGGGCCTGATCTCTCCTTTGTGGAAAGTTGCGTGTGTGTGTGTGTGTGTGTGTGTGTGTGTGTGTGTGTGTGTTACTAATGCAATCTCTTTGCTTGTTGCATGTTTATTCAGATTTTCTATTTTTTCTTGAGTCATTTTTGGTAGTTTGTATCTTTCTAGGAATTTGTCCTTTTCATCAGGATTATCTGACTTGTTCACAATACAGTTGTTCCTGCTGCATCTACTTTTGTTTCAAGTTATTTTTAAAAAAAAAAAAAAGACTGCTAAACTTTTTGAAAATACTACCATGAGGGCTCCTGAATGACGCAGTTATGCAGTTCTGGGTTCTTTGCAGTTCATGCCTTATGATAATAGCTGTTATAAAGTGTTTACCGTATACTGGATATTATGCAAAATACTTAACATACGTAGCTGTTAGTGTCACAACAACCCTTTGAGATAAGTTCTATGTTATTCTGGAAAGAGAGGCACATATGATTATATAATTGGTATGTTATGGGACTGGTAATTGCACTCAGATAACCTGGACACTTAGAGTAGAAACTATTAGTAGGGGTACTCCCATTCTCTCCAAGGCTTAGCTTAGGAGAAAAGAAAATTTGAGGGTGCCTCTTTATATAGAACATCAGAAGTCCAGAGGATAGGATGCTAATGGGAGGGATATCAGGACTCCTGCAGCTTCAGGTGAGCTCTAGGGACCATGAGACTCTAGTAGGTACTGTAGAGGTAGAGAGTGAGGAAGACATTTTGAATTCCCACTAATTATTCCCTCGAGGTTGCCTCAAACTTAAGTCTAGGCTTGTGCTAGGAGCTTGGACTGGGAGTGCAGTGCAGAGCAATTTGCTGCCAGGCCGTGGAAAGGTGTTTGACAAAGTTTCTCCAGTCTCCAGGGCAAGGGGACAGCCTGAGACCTATTCTTTGGAAATAACCCATAGGATCCAGAGCCTTCTAGAGCAATATTCTTGTATTTATATCATAAATGTATTTCCAGGATTCACAGGTGTTTAGATTAATTCCACGCAGTGCAGAGACCATCCCACAGTACTAGAAAATGGGTTGTTCCACCCTGTTCTAAGAATAGCATAGGATTTGGAGGTAGAGGGCCTGAATTCAAGTCCTAGCTCTGCTTTTACTGATAGTGTGACCTCAGTCATTTTACTTTCCCTCTCTAAGTCTCAGATTCGTCATTGGCCAAATAAGGGAAAAAAGTACAACCATCACATAGATCATTCTAAGAACAAAATTAAATTAGTGTTTGGAAAATGGCTTTGTAAAGTGTTAAAACTCTACAAAGGTTAACTAATGGCTATTTTTTTTTCCCATATGGAAAAAGCCACTGAATGAATAATCTTTCGCATGAGTGTCCATTTATGTCAGCCTGCTAACGTCATACAGTGTGGCTTTGAAGTGTAGAAGGTGTGACTGTCAGGTTTTAAAAGGGAAGCAGAGAGACTATTTCTCTTGCCTCTCTGCAATGTAGCAAGCACAGCTGCAAAAGTAGTGATTTCACAGGATCTGTAGCACCTCACTGGGGCAGAAACAGTCAAAATAAGGACAACTGAGAAGCCAGACTCAGGTAAATTGAAGAAATGAAATAAAAACAGACCTGAAGGGCATAATAACACCTTCATTTAGAAAAAGTGTTATGTTATAAGTAAGTACTTATGTTTCTCTTGCGGTCTTTCTAGTAAATTCCATCCAGTTTTTACCCAATCGCTTTTATCCTAAACATATGACTGGAGTTAAAAAAAAAAAAAAAAAAAAAAAAGCTCCAAAATGTTTAGCTTAGTTGGTACTTCATAAAAATCGGGAATGATAATGTTCTCCAAGATAATGTCCTATCTCTCATCTGCTGCAAGGGAATTTTCACTGCTGCAAGGGAAAGCTTCAATCAGTCTTGAAAGAAAAGTGTTGGGGGTGGTGGAAAGCCTGTAGGCGTTGCAGTTGGCAGATGTGTGTTTGGTTCCTGGCTCTCTCCTGCTATTGTTTACCTCAAATTTTCTCCTCTGTAAATTGGGGATAATAAAATACTTTTTCAGTAGGGTTGTGGTGAGGACTAAGTCAACGGCAATAAATCTGAGTTGCCTTCTCTTCCTTCTTTCTGACTAAGCTTTTCGTGTCACAAGACCAATATTACCAATCAGGAAGCATTTCCAAACAAGTACTCCTGCCTCATCCCAAATATGCCCTGAATGGTCTGACTTTTCTCGGTTCAAGTGAGTCCAGATTCTGAGAGATACCGGAAGGGCGCTTAGACGACATCTCTCCGGTGTGTTGACTCCTCTGTGGAGCCTGAGTCTCTCTGAGCCCCAAGGTCAAGGCTTTGCAAATCGGGGCTATGATCCGGAAAATGTAGTGCTCATATGGTTCTGGGCGTCAGAACATGATTACATATTCCTCAGTCATAGACCACTGTGAGTTAAGGTCCCCATAGAAACAGATGGCACACTTGAAGGGGTAATCAAAGAAAGTGCAATGTGCACAGGCTAACTGGGGACTAGCCACAGCCACAGCAGGGGGCTTTTCCAACCTCTGAGCCTGGAGGGACAGGGGGCCAAGGGAAGACCCCATAGGGGAGGGCCGTAGCTGTGGGAGAGGGGCTGCCTGTCAAGTGTAGAGACACACAGTCACTACTACCCAGTGCCCAGCAGGCAGTGTAGGGCCTTCCACCCTTTAGCCCTCCAACTGAGGGAATCTGGTGGTGGGGAGGGGCAATTGGTAGAGGGCAGCCTCCTAGGGCAGAGGGAAGAGAGGAGAAGAGAATGGATCTGGAAGGGCAGAGGAAGAATTGCCTGCAGAAAGACTTGCCATTCTCTCAGTGAGGGAGGGTCATTAGGACTGGCCATGCCATTATGCAGAATTACCCCCGCTTCCTGGAACTATAGGACAAGGGCATTACACACAAACACATCCCATTATTCCGTCCCTGCTTTTTTCTATCGTTTTGCATGCAGAGAAAGAAAAAGATGTAATACTTCACAGGTTTCATTCCAATAAGTCCTGTCTACTGTTTGCTGTGCATTCTAGGGTACAACTCTGGCAATACATATTGCAGACCTAACACCTGCTCACAAGACCCTGCTGAGGATTTTTGAAAATGGGTTGCTGCTCCTGGTGATGTTTGCAGTTCTTTATTTTAATTCTGCAAGCAGAAAGAGAAGTTGCTGTTGTGTGGCGATAGGAGGTGTGTCAGAATTTCCCGCATTGTTATGAAGCTACCATGCAAATGTAAATGTTCCCTAGGATGGATAACAGAAAAGCCATCATCTACCTCATGTCTATATCAAGTGGGCCAGGACAGCATCCCTGGAAAGAGGTGGAGCTAATGGGAGAGTATCCCAAGACAAGCTGCAGAAGGAACTTCTTCAGGATGGCCCCTAGGATGGGAATGGGCGTGATAACTCTAGTTACAGGGAGATGGGTTACAGTTCTCTATGAGGAGGAATCAGCAATAAGAGAAAATGACGATAGTCAAATGGCCTTAGGAGGTCATTAAAGCTACTGTGAGGAGCAGCTTAAGACAATGGTCAGAACTTCAGAAGTCGTGGCCAAGAGCAGATCCAGAACACAGTGCGTGGGTACAGTGTGAGTTGGTGCCCAGCCTCCTGAACGGAAGTCATTAGTTGCTGAGTGGTAAGGAGAACTTACCACTGGAATAGGAATGAGCCTGTGAACGGCTGTGGCAGACAAGCCGTGGGTAGGACATAGGGGGCTCATTTCTGGGATGGAGTTTACATGTCACAGGCTGCTTCCAAGGGCCAGCACCAGGTCCTGTCTGCCAATAGTGCCAAGCACGTTAAAGATAATGCCCAGTCTCTCACAGGGAAAGTTCACGGTCACTGCAGTCTGCTGGCTGCACCTGGATGGCAAGTTCTTTGGGATGTTGTCACATAGACTAAAGCATCAGATGTGTGGTTGAGTAAGATAACCTTGACTGTCCAAGTCCATGAGGACGAGGGCAAGCTTCGATGATTGGATCTGGGACCAGAGACATGGAACGTGGCATCTTACCTGCTGTCTGAGACAGAGACAGATCTGCTCGACCAAGGATCATGGGCAATGGGTTGAGCAGGCACCAGAGTGGGGGAAGGAGGTGCTAAGAATAATAGCATTTCTAGTTCTCCTTTGTTAAATCCTGACTCCTACAGGTCGGTTGAACTCCCTCTTCTGCACTCTCATCGTCTCCCTTGAGACTGGATCTCACTTTCACGGAGATGTGTAGTTATCAGCTTGTGTCTGCCTGCCTTGAAGGCCACATATCAAGAGCTAACATTTATTGAGAGTCAACCGCGTGCTAAATGCTTTATAGCTAGCTTCTCCTTCCATCTTCACGACAGACCTATGAGGTAGTTGTCATTATTCTTCTTCCTATTTTGCAGACTAGAGAATTGAAATTCAGAGAAATTCAGTAGCATGTCCAAGATCATGTAGGTCTTAATGTAAAGAGCAGACAGATGGGATGGAGCTCAAATTCAAAATCCCACGCTCTCGACTACTATGTGATCTCCTAGAGACTACATCTTTTCTTCATTTAGGACTCCTCAACACCTAGCGTAGTTCCAGGCAAGATAGGCAGCTGACAACAATTATATCTGATAAATAAGTAGGGCCAGGCCTGCTGGCATGTGCCTGTAGTCCCAACTACTCAGGAGGCTGAGGTGGGAGGATCACTTGAGCCAAGGGGTTCGAGGCTGCAATGAGCCGTGATTGCACCACTGAACTCCAGCCTGGGCAACCGGCAAGACCCTGTCTCTAAAAAATAAATAAATAAAAATTAAAAATATAAGAAAGTGGACCACCTGTGTACCTGCCATGCTGTGTGATTGCATAATCTAACAAATACGCCTATGGATTTACTGAATCCTGTTGTGCCCTGGGGAACAACATAGAGACAGAGTGATGGCAAAGGAAGTGCTCATTGGAGAAATTAGCTGGGGCAATTAAGAGTTTGCTGGGTAGTCCTGAAATTATAGCTTGTGTTTAAATATATGGAAACAAATTTTAAAAATTAGGACCTTGATTTTATTTTTGCCACATAAACATAAGTTCATACATGAATAAAAATTAATGTCTCTGCCAATGAATGATACTAAAATGCCACACTATTCTTGCTTGTTATTTTTGTCACCAGAAAATAAGCCATATTTACATGATTATAGAACCATATGCTTTTCTGAAGTTTTAGATTCAGATTTCATAATGTAATAAGAGCTGGCAGTTACATAGCACTTACCATGTGCCAGACACTGTTCTCAATTGTTTACAGATGTTAACTCTTTTAATCCTCACATACTAATAATCCTTAGGAGGTAAGCACCATTATTATAAGATGCAAGGAAATGGAGGCACAGAGAGGTTAAGTGATTTATCCAAAGTCACACAGCTAATTATTGAAAGAACCAAGATTTGAACCCATGTACTCTTTTTTTCCAATGTGATCATGTTTATTTATTTATTAAATTTAAAATTTTTGTGAGTACATAGTAAGTATATATACTTATGGGGTACATGAGATATTTTGATACAGGCATGCAATGTGTAATAATCATCACATCATTGAAGATGGGGTATCCATTCCCTCAGCATTTATCTTTTGTGTTACAAATAATCCAATACTCTTTTAGTAATTTTAAAATGTACAATTAAGTTATTATTGACTATAGTTACCCTGTTGTGCTACCAAATATTAGGCTTTATTCATTCATTCTAACTATTTTTTTGTACCATTAACCATCCCCATCTCCCCCTGACTTCTCCACTACCTTTCCCAGCCTCTGGTAACCATCCTTCTACCCTCTATCTCCATGGGTTTAATTGTTTTGATTTTTAGATCCCATGAAGAAGAGAGAACATGCGATGTTTGTCTTTCCGTGCCTGGCTTATTTTACTTAACATAGTGACCTCCATTTTCATCCATATTGTTGCAAATGACTGAATCTCATTCTTTTTTATGGCTGAATAGTACTCCATTGTGTATAAATACAATATTTTCTTTGTCCATTCATCTGTTGATGGACACTTAGCTTTCTTCCAAATCTTGGCTAATTGTGAACAGTGCTACAACAAACACAAGAATGTGGATATCTCTTCAATATATTGATTTCTTTTCTTTTGGGTACATACCCAGCAGTAGGATTGCTGGGTCATATGGTAGCTCTATTTTTTAGCTTTTTGAGAAGCCTCCAAATGGTTGTCCACAGTGATTGTACTAATTTACATTCCCACCAACAGTGTATGAGGGTTCCCTTTACTCCACATCCTCGCCAGCATTTGTTATTGCCTGTCTTTTGGATATAAGCCATTTTAACTGGGGCAAGATAGTATCTCATTGTAGTTTTGATTTGCATTTCTCTGATGATAAATGACGTTGCACACCCTTTCATATGTCGGTTTGCTATTTGTATGTCTTCTTTTGAGAAATGTCTCTTCAAATTTTTTGCCCAATTTTTTAATTGGATTATTAGATTTTGTTCTAGAGTTGCTTGAGCAGCTTCTATATTCTGGTTATTAATCCCTCGTCAGATGGGTAGTTTGCAGGTATTTTCTCCTATCCTTGGATTGTCTTTTCACTTTGCTGATTGTTTCCTTTGCTGTGCAGAAGCTTTTAAACTTGATATAATCCCATTGGTCCATTTTTGCTTTGGTTGCCTGTGCATGTGGGTATTACTCAAATCTTTGTCCAGACCAATGTCCTGGAGAGTTTTTCCAATGTTTTCTTGTAGTACTTTCATAGTTTGAGGTCTTAGATTTAAATCTTTAATCCATTTTGATTTGATTTTTACATATGATGAGAGATGGGGGTCTAGTTTCATTCTTCTGTGTATGGATTTCCAACGTTCCCAGCACCCTTTATTGAAGACACTGTTTTTCCTCCAGTGTATCTTCTTGGCCCCTTTATTGAAAATGAGTTCACTGTACATGTGTGGATTCATTTCTGGGTTCTCTCTTCTGTTCCATTGGTCTCTGTGTCTGCTTTTATGCCAAAACCATGCTCTTTCGGTTACTATAGCTCAGTATAATTTGGCTATTTGGGGTCTTTTGTGTGAACCCATATACTCTAAAACACTACACAGTACTACAGAGCTGGGGCTTACTGGGCATTCACTACATGCTGCATTTAATCTTTATCACAACGCTGTGTGAAAAAGAATTGTTTTGTCCATTTTATAAATAATAAAATTAAAACTAAAAGAACCTTAGACGTTTGTCCAAGGTAAAACAAATGATCATCTGCAGAGTGAGGCAGGCCCTGCAGACTCTCCTGGTATCCTTGCTATCATCACACACTTCCAGATATACTTGTTTTATCTTACATTGAGTTTTTAATTTATCTTGAACAGAGCCAATCAATGTTCATAATAGAAAAAATATAAAATATAGATACAAAAAATGCATTATCTCATTGTCCCACTGTAGCCACTATTAATCTGTTAATGTTTGGCATTTCTTACATATAAAATCACAATAAGATAAAACACAATTTGTCAATTATTAAAGTTTTGACCAACCTTCAATGGATAAACCAATCCTTTACATTTAAAAAAATTACTCAGTTCTGTAAAGCAAACCAAAACCAAAACAAATCTAACCTATGGAGAGAGAAAAATTTTATTTGACATGCTTTCCATCCCAACAAAAACAGTCTCTAGCCACTAAACCCAAAATACGTCATCTTATAGTCAAAGCAAAAAAAAAAAAAACATAGTAATGAGATTGTCTTAGGTTTGGTTATATGGGATTGAAAAGGCTTCCACATCTTGTTTTCAAGGTGAATAAGTGTCTTCTGATAGGAGAAAAGTAGTTTTATTATTATAATTATAGCTAATGTATATTGTATATTTACTATATACTAGAAATTATTCTCTGCACTATATGTATATGTGTATTTGTGTATATGCTCATTTAATCCTCAAAAAAATCTATGACATAGGTATTATCTCTATTTATAGATGAGGAAATATGCGTGGATAAGTTAAGTTACCACTCCAAGGTTACACAGGTGTGATTTGACCTCAAGCTGCAACTACAGTGCTGGCCGGTGGTGGCTATGTCACAGGGGCTGTGTTCTTTCTACCCCTCACCGCTAGGACAACATTCTTACTTTGCGGGGAAGTCTAAATATTTATTTACGCATGGGATAGGCTGTGTGTTTTATTGTATGAGAAGGTGAGCATCTGTTCTGTATCAGTCTCTATCTTGGTCCTGAGATGCCTTTAACCCTCCCAGGATCCCCAGAGTGAATTACTAGGACCCTCACGTTTCACTTGGGGATGGAGGAACAGGTACTTCGACGATCCAAGGTCTCTCTCTGCAGCCTGGAATTCCTCAGTGCTTCTCTGTGCTCTGAGAATCAATCTTAGCCCTGGTTGATTTGAGGCTTGCCTGCTTTTTTCTCTTACCTGGGGCCTCTCTCTTTCTTGTGGACCATGCTGCAGCCTTGCCAGCCTTCTTTCAGTCCCTCAGACATGCCAAGCTCTTTGCTTTTGCTCTCCTTTCTGCCTGGACCACCCTCCCCTGCTTAGTCTTCAAACAGCTCATATGCATTTGTCAGGCCTCAAACTAAATGTCACCTGTCCAGAGAGGTAAGCATTACCTCCTCCTTCAGAAAACTTCCCCAGGCTGGGTGTGGGAGGTTTGCTTAAGGCCAGGAGTTCAAGACCAGCCTGGGCAACATAGTGGGACCCCATCTCTACAAAAAATAAAAAATTAGCCAGGTGCAGTGGTGCATACCTATGGTCCCAGCTACTTGGGCGGCTGAGGTGAGAAGATCGTTTAAGCCTAGGGGATCAAGGGTGTAGCGGGCTGCGAAGGCACCATTGCATTCCAGCCTGGGCAACAGAGCAAAATCCCATCTCTGAGAAAAAAAATAAAAAGCTTCCTTGTGCACCTTTCTCTCTTTATCACATCACCCTCTTTATCTCTTTCAGTGAACTCTCCAAAATGTGCTGTTAGTTTCCTTGGTCACTTTTTTGATTTCTGTGCTTGTGTTTTTTGCTTGTTTTGCTTTTTGTTTCTTTGCCTTGTAAGGTAAGCTCTGTGAGAACAGAGGCCTCATCCTTCTCATTCAGTGTTTTCTGCCCCATATCTGACACACTGCCTGGCCCTGGTAGGTCCTCGGGAGACTTTTGCTGGAAGACTGAGTCTTCTGACAGAAGATGGGGAAGATGAGGAAGACAGTGGCTTTCCCAGATGCCTTAAGAACGCTGACCCTGCACTGTGCTCGGCTGAATGAGGCTGGAAGCAGCCAAGCCCGGGCAGGGATCTGAGGTCAGTGGATGAGAGCAGACATAGGCTGCTGTCCCATGTCTGGAAGGGCCCAGTGCCCGGCTTATTTGGCCAGATGTTCTTGGGAGTGTCTCATTGTCACCTTTGGGTCCATGACCCTGGCCCGTGGCAGGGAGCCTCCCTTGTACTTTGAAGATTTCTAGCGAGTGTTTTAGGGTGTACCTTTAAGTGGCTTTTGTGCACTGTGGAATTTGGCTCCTGACAGCCTCATTTTTTAACAGACTATCTGAAGCCTGGTTTTGTTGTTTGATTTTGCTTTCTTTTCTTACCTTACTCCACTGACTCTCCTGTTTCAGAGGGCATCCAGTGCTGATACCGAGCAAATTCTCTCCCTCTGAGAAGTCTGCTGGGTGTTGGGCAGCTGGGGAATGAGGCTCTGTGGAGAGGGGAAGTTTTCTCTTAAGCTACTTTTTTGGAACTTTCTTTGAGTATTACTAGTAGTAGGAGAGGGATTTCAGGAATGGCTTGGGATGTCAGGACTGGTCTGTGTAGGAAATCTGGAGAATAAGTGAGTTTGGACTTCAGGGTGCGTGCTGGGGAATCCTGACCTCAGTTTCCGCGGGTGTTGACTGGTAACTATTGGTTTCAAATGCGAGATGGGAGTCTTGCTCTCCCCATGTGTGGGATGTGCCCCGTGGGGCTGTGTTTTGTAGGCAGTGAAGTTAAGGCTTGCCCAGAAAAATAACATGTTTTCCTTGCCTGGTGCTTGAGCTGTTTGCCCTATGACTGGCTGATTGGTGGTTTGCGAAGAAAGGAGACACTAGTTAACTGGGGTGTCCAGAGGATTTTTGTGTGTGTTTGTGTGAGTGGTTTTTTCTGTTTCTTTGGAAACAGTAGAGGACGGATGAGGAAATAACGATCATACTACTACTTAGAACTGCGTTTAAGGTCCTTGAGGCATCTTCCAAACATTAACTTGATGTCACTATTTAAATAATGCTATCACTTCGAGAAGACCAGAAATCCTTTGATGTCAGTATTGAAAAGGGGGATAGGAACACTGAGGGCTTTGGAAATAACTGGGAATTTTGGCACCCTAACTCGTATTCTAACGGCTTTACCCTGTGCTGTGTTTCCTACAGAGGCACTTAGTGGAGGATATAAATCAAAGCTCTGTCTAATCAAGGCTTTCTTTCAGCCTTGAAGGAAAACACTTCTTTGAGATTAAAAACGCCTGACACATAGGATGTGATGGTATGTGAAAGATATGTTTTCATTAAATAAAATTTTGACTACTCCCAAGCATTAAAAAATTCAAAATCTGTTAGGCTTTCCACATATATAAACCTTTCTGCATTGGGAGGTGACCAGATTTTAGGGACAGAGGTATTGGATTATTCATCTTTAACTCCCCGGTGCCCCAAGTTAGGAAATGTTGCTATTATGGAGACGTCATCTCTCCATTTTCTCAAGAGGCTGAAATGACCAGATCATTGATTATATTATGACTTCCTTTTTTTCACAGCTAACTAACACTTCATGCGTTATTCAGAAGTTTCTTTTTTTTTTTTTTTTTTTTTTTTTTTTTTTTTTTTTAGGCTAGGCGTGGTGGCTCATGCCTATAATCCCAGCAGTTTGGGAGGCTGAGGTGGGAGGATTGCTTGAGTCCAGGAGTTCAAGAGCCTTCTGGGTAACATAGTGAGACCCCATCTCTATTTTTTAGAAAAAGTAGCATTTTTAAAATTAAATATCACATGGGCTATTTGGGGAATAAAGGGAGAGAAAGAAAAAAAAATAAGGAAGAGTGAAAATAAGAATAAGTGTTAAGATTAAGAAAATGTAGTGTACTAAGGAAAATGTAATAATGAAAAGAAGATTTGGCTTTTTTTTTAATAGTTCAAGTGGAGAGTGGGTATAAAGAGGGTGTCACAATCTGTGTCAGTCTTATTTCCCATGCCTCCAGGTAAACCTAAAGCACCTACTGATAAGAAGGCTGAGTTTCTCATCTTATCCAGGTGTCTTCTGAACTCTCCTTTCTTCCTGCCTGGCTGGGGTTCAGATTGCAGGGACAGGGTAGCCAGGCACATATGGGGACGTGGCCTTGCCAGCAAAGCACTTTACTTGCATTCTATGGCTAGGAGCTGTTTTCAGGAAGGAAAACAGACACGTGCAGCTCCATCTCCAGCCCCTCCAAGCCCAGGGTGAGGAGTCCCTCTTCCCTGGCTTGCTCAGCCACCAACAGCCAAACTTCACCCCAGAGTCAAGTGACCTATTAAACCCGTCTTAGTCTGGCAGTTATTTAACTTTTATAACAACTGTGAGAAGTAGGTATTGTCATTGTTGTAAAAGAGCCCAACGCAGTGGAATGAAAAACAAACGAACAGACCAAACCTACCCAAGCTTATAGGTTGGCTGGTATGTGGCAGAGCCAAGTTGGAACACAGACCTGTCTCCGAGGTCCTTCTCGGGATCATATAGAAGACAAAATAATTCTACTTGGCAGCCTTCAAGTAAAAAGTTGGCAGATCAGGATTTGCTTGATAATTGCTGGATTATCAGAGAATCATCAAGTCAGGATCTCTTTAAAGAACATTACCTTCAACATCCTTTGGAATCTTCAATCTCTCGACATATGCCACCAAATGTATACATAACTCTGTGCCATGTGCCATCTCTGCAACTCCATGTCTGCGAGTTGATTGTACTATAAAAACAGCAACCAACATTTCACAGCACTTTGCAGTTTATGAAGTGCTTTCCCAAATATCCCACTTGATCCTCCCAACATCCCTGAGTCAGATAAAATCTATATCACCTATAGTCTCTTTTTATAGGAGAAAATTAATATTCAGAGGAGTTAAGTAACTTGCCTAAGATCCCACAGCTAATGAGCAAAGGAGATTTAATTGTTTCTTTTCTAACATAAAATCTGGTTTACTAATCACGATATTAGGTTTACCATAAATAATACAGTTTTACTTTTCAGCATTAAAAGCAAAATAAAGCCTAAATTTAAAAAACAAACAAAATCCCACTTCCGAAAGAATTAAAAGATTGCTCCAGGGGTTATATATGTGTTTGCAGCTTGAACTGGCATCCTATTATGAGAAATATTTAGCTGTGAAAGAGGAGATGATATGATATTTTATGTAGTTAATGAAACAGTTTTGCTTTCTCATGGCCTCTGAACTCTCAAAAGCACTTTACTAAAAGTACTTTATGGCCATTAAAATTCTGCTTTTCCACCATAGACATCTGGGTACACTTCTCTTTCCTTCTGGAGAATCATTGCCCAGAGGGCAGGAACTGTTTGTGCCAAGCCTTCATTCTCCTAGCATGGGGCCTCATGCATGGTAGGTGCTCAGTGACGATGTGGGGAAGAAATGAATGAATGAGACCTGTGTCCTTGGTTTCTGATTCTGCCCCTGGTGTGTGCCCAAGTTGAATCATATTTGAACAAGTTCACTGTGATGGGTAATCAATCACTGTCCACAGGCCACTTTCCCTGAAGCAGTTTGTGAACAATACCCCATCAAGGGCAGCCACAATTTCCCAGTGTGGATTTGGGGGCTGGCCTTTTCCCTTCCCCTTTCTTCAGCCTTTCAATAGGCATGTCTCATAGGCCTTCTCCAACGTCCCCACTGGGTGCTGCCTGCACCCTCTTCCCCTTTTTTCTTTCCCTTTCAGAAGGATCCAGGTTCTGGGTTTTTCCTAGCATATGATCTACACTCCCCTGAGCAAAGAAACCACGTTCATGCGTAGGAAGGGCTCCTAGGTTTGGGATCACAGGGGCATTTAAAGAAATCCTCTTTCCCTTTTCATACTGATTTGAAGTGTGGATTCGAAAATGGTGCTGTTGTTTGGGGGCCTGAGCCCTGGGGCAGAAAAAGAGAAGGCCCTGCGTTTGTTTATTAATGGCTTGGACCTTTTGATGAATTGGAGTCTGGCACAGTGTTAACCTCTCGTGGGTGGTGGGGTTCAAGGAAAAGGCCTTTTCCTTCCATGTGCTTTTTCCAGAGTGTTTTAGTGGATTTGCAGGCTTTAGTGAGTGATTCTTTGTTTAGTAGGAAGTTGAGAAAGATATGAAGGACTTTTCTAGTCCATGGAAATAATCTAGGAATCCCCCAAAACACAGCTTATTAGCTGGGCATGGTGGCTCACACCTATAATCCCAGCACTTTGGGAAGATGAGGCAGCAGGATTGCTTGAGCCCGGGAGTTTGAGACCAGCCTGGGCAACACAGGGAGACCCTATCTCTACAAAAAGTAAAAAATTAGCTGGGTGTGGTGGTGCACACCTGTGGTGTCCCAACTATTTGAGAGGCTGAGGTGGGAGGGTCCCTTGAGCCCTGGAGTTTGAGGCCACAGTGAGCTGTGATCACTCCAGCCTGAGTGACAGAGAGAGACCATGTCTCAAAACAAACAGACAAACAAACAAACCCCGCAAAACCCCACACGGCTTATTTCTGCACTTTAAACATATTTAATGATCCTTCATTCTGGTGAACCTTGTGCAGAAAGGTGGGCCAAGAGTTTTGTAGTTGCTTCCTTATGAGATCAGTATCCTCCTCATGGTACAATACGAGCTAGGCATGAGTTTTGAGTCTTGAGCTTGTTTATCAGGATGAAAGGATCCCTGTAAAGTGTGTGAATATATATACATATTTATATATATTATATATAAACTTCTCAATAAGAAAACAGGCCAAAAGAAAAAAATATGTATATGTGTGTGTATTTTTGCTCCTTTGGACTGATTAAGCTTTCTTACTGAGAAGCTGGTTAAGAGGCAAAAGTTTCCCTAATAAGTATTCTGTGAGCGGAGGGCTAATGGTGCCAGCAACGTTAAAGCAGAATTTAGAAGCTTGTGATGTTTTCTATTTAAGTATAAAAAAAGAAAGGAAAACACATTCTCTATGATGGAGCTGTCCTCTCAGTAATAATAGAAAATCAACAAGGCAATTATCACAAGTGGTAAGGCATTGGAGTAGGAGATATATTTGTATGTTGGGGCAACTCTTTCTTTTGCTACTGTTGAGTCAACACTGCTGTAGATAAAGGTTAAGTTATCTGGACAGTGGGAGCTGTAGGTGGCCAAACCAGATAATTTACCCAGAAAAAGCCACCCTAATTGATACCAGCTTAGTCATCTCTCTCCTCTATGGACTGAACCTGCAAGGGTATGCTTATGCTTAGCTTAAATGTTGGCAACAGACCCCAGCCCTCCCTCACACTGACAGGGAATGATAATTTCACATACTTTTTTGAATATTCATAAAGTTTTAATTGGCATTGAATCTGGCCTTGTCATAAGCTTAACTTTGCCCGAGTTTTTCAGAGCTCTTGGGAAAGTATAAAGAGGTGGGGACGCACTTAGTCCCTTCCTTTCATCTCCTCTTCTGTATGTGGTCTTTGTTTTCATTGTCTCACTCATCCTGTTGTGTTATTCTTAATCTGCCTTTTACCCTAAACTGGGTGGCATGGGCGAGGCAGTTGTGGGTACTTATACTCTAATTATTCTTGCAGAAGCCACACTATTGGCTATCAGATCAGGAGACTCCAGTGTTGCACAGAACCAGTCATTCTGTGCATTGCAGAATATCCCATATCCCAGGCCCCTTCCCACTAAATGCCAGGGTGACCCCCTTCTAATAATAGCAGACAATAATTGGTTTCACGTATTTCCAAATCCCCTTACTGGGCCACCCAAGGAAATGATGCCTTTTCTAGGCAGGCAGATGAAATGTGCCTTTTGCTAACATTTAGAAAGAGAACCTTGTTCGAATGATGAGAGAATCTTCAGATGGCATGAGATTTTTGCCTTAACATGGCCTTTAAGTGACCTCCTAGTACTGTCAAATGTTCACACACTTGACATTTGAAGCAGAATGTGTGAGGAATCTGAATCAAGGCTTCGGTATATTTTTACCCTGTGTTCAACGGACATCGTGAGCTGTCTCAGGCTCAGAACACAACTGCTGGCTACTTTAGAATACAACCTGGGAATGCCCCAGCTTTCTGCTGGGGTCGTGGGAAAAAAGCACCCAGTATGATACCATCATTCTCAAATGTCTTTCAAGAGGAAGTCAGTAGTGGTAATCATAGGAGTTAATAGTAAGATGAAATAGTCTCTTCCTGGTTTCGCCGAAAGCAGAGTGGTCTGGCTTGGGCATCACTGGGCTTGATGCAGTCTCACATGTGGTAGCTCACATTCATGCAGAAAAAGACACATTTTCAGATGTTTTGAGTATGACTTCAGCCCGTACATTGGGTGGACCAAATGTATATTGTTGCTGAAGATATAGATACTTATCTAGAATAAAAATCCAAAACCTCCCCCCCCCCACATTATCCAATAAAAATCATCTGCATGTGTGAAAAGAAAACTAAGACTAGACTAAAAAGTTGTGACTCTTAAGAATATTTAAAGATATTTATTTTACATGAAAATTGTTTAAAAATCAAATGCACTCAAACTGCATTAAAAAGTATCTATCTAGAGGCAGAGTAGTACCATTTGGGAACGTGTTCCAATTCTAAAGAGGCAAATTTTACTGTAGTAGGGCACAAAGGGAGAAGAGAAAACTATACTGCTGACCTTTTTCTTAGATTTTCCAAAAGGCAAGCTGCTTTCCACCAGTATGAAGAATAGATCCAGTTTTGCACTGAATTTCGTTGCTATCATAGTCTTTTCTCTCAGGAGTTCATGGGGGCAGTTATTTTAAATGACAATGAAATACTTTCTTTTCTGGAAAAATAGAGATGACAGGGTCGACCTAAACCTTGGCTATGTTTTGTTCTAATTTTTCTTTTTTGTTTTCTTTCCTTTTTGTGCACAGTGAGAGCAGGTAAAAAGGAAGAGAGTTTGCCACCAGTCAGCATGTTTTCTGAGGTTATATGTTTAGTCCCATTAGAAACAAGCTAAATTATTTGGTTACATTCAATATTTCCTTCAAAACCTAAGAATCTCTACACTTGTATTTTGTTAACCACACACATGTCAAATAAACTTTTGTTTTAGAGATGTGATGTCTTCTGCAAGAAAGTATATTGTACTGCATGGTAACAAGGGGACAAGGACCTAAATGCGGTTCATACGCATTCAGCGACTTACTCAACATTGCACCTCTCATGCTTCACACAAGTGCTTATTACCAAGTATGTTCTGAACTATTGAACCCATAGAGAGGAAAGCTATAAGACAGGATTATGTGAAACAAAAATCAGAATTAGCCAGTAACTTTGAACAAAGACCTCCTATCTAAAGAAACATATGGAAAATTTAAAAAAAAGAAAGAAAGAGGAATCTAACATATGAAAACCCAATCCCACTGGAATGTTTTCCTATACACAGCATAAACGCCACATAAATAAAACCACAAACCTCTGCAGAAGTACGTGAGAGGACGTGAGCCCCCAGCACTCTCTCCTGTTACGGCCCCCTCTGGGAAGTAAGACCCGGGTTAGTTTCCAGAGACAAAAGCTGTTTGGAAATCCTTCCTCCTGGGAGCAGTGGGCCTCATTGGAAGGGAACTTCTGACAGCCTCTAAGCATAATATAAAGTGTGACGCAATCCCAAAGGGGGCTGTGATTCAGGTTGTAGGATTCTGAGCTTTTGGGATACCAGGGGATGGCAAATATCTTTGAAGAACAGGGATATTCTTCTGGTTTGAACAGAATAGTAATATTTAACCGCAGTGTTATGTGTCAAGTTCAGGCCTTCTGGGGGAGACTACTGGCTCTAAACTGCCCAGGAACACACCCTCTTCACGCCAAGTTCTGGTGAAATGTTCACTTATAAGGTACAGCCCCACTCTTGGTCTTGTTCCCTGTGTAAATCTCTGGTTTGAAAACCTTGTAGCATTCAGGCGTTTCAAGCTTGAGGGCTGAAATGTCACTTTTAAAGCAGGGTTAAAAAGGTCACACAGCTGCAAATAATAATAGCCCAATGAAATTCAGATTCTGACTGCAGCCCGCTTCAAGAATAACACTGCAACAGGAAACAAGACCACAAGATCCTTTCACCAGTAACGCTGGTAAGAACACTACTGATAAAATGAGTATATGCATGTGTCTGTGTGAGACAGACAGACAGACATAAGGAGACAAACACACAAAGAGAGGAGAGAAAGGCACACATGGAGAAATAGACATGCAAAGAGACAGAGGGAAGATGCCCACAGAAAGAGAGAGAGACACACACAGACACACAGAAAGATACCAAGACAAACACAAAGTAATTGATTTTCTTGGACTGAAATTCAAGGTGTTTATTTTTCTGTGGAAAGTTACAATATTCAGGTTTGAAAAATAAAGATATATTTGAAATCCAGAGGACTTACTTTTCTCTTAATTTACAGTTAGCTTCCAATAGTTATGTTTTCACATAATACCTCTTTGAATGGTCCTGTTCTACAGTGTTTTACTACAATGGCACTGTTTTGCAGATGAGCAAATAAGATAATGAAAGATGCAATATCCCTCCCAAAGAAAGAAATTCTTAGCTCCAAATTGCATATGCAATTCCTTCCCAACAGCTAGCCACATGTGGGGATAACCTACCTGCATCCTTGCTTTGAAAGTAGAACCAGGCATCTTTGAAGAAAATAAATCGAGAGTGTGTTTTTGGTGAATGTGTGTTGGGTTATTATTGTGTGTGTCCCCTTGCCCTTCTGACAGATGTATTGAGATAAATATTTGCTTTGTTTCAGAAACACGAAGTGCAAATTGGCCATGGCCTTAACTAATATAATTAATAAACAACATTTGTTCCTAGGAAGAAAGCAGGATTGATGTGGAGTGTCATACAGTGTGACTGACTCAAGGTGCTCCTGTTTTCCAGCTGTTTTTGGTATTTCAGGAAGGTCCAGTTTCCTCCTCTAGAAACCTTTTGAGGTCTCATAAGCTCAACAAAGCAGAAAGATCTGTTTCGTGTGAGTCCTGCCAAGAAGGCTCTTCCCACACTCACAGGAGAGTGATAAATGCTGATAAATGTTGTCAATATCACGAATAAAATTCAAGCCCCCCTTTCAGATTTATAATGCATTCATTTCCAGGTTAACAATATCAGAGGTGACAGGGACACAGCCATATTGTTAGTGCTCACTGATACTCATGATTTCAGTTTGTAGGTTTGAAGTTCCCATAACTTTTGGTATTTATAAGAATACATGCCAGGCTTTCAGATTAGAACAGCCCTTTTAGTGTCTTACTATTTATTATTGCAAATTCCATATCACTGTATGAGTCCATCTGCTGTGAATGGAGGAAACTTGTGCCATCCCACTAAGATTAGAGTTTGATGTTAACTAGGGATTAGTAATGGCTTTCTACAATTTACATGGGCAAACATCACTCTTGGCTGATTACAGCAAACCAGATGATGTCAATTTATCCCCCCTCTGGGCTTAGTTGTTACCCTTAAGTTTACAATAGGTATTTACAGTATATTGTGTAGGCTGTCCACGTTTCAGTATCATTTGCTTTTTGCAGTGTTTGCCTTTCATGAAATGGTATTTCCAAGTATATCCCTAAATGGCTGGCAAAGCATTTGAATGGATTGCATGAGACATTGTGGACGATTTCCCATTTTAGACCAGGAATTTGTGGGGTCAGACACTGAACAATGAAAGAGATTCTTGCTCATTGCGAGGCCAGAGGAATCCAGTGGCAGTCGAGGGTTTGAATTGTAAATCAAGCTTGTCATCTCTTTGTCAACCATGAAAAACCTCAACTCACTTTATGTGCTATTAGGATTTGTTATCAGAGTTTTTTTGTTATCTTCCTCAAATTTGAAGGAAATTAAAATCAGGAGGCATTTTTTTCTAGTTGACTGTTGATGCTGAATTTTGGAAAAGAGGAACAAAAATGAGTACCGTTTAGAAAATATTAAATGATGAGGCAGCATCTGCCACAATTATGACAGTGTCTAACCAAAGGTATCGGACTACTCAGAGTCTTTCAAATGTTGCTTCATGGGGGTCATACTCAGCCCACATGTGGTTAATAGACTGGACTTTAATGATGCCAATGTCCATGGCAACATTAACAGACAATTTGTAATGAATTAATACATTTACTTGTGAGATTGAATAAAATTAGATTCACTCATTGTTTCTACTGAAAGCACCTTTGACTTTTTTCCATGAAATCTGGAGAGATTTCTTCTCTGGCCATAACTGTCAACAGGTAGACTGAGTGATCCCCAAAACTACTTACCTCACCAATAATTTGATTCAGGGCAAACAGTGTTTGAAAACCACTGCCTCAGGAGTAGAGAATGGGCAAGCTGTTTGGGGCAGTGTATTGTGATGATTCAGGATCATTATCCATTCCACAAATATTTATTGAATGCCTACTATGTAAGCTCTATGCAGTGGAGCCTAGGGTATGGCAGTTGCCAAGCAAAACTTGGTTCATTAAAAAATCCAAGCCAGTAAAACAACTGAATGGGAAATGAGAGGATGAGGACTCAGGGAGAACAGCCTCGTTCAAATCCTGTCTGAGTAATTTGCCCCCACCTGATGAATGGTTAAAGAATCTATGCAGGGCTTTATTTAATAAGAGTCTGTTTGAGAGAATAATTATTACAATATGTGCTAGAAAAGAACCATAATAATAGACCATAAAAATAAACCATGGCTCTTGACTAATACACTAGACCAGATCATACTCGTTGATAAAAGTAATAAAGCCTACATGGTAGAGAGGTACCATTTAGAAAAACTATTGCAAACACCTACACAGAAAGGAATTAGCAAGAGAATGCTGTTTGCAGAGGGCTAAATGTGGGAACTGCAGGGCATCAGAATAAAGCAGTTGAAGTTCACACACTTACAAATACACACCCACTCACTTCAGACCTTATTAATCACTGAAAACTTATTTTAGCAACTGCCATTCCACTTGAAGACTTTTATTCCAGTATTACGTTGCTAAAACATATTTGGTCCATGGGATCCGTGGCATGTAATACATTGATACAGACTCACTTATGTTGTAAAATAAAATAGTAACATAACAATTGTAACCCAGTAGAACCTATCAATGACTAAACTCTAAGTGATTTGAGGACAGACTGTATTTCTCAACTTGTGTCTTCTGAGGCATGATTTCTTATACTGACATATCTCAGTGGCTAACAGATTAGATTGCTCATATTCCTCTAAACATATCATCCACATCATGAAGACTCAATTAAGACAGTAGAATCTATGTGGCCGAGCCTTTCGTTGTCTTCAAGCACCAGCATCATCCTGTAATTCTAAGGTATTTGCTGTAGCTCATATGCAAATGCAGCCATTAATTAAGATAAGGCAAACCATGTTGATATCGGACAGAATTGCCAAAGTATTAGCATTATGGGCCTGAATTTCTGGGGAATGTCAGTACTTTGGTAGGCCAGGGCTTGGGATGGAGTTGGGATTACGGTAGAAAAATACTTTTTCCTCATACTTAAGTGTCTGGGCTTGGTCAATCTCTTCCCTACTTTGGCTTATTAATGAATCTCTTTAAACTTTCAGCAGTAGCACTTCCAGTCTTGATCATTTCTGTTGCTTGGACATGAATCTAATTGTTATCATTAATGACCACTTTCAGATGTAGGCCATAAATGTGCGTATATGAAACTTTCTCATTTTACTGTCACATCATCTAATGTTACCTGGTAAGAATAACATTCTACAGTAGCAACTAAAACTCTTAAGTGGCATCCAAGAAAGACTCACCTTAGGCAAATAAAATAGTACTTTATATTTTATAATTTTATAAATAGATAATATTTAATATTAGAGTGAAGTTTCGGTAACACTTTCCCAAAAAAACCCTCCAAACAACACACAAATATACAGACATCTCTCCATAATTTGAAAATATCTACCAGGCCCCATAGCCAATATGACAAGGAATGCGGTTGCTGAAGTTTGGTCTTTATACCCCTCTTATTAAGGTATGGACCTTAGGCATGGAGCAATTAAATGATCTGGCAATGGTCAGGCAGATGAAAGCTACAGAGACAGAGAAGTTCCAGGAAAGCATTTAAACGAATTTACTAGAAAACTAAGATGTAGTTAATTAATGGATAGCCCGACAACTCTGTTGTTTATTTTGTCTTGGATCAAAATCATTTTCTCAGCTTTAAAGTCACCTCTTATTTTGAGACTTAGTAGTACCTTCTCAGTATTCACAGTGGGGAAGAGAGATGCTCTACAATCAGTGATGGCAAAATCAAATGAACAGTGAAATGTGAGAAGTTATTTTAATTGCTCAACACTCCCCAGACAAGGGCAAGCAGAAAGATCCCAAAGATATTTGTGTCTAAATATAAGACAGTAAAGGATTTTGAACAATATGCTTAATACAGGAAAGCTATAAAATTATGGTAATCACTGTATTCATGGGTGGCCAAATGGAGAGTGAAAATGCATCGCTCTGTGAAAGCTGGATAATTGTGAGAAATAGTGGTTTGAATAGGTTTACATTTTAAAATTTCCTTTATATTGCTTTAAAATATCTGACTGACAATGTTATCTCAGGCAAGTCTTTTCACTTTGTGCTTCAGAAAAGTGAAAGTATATATATATTTTCCCGAAGAATATTGTCAAAAACATTAGTGTTTGTGGGGGAAAGCTGTGACAATATACAAAGTACAGTATAATTGGTTTTGGTTGAAAGATAGTGAAGCTTCCTTCAGACAAAGGGTGATTATTCTATGACTCCAAGCAGAACTTCCTATTTCAGGGTCCAAGGTGACTTGTGAATCCTATTGGAATCACCTACAAGTGGCATTTTAAGAAGGCAAATTACTTCCTGTGTGCACAGTAGAAGTAGTAGGTTTTAATTCAGTAATAGAGCCATATACTGTTAGCAGCAACGTACAAATCGAACTCTAAGAAAGGTACAAAAAAAAGAGGGGGGGTATGATATAGAAAATTATTTAAATTGTGTGACTTAAATAACTAAACGTGTATCTCCTATGATTTTATATATATATATATATATATATGTTACTGTGTGGATTGGTAACCACAAAACCATGTATGCTATACTTACATTGGCTTTTGGGAGGATTTGCAAAGGTAATTTTGACTACATTCAATTTTTGCCTAAGGTATGCACCTTAGAATTGAACTACAGCAGGGTGTGGTGGCTCATGCTTGTAATCCCAGCATTTTGGGAGGCCAAGATGAGAGGATTGCTTGAGTTCAGGAGTTTGAGACCAGCCTGGCAATACAGCAAGACTTTGTCTCTATTTTTATTTAAAAACAAAACAAAACAAACAAAAACTGAACTGCTACATAAGAAAAGACTACAGTATAATTTAACATGTGTCTGATGTTTATTTTTGAGACGGAGTCTTGCTCTGTCACCCAGGCTGGAGTGCCATGGTGCGATCTCAGCTCACTGCAACCTCTGCCTCCTGGGTTCAAACGCCTCTCCTGTTCCAGCCTCCAGAGTAGCTGGGATTACAGGTGTGCACCACCACGCCCGGCTAATTTTTGTATTTTGGGTAAAGATAGGGTTTCACCATGATGGCCAGGCTGGTCTCAAACTGCTGACTTCAGTGCCGATTACATTAGTGATCCAACCGCCTCAGATTAGATTACATTATCGATCCAACATTAGCGATCCTCCTGCCCCAGCATCCCAAAGTGCTGGGATTACAGGCATGAGCCACCATGCCTGTCTGATTATAAGGTTTTTTTCCTGAAAGCTACCTTATTCCAGATGATGTATTTGGATCAAGGGGCAGCAACCTTAATCTGCTGTTAATTTCAAGTCAGCTTATAAAGCCAAATTAATGAAATATCCAACGTTATGTTTTTGGCATTTTTGGATTTCTACTTACTCCTGCGTACTTGGATAACTTTTGTTGAGGCATATCAAATGCCTGAGATAAGAGGGAATTGAGGACCACGGTTCGCCACCAGAATCACTTGCTAAGCTGGTGCCACAGCTACTTTGTAGTCCCTTGGGAATGCTGAAGCTTGCTGGGGTGGTTGTGGGTGTCTCATTTCACCTGTTGCTCAGGGGTAGCATTTTCATACTGGCAGTTACCCAGTGATTGCCATTCCTCTTGCTGTCCTAAGTAGCAAATCCCAAAAGCTTTCAGCAGGACTGGACAAGGGTTGGTGTACACTTTGCCTGAGAACCTTCTTGCATAGGTGTGGTCTTTCCTGGTAGTAACACCCACCAGGTGGTTTTCCACAGGGAGGATTTCTGCTGCTACCTCCCCATAGCAGTTTTCTTCCAAGTACAGTCAGTATGCACTCGAGTAAAGGACAGTAGGAGCCCAGCCTAGGTGAGCCCAAAGAACTACAGCCAAGCAGGGCCTGTGCTCACTCACATTAATGTTCTGCTCATCTAATTTTGGTATTGGCATAGAAAGGGGGCTCTGAGTGATTGCCTTTCTCACGTTGCTCAGGTAGAAGCAGAAGATATTCATGGATTTCTTTTTCCTTCCTCCCTTTCCCTCTGATCCTTCAGATTTATGAGGAATCCAAGATGAATTTGGAGCAGGAGAGGCCGTTTGTCTGCAGTGCCCCAGGCTGCTCCCAGGTGAGTGTGCGGATCCTCCCTGCTCTGACATGCAGGGCCTGCTTTCCGAAAGGGAAGCAACTCTCACCCGGCAATCATGCCTGCCCTGGGCTTTCCTTCTTTACCAAGACACCACCAAAGTCCCCCTCCCCATCAGTATCGTGATCATCATCATTTTCATCGCCATCATTATATTCTGTTTTGAATGGTTTGAAATACTTCCCTCTTATGCCCTGAAAGGTAGCAGTGTTAGGCATTTCTGCCCTTTACTTCCTCCTGGAAGCAAGCCAGGTGTATCCTGCCCACCAAATATGCAGGGCCATCATTTCAGAAAGAGGGAAGGAGAGTGCTTACTTTTACAAAAGCCACTTGAATATACTGGCTGGGCTTCGAGATTACTGATGAAATAGCTTAACACCATAGGTTAAATTTTATTTTGTTTTGTTTTCCAATTTGAGTAAAAAAACCCCAAACTCCCTATAACTCTTCTAGAGTCTACAGTTTTCCTACGTATGTGAACTTTAAGAGGATAAATTGTCCTGCTGTGTTGGATTAAATCTCTTTTAGCCTCTGATGGCTTCCATCAAGTGGAATTAGTGTGGGAATTCGAAGAGATACTGCTGGTAGAGTGTTTAACATAGGGTCTGCACACAATACGAGCTCAATTATTGTCCACTGTTGTTACTACTATTGCTGCTGCTGCTGCTACTATTATTATATTGGAATCTATCTCTTTGAAAGAAATTAGAAACATTCATCACCTAAAATCAGAGTTTTGCACTTTACCTTTGGAAGGTGACAGTGACTTTTTCTACTCTTGACCCTTTGGGTGTCTCCACATTCTAGTCATTGGAAAATAACTACACGTGGTTGCTGTCATGCCTAGATCTTCATTCTGTGGGATATAGGACAAGTTTGGAACCCAGAGCACAGGGGTCTTTCAGGTGTGGCGAGTTACAGTCTTTCCCTCACTCTCCTGCCTGTTTATGTGGTGGGGTTGGCAGTAGAGCATGGAGCAATGCTTAGCAGTCAGATGAGAGCTTGATAAGAAGGATTCATTGAGGACCCTTCTTTTTTTTTTTTTTTTTTTTTGAGACGGAGTCTCGCTCTGTCGCCCAGGCTGGAGTGCAGTGGTGCGATCTCTGCTCACTGCAAGCTCCGCCTCCCGGGTTCATGCCATTCTCCTGCCTCAGCCTCCCAAGTAGCTGGGACTAGAGGTGCCCGCCACCACGCCCGGGTAATTTTTTGTGTATTTTTAGTAGAGACGGGGTTTCACCTTGTTAGCCAGTATGGTCTCGATCTCCTGACCTCATGATCCGCCTGCCTCGGCCTCCCAAAGTGCTGGGATTACAGGCGTGAGCCACCGCGCCCGGCCGGACCCTTCTTATTAACTTCCCTAGAGAGTTTATGGAGGATTCTGGGAGCCTTTTGGAAGGAAGAGGCCATAGAAATAAAAGACATTGTTGCTGGTGTTATCAACCACTAACTGAACAACCAGAGTCCTTTGCTCAGGTTCTAGAAGTTTCACCAGGGGCTTTGTGTCAATGTTTATTTCCAACTTATAAATAAGAAGAGCAGTGCAAAAATTATTTTGAAGCAAACTGGTTTGGAGATGATTTTGAAGTAGAAAACACTAGGAAAAAAACAGAGTGATAAGTAACTGGTAAAAATCCTGCTAGACCAGGACTCTTCATTGTGGATGCAGAATGTCACTCTACTAAGTTACTAGAGTAACTAAATTAGAACTTAATTCCTAAGGTAGAGCTGATTCCCATTCAGCTTCTTTGAAGAGAAGTCTTGATAGCCAAAGGGAATCAGATAATTTGAGCAGTTTGCTTTGCTTTGGTGGTGAAAATGTCACATTACGTTTGATTCAACTCAAATTTCTCAACACACTTTTTGGGAGCCTACTATGTGTCAGGCAATCTGATTGCTCTGGGGAAACAGTAATCACAAGACATATGTGTCCGTGTCCTCACAGAGATTCTAGTTTAGGAATCAAGTCTATAATCACATGATCAGTAAATCAGTTAATTAGTCAATTGCAATTTTCCATGAAGGAAGGCCATAGGCCACCTTGAAGAGTATAATACAGGGATTAAGTTTACTTGGGGAGGTAAATGCCAGTCTCCACTAAGGAAGGGGCATTTAATGGAATGGGACTCTCCAGAGACCCAGCAAAGGCAAAAGAGGGTTCAGGGTGAGTTAGGATTCCCAGCAACCTCCAGGGTTGTGTAGGACAGTAGAGGAGAGTGTTTCAAGGAAGGGGCTGTAAGCCATATCTAATATTTAGGTAAGTCAGAGAGAAGAGAGCTGCACATTAGTCATTAGACTGTATGGCAGAATTTTCCAAGCTTGGCACCGTTAATATTTGGGGGCTGGATAATTCTGTGTCTTGGGTAGCTGTCCTGTGTGTTGTACGACGTTTAGCAGTAACCCTGGCCTCTACCCACTAGATCCCAGAAGCATTCCCCACTTGTGATGACCAAAAATGTTTCCAGACATTGCCAAATGTCCCCTGTGGGCCCACATTGCCCCTGGTTGAGAATGACTACCCTCTGATTTGCATTTTGGCTTTAGCCTTCCTTTCTTTTCGATCCCTTGTCTTTGGGGATCATCTACTTCTAATCTATGTTCTCCCAAACTATTTTATGTATTGCTGTAAACCCTTCTTCTTTTTGGCAACAGGCAGGGTAGAAAGAAATGAATGCCACAGACGTGTGGTCACTGGTGTCAGGCACCGCTAGAGCTGGGACAGCTAGAGGCCTGGGCAGAGGCTGTTGGCTTTGGCAGCTGGGTGCTCGCCGGCAACCTATGAGAGGGGAACGGGGGCGGAGGCCAAACTGCAAGGGATTAATGAGTGAGTGGGTGGTGAGGAAGCGGAGGTGGCAAGCATAGAGAACTCTTTCAAGAGCACTAGGCAGTGACGGGAAGCGGAGTGATATAACGGTAGCCTGAGAAGGAAACAGTTTTTTTAAAAATTAAAGGATAGCCGAGCTGGAGTTTGTCAAGAACAAGAAACCAGTGAGACAGAAGGGGTGAGCATGCTGGTTTACACGGCTAATCCCCAGAAGATAAAGGGTGTAGACAAACCTGGGGAGGAGTGGGGGTGCCAATTCCTCTGAGAAAGGAAGGGTTGGAAAGAGATTCAAGGAAGTGACTTGAAAATGCTGAAGTAGAGGTGGTTAATTAAGGTTGAAGGGAGTCCATTTTGAATGACCTTGAACTTCTTGGTGAAGGAGCAGGTCATTTCCTTGAGAAGGCTGAATGGACTGAGGAAATGGTTGGACAGACATGGAAATTGGGATTGACAAAGTTTCTTGATTTTAAGGAACAATTCCAAGCTTCCCCCACTTCAGATTTAAATGTAAAGATGCTTCTAAAACTCGATGTCTTCATTTAATGTGGAAGTGTATTTTTTCCTTGACAAGCTGTTATAAAAATATGTGCATTTTTCAATGGAAGAGGTGTTAGAATTAAGAAAATGTAGCAGTCACCCAGCAGTCACAAAGGTCTCCTGGGTTATTAGAAACTCACAGTCAAGCCAATTGTTGTGGCCATGGTGTTTACTTTAGGGATGTCCTACAGCCTGGGAACCTGCATGGAGAAGACAGGATGACTGAGAATTGGAAACGGGAATAAATATAAGTTATCACTGCTTGCACTGTGCTAGGGGTGAAGAAATGATTTTTTTCTCCTTTTCCCTCATGGGAAAGAAACTTAGCTCTGTTAGGAATGGCCTATAATACGTGGGAGGTTTTTTTGTTTTTTGTCTCGTTTTGTTTTGTTTTGAGATGGTGTTGCACTCTTGTCGCCCAGGCTGGAGTGCAATGGCACGACCTTGGCTGACTGCAACCTCTGCTTCCCAGGTTCAAGCGATTCTCCTGCCTCAGCCTCCTGAGTAGCTAGGATTACAGGCACTTGCCACCACGCCTGGCTAATTTATTTATTTTTAGTAGAAATGGGGTTTTGCCATGTTGGCCAGGCTGGTCTCGAACTCCTGACCTCAGGTGATCCATCCGCCTCGGCTTCCCAAAGTGCTGGGATTACAGGCGTGAGCCACCGTGGCCACGTGGGAGATTTTTTATGTTACCGTTTCTTCGACATTATCTTTGTCTCAGAAGGAAGAGTTTCTCTTGCCCTTTGTAATCTCACAGAGCTCAGTGTTAATTTCACTCTCTCTTTGCCTTCTAAATGAACCACGTTCTGAATTCCAGTGGCCTTTCTCAGCTCTGTCTCTATTGCAGACTGTATATTTTTGTTATTTGCAATTTGCTGCTATGTTCCTGCTGAATTAAAAAAAATCACGATGTCCTTTATTGTCTCACTTGGAAGGTAATTATAGTCAGTATGTGGTATTATGGAAATAATTGTTATTTAAGAAGTATTCTGGTTCATATCCTACTTTAGGCTATTATTTTATAAAGTCAAAAAATGGCTTATAGATATGAAATGAAGGCTATTACCATGTTGTGTATTTTTGTATATACAAATATATATATAAAATATAGTATATTTAAAATATAGTGTATATATAAAATATAATATTTTTATAGTATATTTGTGTTATATACGCATATAAAACAAAAATTATAATTAGTTGTTTGACGGAAAGACTAGGCAACTCAGTCTCTAAATCACACGTGGTAGTGCTATGTATTTGGTGCAGTCATTACACAGTGTTATAGACCAAAAGAATGGATGAACCAGTAGCAAAAAATCATGTCATATAAAGCAAACTTCAGTGTATTCAGAAATCTGGCATAATTACCATGTTTTGCAAAAGCCAATGCTTTCCAATTTATATAATACAAATGACAAGTAAATAAGTGATATTTATTCAGAGAGCTACTTTTAGAATATTTTGTATAATTCAGCCCAGGGAATTCCTTCATTCTCATGAATACAAATCCATGCCATTTGCAGAAAACATTTCTACCCTAGTAAACAAAGGTAATTAAAACTTATATTGACTATCCTGAGGAATTAGAAAGCTCTGAAAGATTTCTAAATTGTTGAAGATTTGGAAATGTTCAGCAGAATATATCATCCTCTGTTGTATTTTCATTTGACATTGATAAAGCGGATATTCTGTTAAGTTCAGTTACTACAAACATACCAGTCTGAGGCAGGATAGGCTAGGATCTGCTATAATAACAAATTACCCCAAAGCTTCAGTGGCTTAGAGCAACAAAGGCTTATTTCTATTCCCCAAGGATACATTTCTATTGTAGATTGGCAGGAAGTTCTTCATAATCCTTTAGAATTCAGAAATGCTTTTCATAATGCCTCAGAGATTTAGGATGATTGGGTAGCCACTATTTCCAATATTGCTAGTTGCCATGTTAAAACAAAGGGGAAGGGGGAATGCTAGAGTGTCTTACACCAGGAATTAGATGCTGGCCCCTGGGTGACATGTCACTTTCATTCATTACTCAATGGGCAGAACTAGTCACATGGCTTCATGCAACCACAAGAGAGCCAGAAAATTCAGTCCCACCATGTGACCAGAAGTCAGACAGCCAAAAACATTTGGGAGCAGCATTTTTGATAACCATAATATCATTCCCTGAAAATTAAAAATAAGCATTGGTTTATTACATTGTACAGAACATAGAATACTAAAAATAATTTGTCATGTTACTCTAAAATCATATGTGTAATTTAAAAATATCAGATAATAGGTGGGCAAGGTCTTCATAAATGGAAATATACTGTACAGATTTCACAGTTACATTTGTAGATACATATGTCAAATAATTAGGCATGGCATGTAATTCTTTCCCAAAGTCTGACTTGAATCACGATTCTCTTCTTTCATCATGTATATCTCCTATTTTTGGTTAATCCATAGATAATGTCTAGCATACTTATCATACCTTAGACTTAACTTTTACACTGTTGTGTAAAACATTAACTACATTTGAAAAGTTCCAAATGATTTTGCAAAATTCCAGTGCTACTGAGGTCTAAATTCACTTTCATGTTTTGCACATGGTTTTCTCATATGTATAAGAAGAAATGGAAAAATTTTAACTCGTCATGCTGCCATTATTAGTTATTCTTCATGACCACAAATAAGCATTCATTTAAACACTTATTTTTTGTAAAATGCTGCCTACTTAGGTAGGCATTAGGACACAGCTCATTTTTTTGTATATATATGTTATTTTAATACCTTCAGTATTGTTCATTTACTTCTTCCTGTTTTATTCCTTAAATACAAAGTTTAAAGTGCAAACCCATAGCTCCTAAAGAAATATATAGTTTAGTGATTAATCAGCATAGTTGGATATATCCAGGGACTATCTAAGAAGTAGAGTGCTTTCAAAAAAAGTTCCCAGGGAAGGTATAGAAGGCAAAAATTTTCTGCTTATTATCAGTACTCAGCCAGATTTTTCTGCAATTGTAGTTAACCCCTTTGGTAAACTTTAATGAAAATTAGAATGCATATATTTGGGTGTAATTTAAAGGAACATCCCAGCACATTTGCTTGCATAAAAAAGCTTTGCAACTTCACTTACTCATGCTTTCACACTTTTTCGAAATGTTTTTTTTTTTTTGTTTTGCCTGTCATGTTTGCAATGCTAAATAAGTCTTTTTCTCAATAATGGTAAATATGTTTTTTAAAACTGAATGGCTCCTCTTCTCCCCTCCCTTTTTTTTTATTCGTCCGACAGCGCTTCCCAACAGAGGACCATCTGATGATTCATAGGCACAAACATGAAATGACTTTGAAGTTTCCTTCAATAAAAACAGACAATATGTTATCAGGTAAGGAGCCATCAGGAAAAGAAGCTTTGGGTGATCAGATCTGTTCCATGCGAGATACTTGTTCTTCTTTTGGTAGGCGAGTCCCACTGGTAAATTGTGCACCTTGAAAATACACATTTCTAAGGTATAGCAGAAATATAATCAGGTAATATTCACCCAAGTGACTGAAGAGCGGCAACTTCTCATTTTCTAGATATGAAATATGTATTACTATGCAACTTGGCTCTATATAAGTTGTTTTAAAAATCACATACCTGGCTGGGCGCTATGGCTCACACCTGTAATCCCAGCAGTTTGGGAGGCTGAGGTGGGCAGATCACTTGAGGTCAGGAGTTCGAGTGATACCAACCTGGTCAACATGGTGAAACCCCATCTCTACAAAAAATACAAAAATTAGCCGGGCATGGTGGGATGCACCTGCAATCCCAGCTACACGGGAGGCTGAGGCATGAGAATCGCTTGGACCCGGGAGGGGGAGGTTGCAGTGAGCTGAGATCATGCCACTGCACTCCAGCCTGGGTGACAGCAAAACTCCGTCTCAAAAAAAAAAAAAATTACATACCTGTAATCACACTCGAGCAACAAATGTGAATTGGGCATCTATGCACGCTGCACTGTTCTGTGAGCCATGGGAAATGCAAAGATTTATATTCTTCCTGTCCTCAAGGATATCACAATATAGCATGCATGTGAAAACTTAGCTAAAATAAAGGATCATCTATGACATACATCAGATGAGTATTTTAAGGAAAAGGTGCTATGCAACTTTGGTAGAATGAGCTCTCTTTCTGGATTGAGATGGTCAGTGAAGGTGTCCTTAGGAAACAATATCTGCCTCATATGTGGGAGATTAAATGAGAGAATGTATGGAAACAGCAAGTGCTCAGCAAATGTGAGCAGAAATAAATAATACCAATAATCCATTAGCTAATTGTGATTTATTCTAATTTTGAGAGGTAGTACGGCAAATTAGAAAAAGTGCAGGGACAGGAGTGAGGAACCTGAACTCTATCCTGGGCTTTGCCTTACCTGGCCATGACCTTGAGTACTTATTGAACCTTTTTGGGCTTCAGTTTCTTTTCCCAAAAAATGGGAATGATTGTGTCTGCCAAGCCTGTTTCACAGGCTTATGATGGAGATTCAGTGAAAGAATGTAAGGAAAAGTGTTGCATAAACCCTAACAGGATAATCAAATAGTTTCCTGTTATTCTTCTTAGGCTAGAAATATTTCACCTTAGCACTTCTCTCCTTAGCACACCTATGGATATGTTTTAAATGTATTAGAAGAGAAACAAACTGTCCTGCCAGGCCTGGCTCATGTAATTTAGTGTTTCTATGTTACTTTAATTTTAAAAGTGCTTTATTATTACAATATTTTAAATTCTTTTTTACTAATTTTATTTTAAGTTCTGGGAAACATGTGCAGGCTATCACTGTTATCAATAATCCTCTAAGGGTTTTGTCAGACAGGTTATTGTAACCCATTGTTATTGACAGGGGAGGAAGGGCACAGGTGATGGAGCTTCTGTCCCAGGCTCAGAACACAGGGAAAAGATGAGGGCCCTTGATCCTGCAGTCCTAACCCACTAACCTGCACACGGCTACTGCATCATCAGACTTTGCCACTTTATAGACACGGTCAGATTCTCCCAATACTCCCGGTGTCGGAGCCACCCACACATCCAGTGACTTGTTGATAGTGCCAATGTGCTCTGGCTTGGAAGACACCGAGTTCAAAGGCAGCATCTGCCCTTCTCTTCACCCACCACTCGCCACCTCTCAGCCTCTGTTTGTTATTGTTTTTTTTTTTTTATGAGCTTGCTCTTTAAAAATTGTTTGGTCTCCTTTTAAGTCTACAAACAGAGATGGAGAAACTCAAATTCATAAGAATTATAACAGCCTAGAAGGATTAGGAAGGATGGCCTATTCTTTTGTTTTGTATCCGTTATGTTCTATAGAGTCAATGTAGTATAACTTAATGGTTCATCAGTGAGCATAGATACACAAGTAGCAAGGCTGTAGATTCTGCAATTCCCAATATTTAAATTCAAAAGTTCTCCCTTTATTTTTCCCAAATTGGATCCCTCAAATAAGCTGCCTGGTGGTAAAGGAGTGGGAGGTGAGTTTAGGGAATGATGATTATGTAGGGAGATTACTACTACAGTGTAAGTACCAGACAGAGCAGCCTTTCAGGCAGGCTGCCAGGATGGTCCTCTAAGGAGCCCCATCTGAAGGTCTGAAAAAGAGCAGCTGAAGATGTGTGAACACTGAAACGAAGCATTCTTCTATATAGTGCCTAAAGCAGGTTTTTTGGGTTAATCTCTTGCAGCTTTGCAATTGTTCTTACCGGATCCTTATTAATTTGAGGCTGTCCCTGCCAATCACTGGCAGTGCCAGGTGGAATATTATTTGGGGAAAAGTAATTCTAATTTTTATTATGTCAAATTTGGAATGAGAAAATGAAGAGAAAAACAGTATGAGTATTATATTGACATATTTTCTTTTGCTTTCTCATGGTTTATGTTGAGGTTGGTGTTGAGGTTGGTGTGAGGCCATTTAATACTCCTAATGAAATGAAGTGCTAAATTTTAAAACTTGCTACCTACTTTGCATGTTCTTAGGTTCATAGAATTTTCTTACTGGAAGGGAATGCAGAGCTATACAGTCTGGTTCAATTTCTTTGCACTTAGAGAACTCTGTGTAATATACCAACATTGTCCATCCTGAATTATAATAGGCTATTGTGTTGGGTATTTTTACTTTGTTATTTTTTAATTTTTTCTCCAGGAAATCCTTCAGTGTTTATTTTTCTCAAGCCTTATTTTCCATAAGGCTAATTGTGGCATATTGGATTATGATTGCATATATGACAAGATTTTACTTGACTGTTGCTTGATTTATTTAAATTCAATTTATCAAAAGCTTCAGAGAATACTTTTATTAAAACTATGTTTGTAGGCCAAATTAGTTTGTATTTGTATTTTGTCATACTGTCCATGATGAGTTTTAGTATCTTATGAGTTTTAGAATTAGTTCTCTTATTTTACATGTTTATGTGATATTATAATACTTTTTTTTCTTAAAAGATTGCTAGAACTCACACTAAAGCCTTCTGGTCCTGGAAAACAAACAAACATGCTCATTAAAATTTTATTTACCTTATCATATTTTGTGGCCTATCATGAAGATGAATGATTTTATATGACTTGTAATATAGTAGCAACAATAATAAAAATAATGTAAATCAAAATATCAGGGTAAAAATCTTCAAGTTCCTCCTAGACTACTTTTTCAAGCAATATTCAATTACACATTTTATTTCAGATGAGTTGAGGCTCATCATATTTTAAGAAGATAAAATATAATAGATATTTGTATGACAAACTTCAGAATATCTGGTTAACCTTTATTTTGGAAAATTTTGGAAAATCACTTTATCCTTAATTAGTTGTAAATATTGTAGTTGGGGAAGGTGTTAAGATGTCACAGATATACTCTAAGTTTCCAACGGGTTGAAAGATCAGAAATAATTTCATAGCTTTGTCATAAGGTTCATTTCATTTAGGACAGGTAGAGTCACTCCCAAAAAGTGATTGTAAACGATTTTTGACATGCCACCAGGTAGGGTATTAAAAGTGACAGTCCTCGTGTTTTATTAGAATAAGCCCTATCTTCTGGGTAGACAGTAAACATAGACCCCTTATTCAAAGGGACAGAGTAGAGACACAAATGGAGATGACAGTGTTGGATTTTGAGAGCAAAGACTTGCACAACCCTTCGCCTGGGTCTTCTCATCTTTATTTGGTCCACGTGATGCATTTCTAGAGCCCTAATGTGATGATAGATGTGAATCACTCTCTTCAGCTGTTCTCATTGTGAAAAAGGATAATTTCATAGTAAGGGAAGTTGTGATGCAGAAGGTTTTTGAGTGCCAAGTTTGAAGTGGGAATGTGTAGAGGACAATGCACATCCATAGGCAGCTTTCAAAATTACAAGCTATTATATGATGCAACGTTTGGTTTGAAAATCATGATCAAATTTCAGCAGAGCGGTAAAGAGGGTGGTGTTTGAGTCTATTTCCATGGTAGTACGGGTAGGAACCTAGGAATTTCCAAATCTTGTCTTGTTAAATATCCCCACCCTGAGTTCTTTATAGGGTTCCTGGGTTCTGTGCAGGAAAAAAAAAAAAAAAAAAGACCCAGAATCAGAATCAAAGTGCAACCTTATTTATAGCTGAACAGACAAGTAATATTCCAAATGAGAATTCCTATTAAAACAAAAATTCAAATGGAGCACATGACTTTTTCTCCATCTCCACTGTAAATCTTGATACCAGCAAGTTCAGTCTTTACTGTGGAGAGAGGTTGAGACAGCCCTCCAAGGTAGGGCTGTGTGTGCACATGTGTCCTCTCATGTGCTCACACGTGTGTGTGTGTGACCTAATAGATGATAGATTGTGTTGCCTGGAGGGAGAGGGGAAGATAAAGTTCAAGAGTGTTGTGGATCTTTCCCGCAAGGTAAAACCCAATTGACATCTCATGTGGGAAGCCTAAGAAAGATAAGAAAGACACACAGAACCGTGTGTCTTTTTGTTTTGTTTTGAGATGGAGTTTCGCTCTCGTTGCCCAGGCTGGAGTGCAATGGCGCTATCTCAGTTCACTGCAACCTCTGCTTCCCGGGTTCAAGTGATTTTCCTGCCTCAGCCTCCTGACTAGCTGGGATTACAGGCGTGCACCACCACACTCGGCTAATTTTGCATTTTTAGTAGAAATGGGGTTTCTTGATGTATGTCAGGCTGGTCTCGAACTCTCAACCTCAGGTGATCTGCCCCGCTTGGCCTCCCAAAGTGCTGGGATTACAGGCGTGAGCCACAGCACCCGGCCAACTGTGTGTCTTTCAAATGCCTTGGTAGCCTACCTGCTGACGTCATGGCCCAGCTAATGCTATAGGCAACTGGTCTGTGCTTGGATGGAAGTTAGGGCAGGCACCAGTCAAGGTGTAGGAAAAGGGGCTGAAGTTGCCCTTCTACAGCCATGTGATTCATTCATTCAGCAAACACTCACTGAGTGCCTACAATAAGTGTTAATTGCTGCGTTGAACAAGACAGGTGAGGTCTCTTTTTTCATGAAACTTACTACTCAAGTGGGGTGCAGAGGAAGGGAGATAATAAATAACAACAAAAAACCCAGATAAGTAAATAAGTATCAGTTAGTGACAAGTGCTATGATGAAGATAAAACATGACTGTGATGGCAAGTGGCCAGCAGGAAGCGGGGTCAGGAAAGGCCTCTGGGTACTTTATGCTCAGGTGTCCTTTCTCCCTGACCGCTGGATGTGGTGGGACTGGATGTGGGTAAGACCACAAGCCCACGTGTGGCACAGCTGACTATATCTTGAGCTGACGCTGAAGAGAGGCAGGAAAGACTGGCTTCTTTATCCCGTCTTCCTTTATTCATCAGATTCTCAGCACTCACCATTTGATAGAAAGCATCTAACATAAATGACAATATAGTCCTTCAGAACCCAACTGTGTCCCTGGATTAGGTCTATAATCAGGGCCCATCTCTAGTTCCAGGCTCTAAACCTGATTCTCACCATGGAGAAGGCAAGAAAGTAATTCAGGGAAGTAAAACATTTGTCCTCAAGAGGCTAATCATGATCATCCAATCACAGAACTGAGATCCATTGCTCATGGTTCTTTGCTAGAAGAGTCTACTTAATAATCCCTGGGCATTTTAAGGGGGAAGCTGGAGGGAAGATGGCGTATCTCACTCCAAATTCTTTTTTAGAACGAGTTAGGGTATTGTAAAAACTGAGTAAATAAATCACACGCACACACACACGTGACCCATACTTACCTCTTCTTCTTGGCAATTCCATTGATAGTAAAGGTATATAGTAACTTCCCACCGTGTGTATTAATTGGATCTTTATGGAGCAGAGGGTGGGGGAGATGGCTTGCACCAGAGGGCAGCATGGTAATAATACTAGCTACCATTTACTGCCTTCCCTTATACCAGTCATTGCGCCCTGTGCTTTACATACATTAGGTCATTTAATCCTTACCACTTTTTTTTTCATATGAGGAAATAAGATCAAAGGAATAAGTAGTTTGCTCAAAGTCCATATATGTCTGTAATTTTCCTACCATACACCTAGATGTGTGAGCTGTACATACTAAGAACACATTTTGGTCTCAGTTGTATGTTTGGATATAAATCTCTGAACTACTTTTTCTTATATTATTGGTATCTCTTTAATAGTCATCCAATGGAGAAAATAATCAAAAGTTTTTAGGAGATTCTTCTAACACATAAGCATTGAAAAGAACAAAGAGTTGTGGTTTAAAATCAGATTGTCTCATCCATTGTGACAAATAGAATGTAAGTGTTACTGGCATTTATAGGAGTTGTCCGTTTCTCGTCCGTATTCTTAGCTGGTCAAGCAAAATGGAATTTTGAATAATTCCCCTGAATCCTTTGGAGGCCTTGCTCTGCAGTATTCTTTTTTATATGAAAAGCTTGCTTGCTGTCTTCGTTCTGTCTGGAAACCAGTCCCCTTTGACTAAGAGTATAGGAGAACTCAGGCAATCAGGGACTCAGTGGAAAGTTAAGCATTAGCTTCTGCTATTCAGGGCAATTTTTGATAATAAAATCACCTTGGGTCCCCTAGCTCACTCGGCCAGCAGAGACTTGATCTCTTGGTGTTAATAACCCTTCTTACTAGCTTAGCCTCAGTAATGCAAATTGAAATTGTGGCTTGATTGCAGTTGGAACACTTGGGGTAGCTCATGGTTGATCGTGAGTAGGTGTGGAATATATAATTGGTTACTTTAAAACTATGTCTTTTGGAGCTAGTTGAGCATGCGTTGTAAGAGACACCTTTGTCAGAGCATTGTCTAATGGACTCACAGGCACTTGGAAGAGCATCTAGTCCCACAGTTGTCTATCTTGGCAATGAATGGATCCCAGTATATGAGTCAAGAGTGTAAGAGGGTGTTCCATCTCCCCACTGACCTGGATCACCCTGGCCAGGATGGTTTTTAAGCATTCCATGTCTGTTGCTTAAAAACCAGGTCTGCCTTGGTTTGTCCCATTGTAGCACTGCCTTTCAGGACAGATGCAGGGAAACAGTAACATCAGTGTTACTGAGAGACTCCTATTATATATTCACACTCAATAAAAGGCACATTTGTTGCAAAGAAGTCTAAAATTCCATGGAATTCTGTGTGTTGTGATTGATTATCGATCTTACAAATGATTATGTGTATTAAAATTCATTTAATGTAAATTTTCTTAAATTAGGGCTCTATTAAAATTTAGATAGGGACTAAGTTGGAATATTTTAAAGAAAGCATTTGCTGAAATATTTATGAGATAAATGTAACCAAAAAAAAATATGAAAAGTACCTAAGAAAAATACCTTTTTAGATAACTCTAACTCTTACTAAAATAGATATACTAATTCCAATATTTTTCTCCACTGATTTGAATAGCCCTCTTGAGGAATCCTATTAGGCCACCTTTTTGTTTGGTTGAATCTGAGTCATGCAAATAATAAAAATGCATTGCCTTTAAAGAATATCCTGTAATTAGACTGGCCGCTAATTCAGACTAACCTTTATTGTAACTAATGAGGCTTTTTATAGTATTTCTAGCCACTATCAGTTTCATGCCATATGATGTAACATTATTTTCACAGTCCTTTAGTAATACCATAGTTGAGAATATCAGACCAATAGGAAAGAAAATTTTGCTTAGGAAGTTAATATTATTTTCTGGTATGTGATGGGACCCCTGCATTTTCCCTTCTTTTCTTTTTTAAATTGGTGATTTGTCACTTTGACTTTTTTAACCATTGAGGAAAATGAAACAGAAAAACACATAATACAAATGCAGCTCTGAAAGGGAGTAAGGTAGCAATCAATTATTAAATGTAGAGCAGACTAAATGCTTTTTAAAAGAAGAATCAGATTTCAGAATTTAGCATTTTTCTTGTCATTTAGTTTTACTTTGGAATAATTGCACTTGCTGGGCTGAAGCTCTTGATGCTAGGCAGACTATGAACTGATAGGAAGCGCTAAGAGTCGCATATGCATTGAGCCGTATGCTTGTCTGCCCAGCTGATAATGTGACTGATTGGGTAATTCCTAATTCGTAAGGCCAAGTTTGTAGCAATCTGCTGGATCGATCCACAAGTAGTCTCAGCAAGGCAAGTATCCTGTACCTACCAATTTACAGAGGCAGTGATTCCATGATTTGGAAATTGTGTCATATAATTTGATTGGTAATTGATAATCCTAACAACTTTCGGTTCTTTTGAAATATTTTGGAATCATTCATATCCCTCACCAATAGAACTGCATTACAATCCTACTGACTCTCTCCTATCTTAAAGGAACAGTTTTGCAATTAAAATACCTGAGAAAAATCACATAAGATAACAGAAATATTAGACTACCCATCATCAGTGGGAATTGAGTTTGCCAGTTTTTAATCTTCCTTTTATCCCTTTATGCTTCTTTGCTTGAGATTTAGAAATTGAGGGCCATGATTCATAGAGAGGTAAAGAGAACAGTCATCCTAGCAGCCTCTCTCAGACTCCTGAACTCTGAGATGAGGTCATGAGATGGTCCATGAAATTGAATTCAGGCTGGCATGTGAGAGCCCAAGCCCCAAGCACGTTGAGCGATGTTTTCTGTCTGCTCTTAAAAAAGATTGTTCCCAGATACCAGCACACACCTACACACATGAACAAAGGAGGTTGCGGGAGGATGGCATAGGCATGGGATTGACACAGTCCAGCATCACCAGCCTCTTCAGCCATGGAGAAATGAAAGCTCCGGGGCCAGGGGAGCCACAGACTGCAAAGACAACTGCTTCCCTCCCACCCCCAGAGCAGAAGGACCAGAAAAAGGTCCCAGGGCTGTTACCAAATGTGATTTTCTTTGCTGTAGGATATAGTTAGAGAAAAGCAAAGTCGATACCCACATTTGGAATAGATAAGGCACACTGTCCCAAATTTTAAATTCATTTTCTTTTTGTGAGTGAGCTATTCTTTCCAGTTACAACAAGAACCAGAAAATGGGGCTTAACTTTTGTTTTAACATTTATGAGAATTAATACAAGGTCTCTAGTTATCTTTGATCTCACACGGTACCAGTTCCAAGTAAGCCAGAAAATGTGCAGATGTTAAAAAAAGGGGACAGCTAAATCTATCAACACACGAATGCCTTGTCAAATAACTATTTCTGCTGAAATTAGACCTGAAGATGGTGTGCAATCTCCATGGCCATAAATTAAAATTCTTGTAAATCACACCTTATTTAGAGCCAAGAACAGGCACCAGTCAGCTCCAGCCCCAGTGATTTCTAGATCCTGAATAATAATGGCGGATGCTCCATTGGTGCATAATATCTAAGGTGTGCTCATTGAGTATTGATAGGAGGCCCTTGGGGGGTTTACAGGAGCTGGTTTCAATAAGAACTTAAAGCCAAGACGATTGTTTCAGGCCTTCCACTCACTGTTCTTTTAGTGCTTCAACTACAGTGAGGACCCTCTGAATGAGAGAAGGGAATAAACCCATCTCAAACCAAACTAAAAACAAGTAACTTTTGAGTTTGAGAGTTGAAAGTTTTTTTTGTTGTTACTGCTTTTGTAAATCTGAAGTGGCGCTGCATAAACACCCGTGTGTTACCCTCTCCAGAGAGTTTGCAAATAGCACACCAGGTTCCCAGGAGACCTAAGCACCAGGGCAAGTGCGAGTAGGAACTGTTACCCACTCCTCTCACTGTCTTGCATATCCTTGGGGATTTCTTTGACAAGAAAGATTGGCACCAAAAGGAGTTTAAAAAAACCTCCTTTGCAACGTTTGTCATATTTCAGTATCTGGTTCCCTTGGTGAGTTGGTTTGCTGAAAAAAAGGAGTGTCTTTTCATGGAATCACTACCTCTGTAAATTGGTTGGTACAGGATACTTGCCTTGCTGAGACTACTTGTGGATCGATCCAGCAGAGTGCTACAAACTTGGCCTTATGAATTAGGAATTACCCCATCAGTCACATTATCAGGCCTGGGGCAGGTCTCAGTTTCTTCATATGTAAACCAGGAAAAATAATTTTTACATAATATGGTTGGTGTAAAAACTAATGAGATGCTGTATGCAAAGCACTTAGCAGAATATGTGCTCATGCACGTGCACACACACGCACACACACACACATGCACACACGCACGCACACACGCACATACACCCTTTTACTTTCACTCTCAGATCTTGTCCATACACTTTCTATTCAGAAAACTCCTTTATCTATATAGCCAGCCCTTGCCTCTGACCTGTTAGTATCAAACTTCCAGCTGTTACTTATGTTCCCATTTGACTGTCCTTTAGTCACATATTTCTTCGGGCTATGAACAGTGACTTTTTAAAGCTAACCCATTATGGTGGTGATTTTAGGATTTATAGGATCATACAACTTTAGAAATTTTTTTGAAAGATGAGGAATATGAAGTCCAGAGAATGTAGGTAAATTCCCCCATATTACAGTATTCTCAAATCTAGATTTCTGGGTTGTTGAAATTGTTTTCTACACACACAACAGAGCCCTTTGGATCAGGGAGGGCAAAGCATTGAATTTAGATCAAAAAGGGATAGTGTCTGAAGGTAAGAGAGGACTTAGTAGTGATAAGATGGTTACAAATTGTGTAACCTTGTGCAAGGAAGCTCGTTTCTTCATTTATAAAATAGTATCGACTCTTGTTACCTCATAGAATCATGCGAGATCTAGATTCTAGACAATATGAGTGAAAATGTTAATTGCAAAATCCTGCATAAATATTAATTTTGTCTTCTATAAACACACAATAGTTATATGTGTATATTAGGGACCTAGGTGTATATGTGTGCCTCTTAATAAATAAATTAGTTGCTAATAAAACAATATTCAACAAAACCCACTCTTTCACACATCCCTTATCTGTAATGCCGAATTTACGAACAGCTGTGGTATGCTCTCTGTGAAATGCAAGGAGCTCAGTATCTTGGAGATTAGGTCAAGAATGGGAAAAAATGCAGATGGGGATTTTGCTGCATGGAATCCAAGTCAGCCATTTGGGTGCTGAAAGTTGCTTGCCCAGAGGGAATCAAGAGACATTGCCTCTAAAGGGCTGATTCGGTGGGGGATATTACACCATTTTCTGCTTCATGGGTATTAAGATATTCTTTGAATCAGACAATTTACTGATTTACTGGGCTTAACTATTCTCTGTATGATTTAGAAAAGTAAATATAATTCTAGTTTCTTATAATATAGGAATTTATAAAGAGAATGCAGGAATGGCAAATTTGTTTCAACTTGAGGGCACCTCTTCAGTTGACTGGTTAATGGCTTAGAGAACTATGCAGAGATTTTGAGACAGTCTAGATCAAGCTGGGAAAATGCCATAATTAATCTAATCCAGTCTACTACAGGGTTAGGTGGGAATAATACATGTACACAGTGGAAATAGCATTGAGGCCTTGGTTATAATCCTGTTGTCTCTACCATTTATCTGGGAGACCTTAAGCAAGACTGTTAATTACTCTGGGCCTCTGTTTTTCTGATCTGCAAAAATTTAGCATGGCTAGGCTTTCTTCCGTGGTCCTTTCTGCTTCTAATATCTCCTGTTTCTGAGAAAAGACCATTTACACAATTTTATTTGTCTCAACTCAAGTACACCTTCACCAAGGAAGATGATTGCACTCAATGACGATGGAAGTGCAATTCTACTCTACTTACCTTCTATTTAATGGAATCTTGTGAGATCTAGATTCTCAAGAATTGTATGAAAATACTTTATAAACTGCAAATGCTGCATATATATTAAGCTACAAATAGTGGCTTCAGCTCCATCAGTTTTATAAGTAGAAAGCTCTGTAGAAAGTAAAAAATATGAAAGAAATTCTTTTCCTTTTAAAGAGCATTTGCAGAACATTCTTTTTTTGGCTATAGCAAAGGAAAATAAAATTAATAATGACATTTTTAAAGGATGAAAGCTGAATGTGTTTGACTTGGAACTTTTTATCATCCTTCTATGATTTTCAGAAAGAGAGACAGAATTGTTAAGTTTTCTTTCTCCATTAAGAAAAATGAATTAACATGCTTGTTTGTTTCTTTTTGTTTACTATAAGAATTTGCAAAATCCTTTTTCTTTCCAGCCCCCTGAAGTCAGGCTTAACATTGGGTCAGATTTTTTTTTGGCCTTATTTTAGCAAAATCATTTTCTTTTTAAAGTTCAAAATAAATATAGAAAGAAAAAGGGTCATTCCACATGTTTCAATGTGTATTCAAATGGTACAGACTTCAGACAAGTGGAGAGTGAGATCTCCTGAAGTTGTCTGGAGGGAGTTCAGCAAAAGCCCTCGCAGACTACAGCCTTCTGTCTACTGTATTCCTGCTTCGGAATTTACGGTTTTATTTTCTTGCATATCGTTATGTTATTTAAAGGGCCAAGAGACTGGATGGCTAGTGGACATTTTAATTAAGGCAAGGGGAGGGGATTAGTGAATCTAGCTCATGCTTGCTACTGGCTTTTGAGAAAAAAGACCCATTTATGAGCTCTCCGACTCTGTTTTCAGATCAAACTCCGACCCCAACGAGATTCCTGAAGAACTGCGAGGAGGTGGGCCTCTTCAGCGAGCTGGACTGCTCCCTGGAGCACGAGTTCAGGAAGGCTCAGGAAGAGGAGAGCAGCAAGCGGGTAGGTTTGCTTGGATGGCCGCCTTGAGAGGTGTCCTGCTAGAAACTTCCACGAGGAAACTAGGTGGCACTGCACTGCAGATTGTGTTGATGTGGCCTTGAAGTATTTTAGCCATTTGTGAGTATTTGTCTAATTTTTTTTAAAAGATTACTCCTTGATTATGGCAGAATTCAAAGCTAGATAAATCAAAAATTTAGTCAAACTTACAGATTTTTTCTATTCTCAATCAGCTGTTTTACTTTGCTAAGTATTTAATAGCAAACCTTTTGTGAGCAGTGAGTGCAGAAGAATAGAGCCAATGGGTGAGAGAACAGGCGAGTAATCTTCATGGTAGAAGAGGGGATTTCATCAGACTTTGGCCCATGTTGTAACTGTCTGTTTTCGATAATCTTTCCAGTCATTCTGCACCAAATTCATAATTATTTCCTGGTCATATTACCTTGTTCTAGTATTGAACATCTGTTGTTGCTGAGACAAATAAGTTGAGTACAACTGTGAATCATTTGTTCTTAAAAATGTAGGAAAATCATTTTGTGAAACCCTTAAGAATATATTCGGTGTTTATGGGAATGTGCTGAAATTTAAAATCACTTTACAAGAATAATGAAAGGAGATGGTGGTCACAAGTCAATGTGATGAGGATGCTTTTTGGTATTTTGTTCATTGTTATTATACAGCATTATTGAATGCCCACATTGTATTAAGAAACAAATTAGATACAGTCTGTGAACAGAAATTCAAAATGTGAAAGGTGATTGAAAGGAAAGACCAGTTAGGTAGTAATGAATTCTGAAGTCCAGCTGTTCCATCCGGAAAAGAAATTTTAAAAGGTTCTGATATTTCTCTAAGTGTTTCAAAGCCTTTTAGTCCTTGTCTATGTGAAATTATAATAATCCCCCCTCCACCAGATTTTTCCTGTCACATTCTCATGTCATAATAGTCAAGGGCTTGTATTTAGCCTGTATGGCTTCAGGAGAAACCATGAAAATAAGTGATGCTTACAAGAGGGGTACAAAATCTCAGTCAACTCGTTTTACTTATTTATAATTAATTTATCATGCATGCTTGACTCTCTCCTCCACTCCCCCTCAAAGGATATGAAGTGCCTTTTTTCTTTTTTAAACAAGCACTTACATAGCAACTATTATTTGCCAGCCAAATAATAAGGTTCTGAGCACTTTAAAAAATTAACTTAATAAAAATAAAAGACATGCATTCTATATTTTGTTGCAATAGAAATGTATATGTATATATATTTAAAACCATAAAAATAGCATGCAAGAGAGGAAGAAATTCTCATCATCTAGTCAACTTCCTTTGGTTGAGTAATAAATTTTTTTTTTGATAGACATGTGTATGTAGAAGACTAAGGAATTAAGTTCATTCATTCCTCAAGATAGTCAAAGCTGGCTTCTTAAACTGAACTATAAGAAAGATGTGTATTTCATCCATATTGTCTTCATTTCTGATAGAATGGTTTTACCTCAAGTGTGTGCCCTTGATTTTACTAAAGACATTTTTCCAAGAACAGTTTCGTGAAGCCCGTGGTCGGGGTGTGGTTTTAGATATTCTCCATTGCATTATTCATGATTTCTTATATGAAGCCCTGTGTGAGGAAATTCTTGCAGATCTGAATTCCAGGAAATGGTTTGCTTCCCCTGAGGAACTGAAATATTTTTCTCCTTATGGACATGAGAATCATGTAACTGGTTCTGTTTCTCTTTTCGCTTTGACTGCCAGGTTAACACAAAGCCAAGTTTACTGCTAAACTTTGAAAACCTTTTCGAACATTGTGACGAGCATATTTTACTTCCTCCCTAGACCAGACTTTCAGTTCTAGTTTATATTTTCTCTGGTTCTGATTTTTAATTTAAAAAACATTGTCATGCTATACATGTTTCGTGAGTTGCTTTAAATTTCTTGTGGGTTGAAAAAGAGTATAGATAATTAAATTTTAAAAATTAAAATAATTAAGCAACCAAAGTAAGAAAAGGAACTATTGCAGCTGTAGAAACATGTTATTTTCTCTCTTTTAAGTGTTGCTCATAGCCATGTGATGCTTTCATGATAGGTGTGTGGGTGGGGAACGGCCAGCCTCCCCATGGTCTAGGGCCAGCATCTCAGGACACCGCCGTCTCATGCCTCAGCCTCACTTGCACGCATGGGAAGCTGGACAATATTCAGGCTGTTGAGGCTTCTTCTTCCTTTGCCTCATTCAAACCAGAGGGGCCAAATCCAGCCTCAGGTGGCCATGGTTACACGAGAGGGCATTGTCTTGAGGGCTAAACCACAATGACTCCTCTGGCAGCAAAGACGGCTGTGTTGGTGGCTTTGGCTCTGGCATTTCTTTGGAAGTCACAGGGCAGGGAAATGAGGAGTAGGAATAATGCTCCCCCGCCTGACAATATTCTTTTACCTACCCCTTTGACCAGGTTTTTCCAGCTGTCAACATCCTTGGCATCCTGCCACCCCAGCTCTTCTTTCCCTGCTTAAAAAGCAGAAACACAGGTTCTTATTCAGTGCCTATCTTATCATTTTTTAGTATTCTTTTCTTTTTCCTTTTGGTCTACATTCTGACAATTATTTCTTTTTAATTCTACATCTCTAGTTGTCTTCTGATTTCTTTTCCTCTGAGTCTTTAGACTTGCATTGGTTCCCTCATTAGGTTTTAGTAAAGTGGAAGATGGATTAATTTATCTGGAGAATTTGGCTAAAGAAAGTTCTTGCTTGAACTTTCTATGTGTCTTACACAAAAAATATTGGAAAGATTGGACTGGTTCTGCACACCACCTTTAAAACTTCTAGCTGCAGTTGGTCTAGAAAATTCTGTTAAAGAGCAAATAGAGAATTGATCCTTACTTGACCCATGTGGCTGTCCATTGGGGAAAAGTCTGTTGTACAGACTCTGTCTCTAATCCCAGCATCCTTTTCCAGAAGCATCCCAATGTGTATATAGAATCAGCGCAGGCTGTAAGCAGGTTATGTCCACTGGAGAAAGCCCTCATTATCTGTATTAATACTATACATAGCAGACAACACGTTCCATAATAGCCTCAATTTCCATATTAATAGAAGCTTATAACCTCATAAATCTTTAATAAGAGAATTGTTTCCCCTTAGAAAAGCATGTTGTAATTCACTATCAGGTATCATAAATGTCAACTTGCCAATGGCTTAGAACTCAGACTAGTTCATATCCTGAAATATATAAGAAATTTTGTTCATCATTTTTCATTCAAGAAACATTTTCAAGTGCCCACCACATGGCAGGCACTGTCCAAGGCATTGTTGAATATACCACTGAATAAAGATGATAAAAAACAAACAAAAATACCTGCCTTCAGGTAGTTTACCTCTAGGGGGCAAGAGAAACAATAAATATGTGAAAAAAAAATCTATAACATGTCAGATGGTGATAAGTGTGATGGAGAAAGGAATAGCAGGGAAGGGGCACAGGGCATGCTGCGGGTGGTCAGGCAGGCATTGATGGTTAGTAGATGTGCAAGCAGAGACCCAAAGTGGGAGGAGGTCTGAACCAGGTACGTACTGGGGAGAAGAATGTTTCAAGCTGAAAGCACATAAGTGCAAAGGCCTGAGGCTGGAGGGTGCTCTGTGTGTTGGAGGAATTACAAAGAGACCCAAGGCGGGTGTAATAAGGCTAGAGATCCGGGTCTGGGAGGGCAGATCCTGGGAGGCCTTGTAAAGGGGCTTTGGCTTCAACTGAGTGAGATGGGAAACTATAGGACAATTTTTTGGGCTTTTTTTGAGACAGGTTCTTACTCTGTTGCCCAGGCTGGAGCGCAGTGGTGCAATCTCAGCTCACTGCAGCCTCGACCTCTTGGGCTCAGTTGATCCTCCCACCTCAGCCTCCCAAGTAGCTGGGACTACAGGTACCCACCACCATGCCCGGCTCATTTTTCATATTTTTTGTAATGATGGGGTTTCACCGTGTTGCCCAGGCCGGTCTCAAACTCCTGGACTCAAGTGATCTGCCCGCCTCAGCCTCCCAAAGTGCTGGGATTACCGGCGTGAGCCACTGTGCCCAGCCAGGACAGTTTTGAGCAGAAAAGTGAGAGGATTTGACTTACATCTTAGGAAGATCACTTTGGCTGCTGAGTTGAAAGCAAACTATCGAAGAGCAGTGGCTGAGAGAGAGACCAGTTGAGACGGTATTGAAAGAATTTAGATTAGAGATGATAGCAGGTTGGCTCAAGGTGGAGATGGAGGCAGTGGATAGATTCTGGATACATTTTGAAGAGAGAGCCAACAGGATTTGCTGATGGTTTAGATTGGGAAGTAATAGAAGCAGCAAAACCAAGGATGAACCCGGGTATTTGGCTTGAGCAACTGGAAGGATGGGATTGCCTGTGGGAGGAGTGGGTTTAAGGGGAAAATTGGGGGTTTCTTTTTAGATTTGCTAAGTGGAGATGCTGGACCAGCAGATGGATATATAGGTTTGGAATTCAAGGGAGAAGACCAGCCTGGAGATGCAGATTTGGGAGTCACTAATGTAGAAACGGTGTTTATGTACTTGAGATTGGGTGGAGTCACCTGAGCCAGAAGTGAATAGAGATGAAGTAGAGAGGTCTGAGCATGAGCTGGGCGGAATCTTCCAGAATTCTCTGACACAGAGGATTGCACTCCCCTCCGTGGTCAGAGACGACGCAGGAGACCATGAGGTATGAAGAATGAAATCAAGTAGGGAAGCCCAGCCCTAGCAGACATGTTGAATGGACAACTGGCATGTTGATTTTGTGTTCCATGTTAGAGGAAAGAAAAACAAAAATATTTTTAAAAACAGAAAAAGAAAAAAAGAGGTGTGTGAATTTTCCTTTTATGTTTAATGACTTAAAAAAGAAATTGCATAATACACATCTAGGAGATGGGAAATAGATTTATCATATAATAACTGTGTGTGTGTGTGTGTGTGTATGTGTGTGTGTGTAAGGAAGGACGGGTAATTGAAGGGACTAGAAATGAACTCCTTTGTCCTGCTAAGAGAAACATAACATTACAGCCTAAAGTGGTTAAAGACCCTGAAGATGAAAAGTGTGGTGTATAAGTGCTAAGTGTTGTTATTCTCCCATAGGACCTAAATCGGACTCATTATGCTGATGCAGCAATAGGAAATTAGGACATTTCCATGCTCTAGAATTCCTACCAAAATGATTAAAAGTGAAGTCCATCCCCAGAGAGTATTGACTGTTTAACACATGGAACAAGGGACAAGCTACAGTCTTAAGATCTTGGATCCCAGCTCAACAGGAGTCACAGAACAGGGCATGGTGGGGTCAGCCTCAGCTCCGCAAAGCAGGCTGTTTAATCTGATTAAATTCTGTACCTGGAAATCATGTTACCCGATGCCACCCATTACTTGGGGCAAGAAGGTGCGGAAGGAGAGGCACTTTGCCTTCTTACACTATCTTGTGCCCATCAGCCGCTAGCCAGCATCGCTGCTCTGTGGGGAAGGTATGAGTGGTGCTGGATGGAAAATAAAAGATGCCAAGTTGAGCAAACTTGCAACAGCTGCACATTTCCGGTTATGCTAACATGTTGCTTCTCTGATATTTGTGTAAAACAATCCTTCCCTCCCCCCAGAAGTATGGAGAAAAAGAATATTCTGAAACCTAAACTTGGTTTTATCCAGGTTTTGAAAATGTCCCCGTGTTTGCTTAATCCTAGTAGATGAGGCTGCTTTTGATCTTTTCATTTTTTTTTTTTATCAGCATGACTGAAAGGAAACACTCATTGACAGTGATATTGGAGATGACAACCTCTTTCTTCCACCACCCCAATGACTGAAAACCCTAAGGCTTATATTATAAGGATTCTTTTTGTCCTCCCATTTCAGTGCACTACAAATGTAAATCACGTTCAACTTTCTCCTTGCAGGTTAAAATTATGCCCTCATCTTAGGTGGAATTTGACGCTGGAAGGGAATTTGACTTGATCTTTGCATCCCACTCAGGGGAATGACTAAACCAGTGGATAAACTGGAAGCTATTTCATGTGTTTTAGGTCACTAGGATTTAGGAATAATGAGTACAATCTTAGCAGGGATTATTAAGAGTTGGTATTTACTTCCACATATGTGAATGAATGTGATCTCAGGTTCTGCTTCAACTTTAAAATGGAGTGGAGTTCTTTTCAACTCATAGGAGTTCATTTTTGGTTTGTTTTTGGGTTTTTTGGTGAAAAGACAGGGTATCCTGAAAGTAGCAATATACATAGTCTATTGTCTTGCAAAGAGTGGACACTTAATATTAAGTGTTCGATGTAGATGATGAGAGCAGCTCAGGAAGCTGACAGCTTAGAGGAATACTGGCTAAGATGGTGACAGATATTTGTTCATCATCTCCCTTGGCGAGTTTGCATATTCGGGTTATTTGGATCTTAATTGATGAATCCTTACAAGCTAATTTTCACAGTAAAGAAAAAAAGTATTTTATCTTTTGCGACTGGGGACTTGATTTTGAGTGCTTGATTATTTGGCAGCTGGTGGCTCTGTCTTCAACCAGTGTTAACAGGCAAAGTGAAGGGGGGAGGTGGTTGTGACAGTAATTTCAGACGAATGTCTCCTAGCCTGTGGCAGCTTTCATTGTTCTCTGAGTTCAGTATTAATTATTTAAATTATTTATCACAGGTTTTATTTGTTTTATTTATTTTTTATTTTTTGGAGATAGAGTCTTACTCTGTGGCCCAGGCTGGAGTGCAGTGGCGCCATCTCGGCTCACTGCAAGCTCCGCCTCCCGGGTTCACGCCATTCTCCTGCCTCAGCCTCCAGAGTAGCTGGGACTACAGGCGCCGGCCACTACTCCTGGCTAATTTTTTGTATTTTTAGTAGAGACGGGATTTCACCGTGTTAGTCAGGATGGTCTCAATCTCGGACCTCGTGATCCGCCCGCCTCGGCCTCCCAAAGTGCTGGGATTACAGGCGTGAGCCACCGCGCCTGGCCTATCACAGGTTTTATTTATATTTGCTATGACAGGACATTTGTTCTGGCAAGATAGAAGTCTCTGTCTGATGTCTTCTTGAGAACTGGCCCAAGGTTTTCAGAGGCTGGAGTCTGAATTAGAAAGGTTGCGCATTCATGTCATGCCTGTGGCGGGTGTTATCGGAGGTGCTAATGTCTCCCTTGAAGCTACAGAGTAGGAGGGACTGGAGAATGCTTGGACCCTATTTTATTTCCATCATGATGATTGCTAGGGAAGCTGGACGTTAATTTTGGGAAAGACTATTGTGTTGGAAATATTGCAGAGTAAAATAGTGTTTTCTTGCACCAGCATTTCCTGTTCAGTTGTGACTGGGGATGGTAACAATCAAAGGACTTACATATTCATAAAGCATATTCATGTCCACATATGGACATGAATTAATGTCCATTAAATATACTATTAATGATAATTTGATTTGGGCCTCTTCAGTTAACTGGGAATAATTATAAGTGGTTATACTAGTAATAGTTTTCTCCATTGGAAATGCAGAGAAATAAACTGTCAAGAGAGACAAAAAGGGAGCCAGTGGTTTATGTGGACCGTCTTGGCCTTTCTCTGACCTCTCTGGGTGTCCAGCTCTGCCTCCCTGTCTTTTGGATGTATCCACTCTTAGGTGGATTTTGTTTACACCTTCTCTTCAGAAAACCCATACATTCTCATAGCTTAAGAGTCAAGTCCACCCAGACAATTCCTTTATCGTACATCTAGCCCTTGCATTGGCATAAATATTGGTCTCTAGCCTCTAGCTGTTACTGATGTTCCCATTGAACATACCACTGCTATTCCTCACTCAACATGCCGGAAACCATACCCAGGGCTTTCCCATACAAACTCACCACCATGCCCGACTCCCCTGGTTCTGTTAGAGGCATGTTTCACCCTCCCACTCTGGGACTCAGCTCCCTCCCTACCCTCTTTCGTTCCACTCCTTAGGTCCAATCAAATTTCTTTAGACACAGTCCTCAGATCTTCCCTTTATTTTCCGTTTCTATTACCTCAAGCCTAGACCATTCTTACTTCGTACTGGGTTATTGCTGCGAATTCTAAGAAGGCTATATGACCTTTAACATAACTTTAAAGAGATACCTAGTAATAAGTATTATTGTAATAATTATTATTGTAAAATTGAATGCATTTAAAAAAAAACAAAAACTAACAGAAATGTTTAAAGTAAAAATATATATATATATGACCAGGTGTGGTGGCTTATACCTGAAATCTGAGCTCTCTGGGAGGCCTCGGGGTGAGAGGATCACTTGAGCTCAGGAGTTTAAGATTAGCCTTGGCAACATAATGAGACCTCTTCTGTATTAAAAATGAAAATAAAAAAATTATCCAGGGTTGGTGGCCCACACCTGTAGTCCCAGCTGCTTGGGAGGCTGAGGCAGGAGGGTTGCTTGAGCCCAGGTGTTCAAGGCTGCAGAGAACTGTGATCGCACCACTGTACTCGACTGAGTGACAGAGCGACACCTTGTATTTTTTTTAAAAAAAAAGTAAAGAAAACAATTGTTCTTGAAGCTGTTTGCCTTTTCTTTGTGGTTAAAGGAAAAGTTCCTCCAAATATTATCATTGTTAAAAATTAGAGAGATCGGTGTGGGACATAGTGGGTATAAAAAGGGGATAGTTTGGAAATTTTATAAACACAGCCTCATGCTGTATTTTACTACAGCAACATGTGGTCAGTTAATCCTGGTGCTACAACATTGGGACTGAAGTGGGGGCAATAAATGACCGAAAAAAGAAACCCAAAACAGCCAAAACCACAGTGCAGCCCTGAAGCTCCGCAGGCACCGCCCTCAGCTCAGCTGCAGCCTGTAAGGGCCACTTCTTTGGCCCGCCCTGCCCTCCCATCAGGCAGCCTTACTGCAGCTGAAAATCAGTCCAAGTGGATTCTAGTGGTTGGGATGATCCTCACTAAAACAATTAGGAAGCTCCGCCTTAAGGTCTGGGGAAAAGGTAGCTTTTCCCAGCAGGGAACTTTCTCATCAGGGTGATTGTTTTAAATTCCAGGTTGGGTCGGGTACTCAGCTTGTTTAAATCGCTTCTTACCTGTCCCAAGGCAGGCAAGCCAGGCTGCAATTTCAAGGTATTAACCCAAATGGAATCACAACATCGAATGGACACTCTCCTCCGAATGAATCCATTTCCAGCTGTGAGTAATTCAGGATTTCTGACGTGCCAGACAGGCACACAGAGTGGGGTGTGTACCTGGGCTCAGGAGGCCCTTGCATCTGCAGAGGAAGCTCACGCTGTCCTCCGCGAGGCCCTGCATTAATACTCCCAAAGGCATGCAGGAAAACAGATCTGTTTTCTGGGCCAGATTAAAAGTAAATGACTAAAAGATGAAGCTTCCGTTCTAGGCAGAAAACAGCATTCACATTTGGAAAACTGGACCAAATGATAGACTCAGCATCTGTAGCTAAGTTACTTACCTGGGCCCCTCACAGAGACGTGAAAAAAACTGACATTGTAAAAAGAGGAAAGGAAAATAATATAATAGTTGCAAGAAACTGTCTCTGCCTCCATCATCTCATAAATCCAGGTGAACATTAAGTACGGCTTGGAGCAGGTATGGGAGTGATTTACTCTGAGAACTCTGCTCCAGCATTTGTGTGTTGTTAAGTTATTTCCATACTGAAAAGTCTGAGGCCAGAACTGGGATTCCGAGCATTCCTCCCATCTGCATTTCCAGCACGTTGGCTGTCAACTCAAACCTGTGGTACGATGACTGATTTTAGTATCAGAACCATGCAGGGCCATTTCCCTTGTTCTTCACCCAAGTCCCACCAAAGTCCAAAGACTTAGGAAAGTTGATCAAACGGTGGATTTTCCCCCCTGAATTACTGGTACCTATGTTCATGTACTTTTTGGAACTAGTTGTTCTGGTGAGCCAGGTGGGGCTTACAAGCCGGTTGGGTTGGTGAGGAGGCTAGGCTGTTTTCTTTGGGTGGCCACGCACCTCCTGTCTGCAGTGGAATATCTGTCGCAGGCTTCTCTGCTTGACTGTTGTTAGGTTTCCCTCTGTGCTTTGCTTTCTGGGATAGTCAAAGCTATTGTTCAGTTTGTTAGAACTTGTGACTCTGTTCTGTGTGACCAGTCCAGTCCTCTTGTTTGGTTCTCGGGTGAAGCAGAATTCCAAAAGGACTTTACTTTCAGCATCTCCTCTAAGCACAAATTTGCTAATAGAACTCACTTGCTGCTGGCAGGATGAGACCGGTGTGTATGATGACATTTTGTAAGACAACATTCGAGCTATTATTCGAGAGTTTTGAAGCTAGAAGAAGGCTGTCCCACCTGCAAGCTTTCCCTTCATTGTCTGGTGCTGAGGGTGGGGGAGCAGCTTGCTTCCCAGTCCTCTCTGTAAAATGAGGACTTCATATTTTGGATTTAGTGTGGCTGCAGCCAGCGGAGCCCTTGAGATCTGAGGTATGTGCAGAATACACCATCTGTTCTAAGAAAACTTTGAAAGTTAATCATAGTGCTGACCGAATCCTGCCTGAGTTGGTGCTGGGCACAGCCTTTTTCTGGGGCTTTATGTTTGGGTGGGGGTTTATTCAGGCTCTGCAAGCAGTCACTTCCCCAAAGAAGAAAAGCAGTCGTGTTTTGTGTGAATGTCAGGCTGATTGACTACAGGTGATGCAGCACTGGGCATTTTTGAATCACAGCCTCTCTCAAAGAAGTCGTCCCCTTCCTGCCTTCTCCCAGCATGATTTGTTATGCACAGAGCTTAGGAACTTTCCCAGAGGATTTATGAACATAAGGTTATTGCTGAATTTGTTGGCATGGTTGGCCCAGGCATTCCTGTCCATTGCTCTCTAACCAGAGCAACAAGCCTTTGGATAAGGAAGCCTGGGCTTCTCAGTGCTCTAGAATGTGGTGGGCATGCGAGTCCCACCCTTGTAACCCCACTTGGTTGGTCTCCAAATGGCTAGAGGGAAACAAGATGGCCCAGAATTCTGGCAACCCCTTTCTCAGTGTGTCGTGCCCAAGAGCTCTTCCCCATGCTGCCAGGCCACCTGAAAGTGGCCTCCAAACACTTCCTGTGCGATCCACACTCCCCCCATGTGGATTGTGAGGATGTGACTTGGAGTGTGGTCTGAACTCAGGACGAGGGCAAGAAGTCAGCTCCATTCCATCGCTCTCTAAAAGTCACACATGACTTTATTTTCTCACTGGTAAAATGGGCCTTTTGACAACTTTGAAGTTCTAAACACAGGAAGTTAGAATACATCAAGATCTGAAGAATTGACATTAAAACTGGTTCCTAGGTAGGGGTTGTTAGATTCATACATCACTAGAGCATCTCACTTTGAACATTCTTTCTGATGTTGACTACAAGAAGTGTCCAAAAAGCGAGCAGGAAACAGGAATCCAAACTCCACGTTCACAGAGACAATTACACCGTTGTGACATTGCTGCCTGGAAGAGGCGTCTTTTTCCTGCATGTCAGCAGTAAGGAAATAATTCCTTGATCCAGATCTCTGCTAGATTTTTTTCTTTATTTGTATTACAACAATACATGTGTATATGTTTTAGGCACATGTATTACAACATACATGTGTATATGTTTTAGGCAAAGTTGGGAATTCAGACTTTGGGAACAATTTCATGCCAATTTCTGGGAAGTTCTGGCAGACATTCTGATTATACCTAAATTGCTTATAATGTTCAATCCAACACCAGCTTTAACAGATAATTGCTATCAAAGTATAACTACCTGCTGCCCTTTGATTTTGAAGATGGCGTCACTGATTTACCCATAAGCTGGAGGTGAACTTAGAGTTGATTTACCCTTGGTGGTAATGGGTTTGCACAAATCTAAACACACGTGCCCTCCCATAGACTTCCTTGCAACCAGAGGCACATATTGTAAGACAGCTGGCCAGGGCCAGGGGTGCAGTCTGTGATGGTGGGAGAGAGGCACTACTTTGACCTCATTAAAGTAGTCCTTCTAATTGAATGCGACAGTCATAGACCACAACTGCTCAGTGCTGCACTTATACAATGTACTGGTGTATTTCGCAGGAAAAACATCTGTTAATAACACTGACGGAATATTCCCAGCATTATTTTCTCTTCTATTTTACATTTTGCTCTTCTTAAATTTGATTGCTTTTTGGCAAAATCTCAGGATGCCAAACAAACATAACCAAATCACGTAACAGTGGTTTGTTGTTATAAAAAAGCATTGAGAGCTCACATATGTGCATTAAACCAAACTGAAAATGGACAAGAACTCATAAAGAAGGACATGTGTGTCTCTGATTTTTGCACATGAGTTGGTGTTAGAAGGGAAAATAGGAATGGTGCTTTGGTGTGTGCTAGGAATGGCTTGAAAGGAACTGATCCACTAAAATACTTTGTTTAGTTGCATCGTGGTATGGGTTCAGCTCATCCGCCTGGATTACTGGCTTTTCATCAAAGGCTAAGTAGGTACTACTTCAATAGAGCCGTGTTCCTTCAGTATGAACTAGCTGACTCAGGTCAGTTTTTAAACATCAGTTTATAACTTGCTATGCTCACACACTTATGCCAACTTCCTCCTTCGTAGTTGTCTCCGCATCCTCCTGCCTCAGGCTTTTGGGAGGCCTCTTCCCTTTCACATTTGTCACTGAGACCATTTGACATATTAGCCAGTTGGGGCATGAGGTCCAAACAAGAATTACTCATATTTGCATTCTCCTTTCCTATCCGTGGAAAAGAAGAGACCAAGTCTGATTTCTGAAGTGATCCCCACTTCCTGCAACTCCCTGGCAGAGGTAACTTGCTCCTAGGGCCAAATCCCCTTCCCAACGGCTGTTTGGTGATTCTGTGTCACTGGGCTGACTGTAAAATCAGGCATATCCTTTTAATTACCTGTTCATATTTCAGCAATGCCGAGCTCTGTGGCACAGAGAGAGGGGATAAACCTTCATTGTAAAGGATTTTTAGAAAGACTATCTCTGAGATAAGAGTTCTAAATCTTGGCAGTCTCTTCAGAGCACACACTTTGTGATTGCACACAAATTCTTGGCTCCCCAGAGCCGTGTTGTAAATGGAGCACAGTGTACAGGGTTGGGTAATAAGATACTGCAGATACATTTTAGAGCAAGGTGCACTTTTGCTTTATTTATGAAGATAGACAGGCTGGTTGAGGGCTTAATCACAGCTGATAAATCATTTTAAGAAAGCCTATTAGAACCATATGCTGATTTTTTTGCATTAATATAGTGTGTCTGTTTCCAGTCTAATAAGACAGGGTTTTTTTCTCCTGTGCTCTGGGTCTCTCCAGTGTAGACTATTTATCTGTTTAAGTGGTATCACTTGTGTGGGGGCAGTCTCTCCTTAAGAGGTACCATTAATAAAGGCAAAAGAAAAGGGGGAGGCAAAAATGAGCCAAGGCACCCATTGCACAGTGCATGTGTGTGTGTGGGCATGCAAGTGTGCCTGTGCACGTGTGTATAAGTGTGTGTGTGTGTTTATGGTATTACAAAGGAAAGAGTAAAAAAGCTGAGAACAGGAAACATCTCAATTAGAGTTTCGGAAGGCCGTGGATTGGTCTTCACTTGGCATAAGGTAGTCATTTCAGCCCAGGTGGTTATAATACTGTAGGAAAAGATTATCTGAAGTTGGAAGAGGGTGTGCACTGACATTTTGGTTACCTCACTTCTCCCCAGGCTCGCGGAGGTCTGCCCCAAGAACAGGTCCCAAGGCTCTTTAATGAGAGCCACATTGGAGCTCCGACTCTGAGCCAAGCTCTGTTTATCACTAATTGCAGGGGTGCCTTGCAGATCTTTTCTATTATTTCCTGATTATACCCCTGCTCTTTTTATTATCTTGCCAAAATTCAAACAGTAATAATTGCATGATTTATTGTTTATTTATAACCCTTCTACTGCTTCAATCCCTGTATTTAATAGATTTTAAAACAGCAAATAGCTCTTACTAACCTTCTACAGGGAAGTCATGTATATGCCAATCTTACTTGGCATTCTTCAAACCACTTCCATGGTACTTCTGCACAATACGGTGTCTCTGACCAGATACAGAAGGGCTGTTTTTAAGTGCACAGAGAGTTTGTGTGCCAGGAGAATGTGTTAGGAAAGGATATTAATTTATCCTATAGGATTACGTTGAGTTATGTTAATATGACTTCTAGTCTTTCCAACTCACACTTTCCAAGAGAGAGATAAATGAAAAGCCTGTTTTATACACATTTAGACATAGTGGGGAAATATAACATCACATTATTAAAATTGAGATTATAAACTAGTAATAATAAAATTCACCATCATTCCTTGGGCTCCTACTATTTGTCAGGTGCCGTTCTAGAAGTTTTGTTTATATTATCCCCGTTCATCATAGCAATCCTAGAAGATAGATGTTTTTGCCCCCATTTTACACAATGAGAAGTTAAAGCTTAAGAGTTTAAATAATTTGCTGAAAGTCATGAAGCTAGTAAGTTGCAGATTGAGTATATAGGACTGTCTGCTGGGAAATTAGTGTGTTTCCCGCTACTTCAGATGCTTCTTCCTGTCTTTCGTTGTGTGCATATGCATTTTAATATAATTTACTTGAAAAAATGTCCGGTGGAAGCTTTTGCAGAACATCAAGCCATGCTTGACCTTGACAAACACATGAAAATATCTTGACTGCACTGACTATATCCTGCTCTTTGTTTTTTTTTTTTTTTTTTTTTCTGAGGTGGAGTCTCACTCCGTCGCCCAGCCTGGAGTGCAATGGCACAATCTCTGCTGACCACAACCTCCGCCTCCCAGGTTCAAGCAATCCTCTTGCCTCAGCCTCCCAAGTAGCTGGGATTATAGGCATGTGCCACCATGCCCGGCTAATTTTTTTGTATTTTTAGTAGAGATGGGGTGTCACCATGTCGGCCAGGCTGGTCTCGAACTCCTGACCTCAAGTGATCCGCCTGCCTCAGCCTCCCAAAGTGCTGGGATTACAGGTGTGAGGCCACCGTGCCTGGCTATACCTTGTCTTTTAAAAGTCCTTCGTAAGGCTTCTGTTGAGCTTCGTCTTAGCTCTGGATTTGCCCACATTCTGCAGATGTGGCTAGAGACAGCGTGGCTGGCCCTGAAACCTAGCAATGAAAGGTAGCTTGCTCTTTCTTCGTAATGCACTTTTCAATGCCACCAAAGGCATGTAACCCACCACGACTGCTCTGCTCACCAAGATGCGTAATTCCAGTTCCCAACCAAGCATGGGAATCCTCTCATCTCCAGAGTTCTGTGAGAGACATCCACTCGCTGTGAGGTGTTTTGTTCTGTGCCTGGTTGTACAGACTGCCACCATCCTAGAGTAAAATGAACATTTGGTGAGTGAAGAGGTATTTGGAACCTATATTAGATTCTAAAAGACCAATGTCTGCTTGAATGACTGCCTTGAGGAAAGCACGCTTGGGTGAGCACTGCCCTGGGTCTCTTAGGGCATAACCTTGGGATTCAGGGAGTTGCTATGCCATCACTTTTGGGTGTCATAGGAGTTTTGGCAGTGGGATAAAGATTAATTACTGGTATATAAGCCGTGCTATGTATTAATTTGTTTAAATGTTGGCTCTTAAAGGAAACTGCCACACACCCTCCCTATACCTATGCCCAGCTTCTACCACTGGGAATACTCCCATTATGTTCTCCCAATTCAATCGAAAAACGTTTATTGAGGTCTTAATGTGTCCCAGGTGCTGTGCTAGTTGGGTCAGGAGCCAAGGCTACATTCTATTAGAGGAACTGCTAGTGATATAAAGGAAAGTTTGGCTTTTTTGATGGGTCCTAAACTCTTCTGGGATCGTGTGTACAGTAGAAACAGCATTGGTGGTGGCTACTCAGTTTAGCTGGGTATTCTTCATGCTCTGACCCCAACTTAATTTTCCAGTTTTCTTTCTCATTTGTCTCTCATGTCTTTTCTGCTCAGGAAAATGAAATAAGCCATCCTCCCTGAAACTGCTCTGTGGCTTCACCACCTTGCTGTGCTTGCCCATGCAGTTATTTCCTCTTGCAAGGTCTTCTTCCCTCATCTTTGACCGAATCTAATCCACGCATGAAAGCTCATGTCAGCTGCCACCTCCATGAAGCCTTCTCTGATCTCCCCTCACCTGATGCAATCTTGATCTTTCCTGAATTCCTGCAGTGCTTTTTCAGCACTGCTTATGGCACACCTCACCTCCTACCTTGTGTTTTGATATTTGCTGAAACTGCCTCCTGGGACTGTGAGCCATGTTATCACAGGGCTCTGCCTGTCTCCACCTGTCATTCTCAGCACCATTGCCTTACACGTGGAAGGAGCTCTGTGAAGAATTACTGGAATGAGTGAATGAATGAACATGTAATAGTGAATGAATGTCCTCACTGAACAAGATTACATCACTTGGTTTATCTGAGACAAGGAAGACTGAAGTGCTTTCTACCTCTGAAGTAAGATGTCTCTTAGACAGCTTTAGTATACACTTCCTTTTAAAGAAATTTGCTGGCTGGGTGCAGTGGCTCATGCCTGTGAGCTCAGCATTTCGGGAGTCAAAGATGGGCAGATCACTTGAGGTCAGAAGTTCAAGACTAGCCTGGCCAACATGGTGAAACCTCGCCTCTACTAAACACACACACACACACACACACACACACACACACACACACACACGGCAGATGTGGTGGCACACATCTAATCCCACCTAATCAGGAGGCTGAGGCAGGAGAATTGCTTGAACCTGGAAGTGAGCTGCAGTGAGCCGAGATCGTGTCACTGCACTCCAGCCCGGGTGACAGAGCGAGACTCTGTCTCAAAGAAAGAATGAAAAATTTGCCAATTCATGAAAGAGCTAGAATTATTGAGGATAAAAATACCTAATAACATAGTTATTGGTTAATAGCCATGCTGTGTAGAGAATCTTGAATTGAAAGCAAGAAGAATTTTAATTAGAAATGCTTCTATTCATTCAACCGTTTTTGTGAGTTTTAATTTTTCTTTTTATCTATTTAATTTTCTAATTGATACATCATATTTGTACACACTTATGTGATAGATGTGTTATTTTGATACATGCATAGAATATGTAGTGATCAAGTAGGGTTATTTAGGCTATTACCTTAAACATTTACCATTTCTTTGGAGAACATTTCAAATCTTCCAACTATTTTGAAATATACAATATATTGTTGTTAACTATAGTTACCATACTGTGCTATTAAACAGTAGAACTTATTTCTTCTATCCAACTGTGTGATTGTGCCCATTACCAACCCCTCTTCATTCCCCGAACCCCACCCCCGACCCTTCCCAGCTTCTGGTAACCATCATTCTACTCTCTACCTTCATGAGATAAACATTTTAGGCATCACAAGTGAGTGAGAACACATGATATTTATCTCTCTGTGCCTGGCTTATTTCATTTAACGTAACGACCTTCAGTTCCATCCATGTTGCTGTAAATGACAGGATTTCTTTTTTAGGGCCCAGTAGTATTCCATTGTGTATATATACCACATTTTCTTTATGCACTTATTTATTGATAGAATATTTGATTGATTCCATATCTTGGCTATTGTGAATAGTGCTGCAATAAATGTGGAAGAGCAGGTATCCCTTTGATAAACTAGTTTTATTTCCTTTGGATAAATACTCAGTAGTGAGATTGCTGGATCCTATGGTAATTATATATTTAGTTTTTTTGAGAAATCTCCATTCTGTCCTCCATAGTGGCTATGCTAGCTTACATTCCCACCAACAGTGTGTAAGAATTCTCTTTCTTCCACATCCTCACCAGCATTTATTATTATTATTATTATTTATAATAGCCATCCTAACTGAAGTAAGATGATATCTCATTGTGGTTTTGATTTGCGTTACCCTGATGATTAGTGATGGTGAGCATTTTGAAAAAAAATGTATCTGTTGGACACTTGTATGTCTTCTCATTGGCATGCAGTAAGGTACCACTCAGACCACAGGCACTTATAATAAGGTGTGACAAATATTTTGTACCATAAATATAATAGACATAAGCTAAAGATTTCCTAATCCAGTAGTGTGTGTGTATGTGTGTGTGTCTGTGTGTGTATGATGGGGAGAGTGGTAGATATCAATGGCAGGTCTTAGTTAACTAACCTAACACTCTAAGCCTCAGTCTTCTCATCTGTAAAATGGCAATAATAATTACTTAGCTCACAGGATGATGTGGTGATAAATGAAACCTCATATATAAAGTACTGTAGCTTGTATTCAGGGGTTCTCGATAATTCTAATTCTCTTTCCCTTCACTGGATGTATATCCAAGAATCAGAGACTGCTGAGATTTCAGCGCCAAATCTGGGATGGGAAATTAGGCAAATACTCTACACTCATAATGTTCCCTGGATTTTAGGTGGTGGTTGTGACTCAGAAATCCCTTTCATCACTGCAGTGAGCCCAGAGACTAAAACCTTCCAAAAGCCTTAGTCAAAACTCAGAGGTGGGTTAGTGTCTATGATCCATACTGAGCAGGAAATAATCTTTCTGTTGTTACAGGTGATTATTATATAAATCAAAAGTCCAAGGGCTTCCCCAAAGTTTTGCTTTACAACCTAGGCAATGCAGTATGCCCAGTATTTATTTTTAGGAAGGTTTGGCAGATGTTAGGTAGGCTGACTTCCAGGTCAGAAAAAAATGTTCAGAGCAATATAATAGAAGTCCCCGTGGGACAAATTGAAGTGAAACGTTATCATCTTTGGAACACATTCACCTATTCATCAGTTACTTAGCCTCTAAACTGTGGATCCTGCTTATACCATCTTACTTTGCCTTCTTTGGTGGCATTTAAGTAACTTCCTGGAAAGACGTGCTTCTTGCTGTGTCTGGCTGTTTAGGGTTACCAGAGTTTTGGTTACTACAGAACATTGTTGGGAAAGAAAAATAAATCCTTGCTTTGGGAAGATTTACCATCAAAGCAGAGTCCATGGTTTAGGCAAACTCGAACTGCCTGGAAAAAGCAGGCTGTGCAGCCACATGGACTGGCCACGCTGAGAAGCCGAAAGGCCGACTGTGCACAAAAGAGGTGCTGCCTGCCTGGTGATCCTGTCCTCCTGGGATAGGGGTCTGTGCACAGGCCCCAAACAGCTTGGAGCACAGGCACTGAATGGTATAATCATTCATTCCTGTTTTCTTTCTTTGTCAGAAATGTCACAGACCCAGGGAGGTCCTCTATCCTGTACTCATGGTATCTAATTCATCCATCTTTTATTAATCCTGTGACAGCAGGTGCTGGACACCTGGACACATACTCTACACCCCTTATGAAGAGTGAAATATTAAACCAAGGGTGGGTGGCAGAACCTTGACTTTTCCATTGTGTATCTGAGGAGGACAACTCATCAGGGAATTGGAGCTGAGACATGACATACACCCTTTAGTGAAAACCTGGTTAGTTGCAGTGAGCCATGCCTTAGCAGGCTTTTCCAACATCCAAGAAGTAGTTTGGGTCTATCATAACCACCATGACTATCACTCCTTCCTAAGCAAAAGCTGAAAGACCAACTCTTTGCCCAGTAAGAACCCATCCTGCTTTTCTTGTTGTTACTGAAGCTGAATATTCCAAGATCAGTGCCATACAACTGCTTTTATCTCAGTGCTTACCAAATGCCTTCTTTGGAACAGTACTCCTGAGAAACTTGCTGCATTGGAATTACCAATGTGACCTGGGACTGTGCTACAAATACAAATTCTGAAGCCCTATTCTGGACCAATTCACTCTGTCCAGCCTGTGGCAAGTTCCCAGATGATGCTGATGCTGCTGGTCTGGGACCACACTTTGAAGACCACTGGTCTAAAAATTCTCTTGACAGCCAGGTGCAGTGGTTCTTGCCTGTAATCCCAGTGCTGTGAGAGGCTCATGTAGGAGGATCACTTGAGGACAGGTGTTCAAGACCAACCTGGGCAATATGGTGAGACATCATCACTACAAAAAAGTTTTTAAAAAATTAGCCAGGCATGGTGGTGCATGCCTGTATTCCTAGCCATTCAGGAGGCTGAGACAGGAGGGTCTCAGCCCAGGAGTTTGAGGTTGCAGTAAGCTTTGATTGCATCATTGCACTCCAGCCTGCGTGACAGAGAGAGATCCTGTCTCAAAAAAATTCTCTTGTGAAATATACTTATTGTTTGTTTCATATTATTCCTTTCTTGAAGCCAGGATCTTGTGGAACCTACTTTGCACCACTGTAATGGAAAGAGCTTGAGCTATCCATACCTACTGGCTACGTGGCCTTACCAAGTCATTTAACTTTTTCTGAGCCGCCATGTTTATCTACCTTGCAAAGTTATAGTGAGGTTTGGGCACAATTACATGTGCGGGTCCAGCAAATTGCCTTGCACATAGAATATACTTACTAAATGGAAAGCATGTTTTGTTTAGTTCAGGCCAGAGCTATGCTGACATTTGCTGCACCCACACTTTCTTGGGATGTACTGACACTTCAAGACACTTTGAATGTACAGTCCAAAGATTTCTTGAAACTTGGGGCCCATCGCTTCTACCTGTGTGCAAGTGAGCAGATCTTCCTGACATAGGCTATCACTGAGTCGGCATTAATTGCTCTGTAATTGTCAAGGGGAATATTTCATGATGAAAGGATAGTGTTTGAAGATGCTGTGACATCCTGAATGCTTAATATTTCAATTCTCAATTATGTGAAAGCAGTTTGTAAACTTCAGTGTGCTATACAAATGAGTATGTGCTGGGTGCAGTGGCTCACGCCTGTAATCCCAACACTTTGGGAGGCTGAGGCGGGAGGATCAGCTGAGGTTGGGAGTTGGAGACCAGCCTGACCAACATGGAGAAACCCTGTCTCTACTAAAAACACAAAATTAGCCAAGTGTGGTGGCACATGCCTGTAATCCCAGCTACTCGGGAGGCTGAGGCAGGAGAATCACTTGAACCCAGGAGGTGGAGGTTGCAGTGAGCCGAGATCGCGCCATTGCACTCCAGCCTGGGCAACAAGAGCGAAACTCCATCTCAAAAAAAAAAAAAAAAAAAAAAAAGAGCGTGATTATAATTGTTATTACCTTAACCAATGTTTTAGGTTAAAAAAAAAAAAGGCTTGCCAATGCAGAATAGGTGTGTTTCTCACTTTTAAAGAAGAATATGATATTTATTTCCCTTCTTTGGCCATACTCTGAACATTATCTCAGAATCTCTCTGGTGGCTTCCACAACTTCCGGGATATCCTAACCTTGTTGCTTTAAGGCTGGACCTTGGAGAGGTCATGAGAGGGTAGAACATCAATTGACTTTGCAATGATTCCTCATAACCAAGGAGACACACCAGTCCTTCTGAGGCAACAAACTTGGAGGTGGAAGAATGTGATTCATGAGGAAAAGCAACAGCAACAGATTCCTGATTCTTCTGTGGGAGCAACTCTAAAGCTATGACCTGGAGCACAACTGGTGTCTGTTGCTTATTCCTGTGGCCTGCTGGGCTACATCTGGAGGTTCTGGAGACCAGCTGACCCCTGGAGGGATCTGGGCTCCAGTTTTTCCACCCAAGAATGCACGAGAGTGGTCACTGACTATGGAGCTCTGCTAATTGACCACTCAGGCAATAGCCAAAGCCCCGAAGGAGGTGCCAAGGTGGGAAGCACTTCCCTGTGCTCCCTGCAGAGGACCCTGTTGGCAGGCAGAAAAGGATGGGCCAGGAAAGTAGGGAAGGAGTGAGACGAGAGAAAGAAAATCACAGATGTCCCAAGTTTCCACAATTTTATCAAAAATTTTTCCATGACTCATCTTGTGCCTTCTCCCCAAATTTAACATGATAAAACCACTGGCCTAAATATAATTAAACTGCAATTACTCAAGAGTAAGAGGGTGGTACCTTTTAATCAACCCCTTCATTCCCTCAAACACAGAATCCAAGGTGGGAAAATAAAGAACAAAAACTGTCTGTCTCTCTTCTTCCCAACCTGATTTCCTTGCTCTATGGCCCTCTGAGAGGGAGAGCAAGTCAGAAGGATTTCCAGAATAATTTCTTCCCACCCAAATGTGGGGAAATCAAGTGAAAGCTGCACAGAGACAGCTGGAAGACTGTCATGTTTTGCTTGTTTGTTTCCTCAACCCAACTTCAAGACATGCTCAGCTCCAACACACTTTGCTTTACCTTTCTATACGTTAATCTGCCAGGAAAGTTTCTTCTACGGTGAGGCTATTTGGGACACCTGATAATCACACCAGCTATTGTTTACTGAGCACCTACTATTTGCCAGATATCTTGCAAAATTATCTCTTATCATCACAGCTCCATGAGGCAGGTTTTATCACTTATAATTTTCCTGATAAGAAATGAACTCAGAGATTAAGCTATTTGTCCTTAGTCATCCAATGGCAGAGCTGGGATTTAAACTCAAGACTGCCCAATTCTAAAAGTCCCCTCTGACTTTGGAAGGAGCAGTGGTGAATAGAACAGGAGCAAAAGCAATTCAGAGTCGCTTTTGTGATTGCTTTTGAATTGGTACACACTGTCACAGGCTCCGGATCCAGGCTTCTGATCCAACCCACATTGGTTTTCCTCGCCCGTCAGATAAGAGGAGCCATGCTTGACCTGGAAGGTGTTGAAAGACATGCTGCTGTGTGCAGCTTATCAAAGGGAACAAGGTTCACCATCACTGAGACCTAGGAAGGGGCCGTGGTCCAGCTGGACCCTAGTCGAGCTGCTCAGGGGCAGCTTGGGCTGTCGTCCAGGGTGCACGAAGCCATAGCCAATGTCAAGGGCTCCTAATGTCCAGGCAGGAAACTGTGACTGAAAAGCTGAAAAAACATATGATCCCATAAAAAGCTGCCTTTGGGGAAACAAGCCATTAGTCAGCCTTATTTATTTTTCCTTCTTGCTGCAAAGTTCAATACAGATGAAGGAGCTGCGATTATCATATAAAAGGCTATGCAAAATGGCCCTCCCTCTACGCTGCTGAAGAAAACTTTACCCTGGCTTTTCGCCATAGTTAGCTTTGTTTGTGTTCTTCAGATTCCGAGTCCTTTGACCACAGTTGTGATGGCCCAAGTAGAAGCGCAAGTGTGTCTCAAAATAAACAAGCAGTGCTGGAACTCTCTAGAGTCCCCACTCATCTCCACCCGCAGTCCTGCCTTTTATCCTGGCTGATGATGGAGGCCAGAGGAAAGGGATAGTGGTGGCCTTATTAAGACAAGATCTTCTGCGGGAAAAATATGCTTAATGAGCTTAGGAAAAACCTTGTGGTCGTGGAATGTAATAAAATTTCCATTTTCTTGGGTGAGATCAGGAAACCTTGACTGTCTATTCTGAGTTTTTGCCAGTTTTACTGGGGAATGTGCTTTTTGAAGGTCAAATGTTGTTTTTTTTTCCCAGTGGGTGGCGGGGAAGAGGCACAATATAATGTTTTGGGGAAAGCCCCATGGTCAATCCATGGGTGCAAAGTAACCAGGCCTGCTTGTCTTATATAGTCTCTTGGTCTCTAGGTTTTTTTTTCTTTTCATCTCTTAATTCCCCATGGCTTCGGTAATAAAGTACCCTAGACTGGGTGGCTTAGAACAACAGAAATGTGTTGCCTCACAGCTCTGGATGCTTGAAGTCCGAGATCAAGGTGTTGGCAAGGCTGATTTCTTCTGAGAGCTTTGAAGGAGGCACTGCTCCAAGCCTCCCTCCTGGCTTCGAGTGTTTTGCTGGCCATCTCTGGTGTTACTTGTAGATGCATCACTCCAGTCTCCACCTTCATGTTCATATGGTGTTCATCCTGTGTGTGTCTGTGTCCACATTTCCCCTTTTCATAAGGACACCACTCATGATAGATTGGGAGCCTACCCTCCTCCGGAATGACCTCATCTTAACTAATTACATCTGTGATGACCCTGTTGCCAAACAAGGTCACATTCTGAGGTCCTGGGGATTAGAACATCAATATATGAATTTGAAAAGGAGGGATACAATGCAACACGTAACACCATCTCATAGACTCATTAAACTTTTACTTTACATAGGAATTCTGAAACCAGGCCAACAGAGAGGGGTATGGAGACCCTAACTAAAAACTGAGGCTAGCCGGGCGTGGGGGCTCACGCCTGTAATCCCAGCACTTAGGGAGGCTGAGGTGGGCAGATCACGAGGTCAGGAGATCGAGACCATCCTGGCTAACATGGTGAAACCCTGTCTCTATTAAAATACAAAAAATTAGCCGGGTGTGGTGGCACGCACCTGTACTCCCAGCTACTCGGGAGGCTGAGGTAGGAGAATCGTTTGAACCCAGGAGGCGGAGGTTGCAGTGAGCTGAGATTGTGCCACTGCACTCCAGCCTGGCAACGGAGCAAGACTCCGTCTCAAAAAATAAATAAAAACTGAGGCTAAAACTTTGTCAGTGGAAAATTATTACTTCAACGCAAGACACCAACATTTGTGAAACAGGGTTCTGTAGGGGTTGGGGAAGCCAGAGCCATGCTATGAGGACACTCAAGCAGCCCTGTGGAGAGGTCCACGTGGCCAGGAGCTGAAGCCCCCTGCCAAACAGCTATAGGAGAGACTCATCTTGGAAGCAGATCCTCCAGTCCCGGTCAAACCTTCAGATGAATATAGCCCTGGCTGATATCTTGACTGCAACCTCATAAGAGTGCCTGAGCCAGGACCATCCAGCTAAGCTGCTGCTGAATTCCTGACATAGAGAAACCGTGAGATAATAAATGTTGTTTTAAGCCACGAAATTTTGTGGTAATTTGTTATGCAGCAGCTGCATTGCAAAATTGTTATCCAGAGATCTAATACAGCTCCTGGCACCCCAACCCTGGAAAAGCAAATCTGCCTCTACTTTGTGAACAGTGTCATCGTGACAACTTCAGAGGGAAAGAGTCCCAGACCAACAGTGCCTCGGGTCTCGTGGATCGGAAGGTTTTCTTTGTTTGTTTGTTTGTTTTTGTTTTTTAAGGAAATGGAGAAAAAGGAACTAACAAAGTAATTGAAAATTGGTATATTTTATTTACTACAACTACAAACACATTAGGCTAAAGCAAGAACTTTGTTCATTTGATCAGCAGGATAACATAGTGGTAAGAGCACAGAATTCCAAGCCAAAAGATCTATGTTTGTATCCCAGCTTTTGCCAGCTATGTAATCATAGGAAGTTACTATACCTCTCACCCTAAGTGTTCTCATCTGTCAAATGGGATAACAGTAATAGCACCAACCCCTTAGACAAGAGTTACTGTGGGAAATAACTTAGAACTGTGTTTAGCACATAATAAGATGTGAGAACACAGGAGTGGGAAGATCCACTTATGACATAAAATGTCCCACAGTTAGAGACATAGGATGCTTGTTGAAAGAGCCAGGCTTGGATCATGAGGTCAGGAGTTCAAGACCAGCCTGACCATGATGGTGAAACCCTGTCTCTACTGAAAATACAAAAATTAGCCGGGTGTGGTGGTGCACACTGGAAGGCGGAGGTAGCAGTGAGCCGATATCGTACCATTGCACTCCAGCCTGGGCAACAGAGCAAGACTCCATCTCAAAAAGAAAAAAAGAAAGAGCCAGCCTTTAAGGAAACGGGAAGTCAAAGCTTGTGTAACGAAGCAAGACCAGACTTTTTAAATCTACCTCCCTTAACCTTTATAAACATGTGGACATCATAAACTTTAGGGAAAAAAAGTAATTGTCCCCAGTGACAGAAGGGATGGCGAGACCGCATAACTTGTTCCGGGCCATAAGACACATGGACACTCTGGTGACCATACCTGTCCCCGCACAGTTGCTGTCCTTTCCTGTCGTGCGTACCTGCACTTTGCATGGAGACACTGACTTCAGTCATACTGTCAGTAAGTCATTTCAGAAAGCACCACAGGATTTCCGGAAGGACATAGCATTTTAAAATTCTACTGGGTAAGAACTAAGTTCCCCACTTATAATTTCTAAAAGGCTAAGGGTTATTTTTACGGGTTTTTGAGCTCTCCATTTTACATCATGTCCTCTGAGAAGTTTTCAATGAGCTCAGTCCTGTATTGGGCAGAGGCTGCCTCCTCTTCTGTTTTAAAGGAGCTTGAAATTCTTTTACTTCTTGATACAGCAACCAAACCTGAATATATTGTGAGGTTCCCATCCCAAGTCAGAGCTCTTGAGGGGAATCATCCTTGTCCTCCTCTTCTTCCTCCTCTTCTCCTAAATGGTGCTACATAGGCTGGCTTAACATCTTTTTTTGAAATAAAAACCAAGTGTAAACATGAGTCAGAATGACAGGGCATATGCAGGACTCCAACATTTACTTTTGACATGAGTTGATTTTCAGTTATGTTCTGAGAACCTAGATCCTGTCATCCCAACCCTGGAAAAGCAAATCTGTATCTATTTTGTGAACACTATGATCCTGACAACACTGGGGGGAAGAGTCTCAGACCCACAGGGCCTCAGGCCTCAGGAATAGGAATTTCCAGAAGAAAAAAATAAGGACGCTTTGATCCACTTGCCCTTCGTATTATTGTCTCCCTGTGCAATTTGCTGGAGAATTTCCCACTGGCTCTTGGCTCATTTTCAAATTGGAGTGCAGTCTTTCAGAGATTACTCTGTGTGCTGAAAAACAAGGAAGTCTTTATTGAGTAGGATGAGGAGGCCCTGCCTTCTAGGAAGGGCAATAGATGCTCTGGCCTCTGTGTCTCAGCCCACCCTGCGTCCTCCCCCGCGAGCCCTCTCCAGCTCAGCCCCTCCCTCTCCCAGTGGAGGAGAAGGGCTGGGTGGACCCCTTGCCTTAGGCTGAAGGGAAAACATCTTGTAAGCTATGTAGCAATTGAGGCAATCCCTCCTGTAATCGTGGGGCCTCTCAGAGTTATTACTGAGCAAGATGACAATTCCAGCCAGCATCCCAGTGTAACAGGGCACTTCTTCTGCAGCCACTTTTCTCCAAACATGAGAATTTTCAAACAGGAGTCTCAGATAATATTTCCTTCTCTTCATCTCGACTTCCTCTTTCATTTACCTTACTTTCCTTCACTTATGCTTGTTTAAAAACCCTGGATTTTCAGACACCATCTGCATCATCATCTTAACAAATATTTATGTAGTGCTTATAGAAATTAATTTTTGTAATCCTCACAATAACCCTATGAGGTACACGCTATTATGTCCCCATTTTGGAGACCAGAAAACAGGCCCAGAGGGATAAAGTGACTTTCTCAGGGTAACAGGCCTTCTAAGTGAGAAAGCCCAGGTTTGAACCTAATAGTTTGACTCTGGAGTCTGAGTTCTCAAGGCCCTGATGTCCCGTATCACCTCCCAGTTATTTATTTATATTTAGAAATGTACTCATCCTTGGCCATGTGTTTCTTACCTGAGGGCTTGCGGACTGCAGCTCGCATCTCTGGTTCCTGCTGGTCCTGGTGAATTAGGCAATGGGATATTGTGGCCCCTTTGCTGTCCCATGGTCACCCCATCTACACCGGCTCTTTAAGGCCCAGTGTGGTCACACGAAGGCAGCCTTACAAGGAAGGCTAGGTCGGGCCCAATTTGGTAACAGACTCAAGTCTTTTTGCAGGAACATTCATACTTGTGGATTACATAGTAGAGGTTTTTCCTCTACTGGCTGCAAATAGTCCTCTGTGGTTAAACCAATTTCTTTAGGAAAAGTGAAAGGAGGGAGGGAGGGAGGGAAGGAAAGAAGGAGGGAAGGATGGAAGGGAGGAAAGGTGGAAGGGAGGAAGGGAGGAGGAGGGAAGGAAAGAAGGAAGAAGAGAGGGAGGCAGGGAAGGAAGGAGAGAAGGAAGGAAAAAATGGGAGTAGAAGTCTCATAATATTTCCTTCTCTTCATCTCGACTTCCTCTTTCATTTACCTTACTTTCCTTCACTTATGCTTGTTTAAAAACCCTGGATTTTCAGACACTATATCATCTTAACAAATATTTATGTAGTGGTTATACAAATTAATTTGTATAGGAGAGAAAGAGGGAGGAAGGAAAAAGAGAAGGGAAGGAAGGAAGAGAAAAGAGAAAGGGCAAGAAGGAAGGAAGGAAAAAGGAAGAGAAGTAATGGAAAGGAGAAAAGAAGGAAGAAAGGGAGAAAAGAATACTATTGATGTGGTGAGCATGAATTTTCTAGGAAAGGTTCTTTCTGCCCTCCTAGGCTAACCATTTCTATTGCACTCCTTTTTTTCTCCTTGGTTGGGCTGTGCTAACTTCTGTCCCACCAAAAGCCTACATGGTAGAACTTGGTTATGTTCTTCAGGTTTCCAATCTAAAAGGACGGAAAATGAAAAAAAGAGAAAACTGTGTTACAACTTAATTAAAACACATCAGGTCAAATCATAATTCTGAGCCCAGAGCTGTAAATGGGTCCCTCAGAGACCCTGGGTCTTTCTTGTGCCTGCTGAAGTATTTATTGTCACAAGTCACTCCTCATAGAGTGTCTTGATTTCCCCATCTATGTTGCAGAGAAAACACGCTGTCTGCCTATGTCTGCTGAGAAACCAGCAAACAATGTTCAAAAAGCACCTTGAGCCTATAAGGTACACGAAGGGGGATGCTGTTTAGTTTTCTCTTTCTATTTCAAAGTCATAGAATAGTCTCAAAAGAACAGTGGGAAAAGCGTGCCTTGGACTTCGCAGAGCCGTCTAACATTGCACCTGTGTTTCCTGATCCCCTCTCAGAGTCTGTCTGTTTCTTTTCTCCCACTCTATCATGAGGTAAGGCGCATCTCCTTGGAATGTTGTCCTTGCTGCCTGCTTGCCAACTGCAGCGCTCCCTTCCAGCTCTGAAGCTCAGTGATTCTCCTAGTGGTAGGAACTCTGTCTCTGCTGTTTTCAAGCCTGACCCAGCTCAGACCTGAACTTCCTTGCATTAGGGTTTGGCAGCTTCACGAGGCAGCACTGTACTGGCCTGGCCAGCCTGGGGCTTGTGGAATCACCTACTGAATCAGGTTTACCTCTGGCATTCCAGGCAAGAGCCGGTCATCAATCCTAAATTAACATTTTTGATAGCATTAGTGCCTTTACTAATAATATCTACTACTGTTTACTGAACATGGGTGTGGAACATATACTAATGACTTGTGAGTGTTACATGTTGTCCATCAGTATTGTCTATAGTCACAATCTTATTTAGTTTCACTTAATTCTCATACAACCCTAAAAAAGTAGCTATTTTATATCCATCTTAAGCTTAGCATACTGAAGCCCAGGACGGTTAAGTTACTTGCCTGAGGTCATTCTACCAGTAAGTGGAGAAGCCCAAATCTAACTAACACTGGTTTGCTTTTTTCCAAAAGTGGTACCACTGCTTAACCATGCTGATCCCCTACAATATTAGCTGTACTGTACTAAGCACGTACTACATACCACAATTGTGCTGGAAGCTTAATGCTTACAGTCCTATTTAATTCTCACAGTCATCTTCAAGATGGGAGGATTGGCTCCATTTTTAAGGTAAGGAAACTGAGATTTAGAGAGGTTGAATTGTGCTGTTCTTGTATATTCATTGAAGTCCAGTCAGATTTTTTCTAATACATTTTATTGTCTATATTTGAGAAATATGACATGATGTTATGAGATACATGAGATACATGATACAGGATTACTGTAGTGAAGCAAATTAACATATTTGTCATCTCATATGGTTACCCATTTTTTCCCCAATAAATGTTTAGAACAGCTCTGAACTTTACCACCAAAACACAAAAGAATTTCCTACAACATGCACTTAAAGCCTTTTTTTTTTAACATAGCACAGTATATGCAATTATGTTGAGCATATGGCCATTTAAAATTATACTCTGAGACAGCTCACCTGATGCAAATGCCTCAGAAATGGACATGGAGGTGTACAAAGATGGGAGATGGCAGAGACAGCTGGGGTTACTGGATGGAGTTGAATCATAGCCTATTTACATGAATACAGGGGGAGTTAACAGAGGCAGAACTTGGGAGCTGCTTGACGTTCTGTGGGGAGTGAAAAGGAGGAGGCAGATTAAAGAAATGTGAATTTCCAACAGGGTATGCTTACAAATCCCCAAAATTCATAACCGATTTGTTCAAAGTAAAAAATAAGAACAGGAGTCTGTCATGAGAAAGGAGAACTTCATGTCAGTTTCAAGCCCTGCACATTGGAGTCAGTACATGCACATTCTTCTTTTTGGCATCCATTCTTTGTTTATATTTAGCAGATTTGAATACCGTTTGGGTTTCTACCCACATACATACTAGCCTTACTCTATCTTGATGTACAGGAAGGTTTAGACCTTTCACTAGTAATTCTCTGTAATCGAATGTGACCAAGTTCAAGGGAAACGTCAATTACAAAAACACTGGGGGAAAAAATCTGTATGTTGCCTCCATGGTTTCTTAACTATGGTTTTTGTTGTTGTTGTTGTTATCGTTTTGTTTTGTTTTTATTTTTGTTTGAGACAGAGTCTCCCTCTGTTGCCCAGGCTGGAGTGCAGTGGCGCGATCTCTGCTCACTGCAATCTCTGTCTCCCGGGTCCAAGTGATTCTCTCACCTCAGCCTCCCAAGTGGCTGGGATTACAGACACTCCCCACCACGCCCAGCTAATTTTTATGTTTTTAGTAGAGACAGAGTTTCGCCATGTTGGCCAGGCTGGTCTCGAACTCCTGACCTCAAGTGATCTGCCCGCTTCGGCCTCCCAAAGTGCTGGGATTACAGACGTGAGCCACCGTGCCTGGCCTCTTACTCCATTTCAACTAGACACATGGACTCTGTCTTGTGATGAAACCTTTATTCGCTTAAAGTCTTTATCTTTTGGTGGCATATGTAGCTATGTCCCCTATTTTATTCCTGATATAATATATGACTCTTCTCTTTTTTTCTTTCACGACGTTGCTAGGGGTTGATCAATTTTATTAGTGTTTTTAAAGAATCAAGCTTTGGCTTTGTCAGTTTTCTTTATTGTATATTTGTGTCTTAATTCATTGATTTCTACTTTTATTTTTTATAATTTCTACTTTCTCTGGGTGTAATTTGCCCTTCTTTTTGTAACTTCTTAAGATGGATACTTCGATCATTGATTTTCAGCCACTTTTCCTTTCTAATATGTGCATTTAAAGCTGTGCATTTCCTTCTAAGCACAACTTTAGCTGTATCCCACAAATTTGATATATTATGTTTTTATTATCATTCAGTTAAAATAGTGTCTGTTTTCACTGTGATTTCATCTTTAACCAATGAGTTATATAGAAGCATCTTGTTTCAAGTCCAAACATTTAGGTATTTTCTAGATATCTTTCTATTATTGATTCTAGCTTAATTCCATTGTGATCAGGAGAATGTATTTAGTATGATTTTAATTCTCTGCTGTTTGCTGAGACATACATTATGGCTTGAAACTAATAACCTGCTATGGTATTTTACTTTAATAGTTCGACATCTTTCTATACATCTACTGGAAAGTTATTGCATACATCACTGGAAAGTTGCTTAATCTCTACATGTCTCAGTTTTCTTTTGTGTACACTGGAGATAATAACAGTGTCTTCCTCAAAGAGGTCCTGTGACCATTCAATTTGGTAATTCTTTAAAGGTTTTCAGAATGGTACCTGGCACATAGTAAATACTCAGGAACTGTTAGCTGTTATTACTTAGTTGATTAAAATTATGACTGATTATCCTGCTGGATCAAATATAAACATCCACTGCCTGTCACCAGCCCACCTTGGCTGTCTGCTCTTACTTGCTGCTAAACTTTAAGGCCTATGTCTTAAATATCACTTAAGTATCACAGAATTTCCAAGACACTGTAAGTATTATTTTCTGTGTTTTACAAATAAGGGAATTTAGGCACAAAATCGGTAAAAGACTTGAATGAAAGCCTGTTTCTCAAGATATTAGCAACAGCCTGTTATCTGGTTCACATCTATATTCCTTGCTCATATTTTATTCTATACAAATAAAAGAAGTAATAGTTTTGCAATTAAGTGTTTTTGTGGTTGACATCATTTTCAGGTGTTGCCTTTGGACTCCTACAGCCTTCAGGCCATGGGAAGGTCTGCTCCCTAATCAGTAGGTTAGCCTAACCTCAGTCACTAAGTTTCAGTCTGAGTAAAGGCACAGTCCCTGAGGGCTGAACATATGTCAAGGTTCCCAGCCCTTAACATCCTCCAAAGACAAAACCTGCCTTCGTCACCTTGTGGGAACTCAACAAATGGTGGTTGATGAACCATCATGGTATCAGTTTTGAAAATAAGCACAGACATTTTTGGTAACCAGCCCACCATCGCCTAAGTTGTAAAGCAAGTGAAATCAACATTCTTTCTCATTCATTGGGCATAAATTGTTATGGCTGTTTCCAAGGATGCATGGTACACGTGTAATGTGGGGTCTTTCAGGGAAATTTGACATCAAGCCTAGAGTCTTGAGAGACTAGTTTATATTTTTAAGGAACGTTGAAGACTTTAGCATATTTTATAAAGGGCATTTCCAAAACCATACCAGTTTCTCAGCTTATTTTATAATATCGACCACCTGGTCTTTTGCTCAATGTGATTTCAAAGGGCCTAGTATAATTTTTCTGAGTATCCTAAATCTCCTTGGGTGCCCTGTAAATCCACAATTTGAAATTTATTCTTTTAACATGTCATCTTGATACTTTGTTTATTGGTTCTAATATACAATCCCTTGGGAAAAATAATATTAAGTCCCATTAATTGTTAATAGTGTGGGTGAATGAGTTTATTAGATTGGCTCCTAAGAACAAGTTTTGAGTTAGATTGAGGAGGGCAGGGTGGAAGGAGGAGATGATAGCTCTAATAGGCATCTATATTTGGAAGTGCTGGGTAAAAGAGCACAGTAGTCTGAGGCTGCACAAGGGATACGGGAGGAGGCTTCATGATTTCCCCTGGGCTGCCTCTGCCCACATCTTCTCACCACACATCCAAATGAATTCTTCTATACCATTCCATTAGGTAATTATTGTAAGCCTTTAGAAGTAACACCATTACTCTCATGTCACAAAATTCTGTGATTATATTAAAAATTGCTCTTTTTCTGTTCTGGCATATTTGTTTTCCTCCCTGGTCTTAGATAGCTTTTAGGGTTGGATTAGGTGTTGATGGAAAAGAAGAGTTGAGATCAGGAAAGTAAGGTGTGATTGTAAGAAGGTCAGAAAGGAGCTCTTGCAGTAAAAGACACCTAGGGCGCTTTCATCCCTGTTACCTCCTTCTGCCATGATACCCATGAGCATGTGGGAGAGCTTCTTTTCATGGACCCACATGGAGTCCACCTGCTGAATTAATTGATGCTCTTCATTCTCTCTTGAAAACATACCCACTGATACCCACGCCACCTTGAATGCTTGCAACCACCAGTCCTGTCCTGTGCTTACCAACATCAGACGTATTTCCAAACTGTCAATACTAGTTGTGTCTATTGCTGTAACTCAATAACTTAATTAAATAATGCGTAAATGAATAAAATATGAGCATGAAAAGAAAGACCTAATTTGATTGCTTGCAAAAACATGATACAGGAGAAACTCTTAGAAATGCTATTAAATTAAGTACGGATGAGAAGTATAAAAGCTTGTGAAAGTATTTAGGGAAATACACACAGGTTCTGCACTCTCACTGGTCTTTACGTTCTTGCTCTACTGTTAAAAATCTAAAACTAGAAGTCATCGACCATATATTAGGAGTGTGGCTTATGGAAGAAAGAATGCGCAGAACCCAGTCAGCAGACCCCACTCAGAGAAAAAACCTTTATCCTGGCCAGGTGCGGTGGCTCACACCTGTAATCCCAGCACTTTGGGAGACCGAGACAGGTGGATCACTTGAGGTTAGGAGTTCCAGACCAGCCTGGCCAACATGGCAAACCTTGTCTCTACTAAAAATACAAAAATTAGCTGGGCGTGGTGGCCGATACCTGTAATCCCAGCTACTTGGGAGGCTGAGGGAGGAGAATCACTTGAACCCGGGAGGCAGAGGTTGCAGTGAGCCAAGATCACACCATGCACTCCAGCAACAGAGTAAAACCCCATCACAAAAAACAAACAAACAAACAACAACAACAAAAAACAAAACCTTAGTCCTGTATCAAAAGATTGGCAGTCAGGTGCTTTTACACATTTCAAGTTAAAAAGATGTTGAAAATATACACCTGTCATGTTTATGGTGTTTCCCCTTTATTCAACTTTTTACTTAACCAGTTAACAACTTTGTCTCAATGGCTTCTACTGTGGTTGAAAAGGTCATTGTTGTTGTTCTTTATGCTCAATTCAAAGGTTAGGGCTATCCTGACCATTCTCTCTTGTTTCTATGGAGAATCTTATTGTGGATCCATGATTCTTAAATTCCTTAGTGTGTGACTTAAAGCTATTTATAGTTTTGGCTTATGTTATCAAATATGCTTGTTTGCCACTAAGCAAAGAAAATAAAAATGCAGCTGATGTCATCACAGTAGCCAACGTTTGACAAGGGCTTACTTTGTACCTGGACTCTGTACTAAGCATTAACTGATATTATTTTGTTTAATCTTCACAACTACCGAAGAGTAAGTTTCATTATTATTTCTGTTTTATGGGCAATTGAGGCACAGAAGGGCAAAGTAAGTTGCCTAAAGTAACACAGTTAGCAAGTAGTGAAGCCAGATTCCAAGCCAGACGGAATCCAGACCCTGTGCTCATAACCACTGTGCTATTTATTTTTAGATACCTTAAGTCGTTGTTCCTGCTTAATATGTTTATGACCCCTCTTCGGGGGGCAGGGGCAGAGGGAAACAAAGATTGATTACCTGCCAATGTTCCTTTATGTCTAGAAGGTGGTAAAACACTGGTTGTTTTGCACCGTCACTGTTATCTATGAACAACTCTGTTAAATCTTGTAAGAGACAGAGTGGAAAATGTAACACTTAGCACCTCAGACCAATCATCAGTAATGCAGAGGGACGTGAGTGCACGGGTGTGTGTGTGAGTGTGTGTGTGACCCTCTCTCTGCTGCTCACCAAGAAGAAACTGGTATTTTAGTGCCCTTTTGTGCCACTGTGCTTTTAACTGCTGTTAAGATAAGGAGTAATGTCCCTCCAGCTGTACATAATAGTGTTGTAATTCCATCAAGGGGCTTTGATAACTTCATAAACCCTGACAGAAAAGCTTGAGTGGATTTTCATGTCACCATAACACCAAGATGGAATTACAGCCTTAATTTACTGGGTGTACATTTTGGGAGGTACATTACTTAATGTTAAATCTTGTTAAAAACAAATCAGCTGATGCCATCTGGCTGTTCCCGTTCCACAGTGGTCTCCAAGCTGCACCCTGATTTTGGGTCTTTGTTCTCCGTCACCCTGCTTTTCCTGATTTTTATTTTCCTCATCATCATAATTGCCCTGATCATCATCATCATGCATACCTTATACTCATATAACTTTTTTTTTAAGTTTACAGAGTGTTTTTCATACATGATCCTATGAGCCTCAATACTTGCTTTTCTCTCTCCTCTTGAACATCTGAAATTTAGTTATTTGTGTTATATGGAACAAATGTCTGTTGGCCATTTTTTAAGAATAAAAGCAATGTGTGCACACTGAAAACTTTCAGACAGTGCAGGAAGGCATAAAATGAAAAGTAAAGTTTCCTTTCCTTCTGCCTTCCAAAGTGCTTCCCCCACAGGTGATCCTTGTTAATGGTTTCTTTCATATCATTCCAAAAAATGTATTCATATACTAAAACTTATAGCATTCCACAAAAAATATTATGCATTTATGTTTGCCTGCCTAGCCATTTGTCTATCCACTTCTCCTTTTTGATTTATGCAAATGAGATTGTTTGCCCAATGTCTTTTTAAAATACTTAATTATATATCCTAGGCATCTGTCCATATCATTACAAGTAGCTTTCCATCAGTTTTTGTACATAACAATACCAGCCATTTAGAGGTCTGTCTTTCAAATATCATTTTAGGTAAAAAAAAAAAAAAAAAAAAAAAGTGTGAGTTAAGGATGACTCTGGTTGAAAAGATGGGCTTGAATGAGCCAGATCTTATCAGAATAAATCTCAATCCAGTCCACTGGAGAATAAAGAAAATGGAACTTTTGTTTTGAAAATTCTTTTTCATGCTCTGTGTTTAATATAACAGCAGGGCATTCTGCAAATGTTATCACAGTGCCACGTTCCTGTGAGGCTGGTCGGAGTCCACACGGGGAGTGGGCATGGTGTTGAGGGAAGCACTCTGGACCAGGTGCCTGGGGACCAGTCACATAATATGTGATTCACCATATTAACCCATCTGAGCTCAGCTTTCTCCCCTGTAAAATGGGGTTAATCATATCTATCTCGTATGAGTGCCATGAGCATTAAATGAGATGATTATTTTTGCCTCGATAAATGGTGAGTTTTATGAGTATTCTGAGGCTTCTTCCTACACCATAACTGATGAAATAACTTTCCTTACAGGAGGCTCATTTTTTAATGGTTATTGTCTTTTTATAACTTAGCATTTATTGTTGTCCCATAGATTGCATGCTTCTAATGTAATGAAAGTGACTTTGAAATGTGACTTATAGGAGCTGGTCTCATTGCTTTATAGTTACATTTTGCTTCATTTGCTTGTTATTTTCTCTCTCACAGCCTGGCACATGGCCGGGGCTTTGTAAATCCTGGTTGATCCAGAGATATGTGAGCTTTGGATGTTGTATTGAGAGGCTGGCTACGTGAGGCTGTCAATGAATTGCCGAATTTGGAAGAAAAGTCCACATTCTGAAATGTGTGTTCCAACCTGCCTTCCAAAGCCCTGGCACCATCTCTTTTTAATATAATAACAGTCTCCTGCAAATTTCCTAGTATGCACATCTTTTAAATTTAACTTTTGCTCCATTAGACTTCCTGTGAAGTGATATGTGCTCCATAAAACACAGAGGCTTCATCAGGCTGACACACTTGCCTAGTACTTTGCAATATGGTTTTTTTTAAGGCAGTAACATATTTTCTTAGAAAAACAAATTTCTCCAGAGGACAGGGCTCCTAAGATAAACAGTACAATCTGAGGAGCCATACAGGATAATGCCCAGGCTCGCCTCTGCACAGCACTGAGCCTGTAGAACTGACCTTTGGGAAGCACACTGTTGCCTCTTTGCAGATGCTACCTATGGCAGAGCATCACCAGGGCTGGAAACAGAGAAGGGAGCTGGAGAGGTGGGAGGTGTCAGGGCGGGAATGGGAGAGTATGGGACGGAAAGATCCATTAATCCAGTCAGTGTGCAGAGGCTGCAAGAGAAAATATAAATCTGGGAACAGCTCTGCTTGGTGAATGCCTCTGCCAGAGTTTGAGTAACTGACAAATTATCATAATGTAATTGGCTGGCAGGGTCAGCCCTTCTCCTGGAGCATTAGCCATGGGGAAGGTAGGAAGAGGCAGATAAGGAATTGGAGGGCAGTGTTTTGTCTGTCACCAGGAAGGAGTTTTCATTTCAGCACTGCTTAGATCAATATTATGGCCCTGGAGACAGCCCTCTTCAAATTAGTAAAGTTCCCATTTTTGAAAAATTTCTTCCTTAAAAATAAAATCTAAGAATTCCACTTCACTGCCCATGCCAAAGTCTAAACCAAAGCCAAACAAAAGAAAACAATCGAGAAAGAATAGAAGGTTTTCCTTTTCCTTTCTACTCTTTCCCCTACTTTTGGAAGTTCTTCCTGGAACTTGGGGATCGCATATCTTTTGACTGACACTTCTCAGAATGATTGATTTGTGTAAGTTACTTCATTGATTGCCTACTTATTGTGCAGGCAGTGCCTTATCCTTTCTAAGCAAAGCTATGGTACATTTCTTTTCTTTTCACCTAGTTATTACATTAGCCTATACAGAGAAAGATTCAGACACATTTCCTTGTTCTTCCAGGGGTGTTACATCTGGGTCATTTTGTTGTTCATGCTATTTTCAGAAACTTAGAAGATCATCCACACCTACCGCTTCTTTAAGAAACATATGTATATATATTTTAAGTGTCTTCTGCTTTACTTTATTAAAATTGTTTTCAAACCTCAGGTACAGAGAGTTGAATTAATTAACACTATAAACTAACTTCTCAGATCAGAGATCATTGTCATCACAGATGAGAGAAAATTTCCACTCTTGCTCTATTTTCTCCTATCTTCAGTTTCCACGCCCATTCTCTTCTTCTGCATGGATCCATGTAAAATTCATAGCTGTGTGTGTGTGAAGTGAATGGTATTGTGCGTTTCTTGTGCTATTACTTTTTTCACGCAACATCATTTTAAAGATTTCTTTTTGTTGCACACTTCTTCATTGCTTCTAACTGCTCTGCAGCATTCCGTCATCTGAATGTACCCATTTTATTTATCCATTTCTACAATCGATCTTGGAACATTTTCAGCCTCCCCAAAAGAAACTTAGTGCCCATAGGCATCACTCCCCGTCCCCATCCCCTTAGTCCTAGGCAACCAGAATCTACTTTCTGTATCCATGGATTTGCCTATTCTGGACATTTCATATAAGTGGGACTCATACTACATGTCATCTGCTGTGACTGGTTTTGTTTATTTAGCATAATGTTGTCAAGGTTCATCCATGTTGTAGTATGTGTCAGAATTTCATTCTCTTTAATGGCCAAATAATATTCCATTGTATGGATGTACCACATGTTGTTTATCCATTCCTCAATAATGGACATTTGGGTTGTTTCCACTTTTTGGTTATTATGAATAATGCTGATAGGAACATCTGTGTACACATTTTTGTATGGACATGAGTTTTATTTCTCTTGGGAATAAACTTAGGAGTGGAATTTCTGGGTCATGTGGTAACTCTATGTTTAGCTCTTTGTAGAACCTCCAGATTGTTTTCTGTTTTTCAAAATGGCGGCACCATTTTACAATCCCAACAATTTGAGGGTTCCCGTTGGGATCCAGTATTGTAAGGACAGACTGCATCACTGGCCTGTGTAGTGGCCAAGACCTGCTCGTATGAGAGGGATGTGCATAGATCTTGTATATGTGGGCTGCCATTTATTTATGGCAATGATTATCATCCAGGGTTATCCCACCTCATCTTGAGAGCTCAATTTTAGGACTATTTTTATGAGCAATTCTCTGGTTAACTTTGTTCACTGAAAATAACTGAGCTTTGCAGGATTTGGAGTCAGGAAACCTAAATTCAAGCCCAGATTCTGCTACTTATTTGGTGATCTTGAATAAATTGTCCAAGCCTCAGCTTCCTCATTTATAAAGTGTGTTTACATGGGGCCACTCTTGGTGTGGATAGAGCTGGGGTTGGGAAAAAAATAGGGGTGTATTGGGGGTCAGAACTAGAGAATAGGGACCCCAAGGAGTTACAATTAACTAATTAAAACCTGGCCTTCCAGGCCATTATGAATGTATGTATTTGTCAAGGTTGAAGGTAGAATATATTTGTTACTTGATTGGTAACTTTAAATAATTTAGTTATGTGGGATGTGGGCTTCCATGTGTATTCTTGCCCTGGGTCCCACAAATGTTATAGGGATGCTTTTTCAAGATCACCATTCTTGTATCGACCTGTGTGAGAATATAGGGACATTTAGTCTATGCGTATTTAATTTCCCTGAGTTCATCTAGGTCAATTTCCAGAATGACCATAGAAATTTACACTAATAATATAGGGTTCTTAGATCTCCATATCAGCACCAACACTTGTAATTATTCACCTTTCTATTTTTTCATTGTTTTTCTTGTTTTAATTTGCATTTCTCTGACTGTAAGTTTGAGCATCTCTTCACGGATACAAAATATGAATAGAAATCCAAAAAGAGAAAGTCAGTAGGCTGGAAACTCAGGTAAAGTTTCTATGTTGCAGTCTTGAGGCAGTTGTTTCTTCTTTGGGAAACCTCAGTCTTTGTTCTTAATGCCTCCAAGTGAGGCATTATGAGGCCCACCAACATTATGAAGGATAATCTGCTTTATTCAAAGTCTACTGGTTTAAATGCTAATCACATCTAAATAATTCCTTCACAGCAATGTCTTGACTTGTGCTTGGCCAAACAACTGGTCACCATAGCCTAGCTAAGTTGGCTCATAAAATTAACCATCACACCTCTGAACTCTTCCCTGAACCACTTATTTGTCTTACAATTATATGAAGGCAGGCTAATGACATCTCTCGCATTGTCATCTTTCGGTATGTAGCTTTGGAAGTGTGTAGGTTTGCCTTTCCAACTCCTTGAAGATAAAGACCATATCTTATACTTCTTATGGGGTTCCTGGAATGCCTAGTGGGGTGCTACACAGACCTTGCTTAATAAACTACTGTCCACAAATGAATGCACAGGAGAAGCAGCTTTTTGAAGAAAACATCGAAGTAACTATTTGGAGTTAAGAATAGAACTTGGGTCTTTTGCATCCCATTCTTTTACTCCTCAGTTATACACCAAAAGACTTCAACACATTCTTCATTTAGTTCTTGATTGGAATTTTAGTGGGGTAAATTTTGTGACCAGGTAGGCTTTTCATCAGCTTGAGTTTAAACTCTTTGAAATTGGCCCATGAATTTGATGCTGTTCTCTTGGTCTTTTTCACAACTGAAACATTGGGCCATTGGTGGGACGTTCTGTGCCTTGAAACTTTTAATACGTGCAGCTCCATCTCCTCTATCACTTTTTAGATTCCTAGTCCATACCTTTTACAATTAAATGCATGATGTCCCAGTAGACTTTGGGATATTGGGTCCCAACTTCTGTAAACTCCAATAGACCTGAGCTCTGTAATTTTCTTAGCTGTCAGTTGAAATGTCTTCTAAAATGTGTTAAACTGTCTCAGGCTTACCCAGAAAATGACCGTTGTTAGTGACAGATGACATTCATGGTACCACCCTAAAAGCAAAGAATAATTATAGTAAGATAATTAGGCATTAGGGCATTGATGGGGCCAAACGAATGTGGAGAAAGTTAAACATGCAGAAATATCTGGCTCTAGGTCTTATATGTGTTGGGAACTTTCCAAAATTCAGAGCATAGAAATTCCCATGATGCTAGCTCAGTAAATTTTCAAGCCATTGGAATCTCTACTGACCTTTGGAAAACATAGCAGATTCTTCTTTTAATCACACAACCAGCTGTCCTAAGGGCCAATTAGCCCGAATTATGTTTTTTTCTAATTACGTATTTGTTAAATATTACCGTTATTAATTTTCTGTATCAGTTTTCCCTAGATCAGAGGTTCTCAAACTTTGTCAGTTCCAGACATCCTCAGTATTTCAATAACTTTTCTTCTGGCATGCCTAGGCCAAAAGAAATACCATACTATTCTGCTTATTAAATAATTAGGTCAAAACTACTTAATAAGCATGGAAGCATCTATGTAGATATTTGAAATAAATAATACACAGATATTAAAAGATTAAGGAGGAATCATCTTATTTCATTCTTAAATAAGCATAATTACTTCCTAATGGAATACATGTAGGTACCTGTTGGGCTCTGCACAATTTTTCAAATCTTAGAATCGAATTGGACACCACCACCCTCATTTCCATTCCACATTTATTTTTGCATGATGTTGGCTTTTAACAGCAATTGCCAAAAATTCAGCTTTGTGAAGATGTGAAATAATCTAAAAGCATATAAGTATGATCTAATGTTGAAATGCTGATAATCTTGAGTTTTCTCAGTGTCCAACAGATGTCAAATACTGCTGTGTATTCTTCAAAATATAACATATTCTGTGGCATCCCTGTGAGTTCAGTACAGCATCCTGGAGCACACAGTTTGGAAACTGCAACCCTACACATTAAACATGAATGATTAGGTCCAACACTCAAATCTGTCAAATTTACAAAGAATGGGAATTTCTGATTTATACTTAAGACTGAAATTTCTCCTAGGGATCGCATCTGGTATTTAGTACCTACACACCTCGCTGTTCTTCACTTCCTTAGGAAGCTATATGCTTATGTTCAGGATAGCATTTTTCCCCTCTTCTAATTTTCTACCTTTGGAAATGTTCACAGCCTGCTGTTTCCTTCTCTAATTCCTTGTCAGTAATCATGCTGGCCAAAATGACCTGGTGAGAAATGTTGTTTATTTCACTGGATGCCTGTTTTTTTTTTAACATCCTGTTTTATTTTGGTTATTAATTATTATCAAGTATCCTGAGCATGAGAAACCTAATACAGAGCTTACATAAGGGGGAAAAAGAATGCTATTTTCTCTTAGAGGTTACATGCTGCAAAGCGTGTCATTGCTGATGGTTTGCTTCAAACCCTTAGCCCTTTGTGAGCCAGCAGATGTCACATGAACTAAGACCCTAGAGCACATCAGCCACTTGGTTGGTTTCACATGCCTGTTTTCTAGCCTCTTCAGTGGATTTTAATACCTTGGCCTTTGGCTGCTTTTCTGAAGAAGCCTCATGACATCACTAAGCTTCAGGCTCGAAGATATTTTATCCATACTTTATGGCACTCTTAGTCTGACAAAGATTTTGCTGCTTCTCCTTCCTCCTCTTTCTCCTCTTCCTCCTTTTCTTACTCCTCTTCTTCCTCTCTTCCTCCTCCTCTTCTCTTCTTTCTTCTCCTTCTCCTCTCCCTCCTGCTGTTCTTTTCCTCCTCTTCCTCCTTCTCCTCCTTCTCTGTCTTCTTGTTCTTCTTATTAACGTTTTCATAGTTTCCCTTGGAATATTTTAGCCCTGAAGAGCTAAACACTAAACACCAAGCCTATTGGTTGAGTGGTTATAGTAGCTGAGGTCAGTGCTGTCTCCCAGACCCCTAGATGCAGGATACCCTTCTAAGGGACAGGGAGATTGGGAATTGGGAATGGAGCAATGCCTGGTTGTGGAGGGGGCTGAAAGAGAAGTTGGACTCAAAATGGCCACCATTGCCAATTCCTTTGCTTTACAGTTTAAAAGTGACTCTGTAAGATGTCGGTCGAGCTCTCCTCAGCCTCTTCTCTCTTCCCCGACTACTTTCCCTGCATCTCTGCCTCTTCTATCTCCCTCATCCATCCCTTACTTCCTCACCTTCTCCGCCTCCCACCTATAAAATGTTCTTGGGCTGTCCCCAGTCAGGTGGATATTGCCTAACTCCTGTGTGATATCAATAACCCATGCTAGTGAAGCCAATGAGGTAATTTTCCCTGAAGCTCTAAATATAATTTAACAAGTTAAACACTGTAACATTGTGGTGAATGCGCTATTAAGGGACTGTAAATTGCTTACATAGCATCAATAAACACAGTGCCCTAAAGCCAGGGGCCGTTAAGATTTTATAATCTAAAGCAGCACTTGGAGTATCACCCCGAGGCTTCAGCTTCAAGTCAGATAAAAACAACGCCGGCTGAAGGCTTCAGTTGATGCCAAATGTTCATAGGAACACAACAAGCTTTAGGGGGTAATTACTTTCTGAATACTTGATGTGGATTTGCTGAGAAACACATCTGTTATCAAATTTGCCAATGATTAATTTGATTCTTCCATTTCCACAGAAAAAGGGGCAAGTGAAGTTGATGATTACCAGTGCCAAGCCGATTGGTATATGGCATCTCCCACAGATTCAAGTATTATATTCTTGGGATAGGAAAAAAAAAAAAAATCAGTATAATCTCCTCTCACACATACATTGGATTAAACCCTATAGGATTATGTGTATAGAAAAACATTTTCTGTAATTAAATTATCTTTGGTGTTGTTGAAAAAGGTGCAGAGTTTTAAAAGTTAATGGCTTCTTTTGGAAACAGAATAGTTCGTGTTTCAGATTTTGCAAGTCCCCAAGCTTCCTTCCCCTTCTTTTTCCTTTCCTCTGATGTCCGCCCACCCCTAGCCAAATCCTTTCACAAAACACACCTCCCCTCTGTAATTCCTTCCCGGGTTCATATTCTCAGCCAACTGGTGACTAACCCTTTTTGTGTTTTAACTATTATCCAGAATATTTGGTCTAAAGCATTTGCATTTGAGCTCTGGAAAGCTCTTAGCATTTTACAAATGTTACCCCATTAATCACTGCAGCCATCAGCCTGACAGTGTTTACCTTCTATTTAAAAGTGGTGGAAAAAAGAAAGCTCTGAGTGGTCCCGAGACCTGACCAAGGTTGCTTGGTGAGTCGGGAGGGGACAAGGGAGGAGAACTCACTGTCTCAGGCCTCCCAGCTCTCACACCTGCCATGCCACACACTCCTAAAACCTGCGTAGGACCTTTGGGTCTGCAGGGTCTCAGGGTCACCTCTATGATTTTTCTTTCTTTCTTTCTTTCTTTTTCTTTCTTTCTTTTCTTTCTTTCTTTTTCTTTCTTTCTTTTCTTTCTTTCTTTCTCTTTTCTTTTCTTTCTCTTTTTTCTTTCTTTCTTTTTTCTCTCTTTTTTATTCTTTCTCTTTTTTATTCTCTCTTTCTCTCTCTCTTTCTCTCTTTTCTCTCTCTCTCTCTTTTCTCTCTCTCTTTCTCTCTTTTCTCTCTCCTCTCTTCTCTCTTCTCTTTCTTTCATCTCACTCTGTCTCCCAGGCTGGAGTGCAATGGTGCAATCTCAGCTCACTGCAACCTCTGCCTCCCAGTTCAAGTGATTCTCCTGCTTCAGCCTCCCAAGTTGGGATTACAGGCGCCTGCCACCATGCCCAGCTAATTTTTGTATATTTTGTAGAGACGGGGTTTTGCCATGTTGCCCAGGCAGGTCTTTAACTCCTGAGCTCGAGCAATCCACCTGCCTTGGCCTCCAAAAGTGCTGGAATTACAGGCATGAGTGAGCCACCAATTTATTTCTAACTAGCTTGCTGAGTTACACTTCCTGTGCAGATTTATCTCCTTTTGTTATTATCGAGGCCATCCCGAGACTATGGAGACTTTCCTCCCATGTTTCTGGTCTCTGGTACACCATGCCCATCCCCTGAGGAGGGACAGTAACTGTGAGAGAAGGGTACATCACGGGGGCTCAAAACAACAAGCAAAATGCCTCCTGCTCATAAATGGCCATCAGCAGATAGCAACTCATCTGTCTCCTGGGCAGTCTTGAGCCTTCCCCTTGACGCTCTTTAGCCCCATCTTTCAGCCACATGTCATGTTGTCTTATGACTTTACTCATTAGAGTGCCATCAGGGTTCATGCTACCTGGCTTCACTGGCAGAAAGGAATTTAAAGATGGGAAGATGGAGAAAGAAGGAGATGGTACAGGATGATTTGATCTGGAGGTCACAGTCCACTAGGGATGGCTTTTGTCCCAGGACAAGGTTGAAATGAATTATCTGCGATGAAGTACGAGGTAGGCATGATCCTGGAAATGTTTCTTACACATTAGATTACTAAAACTGCTTCCAGCTGGTCTCAACATCTCTGTTAGGAAATAGGCCACTCTCCAGCAGATGTTTCCACTGATGATAGTCAACCAGAATAGCCATTCATATGTCTCTGAGCGTGGTGGGCGCAATTCAGTTTTCTCTCCCAGCTTTCTTCATGCCAATAATACACCTTCAAGGTGGGCTACTTAGGTCTTGATGGTAAATTATAAAAACACTAAGGTCATAACATTCTCTAAACAAGAACAACTTCATCCTACTTCTATGCAGCTTCAGTTAATTTCTAAATTCCCCAGCACTGCAGGGACTCCCTACTTTCTACCCACCCCTAATTTATTTTTTATAAAACATGATCCAAATATATCATGGGAGATGCACCAGGCCTTTTCCTGACTTTCAAGTAATGCATTTTTGTGTAAACATGTTGCTTATGAAAGAGCCTTTCATGGATGCCTTGTGTTGCCTTTGCTCAAGAAAATACATTTTAAAAGAATTCTCCCCAGCCTGGCATGTAATCTTTCATTAGCCAACATAACCTTGTTTATTTGCTTTTTAAAATTTTATTTGGGAAAGGAAATCAATTTGCACCCCTGACATGCTGCCAGGTTCCTGTTTATATGCACACAATAGGCAGCTTGGAGGGGGTAAAAATATATAGTTTATGATTTCAGCATTAAGTGTGACACAATCTGTATATGAAACCATAGAGGCAGTCCTGTTTTCCTGTCCCTGCAGCCACACTGCAGTTTAAGCTTTTTATCGGAGCGTTATTTCAGTGTGCACAGAGGAAATGGTCTTAATCGTACTAGGCACTTTTAGTATGAGGACAAACTGTCAGAATGAAAGTGATTCTTTGCTGGATTTTGTTTGTTTGTATTTTCTTGTTTGTTCTTAGGAAAATACGTTAAGTGGCCGACTGGGACTCAGCCTTATAACTGGGCTATGCTTTGGGGAAGCTTGAAATGTCTTTCCAGAATAAAATGTCCTCAGGCTTCTGTGGTCAGAGATTCTTTGGCTGATGGGAGGTTGAGAGGACCCTAAGGTCAGTGTGTCCATCAAACAGAATTCCTTTCCCTTCACTCCAGTTTCCAACAGTAATATCCAGCAGATGGATATCTGCTGAACTTGACCCTCACTCCTGCCTCCTTTGAGTGGACCCCTGGGCTTTTCTCTTCCCCAAAGTGAAATAATTACCTTACTGATCCAGTGTATGGAGATCCAAATAGGAACATGAAATAAAGTAATTCCTTCCCCTTTGCAGAAATGACACTCTCTAAAATCACCCATCGTCACAAAAAAATCACTGAATTAGTAGTCAGGAGATCCAGATTCTAGTCCTACTCTTGCCTCCATTTAGATGTGGGCCACTGGTCTGGTCACACCATCTCTTTGGCCTCCACCTTCTTCTCTGTCAAGTCAGGGAGTTGGATTCAAGGCTCTCCATGGTATATTTCAACTCTGAAGTTCTGGGTGCAGGTACTGACAAGTTTCATTAAAGACATCTTCACCTCAGACTTGGAATTTCTTCCTTCCTGTCTCCCAGCTTGCATCCAAGCCAGACCCCCTGTTTTGGGTTTATCTATCTGAATTCCTGTTTCTGTTCCTGTTGGGGTGGAGCCTTCTCCCTTCCTTTTCACTGCCTTGGCTTCCTCTGTGTTAATAATTATCTTAACTTCCATGGATCTGCTTTTTTCTTTTCATTTTCCTAAGTTACCACTGAAACCTAACAATCAAATCTTGCATATTAAAAGTGTAACTCTACTGGGCAGCACCCATTTGGTTACAGACACTGTGCCTGGAGGCAGGACAGGGTCCCTTTCCATTCCACCCTGCTATTCACAAGGTCAGCTCTGGGCCACAGCCTCTTATTGGAGGCCCGGAGGGCGTTTCCAGTATTTTAAGTGACCCTTTATTTGGCTAAGTGTGCCACAAGCTCTAGGTATGCTCTATATGTGAATCTAGACTGTTCACATGAGCGAGTCAAGGAGGGAAGCGGACTTGGGGAGAGCTTGAATACAAGGAGAATCTTTCATTATTCATCTCTGCTAGTAATTAGAGGGCACTATTGAATAGATATAATTGGATCATGTCACAAAAATTAAGATAAAAGACCATAAGCACCCCATTCTGGCTCAGTGTTCCTCCCCTCTCCTCCGCCTTCACTGGAGTTTTGTTCAGCTGGTGGTAGGACTCAGCACACTAGAGGTCTTCCAGTTGTCATAGATCTATAAGCTGCATTGTGTGTGTGTGTGTGTAAATAAAAAGCTTCCTGCATATGGGTTTACCTAAACCTTTATCAAACATGGTGGTGTGCAAGGATGTTAGAATAAATGGAGCAACATACAAGACAAAGCATTCATGAGGGCTGGCAACTGTTCTCTCTTCCTGTGCCAGCAGATGTGAGATTAGTAGTTAGCTACCCAGAGAAATCAATACTAGGTACAACTGCATGATTGACTTGTAGGCAAAGCCACTTCACAAATGTGAAGATAATATAAGAAATTCAAATACTTTGTGGTTTATCTTTTGCCCTGACCATACCTTTTATCAATGATTATAAACCTTTAAAAAGGCGTTTTGTACTGAGATTCTATTTGACTTTTTAGGGAAGATTTAAATTTCTAAATCCATCCATAGGGTTTGAAAACTGTTTCATAAAGTGACTAGCAAACTATATAGGTGTGAAAAGACATCTATCTGAAAAACGTATTTCTTTACATATAGGGCTGTAATTTGATTTTTTTTAAAGTAACTGGACAACACTCAAATATTTACAAAACAGATCTTAGAGCAAAATAAAAAAAACAGGCAAACAAACACATAACTATCATTAGCATAAGAACATAAGCATCATCACAAAGGGAAAGTTACAAAGCCTTTTGTCCAGGAATTCACTTACTGAAAGCTCCAGCAATATGGGTGTTGTTCTTATGTGAATCCCTGATTCCCCTGAGATCTCATCTAGAGTTTAGGTTTAGAAATATTATTTCTTAGTCTATCAAAGAATCAGTAAATTTGTTCCACATTGAAGTTATCAGTAGAGCACAATAGAATGAAAATGAACTTAAAATGGAATGTTATAGAATGTTCCAGTTGCCGAAGACCAGGGACCTGCAGACTTAGTGGTTTTTCACAGGAATGAGAGGTTGCCAGGGAGAGTGCCTCAATAAAAATACGGATGTCACTGACATTAGCGCTTCTGCTTAGGGAGTCAACCCATATATCCTGGCTGTCTTAGGTAGAGAAATGCAGCTTCTAGATGTGCTCACTTTCCTCCTGCTCAGTAATTTTGGCAGAAAGTAGAGTTGAGCTCGGCACGGTAATGGCTTTATGGTACATAAACACCAGGTGCCAAATTCCATCTTCTGTGACTCCCACATATAAAGCTGTTCTTATTCTAAGCCCGATTGTTTCACCAGGAGGAATGTAGACAGATAGGAAGCTGTGGCCTTAAAGTGAGACCTGGTTTTCAGGGCGTGTAACTGGGTTCAGAGGAGCCACGCTTGCCCGAGCTCATCTTTGTGGGGTGGAGCCAGGTTACTTGGGCACACCATGGGATGGGTGCGTCTTAGCTCTGCCGTCTATTGTTTTTTTCAGCCCAATCATGATTTTTTAGGTGTGTGGGTCAATGCAAAGCCAGTTTATTTTTCTGTGTGTTAGGTTGATGGATGATTTTTTACCCTTCTGACTTAATTTTTCTTGTATAAATTTTCTCTAATGAACATGTGTATTATGGATATACTGGTGATAAAATAAAAATAACCTAAGTTTGATGAACACATAATTGTACTGGGTATTTTCTGATCACCTATCCAAGCCCATTCTGTCCCTTTTTGACTCTGTTCTTGCCCTGAAAGCCTGGCCCGTACACACAATCTTAATGAGCACCTTTAACTGGTGTTTTCCTGTTTAGTTTGGGCATATGGCTATGGAGGCATCACTGCAGGTTCCAGGAAGGAAGCAGGGAGACACTGGGCATCTATTCTCCTAGCTCCTTCAGTTGGCTGCTTTCTTTGACCAGGAGCCACAGCTCTGGCCACGTGCCCTCTCCCCACATGGTTCTCTCTTCTTCCCTGGTCTTACTGACTTCTCCCCAGCTTCCTCTCTCCTGAGTCCTGGTAACTTCTTCCTTCTCTTACTCTTGTAGGCCTAGGGATACTAACAGCTCCCTGCTGAAACTGGCCCCAGGGCTTTCCTACAATCTGTTCCCACCTTTGCAAAAAGTCTCTTTATTAAATGCTCCTCACATTACCCAGTTTGAAGGTACTAGCTGTTTCCTACTGGGATCCCAGATGTTAAAGTAGTCAAACTCTCTAATTGAAATTGTGCTTTTATATGCAGTCTTCTCAGACTAAAGCATCACCTTCTTTCTGTTTGAGTGCAATTTTAACAATACTGAGAAACAGTGGAATCTCACGGTACAATGAAGTGAAATGAAATTTTAAAAATTAAGGAATATGATAGCTTCAGAAGGCAGGGGATTATATACGAAAATGAATTCATGACTTTTAAAGAAGTATTTTAAAGACATGAGATCCCAGAGAAAGAAATCATAAAAGAGATCCTTGATGGTTAAGAAAAAAATAGAACCATTAGGTTTTCTGTGTGTGTGTTTTTTTTAATTCTTATTTGAAGAATAAGGATCAGAAATGATCTGGTGCTTTTGGACCAGAATAAGTGAGGGAGGATGTCATGAATGGGAAAGGATAGATTAAATAAGGGTGAAATTGGTTTCAAGGAGGCAGAGCTGTAATTTCTGATCAAGTGGTCAGGCCTCATATGTGAGCCTCATTGGAAGGTAACATTTAAGGAAACACTTGGAAGAGATGAGGGAAGGAACTGGGGATATGTGGGAAGAAGCCTTCCAGTTTAGGGGAATAGCTGGTGCCAAGGCTCCTGTGTGCTCACAGAATATCAAGGAGGTCCTTGTGAGTCTGCAACAACAGAGTGATGGGGTAGAGTAGCAGGAAATGAAATCACAGTGGTAATAGGTTATAGCATGCAGGTTTCTGGAGCACCTTACGGGAACTGTGAAAATGAAAACTACCTCAGTGACTCCTATTGCACCAGGGACCCCTAAGGATCCAGAGAACCCAAGTTGTGCTAGGAGAAATTGATGAAGTTTGCTTTCAATATTCAGACAGGATTTCTGGAAGTTTCTTTGGGCACTGTCATGCCCAGTTGTGGCCAGTGTATTATCCCCTGTGCTACATAACAAATGCTGTTTTGTTTGCTGTGATCAAGAGAAAAATGTTATCTCTTTAAATTCAGATGTCATAAAATAAGACAGACTAAGCCTCTCACTGAGTTTCTCTGTTGCATTGCTTAGTTTGGTTTTTGCTTTAAGAAAAAAGAAATACTGTTAATGACGACTAAGTTTGGTTGGAAGTAATGGTGGTTCAAAGGTACTTATTCCCCAGTAAAACACCCACTTCCCAGGGTAGAAATAGGCTGCTGAATTAACACTGATCATTAGAACAGCACAGCAGTAACTTACATTTGCAAGTACTAGACAATTTACAATGCAAGGCCATTCATGAAGAGCTACCTGACAGGTTCCACCAGAAGTGAAATGAAGCAGCAAGCATCTCTTTTCTCTATTGTTTTGGAAGAGGAAGTCTAACTTGTAGCACATTTTCCTTTCCACTGAAGATAGCATTTCTGTTTTATGTTGAGAGTATAATTTGCCAACTATTCCAGAATGCAGGTGCCCAACCAATGCTCCAGGCAAGGGAGTTTTCAAGCAATTTCAACTTAGCCAGCCCTACCCTCCAGCTCTTTTGGCCAGGAGAGAACAGGAGCTGAGAAAGGGGGGCTTGGGCAAGGGAAAGGCAAAGGCAAGTCTCTTCTCAGTTCTGTAATATATCATTAGCAGCTTTCCAGAGAGTGCTACATTTATATTTCTGGTCATTAAGTAGGTATGCATTGGAGTCTCTTTGAAATGCTGAAGAAATAGACCCTTCAGCATCCTTGTGGTACTTTTATACGTGTCCTTATTTTTAGTAACTTGGCCAATTTCTGGTAAGGAAGGGAGAGACATTTGTTTAGTAATTCTAGAATAGGCCATTTGCCTCTTGCACCGCCAGACTAGATTTGCAGTGTGCAAATGCTCAGCATTTCTCTGCATGTGCTGCGCCCCTTTCGTGATTTTAAATACCCTTTCGTCTCCCACACTACACAGGTGTGAGAGCTTGGCAAGGTCATTGTTGCCATCTGTTTATCTGCCCCACACCTGCCTCAGGACTCCTTTCCTCACTTGTTTCTAGTCACTTTGCTTTGGTTTTTCCTGTCGGTTTCCCAGTCACTTGGAAGGGCCCTCACTTCCATCAGTGGCTCTGGTTGACCAGACACATGGCAAATTGAGGAGACTGTTAAGCTGCTTGCTGGCCTCTGCGTGTTGATATGACTTAGGATAACTCAAATCAGCATATAGGTTTTTTGTTTGTTTGTTTGTTTGTTTTTTGAGACGGAGTCTGGCTGTCACCCAGGCTGGAGTGCAGTGGCATGATCTCAGCTCACTGCAACCTCTGCCTCCCAGGTTTAAGCGATTCTCCTGCCTCAGCCTCCTGAGTAGCGGGGATTACAGGCATGTGCCACCACACCCAGCTAATTTTTTGTATTTTAGTAGAGACGGGATTTCACCATGTTGCCCAGGCTGGTTGCAAACTCCTGAGCTCAGGCAATCCGCCCGCCTCAGCCTCCCAAAAAGCTGGGATTACAGGCGTGAGCCACCACGCCCAGCCAATGTTATCTTTTTAGATTAGGATCATAGGCTTAAGATGACCACGTGCCTGACTTAGACAAGAGGAAATTGTCTATCAGTTGCTGTTTAGTCACATTTCAACGCCTCAAAAATCACAGTTCATTTATCTATCCAACCAATGGTAATTTATATAGTTCTGTGCCAGGCACTGAGCTAGGTGCTAGCGATAGAAGAGAAAACAAGAGGCTGTGTTCCTTTCTTCCTGGAATTGATTGTACAGTGAACTGGAAATAGTAGTAATAACAATCGCACATTGTGAAACATGCTATAGGTGAAAGGACTGGGGTGCTGAGTAGAAGATAACAGGTGGAATACCTTTAGTTAGGGAGGTGACGTTTAAGATGAACCTGAAAAGGGGAGAGGAAGCTAATCATTCTAAGAATAAGAGGATGTCAGAGCAGAGAAGAGCAGGGCTGTAAGATAATATGTATGTTACTAAAGCTCTTTTCAAACCATTGCTTTATCTTTACTTTGTAGGTCAAAGGAAGCAAAGGTACATGATCCTCATTTTGTACTTGAGAAAATGTCATTGATTGATCAATCAACAGATTTATTGCTTAGAGGACAGGATTTAGCTAGGCAGAGAGAAGGAGAGGAAATTCTAGGCCTGGGGCATGTACAGGCAAAGGTATGAAGGTGAAAATTTGAAGTCACTAGTTGCGTAATGAATAGACCAGTGTGGCTGGAGTTTAGGGTTTGCACAGGGGATAGTGGTAGGAGATGAGGCTGGAAATATAGGGTCTTGAAGGCAAGGCTAAGTGTGGGCTTTTACTGATGGTAATGGGGAGCTATAGCAGGTTTCAGAGCTGGAGAGTAGCATTAGGAAAGTGCTGAATTACATCAATTAATTGGAGAACAGGGTCTGGAGTGTTCTGGGAGGGACTAAAAGGATTGGAAGCCAGGAACCAGGCTCCTATATCAGTAGGAAGCAATTGTATGATCAGGACAGGAGGTGACAGACCTCTAAAGCTAGTGGGATGGTCAAGAAGAGGCAAGGCAGATGTGGGAACCATGAAGACAAAATCGACAGACTGGAGAAGTTCAGCAGGATCATGTGTTTAGTGGTGGAGTTTGGATGAAAACACAGACCTGCTGACCAGCCCTTTGCCCTTCAGAACATGGTATAATTGGCTCTCGGTGACACATCTTTCTCTGCTTCCACAGTGTGTGTGCGCGTGTGTGTGTGTGCGCGCGCGCGCGTGTGTGTGTGCGCGTGTGTGTGTGCGTGTGCCTGCGTGCGCGTGCGTGCGTGCGTGTGTGTGCGTGCGCGCGTGCGTGTGCGTGTGTGCGCGTGCGTGTGTGCGTGCGTGTGTGTGCGTGTGTGTGCGTGTGTGTGTGCGTGTGTGCGTGCGTGTGTGTGCCTGCGTGTGCGTGTGTGTGTGCGTGTGTGCGTGTGTGTGTGTGTGTGTGAAGGTATTTTTCAGATTCATGTGTTTTTCATCCCTTCTCTTCCCTACTTTTCATATTCCTTCTAAGCTGGAGGCTAACTGTAGTAAGGAGAGTGCTGACTTTTTATTTTCTCTTGTTCCACAGCACTCATTGTACTGTTCTATATATTCACTCAGCAAACATCTATGTGGTGGGCATTGTATTAGGCCCTGAGGACAATGGTAGGAAATCAGACCCTGTCCCCATCATCAAAGTGTTCAGAGCTAGAAGGAAGACTGACTTGAAACATAGTATATATACCAGTGTGTTCTAAGGGCTTTGAAAGAAGTGTGTGTGGGATAAGGTGGAGGACCAAGGAGTAGTTAGCTGATACTATCTGGTGTTAGCATTGATAGTAATGATGATGAGAATAGTGATAATTAGAATAATGGCTGCTAACGTTTATTGGACAGTTAATTATCCAACACTGCATTAAATGCTATGCTTGTATTACCTGATTTAATCTTTACAAAAACCTTATCAGATAGGGTTGTCTCTATTTAACAATTGAGAAAACTGAAGTACAGAGAAGCTATAAGCTTGCTGAAGATCAGACATCATTCATTTACTTGCAGAATAATTGAATCCATTGCTATCTACCAAGCACACAGCATGGAGGCAGGCACTGGTTATTTTCAGGTGAACACATCATGTTTTCTGCTGCAAGAACAGTGAACAGTTATGTCATTTTTATTTTTCGAGATGGAGTCTCACTGTGTTGCCCAGGCTGGAGTGCAGTGGTGCAATCTCAGCTCATTGCAACTTCTGCCTCCCTGGTTCAAGCATTTATCCCTGCCTCAGCCTCCCAAGTAGCTGGGATTACAGGCACCCACCACCATGCCCAGCTAATTTTTGTATTTTTTAGTAGTGATGGGTTTTCGCCATGTTGGCCAGGCTGGTCTTGAAGTCCTAACTTCAGGTGATCCGACTGCCTTGGCCTCCCAAAGTGCTGGGATTACAGGCGTGAGCCACCAGCCCTGCCAATTACATCATTTTTAATGGCACGAGACTAGTTTCTAATGTCCAAGATTTTGGTGGATACGTCAATCACAGAAATTTGCTCAATCTTGATTCCAGTAACCCGAATAAAGTAGAGCTATTTCTCTCCTTTTAACCCATATGATTATATTTAGCAAAGACAACCAAGACAGTAATGTGGGAGATGAGAACAGAAACATGGACAATTCAAGGCATTAAGAAACTGACCAGGAAGGGGCAGAATCTTTCTTTGAGAGACACTTGGAAACTGTTTCTCACAGTCAAGGGTGGCACCTGAGAAGATATTTATTGTCTTGAGTATTCGACTACAAGATTAAATGAATAGCTATAAAATGCTCACAGGGATGGTTCAGAGCTCCATTGCCTCAAACCCAGTATTAGAAAGAATGACAGAGTTCTGGGGATTGGAGGGGAGCCTCAGCAACCTGGGCAGATCTTGCTGCTCAGGAGCTGACAGCCTCAAGTCTAGAACCTCACTTATGGGGGCCGTCTGCTTCTGGCAATGGGTGAGGGGGCTAAGGCCACTGATGATTATATCAGTGTGCAAGCTGCCTCTCTACCTACTGTGATGTCTTCCCTCAAGTCAAAGGGGAGCTGCCTATGCATGCAGCATGACTTTTAGATAAGGGACACTAATCAGACATTTTGAAATGAATTCATGGTGTATATCCAAGTTTTTCCAGCTGTAAAAGTGGTGATGATGACATTGATCCAAATTAGTGGTATGCCAGATATACTGTTGTATATTTCTCAGACCACATACCAATATTAATTAATCACTTATTTATAGTGCCCATTTGTAAGAATAACAGGCATACCTTATTTTCTACCAAGTCACTTTCTACAAAAAATATTTGTACCACAAGACTTAGAAGCAGCAGGGCTTAGTGGTGATGAGCCTGGTTAAGACGTCTGAAGCCAAACTGCCTAGAGCTGAGCTTTTCCACTTATTGGCTGTGTGATTTTGAACAAGTCACTTAACCTCTCTTTGCCTCAATGTCCTCAACTGTATAGTAACCATATATCTACCTTCTAGACTGATGATAAGAGTTAAATGAGTTTTCTGACATACAGTAATGCTGTATCAGTGTTAGCCATTATTAATATTACTAATATTAATATCAGTCATGGGGAGCAGCCACCAGACTGTACATTTTGTCTCTGAGCCTCATGTTCTGGACTTTACTGAAAGGAAAGAAGTACATTTTTGTTTTCAGACGCTGTGCTGGGACATCCGTCATCTCACATGATTCTGATGCTAATCCTGTCCTTTCGATGATTATCTCCATTTTAAAGATGAGAAAGGTATGGCTCAGAGAACTTAAATTTTGTGCCCCAGACATGATGGAGCTGATGCAAACTTGATCCTAGGTCTGGCCCATCCTAGTGCTTATGTTTTTCTTTTATACTATGGTACCTCTTGGAATTTGTCAGAGTTAAGTAGCAAACTGAAAAAGCAAAATGAATGAATGAATTAACTGCGAGACAGGGTCTCACTCTGTCACCCAGGCTGGAGTGCAGTGGTGCAATCACGGCTCACTGCAGCCCCAACCTCCTGGGCTCAAGTGATCCTCCTGCCTCAGTCTCTCAAGTAGCTGGGACCACAGGTGTGTGCCACCATGCCTAGCTAATTTTCTTAGTGAAAAAGCAGAATTTAAATATGTGTATCAAGGCTAGAGTTTTCATAGCCCCCCTGTGCTCTCCTCTCCTTTCTGAAGAGGTGACTTGAGATGGTTTCTTACCTTGTGTGTGTTTCTTACCTGCCCTGTGTTACAGTGCTGCGGAGAATGCTAGGAGGGAGAGGTGGCCTGCATGGTCCCTGGTGCCCTCCTCTACTCCATGTGTCCTCTGATACCTCACTACCCCCTTGGTCATGGGGCAGCCTGTCCTCTTAGCAAGATCCAAAAAATACCTGTCCTGATAGATAGCTCCTGAGAGCACCAAATGGAGGAATCAGGGCTCTTTAACATCTTTTCTATACCTCCAGAAAGCCTAGTAGCTTCCAGAGGGTTAGAACCTTTGTTATTCTGTGAATGTCTTGCATATCTTTTGGATGCAGTTCAGGGATGTTTACATCTGGGAACTTCTGAAAGTCTTCATAACTGCCCAGGCATCATTAAGATGCAGACAACTCTAAGATTGCACAACTCGTAAATGCGAGTTAAGATGACCCTGGCTCTTTATGGAAAATCCCATAAAGTCTCTACACAGTGGCAGTTGGATGGAATATAGATTTGCAGATAACATTTTGAGACCTTACAGGAATCAACATCATTTTGCCTATATGCTCCAACCTTCACTTTCAATTGTGGTCCATTCCCTTCATCCTTCATTACCACACCCTGAAATTATAGTTATTTTTAAAAACACGGATGTATGTTTATGTGCATCAGATTGTTTTTTTGCATTTTGTATTCCAAGCCCATGCATGCAGAAAGACAATTACCACTCTACCTCAAGCTCAGGAGTATGCAATCAAGACTCATTATTCTCCTGCTTCTCATTTCATTCACACCCTTTATGTCTCAGAACAATAATGAATGGAGAGCAAAGCATCCCAAGATACTTGAGGAAAGGAAGAAGTCAAAGGACATGCTGAGAAATGTGAATCAAAGAGGGAGAAATTTCGGTGAAGATCGTTTGTTTAAAGTGGAGCTTTCATCTTTGGTGGTTGGGAGATTGTACTTTTTGTTAGATCTGTTTCTTGAATCATGATCCCTTGGGGTTTGGCAGAAAGCTATAATTTTTGGGAGGCTCACTTCTACAAAAGCTTATGGTTATGAAGAAAAATCAACGTTTGTAGGTCCATGAATCAGAGTCTAAAAAGTCTGTTTGGATATTTAGTGTCTCATAAAATATAACATAGGAAGAGACTTGTGGAGTGTCACAGCTGGAAAAGATCATGAAGACCATGTGGTCCAGCCCCCTCCTTTAATGATGAGACTACTGAGCCCAGCGAGGTTGAATGATTCATCTAGGTTACATGGCTACAAGGAAGGGTAGACAAACTGGACTAGAATAGACCTCTTAACTCCCAAGCCTGTATATTTTCAACACTATTACACATTACTAATCATTTGGAAACATTTGAGCCAAAGCAGGAACCATGTATCATAAATGAGAGAATCTTAGCAATAGAAGAGACCTTGGAGGTCATCTGGTGCCATCTCCCTTCTGAGGCAGGAATCCTTTTGGTGACGTAGCTGACAAATGGCCACTCATCCTGGCTTAACTCTAGTGCCAGGAAGCTCAGTATGTTACAGGCAGCTTGTTGTGTCTTTGGAAATCTCTACATATTGGTAAATTTGTTCGGACAGAAGGTCATATCTGTACCTTGAAAGTATCACCCCATTAGGAGTGAGGGTGACCAGAGGTGAGTGGCATGGTATTGGTGATGGTGAGAAGTTTTACTCTTTTTCTCATCTTAAAATAAGGATAGTAATGCCTACCTCTAAGGATCATTGGGAAGACTAGAGATGTGGTTTATAAAGCATCTACCATCGTGCCTGCTTCAACGTAGGTATTCAAATTGTAATTATTATTGACTTTTATCATCATGATTACATTTTTGAAATTATGCCCTCTGGCTGGGTGCCGTGGTTCATGCCTGTAGTCCCAGCACTTTGGGAAGTGGGTGGATCAAAAGGTCAGGAGTTCAAGACCAGCTTGGCCAACATAGTGAAACCCCATCTCTACTAAAAATACAAAAATTAGCCAGGTGTGGTGGCACGTGCCTGTAGTCCCAGCTACTCAGGGGGCTGAGGCAGGAGAATCGCTTGAACCCAGGAGACAGAGATTGCAGTGAACCGAGACTGCGTCATTGTACTCCAGCCTGGGTGACAGAGCGAGACTCTGTCTGAAAATAAAAAACAAAAGAAATTATGCCATCTGGAGCAACACAGACTATGTCTAATCTTGCAAATATTTTAAAGCAGTTAGCATGACCCTTTAAATCTCCTCTTCAGACTAAATATTCTCTGATTCTTCTGCTCTTCCTGTGATATATTTTGGATGCCTTTATTCACACTTATTTGTCAATTTTCCCCCTAAAATGTGGTGGCCAAATGTGGCCAATCCAATGCACTCTACAATGGAATAATTACTTCTCTAGATCCGGATGTTTCACTTCTCCTAAAGCAACCTAGATTTATGTTAGCATTTTTGGAGGCCAGATCATACAGTTGGCTCAAGTAAAACCTGATTCTCCTATCCAGAACATTAGCTATGCCTCCCAACTTTGTGTCAACTGCAGATTTGACAAGCATGATTTTTACATCTTCATCCAAACTGTTGATAAAAAATGTTGAAGAAGAAAAGGCCAAAAGCAGCTTTGAGGAACACCTCTGGTCTTTCCCTGCATATTGACATCCATCCATCCACTAGTTTGGTGACATTGTTTCACCAGCTTCACATCTACCCCTCTGTACTATCAGAAATAACTCAGCAAGATAGAGTCACTCTTTGTGTTTTTGAAATTGGAGACTTAATTTATCTAGAGGTAAAACGCTATTTCTTTATCAATGAAGACAGGTTTTGAACCCATAATTGGGACAATGTGAACTCAGGAAGTAATTTCATGTTTGAGTTACTATGTAAAGCTTAAAGAAAAAAAAATCGCCTTCTCTTAATGTGAAGTGATAATGCTTTTGCTGGGTTGTTTATTTTTCCAAAATGTTTTGAAATTACTCTCTGGGTTTTGGAGAAGACTGGAGAATTTGCAGATTTTGTGTGTTGGGTAGAGAAGAGATTACAGGAGAGTTAGAATATGTCTTTCAGGAGCTTTTTCCATTTCTGGTAGAGATCACAGAGATGAAGAGATGCCTTTAAAGTGTTGATGAAGGAGAGTGTTGGATATATTCCTAGATAGTGATTAGTATTCTTTTTGGTGATTCTCAGAGAAGATTCTTAAACTTTTGGGGGAGAGGGGATTACTTCTTTCTCTTATTTAACATGCTTTACTCTGAAGAAATTAAACCTATTCTTTGTGCCGCAGCATAAGTCAGTTTTCTTTGTCTTTTTCCATGGTGGATGTAAACAATGGTGGTTGTCATCATTTGAGCCAAAGTGCTCAAAGATTGGAAGCTCAACTCTCAGCATCTTCCTTCATTGGCCCCTGTAACATTTTAAAAAAGGTTTTACTTTTTACTATATATTCAAGGCTTGTGGCTTTCTTCTTAATCCTGATCCTCTCTTTTTCCTCAGCCCATAACTGAACCGTAATTTAACAATACCTTAATATCTAAAACTGCATTATTGCATACTTGCAGATTGCAAGATGAACAGACAGGACATTAGCACTCTCGAAAATTGACCAGGGAACAAAAAGGTAATGTTTCATCATATGGAATATTCTAGGAATGTTATAGTTCACCCATTCACTCAATAGTTATTGAGCACTCTGATATATCAGGCACTAAGCTAGGCAATGGAGACATAATGGGGAGTAAAATCAGATTTAGTTTCTTCTCTCACTGGGCTTACCGTCTAGGGGAGAAACAGCTATTAATCAAATAATCAAGAAGAATTGTAAACCACTGTACTGTAAAGGAAAAGGAGATGGTGCCCATCACTTCGGTGAGTGTGGGCAGGAAAGGTTTGCCTACATGATGATTGATTCTGAGGTCTGAAGGTGGAGGCAGGGCAAGGGCATTGGCGTTAGAAAGCAGCATACAAGGCCCGATGCTGGAATGCAGCATGGTTAGTACGAGGGTAGGAAATATCTAGAATGTGGAATGAATCACATAGAGCAAGAGTGGAGGTGGTGTGAGTTGAGCTGGGAGGTAGGAAGGGTCCCACACGGACTTCAGAGGCCATACAAGGAGTGCTGACAGTGTCTTCCAAACCGATGGCTTAGGGTGTGTGTTCTGGGGAGTGGGTGGGAGGGGAACCTCACAAATGCTGTGTGTAATGTGATCACTTTTGCATTTTGAGATCACAGTGGCTATAGTATGGGAAAAAGGAGGAAAAGAAGCCAGAGTGCATGAAGGAGAACATTGTCTAGACAAGGATAGAAGATGATGGCAGTTGGTTATAGGTTGGTGGAAGGATGGACGGAAAGATTGGAAGAGATGAGGGACACTTAGTTAAATTTGTAGGACTTGGAAACTGCCTAAGAGGGTGATGGAAAAGAGGCATCCAGGATAATTCAAGGAGAGTCATATGTCTTATATTTTTCTTTGCGAATTTAAAGATTGTGATCTTAAAAATTAAATTGTACAGCATCAATAATTCTAAAAGGAGAGTCAAAAATGGTTCTGTGCCTTGGATCTATTATTGATAGAGTAGGTGACTATGAACAAGATGAAAAATGTTAAGTGTCTTTGAACTTAAACAATGGACTAAATGGTACCTATAGTTTCTGACCTCCTCAAGACCCAGGGAAATAAGTTTGTCAAGGTTCAGTTTCAAAAGAAATAACACAAATCATTTTTAGTCCAATTCTCTAAATCTCTAGATCCTATAAAAAAACGAAAGTGTGTTCCTGCACTGCCACCAATGCACATTGCCATTTCCTTTCATCCTACTTTACCCAATCATAGTGTTTTCCCACATCAGAAAAATTTTCCAGTGTATAAGAGAAGCCTTTGGACTGTGAGTATATATAAGCCTGTTCCTGCCTTTGGGGTCCCACAACGACACAGTAGGCTCACAGTCTAAGCCAGGTGCCCAGTTTCCATCTGGACTCCTGACAAACTGTGTGGTCAGGATTTAGAAATCAGAAACCTGGGAAAGGTGCAATGTGATGGACACAGCCACCCCAAATACCGTATATGTTATCACCATCGTTTAACACGTAGTGCAGGAAATCCTTTTCTTTGCCAAAGAACTTCAAAGGACCACTTCTAGTTCTCTTGGGTAACATTTATTTTTTCTTTGCTAACACCAAAGCGCAGACAGATACATATTTTTTCTTTAGTAAATTGCTAGTGGCACTCCATTTTTTTCCCTCCCATCTTCAACCCATTGTCCAATAGACCTCTTAAATTTCCCCACCCTTCTAGGCTGAAGAGCTGTATCTTGCCACTTATAAAGACTTACTTATTGCCCTTACCTATTACTTTGTTTGGCCAAGCACTTTCTCTTTCTTTTCTTTTCTTTTTTTTTTTCTTTTTTAGAGACAGAGTCTCACTCTGTCCCTCTGTCTGTAATGTGGAGTGTAGAGGTGTAATCCTGGCTTACTGCAGCCTCAAACTCCTGGGCTCAAGTGATCCTCCTGCCTCAGCCTCCCAAAGTGCTGACATTACAGGCATAAGCACTACACCGCTTTCTCTTTCTTTATTGGGTTCTAAATTTCTTTCTCACCTTTCGGTCCCAATGTGTTGATCAGCCTTCTCTGCTCAGTGTGAATTTTCTCTGGGTGTCTGAGTAACTTTCTTTTCTATGAAGACCTATCTCGCATATTTTACTTACTTTTGAATTTTAAACATATAAGCCTTCATTTGAAGGCATCAGAAATAAATACATGATATTAGGTCCTATAAGTGACTCAGACATCTCATGTTCTTTCACTGGTTTATTCATGCTATTAATATACATCTGTGGAATGCCTACTATGGTCCAAGCACCACGGGATAGAGTTGTGAATACAAACATCCTATGTTCCAGAGGAAAAGACATGGAACAAGTAACTAGACGCTTGATTATTGTTCTGTGTTTCCATTACTCCATGCATTGTGAGAGATGGATTTTATGAAAATACAGCAGAAAGCGGCAACTCTTATTCTGATCGTTGGATCCCATATGTCTTGTCATGTATTCCAATCACGCATCCTCATTCCACAGGTTGTTGAGCTTGTGTCCTCAGTCCTGAGATTATGATTTGGAAAGGTAGTCGTTTTCTTAAAAAATGTATATATATGGTTGGGCACTCTTATAGGACTAAAAATGAAAGGGAAAAAGCCAGTGTGCTTGTCATGCAAAGCAGGATGCAGAGTGACTATTCACTAAATCACAGTATTATGCACTTACCACAAAAATCATTTTCAAATCTGATATTCATCCTTCAAGTCAGAGAAGGCAGGCACTAAATATCTCTGATGCAAACCTCACATCAGGATGGCAGCAGAGTGGTAAGGAAACTTTAAGGCATTTTCTCACATGCTTTACTCTAAGGGTGAGTAGTTATTTTTCATCTCCTCGTAGCTGTATGTTATAACAAGATGAATGGGCCTATGGCTTGCCGGAAGCCATAACTCTCTATGTAGTTGACATGACTAGATTCCCAGTTTTGGCCTTTGAGAGCTTGAGAGTAGAATAAAAACATTGACTCCTCCTGACCTTTCCCCTGTGTCTTCTCTGGGCAGAATATCTCGATGCATAATGCAGTTGGTGGGGCCATGACGGGGCCCGGAACTCACCAGCTTAGCAGCGCTCGGCTGCCCAACCATGACACCAACGTTGTGATTCAGCAAGCCATGCCGTCGCCTCAGTCCAGCTCTGTCATCACTCAGGCACCTTCCACCAACCGCCAGATCGGGTAAGGAGCCCTCCTTGGCTGCCCCTGGGTCCTGGCTGGAACTCAGGAAATGTCCTGGACTTCCTCCTGGTTTCTGGTGCTCAGATTGGTTGGTTTTTCTGGCTGTCATGATATTGCCTAGAGCTCAGAGTGATGCTTTTGATGGGAGAAGGGAGGAGTCTCTGCTTGGTAGAAGCTGTTTTGATCTTGGACTTTGGGTGGTAGGGGTAGGGTGGGGAGCAAGTCATTCTGTGTCATCATTTCTTCAGACAAGATTTATGAACTTTAAGATGACTGTGGGAAAACCCATGGTTGTTATGGAGACCAGAGTATAGTGCGCAGAACAAACATGGTGGAGGGAAGTTCTACCAGCTCAGCCTTGTCTCCAACAGAGTGTGCCCTTCCCTTCCTGGGAGCTGCCACACTCATCACCTCATCTTCTGTGTACAGCAATCCCTCCCTGTCCGTGAGAGATAAATTCCAAGCTGCCCAATGGATACCTGAAAGTGCAGATAGTACCAAACCCTGTGTGTGATATGTGTTTTCCATCTGATAACTGAGATAGCTATTAAGTGACTACTGGGTGGGGCGTGTCCACAATGTGGACACGGTGGACAGGAGGGATGATTCACATCCTGGGGGGCATAGCTTGGGACAGCATGAAGTTTCATCATGCTACTCAGAATGGTGAGCAGTTTAAAACTTGTGAATTGTTTATTTCTGGAATTTTCCTTTTAATATTTTTGGACCACGATTAACTGAAACTGTAGAAAGCAAAACCACGGATAAGGGGGACCACCATATTTCCACAGTCGTCCCGCCCTCTGCTTATTCTTCCCTGCTTCTCCTTCTTGTAACTGCCTCCTTACTAGCCCTCTCCTTCCTGTTACTGCCTCCTTATTAGCCCTCTCCTTCCTCTACATTGGTCCATGCTGATTTCTGGAGTAGACAAAGCAAAGAAAGCAGGCCCCTCTCTCTCATTTATGCAAATGGTCAATACTGAGGCATTGAGGAAAAATTGGTAGAAAGATCCTGTCATTGAACACCAGATACTCCATGTCATGTGATGGAAAGAGCTTTCCCTTCTGGGTATCCTGTGTTAGCTCTAGCCCCTCGCAATGTGCCAAGTGTGGTCTGAGGATCCGCAGCGTGGGCATTTCCAGGGAGCTTCTCAGAAACGCAGAATCTCTGGCCCAGCTTCCTTATCCCCAGAATGAGGATGGTGTCTGCTCTTTCCAGCCTCATGAGAGTAAAGATGAAATAAAAGATTTAAGAGCACATGGGTTCTTAGGAAGAAAAGGTAATAACTTTAAGCCAAAGAGCTGTGATACAGTTCTGTTGCTGGTCGCTGAGAACTGGCTGCTCTATGCTTCCAGAATTCTGTTTAAAATGAGAAGGGGCGCTTGCTGTGTTTGGTATGTGCATCAACATTCTGTTTGAATTTTCAGTCAAATATTGGAAGTGATAATTAAAAACTTAGAAACTGCTCCACAATTTGTCAGTAGGTCTTTTCCCTCTTGTTTTTCGGTGTTATAAGAATTCCAGACCTGCAGGGAACACTGGCTTATTCCTCCCTAGGATATTCCAGAAGGGGCACCTTGTCTCACATTTTCAACTTACCAGGAATGGCTGTGATACGTTAAGACCCACCTTAAGAAATGAGAGTAATGGGTAATGGGTAATGACCATTTTGTGAGTTTGCTGTGGGTGCGTTTGGTTTTCTATTCAAGAAACAGAACATTAACCTGGCCCTTCGAATGCTCGGCTTTGTTGAAAGGAGTCAATGCTAGGTTGGTAAGTGTCTCTGCTAAAGATTTCTTTTCTTCTCAAATGACCATGAGAGCAAATGTTGCTGCTATCTAAATCAAGAACCCATAGAGTGCTAAGAGGGTGGAGTAGATTCATTAAAGACAGCATCTAAATCTCCAGGGACTTCTCTCAAGTGGCTTGGCTTTCAGCAGACAATTCACAGTTATGCCAGCTAATTATAATTATTTTATTTTTCTTTCAAGGGGAAAAAACATAAAATGTGCTAGAGTTTACTAGCAGTTTTACAGCATTCCTTCCCCCCTGGAGTTCTCCTGCCTCCCTCTCCCTGCCACCCCCCACCAACTACCCTTTTGGAGGCCCTTAGTATTCAGCCATTGTTAGCACAAAGCTGGTCTTTATGAAACAGTCTTTTGAGGGCTAGCAATAAAGTTTAAGATGAGTGCTGACTCTGTTGATAATTTACCCAGCTGGCCCAGGACTGTACATTTGGGTGACATTTGTAGGCTGTGTCACCATGCCTGGATGGAGGCGGGTGTTTCTGTGGTATGGACGCCTTTTGGACACACTCCATCTTCCCATTTATTCTCCAGCCTGGGGTGTTGTGTGTCGCTCCTGGTGTGTTCTAGGAGATAATTGTCACTTTTAGGACTCTGTCTCATTGCCAAGCCCGAGGGAGGCTATTTCTTTTATTCAGATTCCTCCCTGGTGTGTTTGCCATGTTGATTCAAACCCACACATCTTGTCGTTTCCATTTTTCTCCATCCAAAACCTTGCCCGGATGATCCTGGAGACTCAGCAAGAAATAACCCAACCCATCTCACCAGTGGATTCAGTATGAAACTCTAGGTGGTAACATTTGGGGACGGTTGACTCTTTTATTTCTCTCAGGAAAGAGGAAATGAGTACTTATTTGAAAACACGAGTTCCCTCTGGAGACTGTGTCTTTAAATGAGCATTTGAAATTGCAGATAGCTTTTTTTTTACTTTATTTTTTTTGAGGCTGCACAGAACCATATTGTAGTAATATTCTGATTTTTATCACAACCTCAAATATTTAAGTGTCAAAATCTGGCCAAGCCACCTGCAAATGTTTGCCATGGCTACTGGCCAAGAAAAACAGCAAACAGCAATGAAAGTCTTCATTCAGGCTCAGTGCTTAAGCTGCATCCAGCCAGAAAGGCTGGGACCCACCTGTGCCCACGCATAGTGCTCTTGTGCTGCGGCCAGCGGGTGTGTTCATGGCTGAGACTTTGTGGGAGAAGGGGCCACCTGGCTCCTGCTCCCCCCTCTTCCCTTCCCTTCTATCAGTGCTTGGCTGCTGCAGGCAACCCCAAGTTTTCGCTCTTCTCTGTCTCCCTCTTTTCACAGTACAAAATTTAAGCTTGGAGGCTTGAATGTATTGAGAGAGCTATCAACATAAAGGACTTGAAAATGGGAGTAGTGCCAGTTATCAGGGAGGACTTTGGGGACAAAGGGTAGGCATCCTCATAAGCATTTGATTTTCATGCTTTTTGAACAGGCACTGAGCCAAACCAGACCAAAATGAGTGCAAATGCAAAAATCCAAAGAAGTAATGTTAAAAGGAAGTAGACAAACAACACGTGCAACTTCCATTCCATACCACAGCAATCCATACCATGCCCTGCGCTCAATTCTGTGAAAGTAGTGCCATTACCTCAATAGAAACCAGAGGTAAATATAAATATCTCAAATTGCTCTTGTGTGGTTGGGCAGACTAGAAAAACACACAGCTATGGAGAGTGTGGGAGGCATCCCCAAACTAGTGACTACTTGTGCTTAGTCAAACTGGCAGACGCTCTGCCGGGAAGAGTGTCTTTGGCTGATTGATGGTAGCGTTTTCAGAGATAAGTTTCCCAGATGGAAAAAAAGAGTGAGCCATGGGCTGTGGGGAAGACAAGTGAGACAGAAAACAAGCATGTATTAAATAGAGATAAAATCGATCCAGCCTTGAACCAAATATGTGGCAGAATCCAAACAGTATCTCTCCTCCAGTCATTTTTATTAGCTATCATGTAACAGGCTCATTAATTCAGGATCAAGTCAGCAAAGCCTGGGAAAATGGCAGAAGGGTAGGTAGCACTACTGGAAGTTAACACACTCTCTCTGTCTCTTTGTTTCTTATCATCTAAGACATTTTTGTAGGAGTCAATAATCCGTTGAGTAGATGGCTATAATCTTAATAGATCCCAGCTTTCTTAACTAAGTTGATTCTTCTTTATGGATAAGTGATAGTATATAATTTACACTCAGTAATTCTTCAGGAGAGCAATGAAGATAATATGGAATTTGGAGTTCTACAAGAATGGATATCAGTACAGAGCTCTGACGGGTTATGGGAGACGCTTCCAAAATATTCTACATATTTTTTTCTTACCTTTTACTTCTTTGTAGGGCACTGGCCAAATATATCTAACATTAGAATATACAAATGTGGAGTATTCTGGTTAAGAGAATGAATTGGCCAGCTGCATCAGGAAACTCAGAAATATGTTCAACAGAATGCATATATGAAGACATTTACGTAAAAAAACCCTCCCTGATTTTACACCAATTTTAATCCTGGAACATATATTTCCACATGATGCGTAACTTAGGCATTTGGTTATAAACCCTATTTGCATGGGGCTGTAGCTAGACAACAGAGACATAAAACTTAGCCAGAAATTTATATAAAATATCATAGAAGAAAATCTTGTTTTATGTAAAGATGAAAAGGTGCCAAGACTTATAAATTGTACCTCCTCTTACCTTTTCTGTGCCTCTTTATCCCTTTTCTCTTTGCAATCCCAGATGCTATGTGTCATGCAGAATATTAGATGTAGTTCAATGGACATGGCTGAGGAAAACAAACAAGCAAACAAAGAAAAATAATAATAAAAAGAAAAGCTGATTACATCTCAAAATTTGTTGGTGGCAGAAGCAATGCTACGAGTCATGTGGCTTTGCTGTGTGAGTTCACGTTCCTGCCCAGTGTTCCCTCAAGATGGGAATGTTAATACATTTGAGGGTTTTGTGTCATTGTTGCTGGGGGTGGGGAAAGAACAGTAGAGAAGTGGGTAAATGATGCCATCACTGAAGGTCATGGCTTAAAGAAGACCTAAATGACAAAGCAGCTTACAGGTTAAGAATGTGTTTGCCCTGTCAATGCATATGCGTATGAATCTATTTTTAAGAGCTTCCTAAAGCTCCTCAAACCAAAGTGAGCATGAGTAAGACTGTCGCTATCTACCACAGGCTAATGCTGGGGATATTCAGGCCAGCCTCCTTCCTGCTGGAGACAGCGGGGCAGCAGGTCCCGGCTTGTCACTGGTCCTCAGCCCTTAGCCAGGACAACTTGAAGCCCCTTTGAGTAATGCAGACCAGAAGTCATTATTTCCTGCTTTGTGTTTTGCTGAATATCACGGCTATGAACATAGCTTTATTGTTGGAAAGTTGCTGTATCTTTCACAGCCCCGAGAACATTTACGAGGGCCCTTCTGGGGGATGCTTTCTGGGAGGGTTGACAGACTTAACCATATGGCTCCCGTTAAATCCCATGCAGAGCCTTGAGAAATTACCTCTGACAAGGGGGCCGGCAGCCTTCCACTCACGGGGTTTTATGTGTGGAACGAAACATAAAGTACTGATACTTGAGGAAATATAATGTTTCTTAACATTCAAAAGTTGTAACACCACATGGTATTGTGGTCAGATGAAGGGGGTAGAGCCAGAACATGGGAGCAAATGGCTGGGTATTCTGAGAGGCAGAAAAATACCCCAGCTCTCGTCTTCGAATCTGGTCCTTGCCTCTGATTCTTCAGGCAAGCATTGTGTCTTAGTGTCATCTCAGCTTCCCACCTGGAACACAGCAAGCCTGCTCTACTCGGGAGAGAAAATCAGAGGTAACTCCCCAATGGCTCAAGCCCTTCGTTAGAAAGGGCCTTGATACTGACACTGAAGAAGAGAAAGGAAGCTAATATTTATTCAGGATCTACTACGTGTCAGGCATTGAGCTAGCTTTGCATGTTATTTCCTGTAATTCTTCAATAGCTCAGAGAGGTAGCTGTTATTTACCCCAATATTATTGCTCCAAGAAGAAAAGTAACTTGTCCAAAGTCACCCAGCCAGGGAGATAAACAGAGTTTTGAATATGGGTCTATTGGACTCAAAAGCACATGTTTCCCCATGCTCCTGACCGTGGCAATACCAGTGCCGTGGAAGACCCATGACTGTGCCTGAGACTGGCAGAATCATCTACAGGAGTTAGCTAATGCTCAGTCTATCTGTTTACAGTGTCAAACACTTCATCCCCTCATGTGTAAGAAAACTATAGCATCACAGAGAAGTGATGGCCCTGTCTCCAACATTTGGTTGCTCTATATTTGGCTTCTTAGCTTGCAGGAAGACCACTATTCCCTGCCCAAATGCAATTCAACTTCCAGATTTGTTCCATTTCCTGAGGGGACAGTTGGCTTTGCCTGTGAGCTTTTCTTGGAGGAAGACTTCATTTCTGGAACTTCTACACAGAACCTGGCCCTCAGAGTTCCTGAAGCTTCCATGTAAGTGTCTCAGTGTGCATTTCCTCCCTCCTATTTTTGGAAAAGATAGGCACAAATGAGGGACTACTTCTACAGCAACCAGCCTGGAATCATTCTTTCTGTGCTTACAGTAAATCTAGACATTTGTTCTTTTGTGCAGCATATTGAAAAGATATGCCTGGAATACAAGAGCTTGCTTGGAGCAAAACCATGGCAAGTCAGAGGGGAGTCAAGGAAAAGCATTGTCATGGGTTCAGAGTTCATGGATTTTAGACATTCAGGCTCTGCCATTTAAAACATTTGCCACCTTGGCTAAGCGCTCAGCTTCCCCAGGCCTGGTTTCCTTTACCTACATATAAAGGGGTTAGCCAATTAATTGAGTCAGTCTCAGCTCCAGAATTCTCATTCACTGCCTCTTTTCTGTCTCAAATTTATTCTCTCTTTTGGTTGTTTTCTTCCAGGAGCCAAGTTTGGCAGAAGCTCTAGATTATCTGACCTCCTAGATATGTTCACATAGCCCAGAGAGTGAGAACAGAATAGGGTTTGGGAAGAGAAGCCCACGGCAGTAAAAGGGAGGGGTCCTAACATATGAAGTCAGAGACACTTGACTTCTAGGCTCAACTCCTAGGTGAATAACAGCAACCTCTTCTCTTTGTCAGGTGCTGTTTACAAGGCACATCTCTACTAGTTTGGCATGCATGATTCTGTTACCCAGGAATTAATACACCCATTTTGCAGTTGAGTAAAGTAAGGTTCAGAGATTAAGTGACTTGCCCCAGGTCATAGTGATAATGGCCAGAGCCAGAACTCGAATCCAGACCACCTACTCCATGCACTATCCCACAGTTCCCAAGAAACTTAACTTTCCCAGGTTTAAGTTTTTTCACCTTTAAAATTGGGGGGTGGGGTACCACTAGAAAATTCTTGAAGTTCTTTTCAGCACTAAAATGTTAATTATTTTCATAATGAATTTAATTTTGTAAACTACTTGGTAAGGTAACTTCTCTGGGGACTCAGTGCTGCGTGTGTGACTAGGTATAGCTTCCTCTCTTGAAGTAATCTTATCAGGAAATTGTTCTTTTATTCTCACTCTGCTAACAGTGGCTTATTTTCGGAGCTTTAACTAGAAAAACAACTAAAATAGTAAACATGTAAAACAAGTCCAACGCAAGAGATCTGGATGATGGTTTTGCCAGAGACAGTTCTATGGGAAAATGCAGTCCACTGTCTTGTATTCTAGAATTATTATTATTTGGGGAATTATTTTGTGGAAGATCTGAAACACAGCTTTAGCTCATATCACTGGTTAGTGTCTTCCTCTGTGTAAGCCTTGGATAAGGTGCCATGTGAGTGAATATTTGGGAATGAGAGTATGTAGTCTCCCATAACGCAAACTGAAAAAATTAGCTGTTCTTTTCTGTACTTGTCATAGTTCCTACATCAAGATTGGCTCAGTATTTCCTGTTTACAAATCCAGAAGCAAGAATGAAAACCTAGCAGGTTCACATGGCTTGTGGTGTTTAGAGAGAGTCCCATGACTGAATATAACCATTTATTGAAGAATATCAAAAAGAGAATTAACATGGGAAAATGATTAGTATGTGCAGTGCCCTGTGTGAACTGAACATGTTAGGAGAAATTTGAATTGAACCTGGTTATTCAGAGCTGGTCCTTTGGAACTGGAAGTACACTTTGCTTTTTTGAAGATTGAACACGTCCAAGTAATAGGGCGGTGTCCCTGCGGGCATTTCAGATATTTGGAGCTTTTATATTCTATAATACTATATGTCTCCTAAAATGTAAATAACTCTTGTCTGAACTGTTTGATAGATTCTGAATTAAAAAAGAAGCATTAATCTAGAAATTTGGAGATAGCCTATGATGCCCTTTGCATGTATGATATATTCATGTAATCAGATACTTTGAGATTCAAAAGATAGCTCATTCAACAGCTTCTTTACTATCTATTTTTCATTTATGTTTCACCAAATAAATTTTCTCTACAATCATCTTTTATATCCTTTCTAATGAAGATTTAAAGATTACATAAACACCATTAGCATTTTACCTTTGATTGAATCAGAATAACACATAAACATCCAATTTGATCTCAAATTTTGAATGTAAAGGGAATCCTTGATATTAAGATTCTGGTATATACAGATGGAATCCTATTTCAATGAGGCAGTGCAACATCATTGCTCTAGGGATAGAAAGCCAAGGCTGGTGACTCTGACTGTACCATGCATGAGCTCTAGACTTTGAACAGGCTTCTTTACCTTGCTGGGGGCCTGACTTTTCCATCTTGTAAAAAGAAAGAATGAAACTAGGTTGTCTAATAAATGCTTTCTCGTAGCTCAAATTCCCAGGAATTCTGAAACAAGCTCTTAGGAACAAGTGTGTTTCCTTATCATGGCTCACACCCTACAACAACACTACTTGGCTGACATAGACTGCTGAAGAAGAATTCTACAAAACGCATTCATTCACATTTAGCAGGTAGTCTAGTAATCCATTTGCCAGGTATGTTGTGCTTTTGGCAAATATCAACTAAAAGTTCCTGTAGTGTAATAAACATTCTTAATGGTACCAGACACATTTCAAGGAATTTGGAGTTTTATAGTTTTCCCCCCTTTGGCAAAGTGCATTTTGGCTGATGATTAGGCCAGTAAAGTCTGTAAAATGATAGGACCCTTGTGAGCATTGGGTAGCGACATGATGGAATGTGCTTGGTTTGCTTTTGCAGGGTCACAGAACTTTGCAGAGAACAGATGGCCCCAAACATCTTTGAAATGCTAGAAATGACTTCCTGAATAACCACATGCCCATCATATCTTGGTCCAGCGATGGTAATTCACAAGCCAAACACACAGCACTTTACAGCTGACCTCCAATGTATTATTTTTAGTCTATGGAATGCATGAACATTTTCTACATGAATAATCATAATGATAACTGGAACCTGGAAGAGCAAATACCCATCCCCGAATCACTGAGCCATTGAACACTTGTCAGATGAGCAATGACATTCTTAGAATCTATAGGGGCAGGAGGCTAAGCATTTGACCGACTCTCAGGGATCTCTGCTTAGCAAGTCACTTCATCTCATTTTTCTCAAGAGTCTTGCTCAAATTGCATATTTAAAGAGATAAGCAGTAAGGTACTAGATTAAAGAGAAGGTAAATGAGGTAGTAGCTGATTCCATTCCAGTATTGTTTGGGTTGTGGGAGGGAAGCCTACTGGATGAATCTGCAAACTCAGTGAAACCAGTCTACTTCTAAAGTCCTTCCAAAGCCCCATGTTGAGTCAGTGTATATTTAAATGCCAAAACTAAACAAAAGGCAACCTATAGATGCCTACTCCAAATCATAGACTTTCTAAAACATTGAAAGAATTAATTTAAAATAATTCAACTAAGCTTCATGCTGTTAGAGGTGACTGATGAATTTTACAGACCAGGTACACCCAAATAAAAATCTGATGAAATAAAAGTCTGGAATTGGAGAAAGTTGAAGACTTTTAACTAAAAGGAAAATGAGGGGTGTCTGTGTGTGTGGGGGGGGCATGTGGTGTCAACTGCTAGATTTGTCCCAATCCCCCCCCACCACACACACACACACACACACACACACACACACAATAGATAGCTGCTACTTATTTAACGCAGCTCTGTAGTCAGGCACTTTGCAGAGAACCAGAGGAGTGAGTTTGTCGAAATCTCATTTGGCAAATTGGTGTGTGTGTGTGTGTGTGTGTGTGTGTGTGTGTGAGAGAGAGATAGACAGATTTTTATAAAAAGAGTGTGTGAAACTTTGGCTACCCCACCTGAAGCCACAGACAAACAGCCTTATATTGGGGCCACTGCATTCCATAATTATTATTGCCATTAGGAATAATTATTATTTGCTTGGTTGAGTTGGCAGTTTGGAGCCTGCCTGAGACAGAGGCTTCTCAAAGGAGCCACAGAACACAAAGGCCCGACCAATCACCCACAAGTGCTTCAACATGTTTGGACGATGTCCTTCTCTTGGTTCATTTCATTGGGTTTCATACCCATTGAGCTTCAAATTGAATGAAAACTGCATCAGATACAAAACCAGCATGAATGAGTGCTGGTACTCAGGAAGCTTTTTTGATTGGAGGTCTGAATTCTTGGCTTTTCTCAAGTCTGGAGATGAAAGTTAATTTTTTTCATGACACTGTGTTCCTCTAATTAAAAATAGAAAAATGAATAACAAGATGGGTCTTCAGTTAGAGGCTAGGTTCGAAACAGTCTGAGAGACAAAGTGCAGAAGAGTGAGGAAACCCCCAGCCAAAAAGCAGCAAGGCTGTTTAGGAGGCAGAACAGTGACAACTTGAACTTTACTTTTTCCCAATGTGTTTAACCTTCTTGCACACAAACTCCAGATTCCAGATTTTGTATTATTTCTTCTTTCCTTTGCTGTATCATTTTGAAATAACTGTGCCCGAATATTCCTCCAGCCTTCTTTAGGGATCTCAGAGAAAGTGTGGCCAGGGGATTTTTTAACCAGCGGAGTGTTCACAACAGAAGCTGCGCCTGGTGAAAAGGCTCACCAAGCCATTAAAGAGAAAAGAGTATGACAAGACATTCTTCCAGACGTTATTTTTCCCGTAGACTTGGTTGGTTCCTTGCCAAGGCCTGTACCACAGTCACAGGCAGAGGCCTGCGGGTGCTTAAAGAGAATCACAAACGCCCTCAAGTATGGGTGTCTCTCTCCTCCCCTTTACCTCTTCCTCCCATAGTGGTTGTTTGTAGCTCAAGTGGTTGAATCAGACCCTCAAGAGCTTCCTAAGAAAGGCTGAATCAGAAGAAAACACCCAACAGCCTCCAGTTATTGTATCAGGCCCACTACAGTACAGTGAAAGTTAGCTTTGTCTCCACAGGCACCCAAACAATCTGTCAAGCATCGCAAAGCCAACTGTGATTTTTAGACAGGGCAGGGAAGACCCGGGTGACCTCACTAGAAGCAAGGGAGGCGCCATGTCTGGGTAATCAATGCCCTGTCTGCCTGTCAAGAATGCAGGTGACTTGGTGCACACCTTCTCACAGATGTAGTGCCAGGGTGGGGTGAGAAAGAAGAACCTCCTCTCCCATTCTAGGCATTGGAAAGATACTTCTTTTGCTATTACCCTTTGCACAAAAGGTTCTTTGGGTGAATGCCCCTGTACGAATAAGAAGTAAATGAAAGTTGCACTGTAGTGATTTCCGGGGATTTGTGGTCCTGGATATTTATATAGAAAAACTGTTTAGTGGGAAAATATTGCAAAGGGGCATTCCTGTCTGGGTTTTTATAAAAGGTGACAAAATAGTGCTGTAAAGAAACAGAAATCCCACACTTTCTCAGTAGTATTAAAGCCTGTCCTTAGGTAAAATTTCATGGGAGTATAGAGTTGCTGCTTTTTCGTTTTTCATTTGTTCTTGGAATTTAGGGGTAGAGAAAGGCCAAGGGAAATGGCCTTCATCAGCAAGGAGTTTAATAAAGACAGAACTTTAATTTGTTCATTCTCAATGGTAACCTTCACGGGGAACCACATTTTTACTAAGTCACAGTAGTGTATTGTTTGTATCAGTTCTTAATGAGTTCCATTGTTAACTTTTACGTCAAAGACCCTGTTGCATCAACTTCTTTTTAGTCTTATGATAGGAAGCTTGTTTTCAAGGTGTTTCCATGAAAAGCATTTGATCCTTCATATTTCCGTGGTGGATTTCTCTGGAAAGTTGGGAGTTTTCCAAAGTCTAACTGTTATATCAGTTTTTATGGTGATGGGTCTCATTTTTCTTGTAGTATACATTATCTTCTCTACTAATTGACTTAATTTTCAGTCCTTATCTCCAGTCAAGAAATGAAAAGAACTTACAAATTTTGTTAATTGTACTGAAATTAGACGTGTGGTGAGTTTTAGAGGAGCGTCCAAACAGAACTGGATTCCATCAGAGCCTTGAGGAAAGTTAGACGGCAGACCCCAAGGGAGAAGAGGGCAGAACACAGGCTGACATATGACAATTCTTGGGAAACTGTTTAAATTTCTTGGGAAAAACAAGATAACTGATGGTTTTTTTAAAATTAAATAAGTAAATAGCAGGCAGATCCCAGAACATTGTAATGTGAAATCTAGGTGCCATAATATAAAGATGAATTATTAAAATATGGGCACCTCGAATCCACTAACTTGGGCCCAACAGAGCCTGCCCAGGGGCTGCCAAGCATGAGGGGTGTGGAGATTGGCCAGGTGGGCAGGGCTCCCCATTTCCCAGGTATGTCTTCAACCACAGCAGCTTCACATATGTGAACTTAGTTGGGTTTCCACATAAGCATTTCTTTGAACAAAGGGCTCTTCAGCAAGAGCATAGTTTGAAAACTACAAAATTGGAAGATGCTTTTTTCTCTATGTACCACAAACAAGAGGAAAAGTGAATTATTGGGTATGATAAAGCAAGTACCATCTTAAAGATCAATTTCCGGGAGAACCAGTGATGCCATCATCATCATGGAAAGTGGATGAGATTGGACAGGCAAGCTGTGGCTTCTGAGGTGATAGGTGATTGAGGGGAGAATAAAACATGAAATAACTTCTAGTATTTGGATGCGAGGGAAGAAAATCATCAGAAGGGAAACATAGAGACTTGATGGGGATCTGTCCATTTCAATCTCTCAGGAAAGGGTAGAACAACAATAACAAAGGAAGTTGTATCATTTCAGTCTACCCTTTTAGGCAGGGTACACTTACACATGATTGCAAGAAGGTGCCCACAGCACTGAGCTTCAAGAGGAGCAGAGAGGCAGCATTCATGGGCAGAGCCGCCTGTGCTTCAGCCTCCACCTTCATTTTTATTTTTATTTTTATTTTTGAGATGGAGTTTCGCTCTTGTTGCCCAGGCTGGAGTGCAATGGCATGATCTCAGCTCAATGCAACCTCCACCTCCTAGGTTCAAGCGATTCTCCTGCCTCAGCCTCCAGAGTAGCCGGGTTTACAGGCATGATCCCCCACGCCCGGCTAATTTTGTATTTTTAGTAGAGACAGGGTTTCCCCATGCTGGTCAGGCTGGTCTCGAACTCCCAACCTCAGCTGATCTGCCCGCCTCAGCCTCCCGAAGTGCTGGGATTACAGGAGTGAGCCACCGCGCTGGGCACAGCCTCCACCTTCAACCTGCACACTTCCACTCCACTTTTTAGTTTAGTCTGCCAGGATTTCACTGTTATCTTTTCCTCTCTCTTCACAATTTCACCTCTACCACAGTCAAGCCCGAACTCTGCCGGTGGGAATACCTCACGGAACGCAATGATGACTTCCTGAGGCCTCCTTCTCAGTGCCCAGCCCCTGGGACAGTCCTTTACTTCTTCCTCCTTCACAGGCTCAGAGTGTCCTCATCTCCCAGGCGAGGCCCTGTGGTTTTCCTCTTTAATTATTGCATGTATGTTGTCATGATCTGAATTGTGTCCCCTCAAAAATATGTGTTGAAGTCCTAACCCCTGGCCCCTGCGGATGGGACCTGATTTGGAAATAGGGTCTGTAATCAGGTTAAGATGACATTGTGGAGGATTTGGGTGAGTCCTAAATCCAATGAGTGGTGTCCTTATAAGAAGGCCATGTGGAGACACGGGGACTCAGAGACACACAGGGAGAGTGCCATGTGTCTGCAGAGGCGTATATTGGAGGGACAGAGCTGTAAGCCAAGGAACGCCAGGGATTGCCAGCCACCACCAGAATCCAGGAGCTGGGCATGGGGCAACTTTCCTTCAGAGCCCTGAGAAAGAACCCCTGCTGCTGACACCTTGATTTCAGACTTCTAACCTCCAGAACTGTGAAAAAATACATTTCTGTGGCTTTTAAACCACCCAGTTTGTGGTAATTTGTGACTGCAGCCCTAGAAAACGAATACATGTGTCTCCATGTAATTATGGATCTATCTGCTTTGCCAACGGAATCGTGGTTAAAAAAAAAAAAAACTATCACTCCATTCTCATTTTATTGAACTGTAACAGATGTGGGGGATAAATACATTAAGAGAAAAAGCCAACTAAAAATAAAAACAAGACTACTTTCTGGAGAACAGCTATCTTGCTGTTGGGACCTGTTTGGTGAGATGCCCCCAGTTCTTTGTTCTCCATTTGTACAGAAAGGGAACGAAGAGGCCTGCTCTAGATCAAACAGATCCACAGTGACTATCTTCTATGAAAGATCTTAGTAGAGATGCATTTTACCTGGGCTGCAAACCTACACTGCCATAAACATCCACTTTGAGGCAAACAAGGGAGTTTTTTCTTTAGCCTCGAATGTTCTGCTCAGTAGTAGTTGCGGGATTCTGAAGCACACACTTCTTGTTGATTAAGCTGTCTGCCCTATAATTTGCAAAGAATGGAAGATCAGCATTGTAGAGAGGTATGGGGGCTTTTCAACTCAGCCTTCTAAGATGTTCTTAGCAGCTAATAACATTCCAGCAGCCCTGAACCAACTTCCTGTGTGGACACAGAAGGAAAGGACACCAGGGACTTACCTGGGGAAGGAGAGCCCAGGGTGGGCCTTGTTTTTCCGTGTGTGTGTTTGTGTGTTTCTGCAGACACTGAGCTTAATCACTGAGAAATTTCTTTTAGGTGGTGCCTAATGCATCTCAGCCCCTCAGCCGGAGGGCTAGGGCTCATTTTCGTGACCGATCAGAGTTTTAACTGCTGTGCTCCTAATACATGTTTTTGAAAAAGGAAGTAGCTTATGTGACAGGACTGTTCTTTTGATCTGTTAACTTTTCCTAATTCTTTTTGAAGCGTCCTCTGCCTTATTCCCTGGCTCTGAGTGATTTAAAGGCAACGTCCTTGAGTTTATATGCTCCCAGAAACCTAATGCTCCGAGAAATCCAATAAAGCCCCACCACCAGAATTGTTCTGGGGCATGAGGGGGCAAGAGATGACCACCCAGAGTGAGCCCGCATGGGAGGGTGTTAAAAGCAACTAGACATATTCATTGTCTGAGGCTCTCATTGAGTCAGGATGGGTGCAGGCTGCAGACACCTGTGCGGTCGGAACTAGGTTAACGATTACTTGAACATTTGAAAATTTAATACTTTCAGTCAGGGAAGTGTATTTACCTTTGAGCATAACAGATAATAAAGGGCCCCTTTGGCTGCATAACCTCCCTATTTGTTTGAATTCTCCTATCTTTAGAACTTTGCATCTTTTTTTGGATGGAGTGATCCTGGGTTTTCTGTTTCTCAAGGGCTCATCAAATCACTATGTCATCTTGATTCCCTTACTATTTTTAATAAGCCAGAAAATGGAAGCAATTCTCCCAGTCAGACCACTGAGTTGGTTTGAAGGGACACCTCCAAAAGCCCATGCTCCTTGTGGTCCTCACTGTCACGGGCCAGAAATCTGTGTGGGCATCTTCCAAACCCATGTTTCTCTAGAGCCCTGATGAAAGACCCCTCAGTGAGTGTGGTGGCTGCCACGACAGGAGGAGAAGGGGAGGAGGCAGCGAGTTCCCCCAAAGAAGCTCAGAGCTCTGGGAGGGGCCCAGGGTGTTCTTTTAATCTTTCTAAAATAGGAATTAGCAAAATGATAATAATTGTAAAGAAACTTCCCACAGTTCTACCCCAGTAAAAGCAATAGGGTACCTGTCCCTGCCAGGCCTCTGGACAGCCCCCTTCCCTCTCCAGCTGAAGTCTGACCTCGGGCTCTTTGCATGGCTTATTCTATTCTTTTGGAGCTTTCTCACATCCATAAAGAGTAGAGAATTATAAGGGCGAAGAAAAGAGATCAGAGTAAACTTAATCACATTCACCAGCAAGCATTTTCCTGTGGTGTGATAGAGAGAAGTGGGGAAGCAACATGAATTCCAGACCTCGAAATCATTAAAAAATTCCAAACTAAATACAAAACAAGTTCTAATTTAATAAGCCTTCTAAAAGTGGTTTGTAAGCAAACTCCAGTAATAATCACATTCTGTCTGGCAGCAACAAGTGAGAAAGAATGGGACGTCCCAGCGTGGCCTCAGGGCATGTTTGTCCATCCCACAAAACCACCCTTTGGTTTGGCATCACTTTTCCCACCTGGCAAATGCCTGGCTCAGAAGGGCTGCGGACCAGAGTGTCCTGGCAGCATCCCACAGGGCATTTCTGATGGCAAAAATCCAGACCCAAGGTGGAAAGAGTGGTCCAGCCGTTGCTTCTGGAAGTCTCTTGCTATGTGACCAACCAAGATAACATCAGAACAACTCAAATGTCATTACAAAAGGTGGATTGTTACATTTATGGGATTCTAAATCATTCATGTATTTATCTATACTTGGCTTCATTCCAAGAAAAGGATTTGAGGAGACTCAGAGAAAGTACAGTACAACAAGATTAAAAGCAAGACAAAACAATCTACAGAAGAAAGGAAAGTAGTATTAGAGAATTCTGAGACTGAAAGACACTGAAATGGTTTGCTGCTAATGACATTTGTCATGATTGCTGGCACCTTTTATGTAAAATCAGCATTGAAATCCACCGATGCAGGGATCACACAGTGGAGCTTGTCTCTGGTACTGCAGTGGGATTTTTCTGGGTACATGCTCAGCCTCACCTCACCATTGATGCTGTGAGTCATCAGTGCGCTGTTTGGGAACATGTGTTAATGAGCACTGAAAGAGCAGGCCAAAGGTAGCAGGATTCTTCGGGAGTTAAAAAAAATACATTTTGTAAAACTAAGCAGACCATTGTGGAGGTGGACTGGGCTGGGGGTGGGGGTGGGGGAGGAGAGACTCATATTAAAATCCTGATATAAAGTTCTAAGCAATGAATAAGAGGCTTAAATACATAAAGAGCAAGGCTAAATTTGGACCAATTTCCTGTGAAATCTCTTGTGTAATATTTTCAATTTGTGCTTGTTTAATGTGGTTTATTTTCCTAAGGTTCACGGTATAGGTTTTAAATTCAGCCTTGACTACACACATGTGTTGAGAGGTTATAAAACGAGAGCCAGCTCAGACCAGTCTCCAACTGGATGCCCTTTAGTGGAAAACATTACCTCCTTTTCAATACCTAAAATGTCTCCATGGGCACAGATTTTGCCCTTTCCCCATCCCATTTCCTGACTGCTTTTCTACCACCTGGTTTTACCAGTACTTGTCTAGTTACATTAGTGTACCCAAGTATGCTATGGGGAGCTCTTCACTGCAGATCAGGGGTCCAGGGCTGTTTGGGGCCAACTCTCTGTGCAATATCATGTTCTTGACACAAAGGGATAATTCAACCATTTGGGTTAAAATAGAGGAAAGATCTCAGGCTCTCCAGGAGACTCTGATCTGCAGTACAGCATTCTAATTTTGGTCTCTTGGTATCCTGGATCACACAATCTTTTGGAGGGGGCCATTTCCTATACGTAGCGGTACTGTTTCTGGTGACTTGAATACAGTATGTAGGACCTATATTGTAAAGTCAGATCTTAACAAAACAATATAAGGCCTCTGCTGTTCATGGTACTTACTACATCAGATCCCATGTATTATAGTTACATGGGGTTTGTTTCCACATAGGTTTTAAGTCTGTAAAGCAGAAATTGTGCTTTATTCATTTCTGAATCTCCTAAACGCCCAGCATGTTATCTAGTACGGAGGAACTATATTGGTGTAAGTATGCATACACATATGGGCACAAAGGGTTGAAAGAGACATCACATATGTGCAGCTTCTTAATTTAAACAGCAAGAGATCAATAGGTAAGATAAGTAGTTGCAAAACTGTTTTTATCTTCTTCAGTACCTTTCAACAAAATACGCATCCTTCATTCAGCAAATATTTACCAAGGACCTGTTTTTCTCTGGGGATACACAAGCCTTAGAGCCTTCCAAGTCTAGGTTCCAAAACCATGCAAAACTGTACACAGTTCTAGCTTTCATTTGCAGCTCTGCCTATGACACAATGTGCGGCGATGTTGAAATCTGGCATCTTCTCCTTGCCCCTGCTGTATTTTCTTACCTATTTTTGGCTTCTGTTTTCTCTCGGCATGAGAATTTTTTTGAGATTGTGAATCTGGATTAGAAGTGGTCAAGCAGTTGTTCTCCAAGCCTGTTTTCCCTGGAAGGGACAACATTATTATTGGCCAGTGCTGGCTTTCTTCCCAGCAACGTAGCTCCTCTCTTCCCACCTGCCCAGCTTTCTAAATAAGTGTGGAGTCAGAAAACGAGCAGCTTAGAAATGTAAGACTCACTCTATGGTCACTTTTCCTTGACATTCTACTTTGAAACATTTCAAACACATAGAAAAGCATGAAGAATTGTATATTCGCCACCTAACATTCTACAATGGCTCTTTGCTATACTTGCTTTATCATATAGCTGTACATCTATCCATCCATCAGTCTTATTTTTTGATGCATTTCTAAGTAAGTTGCAGACATCAGTAACTTTACTCCTAACCACTTCAGCATATGTATCATTAATAGAGTTGATATTTGGGCTGGGCGCAGTGGCTCACGCATGTAATCTCAGCACTTTGGGAGACCGAGGTGGGTGGATCACAAGGTCAGGAGATCGAGACCATCCTGACTAACACAGTGAAACCCCATCTCTACTAAAAATATAAAAAATTAGCTGAGTGTGGTGGCAGGTGCCTGTAGTCCCAGCTACTCGGGAGGCTGAGGCAGGAGAATGGTGTGAACCCAGGAGGCGGAGCTTGCAGTGAGCCAAGATCACGCCACTGCACTCCAGGCTGGGCGACAGAGCGACACTCTGTCTCAAAAACAAAAACAAAAAGAAAAAGAAAACAGAGTTGATATTTCTTTGTGGTTCTTTTTGTTGCTGTTTACAAATAGCGAAATGCATAAATCTTGAGTATATTTCTGCCACTTTTCATATAGGATGTGATTTTCCTTTCTAGAGTCTCTTATTATTGAAAGGTAATCATGAAGATGAAAAAAGATTCTGTAATATCCACGGTTTGTATATTTAGGTAGTGAGTATTCCATTTTTTTCTCTGCATTAGGAGTATTTATTCAAGTGAGGAAGGAGCAGGAGAGAAAAGGGCTGTGTGAAGCTTCCATGTTAAGGGCCTCACTCTTGCAGATAAACTATGTCAGCTCCTCTACTCCCTCTGTATCATCTCCTTTGTCTTAAGTCTTTTGTTGCTGTGACAATAGGAAAGACATTATATCTGGTGGTATGGGACTCAGCTTTGTCATCATAAAACCCAAACTGAAAAAGTCAGGAAACAACAGGTGCTGGAGAGGATGTGGAGAAATAGGAACACTTTTACACTGTTGGTGGGACTGTAAACTAGTTCAACCATTGTGGAAGACAGTGTGGCGATTCCTCAGGGATCTAGAACTAGAAATACCATTTGACCCAGCCATCCCATTACTGGGTATATACCCAAAGGACTATAAATCATGCTGCTATAAAGACACATGCACATGTATGTTTATTGCAGCACTATTCACAACAGCAAAGACTTGGAACCAACCCAAATGTCCAACAATCATAGACTGGATTAAGAAAATGTGGCACATATACACCATGGAATACTATGCAGCCATAAAAAATGATGAGTTCATGTCCTTTGTAGGGACATGGATGAAGCTGGAAACCATCATTCTCAGCAAACTATAGCAAGGACAAAAAACCAAACACCACATGTTCTCACTCATAGGTGGGAATTGAACAATGAGAACACTTGGACACAGGAAGGGGAACATCACACACCAGGGCCTGTTGTGGGGTGGGGGGAGGGGGGAGGGATAGCATTAGGAGATATACCTAATGTAAATGACGAGTTAATGGGTGCAGCACACGAACATGCCACATGTATACATGTGTAACAAACCTGCACGTTGTGCGCATGTACCCTGGAACTTAAAGTATAATAATAATAATAATAATAATAATAATAATAATAAAAACCCAAACTGAAATCCAAGTTACTCTGACTTTGGAAAAGTTATAGTTAATCACTCAGTGCCTCTGTTTCTCTTCCCTAATGTGTTAAAATGAAGATATTGCCCTCCAAGCCTGTGGTGATGATGCCATAAGAACAGATAAAAATATCTGGCATATAGCAAAAGTCCTCAATGACATTATCATCATCGTTATCACTAACTACCTGCTCAATGTGTGGTTAGGAGTAAGTGTATTTTTGTGTATAGTTAATTTAGAAAGACTTTGATGTCTTTCAGATTGCCAAAGTTAATTTTTTGCAAGATCAATGAACTTTTGAGGAAATACTGAAAATGTCCCTGTTCCCCACTGTTTTAATAAACATGAGCACTGTTTAGTCTCACATAAAATGTCTACTTTTACTCCAAACAGGATGACCAACTGATTTTCCTCACCATGTCTCTATCTTGTGTCCCTGGAGTCTTAGCAAGGGAAGAGCAATGGCCAAAGGGCATCATGTTTCCTCTACACAGCTTCTGGGTCTTCCTTTGTAGCTTGAAGTCACAGAGTGATTTATTTTTCACCCAAGCATAACGCCATTCCTTCAAGCAGTCGGGCTGAGAGGAGTCCTCTCTAGCTTCTCATGTCCATTGCCCTCCATATTAAATCAGCCACAGGTTCAATTGATTTTTTTCCCCCTCTGTCCTTCCCAGGCCTCGTGTTTTATGGTGGTTTGCTTAGTACCGTGCTTGTAATACTCAGAAAACCTTTGTAGATTTGCTATGTCCTGAGACTATTTCTTAGAAACCTACACGGAGGAAGTTCAGCTCTTCCTGAGAACTAAGCCACAGTTAATTGCTGCTTCCACCTGCCTTCAGAAACAATAAGGGGAGTCCAGTTTAGGACTGGATGTTAGAAGCTACAGAAGCTCTTCCAGAAGGTGGACAGGGGCTAAGGGAGACTGGTTGTTAGTGCTATCAGAAGACCAAAAAAGGGACAATCTGAGCCCAAAGCTTTCTTTTGTATTATGTCAGGAAGGGAAGACTATATGGCCTATCTGATTGTGGGGTGTAGGAAGTGGAGGTAAGTGCCAAATCTGACTATATGCAATGCTAATATAGTACTGGTAATACTATTATATTAGTAATTTCCCAGCACTTTGTGCTTGGGACTCATAGGCTCTCTGTGTGTGCCAGACACTTGCTAGAACAGCAAGTGAAGAAGCCCTGAGGGGGTATTCTGAGATTTCCAATTGAATTGAATTTGGATAGTCATAAATTGGATGAAGCTGTAATGCAGAACCCATGGTCATTGGTTCTGAAATTAGAGCTGAAGCAATTCTGATTCCTCAGACCCTTTAAGTTAGTCTTATCAGATCAGGCCATCACAGAGCAGATAGACAGGTAAGTCTCAGAGACCTCTGAACCCAATTAAAGTTATACCACAAAGAAATCAAACTCATGTGGTTTGCATTTCAGAGAGCTACATTTGGTGGGCTGTTCCTGTTTTAATTCGGTAACCTAATGCAGGCCATGTGAACATTTGAAACGCTTTTAACAGTTAAACCAGCTCAAATAACACAAAACCAGAGCAGCAATAAAGAATGAATTAAAGCTGATTGCAACTGTGGCCAACATAATTTTTGTCTTGCAAAGAACTTTGAGGGAATAGAATGCAGAAAGAGAGACCGGTATCTCCATTTTCAACTTGGAGTAAAGCAGCAGGCGCTTTTACTTTTTTTATTTCTTAAGCAAATGTTTGAAACAGATTAACTTAGAAGGTGTATTTAAATCTTGAAGGGATTTTGGATGAGGGAGCAAGGGGGGGTTGACATCCTTTTGAACTGAGAATATGGTAGTTAGTGGCTCTACATCACCCCCACGCAGCTGGGATGGTTAGCTCAGTGGGCAGAGGCGCAGCACTAAGTTTGCAGAGGTCAAGAGTTCAAACATGCATGGATCAGTTAGTCTCATATGGAGGAGGTGGAGAAGCAAAACCTGTTCAAGTGCCGTGGCCTGTTCTTCCCAAATGTCTACAAAAGGGTCACCAAGAAGTGAGAGGCTGAGATAACAATAGTGATCAGTTGATGTGTTCTATGTGCCAGGCCCTGTATTAGGTGCAGTCAGTGCCAGCACATAATAACCTACTTACCAAATCCCTCTGTGTCTCCGTTTTCTTATTTGTAAAATAGGGATACTATTATGATTCCTATTTCACAGATGAGGAGACTTCGGCACAGAGAGGTTAAGTTACTTGCCCAAGGTCATGTAAATCATAAATGGCAAGACCAGCATTCAAACCCAAGTAGTGGGGTGTGCATGGCACAACCACAGCATATCGCTCTAGCAGGTCAAACCACTCAAAGATAAATCCAGTTGCAGATAATGAGGGCACATGGCATAAGCCTCAACCTGAGTTATTGGTCCCATGCCAAGAAAGAATTAACCATGATGATAACCACACTCACACATATCACAGCATGAGGTGTGTGTACCACCATAGCTACTCAATTTGTGTCGGTTGAATCAAGTTTTTTTATTTTATTGATTTTTTAAAAGATTTTTATTTTATTTTATTTTTGAGACACAGTCTTGCTCTGTTGCTCAGGACGGAGTTCAGTGGCATGATCTCGGCTCACTATAACCTCCACCTCCTGGGTTCAAGCGGTTCTCCTGCCTCAGCCTCCTGAGTAGGTAGGATTACAAGCATGCGCCACCACGCCTGGCTAATTTTTGTATTTTTAGTGGAGATGGGGTTTTACCATGTTAGCGAGGCTGGCCTCTAACTCCTGGCCTCAAGTGATCTGCCCACCTCAGCCTCCAAAAGCACTGGGATTACAGGTGTGAGCCACTGTGCCTGGCCTGAATTGAATTTTATACACACATAGAAGATGCCTCCAGAAGAATGGTTGGTGTGCTCCATCCATAAGTGGAGACATTTCTATGAATATAATCTAAAGAAATGGTGAATGAGCTTTGCATTTATTTCCACATGATCCTAGTCACTGGATGGGAGAGCAGTAGGTGTGATGAGAATACCTTGGGCCCAGCCCCTCAAGATGTGCCATAGGTGATAACTAACTGCCTGCCACATTCCCCAGAATGTGCTGACTTAGCCAGAGATCCAAGGGAGGAAGGGAGAGAGGACCCATTAATTTTGGATCCGTTAGTGACATAAAGCCTGCCAAGTGGGAAAGAGTAAAACTATAGGAAGAAACTTTATTTGCAAACTTTTGGGAGGTTATCCCCAGCAGCAGGGAGCCAAGTAACCACTGGTGGGTGAAGAGGCTCTGCTGAGCCCCTGACTTTGGGTTCCTTCCGGAGCAGCGGGAAGCTGCCTTGTCAATCACTTCTGCAGGCAAAGCCAAGTTCATCTCCCTGACTTTAGCAAATACTCCCTCAGGCCCCCTGCCCCCACCTCCCAGTGGAGGAGAAATCTGCCTCCTTTCTCCTTACAAATGAAAACTGGTGTTGATGCTACCCGCTAGACTCTCTTAGCAAAACTTAGAATTGTGAACCATATGTAAAAAGGGAAAGCTTATCACTGGTTTCTTTCTTAACCTCATAGGTGAAGTATCTTAGAATAGGTAACTGTTTTCACAGCTTCTGTTCTGTTATTGAGAGGGAGGAGTGGATTCAAACACTAGATGAATATGGTGTCTGTTCAACTTAAAGGTAAGGTAAATCTAGTTACCGCCCTCCACAACTCTGGTTTCAAGGATTACAGCCCACTTAACTCTCTTTAAGGCCTGGATAAATATAGGCTGCCTAGTCTTTCAAACATTCCTGGGGTTATTGGTCTAGTTAGAGTGAGCTTTCTAGAAAAGTTTTAAGCCCTCCTGATTCCCCCAGGCTGACTCTGGCTCATTCTGCAGCATGCCTGTGTGACTTTAACATGTCAATCACTCAACTAGACGGTGGACACATCGTGTGCTTGGAGATCAATAGACAATAAGTTAATAATTATTGAAGAGTAAATGGGGAATGGAGCAAGGCAAAATAGAATGCTGATTAAATTAAAGATAAAAATCCATTTTCTCTCTAATGAATAGTTTTCATATTAGACTCTGTAGTAGCATCTGCTTTCAGAGAACCCCACTAGAGACAGGGCCCTTCATACATGTGAGGCCCAGCTAACCAAACCCCTTGACTTCAAAGGAGTTTTTAGTTAATTCTTCCTCCTCCTTCTGTTTTCTACAGGCCACTTCCACTATACAAGGTCACATGTTTCTCTGAATTTCACCTGGTTCAGGAACATCTGTTGCCATAGATCCCCTTATACCCTGCTTCAGACCCTGAACATCCTTTGGGTATTTCTAACTTTAGTCATTCATTGAATATTTGTTGAGCCCTCCCACTCCCTGAGCCCCCACAGTGCAATGTCTGTGTTTTCCTCTATGCCTGCTACATAGTAATACAAGACCTTCACTTCTTAAAGCTAGGGTGAGCTTAATGTGGTATGGTGATTTTCCTCAACTTGCAATATTTCTCAGAAAAATCTTCCCTAGCCTTCCTAACAAAGTCATGCCCTGCTACTAGATAGTCTCATAGCAGCATGGATTTGTTCTTTGGTGGGTTGTGGTTTTATAAGTATGCGTGTAAATATTCAGTTAATGCCCATCACCCTCACTATGCCAGATGTTCCATCAGCTCAGGGATTGTGTCTGGTTTTTTTCCCTCCATCGTTTTTATAGAGCTCCGCATAGTGCCTGACATATAGTAGGTTCTTCATATATAAATGATGAATGATCAGTCAATGATCGAATTTGAAATGAAGTTTTAAATAGCTCAACATTTCTTTCTGCCTCTATCTCAAGTCCCATGGTGCACCCCTTTCTCTGGTGGATTCCATTTCTATCTCACAGTTGATATAGCAAGTACCCCACTGTGCAACTAAACAGGTCTTTTAGGGGTAAATCACTTTTAATTTTAGCCAAAGTCTGAAAGAAAAGAGGCCCCTTCTTTTTACTTCTCAACGCTTCTCACCAGCGTGGTCTTAATTTCAAAGCTGATGATGAAGACAGAGCATGGAAATGGGTCTGGCTTATGGCTCTTCTGGCAGCAGCAACTTTGGGAATAATTGAGAGATCATATTTCAGACCCATTTTGCACACCATCAAAGCAAAGTGGATAGGAACTGAGGCTTTTGAAATCAGAGGGGCCAGGCCAGTTTTCATGCTACCCCAGTTGAAGTTCTCTGGTATCTTAACCTCGGCAGACAGATATCATATGCCTCCCTCTGGTGTGGTGTTTTGGATTTCTGGAGAAATATGATATTTGGTCTCACTTTCATCGTGCTTACCATAGCACTCTAGGCCGAGACCTCCTAAATCACAGTATCATGCAATCCCCTCTAGCTGGTGAAACCTAAATGTTGGGATTTCATTGTCTTCTCCCCAAGAGGCCACCTTTTTGACCAGGTGACTCTCCTCAGTGATGATATGGTGCAATTTTTATGAGATTTTGGGATGTGAAGCAGCTCTGTAGAATGAGATAAGTGAGCAGTCCCCTAAATCAATTATGACGAGTACTCTCCCAAATCACTTTTACTAAATATTTGAGCAGTCCGGTCAGCATCAAAGTCAGAGAAGCTCTAACTCAAACAAACTGAAATTTTACTCTTTCCAAAAGACAAAAGAAAGGAGCCAACTACCCTGGATATCTCAGAACTGAATTTCTTGCATTGCATTGCATTGCATATATTAGAACAAAAGTATGATCTACACTGCAACTTATTTCCATAACAGCACTCTGGGATCCAGAAGGAGTGAGTCACAGATGCTGAGAAGCATCTCAATTGCTCATTTGAACAGTTCATATTAAATTATTGAAAGGAGAATGCACTAGAATTGTCTCTTCCTGTTTTCCTATCCAAATGAAACAAGTTCCTTTTGCTATAAGTGAAGTCTTTTGAACCAGTTAAAAGCGTGAACCTGTAGCCAGCTAGACCTGGGTCCAAGCCTGGGCCCTGCTAGTTAACTGCTATGTGACCTTGGACTTGTTTACTTTCTTCCTGCTTCAGTTACATCATCCCTAAAATGTGGATAAGCAACCAACTCACATAGATGTCATCAGAAATAAATGAGATAATACATATGTAAATTAGTTAGCCTTGTGTTCATTATAAAGATGCCAAAGTGTTAGCTATTATTATTATTGCTATTATTATTAGCACATAATAGTGATTTTCAATAGTGGGAAGGATCCCAGTTTGTTTAATGTCATGTGAACCTTAGGGCCAAGATAATACCATAGGATGCTAGTCCCATCACACTCAGTGCTTCATTTGCACTGGGACCAAGCCCATGATTTGGAATGAAACCTGACATGTGTGACGTTCTAGCCTGAGCTCAAGAGTGTGGTTAATGGATAGTTAAACCTTTCTGAGGCAAACTCAGAAATTACTAGTCCTGTTATATATTGGTTCCATTATCTCCTTGGCAGGATAAGCAGTGCAGTTCTTTTCTTTTCCCTGCTACAAAATGCAGGTTGACAGAACAATCCTGGAACCCAAGAGTTGGATAAAAATGTGAGTTGCATAAGGCCTTGCATTTGATCCTCTGTTATTGCTCTCTGATGAGGCATAGCCATTTAGCCACCAGGAGCAGCCATCCTCTCAGGAGCGACACAAGAGAAGAGCACACCTCTTTGCAAATGGAAAGCTGATCTCCTGGTCTTGGTCTCACTTATTCTGCCACAGTTGTTTTCAGCTGTCCACTGGGGACCCTGAAAAAGATGTCATTTCCAGTGCACTCTCCACCAATAAAACGTGCTAACAGTGCCCTTGGGGAATGTTTGGAGGGACTTGATTCCAGATCAGGAAAGATAAACAGTGATCTGGAGGGTCTGGTTTAGATGCAAGTCATATTTCATGCAAATAATCCTGGGAGGAGTCCAAGGTCAGTATGGATGTTTCTTTTAATTTGGTGTTGGACCAGATTGAGGTGGAATTAATGATTGATCCTCTTTGTCTCATCCTAGAATGACATCAACCTCTCTCTCAACTCTAGAGCCTCCCCAGTCTCCTGACTTTGGGCCCCTGATGAGCCACAGCTTAGCTGAATCTTTCTGGGTTCACTTGGAGAGGATTCCCTCTCGAAGTGGGGACCAGGATGGTCTCCAAAGCATGGGAGAACAAAACAGGAGTAGAGGAACATTTGTCATCAGACCTTTTCCTGCCACAGGGAAAAGAGACAATACATGGTCACTACATTTGAATTCTGAGAAGGTAGAAAATGGACCTAGAAATATATATGTATATATTTGGCAAGCTAATGTTGATTTCCCTCAAAAGGAAAAGGCAAGGAAGAGAGCTAGAACTAGGATGTATTTATGAACTTGGCACATGTAAGAGAAGACATGTGATATGGTTTGGCTGTGTCCCTGCCCAAATCTCAACTTGAATTGTTTCTCCCAGAATTCCCACATGTTGTGGGAGGGACCCAGGAGGAAGTAATTGAATCATGGGAGCTGGTCTTTCCTGTGCTATTCTCGTGATAGTGAATAAGTCTCACGAGATCTGATGGGTTTGTCAGGGGTTTCCGCTTTTGCTTCTTCCTCATTTTTCTCTTGCTGCCACCATGCAAGAAGTGCTTTTTCACCTTCCGCCATGATCCCCAGCCAGGTGGAACTGTAAGTCCAATTAAACCTCTTTTTCTTCCCAGTCTTGAGTATGTCTTTATCAGCAGCATGAAAATGGACTACTACAATGTGTGAAAGGGATGAGCAACCATTCCGAGGGCTGGGAGGGTCTTTTGTGTGTGGTGGGGTGTTTTTAAAGCTGCCATCAAGCATCTTTGGACACTTGGCCTGTGGATTATTTCTATGATCGTTAGACTTGCTTGAAGAATTATAGCAGCTTTTCATGATGCATTGGGTCATTCCTTGTGTCCCAGGTTAATTAGCACTGGTGAGTCCATTAAGCTATTGTAATATCACTCACCCCAACCTAGAACTAGTGACTGAACATCTTGTGTGCCAAACTCCATCTTTGCCTCACTCTATCCATCATTATTTTATCCCTCTGTTGAGTTGGCCTGGCTCAATTTACATTCTGTGAGGTGACCTGATGTTAAGAAGAGCGGCATAGGTAGAGCTGGTAACTTTTCCCTACAGAGTTTAGGGGGATGGACGCGGGGGAGTCTATGTTTAAAGTAAGGCAGAATTACTTCTGTGCTGTGGTGTATTTTAAAAAGCTTTCATTTTTAAACAAGGGACACCTTGCTTTTTCTTTGCTGTCTTAAGTGACTTGCAACAGGCAAAATGAAACTCATTGCTTTCCCAACTCAGTATGTTCTGATACAGAACTTCAGCTCTCATCCTGTTTTGCTGGCTGACAGATTTCAGCAAAAAAATGTTCTGTAAGAAAAAGATGTTTGCCTTTGTATAGTAAATTACATGAGATTAAAAACACTCCCTTTTCTTCCAATCGTGTTGGTAATTTGATCTGTAGGATGTGATTGAAGTTCCAGCTTTGAACTAAATTATTATAGCTTAAGCCTCTCAAAGTTTAAGTTGATTTGACATATATACAGGATATATATATTATATATCTATAACATATATAAATGTGAAAGAGAGAGAGAGCAAGAGATTGTAATGAACATGTTGTATTGCCAGATTTTATTTGGGATTTTCTTCCTGAAATAATGCTAATTATAAAAGATGGGAAAATAAGCCCATAAATACATATACTTGGATTTTATCCTTACCCACAGATTAAACTTCCATCCATGAGAGTGTCTGGAAATACCTAATAGTTTCATAAGATAGTTGCAGGCACTTTGGTCTAATAGTAAAGTGGGACTGTATGGGGGTGGAGGTGGGAAACACTGTATACAGAAGGTCCTTTGCAGACACTTCATCTGGGCAAGACAGATGCCCCATTTCACAGCATAGCCTCCGGAAACCATGCGCCCCTATGTGTATAATAAAGACACGCATAGCTCTGCACTGCTGCAAATTAGTAAAATTCCAACACCTATTTCTATCTGATGAATGAGTAACTTTAGTCCTGAAAGTTCCAGGGAGACCCAGGTGTTTTGTTTTGTTTTGTTTTGTTTTGTTTTGTTTTTTTATTGTATTAGTTAGAACCGCATCCTCTCATCATCACGTTGTCCTTTTACACAATCTAAGAAGTCAGGGACAGGCAGGATATGAGAATTGTTACACAGTGATCTTTAGGATACTATTGTCCACCCTTTTGTGATGTGACCTGCATCTATGGCAGTGTCACCTATGGCTTAATTTCTGCTTCTTATAAAGACCACAGGGGATCAATAATTGAGTTATTAAAAGCAATCATGGTGACGTTGAGAGGGTGAAGAACTCTGGGTGTAGGAGTGGGAGTGTGGTGAGGGTGGACAGCAGCACTTAGATTGTGGGGATTCCTGCTTCCCCACCGCCTTTCTTCCCACCTTCAATTCAGTACCCCCACCCTTTACATACCTGTGTCCCTGGATCTTCCTTTCTCCATGGTCCTCACAGCCTCTCTTCTTTTACACTTACCTCTCCTTGAGCTCCCTGATGTGCCTTGGTGGATTGAAGGGAAAATGCTATTTGAATGGAGGAATTGCTGAGTAGGAAATGGAGAATGGGTGCAAAAACCATCGACTGTCCTGACATCTCCTCCCGTGTCCAGCTAAACTCGCAGGCGCAAGACCTAAATTTAATCAGAGCAGACCAGCCTCACGAAGCTCAGTGAACCTGATGAGCAATTCTTACATGCAGAGTCTTTTTAGCATGGCTTTCCTGAGGATCCTTTTTGGGAGAAAACTCGCTGTAGCAGGCAAATGCTAATATTTGTTTAATTTAATTATGTGAAAACTGAGGATGGTAGGGAGGGGATGATGAGGAGGAGGGGCTGGCTAATGCGCTATTCATGGAAGAGGTAAAAATTATGCAGGCCAGACAGACTTCTGAAGATTTTCGTTTGCAGCAAGATTTGGAGTGAGGCAAAAGCAACATTTTCAGTTTATTTATATTCTATTACAAATAAAAGTTAAAATGTGAAATAATTGTACCCCTAGCACTATCCACATTGTGTCAAAGCCAAAGATATGAGGGAGCAGGGACTGGAGCTATGAAAAAGTAAGTTTAACATTTAAATACATATCCTAGGGTCTTTAAATATGTGTTTATTCCTAGAGGAGTTGTGGGACTCAGTCACTATTCAGGGAAATAAATAGCTAACCCCAGATGAACACTTTCAGCCAAGAGTTGTGACAGCCTCTTTGGCTTCCCTGCCCCCCTAAGATTTTCGTAAAGGATCATGTCAACCAATATGAGTTTCATGTATTTTTCTTTTTTTTCTCTGTCCACTTTCTAGTTGGGGGCATTCAATTAAAAAATGAGAGAGCAAAAGGACCAAAGGAAAGGAGTATGTAAAATTCTCAAGAATGGATTATCTCTCTCCAAATCATCACCATGTTGGTCTTCATCTTGGGAGAAAGTTGGACCTTCCTTCATTTCCCTTATTATTATTATTTTTTTTTTTGGAAAGGGGGGCTCCACATAGTTAGCCTCAGTAGAATCTATTTTAGTGTGGGGTGGTGGTGGAAAAGGGGATTTGTTCTACAGACATGGAAGATAACGAGAAGCAAAAATCCATAAAGGCAAGAGTATTTGGGGACAAAGAAGGGAGGAATAAGTTGGAAATGAAAAAGGCATTTGCAGGGATGGATTTTTTGTAGTTGGCAAGGTAGAGGTCGTGCAGTGTTAAGGGCATGAGCTCTAGAAGCAGCCCCTCAGGTTTGAATCCCGAACACACCATCTGCTGGATGTAGGCATGACCAGAGAAAAGGTACCTCAACCCCTATGGGCCTCAGTTTCCTCATCTGTGAAATGGAAATAATAATAGAGGCAATTTCAAAAGATATTTGTAATGTGTAGAGGAGTTAACCCACAATTATTGGGCACATGGCAAGGGCTCGTCATTTATTTGCTTTTATGTATGGTGTCTTAAAAGCTTAAAATAACAGAAGAGGAAAGACAGAATTTTACACTTGAAACTTCTGGTTGCACTGGAAACATTTCAGCATATAAAGTGGCTGAAAAAGTAAGCAAGGCAGATCAAAACCACTCAGCAGTCTTGGAGATTGTTAATTCAGTTCTTCTATCTGGAAAAAATAGATACATTTTAAAATTCTGGATTCTGTGGAAGCCATTGAAGCATTACTATAGTTAGGTTACTGAATAAAAATCTAGGACAAAAAAAGTATGTTTGGACAGAAAGCTTTTGCTAGAGGTTTTTCTAAGTACAATAAGATTAAGACATATTCTTAGGAACTTCACATGAAAGACATAAAGTGAATGTATATTTTTATACAATTAATTTCTGAATACATTATGGTGTGGTATATTTTCCTGCATAAGGGCAATCTTTTTAAATATATACTACTAATTTAATCTGTGTCAGAATTCACAAATTTGGGCTATTTTATTTATTTATTTATTTATTTTTGAAATGGTCTCACTCTGTCGCCCAGGCTGGAGTGCACTGGTGCGATCTCGGCTCACTGCAACCTCTGCCTCTTGCTTTCAAGTGATTCTCCTGCCTCAGCTTCCCAAGTAGCTGGGATTACAGGTGTACACCACCACACCCGGCTAATTTTTGTACTTATAGTAGAGCCAGGGTTTCGCCATGTTGGCCAGGCTGGTCTCAAACTCCTGACCTCAGGTGATCTGTCCACCTCGGCCTCCCAAAGTGCTGGGATTACAGTGGACTATTTTAAAATAAAGGTGTTTGCAAATGTCCTTCAGTGGGTGAATGGTTAACCAAAGTGTGGTACATTCATATTTAACCAAACTGTGGTATATTCATGTCATGGAATATTATTCAGCAATGAAAAGTAACAAACAATTGATATATATGATAACTTGTATGGACCTCAGAGGAATTATACTTAATGGAAAAAGCCAATCTCAAAAGATTATATGCTATATGATTTCATTTATATAACATTCTTGAAATGACAAGATTATAGAGATGGAGAGCAGATTAGTGGTTATCAGGAATTAGGTTTGGGTAGAGAGGCTGGAGTTGAATCTATGGGGTATCATGAGGAATCCTTGTGGTGATGGAACAGTTTTGTGTCTTGATTTGGTCATGGCTACACAAATTTACACCTGTGATAAAATTTCACAGAACTAAATATACACACTCACAAAACTGCATGTAAAATCGGTGAAATCTGAATAAACTCTGTGGATGGTACCACTGTCAATTTTCTGGTTTTGATCTTGTACTCTAATTATGCAAGATGTTACCATTGGAGGAAACTGGGTGAGGGGAACACCCAACCTCCTTGTACACTTTTTTGCAGCCTCCTGTAAATCTATAATTTTCTCCAAATAAAAAGTTACAAGAATTAAGGATTTGTTTATTTCTAATTTGAGTTTTAACTTGGTTGATTTCCACAATCCTACCATGACAAAATAAGGTAATTCCCTTACAGGCACTCATGATAATCACTCAAAAGATGGCCTAATTGGCTGACTGCTCTTTGAATGTGAGCATCCAAAGGTCAGCAACTGCATCCTATCCCCAAATTTATAAATTCAGTATACTCCACTGCTACCAGATGAGTATTCAACGGTAGAAAACTTTATGTATAATTGAATGAAATCTAAAAAAACATGCAGAATCATTTTTCCCACAGCCTTTGAGAACTTAGCCAACATGATCTGGTATGTTTGTTTTGATCACGGCCTATTTGTTGAGGCCTTTTGATCACATTGAAAGTAAAATTGGGCAGTCACTCATCTGAATCTTTGTTCCATGTCGTACCAGCTCCCCATCACTATTCCTGTAACCTTCCTATCTCAACCAGATGCAGAACAAAGAGGTGAATACATTTAGCAGGCTGTGCACAACTTGGACATCCCAACCAGGTGGAAGTTGTCTCAAAGGAGGTCTTTGTTGACAGTGGCTGCTAATGAGCAATGAGTACAATCTGAATGTGTCATACACATTGTCCACATTTTGGATTTGAATTTATTTTCCTCATTGTGGTTCAAAACCTGGTAAGCTTTATACCCCTACGCTTTAGTTCGTTACTTAGTCCGTTAGTTGGTTGGTAAGTTATAGCCAGTGGTGCTTTTAGTTTAGAAAACAGTGTGGAAGTTTTGCTGTGGATTTAGGAGTCTTTAGGTAACATAAAAGTATTCACAGAGGTGTAACCATTGCTGATGTGAGGAGAAATGTGTCCTCAAGGGATCTGTGGCTGAGAGCTGGGTTGTTTCACAAGTTTAAGGGCAGTGCTTATGTAAGAATACATGTAGCATATAGTATTTAGCAGGATGGGGTGCGTAAAAGGACACCATCCTCCGCATCTGTGTGACACTTGAAAGTTTTCAAACCAGTTCATGTGCATCTTCTAGTTTTTTCAAAATCCAGGTAAGACAGGATTTCTTTTAACAAATAAAGGGAAAAAAAGAAAATTAGAAGGATCATGACTTATTCAAGGTCACCACCACAGGAAATGAGGAATCAAGAACTATTTGTGAAGTATTGGCTTTGGTGCCCTTTTGACTAGATCTCACCACCTCTGCACACTTGATACTAAAAAAATGTGATAAATTCCATTTCTTTTTCATATTGGATATAGATATCTGAGGGAATCTATGCTTATGGTGAGATTTGGGTTTATTTTCTGCCATCATATACTTCTGTGGATGAAAGATTAATAATAACCATTTTCTTATAGAGCTAGATAATAAGAGGCAACACTGCCTACTAAATAGTGCTTGGTGCAAACATTTCATTCAGAAGAATCAAAACTTTCTTCTTCTAAATAACCACTTATATTCCAGTGGTTGGATTAACCTACTCCTTGCTTCTTTCATTGGTCAGATAATGTATCCAATTGAGGAACTTCTCTACCTAGGGCAAGAACCCAATAGATAATTTCTCAGTAAATAATAAAATAATAAATATTAAATAATAAAATAAAATAATAAGATAATAAAAGTCATGAGCACAGCCCTCTCTGTATTTCTTCTTGATGTATATCATGTTGATTGTTTTCTGTTTCTTGTCCAAGATTTTTTTTGTCCATTATGATACTATAGATCAAAATAGCCCTATCATTGGGGCCAAAATTATTTTAATTGATGTAGAAAGGTTTTTAATGACAAACATTACTCTTAAATAAAGTGTTTTTAAACTAAGTTTTTCCTTTGTTTTATTTTTAAAAAGATGTAAATGATTTAGTATTTGCATCCTACCCCAGGGACCTGGGAGAATTAATATATTCTCTTCCAGTCACTATGTGACAGCAGCTTGATGGAAACTAGAACCCAGAACTTGATGGTTTATATAAGGGCGTAGGATACAGAAAAATTTATGCCCTTTCTCATTAAAAAAAAGAGATAACATTGCACAGGAAGGTATTGAAGGACATGAAGGAACAAGAGCCTAAAAATTTTGATAATTTGGGTTCTTGTAACACTGAAATGACTTACGTAGAGAAGACCATGTCTATAAAGAACTGGATACCTTTGCCTGGTTCTGACAAGAAAAAGAAAGTATTCATATTTGGTGGACGTGGTGGTAGGTAAACTACTAATTTGTAAACATTGGAAATTTTTACTTTAAGTGAGAGCAATGTTGATAGATTCAAAAACAGCTCGTAATTGCTTTCTACTTTTGTATTTTGCCTGAATCCATCTAGATATTGTGAGAAGACCCACCTTCTCCTCTGATTCCATCACCAAGCATTTATCTCTCATTTGTTTTGTCAAAGACATGACACTTCAGGACTGTGTGGAAAAGAGTATCCAGTCTTCCTATTTTTCTATTTTTGGCCTTCATGCATGGAATTCCCTTATTTCAAAAATATCTTTTTGGGGAAACCCAAACAATGCGCTAAAATTAATACTCCAGGAGGAAATGAACTGGAGCTGACCTTCACTGCTTCCTGCTCCTTGTTTCCTGCTATTTTAACAACTTTCTCAAAAATGGCACTCGTCCATCTCTGGTCTTGTTATCAGAGTTGAAGTTGATTTCCTGCCCATGAGACAAAGAAGTGAGGGGCACAGTGCTTTGAACAAAATGAGGGGTTTCACAAAATTGAGATCAGACAAGCCAGACACAAGAGTGCTTCGGTCCTTGATTCCACTGACATGAAACCCTAGAACAGGCAAAATGTTTTCTAGTGACAGAGGCAGATCAGTTGAGCCTGGGAAGGGGGACTGGCTGCCAAAAGGCAGGAGAGAATTTTTTGAGGTGACAAAAATGTCTTATATTTTTATCATGCTGGTGGTTTCATGGGCGTATACGTTTGCTAAAACTCAACGACTGAACACTTGACGTGGATAAATTTCACTATATGCAATTTTATCTCAATAAAGTTGATTTTTTAAAAATTGCAATTAGAATAAGATTGGGAAAGCATTACTACCAGCTCTCTAATTGTCCTTTGATCTTGCCCTCAATACAGAGAAAATGGTTGTGGTAACATTTTGATAGCAACCACCACTTTTCACATTTCATAAGATTAAAATGTCCATGAAATACCACTGAAAAACAACTTGTCTCACCAAGAAAGATTTTTCCTACTTAACTAGAGTTGTTTGCATTCTGTTCTTCAAGATATATTCATGCTTGTGGGTAGAATTATTAATTTTTTACTTTACAAAAATTTATTTACAATTTTACAATTTTATTGCTGTCCTACTTATTAAAAAGTGTGAATAATTACCTGATGAGTTACCCCCACATCCTCTTGATTCAAATCACACCTTCATATGAGCCTCCTGGCAGATATTTCTGGTGTGTTTGTCCAGCCTTTGTGTGAGAACAGTCATCCATCCCTGGGAATAGGGCCCTCAGCAGTCAGAAGTGGCTCATGCCCATCTTCCCTCTGCCTCTCAGTTATAAAAGGCTCTTATCAGAACTGATTCCTACTTAGCCCCTGCAAATTCTGTTGCAGCATGGCTTTTTTATCTATATGCCCCTTTTCCTCTTTTCTTTTTAATTGGCTCAGGGAGACCATCTTATGTTACTCATACAAGATTGTCAGAAACAGATATAAGTTTATCTGGTGACAAAATGAGTGATCCTTTTGAAAAGCTAGGTTATGATTTCTCTAGTTAGGCTTCTGAGACAAATATGAAAGTTGTGGTCATATTTTGAAATTTAATTTTTAATTGACATGTAATTTTACATATTCATAGGGTACATAGTGATGTTTGAATATATATAAGGTGTAGTGATCGGAGAGGGGAATTAGCATATTCATCATCTCAAATATTTATCATTTCTTTGTGTTGGGAACATTCAATATCCTCCTTCCAGCTATTTGAAACTATATTTTATTGCTAACTCTCATCATCTTACACTGGTATAGAACACTAGAACCTATTCCTCCTATCTGGCTGTAAATTTGTATCCTTCAACAAATCTCTCCCTATCCTTCCCTTCTCCCTGCCCTTCCCAGACTCAGTATCCTCTCTTCTACTTCTTACTTCTATGAGATCAACTAAAAGTTGTAATTTTCTGCTCATCTTTTTAGACCTATTTTACAGAGAGTGTAGCTGATTGGCAACCTTTTAATTAATATTCAAGAAATCTGAGCTTGTGGATAAAACTAACCGAGAAATGTGTACAATGTGAGGCCCCAAGACTGAATGCAAGGAGAAATAGGAAGAGGAAAGCTGTTGCACAGAGTATCCCTTGAGTGGGCGTGAATGAGTGTTTGCATACACTCACTGGGGGCGGAATGAGGCCTTCCAGGCACTGGAACGTGCAAATACATCTGGAGCGTGCTCATTGACAGGAGGATCCAATCCATAATAACAAGCTGGGTTCACTTTGCTGCCATAGGAGAAAGGTGTGTGTTTCACCATTTGCCTTATGGATTTGAAAAACATTAAACCAGGTAGTATTTCAGAGTTTAAATGAAGTACACAATGCTCAGTGGTTCCAGCACCAAACTCTGGAAGTGTAGTGCATTGGAAGGAAAGTGGTTTAATGTCGTTTTATCTGTTGAACCACAAAATGATAAAGAACATTGACTCTTACCCAAAATAAGACCAGTGCCCACAGGGCTGTGTGTGTGTGTGTGTGTGTGTGTGTGTGTGTGTGTGTGTGTGTGTGTGTGTGTGTGTTTTACCATGTGCATACTTGGAAAGATAGTATTCTAACAAAGCCAGCCTTGGGAGTTGGCTTGCTTTTAAGGCTCACAGTAGAAGAGTTAAACAGAATTTCTCTTCCTCCCTCTGGCTTTCTCTGTTTTCCTCCAGACTTTGCCCTTCGAAACAAACACTGAACAGCGCCGTACATGGTGTTTCCTGGGTAATGTCATTGGCTGTGAGCTTGGTTTATTAATCGTGGCATCAGGGCACTGAGAGATCTTATATGACTTCCCCTTATACCATACAGATTTCACACCCATGCCTCTCTCTCTGTCTCTCTCTCTCTCTCTCTCACACACACTCACACACACACACACACACACACACACACACACTCTCAAACTTTCTTTGCCCTTCATTTTGGTTTGTGTCTTTCCTTACTCCTAAAGGAGAAGGCAGGACCAAGACTTTTTCCCCCTGATATGTATCCACAGGTTTCATATTTTCCCATGTTCTTTTCACTTTTCTTTTGGTTGTGAGTTTTTGATAGGGGTAGGGGTGAGGGGTGTAATAGGTAAATAAAGGACTTCAGCAGTAAAATACCAGAAAGATCCTTTTGGGAATTCTGTTTTGTTTTGTTTTTAAACAGATGGGAGAAAATTGAGTTGTTAAAGGGGAAACAGTACGTAGTTGAAACTGTTAATGAGCCTGTGGTCAGAGCCAGCAGAATTTGGTTGTTAAGGATGATGCTCTGAAACTTCATATTATTCAGTCCCAGTCTCCCTGCCTCCCTGGCTCCCACCCTTCCACCCTCCTCCCAATCTCCCTCCCCACCAGCACAGCACATTGAACAGGCTAAAGTCCAAGGCATAAGGACTTACATCAGTAACTTTAAAACTATTTTAAAAATCAGACTTCATCATTTACTCCTTCAGAAATCATTACCATACAAAACCAGGACACTGAAGTTCCTCAGACATGGCCAACTTGATGGTTGACATGTGTTGATATATGAATAATCCTTAGGCCAATAAAGGCTAATGATAGGGACTGTTGGTTTTGTGTAAGGCTAAGTATTGTCTGGCTCAAATAAGAGAAGAAGAGGATCATGACATTTCTTCTTAAATTATCTTAATTTAACAGGGAGATTTTGCAATTGTTGGCATAAATATTAACCAGTAGCGATTAGTCATCAGTGTTCATTCGTGATCTATGACCTGCTTGTATATCACGGTATATCTGTAGTTGTAATAAGAAAGTCAAAGAACTCCTCTTGGAGCTTACCATCTAAGGCAGGATGACAGAAGTACAGCTTTAAATAGCCTTGCAGATACATTTTTCTAAAAATGCAGACCTGAGGTAGGTATGTAGTCACTATTAGTGGTAAGCAACAATAATTTGAATTAATATGTAGATCTTGAATAGTAAGTTGTATGTTAAATTACTTTTTGAGAAACGTGTGCTTCTCTGACATGCATTTTAGACATGGCTTAGTTTCTTTGGGGTCCTATGTCTGTGGGGCAGTCTGTCCATTGCTTTGGACAGTGCTGGGCTGCCTAAGTTCTTTGTCTTGTTGAATTTCTGAGCCCTGACCTTACCTGCTTCCGGGCTTACTGGGGCCCTAGTACTAATGTTACATTTAACAAATGCCTGTTAAGAATAATATTTGTTAAGTGAATGTCATCCCTGGAATGGATAGAAAATATTTTGCTATCCCTTAGCCTGATGATAAAAGGTAGTTTTAAAATAGAACAATCCTCTTGCATGTATTTTTATTTTGATTTGATTTTGTCTTCAGCTTAAAGACAACTGTATGAAAAAATTTTCTTTTTCTGTCTTCCTGCATTTCTGTTCAATGAGCTGGCTTTTCCTTTTGGTTCAAATCTGACAGGACCCAAGTCTACCTTGTTGAGTTTGATGCACCAGGTGCATGGAGGTAGTTTGGTCTCTTGCAGGGAAGAGTGGATACTGAGCTGCAAAGGTCGTGTACTTGTCTGCTGGGAGCCCACAGCTGTTGAGCACACTCGCCTGTGGTTGACAGGACTCTGGCACAAGTGCCGTGGAGGATGATGTTAGAGAGGTGGACACATGGGGTCAGAAGAGGAAGGAGAAAAGGTTAGCTAGCAGGCCACAGATTGTGTGAGTTACTATTGTGAGGAGGACTTTGAGGGGCCTGGAATCTGTGCCCTGAGTGCCAGACAACATTGGTTCAAATGGCTAAATGTCAGCATGGTTCTCAACCAAGAATTGGAAGCCTTCCAGGGCCTCTTAAGGCAGACTTTGTAGCTTTTCTTTTCTGAAGAGCTTCTCCTTCCCTGGCTTCTCAAGCATTGTAACTCATGCTGTTAGGTCTTCCGTTCTGTCCTTCTGGGCCCTGGGGTACAGCTTTTATGGTATATGTTCAGAGCTACAGGGATGTCTCCTGTTCATCTTGGGGTTCTTTCTGCATCCCCCTCTGCCAGCTGGGTGAACAGTGGGGAGCTGGAAGCAAGGGGAGGGGCCAGAGGGAAGGCGGTGAAAGGTGTGCTCAGAGGTATCTGAGCTTTGGGTTTTTACAGAAGTTGATAGCATTGGGCTTAGTGACCACAATTCAATTATAAGCACCACACAACCATCCTGAGTGACTATATACTTGCCAAATACTGCTGTGTAAAGGCAGCTACATTTTTGTCAGCCTGGCCTGATGGATTTTTAAGTATATTCACCGCATACATTCACGCAAAGGGGAAAATTTACTGCCTAAACAGAGGGACCTAAATCCCCCAGGCTAAATAAACCCAATGAAAACACAAGAACTGCATTGACAGGCTTCCCGAAGATAAGAATTCAACCTTTAAAAAGGTTTCTTCAAATGAAAAATGGATGGCTGAGCTGCTAATGGCCCAGTAACCTAAAAATTTAACTCTTCCCTAATGCTCAGGGACCTCAGGTAAGGTTCACTTTCTTGGAATGGAGGATTTTCATCACTGATCTCTGCACAGTTCTGGGCCTGGAAGGTCCAGGAAGTGGCCTTGGAAAGTTAATGACCACCATAGAGAATCCATAGAGAATAGATTGTCTTGGCAATTTTTGTGTTGCTTCTTTTTGTTTTGTTTTGTTTTTTGTTCTTTGGTTTGCGTGTGTGTGCGTGTGTGTGTGTGTGTGTGTGAGAGAGAGAGGGAGTCGTTTATGTATGGCTGTCTGTGGGAGGAGAGGCATGGGCCAAGGTAGGGGGGTGTGTGTGTGAGTCCCCAGCTTTTCCCTATTGGAATTTGGTTGAGGTGAGACATTTAAGAGAACTGTCTTTCCCTTATACTTAGAGAGGAAATATGTCTTCCTCTTAAACTTACAGGAAGAGTTAGGAAGTTAAGAATTTACCTGTGCAATTTCTCCTGCATGTTTCTCTGTGGAAACAGGTCATACATTGGGACAAAAGTGAGGCAACAGGTCTCCCCTGATATGTCCTCAATCTTCTGGTAGTATTGAAGGTCCCAGAGCTCATCACCAGTAAATCGCACCCCTGTATTAAGGATAAGTTACAAAGATGTTCATGAATCAACCTGCAGAGGAATCTGTGCCTCTCTTGTAAGTCACCTAAATATTATTTAAAGATACATATGCCAGGTAGAGGCCGGGCACAGTGGCTCACACCTGTAATCCCAGCACTTTGGGAGGCCAAGGCAGGAGGATCACTTGAGGCCAGGAGTTTGAGACCAGCCTGGCCAACATGGTGAAACCCCATCTCTACTAAAAAAAAAAAAAAAAAAAAAAAAAAATTAGCTGGGTGTGGTGGTGTGCCCCTGTAATTCCTGTAATTCCAGCTGCTCAGGAAGCTGAGGTATGAGAATCGCTTGAACACAGGAGGCCAGAGGTTGCAGTAAGCTGAGATTGCGCCACTGCACTCTAGCCTGTGCGACAGAGACTCTGTCTCCTAAATAAATAAATAAATAAATAAATAAATAAATAAATAAATAAAATATATATGTGCGAGGTAGGGAGTGGGGTGAAGAAGGGGTTAACTACAAATGGGGAAAGGGAATGAGGTGATGAAACTGTTCTATATCATGGTTGCAGTGGTTGTTACATGGCTGTATGCATTTGCCAAATCTCATAGAACTGTATGTTGCAAGGGTGAATTTTACTATATGTAAATTATAACTTGACAAACTTGACCTCCCTAAAGCAACAAAGAAAAGAAAAGAAGGAAAAGTAAGTAATACTTTCTCATGTCCCCTTGCTACTTTGCCAGCCAGCAAGCCATCTGGATGATGCGAAGGAAGGACACCACGTAGTCAGCTCCAACCTATGAGCTCATGATGCCAGGAAAGCTGTTCTAGAAAAAGCAGAGATGGTGTGTGTTTCCTTCTGGGGGAGATGACTTAGCTCTCCAGGTAGCAATGACCTTGTATGGTTAACACAGGTAGGGAAATACCTAGCTTCATGCTGACTCACCAGGTAAAAAATCATTTCTCTGAATGAGTCAGAATCACAAATATGTTCTGAATAGTCTCCTATGTCCTGCATGGGGAAGGGCCTGAAGCACCAATCAGAATGTCTGTTTGCAGGTCTCAGTGGTCCTATATGGGCAACACCTACAAGCCGTGGGTCTCTCATTTCCCAGAATGATAGTGGTAAATTCAAGCCCTCTAGCTCACTTAATCACATACTCAATTAGGTACAGGAGACACTTTAAAAAAATGTATGCTGTGCTGATGATGTTGTTTATTCAGTTATAGGTAAATCCAATAATGGTGAAATAAAATCCTTCAATATTAAGTGTATTCCTGGCCATTTAGAGAAGGGGTGTGTGTGTGTGTGTGTGTGTGTGTGTGTGTGTGTGTGTGTGTGTAAGGATACAGTTAAAGCAGACTTGGGTAATGTAAAATACCACAGAAAGTAGGGGTTTCCAAGGAAAACATGGGGGAAACTCTGTATGAGAATCTAATGTATGCTATAGCTTTTAAAAGGAAACATTAATAGTGAAACATGCCCTCAAAGGGCAAGCCAGTAATAAATTTCGTGTCAGAAATTACCTGTCAGTAGGATTATGTTAAATAATGTTGAATTGTTATTAGTCGAAGGGGAAAGAGAAGAGTGACTTTCTAAAAAATGTTCAAAGAGTATAATGTTTCACATACAAATCCCATTATTGTTTAATGGCATTTTTGTACTTATCCCTTCTCAAAGATGTATTGAAAATTTTGGCCACTTTAATTCATCCCTCAAATGTAGTCGTTATGGGAAAAGAAGCCAAACTTCATGCAGGAATTTGGAGTTACCCAGGGGACTAGTGTATCTGATTGGACGTCCACTGTAGTATGTCCTAATCGATAAACGTGTGTGTGCCTGCTTACTGGGACTACAGAGGAAAGCAGTTTCACCTCTATACCTCAGCAAACCATTCGTGAAGTAGCAGGGGCCCCTCTATTTCAACATTTTGAGCACTTTTGCTTGTTTTGGCCAAACAACTAAAAATATATTTTTCCCCTTGAAAAGTATTCGCATTGCAAATGTGTGACCGTCTAAGAATTTTTAAGGTTCATTGCAATATATTGGGTCTGAAACTGATGGCACTTGCTGAGGCAGGGCCCAGATCCTGCCCCAGGTGCAGTGAAGGCAGAAGCCTGAGTGGGAACAGACTGTGAAACAACTGAGGCTTAAATTGTGACCTAACACATTGCCACCCGGCTTGAGCCTATCCTCTTTACGACTTATGACTCATAGGTGTCAAATCATCAAGTGATTACACCCAGAATGAAAGAGTATTTCGACTTCATGTGAATTGAATGAAGAATGATTGCGACCTTAGATTTGGGTTTCTGAAGGACAAAGTTAGAGATAAGCTCTGGGACTACTCCTTCTGCTTTGATTTCATTCACCGATTACTGGTCATTAACTGCCCTGTGTCTCGTTTGAAAATTGCTGTATTTGATATTTCATGATATTTGGACCAGATCTCGCCAACAAACTCAGTAGGCATTTGTGGAAATCTTGATTTCTTTGGGTCATCAAATCTCAATTTTAGTAAATGGCCTCCGCGGTAATTCACAAATGGGTTCAGGGTGGCTTAGAGTCAGAGTTCAAAGTGCAAGAAAGTGGATCCTTTCAGGGGCAACCTGCAGTCCAGAGAGGCTTCTTCCAGTTGGAACATTTAGATCAGCTTCAGGAATGTTATGTCTTAGATGTTATTTGAATGACATTTCAGTCTTTACTTATTTATTAATTTTTGGTTTTTTGACATAGGGTCTCACTCTGTCACCCAGGCTGGAGTGCAGTGATGCAACCACAGCTCACTGCGGTCTTTGAACTACCAGCCTCAAGAGATCCTCTCACCTCAGCCTCCTGAGTTGCTGGGACTACAGGCACACAACCCCACACCCAGCTAATTTTTTGTATGTTTATAAAGTGGGGTTTCACCATGTTGCTCAGGCCAGTCTCAAACACTTGGGCCCAAGCGATCTGTCCTTCTCGGCCCCCTGAAGTGTTGGGATTACAGGTGTGAGCCACTGTACCCAGGCAGAATATTTTAAAGCTTGTTCAGATGGCAGTCATTTGTGCTATATCCATTTGGGATTTGATCTTTTGGTTATGGGATGATCTTTTAATGACATTGCAAAATGTATGTTTCAGAATGTCCTATAAATAGTTTAAAGATACAGAGCCAAAGCTGCCATTGTCACTTATAACATGGATGAGACCAAGACTAAGTGAGACTATGCTCTTTCCAAGGAGACATCACCTTCCCCACCAATAGGTTCCATGTTCTGATCTAGTCTGGCTTCAGTCAGACTGGAAACTTTTTGAGACACTGCTTATGCCTCACCCCTAATGAGAGCCCCTTGCACTTCCAAAAACCTCTTACTTTCGTGTGAAATTCTTTCCTAGCTTCCAGCTTTTTGATTTAATTTAATTTTTAAGAATTTAGAAAAACAGCCTTTTGTTATAATTGTGGACAAAGTTTCTTAATTTTTTTCTTATGGAAAATTTAAAACATGTTATGCAAGCAGAAAGGTTAGGCTAATGTCCCCATCCCATGAACTCCATCACCCAACCTGAACAATTATCAGCTTACAATCACGTTTCATCCATGTCTCTACTCACTTTTAGCCTCTCTCAAGGTTATACGAAGCACATCCTAGTTATCACAGCATTTCATTCATATTTTAACATGGCTATATAAAAGATAAGTAGTCTTTAAAGAAAAGTAACCACAATACCATTTCTCCACCTAAAATATTACCCATACTATATTAATGTTCTGAAAACACCCTTCGAATTTCCTTGATGTCTCTTTTTTTGTCCTTTATTATTTTTTGAATTACTTTGCTTTATTTTTCATGTGTAAAAACACCATATGGTGGCCACAGTGGGAAGCCAGGTCCTCTGCACTAAGACTTTGGTGTGAGTCTTTAGGAGTTGGTCAGTGAATTCCTGATAAGAGACTCTGTTAATGTGGTCTCTTTCCAGAGGTGGGTTGGGAGGTAAAATAGCTCAATGTCTTGGAGACCGCATCAGAGGTGGCTGTGGTGAAATTGCCCTAGGTGGCAGTGTAGCCCCTGGCCAACATGTAGCATTCATAGATACTGGCCTTAAGCAGCAGTTTCTTAGGCACAGGGATTGAGATGATGCCATTGTCTCTGGGAGTCAGGAGGAGGTGCGCCAGAGCCACGGAGGCCAGTCACCTTTCAAGGGACCACTTAGGGCTCACCTATCTTGTTCCCCACAGTGTCCTCGAGCAGACAGGTGATGGAGAGCTCAACCAGGATGTTGGCCTTGCCCATGACAGCAGCTACTCAGGCTGACATGGCTATGCAGTCTCTGAGTGTAACAAATGCCTTGAACCTGGTCTGCTGGCTGGCACAGGTCTGCTTTTGCATGAGCTTAATCCACAAAACTTCATCCTTGAGGGACCTCCCTGGGAAAAAGTCAATGATTTTAGACTCCTCAATGGGCAAGGAGAAATCATGACTAACCTCCAGGGCCTTGATCTTCATTCCTTGGGCAGGCAGTCCCGCATGGTGACCCAGAACCACTCCTTGGCCTTGGCCTTGCCTCTGTGGTCTAGGCCAGGTTCGTGACCCTGGCCCTGGACACAGCTGCCAAAGCCTCCACAGAGCTGCCATGACCTCTCATTACAGGGCCCCGGAGTAGCAACTATGTCATTGTCACTGGTATTTTCTCAGAGAATCAAGACTGTAATAAGGTTCATACTTAAAATTGGTTGACATGTCTTCTAAAACTCTTAAATCACAGATCTGAGTTCTCCATCATTTTTCCTGACAATTTATTTGTGCAACAGCCTGTAGAGTTTTGTACAATCTGAGTATTCTGATTGCATTTCCATAGTGTCAGTTTAATAAGTTTCTCTGTTTCTTGTATCTCTTGTAAACTGGTAATTAGGGGCTTTTAGGTTTGATTTAGAGTCAAGTTCAAATTTTTGGCAGGAATACTTCCCATGTGGTATGGCACATTTCTATTAGGAGGCACCAATGGTTGGCTTGTTTTTCTCTTTGGGCCATTGGCAGTCACTGACACGGTCTATATCCATTATTTCTTTAGGGATTATGAAATGGTGAAGTCTGATTCTGTCATTCATTCTTTGTTTATTAGCTGGAGTACTTCTATGAAGAGAACCTTCTCCTCATCAACTCTTTGGTTACCCTGAATTCCAGTTCAATACTTCTTCAAGCGTGTGACCCATTTATTCTGGTTTCAGAGAGATGCCTTTTTTTTTTAACCTAATGGGTACCCAGAAACAACTATAGGAAATAAAACCTCACCCATAAAGGGAGGTATTGAGCAGCAGAAAAACTCCAGAACAGGGGTCTCCAGGGTCTTGACTCAACCTCTGGCACCTGTATGATGTTGGACAAGCTGTATAATTTCTCAGAGTTAGTGGACTCCAGGCTTCTATCTGCACTCCAACCAGAGAGGCAGTTTTTTCTATTTGTTTTAAACAAATAAAGCTACAGCCTTAAAAAATTGTGTACAGTTTATTACTAAGGTATCTTTCAGCTTAAACAGTTTATGATTTTCATTTATGATTTAAAAAAACAAGTCCATGTTAGGAAACTTAGCAATCTGATGACCAACAGATACCAAGTGTTATTTCTAAAAATGCATTATTTCATTTATTAATTCAATAGTTCATTTATTTCTCCATTCTTTAAACAAGTGTTTGTACTATCTAAGTCCCTATAAAGCATAAAGCTTAGGCGTAGACATTGTAGGCACTAACATTTTGGGGATCACTTGGAGGTACCATTCTTGAAGCCTCAGCCTGAAATTCACAGAGTTGAGGAAAGGATCCTGGAATTCTTGGAAGTCTTTCTAAAAATCATCCACAAGAAGGATTCCAGGTACATGAGAGCTAAACTTGGAATTTTCCCCATGGAAAGTCTGTTTGCTATGCAGAGCCAGCTTAGGGAGTATTTAACAACATCCCTGGGAGGGAAGAGCAATTTAGAACATCTGGAGACTGCTCATTAATTGTTTATATGATAATGTTGATCTGAAATTGTAGAAACGAAAACCTGATCTGTGATCCCTCCTTCTCAACCCATTTCCCATTTCTTTTTTACCCGTGCAACTGATGAATGCACACAGGTCAGAAGTATGAGGACTGGTTTGAGGACAGTTTCAGGTTCCAAATAGGAATTATGGATCCTACTTTCTCTTTAGTGCATCTTATATTCCACTGTGGGTGTGTTCATTATTAACAGTGGCTAAGACTGAGGGGCTGAACAGGGAAAGGAGAGCAGAAAACAGAATTCCAGAATCCACCATTTGAATCACACTGGTTTGTGATGGAGGAAGCACATAAATAACATCTACAGTTCTCACCTCTGAAACTAAGAGCAATGGGGGCTTCCCTTCTTCACAGTTTCACCCAGTTCTTATTCACAGAAGGTGCTGTTCTCCTAGCACTTAATAATTCAATAATGAGAGTTGGAAGCTGTCCCAGCAGGAGATGTTATGAAACAACCTTAAAGAATAATAGAGGGGGAAAAAGAGCAGCGCTCTATTTTTAAAAAATCAGAGCCTTTCTTGGAGGCCATGAAATTCTAGGTTCAAGTTAATTATCACCAACAAATATTTATTCACATGATGAATATTTATTGAATGACTCCTTTGAGCAGCAGTATAGGTGTCATAGTGGTGTCATATTGGCACAGAGATGACAGGAAGCCATTCCTTATAAGCTAGTAGGGCAGAGACATTTGACATAACTGATTATGAAATGAGGCAAACTTTGAAAGCGCTGCATTAAAGGTACACAGAGAAAAGCTTTATGAGAACGTGATAGGAAGACATCGCTTCTAGGTGGAGGGTTGCAGGGAAGCTTAATGAAGGAGATGGCATTGATGCTGAATGTGAAAAATTGGATAGAACTTCAGCTAGGGGAGCTGGAGGGGACTATCAGTCCTGAGGGTACACTGAGCCAGGAAAGGTTGTTGGAAACAACTGTCCTGCTTGGCTTCCATTTCTTTCTTAAAGACCATTAGAACTTGGTGTCCCTGTGTGTGCCACTGGGTGAGACCATGATACAACCTGGGACAGAGCTAGAGAAGAAGGAGGAGATGCTTTAAAAATTTCCCTCATTTGCACCAACTGCACTCCTCCTGATCCTTTCAGAAATGACATGTTATTCAAACTCTGGAAAAATCAGTTTCATCTATTTTTTTTTAATCCTGAGTCAACACATCTGCTTCCTTATCAGATGCTGCTCTGATTTCAGGCCTGGTATTGCCATAGGCTCCCCTGAGTAGCCACCCACACAGTAAACAGTTGTCCCACTTTTCAGGGCTCCAGGCTGCCTGTTGGCTCTGTCTAGGTAATCCTGCGGGACCAGTAGGGCTCTCTGATTCCAGATCTATACACAGATACAGTCACACGCAGCTGGGACTTGCCTCCCGTCTCAGCAGGCATGATCTCTGTGATCCTCCCCTGGGAGGTGGAGGCCTACTAGGCCTTGGGTGAACACCCACCCCTGGCTAGACAACACCCCCAACCCCTTGATTCCTGGATAACAAGCTACCAATGGAGTCAGGCTAGCAATCTGAATATAAATGACTTACTTTCTCGATTTAATGAGAAAGAATAAATTACTTGCAATAGGAGGTTAGGTATGGTTCTGACATTGCAATATTCTCTTCAAGTTAACAGCAGGCATTTGTTACATGCTCAGAGAATTTTATGATTTATAAAGAACTTTCCAAAACAGAATATAATTTGATTCTTGTTAGAGGCTCTATCATTCTCACTTTATAGATAAAGAAATTGAGGAATTCGTTGGTTAAGAAAATAAAAATAGCCACTCTCATTGGGCACATGGCCAAGTCCTGTTCTAAACACTTTAGATTTAACTCATTTAAGCCTTTAAATCATCTTATGAGGCAGATATCATCATTATTGTCCCCATTTTGCTGCTGAAGAAAGCAGGCATGGAGAAGTTATGAACTTGCTCAAAGGCCTGCAGCTAGTAAACAGTAGAGGTGGGGTTTGAACTCAGCCATCGTGGCTCCAAGGTTACACTAGATGGCCTATAGCTTGGATCTGGAAGAGAAGATCTTTCCAAATCTGCCATTCATCCAACAAAGCAGACACCTGGATCTCACAGGGAATGTTCCTCACTGGCAAATGTTTCTGCTGGACAAATGTCTTCTCTTTTATTGGCCTGTTATAACTAGAGTGGACTTTGAGAGCGCTAAAAAGAGAACATTGTTTGCTGCCTGTTTATTTTTCCGTCATTCTACACTGAGACAGGCACCATCCTCTTCAGTGAGAAAACCACACAAATAAACCCCCTTCTTGAGCTAGGCATGGTGGCTCATGCCTGTATTCCCAGCTACTTCAGAGACTGGAGGATCACTTGAGGCCAGGAGTTTGAGACCAGCTTGGGCAACATAGCAAGACCCTCATCTCTAAAATAAATGTGTCATGTACATAAAACTATCATTCATGAAATAAAATAAGCCCACCTCTGTTACTCCAGGATGACGATGAAGGAAACCCTGAGAATCAAGAGGGCATTTCCAAGTCTTGTGGGGAGCAGAGGCTCATAGGAAATAGCACTGAACACAGAGCCAGACAACCTGGATGTTGGTCATGTGCCAAAGGTGAGATCTTAGGTTAGTTGTATTTTCTGAGCCTCGGGTGTATTAAGGAAGAGGCAGAGCCTCTTCTGCCCATTTTCTGTTATAAAAAATATGTGAAAATTATTTGAAATACTATACATTACATGCCATACTTTTAAAAATGAAATTTGATGGGTTTCTAAGCCTCTGCAGAATTTGGGCATCATTTTAATAAAATAGACTTGATGAAGTGAAGCTTCTCAAAATAATAATTTTTAAAACGGTACAATTTTAACTGGGGATATATTTAATCTGTATAGATAAGGGAAACAATTTTTGCAGTCGTCTCATAGATTCTTCTAGAAAAACTCAGAACAAACCAAACTTTTTAGAATTTATTTCACTTTGTTCTTGTTTTATTATTATTATTTTTAAAGAGGCAGGGTCTCACTATGTTACCCAGGCTGGTCCTTTAATTTCTTCCATATGGAAGTCCTTTTATTTCTTCTATAACTAAATCCATTTGGAAGAGGGGGGTGCCACTCATACCTAGTGTCTCAGTGAACAGTGCTAAAAGGGAATTCTGTGATTAAAGAATCATAGAGCTTCTTTTCCCTGTGAAAGCACACCCTCTAAGGCTGTGTCTCAGCATCTCCAGATCTTCACGCTCTGGTGCCTAATAAAAGATCATCGTTATCTCTGGAGGGAATTCTCTCAGGTAGTGAAGGTAGGCAGAAGGTAAGTTTCTAGATACAAATTATATTTGGCCTCGTGGAGATACTAGGAACTGTATATCCAGGAAATGCCTATTCCCTCCTCTTTTCCATAACTGGCCTCAGGCTCGCCCCATTTTAACCCTCTCATTGACATCCAGAGCCGCTACGGTCAAAGAGGAGGCGGCCACGAATTGACCTGAATTCAGTAATAAGCCTATCTAGTCAACCACTTCAGAGTCAGGAGTTGTCTATACAGATAGCCAAGTCTTCCTAGAAATACTGTTACCAAAGAGAGAATCAAATGGAAAAAAGACACAGTCTGTGATCCAGTCGGTATTAAAGAATAAAGGAATACTTGCTGGAATTAACATTTCGCAAACCCAATAAGAAGTCCCTAAAATTAATTTTACCTAAATCCCAGCCCCAAATTTGGAATTGAATGCTAATCCAAAAAGTTATGTTAAATCTCTACTTCCAAAATAATTTTAGAATGATGTGGCCATTTCCACAGGCCTAATATGGCAGCATCTCCCAAGGGCCATCAGAACCAAGTGGCCTTGGAATTGTGCAGTGAGACGAGGACAGCCCCTTGAGACATCCAGATTAGAATCAGTCATAAGGTCCAATCTAGTCTTGGCTGGCCTTGGGGATTCGGGGTTGGGGGGTGGGGGTCACAGGGCATCCACATCTCTGGTAGCATAATTCTTGCCAGGTCAGGTGGTGTGTAAAAAATTATAGGCATGCAGGGTCACTGGAAAATGTTGAGAGCCAGAAAGTTTGGGTTATGATAGTTATGAACAAGGGAAAGTATTTACAATACCCCTTTTGCCCCAAAATAGATTTTAAACACTATACAAGCACAATGGAATGTGTTCATTCATTTCTAACCGGATTGTCTTCTACTCTCATGTTTAGGTCATAGCTATTTCTAGGCTTTCATGTGACAAGACCTTCACAGACTAAATTCAGTGGTGTCACCTTCTGAACAAAGTGGCCACATGCGCTGTGGTTTTCCCTTGTTTATTTTGTCTTGTTTTGTTTTACACAGCCAGTATCACTAGCCTCCTGATCAAGGTTAGTAGATAGAATTCAACCCCGTTCATTTAAAAGAGTGATAAATTTATGCCAGCCCATGATCTCACTCCCCTGAGTAGCAGAATGTGTCTGTGGTGCGCTGTGAAGTCAACCTTCCGGACACAAGTGTTCTGTGTGACCCTGAAACTACACCTGAAAGACAGGATGATGTCGTCATACCAAGCAAGCATTCTGACTGCAACTTAAAGTATTAAGGACAACATATATCCAGAGGTGAAAAGAAAATGAAAATGGCTGATTTATTGTTTTAATTGAGGAAGAGCCTGTAATCCAAATAAACTATGTTGATGGAAAAGACTCACCCAAACGCCAAGGTGAAATTTCCTAATACTTCTGCCAATTTGTTAGCGAATAGATGATGAGGAAGTCTCAGGTGGATTCTACTTGTACAAGGCCAAAAAAGATCTTATTACCAGGGTGGAGGTCAATGATTAACACTGTGATATGAAGTCATATTTCTTGTAAAGCAGCTCTTTGCAGTGTGCCAGGTTTGAGATAGTGTGCACACAATGTGACTACTCAACAATTAACGTGTTTTCCTGTGAGCGAAACTTGGTGAGGAGGGTGGCACATTTCTCTTTCCGCAATGTGAATTCTTACACATATACACACATTCTCTCTCTCTCTCTCTCACACACACACACACACACACACACACACACACACTCCCCACACCCTTCAATCATATATCCCCTTAGAGATGTTCATTACATCAGCCATGCAGAAGGAGAAAGAAAACCCTTACCCACCTGTAGCCACCAGACATGCCCTCTATAAGGCAGCTATTTACAAGACTATGAAGACATGCTCTAGAAATGAAGGGACATGCAAAGGCGTAGAAAGAACAAAAAGAAAATTACACCATTCTATAACTGCCAGGGCTGAGAAGAACAGAATATTAGCTGACATTTCTTAAAATTGTGTTCTGTGTACTGAGTACTTTATATGCTTTATCTTGTTTAATCCTTACATCAACCTCTTGAGGTACAGATTATATTTATTACTGTTTTAGAGATGAAGAAACTGAGGCTCAGAGATGTTCAATGACTTATTTATGGGCACACAAGCCATTCTAAATCACCATGGAATGCAAGTTAAAATATTCCCACCAGCTGGGTGTGGTGGCTCATGCCTGTAATCCTAGAACTTTGGGAGGCCGAGGCAAAAGGATCACTTCAGCCCATGGTTTCAAGACCAGCCTGGGTAACATAGTGAGACCCCCATCTCTATTTTTGAAAATAATAATAATTTTAAAAATACTCCCACCTTCTTCTGGTTTTTTTCTTTTTGAGACAGAGTCTTGGAGTGCACTGGTGCAATCTCAGCTCACTGCAACCCCCGTCTCCCGGGTTCAAGGGATTCACCTGCCTCAGCCTCCAGAGTAGCTGGGATTACAGGCACCCACCACCATGCCCGGCTAATTTTTGTAGTTTTAGTAGAGACAGGGTTTCACCATGTTGACCAGGCTGGTCTTGAACTCCTGACCTCAGGTGATCCAGCTGCCTCAGCCTCCCAAAGTGCTGGAATTACAGGCATGAGCCACTGCACCTGTCCCCATCTACTTCTTTATAGGAGGATGCATGGAATGGCAACTTATCACTGCGTCCAGCCCATAGGAATACAGGCATACCTAGAATACGTTCTGAGCATGCACACATAGATGTACCATGTACAGTCAAGCTAATCTTCCTGTTACCAAAAGTTTTGTCCTTGTGATTGCCTCTAGGCATATTCTAATATTTTTAGCCAGAGTCATCATAAAAAAGAGTCTTTATATGTCAAAATAGCTTTATAGATCAAACTGCATGATCTGAAATGCCGCTTCTCTGTTTGCGAGGGTTAAATGGTTGTCTCAGGCCAGAGTTTAGTTCATATTCTATAAATGGCTCTTACTCCTTGATCTGACTCACTGTATGTATTACAGCAAAGTCACTTACAGATCAAGATTTATTTTTAGAATCTTAAAGAAACAGATTCTACAGGGAGTGTTTGTGTCTGACCACAGACTAATTTGAGTGAAAACATATCTCAGTGAGGAACTTTCTTTCCATTTGATTCCCCTGCCCGTGGCTTAATGATAAGTCTCTTCATGTCATGTTAAATGGTTTTGAATTATTTAACAGCAGAATGACAGAATTTTATGCCAACATCATACATAGCAGAGGAGTTTTGTGGTATGCAAGTAAGAGAATCTTTTTGATTTTGAATAAAATAATGCATCAGAAAACTATGCAGAATATTAACGTTCATAAAGATGGGGGGAGATTGTATAGTCTACTTTGCCACTTTGTAACAGAGATTTTCTCTAAGATCAAAACCCAGGGATATGATAAGAACAATGATGATGGTGATGATGATGGTGGTGATGACAACTTCCTCCATTATCACCTTTAGCAGAGATTCTGGATTCATCCCTTAAATAAATATGACATGCTGCCCTCTACAGGTATTCAACCTAAACCAGATAGTCTGAAGCCGTTACAAATAGATAAAGCACTCTGAAATACACAGACCAATAAGTAAGTGCAAATGAAATATTGAGGCCAATTAAATAAGGAAATCCTTTAGACTCTGCACGTCTAATTTGCGTGAATTCTAAAGCCAAAGAAGAATCAAGCGTTTACTATTTCATTTTAATGTTCTCTTCCAAGTTTTTGAGTGCGTATACTTGAGCCTATCTATGTCAGAAGCAGGGAAGAACAGTTGGGAATTTGTGAACTCATTTTCTGTTTACTCTTGAAAAAGTTAATTGCCCTTTGGTTTGGCTAAGACCTATTTGATAACAGATGCTTAATGAATGATTAATAAGTAATAATGCGTGTGGAAATCCCAAGTTTGTTTGCAATTTAAAAAAGTTGAATTTCATACCATAGGTAGCCAACATTTTTAAAGATTAACAGGCTGTGTACAAAAAGAGGGTCTATCTGGCTCCTTCTTTAAGCCTCCACTTCTGCCTCACCCCAGTAAATCCTCTTGTTACTTTGGTGTCTAAGTTGAACATTTTTCTCAAATTGTACTTCGTTTTTCCTTGTTCCGCCAACAGACGTGAAAAAAAAAAAAAAAAACAATCTTGAAGAACTGATTTCTTATGCCTGCCTCCTACCCTGAGTTTACTCGCTGAACTTCTGTTAATTGTAACTCTTCCCTATAAAAGGAAAGGCTGGCCCAGATGGTCTGACAGCTCCTAGTGCTCACTTTGTGATATGGGTCAGTGAGTGCTTGGAGCATCAGCTTCAGAGCCAGGCAATCCTAGGTTCATGCCCAGTTTCCTACACTGACGTGCCTGGATGACTCTGGGCCAGTTATATAATATCTCTGAGCCTCAGTTTCCCATCAGCAAAATTGGTACAGTAGTATCCACCATGTTGGATTTTTTTTTTTTTTTTTTGGTGAGGATTTAAAAATACAGAGTAAGATAAAAGATTTCATAAGCAGCATTTCATGTAATTCCCATGGCTACATTATAAGGCAGAAACTATTATTAACCCCGTTCTACAGATGAGGAAATGAGGCTTAGGGAAGTTAAGCAACTGAATTCAAGTTACAGGGCTAGTACCTGTGGAGTTGGATTCAAGCCAGGCCCAGGCCCTGCTTTTGACCTCTGTGCCACTCCATCAGACAGCTTTATCCTCTACCCACACATGCTGATAGGACGAACAAAGGATGTTTCATTCTACCCTTTAAGATGGCTCTTTCCTCCATCATTCTGATTTCTTGCCAGACTTTGGTACCTCCAACTACGGGAAGTGCAAAGGACAAGAGAGTTGTTCTCTCCTATCTGCATTCTCAGTGCACAGGAGACATGGAAGGAACTCCAAAAAAAAGGCATTCTACCCCATGTTCTCAGAGTTGACTTATATAGTCAAAAAGAAGAGGGTCCTTGTTAGTGGCTGGAGTTAAAATCCCAAAGCACAGTCCGCCAAAACCTCATCCAGATGCAAGTGTGTGGTCACTGGTCATGCATTTCTGTTTGCTGAATTCCATACAGCCAAGGCAACTGCGTTGCCTTGCTGAAGATCCACAGGGGAAAAAAGTTATGTGTGCTAGGATGAAAAAACATGCAAGCAGAGTTCTCCCTCATTGTCAGGAATGTTTGATACAGCAATGTTTATTCCATGGCCTCCATCCATGGAAAATGTGCTATCAGACTTTAAGAGGAGTAAATCAACACAGGTCTTCCTTATTGGCCACTCATTTTGTTAAAATGACATAATATCATAGAGGATCATCTATTTCAATAAGAACAATTTTCTGAAATTATAATAGTACATGCATTTTAGTGAAATAACTACTGTAAGAGTCTTTTAAAAAGGTATCTAAGTTGTCATTAGGTACCATATGCTTTTCTTCAACTAATTTCTTACACCCTCTGGGAAAAGTTTACGATAATGATATCCTAACAGATTGTTGCCTTTCTTCATTGGAGTACATTCATTTATGAGGTCATTCTATTTGGGTGTGTCATTTTATATTTAACGTATGTATTATTCACATTAAGGTAGTATAATTCATTGTTTTCTGTATCAAGTAGAGATCACTACATAAGTCATTTATTTCTACCTTAAAAGATTGCTTCTTGTCAAATGCTCCACTGGCTTTACCATTCCTGTGATTTGAGTTGTATGATTGTTAATATAAAATATTTAGAATGATTGAAGTGTGGAAGAGTTCAAATTTGAATTGAAAATTTCCTGGTAGTCTCTTGGAAAATAGCACTAATACTCATTGACTGCTGGCTATATGCCCAGGCTTGTTCCAAGTTTTATGTGTGTTAACCCACCCATCCTCACAACAATCCCATGAGGTGTGTTATTATGACTATCCCCATTTTACAAACAGAAAAACCAAGACCTGAGAGGTTAAGTAACCTGCCCGTAGCTAAGGAGCTACTAAGTGCTGTTTCTGGGATTCAAACCCAGGAAGTCTGGCACCAGGATCTGCTCTCTTAACCCCTCCCCTCTGTTGCCACTTCAAACCCTGGGGTGATGGAACAGAATCGATTTTATTGCTTCTAAAGAGCATTTACTTACTCTTTTAAACGAGTGCAAATAGATCGTCCTCTTTAGCCAGGGAGAGAAGGAAGAGCTATTCAAGAAGGGATCTAAACAAGAAGCAAGAACTTGTTCTTTCTCATGCTCCATGGAAAGGCATGGTGAACAAGGCAAACTATGTCTTACTCCCCCTGGTGTTCAGAAAGGGAGCCTACCGGGGGCCCTTCATCAGATTTGGGGAAAGGGGCCCCAGGACGGCTTCAATTTCTTTTCTGTTCCTAGGCTGGAGAAATAAAAAGCAGCCAGGATGTGATACAGGGGTTTTTTTTCTCATCTGTTTTTGCTCTCAATGCTTGCAATGAGTTAGAAACAAGTCGACATCCACTTGCAGCCCTTGACAGACAAAGTTATTAAAATTTCTAATTTCCTAAAATTTCTCCTGTCCTCCACCCCATCCATTCTGCTACGCCCCTGGCCTTCTGCCAGGGTGTCTGGTTTTCCATAATTAAGATGGTGGTTCATATAATCTTTTTTTTCCCTGTCTTCTACCGTGGCTGCTGGGCATCTGTTCCAAAATGTCTATCACAGTTGCCTTGGTATTGTCAGCTTGGAGTTTCTGATAGCCCAGCATTTGATAGAGAAAAATTTAAGATCACCTCGAATTTTCAAGGCAACTTGGGACCTTGATTCCTTTCATTAGATACAATAATACTTGAACCGTTCGTTTGAAAGAGTGGCTCAGCCCTGGCTACCTGTTGCTCTCACTTGGGAGCTTTAAAACAAATACCAGTACTTGGGCCCATCCCCAGAAGGTTTGAATCATTTCTTCTGGGGTGGAGCCCAGGCATCAGTATTTTTTTTACATGAGGTCACGGTTGCAAAACACTGGGCTGAATTAATCTTCTGGCTTAAATTTGAATACCAAGACCCTGAAAGGCCTTGGCTCAGAAATAAGTAAAATTCATTTAAATGACCAGTTGTAGCTCCCATGACCTGCCTCTTGAAATGCAAAAAAGGGTTTTCGCCATGCAGTTATAGTCATTCACAGATTGGTGGGATAGCATGAAGTTCTTCACTTCACACTTTCTAAGGGCCCCCTCTACCCCGCACCCCTGGACCTCCTCTGGCCATATCCTCTTCTTTTCAGCTTATCTTCAGCCTTAGACAAACCTCAGGGCATTCATTAGAAATTATTTTCATGACAGTGGCTGTTGTACTGAGTGTTCAGTAAATAAAAATCTGTATGTGACTTAGTCCAATAAGCAGAGGCTATTGTTATGGTGTGAGGCTGCTTCTATTTCTTATCTGTGAAATAGAAGCAATGATGCCTGCCTTGCCAAATTGTTCACAGTTTATATAATTTATATGAAATATCCTGATCTACCCACTATCACGCAGCAGTAATGCCTCTCTTTTCCAGTTATTTGGAAACTTCCCAGTTCAGTGAAGGGATTTCTCTTATTCTCTTATTCTAACAGGCAGCCAGTTCCTCTTCTTACTACGGTATTGCCCAACAGGATCAGCTCAGCTTTTCAGGGATGTCAGAGAGGAATGGCTCTCATATCTCTCGTCAGTCTTTAGGGTCTCGAGACCCTAAAGACTGACAGCAATCCAGGACTTTTGTGGTCTACATTTGTAGCACAAATGATAAGACTGAGCAGGTTTCCTGAACTTACCTCTGTTTGTTTACTGAAACCTCTTACCACTGGGGCAGCTACAGCAACTGACCACGCCTGCTTATTGTCTGTCTCCTGTCTGGTCACCTCTTCTAGTTCTGATTTGCCCCAGAAGGCTTAGCATCTGTCAGTCTACTTTGCCCTCAAAACCTTCCAGAAGATGTTTCAGCACCCAAGGAAAATAAACAGGCTTCTCTGGAGCCCAGGGGACAAGACATAGGAAATCTGCATTTCAGTGGGTAAGAGAAGGAAGAGACCATGGTAGCCAGTGGCAGAAGAAAGTGTAAATTTCAAGAACATTCTACTGTGTGAGGGTGGGTGGCTGTCATGGAGATGAGGGGACATGCTGGCCAAGGGGTGGGCTCTTAGGGTCCAACAGCAGCATCCAAGGTGCTAGAGACAATATGCTGCATGTTATTGATTTTCATGTAACATTTATCTGGCTTTTCTAGGAAAATCCTTATAGACATTTCCTCTGCTGTGACCAAGTCCCTCTCATTGGCCAGACACTGTGCTAATAGTTGAGAAGAAGAAAGAACAGTCTTGGTTCATGAACTACAGTCTAGCTGGGGGGAGAAAAGATTATTAGATAGGCATTGAACATTGATAGATTTAACTACATTAAAAACAAACAAAAACCCTTAAGCCAAACTTCCAATGCCCCTTCTCCCCCACGTCCCCTCTTCCCGCTTAATTTAGGATAGTGATTAAGATCCCAGACTTCTAAACCAAGTTGTCTGTTTAAACGGTGAGTTTACCTCTTGCCACCTGTGTCATCTTGGACCAAATGGTGCCTCGGTTTACTTGCTTAAACATTGATAAAAACACTCACAGGTTGTTGTAGAAATTAAATAAAACAATACGTGCGAAATCCTCAGAGATGAGTTTAGCCCATAGCAAGCACTCAACAAAGGTTAGATTGCTAACATTAATCCACTGGCATATGTTTAAAAAGAGAAGCTGAGGATGGACACAGCAGCAGGTTCTGCAGGGAAGTCCAAGGGGCTAATTTATTACCCAGTCCTCCTTCCACCTCCTCCCTTTCCTTGGAGAGTTGTCCTGGAATCAGACGCCCAGCGTGCGGGTCAGCCAAGCTGTTCAGCTGCTGTTGGTCCCTGAATTCTTCTTTCTGGCCTCTCTAAACAGAGCAGAGAGGATCTGGGGCAGCCAACAGACAACTCTGTATTCACTGTTGAGCAGGCAGGCTGGCAAGCAGGGAGTTTCTTTGCTTTAAAAGATAGCAGGGACAGTCAGGGGTTGAACAGTTGTGTTGCTTTCAGGAAACACGTTGGCCTTCTAGGGTTAGGAAGGGCCCCTTTAAACACAGAGCCACAACATTCTCCTGGGATGACCTTTGCTTCATGGCAGTCATGAGTCTTGTTCTCAAAGCTCTGACCATCCATGATTCATATGTTCCCAATGGCTGTCTCAGCTTTTTATAAGGGATGGCATCTATTAAATTGTAAAAGTTAATTTTTGTTTGTCAGAGACATCATAAACATGTGAAGGCTCTTTCCTGTATTGAGTGTCCACCCTCAAAGAAGCTTCAGTATTGATTATGCTTCTGTAAGTAGAACTGTTGGCCAGTGATTGACAAAGGAGTATAGATTTGAAAGGATAGGCTTCTATGGCACATTCAGAAAACATGGACTCTCAATGTTGGAAGGAACCTTGGAGACCTCCCAATCCAACCTTCCAATCCAATGTACAACTTCCAAACAGCCCTGAGAGGTGGCTACCCACCTTCTGCCCCAGCCATTCTGTGAAACTGTGGACTCACTGCTCATGTGATGGCTACTTGGACAGCCTGAACTGTTCCTGAATCGTTAGAGGGTACTACTTCTATGGAGCCAGTTACATTTTTCTGGTATTTCTACCCATAGGACTTAGTTCTGCTAATTTGACTAAGCCCATCAATCTCTTCTCCCAAATGATACCTGTCTTGTTTCTCTTGAATTTCCTCTTTTCAGACCCAAATCTCAGTTAGGCAAAGTTTTTGTCATTTGTCATGATTCTGTAGTACCACCCAATTTGTGAAAGTAACAAACTGCTCACTTCCAATGCCAGCTGATTAATTACCTACTCCTAATAGCAACTTCAGGAACAATGGGAAATGTACATCTCAGTCTAGTCTGTTTGAAAATCTTATCCTCAAATCTGTGCTTTTTGGAAACCCATGAATACTTGAGACCGAGTGCTGAAAAAAACATATGTTTTTCATTTTCACCTGACATATTGCATCTTAAGGCATCCTGCTGGGTGTGCAGCAGCTGAAAAAGTTCGAAAAAATGTGGCTGCTCAAAACTATAGCAACAGAGGGACACATGATGAAGCAAAACAAGCAATGCGTAAAGCATTTTGGTTTATAGCTGGGGAATTATAATCATTCTGATTAAGTAGATTTCCATATAAAAAGACAATAGTGTGGCTAAGAGTCTCAGAAAAATTCCAAGTATATTTTCAACCATTTTCTACTTTGATCACCACCCTACTTGCTAAGAGAGTGACTTTTTGCATGCAGAAGACATATGTTTATAGAGTCTTTCAATATTTAGTCAACATTAATTTATTGACTACCTCCCTTGTATTCCAGGCAGAGTATGTATGGTACAGAACGCTATGAGGTACGTATGACTCTTGCCCCCGTGTTAGATATGAGGAAACCAGGCAGAAACATTAATAACCTATCCAGAATTACACAGCAAGTAAGTGGTTAGGCTGGAGTCAGAATCCAGAGCTCTGACCCCAGAGCACATGGCTCAACCACTACAGGGTACCACCAGTGGGACTCAGAGACGTACGGAAACTTTTCAATACCGACCCGCTCTGAGTGTATCTTGGTCAGGGCCATTGATTCTTCTTCTCTGTGACAAAGATTTCAGGGATGTTGATTCCTAATCACTGACTGCTTTAATCTGCCTCCCACTGGGATACTGGAATAACTGGGATACTCTGTAGCACCCTTCACAGCTGTTTGTGAGTTGCCTTCTGTGTGGAGTGTAATCAAAACAGCCTTAAAAACCAAGCATCAGAAACCCTGCGTTAAAGCCTCAGCTCTGCCAAATACCAGCTGTGTGGCCTTGAGAAAGGCACTCAATCCTTTGAGATTCAGTTTCTTCATTTGTAAAAATGACCACCTCCCAGGGTTATGGCATGAATTATTTTGTTTAACCAATATTGAGCATCTTGTATGTGTCAAACACTTGGCAAAGATTTGAGTACACACTGCAGATGAAAGAGATGCCAGTGCTGCCTTTTTCGGAGGGGGCGGCAGAGGGGATGAAGTCTCCCTCTGTTCCTCTATCACCCAGGCTGGAGTGCAGTGGCAGCGTGATCTCGGCTCACTGCAACCTCCGCCTCCCAGGTTCAAGCGATTCTCCTGCCTCAGCCTCTCATAATTCTGCCTTGTTGTGGAGCTTGCAGTCAAGTAAGGAAGCTAGACAAAAAGAAATAAGCAAATATATGAATAATCACAAGTTGGGATAAGGGTTGCAAAAGAAATGAAAGATCTTGGCCTTGGGAAATTGAGTGGAGGGAAGCACCATAAGGCGGCGCCAGGGATGGTGTCTCGGAAGAGAATGTGTTTGAAAGATGAGGAGGCACCTGCCAACAGAAGAGTAGAGAGAATGACAGGCTTAGGCATGGCGTCTTCAAAGCCTCTGTGCTGGAGAAAAGGAGTCAATGAAAATTCACCATTTTATGCATATAAGGGCACTTTGTAACTAAAGTAGGCTAAACCCATGTCAGAAATTTCTCTTGCAAATAGAAAATAGCACTGGCCACTTCCAAAGCACAGCTTGGACCGTGTTCTTCCCATAAGAGTCAAGACTAACATTCCAACCCAGTGAAGTTTGTTCCATTTCCACAAGATAACAGCCTTTATCCCCCTACACCAAAATTGTAGGTGCCTGGACTGAATAAACATAAGCACCAGTGTTTCCCCTGATTTCTAGCAGCTACCAAGGAACAGAACTTCCTCCCTCTCTCACTTTTCCATTTCCTCTACCTCCTGTCCTTGCAGATTGGGCAGCAATTTCGAAAAATTTCCTGAAGTTGACTGATGACAGGACATGGATGTCTGAAGTCTGAACTGCCTGGCCAGGACTAGGAAGAGATGTCAGGAAAGGAGAAGTGAGGGTCCTTCTGTGATTCTTCTCTCCCTCTCTCCTGTTGGTGCCTTCTTTTGGGGGTGATGGTCTGCAGGGACAAGCTCCTTCTTTTCTTTTCAAATGTTTTGTTCTTTAAAAGTTTTGTTCACCATCATTAGAAATATCTATGGAATGTAAAGAAAACATGTAATGCTAAGGCAGGAAGGACCTATTGTCCTGGGATCCCGGGAGGACAGAGAACGCTGCTACTTAACTTATGCTTAGTGTTTCTTATAGGAGATGTAGTTAAGGTCTCAGCTCCAGTGTCGCCAAGGGAGGATTTTCTGTCCCTCGGCTCGAAGGTTAGCCAGCCCCTGATCTCAGTCACCCTCCATGACATCACCCTTCATTGTTTTCCTCACAGCATTTATCATTGTCTAAAATGATATTGTGTTTTTAATTTTTTGTTTATCATCTACCTCCTCCACTAAAATAGAAACACCGTAAGTTCAAGGCTGGCATCTATCCTGTTCACCCTGAGTCGCTAGTTTGTATAATAGTGTATTATATCATGGGCACTCGATGGCTGAAAGATGAATGTTTGAATAGATTGAGTGATAACAAGAGCTAAGACTTCCATAGCTCTTATCCTGTTCCAGGTACTTCTTCAAGCACTTTAAACATCAATTTATTTCACCTTTCTGATAAACACATGAGGTAGGCACTAGGATGGTTCTTATTTACAGATTAGTAAACTAAGGCACAGAGAAGCAAAACAATTTGTCTAAGGTCACACAGTAATAAATGCTAGAATGACAATTCAAACAGACTGGTTGGCTATATAATATGTGCTTTTATCCACTCTATGGGATGCGTTTTTGTTCCAAAACAAATACTGGTGATACCAAAACAAGGCTCTTTTACAACAAAATTATTTCCTACAAATGAGAAGCTTGATCAGTTTAAACCAAGGATTCAATCATTCATGTGTGTGTGTGTGTGTGTGTGTCTGTGTGTAATGAAATATAGAAAATCAAACACTGAATATTCTCTCAGCTAGAACTCTTGGGTTATCAAGAGTTACCTCTGCTTCTGCCTATATCTCATTCAGAGAAAAAGCACTCTGGAGAATACCTGAGGAAGTAAAGAAGGTGTTTCTTCTATCTACAAATTCCATTTCTAACCTGTGCAAGGTGCTCACACAGTGGTCAGGCCAAGCTGAGAATGATGAGTTGTGGACTTACCAGCCATCCTTTTGATTGGCTGGTTACTTTGTGTCTGAACACTCTGAAGCTACCAGCCATGACAGTAGTGGGGGTGGGGTTCATGGTAGAGTTGAGAAGGAGGATTATAAATGTGTGAACTCCAAGAGCATCTCCAAAGACATAAAGACAGAGGTAGTGGTCCTACATCTGTCTTTGAGTCCCCTTGGTCATACATCTTCAAACCTAAAGGATAATGATCTAGCCTGTCTCCAGTTATTGGGCAGCACAGAATTCATGCTGCCTATAAAGTGAGACCAAATCTCTAAATCACTGTTGTCTGTAGCCAGGAGTCTGCCTCTTAAAGAAGAGAGTGAAAAGAAAATCAATGTGTCTGAAACTTTAGCCTGTCTTCTTGGCTATCTGATCAGTTAAGATTCCCAGAATAAAAAGTAAAACGGAGATAATTGATAACCATTTTCAGCCTCCTCTGTTTCTCAGAAGTTGACAGTGTTTCCTAAGTGTGATCTTGGTCTTTCCCATTATACCCTTGTAAAATGGCAGGCAAATTTCCACACAAATTTCATTTGAGCTTTAATCTGCCCATCCAGCCTGTCTGTAAACAGCAACTGGCATGTCTTGACTCCAAAAGAAGTTTCTTCTTTAAAAAAATATTTTCACCCAGAGCTTCAATTATGTCACTTCCCTTTCAGACCAGTTGAACAGATTAATGCATGCTCATGGATTAAATTGAACTGATATTTTTTAATGGGAAGGGTAAATGATGTCTATGCATGTCTATCATGTGCTTTACTCTTAATGAAAAATATTTTAAAATGTATATTGTTACATCATTTTGAAATTCTTTTTTAAAAAATTATGATGAGCTGCATATCATGAAACTGTTTTCATCCTGCCATTCATTGCTCAAAAACCTTAGATGGCCACAATTTCTCATGTGCCTGACTTCTAAGAGCCTTACAAGCCCTCCCCTGTGTATCATGCCTTATTGCTTGGGTTGTCAAAATTGTAATCCCAGAAACATTTAGTCTTTACTGAAGCTCTAGATGTGAGGCATTGAAGAGAACCATTTTCTCTTTTTTCCATGGGCTGCATTCATACCTACCCATTTTTCAAGTTCTGCCTTCTTCCCTTACTTTCTAGCTCTGGTCCATCTCACTTTCTGAACTCTTAGAAGAATTTAGTCTGTATCTCTGATGGCTTCTTTTAATTGTATGTTTTCATGTATTTTTATGTTTTATACAGATTACTATTGTCTTTTCAAGGAGACAGAAACAGCTTCAGGGTAGAGCACTGTATCAGTTAGGAATGCATTTGCCTGCAAGTAACGAAAAAATCCCAACAACACACAAAAGACATTTATTATTCTCATATTACAAGAAATTTGGAGGCAGGTAGTCCAGGGCTGCTAACCCAAGGGTATTGTCGAGGAATTTACTTGGGGCTGTTTATTCCAGGGACTTTTTTATGTGTTTCTTTTGATAGAATTATGTCCCATACCACTTCTAGTTAGTAGAGAAGCTAGGAGGCCAAAGGCTTCACCTTTCAGCTACTATAGTACATGAAGGCAAGGAGGAGGCTTGGAATGACTGTCGAGTGAGCCTGCTGAGGGTAACTACCACAGGGCCACTGATATTGCTCATATTTTATCCTGCAGGTGTAATACACATTTGGCTGATAGGTTTTCAATTTGGCACATTATTTCTCTGCTATATCTTACCCTCATTTATTCCACTCTTTAGCACTTCTTCTCCATTTAAAAGATGAATACACAGTTCTAGAGGAGGTGGTAGTGGTAATGATCCTGGAAATAACTAATACTTGTTGGCCACTTACTATGCCAGGCAAGATTAAGCACTTAATATGTGCTTAAATTAGTAGACCAGTCTTAACCATCTTTCAGTCTTTTCGATCATCATGAGAAGGTTTACTAGAATGTCTGCCTCAGCTGACAAGCTGCGGAATCAAAAGATGCTAGTCATTTTGAATCCATAAACTCACCAATTCAGTCAACACTATTCTTTCTTCATATTTCTTGTGTACTTCTTTCTGCCTATCACCATCATCTATCTATGTTAATTTTGGTTTAGGGTTTTATTATTGTACCCACCTGTTTCGGTTCCCCTAGGTCTTTGTTGACCTTTTCATTCATTTACTCATTCATTCATTCATTCATATTGTTTTCTGGGCCCAGCCACATTTCAGATTGGCATATGCCAGTTGATATGGTGTCTCCCAAACTCCTGGCAGCCTACCTGACAATTCAGAATTGCTCCTGAGCCAGGCCATTGTTGCATGTAGCTCAGACCTGTGAGCCCAGCTTTCTGAAGAGATTAGCAAAGCATATCCAGCAACTTCTCAGTTGAGCATGCCAGAAGAATAAAATAAAACCAATAAATAGTTATTGAGCCACAAAATCAAAGGATTATAGCACTGGATGAAACCTTAGAGATCATCTCTTCCAATTTCCTCTTCGAGTTCTTTTTTTAAGTTGAGTGTGCTGTTCTTTTTATATTTTCATATTCTTTTCTAATAATATATTCACACAATACCCTTCACTTGATGAAAGAGAAACACGAAGGGCAGGATCACACAGCTATGGCCAGAAGCCAGAGTGTGCTGCTTGCCCATGCCCTTTTTTGAGGGACCATGTCTAAGGCTCTCCACTGGGGGGTGGGAGGGAGGAGGGATATGGAGGAAGAGGAGTGTGGAATGTGTTTAGAGTGTTCCAATATGGGATTATCATCACACATGAAAAGATTGGCAGGGATTATCAACACCATGGTACTGATGACTTTATCATCTTCCTCCTTCTCCAAATCTACCCCTACTGCATCCCCTGCCTCCCTCCTTGAGGGCAAACACCATATACTGCTCACTTCTTTCCTGTGTGGCACTTACTTCTGCTATGAAAAATCATTCCTTTATATAATTCTTTGTTTAATGTTCCCTTTCCTACACTGTAAACTCCATGATGATTGATAGATACTACGCCTGCCTATGACATCCCCAATTATTTGTTGGATTAATAAATTATCATAGTCATCCTAGACTTTTCCCTTTCAATCATAACCTACAACTTGAAAGTTTGTGTTCTATATGCTATTTATCTACTTGGAAAATCTCATGTTTGTCTTTTTGTCTTCATCCTTACCATACCTGCCTTAGTTTAGGGCCTCATCACCCTTTCTGTGGTTTTCTAAATGGTCTCTTTTATCCAGCCTCCTCACTCCTGCAGCTAGAGCTGTTTTTCTCAAATGAAAATTTCACTGAGTGCAGTGGCTCATGCCTGTACCCAGCAATTTGGGAGGTTGAGGTGTGCAGGTTGCTTGAGCCCAGGAGTCTGAGATGAGTCTGGGCAACATAGTGAAACCCTGACTCTACAAAAAGTACAAAAATTAGCCAGGTATGGTAGTGTGTGCCTGTGGTCCCAGCTACTTGGGAGGCTGAGGTGGTAGGATCACTTGAGCCCAGGAGGATGAGGCTGCAGTGAGCCATGATCGTGCCACTGTACTCCAGCCTGGGTAACAGAATGAAACCCTGTCTTAAAAAACAAAACAAAAAAAGAAAGAAAAGAAAGGAAAAGAAAAGAAAATTTGACCACCTGAATTATGTTTCATAATTCATATTATAATTCAAATTATGTCTAGCTTCAGTAGTGAAGATAGTGAATTTCTATTCAATCATTCATTTATTCATTCACTCAAGAGATAGCTTTGAGAGGCCATAGTTTGCTGGACTCTCTTTTGGGGGCTTTTTATGTAGAAGTCAACATAAAAGTTTGCTCTCAAAATGCTCACAGATTAGTGAGAATGGCTGATAAAAAACAAGATACAATTCTAAAATATGGACTTACACTTTGTGATGACTGTCAATGTGAAAGAAACAAGTAAGATGCTAAAATGGAGTTTGAATAGAGGGGCAGAAGGGGAGGGAGAGATGGTTTAGATAGATTAGGTAGGAAAAGCTTTTCTGGAAAGTGACGTTTCAGATGAGACCCCAAGGATCAGAAAGAGCTGTTTGTGTGAAGATGCAGAGGGCAAACTATTTGCACAGAAGAAACAACAGGACGAAGGCACTTTGGTGGGGAAGAACTTGCACTGCTTAGTCTGTGAATTGAGGGTGTTCATAAAGATATCTGAGTCCTTCAACTTCTACAAGTCAACCAATTAAGAACTTATGTTTAAACATAAAATATTGGTTTAAACAATGCATTTATAGTTGTTATTTTTTATTTTTTACTGTGTTTTTCCAACAATACTTGGTTAATAGTTTGGCCAAGGAATATTAGACTAGGTATGGAAATGAAAAGGAATTCAGACAGCTCAGTGCTTCAGACTGTGTGGGCTTATCAAATTGTAGCTTGACATCGTTTTTGGTGACTTAATATGCATCTTTGGGAATCTTTATCATTAGCCTCGTTAGCTACAGAGACTCTTTCCTGAGTGTAAATATTGATTTATGATTTTTAATTAATGGTCTCTCCTGGATTTTTCCAATGTTTATCAAATTTTGGGGCTTGTTTTGTATGCCAAATGAGGTTTATCAGCAAAGATACGGACTAAGAATTTTTAATATGGAACAATCACTGCAGTGTTGGTTAAGAAAATCTTGATCCCTGCCTTCATTCAAATTGCTATCTTAAAGAAAGAAACTAGACACACACACACACACACACACACACACACGAACACACACACACACAGTGAGGGCTGGTTGCTAGGAAGGTTTGCATATTCTTTTTTCTTTTTTTTTTGGAAACAGAATCTCACTCTGTTGCCTAGGCTGGAGTGCAGTGGCACAATCACAGCTCACTCCAACCTCAACCTCTCCGGACTCAAGCAATTCTCCCACCTCAGCCTCCTAAGTAGCTGAGACCATAGGCACCTACCACCACACCTGGCTTATTTTGGATTTTTTGGCAGAGACAGGGTTTTGTCATTTTGCCCAGGTTGATCTTGAATTCCTGGGCTCAAGACATCCACCAGCCTCAGCCTCCCAAAGTACTAGGACTGCAGGTGTGTGCCACCACGCCCGGTCACATTCTGTTTCTTGATCTTAAACAAGAGAGAATGCACCAATACAATTGATATTATTATAACTTCTGCAGTTAATAATAATACACTCCACATAATGTTTAGAAATTAGTTCATTTTATATATGAAAAACCTGACAATCTGCAAATGATCTTTTTCACATCCCATAGCAAATCAGAGAACAAAACTTGGAAATATTGCTCCTCCAAAAGAGTGGTCAGATCATAAGTAGAGAGTACTTTGTATACTTCTTCCCAAATCCCAGAGAGGTGAAATGTCTATATTCATTTCTTACCCTGCTTATTTATTGTATGAGAGGAAAATTAACAGATCTGCTTATTTTAAATATTTGGCTACAATTTAAAAAAGTCTTTTTAATGAAATATATTGAGCTGGGAACATGTAGTGTGCATACCTGGCCCAGTTGTTCCACGCCACACTTCATGAATGCTTTGTAGTATTAGTTCCTCTAGACTATTTGAATAATTATGAGTCAGACTAATGATTTCAGCCTCTCCTAATATTTAACTAGGGTATGTGATAAATTTCTTGGCTTTAATCTTATCTCTGTTTGGCCTTCAGCATTTTCTAGAATAAGTCCAATATTCTGATGCAAACGTGGGTCTCCTCTTAAAACAGAACACAACAAAACAAAATTCCTTAAAACAAATAGGCTGTAGTAAAATACCAACAGACATTCCTTAGCTCTAGAAAAGGGATTAGGCATTTTGGGAGGCTTAAATTTTGTGTCCTAAGAGCTAAGAAATAGAAACAGGAATATGGATTTTTGTTGGTATTTATTATATTCTGCCTTAGCTGCACATTTTTTCCTCAAAAATGAGCATTGAACAATATATTTAAATTTAATAAAAGGAATCCATGTTTTAATTTTTCATAATACAAGTGTGAGTTGGAATCAAGACCTCCATCATTTCTTGGTACTTTGGCTTCTCACTGGAACTTGAGTAGTGCAGGCCGGGCACTAATCATGGACCCAAAGACCTCACAAGGACTTACCTGACAGTCATCAAGAACAGACCTCAAGGAGCCCTGAAATCATGTCTTATCTGCTATGTAGGAGAACCCAGTTCTCCAGTAAATTTGAATTGGGACAGGCAAGAGTTTGTTATCAACGAGGTTCCTTTGATACTTAAAAGCATGTCAACTTGAGACCAGCAGCAGTGTTGTAGAGTGAAAATCAATGCCACAAATCCTGCCTGAAATTCACAACTGGCTATGTTTGTGGTTTTCTATGAACCTACTCCTGCAAAAAATGACGGCACACACAAGTATGAGATCAGCTAGATGTAAAAGACAAGTACTCCCTTAGTGTATGAGGAATATAATCCCACTGTCATTCCCATGCCTCTTCACTCTGGCCTCACAGACTATAGGATGTGCAGGAGGAATTTGGTTGAAACTGTTAACCTTAGTTACCTGCTCCAGAGCAGTGTAGGTGGGTGTGCCTCCTCTCCCTTCTCAGATACTCTGCACTCTCAGCTCAGCCCTAAATGGTGAAACTCTAGATAATAAAGCAAGAGCCTCAGCCACAGAGCGTAACTCTCCATCCAGACTGCTCACACCATAAAAATGTCGTGATGGAGCAACCTTTACTGCCCTGCATTGCCTACAGGTTTTCCATGTTTACCATGTGAACTCAGTGACAACATTTCTGTGGTATTTTGATTTTGATCACACATGAAGTAACAAATGCCCAAAACACTATGATATTGGTGAAAAGCTTACCAAACATCTTTCAAAAACCAACAACGCAAAAATAAGAATTTCAGCAACAACTAACAAAAGTATAGCTATTTGGATGTTCATTTTACCATTTGGAAAAAATGCCTCTTTTATATCATTTCTATCACATGACTGCTTGCGACAAAATTAGATTAAGAAAAATTACATAGAAAGTGTTTCTATATTTTATGGCGATCACAAGAAAGAACTATGAAAGTTGCCTTTGTATGGTAAGTTCCACAATTAGGATATAGTACAAAATATGGGCTGGCCACATGCTGGAAGAAAATGAGCCTGGGAATTGGGAGTGTTGCCAGGACAGCATTTTAAAATTACACACCTCCTGCAAATGTACGATGCTCATTCCTCTCCTTCTTCAAACTGATGATTCCTACCTAGTTCCCCAGATCGAGACCCGCTTCCCTAGAGTACTGAGGGAAAATGATTTCCTCACCTTCAGTTCATCGGTCATTGCAGCAGCATGCCCCTGAGAAGGAGTTTTAATATCCAGTTTGTTTTCCCTGAGAGCCAGTGCTTTAAAATTGAGTTCTATTGTCAAGCACATTTAACTTCTTGTCTCTAAATCTTTGGTGCAGCTGGGGCCCCTTTTAGAAGGTTGGTTTTCCCCAAATGATTGAGTGTCATCCTGAACGACATCACCCACAATGACCCCTTCATCTCTGCATCAAGTCAGGGGCCTACATTCCATTATCCTTGTTCAAGAGTCAAGAATCCCTAGTGGAAATGCAGTGTTCCTGGGAGCTGGGTTAATGTTAGCTAATGCCCCAGAGAGGATGATTTGGCCCAGGTGATTCTCCCAGAACTCAGGAGCTGCTGCTTAATAAGTTTGAAGGGGACCATCCAGAAGCTGGGTATGCAGGGTCATGACAAGGACCACCCCCCCATCGGGTGATGGCTGAAGGGACTGTCTTTGGGTTAGGGAAGATGGGGCTAAAATTTCAAAGGGGAAAGCGTGGAACCAAGAAAAGCTGGACCCAGGCAGTCCCCTTGCAAAATCCATTGCTCAGACAAAGAAACTTGGACCCCCAAGGAATTTAGTGACTTGCCAACACCCACATAGCAACTTTGTGGTGAGCTAAACGTAGCACAAGGTTCTCCTGACTTCCAGGGTATACTTGTTCCACTCTGCCGAAGCGTACCCTCCTTCGGGCATGGCAGATGTGGAGGCCTGCAGGCGGTGTTTGCTTCAGGGAAAAAACAAAACTAAACTAAACACCCAAAATGTGCTTTGGGTCCTTCACATTTCTAGCTACATCATTTTCTCTGCCAGAAAGGAAATGGTGAGTTAGACTACAATTTGAAATGATTTTATAGATCCAGCTCCATGAGAAGAGTTGTCACCTCCGCAATCTTATTCCAGATAAAATACCCTAAATCCTCCAGGATTTGTCTTTCATTCCTTACCTTCTGCTCCTCTGACCTGCAGTCGCCATCCCATTCGTTTTTATGGATGGATCATGGAAACCAGAAATACACACACAGCAAACACATCTGTCTTTTGGGTCAAAAGAAAAGGCACGTGTGTGCACGTGTGTGTATGTGCTCCTGTGTGTGCACGTGTTCCTGGGTGTGCATGTCACAATGCGAAGCAAGTTATGGGAGGACCAAAATTAACAAGATCTCCCACAAATACCTGGGTGTAAGATGGCCTTTATCCAACCCAGCAATTGTGCTGGAACCCCGTATTAGAGTCTCATTGTTCTTTGTTGCCTTTGTTTTAAGTTCAGCATGAACTGGTTTTTTTCTTTTTTGCTATAAAAAAATAAATCTGAAAACAATAAGTCTTGTTCATTGACATAAACCTGCTGTCGGTTCCTTGTGGGACCTATGCTGATAAAAACCAGGGAAAAACTATTTTATTTGCAATGCAAAGAATTTTTGCCTGTGGAGATTTTTGTAGTTCAACAGCAGTAAAGGTATGGATAGCAACCAAATAAGCTGTTAAAATCTATATGCCCCGCCCTCACCCTTCTCCCAGTCCCAAGAGACATAATTAAAACTCCAGAAAGTGAGAAGCTGTTACTAATACAAACGTAACTATTTAGTTCAACAGAATCATGCATTTACCAACTTCGTTTTTACTTCATTTTTAAAAATAGTTCAAGCTGAACTTTTTTTGCTCTTTCACATACAAAGGGCTTTTCTGCATGTTAATGCTTTAATACGATTTGCCAATCAGCCTGTTAATATCTGTCAAGGAATAAACATGCTGCTCGGCAATGGGGTAATACTTTTTATTAGGGCCTCTGTGTATACTTCAGATGTGAGCTTCACTCCTTCTGCTGAAAATGTTCCAATTGATTGCTCATGTATTAGTCTCATCTCAGTTCTGTTAACAAAGTTATTTGCAGTCCTAGCTGACTAAACTGTCCATCGTGAATTTTTGCATGCGATCAGAGTACAGATGGGAGCAGATGTAAATGGCATATGTAATAGCTAGCATATTTTTCAAGACGGATGAACACAAGCATGCTAAACCTTGGCCCAGAGTGTATACAGATCTGTTTAAGATATGCCACAAACAGACCGAAAGGAGGGTAGATTTACACACACACACACACACACACACACACACACACATACACACACACACACACACACACACACACACACACACACACACACACTTTGGGCTTGTCTAGCCCCAAACTTCTAAAGACCCTTTGAGAAAGCCAGTTCCTCGAGAATAAATTCTCAATTGTCGGGTCCTGAGGGTTTGCAGTGGCACCTGCATTGAACTTGTAGGTGTTAGGAATTTTTTTCTCTCGCTCAATTTGCGTAACAATGTGAGTATATCTAAGAATTCATAAACAGAGTCATAGATCTGCCCCTGGAACCAGCCTTCCTGGGAAATTCCAAAAACACTTGCAAATTCCCATAGGGAATCTTCCAGCTAAGTTTAGGGCATATTTGTCCAAGGTCACCGACAGGGTGAATTATATGGGTCAAATTTCTAGGTGTCTGTATGTGTCTGGCACTCCACTTCCATTCCAAACTGGCTAGAAAAGAATGTTTCATTTTTCCATTCACTTTCAGTGTCTGCCCTGTTCCCATAGTAACCTTTGGCTGTCACCCTCCCCCACCTTACACAGATAGATACACATCCTTTCTGAATTAAATGGAACTATGTGACCTAGGTTATTTAAGTCCTCCCTATCCTGTGTTTGCTCATCTGTAATAGGGTGATAATAGAAATACCTACTTCAACAGGTTGTTATGAGATTAAATGAGGTAAAGAAGCATCAGGTTTTACCACAATCACCATCACTACTTTGTGCTAGAGGCAAATCTCCATAAGAAAGTTGTCCCTTTAAGTCTCACGAATAGTTCACGGGTTTGGGAGGTGGGGGGGGGCGGAAGAAAAAAAAAAAACACACAAACCTGGAGTCCTGGCTGGGTGTGGTGGCTCATGCCTGGAATTCCAGCACTTTGGCAGGGCCAAGGCAGGAGGATCACTTGAGCTCAGGAGTTCAAGACCAGCATGGGCAACATAGGGATACCCCATCTCCACAAGAGATAATAATCTGCTGGGCATGGTGGTGTGTACCTATAGTCCAGCTGCTAGGGAGGCTGAGGTGGGAGAATTGTTTGGGCCCAAGAGGTCAAGGCTACAGTGAGCTAGGATCCCCTCACTGTACTCCAGCCTGGACAGCAGAACAAGATTCAGTGTCAAAGAAAGAAAAGGAAGGAAGGGAGGGAGGGGAGAAAGACAGAGAGGGAGAGAAAGAAAAAGAAAAGAAAAGAAAAAGAAAGAAAGAAAGAGAAAGAAAGAAAAAGGGAAAGGAAGGGAAGGGAAGGGAAGGGGAGTTCCTGTAATGTAGCTGAGTGTCTTGGGACAAGCAGACCTGGTGATGCCTGTGTCTCACACTCAGCCTTGGGCTGCCTGATGGCTTATCATCTTTCTTCAAAAGGTAGAAACCCTTTTGTCATTGCCCTTCCCTATTCCACAGTAGCACCAGAGGAAGTGTTTTCAGACTACCAGTGGGAATTTCAGATTATTTTGATGTAAACCCATTTTGGGGGGCCAGACTTTATGAATAAAATTGAGTCCCATTATGGTAAAAACACGACTCTATCTAGCGTAAGACCTTGTCGCGCCCCCAACGTTCCACTCCACTGCAAACTGGGAACAAAGAACATTATCTGTGAATGAACGTGGAGTGGGGTGAAGGTCAAGGAATTAAAACATTATGTTTCAATTTGAAATTTTGAATTTCAATTTGAAATGTTTCAATTTCAATTTGAAATTTCAATTTGAAATATTACAGATGTTTAAAAAGAAAGACAAATAAAAACCAGAAAGGTTCTAGTGCATCAATCTGCATCTAGATTTTTTCTCTATTAAAATTAAAAGTGCTTACTGACCTGCAGCATTAAGGTTTTTTATTATTATTATTTTCAAAGAGCTAGTTAGTTTTGTTGTCCCACCAATGTCAATTTCTACCAGTCTTTCTAGATTGCTCTTCCTTGAGAATGAGGATGAGTTTTATTTAGCACACAAAATCCAATGAGTGTTTATGCCAATTAGAGGAAAGGCATGTGAAGAGGCTCACAGATGGAAACTCTTGGCCAACAACGCGTACCTTGGCCAACTCTCTTTTCAGACGGAAGATCCCCAGTGCCGTTGTCAAGATAGGAATGTCCAGATCAAGTTCTGCTCTACCCTGATTGCAGCCCCCCAACCCTTGAGTCTTGTGGCTAGGTTTCGGCCCAGCCTTCAGCTGAGTAATAAAGAATAAGCCTAGAACAACTTGAGGCAATGGAAAGATGATGGCCAGCATTAAGAATAATTTTCTTTTCTTACCCTGCAATCTGTGGGTCCCTTTATATGATAATTACTATGGTGATAAAATCCTAATTACCTTTGAATCTTCATGAGGGAGAAGATTTCAGACTGGAAATGTAATCTCTCTGGATACTAACATAAAACTACAGTTGTTCTGTGGATGGTGATTTTACCTCCTTTTTGAAAAACCTGACGAAGTGGCTGGTTTGCTTGTGGGTTTTGAATAGAGCTGGTTGTTAGCATCATAGGATACTGTGCCCAATAGGGTGATTTTGCTGATCCCAGAATCTGTGTTGTGCATACACAGGACTCTTGTAAATGCCTGAGCTGATGTTAATTATAAAATACAGAAATGTGCAGAGAGACAGAGAATATTTAATCATATGTTATGATTGGAGATTTTTGTTTTTCTTAATGGTCAGAGGAAGAACTAAAATGCCTTATGATCAGTGTTTCTATGATGCTGGTATGTACTAGGAGATAAATGGATCTGCAAATGAGGCTTCTAGTGTTTGGAGAAAAACAGCTTTGCCAGTGTATTCTTTAATTTTACGTGTCAATTTGACTGGGCTGAGGGATGCCCAGATAGCTGATAAAGTATTCTTTCTGGGTATATGAGAGTGTTTTCAGTAGAAATTAGCATTTGGATCAGTAGACTGACTAAAGATCACTCTCACCAATCCAGGTGGGCCATCATCCAATCTGTTGAGGGCCTGTATGGAATGGAAAGACAGGGGAAAGGTGAATTTGCTCTCTGAGCTGAGGCACCCATCTTCTCCTGCCCTCAGACATCTGCTTCTGGTTCTCAGGTCTTGGAACTTGGGCTGGAACTTACACCACTGGCTCTGCTTCAGGGTTGAACTAGAACTACACCACCAGCATTCCTGGGCCTCCAGCTTGCAGACAGTAGATCATAGGACTTCTAAGCCCTCATTGTCATGTGAACCTGTCCCTCATAATAGATCTGTTTATCACTTTATTTTCTATCGGTTCTGTTTCTCTGGAGAACCCTGACCAGGAGCTAGAGAGTTAGGAAAACCTAAAATTTCCTCTTCAGTGAGAAATCCTCCCACTCTTATTTTTCCATGAGCAATTTTTCAGTCTAAAGATCCCGAGCAAACCTAGAGAAATCATTCCAGGTAGTCTAGTGGTTAGGGGGAAAAAAAACAAAAAACAATAGAAAGTGGAAGAGAGAAACATCAGTCACATCTTTCTCTAAAGGCCTGGTGCTGCCATCTCCTTAAATATTTTGAAGGAACAATTTGAGGTGATACCTGCTTTATCTTTCAAAGCCATTCCTACTTGCACCATCTCTGCACTGACTATGTTAACAGTGCAAAAGGTCATCCTCTGAGTGTCTTTGGATCAGGATTATTTCATGTGTTTTCAAGAGAGATAGTGCCGGTTACCATGACAGCATTAACCAAGGGTAACAGAGAACAAAGCTTTTAAACTTAGAAGAAAGAAATCGTCCAGAAAGGAAAGAATATTTTTGACATGGAAACCCAAAGGGCAGGTTGGAAATACCATTACAAATTGGAATGTGTTTTTTTTAATGTTCTTACTTATTTGTTTGTGGACTAAATCCTTTTGCAAATGAGATTTTTTTAAAATTGGGCTGCCACCATTATTTATTTTGCAACAAAGAGTGATTGTAAATTTTTTTTTAAGTAGCTACCAGTACAACAACAGGAGCAACAATAACAACACTCTTTGCATCTGGGCTTATTTCATTGGCCGAAAACTAGACTAACCTGTAAAAGATGTTTATAGAATGTGAAAATAACATAGGGGCAACACTGGTGATACATCAGTGGAGATGTATCTTGGTAATGAGAAGAAAAAGCTTACTCCTATTAAGCAGAAAAGGGGAATTTATTCAAAGATATTTGGACTCCCCGAATTAGCCAGAGACTGGAGGGAATCAATCACACCAAAGACGCAGAGATCAGAGTAGCTCCAGATGACCAGCAGTGATGGTGGCCAGTGGCCAGACACCAGGGCTTGCCAGCACTGGCCACTGGCCACTATCACTGCTGAACAGCATCGCAAACATGACACTAAAGGGCTCAGTCTTCCCTTTCTTGACCTCACTTGTCCTGGAGTCACAGACTAGGGTGGAGCATCCAATTGACCAAGCCTGCATTGTGTGCTCTGCTAAGACCTTATTCAACAGAAATTCCCCCCAAAAGAGGAAAGTAGATTAGATGCCGGATACCTCCCTAAAATGGCATGTGTTTAATATGGGTGGTATGATTAAAGATATTTTGCTAATTTCTGGTCCTAAACATGGGAGATAGAAGGCTTGCAGTAAACAAACAAAAAATCCAGCCTACTATTAGAAGGCATTGCTCTCTAATACTAAGACATTATTAGTACTTGTAATTCCGGAAATCTGCAACTTCTGGAGAAATTAAGAGCCAAGTTGGCCAGGATAATTCTTAGCTGATATAAATAAATCAAGATTGACAGACATAACTGCATTGTCTTTTTATTTCTTTAATGTAGGTCAGCATTGTCCAGTAGAACTTTCAGCAATAATGGAAATGTGGCTGGTGCAACTGAGGAACGGAATTTTAAAATCTTATTTAATTTTACCCAATTTGGGCCAGGCATAGTGGCTCACACCTATAATCCCAGCACTTTGGGAGGTTGAGACAGGAGGATCTCTTGAGCCCGGGAGTTCAAGACCAACCAGGGCAACATAGTGAGACCCCCAACTCTACAAAAAATAAAAATAAGAGAAAATGAAAAAGTACATAATTTAAGCTCAATTTGAATTTGACAATAACCACATATGGCTAGCAGCTACTGTATTGGACACAGCAGATCTAGATGAAATCTTATAAAAATTATAGCATCATAGCGCAGAGTTGGAAGGGATATTTGAGATTCCCATAGCAAGTTTGAAGTTATTTTTTAATGCAAAGTATGTTGAATGCAAGATAATTAGGTTTATACCTGGTGAGAGGGTCTGGGAGGGTATAGAGACTGTCATTCTCAGGGGTAAGATAAATGATAACTGGATCATAAAGAATTTATGTTGAAAAAGGACCACTGATTAGCACCAAAGTGTGTGATTTCTCTTGATAGTCTTTTATTTGAAGAGGAGATATAAAGACAATGGGATTTAGCCTTTAAAAAAAGAGTATCCAACTCAATTTACAAACATAAATATGGGTGTAAGACAATGAACAGGCTGTATTGCCCTCGACGCTGAACCTCTTGAGATATAAAGAGGAATAGGAAGATGATAACTTTGGCCGGGTGCTGTGGCTCACACCTGTAATCCCAGCATTTTGGGAGGCTTAGGCAGGAGGATTGCTTGAGCTCAGGAGTTCAAGACCAGCCTGGGAAACATAGTGAGACCTCATCTCCACTGCAAATAAAAATAAAAAAATTAGCTGGGCTTGCTGGTGCATGCCCGTAGTCTCAGCTGCTCAAGAGGCTGAGGTGGGAGGATTGTTTGAACCCAAGAGATTGAAGCTGCTGTGAGCTATGATCATGCTACTGCACTCCAGCCTGGGTAACAGAGTGAGACCCTGTCTAAAGAAAAAAAAATGATAATAACTTTGAAAAGGTGCTATTAAATTTATTACTAAAATATTACTGAGAATTTCCATAATATACTTAAAGACTCTTTTATTTAAAAACAAAACCAAACCAAAGGAAGCCTGTGCTTTTCTGAAGTCTCTCTTCTTTTGCTCTCTTTCCAATTAAAGCTATGCCTTAAAAGCTTTAATGTACCAATAAAGGTTTTGTGCTTTTGGAATCTAAATAGAGCTTTTCTGGATGACGAGCAACATTAGGCAGTTACACCCCACCAGAGAGGAAGGGACTGGTTTTCGTAGGTGTGCAGAAAGCCCACAGTGGTTTCCCTGGAAGACATAAATAAATTATAAAGGTAACTTCACATATGTGGTCAAAGGTGAACTATATACGAAGCAGGCAGTTGAAATCTCTGTGATTCCTGGCCACCAGCAAGATTTTCCAAAGAAAGGAAGCCACCAAAACGCCTTCAACCTAGGACAGGAATTGGTAAACCATGGCCCATGGGCCAAATTCAGCCTGCCACCTGTTTTGTATGTCCCACAAGCTAAGAATAGTTTCTACATTTGTAAATGGTTGGAAAGATAGAAAGAATGGTATTTCATGCCATGTAAAACTCAAATGAATTCAAATGTCAGTATCCACAAATAAAGTTTTATTGGAACACAGCCCCATCCATTCATTGATGTATTGTCTATGGCAGCTGAGTGGAGCAGTTGCAATGGAGAACAGATGGCCTGTGAAGATGAAAATATTTACTATCTGGCACTTTACAAAAAAGGTGTGCCAACCTCTGACCTTGCAGATGACATATAGTATGGGTCATACTCCAAGCCACCAGAGAGTATTCAACCCGCTTGGAATGTATTTGATTCAGCATAGAAAGGATAGTATTGCCTTTCATTTGAGACCTTTTTTCATCATTCTCCCAATAAATGCTACTTGGTTTTAGGAATGGACCATATCTTATTATCTCTTATATTCTGTGTAGTTTTTAGAAATAGAGGGTGAACAATAATTTTTGATGAATGATTAAATGCATGGATGAATGAATAAATAAATTATGTTTGGAATGACTTACCTTTTCATTATTATCTCATATGAAACATCAGGATTATAATACTTTCATGAAGTAATGAGCTAAATAGTCAGTTGATTACTAGAAAACACTTAGGACAATATCAAGAACAGTAAAGTGTCACAGAAGAAGCTCTTGCAATTGAAAGCCACCCTTTGAAACATGCAGACTCATGGCCATGTCACAAGGAATGTGCAAAACCGGTAGATAACGTTCTCCAATTCCCATTTACATCTGCCATTTACATCTGTTGAATTGTGTACACACCAATAGTCCCCAGTATCTGCTAATCACTGTTATACTTCATACTGAAAACACATAATCTAATGAAACATTTGAAAAATTCTGTGTCCAGAATAGAGAAATGGAAAGGGTAATATTTGTTAAACACCTTCTTTGTGTCAGGTGCTGACTTGGGCATTTCACATACACCTTGAAACTCAGATTCTCTGGAACAAGATTTTCTGTCTTAAGCATTCTTGGTAAATTGTATCTACTTGTAGCCATGGAGTGGGACTGTGGCCCAGCTGATCTGCTTGGTTTTGTTGTTGTTGTTGTTGTTTTGCTGTCTTCATAAAGCAGTATTGATTGCCTTGGTCAAATCAATTGTGTGGCCATTTCCATTTACACATCATTTAGCTGCCTGAACTGATTACTTCTGCCAGGACACAGTCATGCCATTTCAATCACACAGATCCAGATAGTCTAAAATCCTTCAAGTGGAAGGCTAAAACATCACAACACCAGGCTACTAAGAATTAGCCTAGTGCTTCCCCCCCCAACCTTCCATAGGAAATTAATGTTCAGATTAGAAGGAAACAAATCATCATAAGGTTATTTTGTTCAATGATATAAAATAAAGCTGAAATTTCTGAACTACATATTTCTTAATAGCAAAGAAAAAGAATATTACCAATTATTTTCCAAACTAAGTATGTACTCATCTGTAGTGGTAGCAGATGGCTCTTTAGATCTCAAATTTAATTATCTTTTTTTAAAAAAAGAGACAACAAATGGTGATTTTAGTCATCTTTGATTATTGGACATTGGCATATTGGATGAAAGTTTTCTGATGTGTTTACTTGGTTCACATAAAGATGGCAGGGGTCTGTGCCCTAGAAAAGCCCAAGTACTATGATTAGTGGTAACAGAACGCCTTTTACAGGTTATTTTCAGGAATGGCAGCAATCCAACATTGGCAGTGGTAGTAAAAGGGAGAATGGGAATATAAAGACAGTTCATTGCTAGAGGACAGGATTTTGTTTTTACTATTTTTTTTTTCAATTAATAGGAAAAGTGGGTTTGCACCTTCTGGCAAATTAACCTGTAAAACCAATATATCTTTGAACAAATATACTTTAGCATATGCCAGGCAATTTTTATTGAAAATCATAGTAATGACTTCAGGCCAATATAGAAGAATACTACTGTTGCTGTCCTTTCAGAATGTGATGGAGATATGCTAAAAATAATACAAAGGGCTGTAAATGCATTCTTGAGGAAAGGGCCAAATGGAGAGAAAGCATTTCCCACCAAATATGTTCAAAAAGTGACCTAGCCAGGAGCCTTGTTAATGTCATAGCAGCATATAGAATAAGCCTTAAATGAACTTGAAACACAGGTTTAAGAAAGACTTCTGGAGCCAGGCGTGGTGGCTCATGCCTGTAATCTCAGCACTTTGAGAGGCCAAGGTGGCAGGATCGCTTGAGCCCAGGAGTTTGAGACCAGCCTGGGCAACAAAGTGAGACCCCATCTCTACAAAAAAATTAAAATAAAGACTTCTGCACCTTTCTATTTCTGTTTCAACTTTTCCTGGTCCTCTTTCTTTCGCCGGGCACTTGATACCAACATGTGTCAGACGTAAGCTTTTGCTGAACTTTCTTTCCTCCTATCCAAATGCACCTATGTTTTCAAGGTGCTGTTTTGCATTCTTAACTGTGCATATTACATTTTGATTTTAATTTTAATTTTATTCTTTTATTGGAAGTGCTACACCTGTCTTTTGCACTTTCACTATTTCAAGCTTTCGTAAACTCATGGTTCTAGGTAGCATGGTAGAGGAAGCACCGCTAGGTAGGAATCATGAGAGCTGAATTCCAGTTCTGGCTCTGTGACTTTCTACCTGTCTGAGCCTCAGCTTCCTCACTTGTAAAACAGGATAAATAATGTTTGACCTACTGGCTTTTGGTGGTTAAAAGTGAAAGATATTGACATTATTATTATTAGAAGTCTAAACAAATGTGTTAAAATAGCCAAATTATAAATTTTGGCAATGGAGTAATCTCTTACTCCCAAAATAATTAATAAAAAAATTTTATTTTAAGGTAAACTGATAGCCATATTTCAATTTTTATATGAATTTCTCATATCTAATAGTTTATATTAATGACTTTTTCTACTCTCAATATTAGTTATTAAAATTAGAATAACAGGGTAGCATTTCATAATTTATAATGTCATAATTTCACTCCTACTGTGAAAGCTCCTATTTTCAAATTGCTTTAAGGTAATAATGGAAGTTTTGGTTTCACACTATGGTTTTAAAGATATTTATTCTAGTAACCTAAACTTTTAATGGTTCTGATTTTTAAAGTGTCAGAAACATGAGTATTTATAGAAAGCCAGCATAGATGAAAGAATATGATTATGTGGTCTATTTAAGATAGCACTGTATTGAAACAGGTGGTAGAGTGGAAAGAGGCTAGCCAGAGTGGGTCTGAATTCTGTCTCCTCTACTTTCTGTGTGGTCCCTCTACTTTCTTTGAGCCTTAGTTTCTCCTTCTATAAAATGGGATTAAATAGTAACATCCTGCAGTAACGTTGTGAGAGTTTGAGAGATTGCATGCAAAATGCCTTGTGCACAGATTAGATGCACAATAAACTGTTATTACATAACTATCCTCTTACACATATTCACCTGGGAATAAACTCTCTTAGGCTTTGGTGCCTGTTGCTAATGGGTGGATCACAGTGGATTCCTATGATGCTACCCGAATGTGTAATTTTATTGTAGGCTGTCTTTTAAGTACAAGGAAACTCTGATTCAATAAAAGATGATTAGTGACCAGTTGCCTTTGCACACATGCCCAAAGGTGAAAAACTTTGTAATGGATAGTCCAAGTTCATTCTTCTTTTTTCTGTCTAGGAAAAATCTTTAGACTTGGTATGGCATTGAGCTCTGTAGCCACAGACATGAGTGAAATTAAACTGAGGAAGAGAATAAAATTAGGAAAGTGAGTAACAAGTTGTGTGTGATTCGGCAGAGAGTTGAAGAGATTACCTTGGAAAATTTCCATGTAAAGCGTAACATCAAATATAAACTATTCCTTTTAATCGAAACATGTGAGACACCAACTCTTATTCTGGAAGAGCCATCCATAAATAAATTATAGCTACCATTTGAAAAATAGAACTAGGTATATTCACTAAACATATATAAGATTGTGCTGTTTTTCTCCTTGAGGCACTTTGGGGTGATGGGATTTTGAAATGCAGGTGATTTTCTTAGGAACAGAAGTCATTCTGTAACTTGTCAGTGTGTTGACATGGCATGCCCTTTCAGATTTCCAGCATGAAGGCAAGTAGTGTTTCATTGAGCCTGACTGAGTGTGGGTGAAAACATTCATTATACATTTATTTTATCCCTTTAGAAGTAGCTATTTCCATGCTAGCCATTTCCCGTGTTACACTTTGGGAAAATGTGAGTTTACTACTCAACCAAGAGAGCATGCTGGACATCACCTCACATTATTTACCTGTCAGGTATAATAATTTTGCATTCAACTATCTGAGAATGAATCCATAGGCATTCAAAAGACTCTTTTCAGAATCCAGTAAAAATTAAAGTCCAAAATCTACCACCCAAAGATGCACAGAAGCAGTGGTACGCTGGTAAACCAGCTCCCTGGGGGAAGAGCTCTGATTTGTAGTGTTTGCTGGGTTCTGCAGCATAAATTCTCTTATTGTGGTCCATGTGAAGCTACCAACAGTTTATGAACCTGCTTGCAAGATTCCTGACTATTAACCAATTGGCTCTGGCAAAGCAAGTACAACTGATCCCACCACACTACTCCCTTTAGAGTGGATTTTAGAACTTCAAGCCCTGACAGTTTGAATTTCTTTTGGATCCAGAGACATTTTAATGAAGCTGACAGCTACCTGTCACTTGAGGCTGTATATAGGAGCATGTGGATTTTCCCCCATTTACTTGCCTTTACTGCATTTTTTAAAGCTGTTTTTCATTTCCAGTAGCCAATATACATTACACCTGTGAAGTTCCAGATACACCAGACCTCTAATGAAAACATTGATTTATACAAATAAGATGTTGCCTCTTTATCCAAACCATTAAAAATCTAAGATATACTATAGCACATACTCCCTCAGCAATTAGTAAAGGCTTGCCACTTTCGGGAGTCGATACAGCTCGCTCCCCCTCTTCTAGTTCTCAGCTTACTGAGGAGTTCTGCTGACACCACTCGAACAGCTGGGCTCCTAACTGAGCTGCTTCTGCCTGTCAGTGGCTGGCAAAGTGATTTGATTCCTTTATGTGCGTAATACAGTACAGCACTTTGAGGCTCGCAAATGGCACTGTTTAAATCAATACATAATGATGTATTACATATTGTGGAGCACTTATAAATATATTATGAAGCTCTAGAGCATGCCAACATCATAGGCTAGTAGTAGGCAAGGGTAGGAGCCCTCTATACTATTTTCTTCTGCATTCTGCAATTGAGATGTCCTTTGATCCTGGATCATCCATTTACCTTTTCTGTACTGCATTTTGTAAGTTTGCAGAACAGGGTCGCTAGTGATGAGATTGCAAATGGTTTAGAGGTATGGGTGGTATATGGGCAATATTCATTCAAACTAAAGAATTATTGTATTTTAATATCTTCCATATAAACAAGCAGCAAAATTGATACCAATGAGGCACCCTGATGAAAAATGAGAGGTTCAAATGTACACACACGCAGTAAAAGTCTAAAGCCAGGCATAGGAATGATAATTAATAAATTCAAGACCCCCGTGACCTTTGGAGCAGAGGAGAAGGGAACGACTCAGACCTAGTCGGGGTTTACAGGTGAAAATTCAATTCTTTTTTTTCAGACAGGGTCTGACTCCATCACCCAGGCTGGAGTACAGTGGCACAATATTGGCTCACTGCAGCCTCGACCTCCTGAGCTCAGGTGATCCTCCCACAGCAGCCACCAGAATAGCTGGGGGTGTGCCACTATGCTTGGCTAATTTTTGTATTATTTGTAGAGATGAGGTTTCACCATGTTGCCCAGGCTGGTCTTGAACTCCTGAGCTCAAGAGATCTGCCTGTGTCAGCCCCCCAAAGTGCTGAGGTTACAGGCATGAGCCACTGTGTGAGGCACCATCCTGTTTCTGGTGTTTATTTCTTAGCTCGAATGGTGGCATGTAGGTGTTTGTTGTATTACTCTTTAAACGTTTTTGCCTGTCTGAAAACATACACTAAAAAGCATTTGAACAAAATAAGGCTGGGCATGGTGGCTCATGCCCATAATCCTAGCCCTTTGGGAGGCCTAGGTGGGAGGATTGCTTGAATCCAGGAGTTCAACACCAGCTTGGGCTGTGTGGCCATCCTGCTTGTCTCTACAAAATAAATTTAAAAATTAGCCAGGCATTGTGGCACATACCTGTGGTCCTAGCTACTCAGGAAGCTGAGGAGAGAGAGAGAATTGCTTGAGACCAGGAGGTCAAGGCTGCTGTGAGCTGCGTTCATGCCACTGCACTCCAGCCTGAGTGACAGAGACCTTGTTTCAAAAACACAAATTAATTAAGTAATTAATTTAATAAGATTAAAAGGGTTTCTGTTAAACTGAACTATGCATTTAAAAATGGTTAAGATGATAAATTTTTATATTATGTGCTTTTTTATCACAAAAATAAAAGGTTTCTGTTAGTCGTGTTATGTGTACATTTAGTTTTCATAATGGTACCATCTTTGCAAATGAACACATTTTGGAATTTTTGTTTATATCTTTGTTTGTTTTACACATTGATGCAGATTGGGGAAACTCTAAATGTCTGCCGTCAACTGAGCTTTGTGCAGAGACTATAACAGGAATAACAGGATTTAATTAATCCCCATCAAGGCCAACAGTTAGAGCTGGACAAAGAAAAGGCAGGGAAAAAAAGCCAACAGTTCATTAACAAATTCTAAAACATTTAAAAAATGTAGAACGTTGAGCATATTGAATATAATTTTTATTGATTAAGAGAGAAAATAAATGGAGATACGTTTAGGTACTTGTCTAAAATTCAGCCCAGCTTTACCCCTATGTGGACTGGTCACATAACAACATCATAACATTTACTCATAAGCTTAACCAAAAAGGCACAATGAACAAAAGCTAGAATCTACTTGAACACAAATTTATCTTTTCAAAGTTATTTCAACTAAAAATAAAAACAACAAAGAAATTATGAAGATGAAGACGAGAGAGGTTTTTTGAGATAATTATTAAACCTAAGAAGATTAAACATACCATCTTGGACATAGCATTCCTCATTTTCAGAGTCAATGTGATAATGTGCTGTTTAGCCTGTTGAGTAATATCATGGAGTACAACATTCTTATGAACAACAAAAAAGAAATCACTCTCATGTATTTATACCTAATCATTTCCTGCTTTGCAATATTTCTAAGTTAAAATCAGATTATTATCATAGCAGCATCGTGTATAAATGATCCAAAGCCTGAATCCAAAGTATAAAATAGAGAATAGCAATGTTCCAACAAGGCTAATTGGCCACAGCCTTGGATTTGCACTTTCAACAGTTGTCAGTCCAAGCTCCTGACCTCCTCTCTCAGGAAAAGGGGCTGAGGAGTGTGTGAACAGGAGGGACCTATTTAAGAAAGTCCATCTCTGCTCAGTCAGCACTTTCATGCATCTCGAGAGTTGAGAGAGATGTTTAGTCCAGGGCACTTTATTTGTAATGCATTTCTCTTTGGTTATTACAAACCAATTTTTTGACCTTGTGCATTTACATCTAAGAAGATTTTTTTTTTTCTCTTTTGAGGATCAGTTGTGACCCACTAGGAAGGTTTTAGCCCTTCTCTCAGTGTCCTCTTGTTTTAGAAATATGTCAGGACAGCCAACTCACAGGACAATACATGAGACAATTATTGTGTATGGAAGAAAAGTAAGGAAAAAGAGGGACTTTCTGAGAGAATTTCAAGTGATTAGGTGCATGTAATACTTTTCCATGCAGCCAGGATCCCAAACACACATAATCCCTCCTGAAAATACACCTGTCCATCTGCAAGGCACCAACCCCATTACCCTCACCTGCCATACTGACAGAGGGCCATAAGTACATGGTGGATGTAGTTGTAAAATAATTTTTTCATGCCATGTGTTGGAGAAGTAGGTGATAGTTACAAGTTTCAAGGGGGTGTCTCTGAACAATTGGTTTCCAAATATATACCCTGTCAAGACAGAAGGAATTCAGGGACCAAGCCAGAGCCTGCTTTGATAATTCTCGCCAGTGATATTAGAGCAGGGTCGATCCTCAGTTCCCCTTGCTGTTGCAATTGTATTCTCCACCACCCCCACCACCATATCCCCTTGGCCTACACTTCAAGAATAAAATTGCAGCTGGACATTGTGGCTCATGCCTGTAATCCCAGCACTTTGGGAGGCCGAGGCAGGTGGATCACAAGGTCAGGAGTTCGAGACCAGCCTGGCCAATATAGTGAAACCCCGTCTCTACTAACAATACAAAAATTAGCCAGGTGCCTGCAGACCTGGCTACTTGTGCAGCGGAGGCAGGAGAATCACTTGAACCCAGGAGGCAGAGGTTGCAGTGAGCGGAGATCGTGCCACTGCACTCCAGCCTGGGTGACAGAGCAAGACTCTCTCTCGAAAAAAAAAAAAAAAAAAAAAGAATAAAATTGCTCCAAAGCACTATTCTAGTCATTATGTCTCCTTTGTAAAAGTAGTGGAACCAATCAGCTATCCAAGCCAGCTGCTTAGATATATGTTGGCATGGCTCATTAGAGTACAGTTATAAACTAATTCATAGAAATATTCTGAAGGATGTTTTTATGGCTTTATGTGTGTATAAATCTCTTTGTTTGCACACAGAGAACACTGATTGAACAAAATGATGAACTGCTGGTTCCATTTCTCGTCTGCTCACTGAGCAGGCACATTATAGTCTATCTTAGGCTACTCTGGTGTAAACAATATATTTGTGACCATGAGCATCGTTTATTCCACACCTTTGTCCTCCTTAATGCAGAGGATGCAATAAAAATAAATACACTCATAAGGGCGGAGCACGGCTTGCACATCAGGGATAATTATGGCTCTAGAAAAATGAGAGAAAGAGTTTTTAACTGCCTTTTGGAGCCATTTCTCTCATGCACGCCCCAGACTTGTTTTTCAAAGAATCAGGATAAAATTTCTGAAGTCAAAGAGTAAAATTCATTTTATGACCTACCCTGTGATTGTACGAACTCAGAAAGAAACAGAATTGTGGCCAAAACAATAGTTCCTATCTACCTCTGCCCATGAACTGATTTGAGTGTTCATTTTGCTTTAAAGGCTTTGTTGTTAGATCGACTCTTATTTGGAGTTTCACGCAGGCTGGAGATGCTTAACAGTGGTGAAGGAGGCAAGAGTTTCTGTTCTGCACATGCAGCAATTATCTTCATTGCAAGAGAAGCCAGTCCCTGCAGCTGCACTGGGGAGCTCAGGCATCCCAGAACAAAGCACGTCTGCACTCATGCACACAGAAACGTGAGAGACACCATCAAATAGACAGCTCACTGAGGCCTGGCCAAGTGGCCCACAAGCAGCTCATGGTGTTCCCAGGAGGATGCAGCCTGGCTTTCTTAGACTCTGAGCTGATCAAATCAAGGGGTGATGGGAAGGCCATGTTGAGTCGCCAGTTTTGGGAGGAGGATAAGGAAAGGGCTGACAGCTGCTGCACAACTGGTGAAAACCATGGGTAGCAATAGCAGCCTCCTGTTGTAGGGGAAAAAACAGCATAGACATAGACTATTTCCAATAAATGAATGCTTTCTCAGTGGTCCCTCTATTGACTCGGTCTCTAATCTTTAAATCATTGCACTAAATATTATATGTGTGTGTGTGTATATATATATATATATATATATATATGTATATATAAGTCATAATTTATAATAAGTTTTCATGTTGAGGGATTTCCAAAATGAAATGAGAATGAATACTTTATTTGGTCCTCTTCCTCAGAACACTGGCCAACTGACTCATTCCTTTCACAAATGTGGAAGAGAATCAATGTTTTAAACAACCTACTTAATAAACATACTAGGTGGATCGGATTTTTCTTATTTATTAGGGATGCCTGAGTAAAGTCTTTGCAGGCAATTATTTCGTATCTGGAAAGTCCCTCTCAGCAACTGGAATTGGTTCCTGTGGCACTTCAGAAGATGGAAATGGTGTTCAGAGTGAAATACTTTTTAGGATGTTGGATATTTTATGCAAGAGAAGGGCAAACTGAGCTTTAAAAGAGGCAACAAAGCATTTTTTCCAATTATGAGGAAGTTTAAAGTGTGAGCTACAGAACACTCTAAACTCAAGAATCCTTTTTATTCTTCTCTCAGTATGCTGTGACAAGGTCCTGTAGCCAGCTGTGTTTTGCGTGCAGAGAGCACAAAGCCCTAAACCAACATTATTGTTAATCCTCATGGTATCCTTTGGCAGAAGGAGCTGGAAAACAAGTTATATAAATATATAACTCTTTGTGACAACATATTTTACAATTATTTTTAGTTTTTAAGCTGCCTCCTAATTTAAACATACAAAAAAACTGATGCAATATGGACTAGATTAATTTGAATTAAATTTCAATATGATTTTGATACTTCTAATGAATGATGAGTTTAAAATACAAAAATTAAATACAAATACAGTGGTTCAAGATGACAAACTGAGTCCATATGCCTACCTCCTCTCATAACCTCCTCTTGATATAAGAAATAAAAATAAGAAATATATATATTAAACTATAACAGCACTGGGAAATGACAGTGGTATCATTATTGGATCAGACATTTTGAGGATTTTCTAGAAGACATAATAAGAACAGTAGAGAAAAGTTAAAGGAAACTGCTGTCCTAAACACCAGGAGCAAGTGGGTGCTTCCCCAGGTCCCTCAGCTACACTCCAAACTTCAACAATATTGAAGAGCAGCAGTGGCCTTGGAGCAAAAATTTATTAAAGAACTGCATTGAAATGAGCTGAGATGATTGGCAGTTTTGCTTGCCTGTAAATGATGCCAAAAATGTGCTGTGCATAGTATAGCATTGCTATGATAGCTTATAGCTTATCTATAAAAACAAAGACAACATTCTATAAGTGTTTTTTATGAAAAAAAAGTTGCAGTTAAAATAACAGAATTCAGAATGGCCTCAAATGTCTTATCAGCACCACGTGTTCTTAGAAAGCAAAGAACCACTGTCCTCAAAAGAACTGAGGGAAATTATTTTGAACCTAGCTTTCTATACCCAGCCAAACTATCATCTATGCATTCAACAGTTTTTTTTTTTTTTTTTTTTGAGCATGTACTATGAGTTAGGCATTCTGTTATTCTGAAGAGATACAACGGTAAGCAAAAGCAGAGTTACTTCTTGCCCTCTCAAAGCTGATAATCTACTTGGGGATGTGGAGAAAAATAATCACTCAAACAAATGGAAAATTACAGACAGGGATAAATTGCACCATCCAGTACTGTCCACACAAACATGAAATAAAACATTATCTTATTAATAACTGAGAAGTCCTATAGTAAAAAAAAGTCTAGAGAACTTTGTTTAACCTAATGTTTCCTAAACTTATTTAAATATGGAATTATGCCCCCACCCCTTCACCTTTTCCTCCCTTTCTTCTTCTTCCCATTCTTATTCTTACATTAATATTCTGTGGAGCTTGTGTTCCTCACAACTCATTCTGGGAAGTGCTGGAATCCAAAGGAAAAAGCCATCCTCCTTGGCACTGCCTGCAGGGTTTTTCTCAGTCTGACCCCAGCTTACATTCCCCCTCCTTGCTCTTCACAAACCTCTCCCTTAGACACTCTCTGTTGTTTGCCAGGCCTTGAAGGTTCCAACCACTTTGGCAATTTCTTGTCATCAGTGCTGTTTTCTCTATCTGAATAAATTTCAACACTCATTCACCGAGCACTTTTTCAGCTTTTATCCCTGGAAATGTTGGGGGAGGGTAGGGAATGGGGTGGTGGGAATGGGGGTGAGGGGAGAAGTAGAAATGAAAACATGGCCCTTTCTTCAAGGATCTTGTTGTCTCTTGCTTCTGGTATTTTTCTTCCTAGCCCCCAAACCCTAATTCAAATGTAATGTCCTCAGTGAAGCCTTCTTCAATTGCTTCCTTCCTCCTTAAGCCCCATTCCTAGTTGTCCTTCCCCTGGTACAGCCCACTCTGCTGCCATAGCATTTAGTATGTCATAATTGTTTATCACTTGTATGTGTCACTCTTTCTGGATGCTCAGTGAGTGTCTCTTAAATTCATATAATGAATGAGAATAAAGATTTTCCCATAAATATTCTCTCTCTCATTTCTCTACCCACCCTCCCCACCCCTCTGGCTCCCTGGAGCCCAGGCTCTATGTACATGTCAAGGGGGGAAACTGCTTCTCCCTCATTCTGCACAAAATCAAAATTTTCTCAATACATCATCTATCTTTTTCTCTGGGCTATGTGCATGTCTGCTAGCATAAATTACTTGCTGCATTTAGAGACTAAACTTCATAAATATAACTCCCTATCTTTATTGAAACAGAGTCACAGAGTTCAGGAAAGCTCTGATATTTTCTGACTTTTATTTTTCTCTCAAGCAACAGTTGATTGGTTTTTCAGGTTCATTCTGACTCTAGGTTTACAGCACACTCATTTATTGTCCATGTACTAGGGATCCCTCTCTTGCGCTTACAGAAAGTTTGAAATCTAATGTACATTATTTTTAAGGAGGAAGATAATGAAGATTTAACATGAAAGTTGCAGGCAAATTGTAAACATTATAAATGACAACTGCTTTTCCTGTAACAATCTGCAAACACACCAGCTGTGAAGGAAACTGACATTCTGTACTTAGGCAGAAACATCATGTAATAGGGAACACAGTTCTTTGTTTGGATCTGTTTCCTGTGAGTGCATTTCACATTAGGTCTGTGCATGCCAACCCCTGGGGACAAGGTGCTTGCCCCAAAGTGAACAGCAGAAAAAAGGGCTGCTCTTCTAGCGGCCTAGACCTGATCCTCCAGAGAACTTTGTAAAATCACTACAAGAGTAGACAAAAAAGGAGCAGAAGAAAAGCCAGGTCATTCCTTTGATGATCTAATGGGTTGAAATGGTTCCTTATCACTCAGGGTCAGCCACCAGCCTTGATTTAAAAGGTGAGAAAACACCTAACATGGTTTGGACAAGACGTTGAAGGGGCCTGGGCTTTTACGAGGCAGAGACCTTCAAGTACCTAAAAAGATCTAAGGATAAGTGACTTCACCAGGTGGCCTCGCCCCAGCTCAGCACTGTATTTCAAGCTACTGAGAGGAGTTCCAAACGCAATGTGGGTTAAGTGCGCTCTCGTGCTTGCCTCGGCAGGAAATGGCGGTGGTTAAACTTGGCCCGCTCAAACCCGTGCAGTGCAGGGTTGTTGATTTTTGCTCCCCACAGTAAGTCTTCGGGGGCCAAACCATAAAGCTGACTTGTCATCTCTCTCTGAAAAGTTTGATTTAAGCACTTACCTACAGACGATGAGCTACTCAACCCCCAATTCCAGCTCCCCCCAACACACAGCCCTAAAGAGATGACCTGTGAATATGCTGGGAGGCGCTGAGGAAGTTCCGTCTCTGTTTCTCTCCCCAGGAAGGATAAGAAAGGGCAAAAAAGCTTTTGGTAAATGAGTTAGCTACTGTCTGCCCATTTTGCTTCACTGTCAGCTTTACTATTTAGTACTCATTGATTGATGCAGAGGATGGTATACATAAGGGTGTCGGTATAGATGAAAGATCAGGCTGGGCGCAGTGGCTCACACCTGTAATCCCAGCACTTTGGGAGGCTTAGGTGGGTGGATCACGAGGTCAGGAGTTCGAGATCAGCTTGGCCAAGATGGTGAAACCCCATCTCTACTAAAAATACAAAAATTAGCCAGGCGTGGTGATGGGTGCCTGTAATCCCAGCTACTCTGGAGGCTGAGGTAGGAGAATCGCTTGAACCTGGGAGGTGGAGGTTGCAGTGAGCCGAGATCGCACCACTGCACTCCAGCCTGGGTGACAGAGCAAGATTCCATCTCAAAAAAAAAAAGAAAGATCGAAATGTTCCTCATACTAAAATCTTAGAGGAAAAGCTCTCCCTTCATTTTATTTTTCTTGAGACAGGGTCTCACTCTGTCACCCAGGCTGGAGTGTAGTGGAGTGATCTCAGCTCACTGTAATCTCTGCCTCCCAGGCTCAAGCGATTCTCCCATCTCAGCCTCCCAAGTAGCTGGGACTACAGGTGTGCACCAGCAAGCCAGGCTAATTTTTGTGGGTTTTGTAGAGATGGGGTTTCACCATATTGCCCAGGCTGGTCTCAAACTCTTGGGCTCAAGAGATGCACCCTGCCTTGGCCTCCCAAAGTGTTGGGATTATGGGTGTGAGCCACCGCACTCGGCCAGCTGTCCCCTTTTGAGTGAAGGCTGAAGGATCCTTTAAGTCAAGAGGGGACCACAAGTCTCTGGTCTAAGATTCCGTTTTCATATTTGCCAGTTGGAACCATCTCTGGTTTCTACATGGAAGTATCAGAAACTGAAAGCCTGCTTTTACATGGTGATCTCTTTTCTTTACACATATAATCCTAGTATTTATTTTTCTTCTGGAAATTTAATGTTTGTGATCTGTAATAGATAGAGAGATTCTAATCATCTCTGTTTACATTTGTGTGTTTGTGTTAATTTATTCTTTCCCCTTCTCTCATTTGCTCATAATAAACATGTTCTTCTACACCTTGACTTCTTTCATGTGCTTTAGTACTGCAGGTACTGCTGTTTCATTGAATGGGGGCCTTAGTAATTACTATCCCTTCCCAAAGTGCAGGCTAAATTCTTCTGTGGGAGAGTGTTATAAGTGCTTCTCAAACTTAGCATGCAGAAGAATAACTGGAAAACCATACAGATTCCAGGACCCCACCTTCCCAAAGATCTCAAGTGAGGTCTAAGAATTTGCATTTCTAGCAAGTCCTTAGGTGATGCTGATGCTGCTGGTCCCAGGACTTCAATTAGGACCTGTACTTTCCTAGAAACCCATGATCCAGGACTTTTCTGCTCACTTGGCTTCTAACATCTCTCTTTCTGAGAGCTTTCAACTTCATCATGAAAAACAAGTTGAACAGTGATCTTGTCCATAGAGATAGAATTAACATTCTTGTCTTCTAGCTATGTGTCACATCAAATCCTTGGTTTGATTAGCTTGAAGAGCCAATTCAGCCCTTCAAGTAAAACTTGGTATTTTAGATTCTAAATCTTTTCCAGTTTCAATGCCTTGTAGGACTTTAAGAATAATGCTTGTCTAAGAAAAGATGAAAAATACATTTTTTTCCTTCTTTCTCTCCTTTCCTTCCTCTCTTCTTTCCTTCCTTTCTCTCTCCAAGTATGAAGGTTTGACTAAAATGAAATTTCCCATTTTATTCTTCTGACTTCTCTTGTGCCTACCGTTTTTCCATCATAGTTCCTGTGTTCCTAGGGAAAGGGTGACCATTGAATTGGAAGACATGATACCTGTGTACTTAACATTTTCTCAAATGTGATAATTTGTGATTTTCCTGAAGTATGCCACAGGAGACTATTTCAGCATGCCGTCTGTTTTTTTCCAAAGATTCACCAAGATTCATAAAAGATTAGGAACAGAACTCTTCTAGTCTGCATTAATGCATTTTGGTAACAAAATGGACAGCCCTTTCATGTGGAGAAGGGGAAATTAATACCCCAGAAGAGCAAAAAGGGAAGAAAAAGAGAGTTTTAGACGTAGTGTATTCTCCCAGAAGTCACAGAACAGGTACAAATAATGAGGGTTGTAAAAGGAAGACAGACCTGGCTAAGTGTTGTGTCAGGGAAGTCTGTGATCTCAGGCTATTAAATATTATCCGGCTCTTTCTGGTCATCATAATTCAAAACCACAGGACAGTGTGGCAGTTGTGAGCCAAGTGGTTATCATGCCTTTGCCCAAAAGGCTAAGAAAAAGACAAAAGCTGGGAAAGATCAGAGAACATATTGGGTTGCGATAAGGAGGTTATCTCATTTCTCTATGGAAGCATCACAAAATACCTAGCTTGACCTCTGCTGCTGGGTAATGAATTTCCATGAAGGACCATCAGGGAGGGCCAAGGAGGTGTATGGGGAGGATGGGGTAGGGGAGAGCGGAAACCAGTGATCAATGTTGCCTGCGTCTCCTACAGCCCAGCTAAAAGGGCCAGGCAGAGTTGCATTAAACCTGATTAGAAAACTCTGCTTAATACATTAAAGAAACAACTTGCAGAAACATCTACCTCCCTTCCTTCCTCCCCCAAACAGTAATGAGTCCAAATTGCTAATAAAACATAAAAACTCAAAGATGTTGTACATGGGCCATTTTTCTGAGCTGGTTATTTTTTATGTCAGTTTTCCCACAGCTGTGAGCATGCTATAACTATCAACTTACCAAATGCCCTAGTTTAAATGAAACTTACAAGAATGTATTTAGGAACTTTATAAGAAAGTAGGGGGAAAAACAGACAAGCAAGATTATCCATTTTTTTCTTTTGGTAAGAAAGAGGAATTTGGCAGGATATAGGGGGAACATGGCTTGAACTGATAATTCTCAGAAAATAGTGGTTGAGAGAATAGAAGATTTATCCATCTTCTTGCAAAGCCATTATTCAAAGATCACATTTAGCCTTCAGCTGCTTGGGAGGCTGTGGTGGGAGGATTGCTTGAGCCCAGAAGTTTGAGACCAGTCTGGGCACCATACTGTAGGCATGATCTAAATTCTGAGGTTAACTTACGCAAGTAGAATTAAGAGGCAAGTCTAAAGCACAAGGAAGAACAAAGAGTGCTGCCGACACCCTTAAAAATATCCCATGTAAAAGTCATTCCACCCATGATGGATTAAATGGCCTAAACTTTCTAAAGAAAAAACAGTAAGAAAAATCTATTTTTTGCTGTCTTTTTTCATTTCATCTCTCAAAAAATAGTAAACATTTTTATTTGGAAATCTGTGAATGTTGAGTTATAAGGAGCGATTGCCAAAAGTTTGGATAATAAATGAGAAATACATGTTGTGAAGATGAAACTTGCATGTCATACCCAAAATCAGAAATTGAGCTCTGTCCCTCTGTGTGCTCAGCAACACCATTCAAGCTACAAAACACCTTAGGGATATTTAATGTTCTGTGCCCACCCCTTATAAATGTATATGACTCAATATCCCCAATGAGTAATGTGGCCAGCAGCCATACCACCTTCAGCTAAGCTCTCATAAGCTGAACAGGGTTGGGCTAGATCCCTGTTCTTATGAGAGACCTCCAAAGAAACCCTGGAGGTGTCAGTGATGATTCAGTGGGTAGTTCCCTGACTTGAGTCAGTCCCAAATCACTTTCCTTTCCTGATGTTAACGGATCCTTTACATATGCAGGTGCGGCTTTTTTGAGAATCAGTCCAAACCCTGTTTACTTTTAAAATATATATATTTTTTATTTAAAATAAACGCCATGGACCAGATAGCCCAAAGAAAGGGAAGAGGAAAAGAAAGGGTACAACAGAACAGGAGAAAATGGATACATTGCAAGCTAAATCCCACTTCAACAAACTTTGTCAAACTTGGGCATGGTGGTTCACGCCTGTTATTGCAACTACTCAGGAGGCCCAGGCAGGGGGATCAGGATCACCTGAGCCTAGGAGTTCAAGACCAACCTGGGAAAATAAAAAATAAAAAAATTAGCCAGGAGTGTGTCCCAGCTACTTGGAGGCTGAGGCGGGAGGATCAATTGAGCTCACTTGAGTTCAAAGCTGCCGTGAGCTATCATTATGCCACTGTACTCCAGCCTGGACAAAAGAGAGAGACCCTTTCTTAGGAAAAAAAAAAAAAACCTCAAAATGATTTCCCTAGTTATTTGATTATAGTGGAGCTTGCTTGTCACAAACTTTGCTTGGATCAAATAGGTCACCAGCGACAAGACTTGGGGATCTGCTTTTTTGTGAAGAGTGAAACGAGGACTGATGCTCTTGGAATCATGTAGAAAATTCTGTCTGACCGTGAACAAGCCACTGTAAACAAATCCGAAAGATATACACCTTCAAACAGTTCTCAGATGCATGCTGTCCCTGGGTGGGGCTGTTGAATCCCACTGTGGGAGCTGGAATGTCAATCAGAATTATCAAGGATACTATTTATTGGCATGAGTGTGTTCTTGTAAGCACTTACCCTTCCTATCTAGTTGCTCGAAACTGCCAGCAAGTTTTGTTTGGGGCAATTAAAATGCTATGTGACCCCTTAGAAATTTCTGTCTTGAGGGTGTTCAAATTTTTAAAGATACAGAATATTTTGAGGTTTTGGAATAAAAAGCACTTGTTAATATATAAAAGAAACTGTGGGCATATTTCCTTTCTTCCATGAAATACGCTTAGCCTGCTTATATCCTTTTTAAACCAAGGATATGAATAAATCTGCCCAAATATTTTCTTTGGGATGGGAATCATTCTCTAAGTAGATGATGTTTTAAAAAAATAAAAGAGAGAAAAGAAAAAAAAGATGAAACCGTTAAAAAAGAAAACTTCTTGGTGTTATATAAGAACTCATTCTGTTTATTTGTAAACTCACAAAATGTTTCTAAGTTTGCAAATAAAAATTTTTCTATACAACCATTTTTGAAGCCGAATCCAGCCTGTCTCCTTAAAATGACAAAGCCGAGGAAACGAAAACAAATACCTGTTTAATGGACTCGAAATTAGTCCACATTTATACTTTTCTTTGAGAAATATGTTAGACTGAAAAATATGGCAAGTGGTTAATATTTGGTTCTTATTAACAAAGTTTTCAAACTTTTGCTTTGCCTTTAAAAAGGAGAATATTTACATTATGTGAGACAATTTAAAGGTTTAAAAAATGCACGTCTGCCTTTCAGTCACATGAAGTTAATCATACTTCTTCTTGCATAATTTCCCCAGCCTTGAGTACTACAGAGTTGTATACAAAAATCACACATTTTCATAAACCAATCTATAGTTAGGTTGTACCACGTTTAAGTCTCTTATAAACTCTACTTGTTTCAGGACTCATTGTTATGAGGACACGGAAAGAAACTTCATGAAGTTTCCCTTCCCAGGTCTAATGCATGACCTCACTTTATGCTGTTCAGTTTTTATTAAATTCTTTGCTAGCTTAATGCTAAAAGATATATAAGAAAACTAATAAAAAGAGTATAGCATCTTTTAATTGAAGGAAAAAATGAGTGCTTTGCATTCCAAAATGAAGGGTCATATATTCTTTTCCATTGTCTGGGTTTTGTAAACATCTCTGGACATGTCAAAGTTTATTTCTCATTATTTTAGTAATTACTTTTATTATATGTTTGTAACTATACAGAATCCTATTTTAATTATGCAACTGTGAGTGTGGTTTTATACGATGACAAAAGAATTGCTATGGCCAATGAAATATATGTTTTCCTGTAAAGTTTATGTTACAACAAAAAATACTGATTTAATCTTTAATATAGTAAGGAAGGGAGAAGGAAGTATGTACAAAAACCAAAACAAAATGAGTTCACAAAGGGTTAGGTTTTCTTCTAAACAGATTTGGATGAAAATAGGTTTTATTACATTGAAAGCAACGGGGAGTATTTTAGGTAGGAACTATCTGGTTCTTTGATATTATTTCTATAATTTCAGTCTGTATTAGAATCAGATCATATTGTTAGGCCTCAAGCGTGCCATGGCATTCAGTTTTACCGGTGAGTGAGAGTGTGAAGTTTCATGTCAAATTCATCACAATGCTCTGTCCACGGCCCGCTGCTACCCTCCTCTTTCAGAGGCTGGGGCCCTCTTGCTGACCCTCAGTTCTAGACCTTGTCCTTTCACTCTGCCCTGCTCTGAGGCCCCGTGTAGTGGTATCCTTCCCAGTATGCAACACGAGAAAGGCACCAATACTGTGCATCAGAAATTCTTAGTCAAGAAAGAACACATCTGGCTTGAGGTACCAGGAACCCTTTCTTGCAATGAAAACATTTGATATGGGTCTCATAGAAACTGCAGAACTATGAGCTGTGAAGGATGTTTCAAGTTGAAGGATCAGCATTAGCAAAGTTGTAGATGTAGGGAAGATCAAGATGTATTGAGAAAAATCAAACATGTCCAGTTTGGTTCTAGCCAAAACTTACAGGGTACGTGTTGGTAAATAGTGGCAGATGATGCTAAAATATAGGATGTGACCAAATAACTAGGCAACGTTTACTTTGATTTGTTAGCAATTGAGAGCTTGTGTTTTGAGCAAGGGAATAAAATGATTAAAACCCCTTTATGTTTGTGTCCTGGATTGGTTCCTGGAAATGAAATTAGTGAAATAAACTAATCCAAATAAAGCCTGAAGCTAAGTTAATAGTACTGTACCAGCGTCAATTTCTCAGTTCTGGTAAATGTACCGGGGTTGTGTAAGATGTTACCATGAGGGGAAGCTGGTGGAGGGCATACAGGAAGGCTCTGCTCTAGGCTTACAACACTTCTGAAAATCGGAAGTTATTTCAAAATAAAAAGAAACAGCAACAACAAAACACCACTGTGGGACTCTATCTTCAACACAGGACCATCACATCAAGGGCAACAGGGGACGGCTTGGCTGATTTTTATAACAGTGGCTACAAGCCAAGCTCATAGAAGTAAAGCATTTACTGTTTTACCGTAAGCTCTGGAAGTCTGTTTCCTGTGTCAAGAATCTTTGTTGCTGTAATTTCACCTGCTCCTAGGATCTGCGTCGTCCTGTGCCCTGCCATAAGGATGTAACTCTCAGCTCAAAGCCAAGGGCTGCTCAAGGGACAGACACACCAGGCACAACAAGGGGAGCCCCCGCTACCTTGGGCTTCTCTTCTTGCTTTCTGTACCAATTCTCCTGCTGTCACTATCCCCTTTGACCGTGTTCTCATGTTCTCTGCCACATGCGAGAGAAAGTAAAACGTTTTTGAGACCAGTTGGTACATGGTCTGAAAAGTGCTTGCAATAATTCTCCCTGTCTACAGGGGACACTTTTCAAGACCCCCAGTGGATGCCTGAACCTGTGATCATACCGAACCCTCTATATACTGCTTTTTCCTATCCGTGCATACCTATGATAAAGTTTAATTTGTAAATTAGGCACAATAAGAGACTAACAACAATACCTAATAATAAAGTAGAACCATTATAGCAATATACTGTGATAAAAGCTATGTGAAGGTGGTTTCTCTTTCTCTCTCAAAATATCTCATTGTACCGTACTCACCTGTTTTCTGACTGCAGTTGACTGCAGGTAACTGAAACGGCAGAAAACCAAGCTGTGAATAAGGCAGGGCTACTATATTTGAGCTCATTGCCTTTTAGTCGGTGATTTTAAATGTATCTCTCCGTTAAGACCATTTACCTGAATTTGGGCTACTGTGTTTCCATCATTAGGAATGTTTTCTGTAGTCATTAATGCAGACTAAGAGAAGCTGACACTTTACCCCAAAATAATATAAACATATTTCATCTATGACTACTTTGATACAGAGTACGGCATAAGGGGATATGTAGCTTATATGAGGAAATTGTCTTAAGTTTGTCTTTAATTCTACATATCTCCCATGTGCCATCTAAAAAGCCTGGAACTATAAATCAATACAAGTCAAAACAAAGAAGTTCACTAATATGAAAATATATAGGCATGTGCATGTTGGTACAGTGTGTATTCTTTCCACAACTCTGTAGTAGCCTGCTTTGTTGAGGAAGTTACCATTACATTTCTTTAAAACAATTTGTAAAGAAATCCATTTCCCTTTCTTTTTAAATAGAGACAGGGTCTCACTATGTTGCCTAGGCTGGTCTCGAACTCCTGGCCTCAGGCAATTGCACTTGGCCACACACTTTTTGATAATGGACTGTTGCAGAAAATATAACTGTGGCGGAGAGTGGTGACTTCATGCCTGTGCTTTGGGAGGCTGAGGCGGGAGGATCGCTTGAGGCAAGGAGTTCGAGACTAGCCTGGGAAACATAGCAAGACCCTGTCCCTGCAAAAATTTTTAAAAATGAGCAGGACAGGCCTGTAGTCCCACCTACGTGGGAGGCTGAGGTGGGGAGGACTGCTTCAGCCTGGGAGGTCAAGGCCGCAGTGAGCCGTGATCTCACCACTGCACTCCAGCCTGGGTGACAGAGTGAGACCCTGTCTCAAAAAGAAAAAAAAAAAAAAGTGTGTACTAAATTGGTTGAGTTTTTTTAGTGACATTTATTGTCAAGTGAGTTCAGACATTTCCTATTTAAAAATACGTTTCCTGCTTTCTATGATCTCTTCCCAGAAAACTGAGGTTCTCTTATCGCTTGCTTTAGCATAAGCATAATTTTGGGTAACTTGGGTGACTCTTAGATGTTGCTAGTTCAACTAGAACACAGCAATCCTAATTTTTCAGACTGGGGAGAAGCAAGAGACTTTGGCCTTTTTCCCTGTCTCAGGTACCTCATCTAAAATTCTGGTGGGACTTGGGTTGCTTAGTCGCCAGTCAACATGTGAAGGTTACAACCAGACGGAGAAACCAAGAAAGACGAATTGAGCCTTTCAGTTCTTATTTGTTTTGTTTAGTGGCCTCAAAGAAAAAGCAACAAGGTGTGGTGGATTAGAGTATGAACACATCAGTCAACTGCCTGAGTGTGTGACTGGACTCTGCCACGTGCCAGCTGTGTGACCTTGGGCAAGTTACTTCACCTGTCTGAATTTTTGTTTCCTCAACTGTAAAAGAAAGATAAAAATAGCCAGATTTACTTTTAGAATGTGAAGAGACCTTACAGATTAGCTCTTAGTACATTGCTTGGCATTTAGCAAGGACTTTCTGGTTAGCTCTTATTTTTATTATAATAATTATTATTACACTTTCTTAATCTTTTTTACCTTCAAAGTTTCAACCATGCACTTAATGCCTGTGAGCTTTACACCTTAAAAAGATTAAAATGGTAAATTTTGTTGTTACGTATATTTTACTACAATGAATTAAAAAACAAGTTGCAATCATCCCAAACAATTAAATACAAAAATCACTTTCTAAAATAAAACAACACACATTCAGGACACCAGACAAGGAGATCAGTTGTATTATGGAAAAAAAAAAAAAACACACACACACACACACACACACACAAACACTGGACTAGGTTTTAAAAGACCTGGGATCTAGTTAATAAATCTGTGTTCTTGACCAAGTCATTACACCTTTCTAATCTCAGCTTTCTCCTTGGGAAAAGTTTTAAGAAGATTAAAGGAGATAACAGATTGCTTTGTAACACATATAAATTGGTATTATTGTGGCTAGAGTCCCTATTGCTTTTTATCTGCTTCTAAGAACAGATCCAGGATGTTGTACAGAACTGCAGAAAAAAAAAATGCTCTTTTCATAATGCATTTATTTGGTTACAAAAACATCATGGCATTTAATAACGTACTATAAAATAGGCTCTGATAAACTCTGATTGACAGAGACTGGCTGTCTTGACCTGGTTAACGGGAAATGCCCTGGGCCTCAGACCCAAGGCTGACATATTGTTCAGTTTCACAGCTTCCACTCCCCAGCCCAAAGCCAACAACGAATTCAGGGAAATTACTGGATGAGACCTCCCCTACAATCCAGAGATACCAGCCCTCCCAGTGCTGTCATAGAAACAGCTCTGAATTACTCAGAAGGGGGTCTGGAGTGGTTGAGCAAGCAAGCAGCTTAACTTCTCCCTAGTTCAGTTTTTTCACCTGCAGAATGAGGAAATTTGGACTTTAAAATTTTCATGCTCCAACACTGTGTGAGATTGTATTAACAAAGTACTTTGAAAATTTTAGGGTATTTTCCTGTTCTTTTTCCATAAATTTGAAGTAACCATTATGGCATTTGGCCTCTTAGATTACCTTGAGTCCCCTGGACCCCAGAAACCACCCGCCCCATACCTTACCTCTACTGCCCTTTTCTAAGTCAGTGTAGGCCATCTTCTGGGGAGGGAAGGATTGATTTAGACCCAGTGCCACTACTGTTGAGCAAAATTTGGATTTACCCAGAGTAATACAAGGATTTTCAGAAACATCCACAATTTAGCGTTTAAATCTTAAAATGTATTAATTGGTGTTTGCAATCTGGGATATTGAATTTCTCAAATCTTCCATTTGTTTGTATACTCAGGGCCTTTTGGGTCTAACACAATGGCTATCATCACACATTCTAAAAGGACCTCCCCATTTTAAAACCTGTCCCAGGATACCTGTTTTCACAGATGGAGAAAAATCCAGAAAGCATCTGCTCCTATTGTCCCCTGGAAAGCAGCTCTTAGAACCCGCTGGGCAGCCCACATTCCCAAACTGCCCTGGGACCCTCTCAAAGTGAGAAATGGCATAGAAGTCTTAAAATCACATACATTAATAAGGTGTATTGCTTTAAAACATGCTTTATGATTTTCTTTTTAATCTTGCTCTCTAAACTTAGAAACTAAAGAAGGTCTACATCTCATGCCCATGGGCAATTTTAGTTTTATCCTTTTTGCCAAGTTTCAAAAGTGGTAATGAATAAAGCAGAGCCCGTGTTGACATGAAGTTTCTCTCTCTCTCTTTTTTTTTTTTTTTTTTTTTTTTTTTTTGGAGACATTCGAGTCTCGCTCTGCCACCCAGGCGGGAGTGCAGTGGCGTGATCTCAGCTCACTGCAACCTCCACCTACTTAGGCTCAAGTGATCCTCCCTACTCAGCCTCCCAAGTAGCTGAGACTACAGGCGTACACCACCACACTCAACTAATTTTTGTATTTTTTGTAGAGACGGGGTCTCATCATGTTGGCCAGGCTGGTCTCAAACTCCTGGACTCAAGTAATCTGCCCACCTCAGCCTCCCAAAGTGCCAGAATTACAGGTGTGGCTGCCATGTCCAACCAATTTATCTCTTGCATATGAAAACTACATATATTTGTTTAGGTATTAGAGCAGTGTTTTAACTCCCCCAAGAGCATCCATGGTAAAAGGACAGGGTGCATAGGCAGCAGGGTATTTAAAAGCTTTTGGACTCACGCAGATTTTTTTTTTAAGTTCCTTATCTTTTCTTGCCTGCAAATAAGATCTTCAAATTTTCTGCATTACAAGAGTCCCTTTCTTGATGTTTTCAACCATAGGGGAAAGGGATGGAGCGTTTGCAGGAAGGTGTTAGGTAGAAGGAGGACTATTCTCCCACTCAGCTGAGAGTGAGTTGACTTTTAATCTCTTTCCTGAGCAGAACCCAGCTGCAGGAGCTACTGAATAGTTGATGTCTAACAAATGTGTACTTTGGAGTCATCTGAAGTGACTGTTGTACTGACATTGGCTTCCAGGACTCTTTCCTGTCCACTTCCTGGTTTTCCTCCCAGGTCGCTGGCTAATCCTTCTCTGCCCACCTCTTACTGTGAGAGTATCCTGCATGACTCATTTCTGAGATTTACACTGCCTATGGCCTTAAAGAAAGTCAATCAGAATTGATTCCCATTGGATGTCTTCAGCGCAGACCAACCTGCTGAGCTCAGATGTTCCTGTCCCTCTGTTCTCCTGATTCCTCTGCCTGTATGTCCAAAACAAAACTCTGGACGTTTTCAAACCACATGTGATCACAGTCGTCTTCACCACAGTTGGCACAAGCCTGTATCACTACTCATCCAGACTATTGCAAAATATCTTACCTGTTGTCCAATCTCGAATTCTTTCCCTCTGACAGTCTGTTCTCCACACAGCAATTAATGCAATTTTCTTAAAATAAAAATCAGATTATGCTAGTCCCTTCTTTAGACTTTCCAGTGGCTTTTTCTCACCAATTAAAATAGAAACTCTGTAGTGACTTGCAATACTCCACCTACCTCTCCCAGGTTACCGCTTTTCCCTCTCTTTCTCCTTCCCTCCAAGGTCTTCTTTCTTTTCCTGCATGAAACACACCAATTTCCTTCCTGCCTTAGGGCATTTATCTAGGTGGTTCTCTCTGTATACCTCTTCCCTGTAGCCATATGTGGCTCCTTCTCACTAATCAATCCTCAGGTAAAATGTCATCTCTTTGGAGGGGAGTTGCCTAAATATTTGATCTAAGAGTCTTCACCACATCCAATGCTCCCTCTCATCACCATGTTTTATTTTCTTTGTAGCCATTATCACGATCTAAAGTAAGAGTATTTGCTGTTTACGTGTTGATTATCTCTTTCGACCCATTAGAATGCTGGTTCCCTGAGGTCTGGCATCTCGTTTGTTTTGTTTCCTTCTGTGTCTCTGAAATAGAGCCAAGAACTCAACAGCATCCTTGTACAAAACACAGCCCCCAGCATCTTTTGTCCTGGTGTTTCAGAGCCCACCTTCAGAACTTATGACTTTGGTTTTCCCTGCGTTATCAGTATATGAAATAAGGAAAATTTGTCTTCCTCAGCTAAAGTCTTTTGTGAGATGACTTGAAACCAGTGAGGATTAAGAGGGTATCAGGAAATGCAGAGAGAGGTAGTGAAAGGGGAGACGAGAGAGAAACAAAAGGATCTCAATTGTGCTGAGGTTTGGCCAGGCCAGGAGGGATCAAGTAACACCAAATAGCCTTTGTTAAAATAACAGAAACTTTGACAAATTAAGACGGAACTGCCTCAGACTGAGTTATGGGGCCTTCTAGACTCAAAACCACCTACCCTTGCAAAGTGGTGCAGTGTGGATCCTGTTTCAGCTTGGGATAAGGTGCTCATATGGGAGATCCTGTTTCAGCTTGGGATAAGGTGCATTGCTCTGGCAATGCAGAGTTGAGATGAGGAAGACTCTGGGTTCGCCTATAAGAAGTCAACACCAAGGACATTTTTACCAAATGGAAAGGGCGAGTTACAGGCATTTATAGCTTATTTATTTCTGAAAGTCTCTAGAATTTTAAAGAGGATTACTGCCCCAAAGCTAATTCCTTCAGATATTTGTGTCATTCCTAACAATCACTATCTCTTCATTCTCCATGTCTTGGAGAGTCTCTTCTGTCAACACAAAGCTCCTCTGAGTAAGGGGGTATAAAAATCTCCAGCAAGGGTCAGGATGAAATAGGCTTGGTGGCCCTAGGCTAGAAGATAGTACATGACCAAAGAACTAGTTAGGAGGCCTCTTTGCTTTCATCATAACTATCATTATTTTTCAGGTTCACTGCCTCTTCCTCCAAATCTACACACAGATTATTGCATTATTACTGTTACTATTTTCCCAGACATTCGGCACCTATCAAGGTTTTTCATTTTGTCTATTCCCTGGGCTTGTGTGTGTGCTGTCTGTCTCCGTGGCTGCTTCTGTGGCGCTATGACAGTATTAATATGACAAAGAGTTGGTCAAATAGAAATTATGTAAGGAGTCTCATTGTAATTCAGACACTTAATTTCCACTTAGCAGGAGATGCAGCCCTTGATGACTCACAGGTCGCGATCCTCATTCTCCTTCCTGGGTCACTCGTGTTTTTGGGTCTGTGGATAGACTGGCCCTTTCTCCTCTCAAGTGCTGTAGCTCTTTACAAGCCTACAAATTCAAGACTTTTGAAAAACATTGATAACATCCTTTTGGGAGAGTGATGGGTGAAGATCCCCAGAGAAGGAAACTCTGTGCAATCATTAGTATCCAGAGGCCACTGTTGATGTGTAACTAAAGTTCAAGAAAATAATCAAGGTATGCCAGAGTCGTGGTAGATGGGTACCTTGCAATAGACTTCTCCGTTACCACTGGTATCCCTTCCCCCATCCCAGCGTACCCTCCTCATGATTGTCACTTTAGGAGACTAGGAATATTGCAAAATAAACATCTGGAAATGTTGATAGTAAACATAGAAGAGAAATGTCTTGCAAAACTAGCCACAGGTCAGGAAACCCTAATCTTATCATGGGTCCTGGAGACCATAATGCCATAGACTGTTCAGATGGGTGTTATGTTACTGTGAACACAGATGTTTTCTTTCCATCCATTGTGGGCATCCTGTTTTGGAAAAGTCACTATAGCCAATGTCTAAAGGCTTGATCACTTTAGGACAGATTACTAAATACTTTTTATCTTAAAATAGAAGAGGGGAAAGGAAATCACAGCTCCTTTAGAGCATGGACAGCAGAGACATATGAATGTATTTATATATTTTTTTCATTTACGTTATCAACTTAATTAATTTATTTATAAAATTTCCATGACCATAGGATGACCACGTAGAAGTGTGGACTATGGATCACTAGCATCAAAATCTCTGGGGAGTTTTGCTTAAAAATACATATTCTGTCATAGCACCACAGAAATAAGGCCCCACCTTGACCTATATAATCTCCAAGGTAATACCTGGAGACCTACGTTTTAATCTATTCCCCAGACATTCTCAGGCACACCACATCTGAGAACCACTGACTGATGTTTGCTGGTTGGAGTGCCAGGCCAAGGGTCAGCCTTCAAGGGATTGAGATTCATGTCTTCGTGCCTGCTTTTCTTTACCTGTAAAAGAGCATAGCTTGAAGTTTAATACAAAGTGAGCATACTTTTTCTCTTGGGGGTTTTTAACCTGGGGTCCATGGTTAAAAGGAGGAGTCAGAGTGTTCATTAGATTTTTCAAGGAGGATTATTGCCCAAGAAAAGTATATTCTAACACCAGCTTAAATGCATGCTTTCCAGTTTGGGTGGGTGCTAAAAGAAAGGAATTGGCCGAGTGTGGTGGCACATACCTGTACTGTAGTTCCAGCTACGTGGGAGGCTGACGTGGGAATATAACTTGAGCTCAGGAGTTTGAGGCTACAGAGAGCTATGATTGTGCCTGTGAACAGCCACTTCACTCCAGCCTGGGCAATGCAGTGAGACCCCATCTCTAAAAATGAAAGAAAGAGAGAAAGAGAGAGAGAAAGAAAGGGCACTGGGATTGGCCCAGACAGTGCATGAATCTCACTTTCCTTCCCATTTCTATTAATAAAGGAAGAATTTTCAACTTTGTAAGAAATAAGAAATTTAGAATCTTTTTACTCCTAAATCTATAGAACACCTTGGACATCATAATATCTACTTTTCCTCTTGTAAGAATGGAAAAGAGGCTGGGTGCAGTGGCTCACGCCTGTAATCCCAGAACTTTGGGAGGCCAAGGCGGGTGGATTACTTGAGGTCAGGAGTTCAAGACCAGCCTGGCCCACATGGTGAAACCCCGTCCCTACTAAGAATGCAAAAATTAGCTGGGTGTGGTGGTGTGCGCCTGTAGCCCCAGGCACTTGGGAGGCTGAGGTGGGAGAATTGCTTGAACCCCGGAGGTGGAGGTTGCAGTGAGCCAAGACGGCACCACTACACTCCAGCCTGGGCGACAGAGTGAGACTCTGCTCAAAAAAAATAAAAATAAAAATAAAAATAAAAGGAAAATACAAGCCTGCATTATTTATAAATCATATAGTACTCCATGTCTAGAAAAATCAAAACTTATACCAAAGCATTTAAAAGAGTCACTATGATCATTTTATTAAAGTTTAGAGATGAATTTTACCATAAAGCAGGATTAACTGCACCTTTCTCTCCAGGATTCTGGTGTAAATAGAGAAACCACAGTCATGTATGGGCCTGAGAGGGACAGTAGAATGTGGAAGTGGGTTTGGAAACCAAAATATTATGTCAGCAGTTTTCTCTTTCATTTATTCACCCTTATCAAAACCAACTTTTTAACTCAGGGGCCCAGTTAATAAAAACATAGATAATTTCATTTGGAAGACCCAAGAGCTTCATGTTTGGGGTTTAAAAAAAATTCTTCTCATCCCCTCCGGGCAAAAGTGTTGGAGGGCGAATTCTCCTTGCAGAAACCCTCTTAATAAATCAGTGCTGGTGAACTTCTCTGCTCAGTGTAAGAGAAGGTCAGTTATTAGATAGACACAGAGCTCTACAGCTGGAATCCTTGTGGAAAGAAATGAAACCACAAATACAATTCCTTAGTTTAAGCTTGCCTTTTTATTTCTAATACCTTCAAAACCTCTTCAAACTCATTTTTACTTTTGTAGTTCTTTTTTTTTTTTTTTTTCATTTAAGCATGTTTTAACAATGAAAACAGCCAGCGGAGTATATTTTCAGGGTTATCCTGCAGATACGTAAGTAATCCTTTTCTGAGGGCCTTTATGTGGAATTGCAAAGTGCTGAGGGGAGACAGAGGGAGAATATTCAGAAAGCAGATACTGCAGTGTTTTGAACTTATCATGTGCAAAGGGACAACATTTTTCCACTGATTATGAAAGTCCCCATGAACTGCTTTTCCAGATAAAAATTCTCAGCAAATGATGGTCAGCTTCTGGCAGCCCCAAGTTTTCCTCTCTGTGAAATGGGGAGACCCACCAGGGCAGCCTTGGAAACCAGTGGCTTAGGGGTTCCAGGAAAGAGGCAGGCATTTACTTTGCAAGTTTGGCTCAGAGTGTGGGCCCTGATGAGATTTCAGGGTGTAAAAGGGAGGGGACGAAGACCAGGTGAGCAGTGTAAGGCCTTCTTAGGACCCGAGGGAAGTGGCCTTCTACATTTCTTACTTTTTGATGTTATGCCACAAAAATGCTCTGTTCTTCTCTGCCTCTACTCCAACCCTCATCCCTTGGAAAATCTTCCTGGTCAGAATCATGATGTTCCTAAGATGGTTGTCTTCCCACATTGCCTCTCCTGATTCCAGGGCCGGTAACAGTGCTTGCTTCTGGACACATGGATTAACCCAGGTCATGAGGAACACCTGGATTATAAAAGGTGTTAGTGTATCAGTACAAAACAGCGAATGGTCGCATTCCCAACTTTGGTATCAGACAACTTTTAGTTCAGCTCTCAGCTCACAGTGGCTAATTGAGAAGAAGGAAAGGCTGATGAAAGCTGACACTAAGGAAGAGTCTAGTCTGTTGCAGGCATCATTCTCCATCTCCCCAAAGAGCCAGGCAGGCCCAGAGCTTCACCTGATATTTTTCTACTAACCCTACCCATGCTCATGAGTACACAGAGTAGAAAATTATCTCCAAACGAGGCTGGGACTAAGGGGCACAAATGAGCCCCCTATGGCTCAACATTTAAGGGGGCAATTATTCTCAGGGTTGGACAATTGCAGACCTGCACCTGAGAGTGAGTACCTCCTTAAATTTTGCACCCTAGGCACCTCACTTGCTTCAACCTGGACTGGTCCAGTCACCACCCTTGGTCAAAGGGGAAAGTAGGAATTTGGTTGATAATCTCCTTTAACCAAGGTTCCCCACAGAGCCTCCAGGAAAGGCCTCTTTCTTGGACATCATCAGTTGGGTTGTCCACCTCTCCCAAGCATAACTGCTCTGAGCCAGTCTTGATCAGCTACTATGCCTTGTCTTGGCTCCACTCAACACCAGAACATGAATCAGTGTAGTTAGTCTGACAACATCATTAGGCTCCAATCCCGTATAAACTTTTACCCACAAAAGTTTGGACCTCCTTGGCCGAGCACTATGGCTCACACCTGTAATCCCAGCACTTTGGAAGGCCAAGCTGGGAAGATCACTTGGGTCCAAGAGTTCAAGACCAGCCCAGGCAACATAGGGAGACTTTGTCTCTACAAAATGTAAACAAAATTAGCCAAGCATGGTGGTGCACACCTGTAGTTCCAGCTACTCAGAAGGCCGAGGTGGGGGAATCATTTGAGCCCAGGAGGTCAAGGCTACAGTGAACTGAAATCATGCCACTGCACTCCAGCCTAGGCAACAGAACAAGACACTGTATCAACCTATCTCAAAAAAAAAAAAAAAAAATTGGACCTCCTGTTCCCCCACCATTATTTGAGTTCTTCCTGTAGTGCCCACTCTAGTCATAGAGATTGGTTAGAACTGACATCACCTTTCTTTGGACATGATAAAGTCCTGGTGGCAGTGTCTCCTTTTTTAGGGCACCTCAACAACTGTGCAAGAAGTCCCAACAGGAGAATATTTAGCTGCTCTCACCTCAAGTTCCAATTTCCCTGGGTGCCTCATGTAGGAAGCTGGTGACAATAGTCTAGGATCAGCTGCTCTGACATCCACCACAGAGTGCTCATTCTGCCATCCCTGCTGTGGGGGTCCAAAAAAAGGGAGCAAGAGGAATCTGAGGCCCTCCAGGGAGAAAAGGTATAGTGTAGGGATGGAGAAGGCTGACTAGTAGATTTCCTAGGATTTTCTTATTATAGGTTTTCTAGATGCTTCAGATCTTTAGGAAGCTGCATAAAAAGTGTGAGCAATAATACAAACAGGAAAAAGAACTTTCAGGAGGCAACATATTCAGGGAAGACCGAGCAGCCTGTGTTGCCGCTAGTTCAGGCTCAGTTACATTTCTTTTTCTTTAATTAATTTATTACTATTATTATCATTATCATTATTAGAGACAGAATCTTGCTCTGTCTCCCAGCCTGGAGTGCAGTGGTGCGATCATGCCTCACTGTAGTCTTGAACTCCTGGGCTCAAGTGATCCTCCACCTCAGCCCCAGTAGCAGGACTATAGATGTATGCCACCACGCCCAGTCCCAGTCACATTTCTTAGGGACCTACTATGTATGGGCCAGGTGCTAGGTGCTAGGGAAATGAAGATGTATAGCACAGTCTCTGCCCTGGAGAAGCAAATGGCTGCTGAAGAAGACAAGCATGAAGAGATCCTCTCCATAGCTGGCTTATTGCTGGGATACAATCTGCTTCAGGACGCCAAAGGAGCACAGAGTAATGGCCACCCTTATCCCAGTCTGGTAGCCCAGCAAGGAGACCATGGAAAAGATAATGCCTGAGCTGAGGATTGTATTCATTCATTCACTCATTCATTTATTCAACAAATATTCCAGGAGTGTCAACGGTCTTTCAGACATTGGTTTAGGTTTAAGTGGTACAATGACTTGCACATTTTAAGAAGTTAGAGAAAAAACACTATAGGAAGCAGAATTGATGACAATATTTTAGGGCTAATCAAATGGCTCTTGTGACCTCTTAATATCCACCCCCAAAGGTTTCCTGATGCCTCCACCATTATAAATTCATTCCTTTGTTTGAGACACATTCAGCATTGCCACATCCGTGAATTACAAATAGGTTTTGACACAGGAAAGGCCAGTGAATTGCCTAAGGGTACTTAGTGCCAGGGTTGGGGTATAGGAGGTGCAGTAGTTACACGACAGGAGTCACCAAGGGCAGATCACTCCCTTGTCTTCTCTCTGGGAGCACCTGGAGCTGACTTCAGCAGGGCTGACAATTTAAGCCAGTGAATCCTGCCTGCACATGGTTCAGGATGCATGCTGCACCAGGTCACCTAGGCGGCCCCTCATCCTCTGTCCACTGTGAAAACACGGGACACCCAGGTCGAAGGGAATGCTGAATGACACCATGTGGGTGTGCAGTGGTCTGTGACCAGAGGGTTCACTGGAAGCAATTTGCAAAGGAGGACTTAGAAAACCACCTGGATGGTTATTGTAAATTAAAAAAGGAAGAGATGCCACTTTTTTCTGAATAATTTTTAATACTAGGTTTATGGCTGGGTACATGTGATAGTCATTACAGCTTATTTAACTCTGAAATTATCTGGCCCCTCAAACTCCACCGGGACTGTAGAAATCTTGGGTTAAATTTTAAAAACAACATTTGAAAGAAGATGATATACTTTTCCTTGAGGAGAATAAATTCAAACCTAAAAGTGGGGGGGGGGGGAAACCCCAGCTCTCTCTAGGAAGGATCTCCATTGTTTCTCATATTTGCTATGTTTCTCATAACGTGTTTGAGCTCAGAAATTCACCCAGGCACACAAAAGGTCTACTCTAGTTGGCTGTTGAGCCCCTCCATCCCTGCAATCCAAGTTGTGCCTTTTCTATTGGGTTATTTGGAAAGAGTCCAAAAGCATTCTGAACTCTGAGCTCAAATCTCAAAGGTTTCCACTTCTTCGGAGCCGAACATTTCATCAGGGGCTGGGAGTGTGTGAGTGAGTTACACCGAACAGCTGCGCGGTACCCACCACCCTCTCCCCAAGGATGACACGCTCTGCAAAGGAGGGTGTTGTAAGCATTCCTGAGCAAGCCAGCTAATCTGGAGACCTAGCCTGTTGGCCGGGGGCTACTTCTAAGAAGCCTCCCTCTGGAATTACAGCATCTTATGACTTCTATCTACGAAGCCCCCCTTCTTCAGAGGAGCAGCTAGGACATGGGGTAGGGGAGAAGGCCAAATGGGTGAAAAAGGAATCTCTTGAGTCAGAGGGGCATTTCTTTTTGGGAACAGGATCTTGTCTCTCTTTAGCTGCTCACAGGAAGGAAAATGGGAAAGTAGGGCTTCTTTTCAAGTGGGGAGGCACCCAGCAGCCAGTGGAATGCCTGATTTGGAAGGGGCAGGAGGGAATAGTTATGTCCCGAACAACAAGTGCAAATGTAAATATGCAGACCTTTGAACTCTGAAATTGATTTCAATTCAGGCCAGCACTCCAAAGTTGTTTTATTGGGATGTCGAAGTGTTCTGGCACGTTGGTGGCTTAACGGCGTCATCATCAGACCCAGACATTTCTGGGTCCTTGGCATTTGTCTGGGTTTTAGAAACACTGTACCCATTGGCGATGTCACTCCCTGATCAGAGGCACACTGGCCACCTTCAAACCTCTTGTTCTCTTACTCCTCCTGGCAGAAGCAATGATGCTGGCGGGTCTCATCTGAGATCCGTGCCCGGCATTGGCTGAAGCTATCATCTCCTTTGTTACTTCCCAAGCAAGGCACAGGAAAGCCATCTTTACATCACCTCTATTTAAAGCACAGGGTCCCTTTTGCCTATGTCACTGAAAAACAGCAGAAGCCTGGTATCTAGTGGATTCACCCCGGCCCTCTAATGTGGTATAAGGAAAATCCTACAGAGAACATTTTCCCATTGAGCTTACAAAAAGATGTAAATTTGGAAAACTCTACCACATATCCATTTTGCACCAAAAATAGTAACATAAATAAAACATTTAAATAAGAAAACTAAAGTGGGGAGGGGAGATTTGGGGGGTAGGGAAGGGAAAGTGAAAGTCCATAGCTTGATATTAACCAAGATGGTCAATGGCTCATTTAAAAAGGAAAAAGTAGCTTATGCAAAATCTTGCCAACCTGCCTTGAAGTGTAAAGGCTTGTAGAAGTTATTGAAAATTTTGTTTTATTTATTCCCCTTAGCAGAAGAAAAATCAATGTCTGCTTGGCAAGTCAGACGTAAATGAGTTATACAGGCCACTGACATGGTGGACCAAACTTTATAACAACCACATTTGCCGCTGTCAGGCCACAGGCTTCAGTGGCGCCAGCTGTAATTATGGCTGATCACCTCTAATTCAGAGCTGCCTGCCTTGATAAAGGTGTCACTCGGAGCTACTGTGGCATCAGCATCAATTGAGGATGTCAAGCCAAAGGGCAGCTTGCTGGAGAAAGCACTTCCCCACCCCAACCCCCAGGGTCCTGGAGACCCTTGGGCAAATATTGCTTTTTAACTCTTCACCCTGAGTACGGCAACACTCCCTGAAGCTGTGATTTAAATTCCAGGGGATTCAGATGAATATCCCTGACCTCCATCAGTGGACGTCTTTAATAAGCTGAGAGATTTCTCCAAAAACACAGTTTAGAAGTCAAGATCCTCTGTGCTTTGCAACGTGCAGAGACAATGTTTGTCTTATCTACCTGATTCATTGGCCACAAAAGGCATTAGGGGCAATAGACTGTAGCACAAGCCATGGTCATTTTTGGAAAAGGAAAAAAAAATTGCAGCTTCATGCCTTTCTTCTGCTTTTGTGGTATTTAAAAAAAATTCTAGCGAACTTCCCATTTTCATGTTACTTTTTTCTTTTTGAAGGAAACATGAAGTGTGGGGAGAAATAGCAAAACGGAGAGATGATGGGGTTAAAAAGCCCTGCTAATAGAGTAGTGTCTGGACTGTTGTCATTGTCGTGGTGGAGCCCTGAGTGGGGAGGTGTGAAGTGAGGGGTAGAATTCAGCCATTAAAAAGGCTTCACTGTCATTTGTGAAGGATCATGCTTGACTGCCCCCACCTCCCCAGGCTGTTTTTCCTCACTCTGTAATTAAAAAAGAGACACACATACTGTCTGTTCTCCTCTTTAAAGTCACAGACGGCCCCACCCACACCAGCACCCCCTCCAGCGAGTTGAGTTGTGGGGGCACAGCCTGTCTTTCATTTTAAGGGAGAACTTGTCTTCCTTCCCTCTCCTTTGGAAGGTTCACCTGAGGGTGGAGTGCTAATCTCAGAAAGGCAAGTTTTGTGTTTTGTGGCTGGGGTCTTTTTCCTTTAGCACCTGACAGGGTGACCCATAGGGGCCAAGGGAGAAGTGACTGTGATTTCACAGCCCTTGGTGGCTCCAGACACGGGCACGTGTTTGGACCAGAAGTGGTTTTGCCCTCGCTGACAGGGAGGTCAGATGCGAGAAGTCTCCGGAGGGCTGGTGGTTGGCATTCAGCAACAGAAAATCCCATCCAGCTCCAGGAAAAAAGGGCCCTGGGCGATGGAAACCCTGTCACCTGGTTCTGAACCAAAGCCCAAGCTGCTAACTGAGGTTAGTTTTTCACACTCAGACCTTCCAACCTGCCATCTTTCACTCCCTGCTTCCCCATCTCTACACGTGTCTTGATGTTATTTCCCTTTCTCCAAACACAGGGCACTCTTTTTTTTTTTTTTTTTTAACCAGTATTTTTTTTTTGTTTCCAGCAGAACCAGCTGACCCCTGCCTGCAGAACTCCGGGTCCCTCTTGGAGCTCTCTGATGGCAGCTGTAGGGCCATCCCCAGCGGCACTGTTTCCCCCTTTGTTTACCCGTTTCTAAGGGCAAGTGCACCACGAAGGCTCTCCGAGCCTGGAACTCAGCCTGGGGCTGTTTTGGTTACATTGAAGTTTTTGCTTCAGTTCTGCCAGATTTAAGTGGTGACTTCACTAGCACTGAGCTAAAAAGGAGAAGGGGGAGGAGGGCGAGACCAGGAGAAAGAGAGCAAGTGAGCGAGAGCCCAGCCGGAGGGAGAGCCAGAGCTAGGCGCAAAAGAAGGGCCAGCACATTACATCATCGCTTGGCCTGGAATCAAATGGGAAGGATATGACTCACTCAAGCTAGTTAAGCTTTGGCTCAAATTCTACACACACTCATTCCAGAGCTCTCATGTTCTGCACCTCAGGAGGGAATTCAGCCTCAGTGATGTCCATGAGGTTTGTTTTTAATTTTATTTTCTTTTCTCCTGATTTTATAGATTTTTTTTGCCCCTACTGCCTTCTGTTTTTGAGCCTTCGTCCTCCTCCTCCTCCTCTTCATTTTCTCCCCCTTCTCCCTTTCTGCCCGTCTTTGTTTCTCCTCTTCTTCCTTCTCCTCTTTCCCCAGCCCCTCCGCTCCTCTTCTTGCCCGAAGAGGCATTTCTTTTCACTTCGATCAGAGTTTTTGTTCTAGCACAGAGACCTGAATGAGTTGAACAGAGGCCGGGTTGGAGGAAAAAAGAAAAAAAAAAAAAAGCAGAGCAAACCAAAGCAACCAGAGCAAAAGGGCCACAAATAAAGAGCGAAGCGAGAAAGAGCAAACTCGGGCGAAGTTTCTTTGCTGCGGTGTCGCTCCTAATCGGAGGAGACAGGGAGAGAGTTAAAATGCAGGAACCAATCGCTTGAATGGTGATGTAATGCAAGAACCGAAGGGTAGTTAAGTAATGTGAGAGCGAGGGGGTCAGGGTTGCAAAGCATTTACCTGCTCTCAAGGGGTTTTCAGTTTATTATCAATTGCAGTGACTGTAACCGGCTTCAGACTGCAATCTCTAATTATTCACAGACGCTCCTTTTTTATCTTTTATTATTAAAAGTAAAACTATATTATGGTATTTTAAAATAACACGATATTATCACAGCTGTGTATTATTTTCTGCCAGGATTCTCTCTCTCTGTTTTTTAAATGGCTTAAAACTGTTGTCTTTTCATAAAAGGTGGAAGTGATGGTGTGGTGGTTGGTTGGGGGGTTGGGGGGGCGATTTTTGAGTGTAACTGGTGAATTGTAAATGACTGGAAAACTGTGTGTTGTATGAAAAGTGAATGATTGTGCTGTTCCATTTATTATTAAGAATATACTGCAGCTTTTAAAAGTAATAGATGATGATCCTCAAAAGTAGTTATAGCCTTTCCCCTATTATTTCAGTGAAGGTTAACAGCAATTGTGCATTTGCTTGAGCATGTTGACATTCTGTTGTTCCACGTGCTAATTAATCCGGTGCTATCTTTAAGACTTTTATGTTCTTGAATTAATTTTTTAGATGATATGCTTCAGTAGTGAGGGGGCGATGATGAAGACTTCTTGATTGAGTTGTCTTAGAAACAGTTAATATTTCAGAGTAAGAAATTAACAGGAAATACAGGGAGAGGGGGCAAAGGATTGTGTTCTTAATGTTTTAAGGATCTCGTGTACTCAGAGAGAGAGACTTTGATGTTTTGAAAATTATTACCACATTTCTGTTTCATAGAATAGATTTCGTATTGTGATATGCTGCCTGAGTTGGGTGCTTTCTGACACCATCCGGCATTACTAGATAGTAATAAACTGAAACCCACTAAAACAAGAGGGCAAACACTTTCTCATTCTGGGAACTTCAAAACTTCTCTTGGGCTTATTTAGACGTGATCATCCTACAGCTGGATGCATATTGAGGCATGCGGCACATACCAGAAAGGTGTCTATTTATTTAACGCATGTTTTGGATATCATTCATTATGACTTTATGGATCTTCTCTCTTTCCTCCTTTTTTGGGCAGAGGTGGAAGTGGGGAGCAGAGGGGAGAAGTAATTTTTGGAGGAAGTAGCATGATGTGTGAGGAGGCCTGAGTGTTGATTCTGATGCTTGACCTTGAGCAAATCACTTAAACCATCTGGGCACTACTCTAAAGAGCAGGAAAGGGCAAGGTGGGCTAGAAGCTCCTCCCCGCATGGGGAACCAATCTTAGATGATCTCTGGAGTCTCTTTCCACTCGAAAGTTCTATGTTTATATCCATGTTCTATACAAAAGTTTGCTACAGAGTATTTAGCATAGCTTTTCAGAGAAAAGTACATTTGAAATTCAGGATGAATTAGTACTTGAAATGAATGGGGGAGGATGGACAGGAGTATATCTTTCCCCACTTTGAAGTTTGATCTTTATTTGTTTACTTCTTGCTTTTTGGCAAAAAAACAAACATGGTAAACTTTTTAGTTTTCAAATGCTACCTTTGAGGAGACCTCAATGAGATAAATTACCTAGGTGAGACTGCCAAAAAGAGTGGCAGAGTAGACAAGGGGGAGAATTCACCTGCCCAGAAACTTTTCTAAAAGATCCCGCACATCCTTCAGATTCATGAAATGGTGCCAAAAATGCAGCAGACACAGACCCTTGTGCTTCAGTTGCTCACATGGAGCAGAACAGTATTTTCAATGAATTTATTCCCCCAAAGATTGCATGACTACTTGATAAGTTTCTGTATTTTTAACATAAACTCAAGTTTTTAAAGGAGATTTAAGGCTACATTTGAAAACCTTCAAAGATCATGAAAAGCAAAACCGTATGTGCTTGTTAGATAATTTTCCAGACAATACTCCTATTCTTCAGGCAAATTCCAGGGTAGTAGCCTTATTATAAAGTATATATTTATGTATCCGGGGTAGTAGCCTTATTGTAAAGTATGTAGTTATGTACTTATGGCCCAGCTCAATTGCGCACAGGGAAGGACCTTAACTATGCCTATCTGTGGGAAGAAATTACCCAGAGCTAAAATGAAACCAGTGGTGAAGATTATTAGTCATTGTGCATAGTTTGATGAGTGCCAAGTGTATGCTTGGGACTCTTCAGGAATAAAGAGGGCATGATTTCTTTTTTTAGAGCATTACAATTTATGTCGACTTGGCTCCGAATTGTTCACTCATATTCAGTAATGCTCTGCTTGTGACTGACAGAGACAAGGCCAGGAGCACTAGCCTGGCTGTGGCCTCTCCATGCCGGCTGTGATACCAGGTTGCACTTACATGATCTCAGCTCATTACACTTACCCACGGTAACCCAGAGGGCTAAAAATTATTAATTCCACTGTTTGACGACTATTTTGTTCTGTTTCATGGTTTTTGTTTTGATTTTTGGTTTTTAATTAAAAATTTTTATTCAGATAAGTATACATTTACATGCATTCATAAGAAATAATATGGAGAGGGCCGAGCGCAGTGGCTCACGCCTGTAATCCCAGCACTTTGGGAGGCCGAGGTGGGTGGGTCAGGAGATCGAGACCATCCTGGCTAAAATGGTGAAACCCCGTCTCTACTAAAAATACAAAAAATTAGCCAGGAGTGATGGCGGACACCTGTAGCCCCAGCTACTCAGGAGGCTGAGGCAGGAGAATGGTGTGAACCTGGGAGGCGGAGCTTGCAGTAAGCCGAGATCGAGCCACTGTACTCCAGCCTGGGCGACAAAGCGAGACTCTGTCTTAATAATAATAATAATAATATGGAGAGATTCCCATGTATTCTTTGCCCAGTTACCCTCAATGGTAACATCTTGCAAAACTGTTGTAGTACATTACTACAATCAAAATATGGACACTGTTACAATCCATTGATCCTGTTCTGCGTTCCTGTATGAACAAGCACATACAGTTTTGCCTTTCATGATTTCTGAAGGTTTTCAAATGCAGCCTTAAATCTCCTTTAAAAACTCAAGTTTATGTTAAAATTATAGAAACTTATCAAGTAGTCATGCAATCTTTGGGGGAATAAATTTATTAAAAATACTGTTCTGCTCCTTGCGAGCAACTGAAGCACAAAAGCCTGTGTCTGCTGCATTTTTGACACCATTTCATGAATCTGAAGGATGTGCAGGATCTCTTAGAAAAGTTTATGGGCTGTGAATTCTCCCATTTTACTTGTATTTGGTGTGTGTGTGTGTGTGTGTGTGTGTGTGTGTGTGTGTTGTTTTTGTCAATGTAAAAACTGAGAGTCAGGCTTACCCAAGTACATATAAGTTCTGGCAATTGGAGTCCAGTTCACTCTAGGTCTAGCTCACCATCACCAACAAACTTTCCATCACCATCCTGACTTGGTAAGGGAAGGGGTCTAATGCCCTTGCCTGTCAGTGGAAGTCATCAAATACCCAGTTGGGGAGTCTTGGTGACAGTGACTGTGTTTTACCTTCCCTTGGACATGGCCTGTCCATGGGCTTTGCCTTCCACAGGGGTCCCTGGGGCTGTGCTCCACAGGTGAGCAGGTGGAGGAGGAGAGATGGCTTTGCTAAGCAACAGAAGAGGCATCAATCTCTTCCCTCTGCCCACCAGACACAGAGCAGAACAGTGCCAGCTGTCCATGCCTAAGCATCACCATAGTCGATGCTGAACTCACATTCTTCCTCCTCGCCCTCACATGTTTCCCTTGGTGAGCCCTTTTACAGCAGGAAGGATGGGGATAATATCAAGCAGGCATTGCCAGTCAGAGAAGCAGGGTGGGGTCTCCTGAAAAGAGCATGGCCTTTGGGGTTATAAAGTCCTGGATTCAATCACTCTTCTACTTACTGGCTGTGTGACTTTGACAAGCCACTTCACCTCACTGTGCCACAGTTCCTACCTTCTCTGTGAATTGTGGATAACCAGACTGACCTCGAGGAGCCATTGCGAGGGGTGGAGATAAGGTTTTAAGGCCCCTGGCACATAGTGGGATGGTGGGGAGGAAATCTTGGTGGTTTCTGTTGTTGAGGATTCTGTTGGATAGGATTCTCCTCGCAGCAGTCCCTGCTGCAGGTACGGCCTCCCTGACTCTAACTGGGCTTCTTGTCCCAGCATCACTTAGCCTTCTTCTTTCTCTAGCCTTTCTTCTGTTATGCCTTTTTTTTAAATTCAGGAAATCAAGCAGGTTTGAGATCACACAAGGTCCTAGAAACAGAGAAGTAAAAAGACCATTCTGACTAAAGTGAGGTGAGGATACTAGCGATTAAAATGCCAAATTTCCCATGATCTGGGTGGAGGGAAGGACACAGGACATCACAGTTTGGAAGAAAGGATGCTTACTGCCCTGTGGCACTGTGAACAAGAAAATAAAGTGAGATGGAGGTGAGTGAATTCAGTTATGAGAACTGAATTCTATTCCTAGCTTGAATAAAAGAAGTTTGTAGGCCAGGCGTGGTGACTTGTGCCTGTAATCCCAGCACTTTGGGAGGCCAAGGCAGATGGATCACCTGAGGTCAGGAGTTCAAGAGCAGCCTGGCCAACATGGTGAAACCCTGTCTCTACTAAAACTACAAAACTTAGCCGGGTGTGGTGGCGGGTGCCTGTAATCTCAGCTACTCGGGAAGCTGAGGCTAGAGAATTGCTTGAACCCAGGAGGCAGAGGTTGCATTGAGTAGAGATTGTGCCATTGCACTCCAGCCTGGGTGACAGAGCAAGACTCTGTCTCCAAAAAAAAAAAAAAAAAAAAAGTTTGTATTTGCAATAGCATATGTGTGTTATTCTTATCTTTAGTTGGGTGAAGTTACCATTTAAACTTGCTGCCTCCCTCTCACATATATTTTCTAGTGGTTAAAAAAGGATGTTTTGTAGACTGGAGAGAAAGGGACTTCCAAGGAGGCAAGTGGAAGGGTTAGGATGGCGGGTAGTGGAATTAGACAACATCTCTGGGGTCCAAGAGGCACCTTGAGAGTTCCATGCTGGGATCCCCGAATCTAAGCTGCAAAAGGGCATATGGTGTCTCAAGCTGCTTGAAAGAAGTATTGTCTCAGATTTTACTTAGTAAGCATTGGTCAGGAAGGCCAGGTCAACATTAAGAAGCAGAAATTAGTGTAGACTGAGAATGAGCCCTGTCATGTGCCTGACAGAAAATAGGCTGGGCCAATCTGGAACTCTACTTAAAAAAGAAGCAGCTGTGGCTGGGCGTGGTGGCTCACACCTGTAATCCCAGCACTTTGGGAGGCCGAGGCGAGTGGATTGCCAGAGCTCAGGAGTTTGAAACTAGCCTAGGCAACACGGTGAAACCCCCTCTCTACTAAAATACAAAAAAAAAAAAAAAACAACAAATTAGCTGGGCGTGGTGGCATGCGCACGTAGTCCCAGCTACTTAGGAGGCTGAGGCAGGAGAATTGCTTGAACCTGGGAGGCAGAGGTTGCAGTGAGCCAAGATCCTGCCACTGCACTCCAGCCTGGATCACAGAGCGAGACTCCGTCTCCAAAAAAAAAAAAGCAGCAGCTGTGGAATAAAGCACTGGCTTCTCCTTTCTGCTCCCTTTTTGTTTGGTTTTTTGGGATTCTGACCTTCAAAGGGGACTCCTTTTACATTGGATTGCAGCTAGAGGTGTGGCCAGAGGTGGTGACGCATGACTGTAATCCCAGCATTTTGGGAGGCCAAGGCAGGCAGATCACTTGAGGTCGGGAGTTCAAGACCAGCCTGGCCAATGTGGTGAAACCCTGTCTCTACTAAAAATACAGGCATCTACTAATCAGAGAAGCAGGGTGGGGTCTCCTGAAAAGAGCATGGCCTTTGGGATTTAAAAGGCCTGGATTCAATCACTCTTCTACTTACTGGTTGTGTGACTTTGACAAACCACTTCACCTCTCTGTGCCACAGTTTCTATCTTCTCTGTAAATTGAGGATAACCAGGCCAACCTCGGGCATGGTGGCACATGCCTGTAATTCCAGCTACTCCAGAAGCTGAGGCATGAGAATCTCTTGAACCTGGGAGGCAGAGGTTGCAGTGAGCCGAGATCGCACCACTGCACAACAGCTTGGGTGAGAGAGCAACTCCATCTCAAAAAAAACAACAAAAAAGACTGGGTGCTTTAAGAGGCATGCATTTCATGAGTTTGGGTTACAACAAGAGTAATTTCTTAAAGACTTACACACCTTTGAAAACTGAAATTGACTTAGCACTCCAAAATCCACTCCATAGTACGCAAACACTTTAACACAAGTCCATACATCTTTCCTTCCTGTACCTGCGCTGGCAAGAGAACTCATTTAATGATTGATGAGGCAATGCTGTACCCAAGAAGAATTAATCAATAGTTTGCAATTATTATGGAGAGTGGGACAGTAGTTAGACAATAGCCAAGACCCATCTAGCTAGCAACAAAGTCTTTCTTTCTCTCTCTTCACATGGTACCAAAAAACTGAATTCTGCTTTATGGTTTTTTTTCTATTTTCCATCTGAATAACTAAAATAGAACTGGATGTGTCCAAAAAGCAAAGCCTAGAAAAAGCAATCATATGGCCCCCAGTGAATGTCAAGGTATCTATTAATGCATAGATTTGATTACTCGTCTTAACGGGAAAATAGGGTCAGGAGACTGCATTGTGTGAACTGGAATGGCTACCATGAATTACTATGTTTTAGGAGTCCATCAACTTTTTATTTTGCAAATCAAAGATCTTGAATTGAAGTCACGTTGGGCTGCACCCATGTGCTGACACGGCAGACAGTCCAGCTGGCCCTCTTGCAGCCTTTTGGGCCTGTCTGCCCACTTGGCTCTGCCCCTCTGCCCTCAATGGGGCTTGTATCACTGCTTAAAAAAAAAAAAAGAAAAAAAATGTCTGCAAAACAAGCTTTTGTGCAGAGAGGGGAAGCCTAATTACTCGTAATCAATATGGCCAGATGAGATTGGGCCCTGTGGATTGTTTTGGAGTCAGACAGACCTGGGGGCAAACTCTGGCTTTGCCATTTGCTAATTATGTGATTTTTGACAATCTATTGAAGCTTTCTGAGCCTCGGTTACTTCATTTATGAAATGGAATTCATAAGAGCATAATACACTTAGCATAGTAAGTGCTCAGCAAATGTTAGTTATTTAATAATGGAGCCAGTTGACTTCTTTGGAAGTCTGGATAATAATATATTTTGGGCATTAATAATGTAGAGAGAAATATTGTCATGTAACAGTTCCTTCCAAGAAAGGTAAACCAAGTCACAGAATGCAGGTGAGGTCATGAGTGGGTGGAGAGGTGAAGAGAGAATCATACTTCTGGCTGTACATGCCATTGGTCAGAAAACGAGGTTTCAGCTCTCACTTTAATGTACTGTAGTTTATTTCAACATCAAAAGAGCAGGGTCTTTTTTCACCGCTTTTTGTTAAGTAGTAGATTTCTTTTTTAGATGGCATAGAGTAACTTCTTTTGCATCTGCCTCTTCTTGACCTTCTTATTTATCTAACACTTCCGTCAGCTCAGCAACACTTTGCAATAAAGGACTGATCCCATTTAATTCCTCTGAAATTAATCATAATAACAGCAATTATAATAAACCCATTTAGTGTAAATGTAGTTGTAAATTGCTCTTGCGTAGCATTTTCGCCTTTAGTTTTGCTCTCACCAGCATCCACCCTAATATGGATCATGCAGTGGCCTCTCTATAGCCAGATTATTTTTCTGAGTTCAGCTCTTGCCCTAGTTCAGTACATGGCTGCTTTTTGCCATTTCCTTCCTCTGAGGGCAAGCAGGAAGCTCCCTGTGACGTGTACAGGTCACAGGGAACGTCATTTGATTTGAATTTGCTCTCACCATCCAGAACTTCCTTAGTAGTAGAATAATCATCTTATAATTCTTTTTTTAAAATTTTTCTTTAGCGACAGGGTCTCGCTTTGTCACCCAGTGACACAATCACAGCTCACTGCAGCCTCGAACTCTTGGGGTCAAATGGTCTTCCTGCCTCAGCCTCCTGAAGTAGCTGGAGCTACAGGTGCACACCACTACACATTGGCTATGTTTTTAATTTTTTTGTGGAGACTGGGTATCCCTATGTAGCCCAGGCTAGTCTCAGATTCCTGGACTCTAGCAATCCTCCCACCTCAGCCTCCTGAGTAGCCAGGGTTATAGGCGTGAGCTACTTAGCCTGACCCAGTCTTATAATTCTAAATGCACTGATGAAGCCAGAACCTAAAGATTGATGTTTCAACCCAACCCGTTCACCTTACAGATTAAGAAATCAAAGGCCAGGCACAATGGCTAACTCTTGTAATCACAGCATGCAATTCGGGAGGCCAAGATGGGAGAATAGCTTGAGCCCGAGAGTTTGAGGCTAGTCTGAGCAATGTAGGGAGACCCCATCTCTACAAAAAAAATTAAAAAATTAGCCGGGCATGGTATCATGCACCTGTGGTCCCAGCCACTTGGGAGACTGAAGCAGGAGGATCACTTGAGCCCGGTAGTTCCAGGCTGCAGTGAGTCATGATGGCACCATTGCACTACAGCCTGGGCCACAGAGCTAGACAGGAGGGAGGGAGGGAAACTGAAGCCATCCAAAAATGTGAAGAGAGTTATTCTATATCATAAAACCATTGGTGTCAGTGCCCAGACCAAGCTCTAAGGCGGTGAGGAGCACATTTCTGCCCTGCCAGGCCAGTGAGCTTCCTGGTGCCAGGAATTCTGTCATATTGCCCAGGCTAATGCTTTGCAGTCCCTTTTTGAATTCTGACTCCTGGGGATGGTGGGGTGGGAGGGAGCAACCAACAGGCAGGCCCTTGAGACTCTGGAAATCATTCAGGCAGCTGTGCAGAGACTCCTCCCTCTGGTCTGGAGAGAGGGGTGCAGAGGCCACAAGATAGCTTGCTTTTTGCCTCCAGCCATCAGCCCCACTGGGGTCTAGTTAGTGGGCCAGAAGTTGTGGGCCCTAATAGCATTGGGGTAAATGTCCTGGAGTCCAGCTCTTTGCTTCCCACCACTCTCTTCTCTCCTCCCTCTCCATGCCTGAGCCCTGGCTACACTGAGTGCATGTCTGATGAGGACAGAGCTTGGAAGCTGCCCCAGAACCAGCACCCACCCACCTGCAGGATGTGACCTCTGGGCTCTGAACACACTGCTTCCTCCCTCTTCCTCCCCACCTAGGGAACAGTTTTAGACCACAATTCCCAAACAGCCCCACTTTGCACTTTAATCCCAAAGAGACTCCAGCACTTTGTGACCACAGAAAACTTGTCACTTCATTATGATTCTGAAAAAAAAGAGAGCAAAGGGTAATTCATAGTTGTTTTAATGACTTTGCATCCTTTCCCATGGAGGCAGCTTTCAGCTGTTAGGCACAAAGGACGCTGGCCTTCTCTGACATCTGACAGTGCAGTGGAGCAGCATTTTCACAAGATTCTTCACAGCCAGTTAACCCAATTAGTCTTCCCACAGTCATTACCCAGGTGCCGTACCATTCGGCTGCCTGGGAGCCTCCAAAGCTCTGTTGTGTGGAGATGAACTATTGTGCCTCCCGACCTTGAAAGGATGTTTCTAACTAATTAATGATTGTTAAGTGCTTGGAAAATGCACTGTGGAACTATGCTGGGGCTCATATGTCTGCATCTTCAGCTGTGCGGATGCACTGAATGCAAATCAGAAATCCTTCCTGCCATTTGTAAAGCATAGGAAGATGGATATGACCCTTTCTTTTCTCAAAGAGTTATCTGTCCTCCTCCTCCTCTTTTTCTTCATTCGTTTCTTCTGAGCTGTGTATTTAAGCTCCCTTTGAAATGGGCCAGTGTTTTGTACCATTTCTTCTACTGAAGTGAGAAGGATCTTATAGGGTTTTTCCAGCCACGTGATCTTTAATGAGGCAAATTGAAAACCACTATTGGCTGAACCATCCGGGAAGAAAATGTGGTTTTCTGTATAGTAGTTTTTAAATTTTTTTGATATGAGCAATAGTGGGAAATATATTCTGTATCACAGCCCAGTATACTCACACATATGCATATATATGTACACATATATATACACCTACACATATATACATATGTACACATGTATACACATATACACACACTACATACACACATATACATATATATACACATACGTATACGTATACGTATATATACACATACGTATACGTATACATACACATACGTATATATACACATACGTATATGTGTGTATGTAATGTGTAATGTATATACACACATACTCACATTACATACACACATATATGTGTATATATACTTCACATATATGTGTGTATATGTGTTATACACACATATATATATTTGTGTGTATATATACCCATGGAAATATATACATGTGTATATATTTATATACACACATATGTACATTGGATTATGTGTATAATATGCACACATACATATTTATATATACACACACACAATTTTTATGGAATAATACTTAATTTTTACTGCGTATAACATTATTTGGATATCTGATATATTAGATATGTATCTATTGTTCTAAAATGCTGATAATGTCAGATTAAGCTGATTTCACCAATTTCTCATGAATTGGCCCCCTAATGAAGTGCAGTCAGCATTGGAAACACACTGGTATCATAGAAAGGCCACCAGAATGCTGGGCAAGGATCAGGGGACCTGGGTTGTATTTCAAGTTTTGTCCCAACTCCTAGATTCCTTTCCCCAAACTCTGTGTCCTCATATAAAATTAAGGTATTTTGTTTTCAAACTGAGGGTACCCTCAGACTACTTTTTAAGAAATCCTCTTGTGGAAAAGCCCATTATGGAAAACAGATCCCTGACTGGTCCATATCTCCTCCCGTAAGTCACCCCCACCCCCTCCCAGAGGTCCTTGCAACAAAATCCAAATCCTACTGGATTAGAAATTTCATGACATCCATCTAGTTCTGGCCTTCAATGATTAATTTATTTCTTAGGTAATAGATTCATCTAACAAAATGCAATCTGATTTATTTCCATGGATTCTGAGCTAGGAATCGCAATTGGGAATCTCCAGAACCAATGGGGATTTTTGCTGTAGGACCATCGTTCTTTTCTGCCTCAGCGTTGTCATTTGTTCTTTGGCCTTAAGAGATAGACTTCTTCAGGGAAGGAATGAGTTAGAAAGGTCTTCAGTTGATGTATGAGCAGGTGGACACGTGTGGATGTTTATTTATGTCATTGTGTCTGCTGTTTGCCTCCTAAATTCAGCAGGTTCTTGATTTTTAACACAGCTCAAATCATTTGGCCTACAGCTGGTAAAATACAATTTTCTGGGTTCTCAAAAAGAAAGGCTTTTCAGACTTATAAAAAGAGAAGCTCATAAGACTTCTTGAACATCAAATAGCTCTTACAAAACACCATTTTGATGAGTTAAGTGTAAATGAATCAGAAACATACGGATTAAATTTCCCTTGAAAGACACATGGGTTTAAGAATTAAGGGGGGAAAGTGCTTGGCAAGATGGATTTCAGGTTTGTGCCAAACCTCAAAATGTTTGAAAAATGGTTTGAGACATTTTTACCGAACGCAAAATGCCATTGAGTTTCCCTATCCCCAGACATAATAGTGAATCTTTTTGACAACAACTGTATGACAAGAAAAAAAGGCCTGCGGGACTTAGCCATTTTCTCAATTCTTTAATAGTCTCTCTTCCTCATCCCCCAAACCCCACTCCCCACCAAAAAAAAAAAAAAAAACACACTCACAGGGCTAAGAGAACTTCCTGATTAAAGTTTCGAGTCAGGCAATTACCAGAAAATAACCCCACGACTCAAAAATACATGAGTCCCCTCCCAATACTATCCAATTATACCATTTTCTAAGTGGAATAATGCACCATGAGGATAGGCAGTATTTGCTATATTTTATTCACTGGTGTCCAGAGCAGTGCATGGTTATTCTAGACATTTGTCTGACATTATAGTGCCAGCTTCTTTGGGGAAAGAAAATAAGTTCACTAAAAGCAAACAGATTGGAGAGAACTATTCATTGGTTTATTAAAACAGCCACATTGTGGAAATGCTATGTTTTATGAAGGCAAGACATGGGATGAGGCTTTCAAGTTGCTGGGAATGGTCTTGGAAATGTGCATTCTGTTATAGCTTCTCTGTTGAGTAAGCTGTGTTATAATTTCTCCACACCTCAGAATTCTTCCTGGCATGAGGAACATCAGGAGCAACATAGTAAGGATCCCGGGACTAATTATCTTATGAACGGTGCACATCGTCTGTATTCAATGCCCTCCAATTATTTTTTACTAGCTATGCCTTTTACAGGCTGACCCTTTTACAGCCTCATTTTTCATATGCAAAAGCACAGAAGTGGGTTTTGAGCGAGATACTCACAATAAGGGAGGGAGAGGGACTGGGTGGGAAGCCATGGGCTGGGCCATTTGCTCTGTGAGGCTGCCTTGTCTCATACTCTTGTTTCATTTTCATATTTAAGCCAGGATGACCAAGGTTTGCTTCCTTCCTTCCTTCCTTCCTTTCTTCCTTTCTTCTTCTTTTTTTTTTTTTCATTTGAAAGAAAGGGCGTATTCAGTGACTGCCAATATCGGTTTAGAAACTAGAGTATTAACTTTGCTGCCCTGTGAAAGTGAAAAAAAGAAAAGAAAGAAACTAGGAGATAACAATGTATTTTTTCAAAAGATTTCAATTCATCGTAGACCAAGAAAAAGCTATCTTTAAATCTATATGTTTTAATTCTATGCTGGAAGTCATGGACAAATCTATTTATTATCTTGTTAGGGGAGCATCTCACACAGCACTTTGAGGTAGGAGTGTGCTCTCTGGGAACCAAAATTAATTTGTTGCAAAAGCAGTACCTAAAAGGGAGAGGAAATGTCACATTAAACTCAGAAAACCACTTTCAGTACTTCCAGGGAAGATAGTGCATAACAGTGATTGTTAAAATCTACCCGCTGACTCCCACCAACTTATGCTTATCTATATTTATTGAACTGTATAAATGAAAACTGGAAATACTGGAGTGAAAAAAAGTTATATCAACTTTCTGTCTTGGAAAAGGCTTTTTAGAAACAGAAATAGTAGGGCCAAATTATGGCTCTATTTTTACCTTTTCCAAAGCAGCTTAATGTAGAACAATAGGGCCAAGAAGGGGTTTTTTCGCTCTGAAAAATACCGAGTCCCCTGCCCAAGAGCTCCAGTGCCTCCCTCCCACTTACCCCAAATGTCTCTCTCTAATGCAAAAACGACCAAAGTGTGCAGAACAGTCTATCAAATGGTTCTTTTAATTTGTAACTCAGCCATCTACCTGAAATACTGGGAAATCAGTTTTAACATTTTTATATGTATATAGTTCCCAATTTGGTGTATACAAGGGCATCACCTAAATGGGACGTACATCAGACAGTCGATATTCCTAGAAAGGATTGTTATCATCCAGAGATCGTTTTCATGTTATTAAGCTATGAATGACAGTAGTTGTTTAATATCTTCTTGGCCTTTGTTGACATATTTTAACAACCTGCCTTGCACAGACAGTAAGCTCTGCCTGGAGCCCTGCTACCAATATCTCTCCAACTCACACACGCGCACAAGCACACACACACATGCATGCATGTTCCCACGATGCAGGGCTAACTTCTCATCTTTCCTGGAACAATTCATATGTCTCCTCTTCGAGGACCATCCCCTGGAACCCCCGGGGTATTAAATAACACTTTGAGGGGTATCTCCCATTACACCCTCAGCTGACTTCCTTGGCTATTTGCCTTCATAAATGATGAATTCCTGCAGGGCAGCAATGATCTTTTATTCACGCTAGGCTCTCAGCACAGTTCCCGAGATACAGCAGAAGCTGAGTAAAAGTTTAACAACAACAACAAAAAAACTTTAAAAATAATTTTAGCTGTGTTTCTGTTGGATCGAATGTTTATTGAAGTCACACAAAGTTAGGTGGGACTAAAATCGGCCCTCTGCAGGCTTTCTGAGTTCTTAGTACTCCTAGGAAAAGTGAGGAGTAAAACGCAGGGGAGTTTGTGCTCAGATGATGAGCTTCCTGCTTGATTTCAACTCTCTCCTGTAACCTGTGTTTATCTTGATGGCCTTATTTATATCTATTTCCTTTCGATAAAAATAGAAGCTCCAAAAAGTGAATCTACCACACAAGGGAGGATACTTTTAACTCAGGCCTAAGTTTCACAGATAGAGTTACGATGCTGCCCTGCGTGTAGGCATCCAGCTAGATGGTCATTTTCTGAGTCATCTAACTTCTGAGTTTTCATTTTTTTAAGAGTATAATTAAGATAGGTTCCCAGGGATTTAAAAAAAAAAAAAAAAACAACCCACCAACCCTGTGAGTAAAGTAGACAGTCTATATGTGGAGACCCATATAAGGAGATTTGTGGGCACCTGCCCAACTTGAGAGAAGCATTAAGAGCTATTCGAAACCTACTGAAATGTCAACACACTTTTGAAAAAGGTCCATTAGGGATGCAAATGTGCAGCTCCCTGATTATGATAAGCACTGGAAAGAAAACAGTGAAACCCATTAGGAGGCTTTGAGAACTGGGTTCTGAGGCGCAGGGAAGACAAGTCTAGTTTCTGCGGGTGCTGGGGAGATGAAGCCCAGCCCTTCTCTGCACCCTGAACCAGTGATTCTAATGATTTAAATGGCCCCCCAAAATCCCTCTTATTTTGGATAAAGCCAATTAACTCATTTGTAAATGGGCCAACTTTGAAATTCCATCAATGGCAGATAAAATTCATTTTAATAAGATTTATTCTGTAAAGTACAAACTGTGACTTGCTTCTGTAAAGGATCTGACATTAGAAGCTCACTTCAGGCTTTTGATGTGTTTTGGTTGGTTCTTGCAGGGGTTTTTCTTATAAAAGGTTGATTCCAATTTAAAATCTATAATTCTTACTACATACTCGTCTACAAATCAACTCAAACTAGGGGTATATATTTCTATCTAATAGTCACTTAGAGCTCTTTGAAAAATTACCTAGTCAGAAGGACACCTTCCATTCCAGCTGCCCAAGTTGTTCACATATGACATCAAATGATAGTTATAGTAATGGATAAATTGGAGCATAATTTTTTTGTAATTGCTCCATAAGTAAAAAAATATAATTGATTTTTTACCATCTTCCTTGATCTGGAAGGAATTGTATCAGTTTCCAGGACGTTGTAAAACAAAATATTTAAAGTATGTTTCAAATAATAAAAAGAGAAATACTTAACTTAATAAAGATGTGGAATTCATTTATGAAGACAAATACTGGCTGTGAACCAATAGGCCAAAGAGTCTGCCAGAAGTTTGCTGTAGACAGTCATTCTTGTATGTCCACTCTGCCCTATCACTCTGAAGTTCAATCCATATTAAGAAAATGAATTTTCTCAGCCATGCTAGACTTTGAAATCATTGATTTTGTTTGCTTTGTTTTTGAGTAATATAACAGAAGGTCTTTTTTCAGTTTTCTTCCTTATAAGGAATAGCAGTCCGTGGCACTTATAATTATAGCTCTTTCAGCCTTATTTTAATTAAAGAGGTTTGTTTGGCATATATATTTGATGCTTGGGAATTTTATATAAAAGTTATAGGTTTTGATCCTTCTGGAGAGCTTCAACAACTGAAACCATGGTGAAAATGGAAAGCACTTAACTTTCGTAAGAACACTTGAATGTTTCAGTATTACCCGAAAGCAAAATTATAAGCCTTGGAAAGAAAACATTTCCATTTGGCATTTTCACTTTTGTGCTTGTCAAGAGAAATAGCCTCAGGCTTCAGAAAAGCAGAAAGATCTATTACCAATATCATGAGGCAAGCACTCCGGTGCTCACTTATGTTGGATCAATCTTGTTCACTTCTAGAAGCCTTTCCAACTATGTTATGATGTTCTCCTTTCTGCTTCTCCATCCAGACGGAGCAGTGTCCTCCAGAAAGTAAGCGTACATTTTCCCAATGGTGAAAGGAAACCAGAATGATTTTACCCAAATGCATAGCCCCTGCCTCCAGGGAGATTTGAGACTAATCACAGAGATGGATACTAAACAAAATAACCATACCTATTAATATGTTATTAGAAATAGCATGAAGGAAAACCACAGGGGCCTATGTGACCCTTTAACTTTGTGGTTGCTAGATTTGGCCTTTAATTTGGGGGTCAAAGAAAATTTTAAGAAAGAGATATTTAAAAGGAGACCTAAAGGATGAATGAGAATTTGTCAACAAAAGAGCAGACGGCAAAACCTTCCAGGCAAAGATCAAAAGATGCTTCAAGGCCCTGGGGTGGGAAAGAGTGTGGCACATTCTAGGAAATGAATGGAAGCTTGGGTGGATAGACCCTTTCAAGCCAGGTGGAAAGATAGTACTACAGGCATCAATGAGGTAGAACATATAAAAGATACTGAAAAAACATCCTAAATGCTAAGGAAAATCATGCAAGAATGTTGAACAGGGAAATGTCATGACCAGATCTTTGGTTTATGAAGATCATTCTGGCTACAAGACAGAGTTTGGATAGAAGAAGAGCAAAACTGGAGTCAGAAACTGTTGGAAGAAACCAAGAGAAACAACACTGTGTTTTGGACTAGGATCTTGGCAGTAGGGATGGAGCCAAGTGGATACACTCCAGGTCTATTTTGGGGGTGGAGTGAATAGAACTTGGTGAATGATTAGAAGTACAAGATGAGGAATCTCAAAGTTAATGACTAAATTCTGCTAATTCACTTCTACCAAATATATTTAAGGAAATATGAGGGGAAAGATCTAAAGACGGAGCACTGTACTAGTCAGGGTTCTCCAGAAAAACAGACCAAAAAGAGAGAGAGATATATGGTTTATTATAAGGAATTGACTCACCAGATTATGGAAGCTAAAAAGCCCCATGATCTGCCATCTGCCAGCTGGAGACCCAGAAAAGCAGATGGTGTAAATTCCAATTGGATTCTGAAGGCCTGAGAACCAGAAGCACCAATGGTGTTGCTCCCAGACTAAGGTCAGGAGAAGACAGATGTCCCAGCTCAAGCAATCAGGCAGAGAGAGAGATAACTCAACCTTCCTCCACCTTTTTCTTCTATTCAGGTCCTCAATGGATTAGATGAAGCCCACCCACATTGGGGAAGGTATACTGCATTACTCAGTCTACCAATTCAAATGTTAATCCCTTCCAGAAACAACCTTATAGGTGCACTCAGAAATAATGTTTAACCAGATATCTGGGCAACCCATGGCCCAGTCAAGTTGACATAAAACCTACCATCACAGGCACCATGGACTGGATCATCCATAGGACTCAACCTAGGCACTTAGGGAATGTCATCTTAGCTCTTTAGCAGGTGGTGTCAGGTATCATCTACTATGAAGTAGTGAAATGTTTTTCCTGGCAGACCTGGAGGATTTTCATCATTCTCAAAATGTCCAGTTTAAACCTAGTCCCAATGAGTCTGATGGCTCCAACACTGAAAAGACAGAACTGCTTATTTGGGGACCTGTCCTACCTCTCCTAAAAGATGTCATTGTGCTTACTAATAAATTACTTATTCTAGTGCACAAAGAGTGAAACCTTTATTTCCTGCTCATCCAAAGGATTATTGTTCATATGTGAGAAGAAATGACCTCCTCGCCTACCTGTCACGATTCCTGGTTCCTGCTGCCCTCCTCAGCTAAATGTTACTTGCACTCAGAGATCATTTGAGCCTTTCTTTTGTTCAAGGAAAGGAAAGTCCAAGAACAACCAGTAAGGAATTACTCATCTATATGTGTCCACCTTTGAGGAAAATCTACCTTTAACTGACGTGTTGCTTCCCTGAAATAAATAATAGTTCTGGATCTCTCACTTTTTTTTTTTAAGACAGAGTCTCTGTTTCTGCAGTGACACGATCATAGCTCACTGTGTCTTCAAACTCCTGGGCTCAAGTGATCCTCCCACCTTAGCCTCCCAAGTAGCTAGTACTACAGGCACCCCACCATGCCTGGCTCATTTTTAAATTTTTTGTTAAGATGAGATCTTGCTAAGTTGCCCAGGCTTGTCTGAAACACCTGGGATCAAGAGATCCTCCCGCCTCAGCCTCCCAAAACACTGGGATTACAGATGTGAGCCACTGCACCCAGCCGGATTACTCTCTCTTGATCATATCTACTCATTTAACTTTAGGGTTGAAAAGGCCCTTGAAGATTGTTGGTTCAGCCATTTTTTGTGTGTGTGTGCATGAGGAAACAGAAACTCAGAGGCACTGAGGACACAGCCCTAGATCACCAGGCAAATGACTGGCTGAGTCAGTAGACACTCTTGCTGGTGTATTCATATTCAAAGCCATATCATGCAGGACTCAGTTACTTCACTTTGTCATTTTGTGATCATCAGGTTGACACATCTTAAGAAAGCACAATTTGGCCTTTCTGTTCTGGTCAGGAATCTGAAGAAAAAAACCAAGCTATCGGCTGGGCATGGTGGCTGACGCCTATAATCCCAGCACTTTGGGAGGCCAAGGCAGGCGGATCACGAGGTCAGGAGTTCAAGACCAGCCTGGCCAACATGGTGAAACCTCATCTCTACTAAAAATACAAAAATTAGCTGGGTGTGGTGGCAGCCACCTGTAATCCCAACTACTCAGGAGGCTGAGGCAGGAGAATTGCTTGAACCCGGGAAGCAGAGGTTGCAGTGAGCCGAGATCACTCACCACTGCACTCCAGCCTGGGTGACAGAGTGAGACTCTGACTCAAAAAAAAAAAAAAAAAGAAAGAAAGAAAAGAAAACCAAGCTATCATGACAGACCAGTGAAGGGATTTTTGGGGGAACACTTACCGCCAGTGAGCAAGCATAATGTTTTGCATGTTCTTTAAGTGTACTGTCAGTCACTTTCCGTTTCTATTTATACTAGGGACTTACTGTCTATAGCTAAAATTGACATTTACTGTGCCCATAACCCTACCACAAATTAAAATCAGACCCCAAGTCCCTCTGGGGAAAATGTTTATTAAGCTGTAGGAAGACATCTGAAATGATACCAAATTGCATTTTAAACTTGAAACCCCAAATACCACATTTGTTTGCAAGTAGGAATAGGACTGTCTGAGGAATCATTTGAGAAACTGAGCAAGTCACTCTCTTTGGCAACATGCAGGGCCACCAGGGAAGAGAAAAGTACCTTAGAAGAAACACTTTATATAAACCCCTTGTGGCTTTTAAGTAATCATTTAAACGTAAACAAAATATTCTTTAGAATGAACTCAAAAGAAAAGTAAGCCTTTTAAAATTCCATGCCTTTAATGAACAGACACAGACATTTCAATTGTACTTATAAATACCCTGAGAAGAGGGTTGAGAGAAATATCGAAATAAAACAAGTCCATTAAAATGTAAACCTGGGTTCCAGAGTTTCTCCTGCTAATACAGGCAAAAGTGTGTTTGAGACAAAAAAAAATCTTCAGCCGGGTGCAGTGGCTTGCGCCTGTAATCCCAACACTTTGGGAGGCCGAGGCGGGTAGATCACCTGAGGTCCGGAGTTCGAGACCAGCTCGGCCAACATGGCGAAACCCCATCTCTACTAAAAATACAAAAAATTAGATGGGCATGGTGATGGTTGCCTGTAATCCCAGGCACTCAGGAGGCTGAGGCAGGAGAATTGCTTGAACCTGGGGGAAAGAGGTTGCAGTGAGCTGAGATCGTGCCATTGCACTCCAGCCTGGGCAACAAGAGTAAAACTCCATCTCAAAAAAAAAAAAATCTTTCTAGCACTTTTGCCCTTTAGGATGTAGGTATCTGTGGGTGTTTGTATGTAGCAGGTGTATTTATGTACATAGATTGGACACAGTGTCAATCTCAGAACCTAATAATGGAATCAATTTTGTCTACAGGGAAGCCATACTCAGTGGTTTCTTTGCTTGTGTGTCCAGTCCATGAGTAGCTTGGAAAATAGCAAAGCCAGGTTGAAAAGCCATTTGAGATCCTTGAATGCAAAGTGTAAAGTACATGCCAAGTATCATTATTATGAGCTTTATTGCTACTATTTTACTAAGTGTTTCAGATTAATATCAATTCTGCTTCATGATAAGTGCTCTTGCAAAGTGGGAGAACTTGCAAGGTAGCTCAGGGAAGGTTGCACAAGAGAGAGCACACAGTTTCCTAGAAACTTCACCCTTCCCCCATACCCCCTGTTCAAGCCAGTGGTAGCTTGACTGTCCCTAGAAATCAGGATAGTGTTTCAAGTTATCATAGCCCTTAAAAAGATGACTGTCATGGATGTGACATAGGGGTATAGCTGCCAGGAAATAAGAGATAGTGGACCATGAGGTAACGTTGTTAAGTCTGTTAAGAAACCTCTGTGGGGCTCCTATTGTGTGCCAAGCTCAGTGCTCTCAAATATTCTCCCTTCAGCCTAGAAGAGAGACTGGTACCTGCTGTAAGGGGTCTGGCATGGAGAGAAAGCCGGCTTCCCTGAGAAGAGGATGGGGGATAACTGGGGACTCACAGTAATGGAGGAGACACCCATACCCCTCGGAGAGGCTGGGTGTTTCTGGGTCTTTTCCCCAAATGCTTCACCCCCAAATTTAGAACAATATAGCTTTACTTTGTGTTTTAAAATGACAGTTGTATTAACTGTATTTTCTACAGCAGATCACTCATCTCTTAAATAGATTATGCATTGATCGTCTTCAAAGGGCTAAGCACACTCAAAATATTCTCTAAAGTCATTCTCATGCCATACCTGTGACATGGATATTACAGCCACGTAGTTTTTGCCAATGAGAAAACAGAGGAGTTAGATGCCTTGCTAAGATCACACACTCCTGGTCGGTGGCAGAGCCAGGAGGCGGCCAAAAGCCTATGCCTGTCAGCCCCACAAGGCTACCTTATTGGATTTCCTGGTTAAGGATGGGAGTCAGCGTTATCTCTATCATTTCTGTCAGCCACTATGTCTGGAATAAGTGACAATAATAGACCTAATTTAGGACTCCGAGAGGTTTGCCAGTTCTTCCTCCTTCTCCCTAGAAAGCAAGTCAGACAGGGACAAGTCTATTTTTTAAGAGCCCAAGAAGAGGAAATTTCAAAATCTCTATTAGCCATTTAATTGTTTTACACTATTTGTTCTTGGGAGATATTCTTTTCTAAGTTAAATCCACATGCTGCTGATGTACTGTTACTATTCTGCTTCAGTTGTGTTTGAAAGTAACTGGTGACCATTCTCAGATTATAGTAATTTGCAACTTTGAAGATCATCATCATTATCTGCCAGCCTTCTCTAATGTCTCCCCCATGGGCTAAAGAAGTCTTATTTCCTTTACTTTTCCCATTAAGTCTTCCCTTCCGGCTTTTTAGTATTTTCTCATGCTTCTCTGGAACCTTCTCCAAATTCTCCACACCTCCCCCTTCTCCCCATGATGCCTGACAAGGATCCCTTTGGGAATCCTCACTCTGATCCCAGGGTTTTTGGTGATTTGATCACAGCGGTGATTGAGATAGAGCCTGAAGCTCTCTGTTAGGATATAACCCAGTGAAGAGTTTGCTCAGCCTTGTTAGGCAATGCCCCTTTCCTTGTTCATGTTTCCTTGGAGAATAAGTGATCCTCTCAGCACGCTATCACTTTATCATTAAGAATAGAACTTGAGAAATCAGGCTTTTAGCAGCCCAAGGTTGCATAGTCCATGCATGTAGTCACAGCTGCTGAAAACCACTCCCTCTGGGCCACCGACACATCCCTCCCCTGCCAATGTATCGTGGAGCTAATAAATTCTAGCGCTGCCTTTTAAAGAGCTGAAATAATCCCAGCGAGTGGCTGGGTGGAGGGTGTCATAAATTTGGTCTCCCAGGAGAGATATTTGAAAACTGCCGAAGAGACCCTGCCTTGAGATTCGAGAAAAGGTGAAATAAGAGCATGAGTGAGGGCAGCAGTGAATCGAAGAGCCTTGCAGGAGGCACGGGATAAGCAGAGGCTGCCGGGAAGATCCAATAGATCTTTTATAAGAGTTCTGTTTTCATGGAAGTCTCTTGCTGCTGGAGCTATTGCCATTCAGCTGCAAAATTCCGTCATCTATTTGGAATATAGATATTGGAAGATTGTGCTAGGTGTGGATTCCACCACAGATTATTCGTTAAAATACACTAACTGACAAGCTCAAACCTAAACAGAATTGCTGACTTGGAGCTCAGAATGGGGGTGGGGCTCTCCGTGTGACTGTGAGCTCAGGGAGCTCTCTGCCTCTGCAGAATACCCAGGCAAGTGCGCCAGTGAATGTTTTCATGAATTATTCATTTATGGTGAATGAATGCAAGCAGCAATCACATGTAAATGACAAGACTCATAATCAGAGGGCTACTTATTTGTCCTTGTGAGGCAAGGAGGAATCTTTTTAACAACTCACAACGGAAAGAAATTTAACTGAGAGATGTCTTTCTGAGGATATTTTTTCCCAGCTAGTCAGATGTACAGCACTTATTTGAGTTGCGTTCAAAATCATCTTTTATTTCATCTTTTGGTCTGCATTTACTTGCCTTTTCTAAGTGTAACTTTATGAATAATTGATGGAACTGGGAAGTTATTGGCTGATTGAAAAGCCATCTCTTCATGTCTGTAAGTCTGACCTATGGGTAAAGCCAACTGTTCAGGCTTTTAGGGTCTTTAATGAAAGGTCTTTATAAAAAGCCTTTCACTCTTTATAAGGAAAAAAAAATCAGATTTTGAAAATGGATTTTTTTTCTGACAATAGTACATTAGAAACCAATCCAGCCAGGTTTTTGGTTAATAAATGAATCAAGCTGACTGCATGACTAATTCAGATTAATGGTGCAGAAATCAGTCACTAAAGAAGCCAAAAAAAGTTTGCTTTAATAGTCTTAACAGAATGATCATAAATTCGGATCTCCCCTCCTATTACTGCTCTCTGTGTTTAAAACGCTTGAAAGCCCTAGTAAACATCTCCTCCGCCTAAGTAGATGCAGTGTATATGCTATAAAACAAGGCAAAGTCTCCAGCAGGATGCAGATCTGTTAGCTGTATTATGTTTTATTACTACCATTGGCTTACTTGAAGCCAGGCTTTTATTAAAAAAAAAAAAAGAAGAAGAAGTTATCGTTTGCAAAATAACAGATACTACATCCATAAAATAAAGGCATCAGTAGTACCAAATTCATAAAAAGGAGGCCCAAATTTACCTCGTGTGGTAAACTTCATTTCCAACACCCTGGTGATAATGATCCAAAAGTGCCCTTGTCAATATCGATAAGTCCGTGCGAAGCAGAAATGAGATGTTTAGTTGACCACAGTGTGGGTGTAACTGGTGCCTCCTTGCGCACAGCTTTGAGCATTCTAAAGTACGACCTTATTGCAGGGCAGGCATCCAATTTTTAAAACATAGTGTAGATTGGAGACAGATGAGTGTTCCTGAATTATCCTTGGCCTTTTCTTATGAAATGCCTAAAATATAATTTCAAGTGGAAATTGATTTAATTGATGTGAAAACAAGTGGGTCTAGAACTCATCTAAAAGCTTGAGTTTAAGGGGTGTTGATAAAAACTACACATTACCTTTTATGCTTTTCAAGAACAGAAATGAGTTGTATTAAGCTGTTAATGTAAAATGGAGTTCCATTTATGACTTGTAAATCAATTAATTTATTCTCATTAGTAAGTGAAGATATCTATTGAACGTGATTCCTGGAATGTCCATTGTTAGAGTGATTCTTGATATTTATGTTTTCATTAATAAAAGACATATTTATTAAGCACCTACTAGGTACCATGTACTCTCTTAAGTTTCAGAAATATCTGCTACAGTAAACAGGTAGACATAATATCAGACTCATGAAGTTTATTGTCTAGCTGGGAGAAGAGACATTTTTAAAAATTACTCAAAATTAATGAATTGCTAGATGCTATGGTGAGTGCCTGTAGTCCCAGCTACTTAGGAGGCTGAGGCAGGAGGACTTCTTGCTCCCAGGAGTTTTAAGCCCACCTGGGCACCATAGCAAGACCCCATCTCTAAAAATTAAACATAAATCATTGATGAATTAAATCAGGAAGCTGAAATGGTCCCTTCTAAGAGCCTACAGAACACATTTAATTTATCATTATATATACACCAATTGGAAATTTGTAAATAAATTATTATTTAAATGATCTAACTGGCCAAACCAGTTTTCCTTTCTAAAATGAGAGCGTGCACCAAGCCTGACACATATTTGTTGTTTAATTGATCTTTGATGAGTGATTGATTCATTGATTGAATAGCGATAAATGTTCCTAGAGAAATGTACAGGGTATACTGAGAGCACTCGAGAAAGGGCTCCAGTCTGATGTGGTTGCCCAGAGAAGGTGGTGAAGATTACATATGTCAGGTTTTGTGGCAGGAAGACAGATGGCGCTTCCATGAAGGTGAAAGGAAATCACTATGGCAGGTATACCAGGCCCAGAGCAATGAGCGAGAGAGGTGGTCAGAGGCCAGATGGTGCAAGGTCTTGGAGCTTTGTCATGTTGTGTCACAGGGAGGTGGGCTTACTGGTCTCCCTGATAAGCTATAGCATTCGCTGTTTGACAGTGACAGTTTTAGGACAGGAGAGGGGCTAGGGAAGAGGCAGAGAATAGGCTACAGATACAAAGGCAAAATTCTCTTCCTGCACACTCAACATTCTGTGTCACCAAAAGAAAAGCAGATGGGGAAATCCCAGATCTTCAGCCAGCAGCCCTCCCTTGAGCCTAAGAAAGCGTGGAAAGAGAGAATACATGTTTTAATTGAGTCTGCTGGCATTTTGATGCCTTTTCTAAGGCTAAATATTTCTACTTCTTTGTGTCATTTGTTAAAAGGGGAAATATTATATCTGCTCTCTAGGAGCTTGACAGTAAGATTTGGTTCGGAACATGAGCTCATTCACAAAAAGATATGGGTAATAAGACGTCTTTTAAAAATATGGGTCAGGCAGCTTTCTCGTGTTCCTAATTCTTGCTTCTGTGTTCATTTGTCATTGTTTTTAGGAAAAACAAGATACTGGGGAACTAGTTTTGTTCCATTTTGTGGAAATATTCTCAAGGGCTTTTTCTGAAAAATAATGTGAAGTCATTTTGAAAATTCTGTAAAGTTGTGGGTGAGAGAAGTTCATTTGCCTCTGTAGAAGGGTTTGGAAATCTAAAGTTGATGGATTTTTAAAGAAATATCTTACATGCAGCCAGTGTTGGACCTTTTACATTTGTTGGACTGTGGTTCTTTAAAGCTAAAGATTGGTGTTTTAGAGCAAGCCATAATTTTTTATTGTAGTATGGTGATTAATCTGTTGTTAGATCAACATTTCAGAATAATAATAGTGACAAAAATAACCCATTTAGTATATTCAACTGCTCATTTAGTATCATGAGATAAATATCTCTATCACCCCCATTTTACAGTTGAAGAAACTGAGGCACAGAGAAGACAAGTAATTTGCCCAAGGTCACACAGCTGGTAAGTGATAGAGCTAGGATTCCAACCTAGGTAGTCTGGCCCATGTCCTTCACTTTACACATCACTCCATTTTACAATGTAATTATTACCTGCCAAGGAAGCTAAGTATATTGTCTTTCTGTTTAACCTTCTACTTGATTATTCTAACAATTTTCTTTCTTTATGAAAATAGACCTGAAATCCCAGCACTTTGGGAGGTCGAGGCAGGTGAATCACTTGAGGTCAAGAGTTCAAGACCAGCCTGGCCAACGTGGTGAAACCCCGTCTCTCCTAAAAATAGAAAAATTACCCCGGCATAGTGGCACATGCCTGTAATCCCAGCTACTCGGGAGGCTGAAGCAGGAGAATCACCTAAACCCAGGAGGCGGAGGTTGCAGTGAGCCAAGATCACACCCTTGCACTCTAGCCTAGGCAACAAGAGTGAAACTCCTCAAAAAAAAAAAAAGAGAATTTATTATTATTATTATTATTATTTTCTGAGATGGAATCTCACTCTGTCACCCAGGCTGGAATGCAGTGGAGTGATCTCGGCTCACTGCAGCCTCCACCTCTTGGGTTCAAGCGACTCCTGTGCCTCAGCCTCCCGAGTAGCTGGGATTACAGGTGCCCACCACCACATCTGGCTAATTTTTGTATTTTTAGCAGAGATGGGGTTTCACTGTGTTGGCCAGACTGGTCTCAAACTCCTGACCTCAAGCAATCCGCCTGTCTCGTCCTCCCAAAGTGCTGGGATTATAGGTGTGAACCACTGCACCTGGCCAAAAATAGAAATTTTTAAATTCCACTTTGGAGAAGAATGAGTAAATAAGCATTTTGCATTAGTAATTGCCACTTCTTAAGATTTAAGAGTTTGTATTCCTCTCTTTAGCATTTCAGTCTCCTGTCCCAGACAAAAAAAAGAAAAAAGTAGTTTGCCAAATTAGGCTACAAGACTTCATTTAAGAAGGTCCAAAAGAAGCACATATTTTAAAAAATTTTTATTTATTTTTTATTTTTTGAAATAAAGTCTCGCTCTGTTGCCCAGGCTGGAGTGCAGTGGCAAGATCTCAGCTCACTGCATCCTTGACCTCCCAGGCTCAAGCAATCCTCTCACCTGTGTCTCCCAAGTAGCTGGGACTATGCCTGGCTACTTTTTGTATTTTTTTTTAATAGAGATGGGGTTTTGCCATGTTGCTCAGGGTGGTTTCGAACTCCTGAGCTCAAGCTCAAAATGCTAGGATTACAGGCGTGAGCCACCTCACCTGACCAGAAGCACCATGTCTTTGCATAAGCAAATACAAGTGCAATGAGCAAATATTCTTTTTGTGGTCTGGGTGTGAAATTTTGTTGTATTTAAATGAGAAAGAAGCATGAGTCCCGTGGAATATAAAGCCTTTTTAATCAACTTCTCTTAATTTTTAGGAACACCTTCTATTTGGGGTTTAGTCATGTTTTAAATGCAGTTTTGATATGAAGAACTAAATGCTGGCTGGACCGGCTTGATTTCACTAAATGAAGACGCTGACCACCTACTGTGTGCCAGATGCTGGGTTAAGCACTGTGGTTGCTGCAGTGAGCAGTGCATGATACCCTTATCATGATGGAAGTCATAATCTAGTTGGATTAAGAACATCTTGTTTTCAAGTCCTGAAATCCGAATTTTAGAGCTTCAAGAGTCTTTGAGATGCCTATAGGCTCATCTGTTCATTACAAGATGGTGAAATGGAGAGCCTGAAAGTTAAGAGTCTTTTCCCCCAGTCAATAACTTTAATAACAATGACATCTGGATATCCTCCTGCTCCCTGAAGCTTTTTGTTTTTTAATTCTGTTCTCCACCAAGTCCTTATGTTATTATTTTTTCAATTTTTTTTCAAGATTTCTTCGATATCTATGGTCTGTTATTTGTTTTCTGTTTTTCGGTTTTTTTGGAGATAAGAGTCTCACTGTGATGCCCAGGTTCCCAGGTTCCAGGTTGGAGTGCAATGGTGTGATCTCGGCTCACTGCCACCTCCACCTCCTGCGCTCAAGTGATCCTCTCACCTCAGCCTCCAAGCATCACCATGCCTGGCTAGTTTTTGTGTATTTTTCTTTTTGTAGAGACAGAGTTTTTCCATGTTACCTAGGCTGGTCTCGAACTCCTGGGCTTAAATGATCCACCCAGCTCTGCCTCCCAAAGTTCTGGATGATAGGCATGAGCCACTGCACCCAGCCTGTGGTCTGCTTTTGATGCTAATTAAAAGAAAATGGGAAGATCAATATCTTCCCATCTTCTAACCTACTTTTTTTTTGCATTATTGACTCTCTTTCCTTTGCCTGGTCACATACGTGGCAGATCTGTCTGTCCTGAGAGTTTAACAGATAGTCCCAGTGTGCCACAGATCTTCTGAAGACCTGAGAAAGGACAGCAGGGTGGAGAGACCCCTTCGCACCTTCCAGACGAAAGCACTGGCCTGAGGATAGGCTTGCCCAAGGGCAAAGAAGACCCTGTAGACACAGTTCTGGCTTTTCAGACACCCCTAGACAGGAAAACATCCTTCGGGGGGAAAAATGAGGACATGAAATCGCTTGCTGCGGTGCCTATCATTCTGTTAAGGACAGTGAAAACACAGTCTGTCATCCTTGACATTTTAATTGAAAGAAAAGCTTACATAGATTTCAACTGTAAGCAGTATGTTTATACAAGTGTAGAAAGAGGAATAATCTGTCAAGTTGGAAAACTCTTAATGCTGCAGGACTCAGTTTAGTAATTGAACAATCCAACATGAGCTCACACATCTTACCTTGTTCCATGCCTCAATAATTTTTAGTAGGAATACTTTACCTAGAGGCATATGGTTATTAAAAGGGAGGCTTGGCCTGCACCAAGTCTGGAATTATTAGCTCATGGCAACAAGCCTGCACTGGAGAAGGACTGTTGGGTCTTTGTTTTCACAACTTTACTGCAATTTGCCATATTATTTTCAGAGTCTAACTGATGTGTTGTTTGGGAAGTTTTGTTTTGTTTTGTTTTAAAGGAAGAAAATGGAATTTCATGTGGATGAGTGAATTCTCACGTTAGCAGTATTACAGGATTTTACTACTTTATAGAAAGTCCAGGGAGCACTGTGAATATCAAAAGAAATGAACTGTGAATTTTTTAACATAAAAAATCAATAATAACGTAGTTATGGGAGCCATCCAGGTGTGATGGGGGAAACCCTGTACGGCAAGTTGAGTATAAGCCCCGTTCCCGTTCATGACCCATGTGACCTTGGGAAAATTTAAATGTCTCTGAATTCAGCATACTCCTGACTTAAATGGGAAGAATATGATCTAACTACCTCATTGCATTGTTTCAAGGCACATGAAGTTAGGGACAATAAAATGCCTTTAAAAATATGAAGTATTATTTAAGTGCAATAGAAAAAGTTTTATGCAAGTATAATGTATTAAATAATAATTCTAGTTTCAATATACATGAAGGGAATTAGACAATGCCATGCTTACTTTAACGATATGAGCATTCTGGACAAATGATTGTTTCTTGGACCTAGCTACATAGCTACATGCGTCAGTCTAGTCCTTTATATACCTAGTGATGAGTAGGCACAGGTCATTTAATTTACTTTTTTCAGTTTTTGTAGTTTTAAAAATTCAAGCAAGAAACAGAGAGAAAATTCTGCTGGTTTGGTAGGTGGGGGTTGGGGAAATGATTTATAGAATCTGTGTAGAACAATAACCTCAAAATTATTCAGAATCCAAACATATAGGGATCTCAAATAATCCTTTCCCTTCTATACACTACTAATTAGCTTGATCGATATCATTAGGAAATTATTATTATAATCCCAAGGGAACCTAGTACCCTGAAAGGCTATCTTAATGAGGAAATACTTGATATTTTAAAATCTGGTAGGTCTCTACAAAGTGTAGAAATAACCTACCTAATAAGAACACTGAATTAAATGAAACATACCATTCCCAAACTATTTATATAACTGAGAGTTTTCCATGGTTTCAGGAAGAATAAAAACTCATTTTAAATGTAATTACTTTTGCATCCCCATTCGCGTAACCATTAAGTTGTTTAATTAATTTTTTCTCTAATTTTTTTTAATTTTTATTTTTTAGTAGGCAATCTCCTGAACTAGAATAGGTTCAGACAGATTCCCTGATTTCTTTTTGAAAAAGAACACCTCAAAAAAATCCTAATGAACAATATTATTTTTCATATGTCCCATTGGATACAGAATGTAAATGATGATAATATGTTGCCCTTTGTCCCATGAGCATGATATTGCAAACCAACATAATAAAAAGAAATGTTTTTAGCTGTCTTTGCTATAATATTTTTACTTGTTCCTAACTGTCTATACTTAAAACATTCCCCTCTGGTGACTAGGAATACAAACGTGGTAAAAGGCTGTATGTGTGTATAGCTGTATTGTGTACATCTATTGAGATGGATATATAGACGGATGGATAGATGGATGATTAGCTATATGTTGGGGTCCTCTCAGTGAATCTTTCTCATTATGGAGGTAGGGAGTTCGGATTATTTATCTTGGATTTAGAAGAACTGACCATTATTAAACATTATATATACACTTTGATATTCCACTATTTTCTATTCAGTAAAGTTCCCAAACAAAACATTAAGACCGGAGGATATCAACAAATTTGGTTGACTGAGCCACATCCTATACCTATCTGACTCAGTCTATCCACCTGTGAAGGAGACTTTAAGACCTAGTGAAGGCACAACCTGCCATGGTATTTTGGATCAATTGAAACCAGCAGTCTTCTAGATCTGTAAAAGCCAAAGGACCTTCAAAGGCCCTCTTAGTCCTTATTGTCAATCTATACTCCAGAGTTCCAAGAGTACATGTCAAGAAATACCCATAGCACTTCATCTGCTTATCCGAAAGCACTCATCGTTGTTACAAGCTGCTTCCATTAGCCTCTCTGTGTATCTCCTCACATACACATTCTACTAATACAACTGAGTGTAATTAGTGTATATCTGCATAATCTCTGCGGAAAGGCTTTATATTCTTTTTTTTTTTTTTTTTTTGAGATGGAATCTCGCTTTGTGGCCCAGGCTGGAGTGCAGTGGTAGAATCTCAGCTCAATTCTCCTGCCTCAGCCTCTCAAGTAGCTGAGATTACAGACGTGCGCCACCACGCCCAGCTAATTTTTGTGTTTTTAATAGAGACAGCGTTTCACCGTGTTGGCCAGGCTGGTCTCGAACTCTTTATATTCTTTTATATTTTCATATATACACCTATCTAAACTGATCATAAATCTTGACTGATTAATGACTAATCCTTCTATGATGTGTGTGACTCTGGTGGTTAGCTCTATTTCCAAAAGACCTCTTGGGCAAAAAGAGTGGAAAACTTTATCTTCTTTGAAATTGCAACAGGCATGTGAAGGAAGAATATGTTGGCATTCTGTCCCCCACCTCAATCTTCCACTTTTCATGGGAGCCAAAGGAACTCTGGGGAAGCAGCTCCTTCTCCTACTCTGGTTGGGAGCACTAGACAGGGCTGTCTTCTCAAGCACAGGAAAGTATTGCCCTACCCAGAACATCTCTGTCTGCAACCTTTGCCCAGCACTTAGCACGAGGGAGCCTCTCCCTCGTTCTCTCTCTCTTAAGAGAATGCATTAATTCTGGAAGCACTAGTTTCTAGCATAACATTCAGGAGAAGGTTGTTTAACATGGAAGCCTCAGAGGTCCTGGGAGGTTTTTGTTTGTTTGTTTTGTTTTGTTTGTTTGTTGTTAGGTCTTTAATTAAATGATTTGACATTTATACAGCTCCCCAGAGCAAAAGCATGAGGAGATTGAGAATTTATGTGGGGAGGTCTCTTGTTTGCCATTTTTAATAAACACAAATAATTCCCTTTTTCCCTCAGCTCCACATTCTCTGGCTCATTAAATCAATTTAAGGCTCTTAAAATTGTTTTCTGGCAAATTGAAGCAAAAGCTCAAACTATGTACAATACTCCCCCGAGGAGTGCTTACCCAAGTCTTGTAGGTCAGGCCCAAATCAGTTTCTGTGAAACAGCCTAACACCTCGCGTTATTATGAAATGAGAGGCTGGTAATTGGAGGCTAGGCTCCGGACTTGCTCTGAGAAAGGCCAGCTGTGCTGCCGCACCAGGATCCGGCTTCTTTGGTTTGTTTTTTTCCATTCACAGTGGAGAACGCTGAAAAAGTCAAAACAGATTTCTGTTGGGAATTCATGAATGAAGTTTGCTCTGAAAATCCAGAGAGTGAAAGTGTTTCCAGAGCAAAGCCAGGCAGGCTTCCAGGCAGAGGTGTGGGAGAGCGTGGCTAAAATAAATGTACATAGATCTCAGGCTCTAAGACACTTCAGAGGGCTGAGATTTCTGAGTAAACAAAGGATTTCACCACCAAGTTCCTTTCCTAAGATGCGAGCGTTTAGGAGACTTATTGGCTTGTTTCTATTGAACATCAGTTAGATAACAGAGGTCAGGAAATGAAGTGGAATTTGATATATTAACTAGGAAGCAGCAAAGGAAACCAGGCTTGTGTTTTATTTGTTATTATTTCCCTAATATCCTCAATTATGTGACTCTCCCATCAGTGGATCTGATCTGCTGCACATGTGACATTGTTGTCCCTGCTGTTCTGGACACTGGGGAGACAGGGCCAGGGCACCAGGAATCATGTTTGTTTGTTTTTTTCTTTGTCCCAGGCCTGTCCCAGGCTCTCTATCTTCTCTGCTACATCTCCACAACAGACAGAGACAGCCCATGCCAGCCTCCATGCCTGGGACCCTGCCCAACCCTACAATGCCAGGATCTTCCGCCGTCTTGATGCCAGTAAGTGTTTCTGTGTGTCTCACAATAGCTTGTCACTTGCACTGAGGTTTGCCACTCTTGAAAGGGCAAAGGAAACTCTGAGATCCAAGCTGATGGGAAAGAAGGCGACTGCTTCTGAATGGAGGGTTGAGCTGTGTGCAATTTTGCTTTGAGGGCCCAGTTGCCCATCCCCAGGCATCGTGTTGGCTTCCCCACCCTTCAGTGCTTTGCTATGAGATATGGTCCATGGTGACAAGTGGGCCTGTGACACCCAGGGAATGGAATTTGTTCAGGGAGATGGTGTTTCATATCTACTCCAAAGTCTACAGTTTGGGCTGTATACAGAGTGTCCTTAAATTGCCAGTGAGTCGTCTAACCAGGACTCAGGATAATAACTATAATAATATCAATAACAATGATCATACATAATAGCTGCTAACATGCATTTATGCATATCATGTTCTGTTGTTCTGTTAATCATGCTAGCAGTATTTATTGAGTGTTTACTGTATGCTAGTCGCATTCCAAGCACTTGATCCTCACACAAAACAATTCTACAAAATGGGTGTATTACTGTCCCCACTTTTTGAATGAGGAAAGAAAGGCAAGTAACTTGCTCAGCTGAGAAGCAGAGTGGCTGAGTTTTGAACCCAGGAATTCTGGTTCTAGAGCCCACTCTCTTAACCACTATATGATATGCACACACTCTCTCCTTTCCCTCTCACAACAAACCTGTGAGATAGACACTGTTTTTATACCTATTTTCCAGATGAGGAGACTGAGGTATAGACAGGCTGAGTAACTTGGCTAGGGTTACAGAGCTAATAGGTGATGGAGGTAGGACTTAGATCCAGGTAGTCCGACTTCTGAGTCTCCACTCATAATCATTATCTAATAACAAACAATAAAAATAATAGATAAGGCCAGGCGTGGTGGCTCTCGCCTGTAATCCCAGCACTTTGGGAGGCCAAGGTGGGTAGATCATGAGGTCAAGAGATCGAGACCAGCCTGGCCAACATGGTGAAACCCCATCTCTACTAAAAATAGAAAAATTAGCTGGGCGTGGTGGCATGAACCTGTAGTCCCAGCTTCTCAGGAAGCTGAGGCAGGAGAATCGCTTGAACCCGGGAGGCGGAGGTTACAGTGAGCTGAGATCACACCACTGCACTCCAGCCTGGGTGACAGAGCGAGACTCCGTCTCAAAAAACAAACACAAAAAATAATAATAGATAAACATAGAAGGGAGATACCCAGTTTTCCAGAAGAAATATTTCTTTCCTTGCATGGACCTCTTCTTCATCCTCCCTGGCGTTGTGCTTTGGTGAAGATGGCTGGTGTATTCACAGGGCCACCGGAGTTCTCAGAAGCCCTAGAGGCAGTGTAACAACTCAATGAAAACCCTCCCCACAACAATATTAACAATGCCTTGCAAAGCCTTTTAGCATTTTAAGAAATTGTTTCCATTGTTATTTCATTTTATTCTCACAGCAATCCTGTGGGGATACAGTAGCAGTAATTACTGATACACTCATTTTACAGATGAAAAGCTGAAGAAGAAATTGAAGGTAGCTGTCCAATGTCACACAGCTTGTGAGTGAAGAATTGTGGCTGGAACCCACGTCTCAACTGACACTGAGTAGCTCAGATCATCCCAGGTTGAGCAATTTGCTCATTTATCTAAGTATAGGCAGGGGAACGGCGAAGGGCCCGCAGACTCAGTTTAGAGAAATGGACTTGCCCACCCTAAATACTGAGTAGTCCAGATTAGAAACAGTCTTTGCAACACTGGGCCAGAGGACAGATCACGTTGGTTGACTTTACCTATGTTGCTCTCCTTAGACCCCTTTACATGAAAGAAAACAGCACCATCAATGCAATTATCCCACATTTTATTCAACCCAACCAACTACGTGAAGACTTCCACCACAAGCTGTCTTCTTTTAGGCTTTAAGTTGTTCCCATCCAAAAATTATTATTTTTTTACAACTTCTATGCATTGCCCAGAAAAATACCACTGCAGAGACTTTTTAAAAAAAAATTTGGCTAAGCTGTGCACCATTCCCAGAGACAAAGATGAGACACTTAGGCTGAAAAGACCCAGAGAAACCAGTTTCTACCACATCATTTATTCCTACAGCTTGACCTCCTGTTAGTGCTTCAGAGTAGCAGCAAAGGTTCAGCTGCATGGTCAAGAGCTCCCAAACCTGTGACATTGATGTACACAGCTGCCATGGCAATAGGCGTCAGTTTAGAGCAGCGATGCTCACCTGGGGGTGATTTTGTCCCCCGGGGGATATGTGGCAATATCTGGAGACTCCATTGGTTGTCACAACCAGGGTCGGTGGGAAGGTACAGGCACCTGCTGGGTAGAGGCCAGGGATGCTGCCAAACATCCTACAATGCACAAGACAGCCCCCACAACAAAGGATTATTTAGCCCAATATTCAACAGGCCTCAGGTTGAGAAGCCCTGGTCTTGAGTGACATCAATGTAACTAATAAACATTAACTTAAGATTTCTAAAAAGCATATCGTAAGAGTTCCAGGCCCTAGAAACCTAGGCCCTTTCTTCCTTATCGTGTCACCAGTTCCTGTACTATAACTTAGGCATTTCAAACCTGGTCACAGGGGAGACGCTTCCCCTAGAGTTTCTGCCCTGGAAGACCACAGTTCCCTGGGTATAAAAGAGAAGTCTGTGTCTATAAGTGAGGACAGGATTCTTCACTGATTTGTAATGCATGCTGCTGGACCACACATTTTATGAAGTCTAGGTGTAAAACAAAATGATGTATTATTTCATTCATTTACTCATTCATCCATTTCATAAACTTGTTGAGCACCTTCTATGTGCCAAGTACCGTGCTGGGTGCTGGGGACAAGATGAAGAACAAGGCAGGCATTGCCTTCAAGGAGTTCGGTGGGTTGTGATTTCTTATCTTGAAATTCAAATGCTTTAATAATTTGGAAGCGTGAACACACATTTATAATTACAAAACCTCACTGAACTACAGACAGGCTAGCTCCTGTTTTCCAGTGTGTGCAAAAGGTGAAATCCTTTACATGGCTATTTTACCTGCAGTGCTAAATGTTGCCCAGTATTCAGCAAAGCCACTCCCATCTTCTGGGCTTTTTATTCTAATCAACTCATTGAAGTCAAGCTCCTGGTGCAGACAGAGCCTTATTAGTCCAAAGCACCAAATAGTTATTTTGACTCTAGGTCTATAAGACGACAGTCATGAAGTTGGAAATGCAATTTTTTAAATAGATAAATCAGCCTGTTTAAAACTGGCATTTTGTGAATCACAGGTTAGGTAGAGACTATAGCTTTTCCAAAAAGTGGGAAGCGTTGCTGACTACAATTCCAGAAGCTGTAAGCAGGCTACTCTTACCTCTTTATATAACTAGTAGCTTGGAAGGCTCTGGACAATTATCTGTACTTCTGAAAGATCCTTCTTTGGCAACCTGGAAGCAAAAGTTATTTTGGAATTTGATTTCCCTCTCTGAGAGGGTCACCAGTCGGAATAAGGGGTCAAATACTATTCCAGCTCTCCCATCCACCAGCCTCTGGAAGGGGAGATAAAAGTAACATGAATTTTTTTAGAGCAATGAAACTCTTGAATTCTTCATGATTTACAATTACAGTGCATGAATGTACTTAATGGCCCTGAACTTAATGTACTTAATGATACTTTTAAAAGGTTAAAATGGTAATTTTATGTTATTTGTGTTTTACCACAATGAAAATAATTTTAAAAATTAGCTGTTCAGAGATTTAGGGGGGTGCGTGGGAGTGAACATTTTATTTTACTGAATTGGCAAGGCCTCAAAAAGTTGTACGGAAGTGCTTGGAAATGTACAGAAAATTCACCTTTATTAGCTCCTCTTGAAACAGTTTCACACATCTGCACACTGCCAGATGACTGATCAGCTCATTCAGGCTAAGGTAAGACTGATGGCTCTTAACTGTCACAGGGAGTAGCCACCAGTCAATTGAGAGAAAGCTTTTAGCTAGCACCTCTACTAACCCACAGATTTATGTCATAATTATACCCCTGCTCCGAGGCAGACACAACAGAAATTGCAGTCATGGAATCACAACAAGGGAAGAGACCTTTAAGGGTCATTTAGTTCAATGAGCCCTCTCAAGCTTCACTCTTGTTCGTGAGGTTTCAGTCCTCCACTCTTTGAACACCTCCAATAGCAAGCAACTCCGTATTTTCCAAGACTACCTAGGCTAACTTTAAGCAGAAACCTGGTTTCTTAAAATTTCCAATCATTGTTTTCATTTCCATCCGTTGGCAAATGGAAACACGCTTGCATTGAAGAATCTATTCTTGTCCCCCTGAGGAAAGTCTAATTCTTTTCTGTGTGATTTTAGTATTAAGTGTACTTGATTTATTCTTATTCTTTTAAAAGTGTTAATTTTCCACCAAACGGAAAATATTATTAATCAAACACACCCTTCCTGAATGGAAGTAGACATTTTGCCGTATTCGCTTCTTAGTACGAGCACCCTGGAGATTAAAATGCCAGAACTCGATTCAGGTATTTGAACGATGTTCATTTTAGACACAATGGCAGGCCAGCAGGAAGACAATGTGAGAGCGGCCATTCATGTGAAATACAAAACCCTCGGCCGCTTTCTTCACCTACCCAAAGACTTAGCCCTGCTATGAAACCAGGCCTGAAACTGCAGCTGCGTAGAGTAGCAGGGTAACAAGGAAGAAGAGATGCACTGGGCAGCAGCTCAAATGCCTGGCTGGATCACAATGATTGTGTTTGTGAACTAGGGTGACAGGAAGGCCCACCACCTCTGAGAGTGTTGCTTTTAAAACTAATTATTTTGATTGCCCAAAAGATTTATGTTTACTATATAAAATTTAGAGACAAAAAAAGCCATAGATTTCCCAAGTTAACCATTTGGTATATTATTTATCCTTTCATAGTAAGTAACCTTGGTGATTATATTTAGTGGAGTTACTTGAAATAGATCGTTTAGTTTTCCTATAGCTTTTGTATGGATATATTATTCTTTACAGCCATACAAATAAGCACTATTGGTGGTAGCTGGAGTATTTACAAAAGTGGAAATATTTGGTAATTTTATTTGAAAGTGATCTGCCATGACAATGTAGTTCTCTTTGGCCTGGGGCACCCTGTATAGAAGCACGGCTTTGGATGATTCTTTGATGTGCGTGGGTTCAAGGCTCAGGAGGGCATTGCTTACCACACACCAAACCATAGGCCTTCTCAGGATTTCTTCAAAGAAATACTAAACGATCCATTGGACAGAAAAGTGCAGCTTTGTCTAATGACCTAGACTGCCTTTGCAGACTTCTAATTCTTTTCTTTCCTTTCTCTTAGATGGAGCGACAAATGTCAGTGAACTCCAGCATCATGGGGATGCAAGGTCCAAATCTCAGCAACCCCTGTGCTTCTCCCCAGGTCCAGCCAATGCATTCAGAAGCCAAAATGGTAAGTAACAGTTATAATCACCCTTTCATTATTCTGTGACTTTTTCTTTTGAATTTTACTCTGACTCCAAAACCTTAGTTCAGCTAGGTAGAGGGCTCCATCTTTGTTTTGGTGAATGAAAGGCAGTGCAGAGACTGCCTCTCTTTTTGAGGATGTTTGTTACAGAGCCTTGGTGTCAGATAATCATGTAACAAGCACTGGATTGGCAAGTGGTATTAATGAAAGGAACATTTAGGAGTTTTGGTAGATCCATACAAGTTGGGGTAGGATATACCCAAGCGTGTATATATTTGCTCAGCATGTGAAATAATAAAAATAATACAAAACTACTCATTCTTCAAGGTAGTTACAGTTTCAATGCCACTCTTCCTGTCCCCATATTCATTAAGACAGAAGCTTGATGCTTAAACACACACTGGTATGAAAATGTTTTGTGTTTTCTGTTATATTGTCAGAAGTGACATTGATTTGAAAGGATGAGAGCCTTATTTTCTTGCAACCCTTACTGAAAGGCATGATTTCAGGTGAAAATCTTCAGTGATTTTTAACATATGTTACATGTTTGCAGTAAGGTCAGTCTTTCCAATCACAGATAGAGTTATGCATCTATATTCTACCAAATATTAGCAAAACCAATGCAATACGTGTCTGTCTTTGCAATATAAAGTAAGCTTGGTGATTATATTTAGTGGAGTTACTTGAAATAGGTCATTTAGTTTACATACAGTTTAATTCTCATGCCACAATTAATAAGGTATCACATGACTGCAAAATACACTGCAGCAAACTTTCTAGCATCTGATATTGGATAAGGATAGCTTGTGCTAGAAGTTGGAGATTAATCTGGTCTGCTGACTGGCAGCATTAGAGACTGTATCTGATGGTTGGTGTGAGGATGTTGTTGACAGTTCTGAAAGTTAGCCATCAATTCCTGTGCAGGGTGGAGTCAGACCCAGTGACTTCCTTTTCAATGTCAGCAAGAGTTTTCTCATGCCTGCTTTGGTCACTTTCTCTTGGAAACTTCACGCATTTGACTTGCAGCTTCTTGACCCGAGGAATCAACTGAGCTCCCAGTGCTGGCTACCTTGGGCAAATAAAATCTGTGGTTGAGAGAGTTCTCTTTGCTGTGCCACAGTCCCTGTGATGTGCCAAATGGCACCAGCATTTGCAGCAAAGCTCGTTAAATCTTTTTGGAATGGGCAAATATTTTTTCAACTTGAGCCCTGCTGAGCCAAACCAAATACTTGCTGGCAGAATAAAGTTCAAACTGGCAACTGTTTTGGAGACCAAAGTAATGCCATATATCTTTTTTTAAAAAAAAAAAAAAAAAGAAAGAAAGAAAGAAAGAAAAGAAAGAAAAGAAAAAATGAACTGTGAAGGTACTTAAGAAAAATAAATGTAAGTTCTTCATGTATATGAATAAATACTCAGGGTCTGTGTCTGAGATGTTACTCCCTGTGGTTTACTTTGGAATCTTCTTATCTGCTTCAGGGTCTGTACCTTTTGGAGGGACCTTCCAGATAGATATTAGGTAGATTCTAAAACACAATTCCAAACTGAATTTCTCTGCCAGTTGATTTTCACTGGATTTTATGCCACTGCTTGACTCAAAAGTGTCCTTCTTCTCTTCTTGCTGGCAAAGAAGGAAAATGCTTCCAAAGGTGGTGCAGGTTTATACTTATTTATACGTATGAAATAAATCATATGATTTGGCAAATGAATAGTGAATCATGTCAGTTGGAAACAAAGGGAACTGGTCTGTACTTATAAAAATAGTTTTACCCCACAAATGTTTGTTGGGTTAAATTTACTGAGTAAGCACACCACGAGGCTGATTCATGTTCTAAGAAAATGAATATTTCCAGGTCCACAGCATCTGAGCTAATGAACTCTATCATAGGGTTGGGGCTTAGGGAGTACAGCTATTCTCTGCCCCAAGCTCCCACCTCTACCCCTGTTATTGCCAATACATCAATTTGAAGGGAAAAATGGTAGCATTGGCTGCTCATGTTTGAAAGAATAGTACTGGAAAAATGTTAAGTGAATTTGAATATGTCACTCAGCATCTCTGTTCTTATTATGCTTGCATTTTTACTGGAGAAATCAGTTATTGCCATATACTAACCATATAGTATTTTCTAGCAGCTTTGGGCTGCTCAGATGAAAAGCTTTTACGAAATACAAAGTAGTGAAGGAAAAAAAAAACTTGCACGATTTTAATGTCAGCCAGAGCCTCCCCAGGTTTCTCTGAACTATGGGCTTTGTTGTTCTATGCCTAATTTTCTTCCTGTGTAAGACTGGAATGGATTCCAGATTTCAACTAAAACTCTTGTTTCACTGTTTTCAAGGACTTTTCCAAAGGTCACACATGGACTATTGTGATGAATGCACTCTGCAGGGTGTGTTCCCAGAGCACAGAAGTAACCAGAGAGCTGCAAGGGAGGTGTTGCCCACACCAAAACACTGCAGACTTATTCCCCTGGGGACAGTGCTGTCAGAGTGTCCATTTCAAGCTCCCTGTTGGCCACAGACAAAAGCCATTATCCTAAATCTCTGGCGAAACTTGGAGGTCTTAGAAGTGGACAGAAGTTTAAGACAGGATTGCTTTAAATGCACAATTTTGTTAGAATTTTTCTGAGTAGTGATTGCCCATTAGAATGCATCTGTTTTCTTTGCCCCCAATTAGTAATTTCTATTGTGAGAGCAAGCAAACCCAGTGCCTTTATCAAGTTCTCCAGCGCATTAATCTAGGACATCCTAGATCAAGAAGCACATGTGCAAATCTTTTGATTTAATGTACATTAGTATCAATGTACTGTAGCCACATCTGTCCAAGCTATTTTTATCATAATTCTGGCTAATTATAATTTCATTTTATGGATTCATTTTCTGAAGAATTAAGTCAACAGACATGGCTTCACAATGCACGTATTGGATTCCTTTTGGGGGTCAGAGCAGACTCAGAGCTCTGAGAGGCTTCTGTCTTTCTAACCTCTCAACATCATAGGCTCTTCCTTCTAGATTCCTGGGAGCAATACGTGTCTTAGATGAAAGTGGGATCTGCTAGAAAGAAATTCACTGATAGATACCTGGTGGACATTTTTAACATTCAAAGGGGAAAAGGAGGAAAGGAAGGGGTAGGGGAAATGCAAACCATCCCGGGACACATTTCCAGTCTCTATAGCATGCAGATGATTCTGTAGTAATGTGGTTATGGTGTTCTCAGAGTTATGTAGATATGTGTTCATTTCTATTTATGGGAATCAGACCAATTCTATTAAGCTTTGAAAGAGGTTTTTGTTTTTATTTTAAAGAAACCAGTAACGATTTGGAAGCTAAATAAGCAGTGAGGGTTAGGGGTGGAGATGTGGCCATACACCTGTCTTGTGTCTCATTAACTATGAGGTGGCTACTACTGTATAGGACTGATTAAAATGATGGAGGGCTCTGACCACTCTGCCCAGGTTTCACCTTAAGTTTATTCAGAGTTAGTGAAGGCTAGAGAGTGTTGATACTAGGAATGACAGTAGGAAAAAGATATGTACAGGTGTGACCTGATTTTCTCCTCAGTACAGCCCCACAACAGAGATATTGTCCCTGTTTGTTTGTTTGTTTGTTTGTTTGTTTGTTTGAGGCAGGATCTCACTCTGTCACCCTGGTTGGAGTGCAGTGGCATGACTATGGCTCACTGCAGCCTCGAATTCCTGGGCTGAAGCAATCCTTCCACCTCAGCCTCCTGAGTAGCTACGATTACAAGTGTGCACCTAGCTAGATTTTTTTATATTTTTGTCGAGACAGGATCTCACTATGTTGGCCAGACTGGTCTCAAATTCCTAGCCTCAGGAGATCTTCCTGCCTCAGTCTCCCAAAGTGTTGGGATTATAGGCATGAGCCGCCATGCCTGGCCTATTGTCCCCACTTTACAGCTGAGGCAACTGAGGCTACAAACGGTTAATAAAACTGGCCCAGTGACACAACACTTAGCAAAGACTAAAGTTTCAGACTCCAGTAACAAAGCTTTTGATCACAACATTGATCCTTTGGATAAAAATATCATATGGCTACCAGATAGATGTCAGTAACCAGCAGATTAAATCAGATTCCCTTGGGTTAATTTATATTTACATAAAAATGGGAGACAAGGATGGCAAGGATAGTTTATACCTCCAAATAACCTGGAAAAGATGTAGAGTGGTTAGCAGCATTCCTGCTTGGTTTAAACAGGACTCTGTAGCCTCACTAACTGGTACAGCTTCACTGTTCTTTATCCAAACACATTCTTGTCTTGACTTTTCTTATTTTACACGTGTGTCTCTCTCGATTGATTGAAAACTCCTTGAAGATGATCTTTGCATCGTGCAAGCTCCTTGTACTGAGAAAGGCCCCATGAATGAGAAATGAATTTGAGTTTGAGTTGAGTTGAATTAAAATAATGGGAAGGAACAAACCCTAGCAATGCTGATGAAGGTGGGGTGAAGTGGGATAAATCCAGATGAATTCTAAGCTAAGTAATCAGCCTATCAAGAGTAGTTGACTTCATTTGATTTCTTTGAAAAATACCTAAATCTGTCATTTTTTTTTTCCTGGAGAGAAAAGCAGTATGTCTGTTCCTTTGAAAATAGAAGTTGGAATGTCTTTGTCCTCCTTGGAGTTGAGCATCAGTACTAAATGCTATTTCTTCCATTGTGTTGGACTGGTCATGCTGTATTTTGATCATTTATTGTCAATACCTCGTCTATAGTTAGGTTTGCAATTTATTGAATAGATACCTAAGTACATGCATTAATGAATCAATGAAAGAAGCTAAAAGGATGAGAAAGACAAGGCATCTTAGAAATGGAGACTACTTAGTTAGAACCTTCTCCAATTCCTTCTTTTCACAAGTGAGGACACCGAGGCCCACTAAAGATTTAGGGAGATAAAGCCATATTTTAAACACAAAACTGGACCCTGAGCTTGGGCCTTCACATTTCTACCTAGAATTGTGATTTCTCTGTCAGCTGCACTGACACATTACTAACAGTGCTTCTGTCGGCTCGTGGTTTCCTCCGCACAGCCTGGCAGACAAGAACTAGGGAGGTATGGTGAGCAATCCGTGGTTGCATATCCACTTCGTTTTGAATGTCAACCTGGGTGTGTTTGTGTTTGCCTTTCCCCTCCCTAATTATCGAGCTGGATAACTGTTTGCCTACGGTGCCCCTTGGCCACCCACTGTCCAACAGATAAATCACAGAGGAGCCTGGCTCCAGATGGAGTTGCCTGGAAAGCTTATACACATGAAAAGACAGTCTCCAGGTAACATCTCTCTGGCACTCCTGAAAAATGCAGTTCTTCGATTTGCCTATTTGCTTTAATCATCCCCAGCTTCACTTCCTAAAAGTCCAGGAATAAAAAGCAATGAATGAATAGGCTGTCTGCTTCTCAGAAGCTTTGTGACTAGGAAAGAAGTGCTATTGACTTTAAAGAAGCTCTCATCAACTTTTGAATCATGCCAGCAGCCATGTGACCCTGTAGCCTGTGATCAAAACATGATGATGATGGGCTGAAGTAAGATGACCACGTTTCTCAGAATGCTCCTCCCTCATTGCTGTGAAAACCACTGTCCACCATGCAGATGAATAGGAATTACATAAGATTCCATGACAACAGCAGCAACAATAGCAATCTACAGTCTCACTTGTATGTATGCTGTGTCTCACCTTAAAAGCGATTTTCCTTCTTAAAACACCGTGGTAGAGAGTAGTTATTGCCAGCCTGAATCAAGCACTTATGTATGTGGTAGGAGCTATGTTAAGCATCTTGCAATATATTCTCAATTTTTAGAACAATTTGATGAGGTAGATATTCTTTTTTCTTTCTTTTTTTGTTTTTTGAGACATCCTGCTCTATCAACCAGACTAAAGTGCAGTGGAGGGACCATGGCTCACTGCAGCCTCAAACTTGCAGGCTCAAGTAATCCTCCCACGTACTAGGTGGTGCAGCTAGTAACTAGGACTGCAGATGCGCCACCACACCCAGATAATTTTTTTTTTTTTGAGACAGAGTCTCCCTATGTTGCTTAGGCTCATCTTGGAACTCCTGGGTTCAAGCAATCCTCACACTTCAACCTCCCAGACTGCTAGGATTACAGGCATGAGCCACCACGCTTGGCCCAGATAGTGTCCTTAATCTTATTTTACGAGTGAATAAACTGAAAGGTTGGGTATGTTGTAGAGCATGCAGTTGGTAAAATATGGTCTGGGATGTGAACCCAAGCACTGGGCTCCTGGTTCTAGCCCTTAATTGTAATGTTTAGCCAGCAGTAGGGATTGTTATCCTGTGAGTTTACATTAGTAGAGCACTTTACAAATTGCAAACTGCTTCCATGTACATCATATTGTTGGGGCTTCATAGCAACCCTGTAGGATCAACAGGGAAAGTTACTATGCTTGTTTTATAGACACAGAGAGGTTAAGTGACTTTTCCAGGATCACTCAGTGGTATAACCAGGACCTGAGCCCAGGTTTTCTTTGATTTTTGTCCTGTTTCTATTATATCATGCTATCCCTGGCGTTCCCATGGTAACTTATTCTGAATAAAAGCATGCCTTTATAAAAATAAAGCTCAGTTGTATAAAGTAAGATTAGGCTCAAATTAGTAGCTCAGGCCCCACCACCTCTTTGCTTATGCCTATTAAACTCTCTAGACCTCATCAACTAAATATTGGAGAGGAGTCTTCTCTAAATCTCTGTCTGGCTGAGACAAGTGCTGAATTTGAGTTTAGCTATTGTTATTAAAGAATTAAAAGCAATAGCACTTTGAGACTAACACTGAGAGCCAACAGAAACCCCATCTCCTTTCTGCTGGCTAGAAGTATGACGTTTTATATGCCATTGCCACTTTGCCCATTTAAACTGTAGAAAGTTTAATTTAGGAATATATCATGTCATCTTAAAAATAAAATGTAAATGATTAGATTATGAGGTCATTGATAAGAGAAGGGCTAGCAACCATCTATTTATATTTCTACAGAAAAGAATAAGTTCTTACAGAGTTTGTATTCCATGACCTGATCAGAACTCCAAATACACGAGAATATACATTCGATTATGTGTCTTGAAAACAAGAATTGAGAGATGATTAATTGCCTATGAATCACCAAATTCCAAAACAGGAAGGGAGTTCGGGGATTCTTTTGGCAAAATCGTTTCTTTTGAGAAAAAAAGGCCTGAAGTTCAAGTTAATAACTTGTCTAAGGTCAAGAAGCTAATGAATGGAAGAAGGAGAATTAGAACCCAGGTTCCTGATTTTCAAGTGTGTTGAACTTCCCTCTGTATATACTATCAAGTTTGATGGGGAAAGTCATCCGCTGGTTGCTGTGAGAGTGACCTTTCTAAGGTGATAGCTTATGAAGCATTTTCTGCAATTTGGTTATTGAAGCGAAGTACACAGGGGTGAAAGAGGCCAATCAGCTTTTCCCTTCTATGTCAACTGGGAATTGAAGCTGATCATCAAATTCCCCGAAGGAATGGGCTCAATTCTCTATGATTCTTCCAGAGACTTGGTGGTCTTGACTTGGCTTATTTGCCAGCCAGCGTACGAATACATGCTGAGGATTTCATCCCTTGGCACCTAGTACAAAATGCCTTGGTTTTGCTTGTCACCAACCCAAATCCCCATGTTTTCTCGCTGTTTTCTTTGTGCCTGCATGGGTCTTCCTCGGGTTCTAGAGCTCCACATCATGCTGGGTGTGGAGTGGTGAATGAGCCCACTGCTCACACAAGCACAGAGGGGTTTTGAAACGCCCCTTTCCATTCCATCTTTTCTCTTGGCCCTACCTTCTCCACCCTCACAACCGGCTCCTTGTACACACACTCAGACATTCTCCTAGGACTCATTGTCTTCTCGGTTTTATTTCTTTCTCTTTCTGCCAGTATCCACCCTGTTTTGGTAACCACGGCAACTGGTGAAATACAATCCCAATATTTGCTAGCTGCCTCTGTCACCCAGCCCAGCACGCGCATTGCTGGGTCTTGTTTTTATGTTTGTTTAATGTTCCTGAGCCTGAATTCAGATGCATCTGGGCAAAAAAAACTGCATATGGTTTGGGTCAGAACACCCCCTCTCAGACAAAGTTTTCAAGAGCCTCTTTCTTGTGTATTTGTGGACGTGTGAGCACGCGTGTGTCCCTGTCTGCTTTGGAACATTGTGCGAATAAGTTCAGCTGTGTCAGAAAAGCCAGGAAAAAAAAAGGAAATTTAACAATCTTGTTACAGGGAAGTTCTGCTTTGCAGAGATATATTTTGGTCATTTTCTTGGAATGTTTGTAGCTTACACTTCCAAGATTTTTGCCAGCACAGCTAATAATGAAAGTTTGCTTTGCACTTTGGGATGATGACTCTGTCTTGCTTTTTTTTTTTTTTTTGTGGGAAGCACAGAAGATCTATCTGGAAATTTGTGCCTTGATAGGGATGGAAGGTGGGGCATTCGGGTAGACAGAGGAGGCAAAGTTTTCCTAAAGGTTTAGGGTTGTTTTTTTTTTTTTCTTAAAACCCAAGAATCCAATCTTGAAATTTAAACTACGAAGAGTATGTTTTCCCTTTTGGTATCCTTTTAAAATTGTCTTTTTATCGCTTGTTTGAGAAGCTGGATTGTACTAAATGATTGTTGTATTGCTGTAGTGTGAATAAGATGAATCATTAGCTTCACAGGATACTTAGGTCCCAGACAATAAAGGCATGCCTCAATTATTTTTATTTCAAAACAGCATACACAGTCCCCAGGACAGAAGTGTTCAAGGAGGATGAGATTTTAATCCAACTGTGGCCTTGTATTCCAGAGATTAAAAAGTGCAACCAGAGAGCCGAGTCAGTAACCTTGATTTCAAAATAGAGCCAGGATCTGAGGTGTAAGGAGCACACTTGGGTAGAATTTCAGAGCTGGTAAAGTGTTTCACATGCACCCTTTTCTGGAACTTCCTTCTCCCTTTTGGCACCTTGCATAGGAACATGTTGCACCCATGTTTCCAAGGTACCTGAGCCTCAGTTTGGTCCAGTGTTCCTACCAGCCCCTTCTCCTCCACTCATCTCTGCACACCATGATCTCGCTCCAGGACCCCCTCTCAGGAGCCCGGCATTTTCCTGAGGGCTTCTTGCTGCCTCTGGCTGCCCCGCCTAGACTTGCATACAATCCCTGTTTGCTGCTGCAAACTCCACTCCTTTTGTCAAGGCTCAGCTCAAATGTACCTTTCCTGTGAAGTCTTCTTGCCTTCCCCAGGTGGGCAGGAGCCATGCCTTCTTCTAGGACAGACTCCACTTGCACTGTTTGTCTCTTCCTCATGGAGCTTTACTGTGTTGTCATTGTCCATGGACCTGCCTCGCCGCCAGCCTGCAAGCTCCATGAGAGCTGGGGCCAGTTTGATTCAGCTCCGTGTCCCCAGTTTGCCATCTCTCCTGTACTTGCTAGGTGCCCAGTAAACATTTGCTGATAGAATGAAGGAAGAAAAGTCTGATAAACTAATTGAGATGGTGTTACTGTGATTTAATATGTCATCCCACACTGTGAGCTACTTTTTAAGTTCCAGGGAGAAGATAAGATTTAAATCATAATTTAATTCTACCATTTAATCGTAATGATAGAATTCAAGGACCCATGATAAGTAGGTGGGATAGAGACACTGAACAGGTGTGAATTCTACCCAAAATTCCCCAGATATCTACGTTGGTACCTGGGGGCTCTGCCAGCCACAGTCAAGTGCAGCTCTGCAGAGAAGCCCTGCATGAGGCCTCTTGACCCCTGGTGTGGCACCATCTGAAGGTGTGGTGGCCTTACATGAAATGCTTTAGCACTTTAGTACTGAAATCCCCTTGCTGCAGGCCCAAGGCTTCAGTAGTTCAAAAAAAAAAAAAAAAAAAAAAAACACAAACAAAAAAAACAGGTTAATGGATTCCAGTATAGTTTTGATCCAAACACATAGGTATAAACTAAACTTTTTGCCTTCAATACATAGAGGCAAAGGAATGTGTTAAAATGAAAATTTCCTTTGCCTTTTTTCTCTGTTCATATAAGTAATACATCAAAATTGGGTTCACACTAAATATACAGTTTATATCATGCTTTTAAAAATGTTATGAGTATTTTTTCCTATCAAGTATCTTTTGAAAACATTTTAATAATTATCTAATTTATCTTATGGGGTTTCACTTAAAAATTTAACTATTTCCTCATTTCTATTTCTGGATATTTGAATTTTCTCTGCTAGAAATAGTCCTTTGATTATAAAAATTAGAAAGACAAAAAAATCTGAAACTAATTACATCTTTACTTAGTTCCTTAGGATAGATTTTCAGAATTAGGATTAACAGGTCAAAGGGAATAAACATTATAACGCTTCCAAATTTCTTAAAATTTATACTAAATTGTATTTATTTCTATAATACAGGAGGATGTTCATCTCACAGCATTTTCAGAAATATTTAACATTATCATTTTAAGCAAGATTTTGCCAATTTTTGTTTGCATTTCTTACATTATAGGTAATGTTGAAAGTTGTCTTAAATATTTTTTGGCCGCTTGATTTTATTCTTTGATAAATTTCTTTACTTTAAGGTGAAGGTGATTTTTCTTCTTTGTGGTCAGTACCAGAATCCAGGGAACTAGTAATAGAGCAAATTGTCCTTCCTCTGCTGCATTTTGAAAATTCTTACTAATTAACCAGCTTCACCACCTTACTTTACTAATTATACTTTCATTCTCTAAGACTAAATGCATGATTTAAAATACACTTAATCGTTTTGGTTTTTTTTGTTTTTTTGTGTGTGGATTTTTTGTTTGTTTGGTATTACTTTTTTTGCTTGGAAGCAGTGTTTAGAGGTTTGTTTTTATTCTAAGCTTAAGCTTTCTGATTTTTATAGTTATACAACTTATGTGATACAAAAATATTGGCTTCTCCAGGATTATTACTCTGGCTCTTTCACATTTTCTGTGTTTATCTAACCAAGACTTTGATTATTTAAATATATGCCTAAGTATCTGAAATAAATCAGAGATGTGTTTGTGTCATTCACAATGTTCTGAGGTAGGATTACAGGGATCCTGCTCTTATCCCATTTATGACAAATCAATCTCTGGCCATTTTTATTTCCTCAGTCACTATGTACGTATATAGATTTATGTTAGTTAAACTTTATCATTATCATTGGGTGGGTAAGTGTTGCTGACTCCATTCTCAAGCAAGAAAGTTAAACAGAAAATATAAGGAGTGTAAGTGTTATTAATGGAGTATTCTTTTAAAGTTGAGTGAGTCCTCTGTTAACCAGGTTGTAACCTCCTTACTAGTGTCTAGGCTCCCTGAGGGGGAGGGATCTGAACACCTGGCATATAGTTGCTAGAAAATATCTACTTATCAAATGAATTAATATGAATAATTCATTATATAATAGTATTAAACATTTACTGAGTGGTAATCATGGGCCATATTACTGTGTGCTTCCTCTCTCTCTCTTTTTTTTTTTAATGGAATTTTGTTCTGTTATCCCTGCTGGAGTGCAGTGGTAGAATCATAGCTCACTGCTGCCTCAAATTCTTGAGCTCAAGCGATTCTCCCACCTCAGCTTCCCAAGTAGCTGGGACTACAGGCAGACGCCACCACGCCCAGCTATTTTTAAATTTTTTACAGAGACAGGGTCTCGCGATGTTGACCAGTCTCAAACTCCTGGCCTCAAGCGATCCTCACATCTGGGCCTCCCAAAGCTCTGGGATTACAGGCATGAGCCCCAACACCTGGCCCCGTGTGCTTGCTATGTGGTAAGGAGTCAGCAAGGAACTACACACAAAGCACTATATGGTTTTTTGTTTGTTTGTTTTGTTTTGTTTTGAGACAGAGTTTTGCTCTTGTTGCCCAGGCTGGAGTACAGTGGTGTGATCTCGGCTCACTGCAACCTCCGCTTCCCAGGTTCAAGCATTTCTCCTGCCTCAGCCTCCCGAGTAGCTGGGATTACAGGCATGCACCACCACGCCCGGCTAATTTTGTATTTTTAGTAAAGACGGGGTTTCTCCATGTTGTTCAGGCTGGTCTCGAACTCCCGACCTCAGGTGATCCGCCTGCCTCAGCCTCCCAAAGTGCTGGGATTACAGGCGTGAGCCACTGCGCCGGACCCCACACAAAGCACTCTGTGCACTTACATATATTATCTTCTTTAATTATCCCACTCTCCTATGAGGTGGGTGTCCTCATTTTTGTAGACAAATGAACTGACGTACAGGGGACAGTGCCCAGGATCATTTAGCCAGCAAGTGGCCAACAAGGATTTGAACCCAGCTCTGGTTTCAAATCTCACATTCTTAGTAACCCTAGAGGACTAGCTGACCCTTCCATGCTGTCTTTGCTTTGGTTACCTTAAAGCAACGTGGTGACTGGATTTCAGGAGGTGTGGACGCATGGAAGCAGTGACAATTAGCCAGCAAATATTTATTATCCATGTCAGCTATGTACTTAGGCTCTCTCTCTCTCTCTTTTTTTTTTTTTTTTTAACAGTAGGCCCCTGATGTTCCTCTGTGGGTTTTTCCTGGCCATGTAATGAATCCCTAGAACCGTGCATGGAGCACATCATTTCCCTGAACCCAGGGCAACAAGTGGGGAACACAACCACACTGTAATCCTGACCCCAGATGGAGGGCCAGGCTGATCATCCTGTTCCCACCCAGACCTGTGGAGCAAATGCAGCTCAAATCTATACCCCAGTGGAAGCTCAAATCACTATAGGTCATGGAATTTGGGGGTTATTTTTTAATATTTGAAATCTTGAATGTTAAATTGGAAAATACCAAGTCTCTGTATCATTAACAATAATGTTAATAATGACCACTAGCTCATATTTTAAGAACTAGGAAATGTTTTCATACCTTTCACATAGACAGTAGGCTACCTTTTCAGGAAAACCACAGCTCTCAGTTGGAATTAAGAATAAAATTTTTTGCTGTTGTTGTTCTTTTTAAGAAGCAAGGTGAGGCATTGATTGAAAACAAAAACAAGGAATCAGACTGCCTAGCTTCAGATCTAGCTGCACCTCCTGGTTTCTTCCCCCCTCTGTTCCTCATTTCCCCATTGACAAAATGGGGATAATTTTTAAAGATTAAATGAGGTAACAGAGAAATCATTTAGCACATAGTAATTTCTCTCTCTCTCTCTCTCTCTGTGTGTGTGTGTGTATATATGTATATATATACGTATATATATATATATATATATATATATATATATATATATATATATATATTTTTAACTCCTGTTTCAAAGGATACTTCTGTTTCTTTTACTGGTTTAATTCATATGGTTTAAAACATACTTGTTCAAGGTGCATAGTCTCAGGAAGGAGAAAACTGAGACTAAGAGAGATTAAGTAACTTACTTTAGATCATTCAGCAAAGATATGGTAAAAATCAGTTCTAGCATTCAACTCCTAGCTTTGATTAATGGACTTAGTTACCATGTCCTTTGTAGAGACTTGGATAGAAAAACTCATGGGAGTTATACAGCTGTTACATTGAATTCACCAATTAATTAATTGAAATATGAAAAAGTAAATATGACTTTTAAGATTTTTTACAAATAGTTCAAAATTTATTTTAGAAAACAGAGCTCAGTGCAGTATATTTTCAAATTGTAAACACATGTTATTGTTTTATGGTTTGTTAGTTCACAAGCTTATAAGTACAAAAACACTTTATAACATTAAACCTGTTAATGTTAAAATATTAGGGCTAAAATTGCACAGAAGACTAAATTCTCACCAAGAAATATATATTAAATTCCACCACCTAAAATAGATTTTTACTATGTCTGTGCAAATTACTTTGAATTATCCAAATATTTGGAATACGTCTAGCCCTGAGACTTAATTATCTAGGTACCCTAAAATGACATGAATCATGCCATGCCAACTTTTGGCATTATTTTTTCCTAAACACCTAGGATCATTTTTGGTTTGCATAAGAGTTTCCCTTATGCTTTGCAAGTGTACTTGGAATAAAGCTAGCAAAGGAGCAAGAACTCCCCAGGCCCTTGGATGGATGTGGTTCGGTCTCGAGGACATGGTTCAGTAGGCTCTTTGCCAACACACCCTCTGGAACAACCGTACCCATGATAACAGAGTGTAAAAAACCTGATTATTTTCAAATCTGATGAATGAGTTCAGCTGTTCGGTAGACCAGTATGGGGTATGTGAGAACATGGGATCACAGCAAAAAGCATGTTTATCTCACTCCGTCATTGCAGTGAACTTTATCTCCTGGGAATTTTCTTAAAGGGCAAGTCTGGACAAAGTCATGGCTTAATGACCAGAGAGTCTACAAGCGAGTTGTTCCTGTGTTCCAGTGAAGCAGAAGGCAGGGCCTGAGCTTGTGAGGAAAGATGAGCTAAAGAACTGCGTATGCTCCTTAGACAAAGATAATTTGTCACATCACCACCATTCATCTCTTAGTTCCCAGCTCACTGTTCCAACAAGTCTGTTTTGTAGATTTCTTATATATTAAAAAATGTCTCTAGCCGTCCACTGAGCAATCAGTTCATTCATTCATCCTTTTCCTCCCGAAATATTTATTGAGCACTTTTAAAATACCAGTATTACACCTGGTTCTCAGAGATACAATGATAAATAAGCTATAACTTAAGACTCAAGAACTTACAGTCCAATAAGAAAATCAGGTAAATAAATAGAAAACTAAGTATGTTGTGATAAATATTATGATAAAGTCAAGCACAAGGTAAGCTCCTAATCTACCTTCATACTGATGGCTGGGAGGTGTCTAGAGTGGTTCTTCAGCAAGACTTCTCAGAAGAGTCAAGGTCCTGTGCTCTTCAATACAGTAGCCTAGTGGCTACCTGTGGCTAGGTTAAGTTTTAAATACATGAAGATAAAATAAAATTTAAAAATCAGTTATGAGTTCCACTATCCACATTTCAAGCGCTCAATAACTACATGAGGTCAGAGGCTAGCATATGGGCCCACATAGATAAGGAACATTTCCATCGTGTCTGTTCAGTAGCGCTGGTCTCAGCAGATCTGAAAGGTGAGAGGGGAGGGGTTTTGGAGGGAGAATACAAAGAGTGAGCTGAAACCTGGAGATACTGGGGAAAAACAGCACTAAATAACTGTTTTAAAATAACAAGTTATTTTTAAAAACATATGTATTTATTCAAGAAGCATTTATTATTTGTGCTAACAAGCTGCGGGTTTTGCAAAGATGCTTAAACACAGTCTCAGCCTCTAAAGAACTTACATTTTTATGGGCAAGGTAGGGGTCATAAAATATTACCAGAAAAGCATATTCGAGTTTAGAGGACAGACTGGTTAGTTCAAGTGTGAAGCAGTGAGTGGGAAAAGGAGAATTTGGAGGGAGGCTCAGGCTAGGCTTCATTCTTCCTGAAGTTGTTGTTTATGACTTGGGTCTTGATGAGCTGTAAGGATTCAGACAGGGCAGTGGCATTAAATTCCTTACCTTGGTTAAAAAAAGAAACATTCAAGTTTCACAGAGTTCTTACAGCTTTAGGGTCCAGCAAGCAACTGGGAAGCTGAGGCTCTCCCCACTGGCATATTCATTAATGTCTTTCTACTGGGACTGCCCCTTATACAATAGAGATCTCATTCGGCCGTGCCAACTTACACGGAATAGTCTCCCTTCTAAATGGTGTTCCGTGGATTAGTTTAGGGAAGCCTGAGCCAGATCTTGTTTGCATTAGGTGGCTGAAAAAAGGAATGGGGGTGGGGGTTTAAGGATTATGCAAATCACTGGCTGATATGTAGGTTGGAAACTGGAGACATGTGAAAGCAGCTTTTATGCACCAATAGGTAAGGGAACTAGGAAACATTTCTAGGTGAACTATGGGGTAGCTAACTTAGGCAGATCGAATGAAATTGTCAGGAAACAACTAGATAAATTTATGAATTTTGTTCTCTGAATTGTATAATTCAGGTCTTATGAAACTCATCCCTGGCCATTTATTCCCTGATTTCTTGGTAGCAGAATCTGTTCCATGACCACTTTCCCTTTCTGTTTGGTATTTTTCCTCTGCTGGGAGTGTCTGCGAAGTGCAGGTGAGGTCTTGCTTATCACAAAAGCCACTTGGTCCTCCATTTCTAGGGGTACGATGTTCTCTGTTGTTTGGGAAACACCAGTCTCAGAAATCCTTTTGAAGGAATTCTCCCAGTCACCCAGGAAGAGAAACATTCAAGAGAATGACAGAAAAGGATCGTCTTAGCAAAAAAAATTATAGCCTGTGCTGAGAGGAAAGTTGAGATCAGGTCTTTAGAAACTGTGTAACATGATGATGAGTGAAAAAAAGGAAAAAACAGTTTTCCAGATCCCTCTTTAAAATCTCCTCTGAAATGGGGTAACCAAGGCTTGCGTCTTCGTTCTTTTCCGGTAGAAAAATCCTTCTGTTAAACTCATGTAACCCTTTGAAAAATAAAAAGGTGATTAGAAAGATGGTATGAATTATTTGAAAGAAAAAGGAAATTTTATTTTTTTCATTGTTACTTGATATGTGACTTTAAAATTTTAATTAAATGTAGTTGGATATTTACTCAGGCAAAAAAATATCAAAAGGACATATTCTACCTGGATAATATGTTTTTAGTTTCTCAGGACCAATAATACATTATGAACGTATTACCTGGCCATGCAGGGATTTTTTTTTTTTTTTCAACCTTGTTAAATTAACTGATTTCTACTTGACTAAAGGTTGTTGAGTTACCAAAAATGTTGTGGAATTGAGCACAGTTCAGGAGGTTTTACAATGCTTCCCCTGGAATTCCAAGGTAGATCTTCCACAAACACTTCCATTAAAAACAGGCCTCCGTGCGCACTCATGGGTGGTGTTCCCAAAGTGTGTTTAAAAGTCAGTCATTCAGAACTCAAAACACAGTTTTCCTCACAAGAAATGTCAGAGATGGTTACTTTCCCAGGGCTGCCCACAAAAGCCTTTTATTCCATAACGTATCTGAAAGAGCCTCCCTCCATCTGTTGAGGGAAGAATGAAATAGTACTGGACAGAAATCCACCCCAGCCACCCCCACCCTGCCATCCCTGAGGACAACACTTTTTATTTGCTGAGGCAGCCACCTGGACTTCAGGGAGAAAGAAAGGAAACACATCTCTCTCTGAGTGGATTCTATCTCTGAAGCCATCCCTGGAAGAGTCCTTTGTAGAGTGAATGTTTATCAGCCGAGATGTGTTTCTTTCCTTTGAGATAGCTCCATACCAACAATTAAGTACGTTTTGAACTTTCTCTTCTTTTATTACCATGATCTTCGTCATGACTGTTCTGCACCATTACTGGATTTCGAAACCAGAGGAATGATGATCGTATGACAATCAAAATTAATATCCCTTGGATTCATTGTTTAGCAAGGGCACGGATCTCCCACCAGCCAAGATATATCCATTTCATAGCCCTTAAACATAGCCATAATGTAAGCCAGGCATGGTGGCTTACACCTGTAATCCCAGCACTTTGGGAGGCCAATGCAGGTGGATCATGAGGTCAGGAGTTCGAGACCAGCCTGGCCAACATGGTGAAACCCTGTCTCTACTAAAAATACAAAAATTAGCCAGGCGTGGTGGTGTGCGCCTGTAGTCCCAGCTACTTGGGAGGCGGAGGCAGAAGAATTGCTTGAACCCGGGAGGCGGAGGTTGCAGTGAGCAGAGATCACACCACTGCACTCCAGCCTGAGCAACAGAGTGAGATTCCCTCTAAAAAAAAAAAAAAAAAAAAAATCCATAGTGTGGTGTTCTCACATTTGATTAACATATTATGACTTTTTGATGTCTGAGTAATTGATTCTTATTACCATTGAAACCAGAGATGGGAGTGATGGAAATGACCTACAGAAGGATTAAATCTACCCACTGCAAGGGCTGAACTAATTGAAGCAATTCTATGTGCTTACTTCATATTAGAAAATGAGCAAACCCGGCCGGGCGCGGTGGCTCACGCCTGTAATCCCAGCACTTTGGGAGGCCGAGGCGGGCAGATCATGAGGTCAGGAGATCGAGACCATCCTGGCTAACATGGTGAAACCCCATCTCTACTAAAAATACAAAAAATTAGCCAGGCATGGTGGCAGGTGCCTGTAGTCCCAGCTACTCGGGAGGCTGAGGCAGGAGAATGGCGTGAACCTGGGAGGCGGAGCTTGCAGTGAGCCGAGATGGCGCCACTGCACTCCAGCCTGGGCCACAGAGCAAGACTCCGTCTCAAAAAAAAAGAAAAGAAAAGGAAAGAAAAGAAAATGAGCAAACCCTTCATCTCCTCCTCATCATTACTAACACCAACATTGTCTGACATTTTTGTCCACCTAGAAATTGTATTCATGATTTCTTAAAACATAAGTTACTCACTAATCCTCATTCACCTCTCAGGATATACTTGGGAAATTTTCAAGTAGTATCACACACTGTTGCTTTTTCTTATTTTGCTTTTTTTTTCTTTTGAGATGGAGTTTCACTCTCGTTGCCCAAGGTGGAGTGCAATGGTGCGATCTTGGCTCATTGCAACCTCTACCTTCCAGATTCAAGCGATTCTCCTGCTTCAGACTCCTGAGTAGCTGGGATTACAGGTGTGCACCACCATGTCCAGCTAATTTTTTGTATTTTTAGTAGAAATAGGGTTTCACCATGTTAGTCAGGCTGGTCTTGAACTCCTGACCTCAAGTGATCTGCCGGCGTCGGCCTTCCAAAGTGCTGGAATTACAGGCATGAGCCACCGTGCCCAGCTTATTTTGCTTTTACTAATCGAGTGTTGAGACTTGGATGACAGTGTAGGCCCTAAGGTGCTATATAGCTCATTGTCCCTGGTGATTCAAGGCTATTTTTTGCCAAAACATGGCAGGGAGGAAACCCAGGGAAGTGGACATTAGAAAACTTAGAAAAAGATTTGTCTCTATCCGACTGCAGTGGCTCACGCCTGTAATCCCTGCACTTTGGGAGGCTAAGATAGAAGGATTGTTTGAGGCCAGGAGTTTGAGACCAGCCTGGGCAACCTGGTGAAACCTCATCTCTACAAAAAATACAAAAATTAGCTGGGTATAGTGGTGTGCACCTGTAGTCCCAGCTACTTGGGAGGCTGAAATGGGAGGATCACCTGAGCCCAGGAAGTCAAGGCTGCAGTGAGCTGTGATTGCACCACTACACTCTAGCTTGGCATCAGAGTGAGACCCTGTTTCAAAAAATAAAAAAGAAAGAAAACGAAAAGCTTAGGAAACTGTTTGTTTCTGTATTGGTTTGTTAGCGATATCCCAACAACATACCGCAGACTGAGTAGCTTAAACCACAGAAATTCATTTCTCCAGTCTCAAAATTCTGGAGGGTGGAAGTCCAAGATCAAGGTGTCAGTGGGGTGATTCCTCCAGAGGGCTGTGCGGGGAAGAATCTGTTTCAGGCCTCTCTCCTTGGCTTGTAGATGGCCAACTTCCCCCTGTGTCCTTCCCCGGTCTTTCTTCTCTGCTGTGTCTGTGTCCTAATCTCCTTTTCTTTTTTTTTTTTTTTTTTTTTTTTATTATACTCTAAGTTTTAGGGTACATGTGCACATTGTGCAGGTTAGTTACATATGTATACATGTGCCATGCTGGTGCGCTGCACCCACTAATGTGTCATCTAGCATTAGGTATATCTCCCAATGCTATCCCTCCCCCCTCCCCCGACCCCACCACAGTCCCCAGAGTGTGATATTCCCCTTCCTGTGTCCATGTGATCTCATTGTTCAATTCCCACCTATGAGTGAGAATATGCGGTGTTTGGTTTTTTGTTCTTGCGATAGTTTACTGAGAATGATGGTTTCCAATTTCATCCATGTCCCTACAAAGGATATGAACTCATCATTTTTTATGGCTGCATAGTATTCCATGGTGTATATGTGCCACATTTTCTTAATCCAGTCTATCATTTGATTCCTAATCTCCTTTTCTTATGAGGACACCAGTCATATTAGATTAGGGCCCATCCATATGACCTCTCATTTTACCTTTAGTACCTCTTTTTTTTTTTTTTTTTTTTTTTTTTGAGATGGAGTCTTGCTTTGTTACCAGGCTGGAATGCAGTGATGCGACCTCAGCTCACTGCAGCTTCCGCCTCCCACGTTCAAGCGATTCTCGTGCCTCAGCCTCCCGAGTAGCTGGGATTACAGGTACACACCACCACGCCCTGCTAATTTTTGTATTTTTAGTAGAGACGGGGTTTCACCATGTTGGCCAGGGTGGTCTCGATCTCTTGACCTCAGGTGATCCACCCGCCTCGGCCTCCCAAAGAGCTGGGATTACAGGCATGAGCCACCATGCCCGGCCCCCTTTATTACCTCTTTAAATGTCCTGTCTCCAAATACAGTCACATACTGAGGTCCCGGAGTTAGGATTTCAACATATGAATTTGAGGTGGGACATGGGAGGAACAAAATTCAGCCCATAGCAGTTTCCTAAACTGAAGATTGCTTAAATATTAAAATCTTAAACAAAATCCTAACCAGGATGCAATGATTTGCCTTTGCAAAATCAAATCTCGAATTCCAGTGGGAGTTCTCTAAGGATCTGTAAAGCCTAACTGTGTTGGGCTGGTCTTTCTCAGGAAGAGACCTCCCTTGAGAATATTGTAGCTTGCAGACTGGTTCATTTATGAAGCTGAAAGCAGGCAAGAGAGGTGCCCAGGGTACAAATATAGGAAAGAGCTTGCTCTTGGCTGTCTGCATGCTGACCGTGTACTGTGCATTTGCACAATTCTGAGAGTGAATATCTCTTTAAATCTTGTGCCCTGAACATCTCTCTTGCTCCACGCTGGTCCTTGCACTTCTGTAGAGGAAGGCAAACAGTATTCATAAGTTGTAGTCGCTCTTTCAATGATGTTTTGGCAAACATCTAGTATTCAAGTGTTCTCAGAAGTTGATTGAAAGTGTGATTGTTAACACAGGCTGGGGGAAGGAATACGAAGGTGTCCTAAGTCATTTCCTTGTTAATAGTGACAGCCACTGAACCAGGAATAGATTTTGAGGTCCTTGTGCTGTATCTCTACATTTGTAACCCAATGTCATGCTTGCTTTTATTTGGCTGCATTCTTAGCCTTGATGCTAGATGATGACCTAGAGGACAGCCCAGGATTTGGGAAGGGATTCCATGCCTTGATTTGTGAATCCATAGCCAGGCTCAGAATATGCTGAGGTCTTTGGCACTGTGTCAGTGATATGATCCTCTCAGAAGTGTCCAGCTCTATTCTGAGAACGGAGCAGGCGCAGATGCACCTCATCTCTGCCAGTGGCTGTGGCTGTGAACTTTAGAAACCCATTCTGCTATTACAGAGCAGAACCCCAAGAGCTAGAGCAGATGATCCACACCTCTGGAGCATGCTGCTGTTCTAGCAACAGGCCGGAGCTGTCTAGACAGGAGAGAGCTTTCCTTCTTACCCCTGGCAGTCCTTGATCTGACCATGGAGGCAATGCTGTTTTCTTTCCAGAAGTGGCGTGGTTAGTGAGGCAGTGAATGTTGCTGTCTTTTAAGAGACCAGCTAGGACACCTAAGTCCCAGGCTTTCAGGATGAACATTTTAGTGCTCTGGCTCCCTGCTTTTGCCTAAGAACACGCACTTCCTCCAAGAACCTGCTCAAGCCCTCCTGGAGGAAGTCCAGATCAATGCTTCTACTCACTGTCCTCAGCTCAGTGCCTTGACATGAATTTGCAGAGCCTGATGAAATATTTTCTCATTCTGAGGGGAAAATCAAAGCCACCTCTCCCCTTCCATCTGACTATTCAAAATGTACCAGAATTTCCTTTAGAAGTTGATCTCTAAGGAGGTACAAAGCTACTTTTGCAATGAGCCCCCTTTTTAGTATTACGTGAAAGTTCCACCATTAATATTAGCAAAAATGAATTCTCTAGGGACATGGAGAGAAAGAAATTTTGGTTATAAGGTCAGTCTGCCTGTAACTTTCTCATTCTCTCACTCTATGTAAAGCAACAAGAAAAGTTGTAAGTTCAACATGGCATTAGTCTGTAGAGGCTCGTTTCAATACCACAAAGGCTACTTCCAGCTAAATTTTAATAATCTAAGGCCTTGCTGCTCAAAGTGGGGTCCCTTGACCCACAGCACCACCGGGGAGCCCTTTAGGAATGCAGAATCCCTGGCCCCACCTCAGACCTGCTTTTTAATAAGATTCTCAGGTAGCTCGCAAGCACATTAAGCTGTGAGAAGCACTGTTTTAGGAACTAATGAACCTTAAGAGATTCTGTCCAAAGACAGGAAGATTTGAATTATCTTCTCTACCCAGAAGCTGATAATTAACTTTAGCAGTTGTTAGAGGCGATGGTTTCTTCCTATCAAGTCCTTTTGCAGATGGTCCCTCTCTTATCCATTCTGTTTGAGACCCCTTCAGTTTGTAATGAAGCTTAATTGATTAGCTCTATTTGTGAAAAGCTCAGGCCCTAATAAGCACACTCCCACTGGGTACACAACTAAATAGTTTATGAGGTAATTCGTATTTTAATGTCTTTCCTAATGAGCCCTTTCAGTAATGAAATCCCCTGAGAAAACGTTATTGGTTCCCAGACGTTTCTTAGGCTCCTAGGGCAGGAAGGCTGATGAAGGTGGAAACATGAGGCTCTAGAGTAGAAAACAGTTTTCAGTTCAAAACAAGGCAGATTCTTTTCTTCCCCCTCAAGAAATATTTCAAATATGGCTTTTCATACCTTATTTTCTAAATCCTTATCTTCTCAATCATTTAGAAAAACTAGAAACAAGACTTTTTTTTTTTTTCCTGAGGCTGTTGTGGAATTCCTTTCCTCTGCAGTAAATAAATAATATGAGGGTTGCCAGTGTGTATGATGTTATACAAACAAGAAAGACAGATGGAGAGGAAAAGATACAGGGAGACAGAAATGTGTGCACACACACTTGTGTGCAAATACACACACAGCACCTGCTTGGTGCCTCAATGTTCTTTGTAAGTCTGTATTTAAATCTTCTCAGCATCATCACTTCTGTAATAGTTGATAAATGTGTCAATCCCTCCTCATTAAGGGTGAAGCCAAAATGAGTCCCATAATGAGAAAGAAGCATTTAGAATAGCAAAGTGGCTGAGCAACAAGACAGTTATCTGTAGCACAGCAGAATTCGATCCAAAGGGAGTTACAGCAAATTCCCTTTAAGTGAGGAAGGAAGCTGTGTCACAGGGGTTTGCTGGCAGCTGTCTGGAACCTGCAGTGGTGAAGGGACTCACCTTTCTGCTCCGAAGCTGAGCAGAGAGTAGACACACTCATTCTTGAGCCCTAATTTGAAGCCAGACAGCAGGCAAAGAAGACCAGTCCCAGCGTGTTTTTTTTCCAGTCTCTCCCTCTGAGAAAGCTTCAGACACCAGGCTGGGTTGGCCAGCCTGACACAGTGCCTGTCCTGTAAGTGATGGCAAAGCGTATCCTGACCCTACTTTACCTAACACGAAGATCAAAGCCTCCCAGCATGTAATGGATGCTGAAAAACAGCCTTTGTTTACCAGTCTTGCCCTTTAACTTGTTAAGGGCGCCCCTCCCCTGAAGAAACACACTTTCTCAGCTGGATGCAGGAGAGGGAACAGAATTGTGGAAGATGTCCTTAACAGGCCCTTCTAGAATCACTGCTCACGGTGGTGTCTCCATTCCCATAGGAGGAAAGCCAGAACCACAGGCCAGGGTCAATGAACGTATTCCAGCTGGGCCTGTGGCCATGTGGCTGGCTGCAGATTTTGCTTTGTTACCTGATGGCTTTGGATAAGCAGGATAAAAAATAATGACTTAATAGACCATGAGTTTTAATAACATGTCTGCAGGTCACTGGGAACAGGGACAGCATAGAGCTCATGTGTAGTGTTTTGCTTTGTTTTCTTGACAAGCAAAATGAGTTGTCTTCATGGGTACTGTATGCAAATCTAAATCTCTACAAGCCAAATTTTGTGGTAAATTCTGTGATCTGTGGGTATGTCAGGATTTTATGAATGAGACAAGCACATATATGTGTAGGACTTCTTTGAAATCCCAGTTATCACTCTAGCTGTCACTATGAGGAAGAACAATGTGTGGGCAAGGAAAAGCTCTTTGCTCAAAGCCAGAGCCAGCAATCTTGAGGACAGAGACAGCATTCTAAGTGTGATCCTGCTAAAACTAGAGAGAATGTGTCCAAGCCAAGGACGACGAATTACTAGAGCTCAGTGGTATGAAAAAAGAAGAATCTCAGAGTTCTGGAGAAAATTCTTTAAATACCCAGGGCAGGCTTTGTGGAGGTACCTTCATCCTTGAGAAGAGAGACTTCAGTATCTGTGGAACAAGTGAAGCTAGAACTTGGCATCGGAGCATAGTGCTGAGCAAAGAAGCCTCTACTCAGATAGATTTGAGTTACCACGGCATGCCAGTGAGGAAAAGCAGCCTGCACAGGCCCCAGCGTGCAATGAGGATTTTAAGATGGTTTGTAGGTCTTGGCCCTCCAGACAGTGAGTTTGCAAGCCTCTGTGAGATTCTGCCTGGAAAGGAATAAATGCAAGAGGGGAGGAAAATCTGAATGAAGTTTTTATTCTGGAGGGCTCTCCCAGTGTCGTAGCTGCTTTTGTGCAGGGACAGGGACAAAGAAAGCAACCAAAGAGTGGGTGGCTGGGATTTATGTATTTGATTGTCTCACTTAACAATCAATGAGGCTTTAATATTCTTGAAAGTTCAGGCTCCTACTAAAACTGCCTTGAGCCAACTGCAACTTGGATTTGTAAGCAGAATCCAAGCCTGACCTCCTAAGGTGTATGCTCCAACCCCTTATTCTCTGAGTGTTTCAGCATCTGTGAAAGCAGAGGCCTCAACCCAGAGTGGTAATTTCAGCAACTTTTCCAAACAACATTCTGGGCGAGACAAGTCAGCTCCTTCCCATTTACTTATGAGTTAATTAGTATTTAAATACAAGTCTCCAGGCCAGTGATTTATTTTAATAATATCTTAGCCCCTTGGCAGGCCCATGACTTCATGACTGCAGCAGTGGGGAAAGGGCACACCGCCCTGATGGATGTCTCAGTGCTGCATGTGGCTGATTTACAAGGCAGTCCTCTGATCTGAGTCACTCTTACTTCCTCTGCTGCAAACCCATTGAGTGGCACCCAGCGGTTGGAGCGTCTACTTGCTTAAAGTGACAGTTAAAAGAAGAGAGTGGGTTGAATACAAATAACGTGGATGAAATTATTATTGAACAAGAAATCACTGGATACTTCAAATTGTGAAGCAGTTGTATATTGGCCAAATAGGATCAGTTTCCATATGTTCATTGTCTGTTGCATTTATTAAAACAAAAGGCTATAGATGCTGGTTTTAAATCAGTCATCTGCATTTTATAGGTCTCATTACAACAATGTCCATAATGATGGAGTCAGCTGATTTTTTTCAAGACAATCTTTAAGGTTATTTTGTGTTTATTAGGTTGCTAGGGGTACCTAATACATCAGTACGAATAGAAGAAGTGTTTAATGCAGTTGCCAGATTTTTATGCAAGATAAATAGTTTTACATGTCTCAGAAGTAGAATCCAATTGGCCAAGAAGTTGGCCAAGAGCTGAAATTTGACATCATTCTTGGCAACTGATAGTTTTTTTTTTTAACGTGCATTATATAAAAAGCTCACTATATCTTTTCTAGATATAATATTAGACTGCAAATATAACTTTTAACAATAAATCAATATATGTAAATGATAAAGTATGTTTCCTAACTGTTGGTCACAGCAATAGACAACATTTCAAATGGAAATATGCATTTTTTCTTTTTTCCTTTAGTATTTTTGAAATGAGAATATATGTGGCATATCTTTATGTTGTAGAGCTCAGTGATACAACAAATACCTATGAGCCCAGCCCCCAGCCCCCAGCCCCAGAACCAGAGCATCACCAGTCATTTCTAACTGTCAGTGTGTTCCTTCCACGTTCCATCCTGCCTCGCCCTTGGGGTCGTCACTGTCCTGAAGTTGGGGCTCATCATCCTTTGGCATTTAAAAGGAGTTTTATCACAAATGTATGCATATCTTAACAATAAACTGGTTAATCTTGCTTGTTTTTGAGCTTTATATGAAATGGCATATAGAATGGAGTTGTCTGGGCTTGCTTTTTCACTTAACATTATAAATTTCTGACAAGAAAATTTGTGGATCTCATTTTAAGGAAGAGAATGGCCCCATATACAAATCATTTTTAACCTCTACTATAGATATGTGATACACAAGAAATGTAAGAAATACATGTAGAAGCTTAATACGAAATATATCACTTTTTTTATTAGAGTCAGAGATGCTTGCTGTTTCCATACTTATTGTATTTTAATTGGTAAAAGATGATTAAAACATATGAATTAAGCCTCATTTTGATGTTTCTGCAATGTGGTAATTAAACCCAGAGAAGATATATTTTCTATGAAACTATTACACCTAATTAGCATGTAATAATTGTCAAATTAAATATATATTAAATACTCATTTTAAATGTGTAATTGAAGTGTCATGACATGAAATCTAATATTTTTGGAATGAATTTATCAGGTAATGTAATTTCAGGTTGCCATCAGCCTTCAGAACTGTACTAAACATAGGCCTAATTACCCCTATGGAACCTTTCAATTGTCTGTCTGGTTGAGCACAGATTCTGAAAAATTTTAAGGTTAGAAATGAAATGTTTGATAATCTCATCAAGAATTAAATGCCATATCGCTGGGTGAAAGGTTTCCGTTTAGATTCTCTAGGCTTCTTCCAAACAAATATCAAGGCAGTTTTTCCCTTTCCCCATTAACCAACAAACGAAGCCACTTGGTTGCTCACAAGCCTGGGAAGCGTCAGGAAGCAAAAGATGACTGCGCGTGAGCCAGGGGTGGGGGGTGGGGGGACACTGTGGAGAGGAAAGGCATTCCTTCTTCTCTACACATCTTTATTAACTCAGATGCCATCCCCAGCATTCAAAGAAGGCCACAGCTCTGCTGGAAGGGATTGCCACTGTTATCACTTTGTCAGAAAAGAGAAACTGACACATTTGGAATTGGCATGTTGGCCATGTGAAGATCCAGTGGATTTTGTCTATAATGTGTTCTCAGATTTCAGCAAAGACAGGTTAAATTCGCCATTTCAGACCCTAGTGGTTTTCCACTCAGTCGTTGAGTTGCTTGTGGTTTGCAAATATCTACGAGGATCCAGTGCCTTCCAGAGAGGGCTTGCCTCCCTAGTTATGTGGAATAGACACATGTTGTTTTTTCTTTTACTTACTAATGTTGTCATTGTTTTATTTTTTATCTTGAAACAATTTTAAACTAATGGAAAAGTCGCAAAAATGGTACAGAGTTCCGATACACACCAAGCTTCCTCTAATGTTAACATCTTATACAATCATAATACAATTACCAAAACCAGGAAATTAACATTGGTGCAATGTTATTAACTAAACTTCAGACTTTATTCATATTTCCCTATTTTTTTCACCAATGTCTTTTTTTCTGTTCCAGCACCCAGTGCCACATTGCATTTGTTTTTATGTCTCCTTAGACTTCCAATCCATGACGATTTCTCAGTCTTCCTTTGTCTTTTATGATCTTGATATTTCTTACGAGTACCGGTCAGTTCTTTTGTGGAATATCCCCCAGTTTGTGTTTGGGTGATGTTTTCTCATGATTAAATTGAAGTTATGCATATTTTGGAATACTTCAGAGGTGATGTTGTACCCTTTTTGGTCTGTCATGTCAAAGGGTATATGATGATAAATCTTATCCCTGGTGATATTAACCCTGATCACCTGTTTAAGGTGGGATGTTCCAGTGTTCTCCCCTCTCAAGTTCCTATCTTTCTCTTTGTAATTTTTTCTTTTTTTGGAACGGAGTTTCACTCTTGTTGCCCAGGCTGGAGAGCAGTGGCAAGACCTCAGCTCACTGCAACCTCTGCCTCTCGGGTTCAAGTGATTCTCCTGCCTCAACCTCCCAAGTAGCCAGGATTACAGGTGTCCGCTACCACACCTAGCTAATTTTTATAGTTTTAGTAGAGATGGGGTTTCACCATGTTGGCCAGGCTGTTCTCAAACTCCTGACCTCAAGTGGCCCACCTGCCTCAGCCTCCCATATTGCTGGGATTACAGGCATGAGCCATCGTGCTCAGCCTTCTCTTTGTAATTAATATGTATCTCAGAAGAATATTTTGAGACAAGCGAACACCCTACTTTAAGGAAAATCTTCGCATGGAAACCTGAACTTATGAAATAAGTACTGATGTATTTTCTTGCATTAACAAAGGAATTCTTCACTTTTCCAAAGGATTCACCCCAGGATTCAATTTTAAATAGCAATCTCAGTTCTAGTACATTTAACATAGGGCCTGTCTAATAAATGTTAACAGTTAACTTTTTGAGACAATGTTTACTACAATGGCCTCTTTTAGGACAATGTTTGTCTTCGCAAATAATCCATAAATATCTTCTTATCCCCTTATATAATGAGAAAAAAACAGCAGAATTTCTCTTACCTGGTAGGTCACTGAAAGAAGAAATAGAGCTTAAATCTTCTACTCTTTATTCTTTTCTAAAGGGATTTTTTTTTTTTTTTACTGCCAGAATTAGTGGGAAGGTCAGGAAAATACACATGTTTTGTGGAAATAAATTCTCAGAGATAATATTCTATAACATAATACCAAAGTAGATGGGCTAAGAGGATATCAATTATATGCCATACACATGATTCCACTTACTGGAAAACAGTTTGGCAAAATGTACCAAGCCTTGAGTTCCACCTCAAAGAATCTGTCCTAAGAAAATAATCACAGACCCAAGCAGAGATTTATGTTCAAAGATATTTACTGCAGTGCTATTATAAAGTATTAAGGAAATGATTTGGGAAATTGGCAATAATCTAAATGCCCAATAAATAGGAAATGGTGGGATTTTGTCCAACAATTCATGTTTTCAAAAACAAATGCCCCAAAAACATGTTCAAGTGATCACAATACCATACTATGTAGAAAAAATAGAAGTAATATTGTCTATACAGAATGTCCCTAATCTCTCTCTCGTGCATGCATACACACACACACACACTCACACACTCACAATTGGTAGAAATACTGATGAGAGAGTTATCTGTAGGTATTAGAATCATGACTGATATTTATTTTCCTTATGCTTTTTAGTTTTCCAATTCTTGTGCTATAATCTTCTTATATTAACAACAGGAAGATATTTCTGAGAAAATTAGCAGTAATTCCATAGGTACCCTTTGGGGAGATAGATTCATTGAAATACCTTTACATTTCCTCTTTTTCAACCCTGTGTAGATTACAGCTTTGAAAGAAACTAAATGGCATGCACTTGTTGAATTTATTCCAAATATTTATGTGTATATGCATTCACACACATATTTATAGAGCCAGAATGAACTGCATGATGAAGTGAAATGATTAAAATTTTTAAAATTAGATGATGTGCATTTGGAGAAAAAAATTCAATATCTAGCTTTTCCATGGTTGGCTTTCTAAATCTAATTAGAAAATACATAGGATGTAAGGACTATGATGCAAGAAAGAATGAGAGAAGGTTAACCCTACCAGGGATACAGTTTTTCAGAAAAAAAGAAGACGATCTTTTTTATATTATTCTTTTCAAGGTTAGTCTTTAAAATTAAACTCATTAAAAAAAAAAAAACCTCCCTCAACCTCATCAAATTACAGAAAGCCAAATATCTAGCTTTCATTTTTAATCAAGCAGGCCTAAATATTCATGTTTATGTGCCTAAATGAAACTTTTGTATGCAGTGTTCCACTCCATCTGCATGAATAGTAGCATTGTGGCCGGGTGAGGTCACTGCAGAAGGGAGAGTGAGGTAAGAACACAGCTGAATCTACAGGCTTTCTGCAGTGTGGTGCACCAGCTCTTTCTTAAAGCCACAGAACTGCCATTCTCACACCAAAGGCCCTCGGTTTGTTTGTGCCGGGCTGCAGCCCCACTTGCCTGTGTGTAGTGATGGCACTGTGTGTCATGAATAATTCAAGTGTTCCAAAGGAGAGCCAGAACTGCAAGGAGTAGCATGTGGCCAGAACCTCAGCAGTGTATAATTTCTGCTTCTTTAAACATCTACGTTGGCCACCTGTTCTCAAAGGAAAAGATGGTACCTTCCGTTTCCTACTGCCCTGCCACAAGATCCATGAGGGATCGCTGCTGTAGTTATGGGGACCCCACTGTGGTGTGCTTCCCTCCCAAGCAGTGGCAGGCTAAGTCACCAGAATATTGGTTAAAGATGCATGTCAGTTCATATTTTACCTACATTTCCTACTAACTTAGAGGAATAAGTTGGTTGCCAAGAGCATGCTGGCACGTAGCTCCCAGCCAACACGATCCTCATTAGAGCTGTGAGAACATGAAAAAACTTCACTCTTTTTTTTCCCCCAATAAGCTCTCCAAACGTTTTACCTCCTGCTTTACAATAGAGAGGGATCCTTTATTCTCCAGTCAGCATCAAGCAGCATCCAATTTAAATAATAAGATATTTCCAAGATATGGGTACTACGCCTTTGCTTGTATCTGCCTTGGAAGGTGCCATGATACCAGGAATAACAACAGCTTTTAAAATCTTTCCTGGAAAACTTTCACACCTGAGGCCTGAGCATATAAACTCGCATTAAGTAAAAAGATAGCACTCTCTGAACCAAAACTTCAAGAATGGGTAAGATTGACTCTTTAAATTAACCAAATCCTATAGAGTTCATCTTGGGTATCAGTACTGGGGATAAATGAGAGCATAAGATTGGTTAGGATAGGCATTATGGGGGTTACATGGTCCCTCTGTAAGTTTATAGCCAAGAGAAAGTGCTTTAGAAGTTCAGGGAAGGACCTGCTACTGGATCTGGAAGACTTGGAGAAAATACTTTGTAAAGGAAGCAGAAGATGAGAGGTCACTGAAGGAGGAACAGGCTTGGGCATCTCCAGTTGAGAACAATAGTGTAAAGAGAAGGGTATTGGTGCCGTATTTATAACAGCTGCTGAAGATACAAACTCTGGACTAGCTCAGTCGACTGACAGATGACCACCTCTCCCTGTTCAGGGATCATCAGTAGACCTGTTGAGTTGAGAAGTCAATTCCTATGAGAGAAGGGAGGTCCAGTTGGCAAGATACTTTGGGTCCCAGCCAGACCATAGAGGCTCAGGAATGCCAGCCTAAGGAAATGGTCATTATCTTTTAGGCAATAGTGAGTCACTGGAGGATTAGGAGTAGGGAGGGACACGATGAAATCAGTTTTTTTGGAAGATAAATCTGGCAGTGATGCACAAGAAGCACATATCAACTAATAGTAATAAGAAAAAAACTTACTAAGCTAGGAATATTACAGTTCCACTCTAGGCAGTGTTAAACAATGATTAAACGATGAACCCTGTTCATTTCTGCTGATGGCTGCTGAACATTGATCCTGAGAGCTGCTCGCCATGAAAAGAATGAAATGAATGCTGTGAACCAAGGACCCAATTATTATTCAGGTAGGCCCTAAAATCTGTAAGTGTTAGTGGCCAAAGAGTGTTTCTGAAGTGTTTCAGAGATCTTCAAGTGCATTCATTCATTCATTTAGATCAAACCTACTATGTGCTGGGTTCCATGATAGTCCCGGGGTAGGGTGGGGCGGGCATAAAGAACAATACAATGTATTCTATCTTCTCAAGAAATTTATATTTGCTATAGATTTTTAAAAATACAGAACATAGGAAGGTTCAGAAGCCCAGAATTTACAGCATATATAGCACTATTGTATGCAAACCCTCCTACCTCGGGGGATTTACCTACCTGCTGGAACTCATTCACAGGCCTGGCTGAGGTTCAGTGATGCTGTGGCCTATAAGAGAGAAGTGGAAGTGTCGAGGAAGGCAAGTCGCAGCCAAATGAAGGGCTTGCCATCTCCCTTTTTCACTCAGCAAAAGTACATTGAGTGGCTGGGCACGGTGGCTCACACCTGTAATCCCAGCACTTTGGGAGGCCGAGGCGGGCAGATCACCTGAGGTTGGGAGTTCGAGACCAGCCTGAGCACCATGGAGAAACCCCGTCTCTACTTTAAAAAAATACAAAATTAGCCAGGCATGGTGGCACATGCCTGTAATCCCAGCTACTAGGGAGGCTGAGGCAGGAGAATCGCTTGAACCTGGGAGGCGGAGGTTGCAGTGAGCTGAGATCACACCACTGCACTCTAGCCTGGGCAACAAGAGGGGAATTCCATCTCCAAAAAAAAAAAAACAGCACATTGAGTCTAAGTAGCCCTTGCATTTCAGCAGGATGGAGTCCAGTTTATTTTTCACTTAGAAATCTTCCAGAAGTGTGAAGTGTTCATTGAGGACTCAAAATATCCCTAACCACCATGACTACCACTGGTGCTCTCCAAAGCGGCCCTCTCCTCAAGCACCATATTGGTTATTAGTGTCAGCCACAATGGTGTACTCTGAACTGGGCACATGCTTTAACTAATGTTCAGAGACACTTATTGGAAATTGACAACAGCAGGTTTTGAGAGAGAGAGAGAGGCAGAGAGAGATCAACTGGCTATTTTTGCAGGGTGTTTAAATTGCTGGTTACAATTTGTTGGATGATTGATTGGTTCAGGCGCTCACATTTCAAAGATTGTATAGTCAACTGTTAATAAGTAAATTTTGAGAATCTGCAACATATTGTTTATAGGTACCAAGTTAAACACAGTTACTGCCCATCATGTTGCATTATTGCCAGTTTTCAGTTACTCACCCTAATTTTTTTAGCGTACTGTTACATAGTATTTCCCCTGAGCCAAGCACTGTTCTAAATGCTTTGTAAATAGTAACACAGTAAATTCTCGCAACCGTCGTATATGAGACATCTGCTAATACCATTCTTATTTTACAGAGGAGGAAACTGAAGCACAGAAAGAGTAAATGGTTTACCCAAAGTCACACAGTTAGTAAGTAGCAGAGCTGACATTTAAACCGAGCAGCCACACTCCTAGAGTTCATGCCTTTAACTACTATGCCACTGTAACAATGGGCAGCAACATGAGGAAAGAAACCTATATAGAAGTAATAGTATGGGCTGGGCACGGTGGCTCATGCCTGTAATCCCAGCACTTTGGGAGGCTGAGGCGGGCAGATCACGAGGTCAGGAGATCGAGACCATCCTGGCTAACGCGGTGAAACCCCGTCTCTACTAAAAATACAAAAAAATTAGCCAGGCGTGGTGGCGGGCGCCTGTAGTCCCAGCTACTCGGGAGGCTGAGGCAGGAGAATGGCGTGAACCCAGGAGCCAGAGCTTGCAGTGAGCCGAGATCACGCCACTGCACTGAGCCTGGGTGACAGAGCAAGACTCCGTCTCAAAAAAAAAAAAAAAGAAGTAATAGTATGAATTGTGGTAGTAGTGGTGGTGATGGTACAGGTGGAGTATCCCTTATCCTAAATGCTGGGGACCAGAAGTGTTTCAGATTTCAGATTTTTTTCAGATTTTGGAATATTTACATTACACCGGTTGAGCATCCCTAATCTGAAAAGTCAAAATCTGAAATCCTCCAGTGAGCATCTCCTTTGAGCATCGCGGTGATGCTCAAAATGTTTCAGATGTTGGGCCATTTTGGATTTTGGATTTTTGGATTAGGGGTGTTCAATCTGTAGTCCCAGTAGCAGTAGTATTACAGCAATGGTAGTGCTATTGTAACAGTAGTCGTTTTGTAGCAGTAGTGTGGGCGCAGCAGCAGCAGCAGTGCAGAACACAGTAAGAGTGGTGGTAGTATTGTAGTCATATTGTCATGGTACAGCAGTAGAAGCAGCCATCATTGTCTCTGTTGGCCTGGTTGTTGTACTCTCCTTTCAGACATGAAGATATCGAGGCTCAGGTAGACCTACTAACGAGTCAATGGCAGGACAGGATTTGTGCTCACAGGTATCTGAGTCCTTTCCTGCCTCTCAGGATGTTCACATAAGAAGAAAATGGCTGTTCTGTAGCCTGCAGAAATTCCTGCTCAGCGGCTTGGCCGTGGTTTGGCAATGCTACCATACACTGTGGCACTTGAAAGGTTTGTTGTCACTGTTGTTGTTGTTATCCTTGGCTGAGTCTATGTCATGTTCAAGCCACCGATTTGTTGGAAGTGTGAGGGCTGGTATGTGAATAGAGGGAGGTCCGGTGGGGAAAGTCAGTCAAATTAGTTGTGACTGAACTAGCTTGTCAATTCAGTGAGACAGATCAAACCATAGCCCCATGTAGACACCACCAGGGTTTGCACTACCAGTCAGTAGGTCACTGAGTCCTGCCCCTGTGAAATCCCCCAGCCACTTAGAGCAGTAAAGATTGATTAAACATGTTTATATGCAATTTGAAAATGGTTCTTTCAGGAAACGTGTGGTTCTTTAAAGTCACTTTAACATGAGAGATTTTACTTTAGTTTATTTATATGCTAGCCAAAAAGAACCCAAAGTCGAGCACAAAGTCCCATGATGTATGGAGTCCTCTAGGAGAAATTGTCAGAGCTGGTTTATATATTTGTACTCTATCAATATGGCCTTTCACAGTTCCTAATTAGTTTTGTTAGTTGACTTACAGAAAAGTGTATTTAAAGTGAGACGTCAGTAATTCCACTGAGGGAATAGCATTAATGAAAAACACACAGTCAGGAGGCCAATGGAAGAGCAAATGGTTCAGTCCTGAGCACCCCTAATTTGTATGGGGGTGATTAACTCAACTGCTTCTCTTGTTAGGAAACACTTTGGTAGAAACCCCTGGAGATTATTCAGGCAATGGATACATGTGTTTGTGTGTGTATACAGGTACAGGCACGCAGACACATATTTTTTGTTCAAAAAACAAGTAAATAAAGATTAATTGAGCTTTTGGAATACCTACCTGGTGTACTTCTGATAACATATATGCCACAGAGATTGTACTGGAAACTCAGCTGAGTTTGAGCTAAGATATGTTAGATCATGTCAAGTAAAAAGGAAATAGCTCCAAAACAAAGAGAACAAGCAATAAAATATAAATTTACCCAATTTTGATGTTTACTTCTGCCAGCTATGTGAACTCTGAGTTTGGTTATTTATACTTACATGGGGCTTCTTAGAAAAATGTATTTGAAGAACGCTGTCTCAGAATTTCAATAGCCAGAGCAGATGTGCAGTGTTCTTTGTGGGTTTTACAGTAGATATGTGCAGTCTACCAGAAATTATAGATGCACAATTAGATTTTTACAATGTACACATTCATGCAGATCAAACTATGTTCCTTAAATGAGGGCTTAGTTTTCTTTATTTCCTGCTGAGTTTACCAAGTGGAGCATTGGTTGCCAGCATTTCTAGCTAAGTAAGTTTGCTGCAAAACCATTCCCATTCATTTGTGCTCAGGCGAGGATGGAGGGTCACTTGCCTTTGTATAGAGAATGCAAAACAGGAAGGTCTCGTGTCATCACTCCAGCTTTTCTCTGCTGCCGCAGCTCTGGGCAGTGGGAACCATTTGGAATTTACATACCACGCAACTTTTCAGAATGTGTGACATGCTCAGGTTTATGTTTGTCTGTGGTATGCCGTGGTTGTTTATTATGTGGAAGAAATGGAAAGCTTGCCAATTCACATCACTAATGTGAGTTTGACTAATGACATGGGCAGTAAATTAGAATTTAGCTTCTAACCACATACAAATAGGTCTCAGGCTGCTGGTTAATGCCATGATGTCAGTTCTGATGCCCCCTTCATTAGCTGATGTGCTTTTAAAGGTAGACGCCAAGAGAAAGAATTTGGTTTTGTTTTCCTAATGCACAAAACATGTTTTGAACAATAGAAATACTTCTCTATCAACAGTTTTCTGGCTTGTTGATTTCCCAACTCTGCTAATTATACCCTCTGAGTCTGTATTTCCAGGTCTTTATTAGAACACAACATTACCTACAGGAGAGTTGATTTCTAAATCAGATTGAGTTTCCCCACACACCTCTTTCCTCTCCCAGGAGACTCAATTGGGTATCTACATGTGGCAGCAAAACCAGACCAACCAAATTATTCTACAGTTCTGATGCATCATGGCAGGTTAAGACAGTAGCCTAGCCAGTGGGGAAAGATGTTTACAAGGGCCCACTGATTATACCACCTTGAAGATCCCAGAGAATGATTCAGACCTGCCAAAGTTTTTTCTTCAACCGATGCTGCCTCCGCATGTTTGTGTTCATCTGATGGGCAGTCTTACCATAACTCATGTAGGGCATATATTATCATTTGTGGCTGTCTCTTTCTGAATCAGCATTTACCTTGTTAGTAGACTGTTTTGCCACACACAAAAACCTATTTATGAAGAAATATTTCCCTCCAAAATATAGCATTCTCTTATGAATATGTGCCCACTCAGGGCAGGTCTGTGTTTAGAGACAAGAAGGAGTAATAAAAGCATTGAATAAAAAAGAAGAAGAAAAAGAAAGTAGTAAAGCCTACCTATGACTGGCTTTCACAGTAATGTCTCTGTGAGCCTACAGTTATTTTCTTGGCACAGCAGCAAATACAAATGAAATTGTTGCGGAATCTAAGAGAGAAATTTCATTAGGTGTAATAATAGTGCTTTTCATTTTCAAAGCACTTTGAAAATGCTAACTAATTAATCTTCCATAATATTTCCAAGTAGTAGGAGCATATATTCTTCTACTTGCACAAAGCGTAGCACATATAGGAGGCTCATGTTACAGGAAAACCCTTAGAGACTTTGCCTACATGCGCTTCCTCCGGCTATCCACACATTTAAACCAAAATGAATATCGTCAGGTAGAGAACTGACAAAGCACACAACAGTATATGATTGACAGGGTTAGAAAGTGAGACAAAGAAAAGGAATTCAAATATCCAGAAATTGTAAATAAATGAGCATATGCCCAATGATCCCAAGTTTAAGGGGAGAGTCAAGGTGGAAAGAAATATATTTTTGTATGTAGTTGACCCTAGATGGGGTTCCACAGCTGCTGCTCACCAGCGATGGACCCTTGGGTAAGATATTAACTGCTCTGGACTTCACTTTCCTCAACTGTAAATTGCGGGTGTCGGAGTGAAGGTCTCAAGATCCTTCTTGTTCTGAAATTCACAGGTTTCTGCTCAGGGCAAATGGCAAGTCAATAGACAAGGCTTCATTCCTGAGATGGGTCTCAGGGGAATGTTTTCTGAGGGGGCAACTTTTTAGCTACAGAGCAGGAACATGGCATAAATCCCCAACCAGTACATTTATCCAATTAGATTTAAACTCAAGCCTCAATTAAAGATTTCTCTTTCACGGCATCGTACCAATATCAGAAATGCAAATACTGTATGGGGCTTTTTTGGCTGGAGCAAGTCATATAGCTAACATTTTGTGACTGGGAGAGAGTCCAAATTCTTTCCTATGTGTAATCACTTTAAATGATGTGAGGGATGTGTGTGTGTGTGTGTGTGTGTGTGTATCATTTGTTTTATGGAAATATTTGTGTGTGGAGGGGTCAAAGGTGATAATTCAGGAAAATAAGCCAATTATATATGCCAAGACTTGAGAAGATTTCAGTGATTCCTTAAATATTTAAATCATTTTTAAAACTAGTGTGATCCTGCTTGCTTTGGGAAGCAGAATAATTTTTAGAAATGAGTTCGCAACATAAAGATAAAGTAGTGTGAAACATGTGAATCTCAATGTAAATAACTGGTTGGGGATAAAACTGATCTCATTCTGAAACTTCCAGCAGAAGAAAGTTTGTAATGAGGAGAAAGGCAAACTTACCAGCTAAGTCATTTAAATGAAAGCTTTATATATTTTCCCAGATATTCATGCAGCGTTACAATGGCACAACCCATATTTGTGTATTTGTTTTTTAAACTTAAGGTTACCACATCTGGCATAAACTATTATTTTGGTTGTCAATTTGGGTCGATGAACTTCAAACCCCACATTTCAAAGTAAATCTGAAGATAAAATAAACATTTTACAGAAAGAAATTTTGTATGGTTAGAATTTTAAATATTTAGATGTCAGAATGATGTGCTCACATTTTCAGGTTACATTACTTTTAAAGGAATTTTCAATATATTGTGCTTGGTGGTTTGGATTTTCCAGCAACCCTTTATTTTGTAACTTTATTATTTGCTGCTGCTAATGTTGACAAGGACTTAAAATTGTACGTGCAGCATTAGATGCAAATATCCTGCTACAACACAACTAATTCTATGAAATTTAGAGCAAAATAATGCTGTGATAAAATTTGAGTGACCATTTGATAATTGTTTGTATTTCTCTATCACCATGCATGAGAACCTTCTGTGCTTTAAACCTTCCCTTCTACCCAACACAAAAGAAAACAAAACAAAAATCCAATAAACCTAAGTGGATTGATCTTTCCCTAAGCAAAATAGTCATCTGTCCTAAACTTAAACTCTTGGCTATGGTTTTTTTTTTTTCTTTTTCTTTTTTTTGAGGCTGTCAGATGACCTCGATACAATATGAAACTGAGAGAAAGTGCATTTCTTTTCATTCATTTATTTCTTCACACATCTTCAATGCTCCATTTTGTTTAATAGCTGAAACACATAACAAATCCATTAAAGACTCTTGGCTCTAATCATTGTTCAGAATAAATACAGTGTCCCAAAAGATCTTATTTATAAAAGTATTCCACTTAAGATGTGGGCCTTGTTTCTTACCTCCACAGCATTTACCCAGACAAGACACAGATTTTCAGGAGCTTTACCAAAAAATTGGGAATTGTAACAGAAAGAGGCCTAACCTTGCTTAAAGTATAACTTGTGCATCTTGTTGGTTCCAGGGCATCTTGAGGGTGATCAGATCAGAATTTCCCTTGTCTTTCCTGTGAGTTTCTCCTGATTTTCTATTCCACTCTTTCTTTAATATAAAAACATGCAAAGAAGAAAATCATCTCAAATAAGAAAAGCACTTAGATGTGCCTCTGCATCCTTAGTAGCTACTAATAGGTATTCAAATTGTGACGTGTATATACATTATACACAAGTGCCTGTTTCTTTTTAGGACTGCCATACCTTCTATTTCAAAGAGAGTCCTCCTTTCTTTCTGTAAGTTGCTTTTAAAGACAGTCCACTATTTCTTAGGAGCTTGGGGAGAAAATTTGAGTCTTTAGGAATATAAAAGCCTTGGGCTTGTTGCTTTAATACTGTCAAGCAACTTGTGAAGGTCCCCATGCAGTTAAATACTTTACCCTAAACCTTCAATTAATTATCCTACCACACTTTAGCCTTTAAAAGCGAGTCTTGCTACAACATATAACGTTTCCTCTGTGCCTTGCCACTTTATAGCACAGACCTGAACATAAGAAGGGCCCTTGAATATATTTTCAGTGGGTTCTCAGTACTCCTGTAAATTATCCTGCCCTTATTCTGAGGTTTTGGTGATTTATAACAGATATTTTTCCATTAGCAAAGTTTCCTTACTTTTTGTTCTTATTCATGAGATTTGAAAGCATGATGTAATCGCTGTGGGGATATTATTATTATTATTATTTTTTTTTGAGACAGGGTCTTGCTCTGTCACCAAGGCTGGAGTACATGGCATGATCATACTCACTGCAGCCTCAAAACCCTGGACTTGAATGATTCTCCCACCTCAGCCTCTCAAGTAGCTAGGACTACAGGTGTGCACCACCATGCCCAGCTAATTATTTTTGTATTTTTTGTAGAGAGAGGGTCTCACTATGTTGCCCAGGCTAGTCTCAAACTCCTGGCCTCAAGCAATCCTCATGTTTTGGTCTCCTAAAGCACCAGGATTACAGGTGTGAGCCACCATGCCTGGCCTAAGGATATTATATATTGTCAGTAGTATAGAAATTACATTCATGGTGCTGGAAGAAGTTTTCTTCAAGGACTACTCAGTAGATACAAAAATTATTTTTTACTGACCTGAATACACCCCTAGGTTCTTTAATGTTCTCTTATTATTTTTTTTAAATTTCAAGCAAAATATAAATGATATAACATTAACATTATAACAAGTTATACAGTTTTACACATAAGCCAGAGCTGAAATGCAGGAAAGGCCCTAATTCTCCTGTAAAAAAAAAAACTGACCCAAAAGTTTACACTTTTAATTTACCATTAGCCATTTGGGTTTTGGATGGCAAACACAACACTTTGCCAAGCTATAAAATTCATAATGTTTAAGAGAAGGATCAAAACTAAAACCGGAGAGTTTATTTGCACAAATATTTGCTTGGTGCAAATATTCGTGTTGGATGGTCTTAGACTATTTGATTTCGGTGGGTTGAAAGAAAGTCTGAGCTATAATTTGGGTTCTATTTTCATATTAGGCTTTCCCACTTTTCAAAACTCTTTGCAAATATTGATTTGTAAAGCTACTATCTCCCTATGAGAAATAAATGCTCCTCTCCATGGATTGACTATCAGATTTTTTAAAACTTGGGTCAGTTTTATATGTTTTCATAGGTAATTGAGGATTTAATTCTTTTCACTAGAGTCTACATATAAATGTCGATGACAATTCCTGTTTACATGGTTTAAAGAATTTATTTCTGAGAATAATGAGATTTAGAAGGGTCACTTTCACTTTGTTACCGTCTCATAAATTATCTTTAGTAACTTCAGTGTCTTAGGTGACCACAGTTTTGCCGCCTTTCATAGTCTCTCATAGATGTAGGTATGCAGCCTCAAACTCCGAAATTCATACTCCAATTCTCTGCTTATGCAGCCATGAAACATCTAGAATATGGATCACCAAAATGATGACAAAGATGAGCTGATTATCTCACTGTATTTATGTTACTGACATTTTTATTCTTTTGAATTACAAAATATCTAAAAGGGTCCCAAAGCAGACTTTTCTTATAAATGTGTGTTTACCTTTCATCTATTGTGATCATACGTGTCATGATAGAAACTATGTATGGATTTGAGGTGATGGTGGATATATTCACATGGCTCACAGTCTGGTGTGGTATGATTTTCTTGAACACAATCTAGACCTTGGTGCAAGGTCAGAAACATAAGAGTCTGTACTTCCTAAGTGTTTTACCCTTGTACAAATCCAGCACTTTAAAATGTGAAAATATTTATTCAATATTATTTATCAACATTCCATTCCAACAAACATGAATGTGTATTAGGTGTGTAGTGAAATATTTAGTTGTTGTTCTTTCTTCGTTTGGTATTCCTCTCTCAAGTGGAGCAAATGCCACAAAACCACATTTGCCTTATTCGTAGCTTTGTGTGTACATGTATGTTTTCTGTCTCCCATGGAGCCATGATATAGGTAGACAGGAAGGGAGAAAGGGGGAAAAAAACTGAAGGAGAGGGCTAGCACCAGCAATAAAAAAAGACGAAAATATTTGGTAGAGATACGAATGGCTGCAGAGAAGAAATCTCTTCTTTGCCTGTTGGTATTCACAGCAGAGGTTTCTCAGATGTTACACCAGATCTCAAGACCAGCAGTATTTACGGTGGGCACACTGTAATGTGCCCTTAGACAGAAAATGATAACAGATAAAGTATGTTTCCAAATATGGGCCCCCACCATGCCTCGAGCCTGCTCTCTACCCATTGGTGGCAGAGAACTGCAGCTATTGCCCGTGTGCAGGACAGTTCGAGAATTAATATCAAGTTGTCACTGACTCTAATCTCAGACATTTTCTTTGGGTGGTGCGGCAGGGAAAAGCAAGGGCTTTGAAATCAGACTAGTGTGTTTAATACCTTAGGCAAGTTACTTAGATCTCTTGGAGCTACATTTTTTCAGAGTGTAAAACAGAAGTCCTAATACACATCAACTAAAAAAAAAATGAGATAATATTTGTATGTTCCTTAGCACATCCCTAGGGCATAATGAGAACTCATTACATATAATTCATTAGTTTAGCCACTATGCTTATTTTCTTTGTTATGCACCATCTCTTTAAAGTTACTTTAAAGATAAATGAGAAATAAAAAACAGTCTGTCATCTTTCCCTTCTGAAGAAAGGGAAGAAGGTCCCTTCCCTGCACAAGCACCCCCTACTCTGGAACAAGCTCCCTCAAACTCTGCCTCCCCGCCCCAACTCCACTAGCCGTGAGCCCTTGGGTGTAAACTCAGTCCTCTGTCACACTAAAGAAAACACATTTATTTGAGGTCTGAATGATAAAGCATTAACATGCAAAGTCTGTTGAAAAGATGACAAGGTTATGCTTCGTTTCCCAGAATTTTAGTTAAATTTCTCAACTGGTTCTCAGCAAGGGATTTAAACAGATCTCTCAAATGCCTTGTAATTGTTGTCCAGCTTACCCTGGAATGTGCAGGAAAAGTTGAATGTGTCAGTGCATGGCAAACATTGGAGCACCCACGGGCTGGAATGTCGACCCAGATTGAAGACTGCCCTTCAGGCTGTGGCTGCTTGGTTGTTGAAATGGAAACCAGAATGGCCCTTGTGGGTAACTAAGCCCTAAATAGTGAGGAGGAAGACTCCCTCAGGTGTCCAGCTCAGCCACATTGGTAAACTTTCCTGACTTTCTGATCCCATCACCCACTAGTATCCACGGGAAAAGGCAGGGATGATCGTGTGTCTTCATCAAAGAGAGGTTCTATGTACAAGATAACTCTTGGGGACAGGGTGATATCACACTTCAAACCTCTCTGAAGTATGGAGTAAGGACAGGTCATCTGCACTCCAGTTCAAACACAGAATTGGACGCTAAACATTATTTCTATACTGATGTCAAGTTCTGCTTCTTTTGTTTGAGTCTTTGTTTTAACAAAGAGTAATACACACTTGGTTTTAAACTGCATACTAGGGGAAAAATCCTAGAAGGAGAATTGCCCAAGATCTTGTGTTTTGTCTTCATGTCATGACTTAATTTTTACAAAATCAAAATGACTTCATTCACAATTTATGTACCCAAGTAACTTAGCCCATTTTAAAATTCTTGCTGCCCTGTTCCATGTATGCATTTATTTTTGTTTTTTATTTTCATTGTAATTATGTGTACCAGACTGGGCTACAGGCAGTGTGACACTGACAAATTGGAAAGCATATCGAACATAGAGAGAAAGAGAATGGAAATTCTAAGATGGGTTAGCCAGCCTCTCTTGAGTTGATATATTCATGACATTATTTTCTTTGAGCTTTGCACTATCTTTTCAGGAATCTTCCTATTAGAAAATAACTTAACAAACCTGAGTTTATTTTGAACTTGGCAGTGGTTCTGATTAGAGATGTTGCAAAATAACCATTCAGCCCAACATGGCCCTAAAGACTCAGAGTTTCCAAGATGAATCAGGGCAGATATTGGCATACACTGAGGAGCATTTTTAACCTTTAACATGGAGTGGGAATGGGGAGAGAAGCGACACACTGCAAATCGGCACACACCCTTTCTACCATCCTCAATTTTATTTCTGTGGCTTTTTCCACATAAAAGAAAGTCATTTTCACAATTACTAAGTTGCATCGCATCTGTATCCATCCAGCCCAAGCTTCCAAGCTCCCAACTGGGGAACAAAAGCAGCTCATTTTGCCTAATGCCTCTTCAACCTAAAAGTAGTTTCTAAACATCGGTCCTTCCCATGATCCATCTAGAATTTAATCTCTGCACAAGGGATTTTTGCATCCATTCAGTTCTTACAAATATGATAAAGTTTAATTTCCATTATGAAAAGACAAAGATAAAATTTAAAGAAAGAACAGTCTTTAAAGTATTTGAAAATTGGTCTAAGATCCCCATAAGGATAGGAACTAATTCTATCATTTATAAAATCTAAGGATTTTGCATATTTTAGCCCTATTTGGCTAAAAATGCAGAATTAAGTCTGAGTTGGATGTGCCTTGTAGACAGGAGTTGGGGTGGGGAGGCAGAGTCTGAGGGGCATGTTCCAGAGTAGGGGGTGAATGTGCAGGGAAGGGACCTTCTTCTGTTTCCTCAGAAGGGAAAGAAGACAGGCTAGTGAAGAAAAAGACTCTTGTGGAAAGTAAGAGGGTTTGCAGATGGATACCATTTAAGGAGGGGACAGTGGCAATTGGAGGCACTTACACCCAATGCTTTCATCTGCTCATGAATGTGGAAGTGAGATGAAGTTCTTGGGGGAATAGTTTTCTTTCTCAAATGGGTAAAGAATCTGAAAACCATGTCACAAAAAAAAGGATGATGGAACCCCAATATCTAATCTGAGATGAAATAATTATCCTCATATATTTGAAAATCTGCAGTGTGAGAAGGGAGTTAGAGTTTCAGGAAAACAGATCTTACCTTGAGGTGGAAGAAGTTGCTTTATAGTCAGGGAACTTTTCCTGTCTGAATTAGAGGATAAAATGGCAACCTTTTGAAGGTACTGTGTGTGTGTGTTTGAGGGAAGAAGAATTCTTGCATAGGTTCTCTTCCAGTTCTGCTTCTGTGGATGAGGTTTTAAGCACTCACTTCCTGACAAGTGTCAAGAAGGTCTTACAAACACTGAAATTTGGTCATGAGTCCAATCTAGTCCCACCATTGATGATGCCACTTGAGAAATTCCTCCCACTCAAATGAGTTAACAGTGTTGGCCATCTTCCCAGAAGGAGGTAGTTTCATCTAGTTGATTAGATCTGAGTTGAGCTGCTTGCATTTAGGATAGCTTTCCTTCAGCCTCAGCCTCTCCTCAGGCAGCCCCTCGGGCAAAGCAAGACCTTTCTCATTCTTCCAGACCATTCAGAAAACTCTGTTATATAAATGAGTGAGCATTGACCACTAGCTGTGAGTCCTTGAGTGTAAACTCATTCCTCTGGTACACTAAAGGAAACACATTTATTTGGGGTCTGAATGATAAAGCATTAACAGGCAAAGAGTTGGGAAGATAGTAAAAGAACAACATTTTTTCTTTTTCTTTTATTAAAACTCAACTGGATAAATTAGCTATGCTTTGACCAGGCCTGAAACTATAGCTCATTCAGTGGATATCTTGTTTGCTTATGAACCTCTAGTGCTTGTAAAAAACGTGTCCTAGACTAGTGTTCTGTGGCACTACAAGGTGACTATAATAAACAACAATTTATTGCAGATTTTCAAATAGGTACAGCAGCAGATTTTGAATGTTAACACAAAGAAATGAATGTTTGATAGATGAGAGATATGCTAATTATCCTGATTTGATCATTACACATTGTATACATATATTGACATGTTACATATACCCATAAATACGTATAATTATGTACCAAATAAATACTAATAAAATAAAATTAGTAAATATAAATTAATTTAATGAAGAATAATTTTTTAAAAAACAGAATATGTCGTAGGGCCCCAAGGTGTATGTCTTGTTGATGCTTTGAAATAGTTGAGTTAACTGTACCTTCCGGTGGATAGAATAAGGCTTGGAGTTAACTCCTTATTAAAGAGAATCATCAGGGAAGTCTCCTTGGGTACCTGACTGAAATGTAATTTTTTGTCCTTATAGGGCAGTTAGAGTATGACCATGGCTAAAATGAAGACAGCCATTTTTTATTTCAATAGGACAATCCAGGAAGCTGGAAATCGAGATCAGATTTAAAAGACAGACAATTCCAATAGGACAATCCAGGAAGCTGGAAATTGAGATCAGATTTAAAAGACAAGTAGGATCACTAGAGCATTCTTCCAGCCTTAGAATCAGACCTTTCCATGACCACAAAAGAGACATTTCTTGCCAATGGTGAAACTGGGATGGTTCTTGGCAATAGGCTCCATAGTTCTGTACAACTGTGTCCAGAGTGAGCCACTGCTGGCCCGCGACAGACAGGGAGCCTGAGCTCAGAGTGGAGCAGGCCCCTACAACAACTTCTTCCAACAGCCGCATTCCTGTCTCTAATGGAAAATTTAGTATAGAAGGTGAGAGTTATGAAAAAGTGAGCCATGAGGAAGGGGAGCCGGTGGAGAAAGGGGAGAGAAGAGTGGAGTTAATATGACAGGGCTTCAGCTTCAACTTGGTCTGTTTTGCCATCCAGAGCAGATCTGTGGCCACTTGGAGGAACAAGCTCATTGCAGTCTTTCTTGGGCATCTATGAAAGCCTGTAATACTGGAGCTTCTAGCTACTAGTAAGCTTAATCTCACCACTAGAGTTGGGTAGGGAAAGAGAAACAACAAAACCCAGAGCATTTCCACATTCTCTTATAATTCTACCAAGGAACATCTTTGTTGGCCAACCCTCCTTAGTAAAGTATGAGAAAGAGAAAGAATGGAACTTTTTTTTATATGAGTGGGTACATTTGTACCTTTCATCATGATCCATTTTTTATCTGTTAGTCCACTTAATGTTTTGGTTTTCATGACCAGAAAAATAACTAAAGAAAAGGGGAGAAAACCCAATTGTGGTAAAGACAGTTACATCAATGATCATGCTATGAATTGATCATCTAATGATGGTTTTTGAAGTGGGTGGTCCTTAAATTTTTAGTTGCGACATTAGCAGTACATCTTTTCTCTCACAAACTGGAGTGTTCACTCTTATGTTTAAAAAATATATATGTGGTGGTTACCAGGGGCAGGGGGATGGGAGAATAGAGAAGATGGTCAAAGGGTACAAACTTTCAGTTATAGAATGAATAAATTCAGATCCCATATGCAGCATGGTGACTACAGTTAACAGTACTCAAGGTATACTTGAAATGTGCTTAAGTGTTCTCATCATAAAACAAAACAAAAAGGGGTAACTAGGTGAGGTGTTAATTAAGTTGATTGTGGTAATCATGTCACAAAATATATATGATAGCAAATCGTCCTGTGGTGCACCTGAAAATCACAAAATTTTGTCAATTATACCTCAGTAAAGCTGTAATTTTTTTAAGTATGAAATAGTGGTAGAGCCAAAAATAAGAGTTTTGCCACTAATTAGTTTCTTTCTTTGAATAAATCACCCTACATCTCAATGCTTTAATTTCTTGCTTTGTTCTGTAAGGGTGTTTGGATGAACTGATCTCTGACACCCCAGTGGTTCTGTAAGCAGAGAGAAAAAAATGGCTCCATCTTTAGGGGAGAGATACAGGGCTTGAAATTCCAGGGTCACATTTTCAAGACTTTTCAATGAAAAAAATTCAGAGTCAGTTTACGTTCCCTCATCAAGGGAGCCACCTTAGAATAGGGGGATTTTATCCAATGTGTTTTCTGGTTGTCCTCTGGATGCTGCCTGATGTGGACACGGGATTCACGAGAAGTCTGGGGGCGTCCTTCCTCCATTAGGGCCCCTCATCCTCTTTAAAAGAAAGACAACGATGCCTTCCTCAGGGAGTCGTTGCATGAACACATGAGATGGTTCTTATCAGGCTCCCGGTACGTGTGAGGAGCAGGGCAACCCTTCTCATGTCATGATCTCTCTGTGTGGGGCATTTCATTTACAGCGCTACCCCTTCCAGAAACTTCTAAGTGTATTTTTAAATGGCAAGTACCTAAAACAAAAAAGTATCTGTATTGAGGTCCAGACCTGGCACTTCATAATGTTTAAAGCATCAGCTGCCAATTTGCTGTGCCTGTAATATCTAATTTATAGTTCCCCGTGGGTGGGTGGGAGGGTGGGGCCAATCTCTCAGGAGAAGACATTTTTCTTGTTTGTAACTTTTTTCTTTGGTCATTTAAAAAAGGTTTAGTAAGTGTGCTCCATAAACTCAGGGAGCATCCCAGCCTTCCTCTGTGTGGCTGATGTGTTGAGTCTCTATTTTCCCTTGGCAATAAATTTCCCATGAGGAGGAAAGTCACCTTTTTCTTCCTGGCCTGGTAAAAACTGGACAGCAAAGGGCAGTTGTCATTCTCTAAAACACTCCCACTTTCTCGGGCCACCACCTACCTTGGCTGCCCAGCCCAGACGTTAAGGGACATGGGATAGTTTCACTTATAAAATCCACTTCCTCAGAGAGAGCAGATACTGGTGGAGTTTCCTGAATTTGGCAGAATCTCTCTTTAGAGAGACTCTGCTTCAGACGGCTAGACACTTGGGACCTGTTGGCTCAGGTTTAAAAAATGTTCAGGTTAGTAGCCGAAAACCGCTGGAAGTTGGGGCAAAAGAGCAATGAGGGCTGCAGGGTGACCTGGGCAGCCCAAGGGGTGACTGCTTGAGGCAACACTGGGAATGGAGAGCAGGGTGCTCAGGAAGCCAGGTGGAACGGGGAGCCCAACTCACTACCAAAGGCTGGGAGCCCAGGCGCCGCTCGAGCCTCGCCACTGTTTGTTTTAGGTGAAGCAGAAATGGAAGAGCGGTGGGAGAAGGCGCGCCCAGCACTGAATAACTGGGTAGTGCAGGCATGAAATTGCCCGTTCATTCCACCAAAGACTTGAAAAGAAACAAGCAAAAACTGTTGTAACAAAGGAAACACAGGAAGGTTTTAAATTCTCTTTGAGAGACATTTTCAAGCTAAATGTAGTAAAATCCTCAATTATAAGTTTCATAGAGCAAAGCAGTAAAGCCTTTATAGAACACTAGCACTCATTTTTTGATAAACTAACTGCTATCTGGAGAGACTAAAAGACTTGTCCAGGCTCACTCAGGTTTAGGATGCAGAAGCTCACCTTTCCTGAGCAAGTCCTCCTTCTCTCATCTACTGCATTTTGGGGCGGGCAGAGTAAGGAAAATACTTGGATTTAAGTGACACTTGTGCACCAGCTCTGGCCTACCACTTTGCTACTTGGTGGTCATAGGCAGCTCTCGTAACCTCCTAGATCTCAGGTTCATTGCTCTAAAATGGGCTGCATTGTATCTAATGTATGGGTTATTGTAAGGATTAAATATGTGACTACAAGGCAGGGTTTTCGAGAGCTTTAGACATTGTTAGTCTTATTTTCAACATGTAAATTCCTCCTTTAAGCGCCCATTCAGCATTTCCTTTTTAATATCTGTTTTTTAAAATTAATACTTTCTTAAATAGCTTGGTTTCCAAAAACAAACAAAAAAAAAATCACTTTAAGACTGTTTGTTTGACTATGTGGAACTCTACCTACCTCTATTGCCAGGATCTTTTGTGCAGAGCAAAATTTTTTCAAAGCTAGGACCAAATATATAACATATATTTACCCTTAATTAGGAAAGTAAAATAACCATGAAGAACTCAAGGAAGTAGTTTTCAGGTCTAAAGCTTAAGCATAATTACCTAAAGTTGGTTTCCAGTTTTAGAGCTATTCTTATAAATTATTAATTAAAGCTTTTAATAACTGAAGCTATTCCAGATAAATAGTATATTACAGCAGAAGTGGGCAAACGTTTTCTGAAAAGGACCATATAATCAATATTTTAGGCTTTGTGAGTCAGTCATATGATGTCTGTAAGAACTACCCAAGCCTACCATTGTATCACAAAAGCAGCCATACGTGATACCTGAATGAATGGGCATGGCTGTGTTCCAATAAAACTTTATTTACAAAAACAGCTGGCCATAGTTTGCCAATCCTGTCTTAAAGAAACCCATATCTTTCTGCTTTCCCTGTTTGGAATGGTTTTAATTGTCACCCCTGTCCACTGAGTTCACAGTATTTCAGACCAGCCCCTAATATGGCTCCAACCAGGTTAGTGACTTGAAGGACTTAGGGAACACTTAAATTCAGGGCTAATTTTTAGTGAGGAAAGTTGGCCAGTAAGAGCCTTAGTCACTTAATCTTTTCCTAGCGTCCTTCATTTCAGTTCCCATGCCAACGCTTTACAATGTCGAGGTGGATGGAGGTGTGTTTTCCAACATAAAGACTTCAGCTGGAATATTGCCCAGGTCATTTCTCTCCTATTTCCCTCCATGTAGAGGTTGTTCATTAACTAATAAACTTGTAGAGGAGAGTTTCGTACTCTTGACTACCAAGGAATTCTTTCATCTTTCTTTCCTTCTTTTAACTGAAAGGTCACCAGTATGAGTTATTTTTTATGTTGACTTAGCTTCTATTTCATAGTTGCTGTTTAGACTTGGAGAGTTTTCTGTTTTCTATCAATAAGTTGCTTTCACATTTCCAGAATTTCAACTGGTGGGTAAAACCAATGGCTACTGCAGGTAGTAGTCTAGACAGAGCAGGAACAATAAATAACTCAAGTCCTGTCCCATTTTTCTGCATTCATTTGTCAGGGCCATGTCACTTCACTCACTCCGGCCTTCATTTCCTGGGCTAATAAACAGTACTATCAAAGGCCAAATACCATTCACAAAGTTGTCTATGGGTCCTTTTAAAAGGCAAACTTGTCCTCAGCTTCTCTTCAAACACCCTGTGTGCTCTTCCCAGAATCCTGCATTTACAGTATGGACATTTGTTATTCTGAGACTGACTGTTGCCATATGGTATTACATAATTATTTTCCCTTTAGGTATAATTACAGAATTGCCAACCCTTCGACTCTGTTTTGCATTATTTCACACGTATTTTCTAGTTTTGATTTAGGTCTCTGCATGGTATGCCATAAATCAGCAGAGTGGGGGTGGGTAATGAAAGGACATCAAAACACAGCCCCCACTGCTATAGAATGTTACTCAAGTGACACTCCATAACTCAAATACTGCAAACCATGGGGTAGCCAAAGCAGGGCACTGCGACAGTATGAGTTGTTTTTGTTAATAGAGATGAAATTATGGGTGTAACTAGCTGGCAGTCCTCAAACAGACTTCAGCAAACTGTTTACTCAGCTGTCCTCAGGCAACAACTTAATACTTGTGGATAAAATTATTCTCCCACCATCTCCCAAGTGGTATAGTCCAGGGATCCCAATTTGTTCTCACTAATAAAAAGAAAGAACAAGTTTGCAATCTCCAAAGGCAGTTTGAGATTCTGGTTATATTTTGTTTTTAACATATCAGGCTTTCGGCACTATAATTCATGAAAATTTCCGTGTCCTTTGAATTCTGCATTTCAAAAATCTATAGGAAGCTGAAACCTAAAATACGTTGTGTGGCTTAAAGAAACCTGTGGTCCCTAATGCTAAAACCTTGACATATTTTATTTTCGTACACTATTCCCGTTGCCCACAATCCCTCCTGCTTCCTCTCTGCCTGTTGAAATTCTGACTCTTTTAGGCTCAGCTCAGATACCTCCTCCTAGAAGTCCTCTCTGATTCCCCGCCTCACCTAATAGAAATTGACCTATCAATTTTTCTCTAGTTTAATTTTTAAAAATTATTATTCAATGTTGAAGACATACAGAACTGTATAAGAAATGATACAATAAACATCCATCTATCCACTACCTATCATGCAGAAGCCCTCTGGGAACTGGAAGACCATTATCTGATTTTGGTATATATCATTCCCATTCTCACATAATATATTATGCCATATTTATGTATTCCTTAGCCATATATATATATATATATATATTAGCGTATTTTAGGTAAGTGTTCTATAAATGGATTTTTGTTTTGTGTATTCTTCTGCAACTTGAGTGATTTTGGGGGGGTTCACATTTATGTTTAGCAGATTTATCATGTTGATTTTCATTAGTTCATTTCCATAGCTGTAGAATATTTCATCATTAAAATTTACTGATCATTCTCTTGGTGTACATTTAAGGTATTTTCATTTGCTCTCATATAACTTTTAAATCACTATTATGACACTACATTGTACCATAGACAGGTCAGTTGCCTATATACTTTTTACCCTCTGCCTAGCACAGTTCCAGTAGATGCTTTATATATGTTTGTTCTTTTGAATTAAATGCTTGCAAGAGAGCCAGAAAATATTATCACCTTTTTACAAATGGGGAAACTGACAGTATGTAACTGCCCCGTGTGCACAGCAAATTAACATCTGATACAGAATTAGAAGTTAGAATTTGTGGTGAGCTTAACTAGAAAGTTAAGCGTGCGGCTGGGCGCAGTGGCTCACGCCTGTAATCTCAGCGCTTTGGGAGGCCGAGGCGGGCGGATCATGAGGTCAGGAGATCGAGACCATCCTGACTAACATGGTGAAACCCCGTCTCTACTAAAAATCCAAAAAAATTAGCCGGGTGTGGTGGCGGGCGCCTGTAGTCCCAGCTACTCGGGAGGCTGAGGCGGAAGAACGGCGTGATCCCGGGAGGCGGAGCTTACAATGAGCCGAGATAGCGCCACTGCACTCCCGCCTGGGCGACAGAGCGAGACTCTGTCTCAAAAAAAAAAAAAAGAAGAAGAAGAAAGTTAAGCGTGCTATTTTAACAATCATTCTCACCCATTATATTCAGAAAACTTTGAATTTTTTTAGTTCAGAATTTGACATGAAAAATTTTAAATTTATATTATTTCTGCTTTTTATTTGGAGGAACAGCATCTCATCATAAGAAGGCAAGAGAGTTTTTTTAAACTTTCTTTAAACTGAGCTCTAATTCACATACCATAAAATTCACTCTCTCAAAGTGCACAGTTCAGTGGTTTTTAGTATATTTACAAAGTTGTGCAACCATCAACACTATCTAATTTCAGAATATTTTCATTACCCTTCAGAAAAATCCCTTATCTGTAAGCATTCCTTTATTTTGCCTTCCTCACCAGCGTCTGGCAACGAGTAATCTACTTTCTGTCTCTACGGATTGCCTCTTTGGATATTTCATAAAAATGGGATCTGTTATATGTGGCCTTTTGTGGCCACCTTGTTTGTTTCACTTACATAATGTTTTTAAGGTCCATCCATGTTGTAGTATGTGTCAGTAATTCATCCCTTTTTACTGTTGAATAATATTCCATTGTGTGGCTATACCACATTTTATTCACCCATTCATCAATTAATGAACATTTGGCTTGTTTCCACTGTTTGACTATTATGAATAATGTGACTAGAAACCTTCATGCACAAGTTTTTATGTGAACAAATATTTTCAGTTCTTTTGGGTATATGCCTAGGAGTAGAATTGCTGGGTCATATAGTAACTCTGTTCAATCTTTTGAGGACCTGTGAAATTGTTTTTCAAAGCGACTGAACCATTTTACACAGTAGATTCTTACAAGGAACTCAACACCCCAAAGACATTTCTAGCTTAATTGTCTTCATTGTGGTCCTCAATTTAGTGTTCCGAACCTTAAAACAATGTCCGAACTCATTGTACAGTGATGTGCTACTATCCGGTGCTTATATCTAACAATTTTATACTTGCCTTTTCATTTTGTGAATGAAATAGTCTTATGACAGGTTTCATTTTTACATTAGCCTCAATTCGATATGGCTTCATTGTAAGGAAAATCCTTGTAGTAATTTCCATCCCATGTTTATTTTATCATCTAAATTTAAATGGCTCTGATATATAAAGACTAGTAGAAAAATACCACCTGGTCTAAAAATATAGAAGCCTTGTATAACTACATTCCATCAACAAGGTAGCCTGTTCATATTTGAATGAAAAGAAAAAATAAGACAGTGGGAAGTCCTGCAAACACCACTGCAAAACAATCAGGAGAACAAATTAATCTGCCTTCCAGATGTTTGCCTGTCAAAAGTTCTGGGACTTGTGAATCACTCTCTTTTGGAGGCTCTTCTTTACTGCATAAATATAAATGTTCACAATATTTCTTTTGAATTTTTTGATGCTCAGTGAATTTTTAAAATTATAGTATTTATTTTTTTCTGATTGAAAGATGTCTGTGTTAACAACAAAAACAATTTTAGGTAATGCCAAGAAAAGAAAAAAGAAAATAAAAATAATAGTAAGTCACTTGGAACTCAGTTACTCAGAGACGACTATTGTCAACAGAATATTTTCTTTTGGTCTTTTGTCTATGCATACGTATTCTTTGAAAACATAATTTCTCTGGTTGAATGACATGTCACATACTAATTTACTGTGATTTATGGAACCATCCCCAATGGAGAACGATTTATTGATCTTTTCCATATTGTTTGTTGATGTTTCTACACTGTTTTCACATTATGGTGGGAAAGATGACACAGGCATACAAAACCTGCCTAGCCTTCCCATGGAAAGAATTGAAAACAACAAAGTTTTATAAGAAAATACTAAGAACTTGTAGTAACTTGAGCACATCTTTATGTAAACATAATTTTCTAGTTGTACTTTGTAATTTACTATTCGATTAGTAAAAAGGTATGTAATGTTAAGCCTACCAGTGACAAGGCATTAGCTTTTGAATTAAAAGCAGAAGAGCCCTTGTGCATAGAAGAAGACCAGGTAACACTTCAAGGACGTTTGGCACATTGGATTTGTAGAGATGGGAAGTTACTCCTACACACCTGAATTTTAAGATACGGCTAGCAATTATCATTAGAACTGATTCTTGTTATAAATCTGTGATTCTTGATCATGGTGGAGACATGGCACTAGTTAGATTTAATACAAATTGTCATGCTTTTTTTCAACAAATCTACTTACAGATATTAACACAAGGACTATTTCCATGGGCATATAAATAATAAGGAGTAAGTATGAAATGAATTCAAATTACTTTTATCATTTTGGGAACTCTTTAAGGAATTAGAAAATGTGCTAGTATAGTGCCAAAAACAACAAAACATGACTGGGCATAGAGGGCAAAGATCACTATTATAATTAATTAATAGGATCCAGAATATTAAACGTTATTTGGATAATTAAATACAATGAAAAAGAAAGCCAACAAAATTATTTCAAAATGGTGACTACTCCTCCCATTCTTCATTATGAGTCAGATATAGCAAATGTATTTTGACTTTATGTTAGGATTTAATCACGTATTTTTATAGATTTTTAAACTCATTCATTCTAAACTGAGGAAATGGATTGTTTTTATAGTTGTTGTGAAATACCCGCCATGCCAAGACAGAGTTCTTCCTTCTGGATGCATTTGCAATCTTACAAAGAGCTTCTGGTGACTCAGAAAATCCCATGCGTCCATTTTCCAAATTGGATGTTATGTGATTAAAAATAAATGTAAATCACACAGAGACTTTGGTGTGCTTCCGAAAATTCCCATGTCAGGAGTTGGCATGTATCAACCATGTGTAGGTGTGTGTGTGCTCACTAATACTGTGTGAGCATTTAGGACCTTATTTGAGAAGTTCTTTCCTGGAAGAAGAGTAAAGGGTACTGTTTTGGAACTCAGCCTGCCATATCCAGCTCTGTTTCGGAGGAGAAGAAAGCAGGGCGGATAGACACAAAGGAAGTTCACAGTTTAAAATTTAAAGAAAAGGGCTCACTGGACTTGTTATCTTTGGATATTTATCAACTGGAATTTTTGTTTCTGCACAGCCCTTCTTAGATAAAGGAGAAGGGAGGAAAATGAGTATTCTTATAGCACAAATAATGCATTTTTCTAAATCATGCTGCCTCCCTCATCCAGGCCTGCCAACCCTAACTGCCCTCAATTGGTGACAGTTCCCGTGTTTTTCTTTTTACAGATGAAATTGATCAAACAAATGCATGCCCTGCTTTTGGTTAGGAAGGTAGACTTAGATAGGTAATAAATAATTGGGGTCACTTTAAGTAAATAATGAGTCTTGGTCATGAACAGAGGAAAAGAAGAAGGGGACATCTTCCAAAAAGCTATTTGTCATCTAGACTAGTTCTCTAAGCCTTGTTAGAAATTTGGAATTTGTTCCTCTCAAACCCGTCCATATAACCCACCCAAATTCCAAATTGGATTTTATGTGATTGCAATCACATAAAATGACAGCCAGATACTGTCAGGCTCTTTCTTCTCTGACACCCACTTTCTTTCTCTTTCACTGATTTGACACTTATGCCACTTTGATTGTTAAGCTGTGGTGTGTACACTTTTTTGTTTTTATTTTTTATAGAGATAGATAGGCATATCATTATTTCTCCCAGGCTGGTCTCAAACTCCTGAGCTCAAGCGATCTGCCCTCCTCAGCCTCCCAAAATGTTGGGATTACAGGGCATGAGCCACCACGCCCAGCCATGTGCATACTTTTTATTTCGCCAACTGGACAGTCAGTTCCTTGAGAGTAGGAGCCAGATCTTCTGCTTCTCTCCACTCCTTTTCATCTCCCACACATCGTCAGCCCTGTTTGGTTAGTTCCTGTGGCTTAGGCAAGGAAACTGCAATGAGAAGCGTAGGGGCAGACCCTTGCACTAAGGAGACGAAAGAAGCTGAATGCCATTGGAACTACCCCAACAAACAATGCCCTGCCAGAGTCAATGTACTCTGCACTGCAGAAAACACAGCTTTCCCACTCAGTGGAGGAAATAGCCTTTAACTAAGTAGTAGAAAAAAGTATTCCACAATTCACAACGTAATTAATCCTATATTAAAATGATTTAAAATCAGGGCTAGGTGGAGTGGCTCATGCCTGTAATCCCAGCACTTCGGGAGACTGAGGCAGGCAGATCACTTGAGGTCCGGAGTTTGAGACCAGCCTGCCCAATGTGGTGAAACCCTGTCTCTACAAAAAATATAAAAATTAGCCAGGTGTGGTGGCGTGCACCTGTAATCCCAGCTACTCAGGTGGCTGAGGCACGAGAATCACTTGAACCTGGGAGGTGGAGATTGCAGTGTGCCGAGATCGTGTAATTGCACTCCAGCCTGGGCCACAGATTCAAAATCAAAGCTTTTTAGATTCCCTGTACTATGAGTCTAGTGGTTCTTTCAACTCTTACTCTTGAAATGTACTGAAGCATTTACCCAGCATACAAGATGATGCTTTTTTATTTCAGCATTCAGTAACTGCAGACTATTTTCTCCCTGTTTGCACTGTAGTTTTGTACACTGTGTAGTTTTGCATTTAAGATGACAAAACAGTAAAATATATTCAAACTGTCTTAGCCAAAATAGGGCTAAGTTCTGAATGCATATTAAATTGGAACTTGAGGAATAGAATTGTGTTATTTCTGTAACTTTGAACTCTGAGGGAGAAAATATTCCTTCCTGCTAGTGCATCTCGAAGCATTTTGCATCCTAAAGGAAGTGTGGACTTCATTGGTTGTGTTGTGACATATATTAGAGCCCAGACTGTAGCTAAGTCGACTCTCTGAGCAACAGACACTCTGGAGGATCCAGAGACAGTAATGAATGAAGCCATTTGGACAGATCTGTGCCCTTCGATTTTCCTGCATTCAACAAAGCAGATGGTATTCCCATTCCCTATGGAAAACATCAAGAGAAATCCTGAAAAATCCCTAATGTACCTGATTTACTTGGAAATTATAAGTCTTGCTTGCACAGAGCTATTTGAAAGGCTTCCATGGAGAAATTAAAAATTTCTAAAATGTTAATGTGTGGTCTTAAGGAATCTACATGAATGAAATGATCTGGCAATGTTTCCGTTTTCAAAGGAATCAGGCTTGAAATGTAAAATTTGTGTTCAGTCATAAGAACCTTCCAGAAGCAAACCCCAGAAGTCAACCTGAGAAATACTTTTGTGAAGATCAAACAATGTCCAGGGATGAATCATCCACAGCATTTCCTACCAAAGTTGAGAAGCCAGACCTTCAGCACCAAGGTGGTCTCCATGCTAGACAAGAATATTTCTCTCACTTTTAAAAGTATAACGTTTCATTTCAAATAAATCAAGAGGCTGGACAAGATACTTGCAAAGAGAAGCTATGAATGCTTCCATGAAATTCCCTATCAATCAAATAGTCTATCGTTTGGTACAAAAATTGATTTTTTTTTTTCTGGAAACAGTATACATAGTACTTAGACTGTGCTGGGGCAGAGGGTTTGGACTGTTCCACAATTTTAAAAACTTCAAATGAACTTTAAAAACTGAACTTTACTAGAGATGTTGCTGAATACAAATATTCATTAAATTTCAACAATGTGTGTTTTTTTTTTTTTGAGACAGGAATCTCACTGTATTGCACAGGTTGGTCTCAAACTCTTGGCCTCACGAGATCTACCCCTCAGCTTCCCATGTAGCTGGGATTACAGGCATGCACCGCCTGCCTGTAATCCCAGGCAATCCCCAACAATGTGATTTTTAAATTGAGCAGTTGTTTCTACCTAAGGGTAAACTTCTCAACCCAAAAATGGATGTACTTACCATACATCACATCTGTCTGTCCTTTTGCTGGAAATACAGTAAGAGTGTTTTTGACCCAAGACTGCTGAATACATTTTTGAAAGGTTAACAAAGCATCTTTTCTAGATATAAAAGATTAAAGCAGTGTGAGGGTAATTATTATATTGGCCTTGCAATCTCCAGATATAATTATCACACAGAATATTTAAAATCTTATTTTGATACATTGTCAGCAGCAGAAATTGAAAACACACTTAATTAGAAAATTTGAACACATACAAAAAGTTGAATTTCTAAAATGAGATAAAATAAGTCAGTTTTAATTTTTCTTTTTTGCTCAAGCTGATCTGAAAATAAAAAGAAGAAATGAAAGAAATACTAGCACATCACCCCAAGAAGCTTCCTTCCCATTTTTGAAAGCAGAAGCTCCCCACCAATTGCAACTGATGAGGCAAAAGATGTGAATAGGAAGAGGGAATTTAATTCCACTTGATTGTATTCAACTCAACAATAGACACTCTTTAGGTATTGGAATGCACGTGTTGGAAATATCATCAAAAAGAGCTAACATTAAGGATTTGGCATTTCTTGGGGGAAATTTTAGAAATTAGCGGATTGTCAAGGGAAAAGCTAAGTTCAGCAACCAATGAGCCAAAAACTGAACTGGCCAATGGTGAGGGGAAGAGAGACAGCACAGGCTCTTTGATAAGTTGTGCGGGGCGACAGTCCAGGAGTCAGCAAGGTGATCCTGCTGTGAGTTTTTCCACACCCATTTATCTGTGCATCTGACATTGTGTTTCATTCTCAAACGTGGTGCTGTGTGCATGAAAGACACAGGGAAAGAAGGGAGGGAGGAAAGGAAGATGACGATTTAAGATGCTTCCAGAAGTTGAGAAAAACCTTTGCTTCCACATAATTGGGGATTGATGTGAAACAGTGAAGAGGTTCTAACTGTTAGCATGATATGGAGAAGCCAGCAAAATACACCTCCAGAACACTAATGTTCAATAAAATACTCACGTGCCTCACTCCTCCCACCTGAGACCTGGCCCCAGTACAGCCTCAAAAATCACATTTCTCCTTAATATGCAATGTCCACACTAAAGTTACTGATGTGGCCTTATCAGTGGCACCATTTTCGTGTCACATTTGCTGCTTGATTAGCCAGCTGATGAACCAGAAAATTTATCATATTCTTATATTAGATTCATTTCTCACCATCCATTTTTTTTGTCCACAATGTCACTTATTCTATAATAAATTCTGCATGACAATTAGTATTATAGTTTTGTCCAGAATTTGACTTCCTTCACATTTGTAAAGCACTTTATTTGTAAGACTCATGAGGAAAATTGTCATAGTCTGAATAAAAACAAAACCAAATGCATGCATTATAACCATTTGCTTACAATTAGGTTATTTTGAAATTAAAAAAAATAAAATTTCAGACTTTCCCTCCTTTTCTTTCTTCTTTTCTACTTGCTACCACAGGGTTAGTAGCAGATGTGTCATCTAGAGTCACCAACAGCTGCACTGAATTGACAGGGGCCTTGGGGGGAGACCTTGGGTAAATCCATTGCAATCTCTACCATACCTGGCTCACTGGTAAAATGGGCCCAAACCTCATCCACTGCATGGGAATTAACTCTAACCGGTAGCCTCAGTGAAAGTACAGCAAACGGAGCTTGGCACAAAGCAGGCCCTTGATAAACTTCTCATAGATTTTCTTAAACAAGCCACTTACAGAAGGAATGATTTCCCTGATCCCGGGCAATGCTGGCCTGGACAGAGTGCCGATACACTGGCAGCCTCATATATATTTAATAAATACCCACCAACGAGTGATAACAAAGCAAAAGCAACCACCAAAATGTGCCCAGAAAGGACTTAGTATTGTGTCTGAAAGTGGCCCCTGCAAGGGTGATGAACAGTAATGACTGCCGTCACTCAGATGACTTTGTCCTGTTTGGAGCATCTTTCTACTCTAGTATTTCATTGCAATTGATGGGCTTCCTTGTCGTGCTCCAAGCATTCAGGGTAAACACAGCTCGTGGGACACTTCAAGTCTTGGGGCTGAGAAATGTGTGTTTCCACTTGCCTGCAGGGCCTGCGAGAGAGACAGCTTGACACAGGAATCCTTTGGCTTCTCACTGCCCCTGCTGACCCAGCCCTGATAAATAAGCCAGCTAATTGAATTAATAAACAACTCTTTTTTTTTTAACAGCCAGCTGGAGTGCAATCAAAATGTGTGATAAATTATCTGTCACTGCTTTAACCACAGCAGGGGGAAAGTGGAAAAATTAGCCACTCTAACCCTTTCTCGGGGCTCCCTCCCTCCTGCTCATTTTGCTTAGCTATAGGATTTTTTTTTCCCCCTCCTGGTCTTCTCACTCTGGCTGAGGTCCAACATAGAGTTGAAGTGAGTGGAGAAACGTATCTGGCTGCCCTGATGATGGATCCTTAAGCCCCAGCACGGCAGTGGGATGCAGAAATTTCGCGCCAGTGTGTGGGAAAGCAAGATTTGTCTGCTACCCTGGCAGGAAAGGTTCGGATATGAGCCTGTGGTTTAAGCCCACAGGATTCTTGTTAAGGGATGGGGGTGTGATGTGGTTGATGAGCGAAACGAAGGGTTATGATGTCTGCTTTCTCTCGCTCAGCCTCTAATGCCAAACAGCTTTTGGGCCTTTCTGGAATGAGTGCAAAGGCCTCACCAGAGTTGTGGGGAATCGAAGCGGCTGCTTGATGCACTGTTTGCTTTTCACCCTGTTTTGCACCTTAGCAACCTTCTTCAATTTCTCTCTCCACCCTCTTTTCTGTGTATCCTAGGGCCTCATTTCAAGTCACGATTGTTAAAGGTATTGATTTTTACAAGCCATTCTTCAGCATTGTTCGTCAGAATCATGCAACCTATTAATAGTCCTGTACAATTTAAGGAGGCTTTTCTTTATTCATTTTTCTGATGATCTCCAGTGCAGTTTCTCCAAGTTGGAAAAATAAACAGTCACCATCAGGCTAAATTCATGTGTAGACATCATTAGGCTTTTCTGTGTCAACTCACTCTGTGGTGTGGAGACCTCCCAGGGTTCACCGGGGTTGGGAAGCATCTGGGTCGTATGTCCCAGTTTAACACCATAATTCTCTCAGAGGTGCTTGCGTTATAGGATGTCGCCTTGTGTAATAATATACAAATCATCTGCATGGAACGGCCCAGAACTGGCAAGAGATGTAGGTTGCGTGAATGCAGGGTTCTCGATTTGTTTGATTCATGGGCTTCTAAACACACTTCGAAGGAGCTCTTCTCCAGAGCATAGGCTCTTCACTGCCTGTATGGAGCAGAACTTTTCATCCACTGCCCTGAAATGGGATAAAGCGATGGTTGTTCTTTTTGTTTTTTCCAGGAAAACAGAGCTCTGGGAAAACGTCATGTCATTGCTAAAGTCAGACCTTGACCACTATCAGGCAAAACTTGAGACCACACTCCTTGTTAATGTTTGATTATATTCTTATACTAGAATGTTTACTGCAGGGTTTTGTGCTTTCATTGGCATTTTCAGTCCTGGCTGTGCTAGGCCCCTCTGCAGATCCAGGGCTTCTTAATGGGGTGGGAGTGGGTCAGTGGAGAGAGGAATTAAAGTAATTCTGAACCAACAATGTGAAGTATTGTGCTTGTGAAGCTCCAGGACATTCACACCTCTGTGGAACTGTAAATGCCTGCCCTGAAGAATGCACTTGAACTCCACGGGATAGAATCCAAAAATTCCAATAAGGATCCTGTTTAAAGGGTCATATGGAAACCTCTGAGCAGACTTCTACATTATATCTAGAACGTGGTCACGTGTCATCGTGCCTCCTTCCTCCCCTTACCCCCATGCAGCAGATCCAATGGCATCAGGGGAACAGATGATGATAGTTTCAAGAAAACTAGTGATAGTGTCAGAGGCTGAAAGAAGATACAGCCAACTTGTACTCAGTTTCATGGCTGCCCATTTTACAGGCCTTTCTCCCCACCTTTTCAAAGAAAATGAGTAGCATAAAACAGAAAATTAAAACTTAAAGTTGGCTTTGATGTGCCCTGGATGATCTAAGTAGAGAAAAGAAGGGAAGTTACCTAGATACTTTATTTATTTATTTAGAGATGGAGTCTCGCTCTGTTACCCAGGCTGGAGCGCAGTGACACAATCTCGGGTTACTGCAACCTCCGCCCCCTAGGTTCAAGCAATTCTCCTGCCTCAGCCTCCCAAGTAGCTCAGATTACAGTCATGCACCACCACACCTGGCTGATTTTTTGGTATTTTTAGTAAAGATGGATTTTGCCATGTTGGCCAGGCTGGTCTCAAACTCCTGACCTCAGGTGATTCACCCACCTCAGCCTCTCAAAGTGCTGGGATTACAGGTGTGAGCCACTGCGCCAGGCCTATGGCCTACCTAGGTACTTTAATTTGAATATTTCCAGGCCCCTCTCTTGAAATTCTTTATAGATAAAAGATAGGGTGGGGATGGGAGGCAAGTCCTCCTCCCGACTCTTATTGACTAAGAAAATGTTGAGTCTGTCTTCTAAAAAGGTTTATGTGAGTGTTATTGGAATCTCTGGATTTTGGTTGATTGTTTGAAAATTGAAGTATTAAAGCCACTACCTAACTCAGGGCCCACTATCATTGTTTTCCTGTGAACAAGTGGAGTCTGCGCCTCTTCTCCCACCCCACCAGCCAAAGTCCATGTGCAAATCTACTGAGTCACTGACAAGAGAATGTCAGGGCTAAAGCTTTTTATGTAATTGCTTTTGGAGAACTTCGTAGGGTTGGAATTATTTGACAGATAACAGAATATAGTGTAAAAACCATGTTAGGAAGCCAGCAGAAGAAAGCTGAGAGAAGTTCCCCAGCTGCCATTGGCCAGGGAGAATTTAGCGACGGCCTGGATAACACTCCTGAGGTCTAGGGTCCGCCCATACCTGCTGTGCAAATGAGAAGGTTGGCAGATCCTACCTGGACAGCACCTGTCCCCAGCTGAGAAGAGACATCTGCCTGTGGGTTTAACTAACTCTGCCCCTCCCCATGTGGCCCAGTGGCTGACACTGTCTCTGTGGCTCCTGAAAAGAAGTGGCCCAGCCTCAAAACACATTGACTCAATGCCACAGAAATTACATAGCACATGGGCTGTTAGCACTTTCATACTTCCTCCTTGTTTCTTATTTAGTATTCTAGATGCAGCTGAGTGCCAGACTAGTCCCTAGGGCAGCAGAGAAAGCCTGGACTGGCAGTCAGGAGGCATGGGTTCTAATATACCTTCAACTTTAAACTTGTCATGTGTCACAGTGGCTTTTAATCTCACTGGCTCTCAGTTTTCTAATCTGTGAAATGAAGTATTCTTGGGCCAGGTGGGCTCCACATCTCTTTCAGTTATTAGATCCTATGGTTATAGAAAACTAGATTCTCTTTTGTCGTTGTTTTTTGAGACAAGGTTTTGCTCTGTTGCCGAGGCTAAAGCGCAGGCTGCACTGCAGCCTCGACCTCCCTGGATCAAGCCATCCTCCCACGTCAGCTTCCTGAGTAGCTTGGACTACAGGCATGTACCACCACACCTGGCTAATGTCTGTATTTTTTATAGAGACAGGGTTTGCCTTGTTGCCTCGGCTGGTCTCAAACTCCTAGGCTCAAGCAATCTTCGCACCTTGGCCTTCCAAAGTGCTGGGATTACAGGCATGAACCACCACGCCTAGCCTGAAAACTAGATTCTTAACTCTGCTATCATCATTGCCATTCTTGAACCACAGAGTGCTTTAATGAGCTTCATTAAGTACAGAGAGGATATGTCACAAAGACATTTTGTTATTTAGCTGAATTTTGATACCAGTCAATTTTAATACCACATGATAGTGGTCCTGTGGTGTCTCCTTCAAAGTAATAAAATAAGTAACATTGATAAATGTCATTTAGTCATGGTTTAGTTAACCTGGCTGTCAGGTTAAGGCAAGGTTTCTCAGCTGTGGCATTATTGACATTCTGGGCTGGATAATTATTTGCTGTGGGGCGAGGGGGCTGGTAGTCTGTCCGGTACATTGTAGAATGTTGTTTAGCAGTGTCCCTACCCACTAGATGCCAGTATCACAGCACCCTCCTCCTCCCCCAAGTTGTGACAATCAAAAGTGTCTCCAGATGTTGCCAAATGTCACCCAAAGGGAAAAACTGCCCTCAGTTGAGAACAACTAGGTTAAGCCATGACCAGGTTAGGCCAGGGTTAACTACATAGATTTGATTTGTTACCAACTGAAAACACTAGTTAGCCCCAGAGCAATAGCACCATCTATTTAATTCAAGTTAGAACAATCTAACCTCATTCTAAAATCTCAACAGAAACAATCCCTTTAATCTATCATGTTACAGTGCATCGCAGGCAATGGAATCTACTGCATTTTGAGTCTTTTGGAAATAGGCAGTATCATCTTTGTCTTGGTATTCTTACCGTGCACAAAGTAAACGCTTAGCAAATTATTGAAAGAATAAACAACTTGCTCCAAAACACCAGAGAAGTGCAGAATGAGGAGCTGCCATGCTCAGGCAGTCATTCTGCATGATTCTTATTCTACAGGAGGAAATGAAGCAAGTGTTTGCCAGTTGGAAGGGTAGAAGGAATCTTTGGGAGGGAGGCTGCCATTACCCTAGCTGAAGTGAAGCCAGGTTAAAACCCTCTTCTGGTTTAAAAAAAAAAAAAAAGCCATGGAACATTTAATGACGAGCCTCAGTACATCACAGCCCACGCTGTACATCACCCAGGCTCCCTAGAGGGAAATAAGAGTAAAAGATTCAGTTGCTTTACGTCTTCTGTATTCCTACATTGACGTATATTTTGGTGGCATGGGACTGTGGAATCTCAGATGTGCATCTGCCATGTTAATCTCCCTAACATGGGAGTCCTACTGGTTTTTCTGATGTGCCTGAAGAGTAAGACTTTAAGTTGCATTTGAAATGTTTCACTCAGTTGTCCTGACAAGATAATTTTCTCAGAATACACAGAAACCACCTGTATTTGTCACTATAGATGCTAGTACTGCATTGAGTTTGTTTTCATGCTTGTTGTTTTATAGGTATTATATGAATCACTGAATGCAAGCATTAGGTCTGATTCATGAGGTTCGTGGATTTCATCTGATATTATTTTGTAATCATTAAGTTCCGAAATGAACAAAGTTGATTTACTGTGAGAGTGTTCGCCTCTTAGCTGGGTATTTGTCATTTAGGAGGAAATCCACCAGACTAGTGCTGCACCGTATCTTTCAGTCCCCTCTCCCCATCCTCACTGGGGATGTCTTAGTTTCAAAATAGGTCTCCCCAAGAGGTCCATTTATTGAGTTTGAATGGCAAGTGCTTTGGAAACACCCTGCCTTATCAGCACTCTATAAAATGTTCTCGGTTATAGCATCCTTTTGATAATATAGTTAATTAACAACTGATGTTACAGAGATTTTAATTGTGAGATCAAAATTAAGCAAAGAGCAATGGAATAGAAAGAGCACATTTGTAGGGCTTACCATCTCTGCACATGAAACCAAGGCTCAAAATTAGGATTCAAAGAGAAGTGTAACTGTTATTTCAGAAGGTGGATTCATACAGCAATGAGTATCAGTTTCATCAGCATGGGTCATGAATACACATTCCTAGAGTCCCAGATTTCTATCTAGTGATACATACTCTATCCTTAAATTAAAAAAAACAAAAATAGATCAAAATTTTAAAACCTGGGGTGAGAGAAGAAAGAGACTTAAGAGAATGAGAATATGCCTCTGTTTCCATTTACTTTCCCTCTGTCTGTGTCTGTCCAATCTTCCACCCCAAGAACACCAAGGAAATCAATGTTGTAGACCCAGATTGAATTTAAGATTTTTGAATGGAAGGAATGAAAGCACTTAGGTGCATTTTCTCTTGTTGGAAACTGATTTTAAAACTTTTTATTACTTACGTTTAGGGAAACATTTGGGGTTGGTTGCAGAAGGGTATAATATTTATTTATTTCTTTGTTTACAAATTGAATTTTAGTGCATATCCCTCCTTCTTCCAGGAAGGATTTTAAGCTTCTAAATAATACAAATCAATTCAGTTCATTTAAAAAATAGTCCTACTCATAGCAAATGTTATCCAACCATAATAAATTGAATATTTGGCTATTGACAGTTGCCCTCCTTGGCAAAGCATGCAATATGTGGTGTCTCACCAAGGAAGCTCAGTGATGATCTACTTCCCGTAGTGAATGGGCTTTGGAACGAAATCAAAGGATACATTTTAGCAGAAGAAAGAAAGAAAGAGAGAGAGAGAGAGAGAGAGAGAGAGAGAGATAGAGAGAGAGAGAAAGAAAGAAAGAAAGAGAAGGAAAAAGAAAGAAAAATAAAGAAAGAAAGGGAAAAACTAGCAGGCACTGAATCAGTACCAAGAAAAACAATCCCTCCTCTACTTTGAAAAAGATTCACATTCAGATGGGCTTGGTCCCATCAGTTAGTCAGACCAGAACCAAGTGGTGAGCTCACTTATCGTGGACATGCTGAAGGAAACGTTTCAATCGAAACCCAGAGTAGCAACATCTGCCTAGCAGAAGCAGTCACTAAATGCAGAAGGCCCTTCCCCTGGTAAGTTGAGCTTCACCTTTGTGAGCTCTCCAGACACAAATATGCTCCTTAAGCATGATGCTGTTCGTATTAAGTCAGGCTGGTTGGAATATGTCACAGAAATGGGAGAACTACCCACTGCTAGACCTGCCATCACCATTTCCACTTGGCTTAGTGGTTGACACATTTGGTTAACCATTTTGTTAGCCTCTGGTTAACCACTTATGGTTTGAAAACCTTACAGAAGTGGGAAAATTTCCATACACAATCTTATGCATATGAAAACAACCGTATAGGATACAATTCCTTCCTTATCTACCACATCAAATCCACACCAAATCTTGCTGGCATATGGTGAAAAGAAGAACCCACTTGATAATACCCCTTTGGTGATTAATTTATCTGGAAACTAGGGTGGAGTGGACAATTCTCCAAAAAAAGGAATTGAGCTTCTTTTGAGTTTGGAATACTTTGACTCAATCTTGTATTCACTTCTCTTTTGGAATGATTCTGCCTTATCATTATACATTTATAAATACCAGTGCCCTTGGATCATGTACGTTTTCTACCTTCAGCTAGAGCTGACTTGCTTTCTTTCTTGCTACTCTCGCGCATCTTCCTTCTTTCTCTCTGTCCTTGTTTCTCACCTTCCTTCTTGCCTTCCCCATCTTGCTCTTTATCATCTACCATCTTTCTTTTAACCAAGAGGCTCTCCAGCTAAGTAGGTCACACCCACAAAGAAAAGCAGGAGGTTCAAATTCCTTCCCTTTACTGACTCCTAAGAGATCACTTAACATTTCTTCACAGGAATTTTCTATATCTCCAAAAGGTAGGGAATAATTTTTGTCGCCTATTTCATAGCTTAATATCTGCAAGGTACTGATTTAGGGCAAGCTACTATATATTATTGTCAGTCCCTGGTGAGCAGTTGCTTAAAAGAAATTTGGAGTCAGAAAAGAAATTGCTTGAGCTGGAAAAGAAGACAGATCATGAAAATGATATCTTAAGCTTGTAAGAAGATAAATTTTTAGAGATGCCATTTTCAATTAATAAATCAACCAGAAAGCTTTCTATTTGGCATTTTTAGAATGGTACTCAGTTGTGACAATGTGATTTAAGGAGATGGTTCCACACTTTCCTCCCACCACCCCCATTACTTGTGTTGTAGGCAGTAAAAAAGTAGATTTAGATCTCTGGTTCATTGAATTGTACACCATAAAGACAATAGAAATGGAGACGTAAAAAGATAGCTTAGCAAGGGCCAGTGATTCTACCGTCAAAAATGTGCCAAATAGGATGGGTGTGGTGGCTCATGCCTGTAATCCCAGCACCTTGGAAGGCTAAGGCAGGCTGATCACTTGAGGCCAGGGGTTCGAGACCAGCCTGGTCAACATGATGAAATTTCATCTTTACTAAAAATACAAAAATTAGTTGGCATGGTTACAATCGCCTGTAATCCCAGCTACTTGGGAGGCTGAGGCATGAGACTTGCTTGAAACTGGGAGGTGGAGGTTGCAGTGAGGCAAGATCACACCACCGCATTCCAGCCTGGATGATAGAGCAAGACTCTGTCTCAAAAAAAAATTGCCAAATAATAAGTGTCATATCACATGGAAAAAAAAAAAGCAAAACTAGAGAAAACTCTGAAACTAGAAGAAAGTATAGAAATGCTCAATATTTTCTAATACCTGATTATTACTGAAATTTTAACAATGTAGTTGAGAACCAGTATGATTTGGATGCGTATCAGCTCAGAAGAAAGTTGCTCCTCATTTTTTGGTTGGAAATGCTGTGCACTGTCATCTTCTTGGGCATAATTCAAAAGCTCTTCTTAAGCGTAACTTTCTAGACACACACACGGCCAGATTCTTAATAGATTATGAATGACTCTTCTTTAAATGCCTCGAATGTAGACATGCAGGGGAAAGAAGAAAAGATTCCGTATTTTTTATTCTGGCTTCCTTGAGCACAGCTTTCTTCTCCTTGGTGTGGCTTACCTGAAATACTGAAGATCATGCTGTTATCAGTGATGACTGGCCTTCATCCTGTGGCCCTCAGAGACTTCTACAGGTCTGGCTCAGGGAGACCAGGCAGTGGACAAATGGCATCATGGATTCTCAGTGTGCTCAGAGCCCAGGGGCTATTTACAAATGTGCTGTTTGGGTGGTCAGGTGACTGCTGGGTTGAGTGCCATATGACCCAGACCATTCACAGGCAGACCTCCTCTTTAGCAGGATGGTAGAACTGTCACAGCAAGTTGATTTGGCTATTGGTCCGATGACTTTGGACCACTAATAGCAAGCCAAAGGAAGTAAGGCAGGTGCTTAAGAATCAGAGAGTATTGCAATCCCTCTCTCTCTCTCACTTCCCCTAATCCCCACCAACTCCTCCTCCCTCTGACCACTCCTCTCATATCGGTGGTGAGTACTGGGAGCCCCCACACTTTGAGGTCTCAGGCAGGGGTGAGATTCAGAGGCAACAGATGGCAAGGAGGACCCAAATACACCATCACTATTTTCCCAAGGAGAAAAAGCAGGACTGGACACCCACAGAGCACATTAGACAGCCTCAGATATGGATACCAAGGGACAAGACAATCTAAACTTCCATACAGTCAACTTACCCTATCATTAGAAAAACCAGGAGACTTCTTACTAGAAAAAGTTTGAGGCCCTGTTGGCCAGAACACCGAATGTCTACGACAGAGGCCCAATGGTACACATCTTGCTATTTCCCAACAACTGGAGGGAAGCCAGATGACAGCTGTCTCGAGGGGTAGACATGTGTTGGGAGAAGGTTCCATCTCCAGTCCCCTGAGGGCTTTTTAGTCAAACTTCCAGATTCCAAAGTTTAAGCATCAGTTATTGAGATGCCCTCTGGGAATGGAGCAAAGGACAGTGTCCATCAAGCGAGCCGAGCACAGCCGCCCTCCCAAGGGCTTGGGGGAGGATCTGCTAGAGAGCTGGGTGATGTGGCAGCGACTGGCTGTCCCGCCCAAGCAGCACACTGCCAAATCCTGCACCTCCTGCAGCACACACTGCAAAAGGACTGTTGTCATGATGGTCACCAAGCACATACCCAAGGACTACTGTGCGTTGAAAAGGTGCCATTTGTGTAGCTAGAGTTGCTCTCTGTCCAGCTTGCTTGGGATTTGGGGATGTGTAGCATTGAAGAGAAATCACTATTCATTGCACCCCTTTTTGCCAAATAATTAGGTCACTCACTCAGGAAAGGCCCTGTGATACATATGTGGAGTAAAGTTTGCTGTGGGAACTTGAACTCTGAATTTCCTGACTTCTGTGCAATTAAAATCCCAAAGTTAATGCTGCATTAGCATGGATTTTCCATGGTGGGTTATAAATGCAAAGTTCTATGTTTCATATGTATTTTTCTAACATATGTTACTGCCTGTGTTTCTGATTAAAAGTTCATCCAAAATAAAATAACAAGGGATTACTTTTTTCCAATAGAACTTTCTTCTTCGATAAAAGCTGGAAATAAGCCCTTACCTAAAGTTACCCAGGTTTGCAGGTGCTGAGACTTTAGAGGTGAGTAGTGTTTGTTAGCAAGACAAAGGGCATTATTCTCCCTGCAATCACCAACAGAAAGCGTTCTTTCTATAAAGAAAATTATAGGCCACTGCTTCAAAGACATTACATAGTTAGGCACTACTACTGGAGACTTTCAGGCAGCAGGCAGGCTGGCAATCAACAAATATTTATTCTACTTCCATTGTGCATTTAGTGACTTTAAAATTCCCAGGGAAACTAGCATATAATATTTTCTAGGGCCAAATTAGTACCTGAGGTCATGACATAATGCTTAAGGAGCTCGGCAGCCGGAAAGGAACAGCGGATCTCTAATATCTCACCTGAGTATGGGGACATTGATGGAATAAGAAAATCAGACCCCCAAAAAGGCTTTTTAAAACTGAACTTGTCAGGGCATTTCTTCCCTTTCGAACTCCTTTAAGAGACACCCAGCCTTCATTCCCTACATGTGCATACCTGCACACACACACACACACACTCTGTCACCACCACCACTGTCTCTGCCCAGAAGTTGAACCCAACTAAATGGATCAATTCATCAGATTTTGTTAAAAAACTAATGAACACTTTTTAGAAATCATCAAACGTGCCAAGATGTATATATAGGGATGTTCGTCCCAGTGTTACAGAGGAAAAATAGAAATAGCATGCCTGCCCATCAATTCAGAATTGGGATACTCCCCTAGAGAAAAATCCAACACTATTAGATATGATGTTTAGATCTTTGGTGGGGGCAGGCAGGTGAGGGACCTGGACTTGTATGGCTCACATCATGGCCCTGCGGAGAACAGGACTCTCACTCTCTTGAGTTCTCTAATTTAGTTTTATTGATACAGCTGAAAAATCACATCAGCTGTTTTGATGTGTGCATTGCATAATGATGCTTTGCGAAGTCAAAATCCCCACACCCTTCTGTTACATATATGTTAGCCCCAAGCTATATCTCCTCTAAGCTGCTTTGGATAGTAGATGCTTTTTGTTTTGTTTTTGTTAAACCAAGCATAAGATGTTATTCTGATTCCTGCTCAATTTCTCATTAGACAAGATCTTTACGGATACTGATTCTTCATCTGGTGCGTTAAACACTCTCGACTAGCTTTGTATTATACACAGTTGATGGCTGTGACTTCTGCATTTTCTCTTTGGTTCTAAGCCAGCTGGTAGATAATAGAATTGTAAGAAAAGGAGGGTACCAGTATCTGGCAGAGGAGCCAAATTCTCTGAGAAAAATACTAAAACCCTGGCATTGACTTTGGTCATTGTAGGGCAAATATCTTTTTGGTCTTCGTTGTTTCATAATACAGTGTTTCGCATAAGGTGGCATCATAATGAATATTAGTAAGTCTCAGATGAAGTCAAGAGTTCTCTATCAGCCCGCTGTCAGAAGAAAAGACATTCTTCTTTTGCTTTCTTTTTTAAAATATTGTTTAAATTGAGGTAGAATCCACATAAAATAAAATTAACTGTTTTTCTTTCTTTTTTTTTTTTTTTGAGACAGTATCTTGCTCTGTTGCCCAGGCTGGAGTGCAGTGGCATGATCTCGGCTCACTGCAACCTCCACCGCCCGGAATTCAAGCAATTCTCCTGCCTCAGCCTCCCAAGTAGCTGGGATTATGGGCGCTTGCCACCACATTCCGCTAATTTTTATATTTTTAGTAGAGATGGGGTTTCACTATGTTGACCCGCTAGTCTCAACCTCCTGACCTCAAGTGATCTGCCTGCCTTTACCTCCCAAAGTGCTGGGATTACAGGTGTGAGGCACTGCACTCAGCCCAAATTAACCATTTTAAGGTGTGCATTTTAGTGCCATTTAGTACATTCGACGTGTTGTGCAACTATCATCTTTGTCTAGTTCCATAATATTTTCATTATCTCAAAAGGAAACCCTGGAACCATTAAGCAGTGACTTAATCCTCCCCTCAGCCTCCAGCAATAAGTAATCTGGGTTTTTTGTCTCTATGATTTAAGTATTTCTAGATATTTTATGTAAATGTAATCATACAAAACATGACCTTTTGTGTCTGGCTTGTTTCATTTAGCATAATGCTTTTGGGATTCATCTATGTTGTAGAATATGTCCGTGTTTCATTCCTTTGTACGGACAAATAATATTCCATTGTGCTTTATTTTTCATCAAAAGCTGATATTAACTTCACCCCTACCCACCCACTCCTCCCTCATCCACAAAACAACTCTACTCAGTTCCATCGACTCTGCTGTATATCTTTATGGTTTACACAGATTCTCATCTCATTATGTACCCCCATTTCACAGAAGACGAATTTGAAGCTTAAGGTGATCAACCAAGGTCCTGGAGCCAGGCTTTAAAACCAAGACTTCTCACTCTAAGTCTTCTGTTGTTTTTCTGAAGTTCTCTGCAATGATAACTTTTCTTTCTTTGTTTTAGACATTCACCCAACTCATTTCTCCAATAGATTTCTTTACTTAGTAAACCTCAACTTGGATCCTTTCTCTGATGAAATAGGGAGTGAAGAATCATGCCCTCCTTTGTTAGGTAGATGAAGGCACATGGCGCTAAGTGGTTTACTTCTCTAAGGACCTAGAGCTGCCTTATGATGGAGCTAAGACTAGCTCTGGCTCTCAGGATAGAAGTTTGTTCTGAAAGCTGCTGAAATGCACAGTCTCTTAAAATGCTCACCCTCCTGCTGAATTATAAAAGACAGCCACTGAGTCCAAGAGACGCAGGGAAGTGGTATCTGCAATAAAATAATTCTATAAATGTGCATTCATTAATTTCTTCATTCAGCAAGAATAAATTAAAGGCTCACTCTTACAGAACTGTAATTAATATATGATTTAGATATTAATATGGAAAAGGCTGGCAGGGAAATTGCTAAAATTTGTCTCTGGGGTTTGGCTTTTTAGACATCAAAGTGCAATGTATCACCTAGCACTTAGTCTGATCAAGCACCAAATTCTTTTTCTTGCTTACATTAGATCCGCTGAAGGTCTACTTTTCTGAAATACCATCCTTACTCATGAGCTAGGATGGTACTTCATCCTGTGATACTCCTGGCATCATTTCCCAATGGACTAGAGTATTGATTTCTAATACAACTCCTTTGTGTTATTTACTAATTATATCCTTTCTAATATCTTCAGTTAGTAAGTTTGAATGATGTAATGTGACAAATCATAGGAATATTTATTTTTCTAGGTCTTATGGAATCCTTTTCCTCCTGGGTAATGTTTCCTTCCAACCTGGCGGACTTATTTGAAGTTTTATTAGCAAACCAAAATCTAAATCAGAATACTTAAATTGCGGAACCATCAAAGCTGAGTTACCTTATGAAAGTTTTAAAAGGAATAGATTTTATTCCAAGTGATTAAGCCAAGTATGATCTTAGTTAATCCCATGCACAGCACGGAACTGTTGTTTTTCTGTCTATCGCCACATCTCCAAGTTTGAAAGCATTTGGGGATCTAAGCTGGCCATTTACAGTTGTTAAATTCAGTGGATAAGTATCAATTTGGGCTTTTTTAGTAATTCAGAAAGAATTTCAGAAATCTTTGATACCTAGAGGAAGTTGGTAATCATTGCTATTAAAAGCAATGAAGTGAAGGCTTCATGCAGTGAAGGCTTTTGGTCTCAAACCACTGACTGGACCCTTCAGAAGCCTGTGTTGACTGCTTTTGTGGATCAACTGTGTTTGGAAAGTGAAAAAAAAAAGGAGAAATTACAGTAATGCTTTGGAGAGGCCACAGAGGCCAATTATTTTGTATTTGGAAGGAAATATGAATTCAGATTTTGTCATATTTGTATGTAGAGAGCCTCTTACTTCTGTGGTCAACCCAGAAACACTACATTTTGATACTTTCACATTTTTTTTCTGGAGCAAAAACCAACAGCCATTTATAATTAAAACCTTTCTGGAAAGAATACTCCAACCTTCCTCACTCTCACTCAATTGAATTTCAATTAACATTTAATAATTCGGCTCGGCTTTCAGAGTCTATAAAGCATAAGCAGTCAGCCTTGTTGAAGATGGAGAAGCGATGTTTTCACAGTTCCACAAATGTTTCTAATTGGCATGAACCACTTGCTAATGGGAGATAAATTGCCCAGGGTGGGTGTGGGTGGGTGTGCTGCGTGTGTGCACACTCACGCAGGCACACAAGCATGCACGCTCGTGGCAGTAATGACGTGTGGGTGTACCCAGGCTTCACTCGACATGCCAATGATGCAAACTTGAGCTAAACGGGAAATTAAAGAGGGACCAGGGCTGGGCCATGACAGCAGCGGCCACACTCGGATGGGAGGAGGCGAATAGTTGGTTCCTTACCAAGAACCCGGCAGCAGGCCCACCCTCCCGTCGCGGATAGTGGACAGGAGCTGAGAAAATACATGGACCAAATGAAAATGACTCCTTTTGACTGAAACTACCTGTGCGTCAGGCTTCTCGCCGCCTCCCCTAATTTTCTCTGATATAAATGAACATGGTAGAAGATGACAGAAAGTCGACAAGAATCATTTTTCTTTCTTTCTTGCAGTCATGTCAGTAATAGCCCTGGGTTTTATAGCTGAAAAATATATGTTTATTTGCTCATTAATTTTCCTCTCTCTCCCTTGCCTTTTCTTGGCATTAGGTGGAATGTTATTTAAAACAAGACACAGTCCAGCTTCAAAAAGAAAAATCATTCTGCAAAATACAGCTTAGACCCATTTACTGGTCATTTATCATCCCTAAGAGAGTGGAGTAGAAATTTCTATATTTGGGAGATTTGAATGATTTACAGTGCAACTGTGACTCTTGTTGGCACCAGGATCCAGGGACGCAGTAGGTTCCTTAGGACTTCGAAGAGTGTCCCACACTGTTTCGAAATGACATGGAGAATATTCACTGTGGCACATGCAGAGCAGCTTGATAATCACTTATCTTCACTGCATTCCTTCAAATATGACACAGGCTGCTGCTCAGAGGGTAGACTCAACCCAGAGGCCTATCATTTTCTGAGGGGTGATCAAAAGTCTTCATCTCCACATCTAAGTGTGTATTTCTTCTCTCTGGTGTTTTAAAAAGCTTGGTTTTATGCATCTTCCACTTCCTTCAAATAGTGGGCAAATAACAATGTGCCTATTATGGTACCTGGCACATAGTTGAAGCCCAATAAACATTTGTTGAGTAAATAAATAGTTAAGTAGAATGTTAAAAGCATTGCTAGCATTATTGTCTTGGCCTTAACAGTGCAAGAATAGACTTGAGGCAATCAAGTAATTTCCCTTAACAGTATAAGCTAATTATTTGAGAGATGAAGATCTGGTGCATCGTATTTATTTGTCAGGTTCCATTTGCTCCTAATTAAAGGTGGAAAAGTTGTTTGTAGCTTTGAAGGGATGGCACAATGACCCACTCCTACATAGATTTTTTTATTTTCCTTGCCACGTTTTCAAGGAAAATACATCAAGATAAAATTAACAGGCATTCCTCTTACTTACTTCTGTTTTCTTTTCTCTGTTACTGTTTTCTAGAGGGCAGGCAGGGTGTGGAGCAGTAAACTGTTTTGACTGTACTTTTACAGCCCATCTGCCTACATGACTTCTGTAGTTGATTCTGCTAACCTTGGTTGACTAATAAAATCATCCTCCCACATAAATACCAGCTACAGTGATCCAAGATTAAAATGCTGCATTTATCATAAGCCTCAGAAAGTTTAATTCATTCATTCCTTCATTCATTCCACAAATATGAATTCAGTGTATCATATGTATCAGGCTCTGTGCTAAAGCTGTGTATTTAACACTGAGCAAACTCTAACATGGTTTCTGCTCTAAGCTTACAATCTGAGATGGTTGATGAATATTAATTAAATAATCATACTCAAATTATATCGCTACAAACTAAACTATTTTTTAAAAGAAATATGGTTCTACTAGGACCATATAACAACAGGAACTGATTTACACTAGGAGACCAGGGAGAAGTTTACTAAGGAGAAGGCTGGACTGAAGAAAGGGGATGTCTGAAGTACATCTGAAGAAAGGGAAAGAGCGTCCTAGGCAAGAAGATTGTGAAACGCGAAGGCCCCATGTCTGGAGGGTGCATGACGCGCCCTCCAGAAACTGAAAGTTGGCCAGTGTGGCTGGGTGGGAAGAGAAAGGGCTGACGGGAAGGCAGGCCTACGCCCTGCAGGGACCACAGCTAGGCCATATTAAGGGCTTGGACCTTCATCCCCTGAGCATTAGACAGACTTACAAGGGTTAAAGCCAAGGGTGAGGAAGTAGAGGCAGGGAGAAGGGATACATGGCCCTTATCATGTCTGTGTTTTGGAGTAGGGGAAATGTAAGTGTCAGTTCTTCACAAATACAACAAGGGAGATGAAGATGCTGAGCCCTGGACAATCCTTTCTTTGCTGCAGATGAGGTTCCTGGAAATTCTTTACCATCCACTCTCCCTTCCACTAAATTTCAGAAAGAGTGCATCCAGGTCCCTAGCTGTGTGCTGAGTAACACTTGCACGTGGCCATTGCTGGACCATTCGGCAATAACGTCTCCTCTTGTCAGCTCTTCTAGCCCCTTCTCGCGCTTTCTGCTTTTCCTTTTGATGATGGGGAGGTGGCAAAACACAGTTCATTTCTCTCTTTGGCAAAGTGTGAATGGCATGGCTTGTGGCACCTTCTCTCTTGGTTTAGAGAACAGGCTTTGGAGTTAGAGTGGCTTTGCCTCTCCTTTAGCCTTACACGGTTGTTCTGAGGATTAGGTAGCTTGATACTTGTAAAACATATAGAACAAGGACTGGCACATAGCATGTACTTAGTTAATGTTAGCCATTATTATTACCTATTTTTGCAGATATAGAAGGCTGTCAAAGATATATTGCTAAAGGGACAAAAAGCAAGATACAAAACTATGTATTAAAACAGCTTGATTTTGTGCAAAGCAAATGTCTGAGGATATGTGGTGGTTACATCTGAGGAACAGGACTGGGGTTTAGGGGAGAAGGCTAGGCAAGTGGCTTTTACTTTATTATCTAATATTTTTGTAGTAATTGATTTTTTATTATAAAAAGTATACTTTTATAGTAATGAAATTACAAGGAATAGTTTAGAAAGTCCATACTTTCCATCATGTCATTTTTTTAAAAAGGCATGATGATTTCAACATAACCTCTTTTCATATTTTTTCATCCTTAAATTCGGAAGTATCATCCAAAAACTTCTCCTGGGGGTAAAGAAACATGTATCTAAAACCCAGCAATTCCCCAGATTTTCATTTCTTTGCTGTGCCATAGTCAAATAAAAGTTTTTAAAATTACATGCTATTTTAATTCCACAGTTACAAAATTATTCTAGTTATTCTTTCATCTCTCCATATACATATATAGAGTTGTCTGGAATGCTGTTCACCCACCAGATATAAACAACGCATTTGGCTTCATTGTTGCTGACTTCATTGCAAAGCATTGCTTAAATTTTTATAATAAGCATTTTTATAAAAACAATGAAATCATTGCTTAAAATTGGAGATGAGAAGTGTTAGTTCACTTTTCTGTTTAGAAGTAAACATGGCCGGGTGTGGTGGCTCACGCCTGTAATCCCAGCTCTTTGGGAGGCCGAGGCAGGTGGATCACGAGGTCAAAAGATGGAGACCATCACAGCCAACATGGTGAAACCCTGTCTCTACTAAAAATACAAAAATTAGCTGGGCATGGTGGCACACGCCTGTAGTCCCAGCTACTCAGGAGGCTGAGGCAGGAGAATCGCTTGAACCCGGGAGGCAGAGGTTGCAGTGAGATCTTGCCACTGCACTCCAGCCTGGCGACACAGCGAGACTCCATCTGAAAAAAAAAAAAAAAAAAAAAAAAAAAGGAGGAAACACAGTACCCAGCATCTAATCTTTCCCAGACATTTAGGATGCTGAACTTCTTCAGGATTATGAAGGTCAGTAGCTGTTGTGCAGTATCTGTTGCTCATGAAAGAGGTGAGAAGTAGACTATGTGGCTACCGAATCGGGATGACAAAAATATTTTAAATGATGACCGCATATTAACATACAGTCTACCATCCTTTCCTCTTGTTTTTTATTTATTTTTTTTCTTAGCAGGTAGAGGCTCTTTATGTTTAATTAAGGATTTTGATTAATTGAATTGGTATTTTTCAATAGTGTATGTAACTGGTTGAGAATCATTAATATTGTACAGTGTTAGAGCATAGTAGCTTTGATCGTCATTTAAATACAACTGTTTCCTTGCCCAGCAATTATACACCACTATCATGAATCAGATAAGAACACAAATCTGGAAAGAACTTGCAGTCCCCTGGTAAATACTTCATGAAGGCAATGGGAGCTTGCCAATTAGACAATCATCTCTGCATAAGATATATTTCCAACGAGTAACTGCATTATACAGTCCTTAGCACATTATGCCCCTCGGGATATGATGATAATTGACTGTGTCACAGAAGAAACAATTTTGAAGAAACTGGGACTAAGCTGATTATCAACTGAATCTTTAGAACGGGGTTAGCAAATGATGGCCCAAGGGCCAAATCTGGCCCGCTGCCTAATTTTGTCCAGTGTATGAGCTAAGAATGGTTTTCAAGTTTTAAGTGACTGGGGAAAAAAATCAAAAGTAGAATAACATTTCTGACATGTAAAAATTATATGAAATTCAGATTTCCTGTCCCTGAAGTTGTATCAGAACATAGCAGATTCATTCATTTATACATTGTCTGCAGCTGCTTTTGCACCACAGTATCAGAGTTGAGTAGTTGTGACACAGAAGATAAGAGAAGAAAATACTGACTATCTGACTCTTTATAGAAAAAGTTTGCTGACCCCTCCTTTAGACTCAGGTACAAGTTATTTGTGTGCATGTCTGCTTATGAATGGATAATGCTTTTGTGTTAGAAATACATCTGGCCAGTTGATGTGGCCATCAAAGGAGGTGCAATACTTCATATTCTTCTATTTTCCTCACTCCCTTCTCAAAGTCAAAAGAAAGCTATTGAGTGAGAAAAATTAAGAGTATTGGAAGGGACCATAAGAAAAATCATGGTAACAGAAAAGACCTACACATTACCTCCGAAGCTTGTAAATTACTAACTCTAATTTTAAGCCCTAAAATCAGATTAGCTCTCTACTTTTTAAAATTTGAAATTATTTATTCTCTGTGTCTGAGAAATATTTTGAGAGGCAAGAGCATTTGTTCTTGTGACTCTTACAAGATACAGTGGCTGGCCGGGCACGGTGGCTCACGCCTGTAATCCCAGCACTTTAGGAGGCCGAGGCAGATGGATCACGAGGTCAGGAGTTCAAGACCAGCCTGGCCAAGATGATGAAACCCCATCTCTACTAAAAATACAAAAATTAGCTGGGCATGGTGGCAGATGCCTGTAATCCCAGCTACTCAGAAGGCTGAGGCAGAGAATTGCTTGAAGCTGGGAGGCGGAGGTTGCAGTGAGCCGAGATCGCACCACTGCACTCCAGCCTGAGTGACAGAGCAAGACTCCATCTCAAAAAAAAAAAAAAAAAAAAAAATTAAATACAGTAGCACACCAGATGGAGTCTCTTTGTTCAGTGCTATCACCATATTGAATGGTGCTCTTTGGTGTATGCTTGCATTCAGTTGTAGATACGATATAATGCATGATTGGATAATAGGAAATACCTTTTAGTAGAATGTATGATTCTTGATAGGATATCCTGCCCATTGGCTTTGACAGTTGAATTAACCTATTTGGCTGACATTGACCCTCCTACTGACCACGATATATAAGAAAATATGAAATTAATATAAAAGCTATCTTGTACTGGTAGCAAGATAGCTACTGGTAGGAAACATTAACAATAGCATCGTAAAATATAGAATTGAAAATGTGAGTCATTTTGCTTTTAAATCTCTATCATGTACATGACTGACTTCAGTTGTTCTCTCTCCTCCCTTTTGTTCTGTTTCAGAGGTTGAAGGCTGCATTGACTCACCACCCTGCTGCCATGTCAAATGGGAACATGAACACCATGGGACACATGATGGAGATGATGGGCTCCCGGCAGGACCAGACGCCACACCATCACATGCACTCGCACCCGCATCAGCACCAGACACTGCCACCCCATCACCCTTACCCACACCAGCACCAGCACCCAGCACACCATCCTCACCCTCAACCCCATCACCAGCAGAACCATCCACATCACCACTCCCATTCCCACCTTCATGCACACCCAGCACATCACCAGACCTCGCCACATCCGCCCCTGCACACCGGCAACCAAGCACAGGTAGACCTTTTCCGTGATCTCTTTCCCCTTCTTATTCTCCTTCTTAACAGTGCAAGCTCTAATGCTGGGGTCATTTGCAGCAATCTTGTTTGACAAGCCCAGGTGTTCTATCTCACATTCTAGGGGCTCTGTTTATCTCCTAGGAGGCAAGCCTTACCCATAAGACCCTACCAGATCATAATTTCTATAAATAATACACTAAAAAATATCAGGTCTAGTCTCTAAGGGCAAGCATAAACTTTAAGTTCTCCAAAATCTATTTTTGCAGTGTGTCAGAAAGTTAGCCCCTCTCAAAAGTAATATGAATCAATGGATTAGGAAGAACTTAAGCTTGTGAAGAAAGATGTGAATTAAGAATGAGAAAAACGAGTTAATTCTAACCCTGGTTCTAGCTGCTATGTTTTAAAACATCATAGAGACTCAATTTTGTCACCTGTAAAATGGAAGTTAAATACAACAGGCAATCTTCTGAGTAACAGTGAATGTTAAAAATCTAAAGAGTAACAATTCAAGGCAGACAAAGAAGCTCCATCATGGATGCTAGGGCGTAAGGTGCTGTGTAAATGGTGAAGAGAGGTGACTCATCCCCCTGAATGAGAAATGCGTTGGAGGGAACAGAAAGAGAGCCAAGTTCTGTAGATGATCAGACCAAGAGAAAGGCCAAATCCCAGTGGGTGAGAGTCACCAGGAGTGGCTGCAAAGAAAGCCAGCATTTAGACAAAACTGAAAGAGGGTTGGGGGACCAGGCAGACATTATGTCACCCACGGCCAAGAAGAGAGGCGAGTCCTGTACTGGAGTGAGTTTTAGTAAGTGGATGAAGGGCATGTCCAGGAGCATGGCTGGGCCTAGACACTTTGGATCCTCAAGCAGAATGACTTTCATCCATACCTTCCACCCAGTCCACACTGCCAGCTTCCAACCAGCTGAATCAGAAGGGTGTCGGAAGCATGGAACCGCCAAAAAACACTTATTCACTGTCTCCTCTGTCATCTGCCTCTGGAGACGTGACTTTATACCCGGCAGCTTTTTGAACTCTTGAGCCCCCCTCCATTAACATGCACCAAACCTGGACAGCCATCCACAGAATGGGTCAGGCACAAGCAACTCTCGAAGCTATTCATTAGATAAACTGTCTTTTGCAAGGTTCTTAGAGGTGTTCTACATTGTGAATAAGAATTGAGCATTAGAATGAGATAACCTTAATTTTTTTCCTGCCTTCCTCACTGTGTGATTGTGAACAGAAACAACCTCTCTACCCCTCAGTTTTCCCATCTGTAAAATGGGGCTGGGTAATAGTAGACTAAACTCCTAGGCTCTTATGAGTATTAAATAAGAGAATCTCTGTAAAGCCCTTGACACAGTGTTCAAAATATGTTATTCCAAACCAGTAGAAGTTTAGCAAATTGTATAGCAATCAAATGCTATCCAGAGAACATTTTTAGTCACATTTTTAGTCAAACGCCATACTAGAACATGTATTTAGAAAGAAAAAAAAAAACTACAAAGTCAATGATGGGCAAATTGATTCACATTTGTACTTAGTTTATAAGGAAACGAGAACATCAAGGTTTGGTTGCCTTTATGGGCAAGTTATTTCACAGAGCAAGTTATATAACAATTCTTTGAATATAAAAGCCATTCACTAGCTAATTACCAATTAGCCAATTGCCCTCTGTTTCAAGTCAGTAAGTGGCCAATAGTATATGCAATTAGTTAATTGCTATTATAATTAGCTTTATGAACAGTTGCTTTTTTTAATTGTATGCTAAAAAGAAAGAGCCCAGGTTGGTCTTGCTAAAATTTGAACCAGATCATTTAGGCAGTATCCCAAAATACCACTCTTAAATTGTATTAACTTGGCTGATTACTGAGATCTTGCCATTTTGCTTAATTGTATGATTATCTGAAAGTAGGAATAGAATCCTTTGAACTCTGAGATTCTAAGGTGATTTGGAATAAAATCTGCCTTTTTGAAATTATAATTTATTACTTTTGATCAAAATTTTCAGAGCATCTATGCCAAGAGAATTCTGCTTTAAAAATAAAATTACAAGCGACAATAATTACCAGGTATACAAATTCTGGTTTTAGGGTTGTATTTGCATTTTCTCCTGGCTTCTTGTGCTCCTCCTGCATGTAAGGATGTGATTGTAGAGTGCTGGTTTCAAGGAATTTCTCTTAATCAATCCTGAACCTAATTACACCTGAAACCACGTCACTTATGCCTTTGGGTGAAGGCACAGGAAAAGTATCATGGGTTACAGGTTGATTAAACTTAGGGTAGGAGGATACAGAATTGAAAGATAAGTCCCTGCAATGGAGATTAAAAATCAATTTTTTCCTATTTGAGGGTTTTGTCTGGGGCTGGCAATAAGAGATTATAATTCACAAAAGGAAACAGTTAAAGGCAAAAATATCCGAGCAGTTAGCACATTCCCTCTTAATGCTTTTCTTTGCAGTAGTTAGCTCAGGAATTAGCATCTGGAATGACAAGTGCTAAGCCCCTGCCAATAACAAGGATGACGCCTTCACTAGCAACTCTGATGAGTAAGACCTTAGACAGTTAATTTATTTTGTTATTCCTCTATAATCGGGAGGAAAAGAGTCACCAACAAACAAACAGTTCTAGAAAATGTCTTTGCTGGCCTGGTGCGGTGGCTCACGCCTGTAATCTCAGCACTTTGGGAGGCTGAGGCGGGTGGATCACGAGGTCAGGAGTTCAAGACCTGCCTGGCCAAGATGGTGAAACCCTGTGTCTACTAAAAAACTACAAAAATTAGCCAGGCATGGTGGCAGGCACCTGTAATCCCAGCTACTTGGGAGGCTGAGGCAGGAGAATCGCTTGAACCTGGGCAGCAAAGGTTGCAGTGAACCGAAATCGCGCCACTGCACTCCAGGCTGGGCGACAGAGAGAGACTCCGTCTCAAGAAAAAAAGAAAATGTCTTTGCTTTGCATAAAATTACTAAGATGCAGTTCAACCTCAACCCTGGGCCTGATTCTTTTACAGTTAGTCATAGATGGTTTGATAGAGTTTTGGATTAAAATACATCACCATCAGTCAACTGATGTCAACCAGTAGCCATTATTAGTGCAATTACAGTCATTCTGATTGATTTCAATCATAGTGCTGCAATGTGGTAGAAAAGATTGTTGAGCTTCATTTTTAAAACTTTTGGCCTGTTATTTCTGCAGGTTAAATGTCTCTTGTAAAACAACTTTATAGGTATTACCGTCATAAACCTGAGTGACTAAGAAATGGGAGAGGAAAAAAAAAAACACCTTTTATTGAGAATGAAGAAGGAGGAAGGAGTGAAGTGCATGAGGGAAAGCATTAGGTGTCCAGACATATAAAGAAAAGAGTCAGGTGTAGAAATTTCACAAGGTGCTGTGTGTCTGCCTTATGAATAGAAATAAAGCTCTATGTGTGGGGGTCTCCAAGCCTTAGATGTTGCTGAGTCCCACACAGACCTTGCAAGGACTCTATAAGCATAGTAAAACTTTTTAATAAAGTGCTTTGCCACTCAGGATTTCCTTCTAATGTAACTGTATGGTAATGCACAAGCAACTCTCACTATCTCACACACACACAGTGTGACAGGGCTCAGTGCTGCTTCAGGCATCAATTTAATGCTTTCAAAGGCCCAGCTTCCCAATCACCTAGAAAGCTCTCCTGGATCTCCTTTCACCCTGGTGAGCGCTCTGAGGGGCAGGCAGGCCCGGCTGGAGTATGCAGGTCCAGCTAGTCCTCTGCATTAAGAACTGTGTAATAGTCAAAATAGGATTTCATCTGCTTTCCTGGCTTCATGGGCTTCTTTTCATAGGAGTCACAGTGGCAACGATGTCCCAGAGGTATGTTAGGAACACAATTTTACCACTATTAGAATGAAAGGAGCCCACAACCTGCTCAGAGGTTTTCTGTAGATGACAGATGAGTCATCCATATTGTGATAATAACCCTGACCTTTCTGTTTTCACCCTGTAGCCATACATTGGCTATTTTAAAGTTGTTCATTTGTTTTTGTTTTTGTTTTAGAGACAAGGTCTTGCTCTGTTGCCCAGGCTGGAGTGCAGTGGCACGATCATAGCTCATGGCAACCTCAACCTCCTGGGCTCAAGCAAGCCTCCCACCTCAGCCTCCTGAGTAGCTAGGACTACAGGCATGCGCCACCATGCCTGGCCAATTTTTCCTTTTTTTTTTTTTTTTTTTTTTTTTTTTTGTAGAGACAGGGTCTTGCTATGTTACCTAGGCTGGTCTCAAACTCCTGGCCTCAAGTGATCCTCCCGCCACACCTGGCCCTTACTTTAAAGTTTTTAAACACACCGTCAGTAAAACATTTTTAATAGTTGAAGGAGAAAAATAAATGTTTCCTCTACCATGATTCGGCCAAATGCCTGTCAGGGAAAAATCCATCTGACTACATCTTTTCACGAGTCATTCCTATATCTTGCCAACACATCATAGAATATAGGTCAGTGATGCTTTTCCTTTTCTTTCATGAGTGTGATTTCATCGTCTGTTTCATTCATAGGAGGCAAGTCTCATATGCTGACTGAAACGATAGACTTTCTGTGCTTTGCTTTTTAACATCAGCTTGGGTTTCTTCCCTTACCTAACCACGTCCTTCCCTATCCCCATCACCTCCTCCCTCTCTGGCCCAGCAGGTTTCACCAGCAACACAACAGATGCAGCCAACCCAGACAATACAGCCACCCCAGCCCACAGGGGGGCGCCGGCGAAGGGTGGTAGACGAGGATCCGGACGAGAGGCGGCGGAAATTTCTGGAACGGAACCGGGCAGCTGCCACCCGCTGCAGACAGAAGAGGAAGGTCTGGGTGATGTCATTGGAAAAGAAAGCAGAAGAACTCACCCAGACAAACATGCAGCTTCAGGTGCAGCCCACGGTGTCTTTCCCCGCGACTCAAAGGCCCTCTGCTCCACGGGCATTTCCGGCCCTGACAGGCACTTGTTGACCTAAGCAGTGATACCACACACTTAGTCCACAGAGGAGCCGCAGCCCCACTCCTCGAGTTTTATTAATTCCAGGACACCCTGCAAAACAAAATTAACCATTCAGTTTTCAATCAATTTGCCCACAAAGCTCTGAGAAGGGGGGACCTACCCCACTAAGTTGTAGGGGTGGGAGAACAGGCTTTAATCCGACAGAGATCCAAACCATGGTTCAGCAATTACTTGCTAGGCTTAACTCTCTGGCTCTCAGTTTCTTCCTCTACAGAATGGGAATAATAACTTTATAGAGTTGTTACGTTAGGAGCAATAAACAAACTAATGTCTCCAAAGCAGTTGCCCAGTGCCTGGCCCATAACAAACCTTCAGCTGAAAAGGAGCTTTTCATTAATTATATTCACTAGGTTGAGGGGGTTGCCTTGGCTTATACTTGATTATCTCTATTTTTGTTTCATGGAAGAAAGAAAGGTTGATGGTCATTATGTAGCTCTGAAAGAAAAGGCATGTTTTCATCTCATTTGCCAACTCACCAAGATTTGAATCTTGCTTAATTTTTGCTTTTTATGAATGTCTTAACTGGGGAGATTTTATAATGAGGCCCAGAAGTGTCTGGGAGTGTCTAAGAGGAAAGGAAGGAACTCTAGTACCCAGGCTTCTCCAATAGACTTTATAGATTATAATGATGCAGTTCAGAGCATTTGTTCTAATGTTAAAAATATGTGCACTATTTATCAGCAGAAAAAAAAAAAGGCAAGTAAATAGACATGTATGCAACCCACAGTCCAGGGATAGCATTAAGAGTTGTGGATTATACTCCAGTGCTTCCAGAAGCTGAGAGAATGGCCAAAGAGAGTGGGGCAGGGAGGAAATTACCCTACATAGTGAGACTGCATTTTAAGAGTTCATGGGGTCCGGGCGCAGTGGCCTACACCTGTAATCCCAGCACTCTGGGAGGCTGATCACTTTGGGAGGTGGCTGGATCACTTGAGGTCAGGAGTTTGAGACCAGCCTGGCCAAGGTGCAGAAACCCCGTCTCTACTAAAAACACAAAAAAAAATTGCCAGGTGTGGTGGTGCATTCCTGTAGTCCCAGCTACTCAGGAGGCTGAAGCAGGAGAATGGCTTGAATGCAGGAGGGAGAGGCTGTAGTGAGCCAAGATCGCACCACGGTACTCCAGCCTGGGCAACAGGGTGAGACTGTCTCAAAAAAATAAATAAAAAGAGTTAATGACTAGGCATTGGTAGGTCACTTTTATCTTCTTCCCACACCTAGTTCTCTGTGCATCCTTAGAAAGGAACAGTTAGGGTGCCAAACCCCAAAGCCTTTGCATATCCAGTTTCATTAAATGGAGATGGCTTGGGGTTTCCAGTGTACAAATTGAAAGTATATAAGGAAAGCATGTGTTGTATGAGGGCCTGAATTTCATAATTTATGGATGTTCATTTTTCCCCCTAAATGTGTCATTCTTTTTGTGATAGACATGATGAGAAAGAAACTGGGAAACATATAGCAGATGTGAGGAAAATAAGATAATGATTCCCCCACTAACTTGTATGCCGCGGGAAGATTGGGACTGTCTCTTACTACTCCCTCCGCCCACTATCTATCTATCTGCTGTTTATAGTGTAGTGTCTACACTCAGTAACTTATTTGTTGAATAAATGAATGGGTTCCCCTGTTTATAGTATAGTGTCTACACTCAGTAACCATTTGTTAAATAAATGAATGAATTCCTCATAGCTGGAGTGTCTAAGAATTGGCTGCTTGACCACTTGGCAAGGATGTGATTGCAGGGAGTCAAGCCACCAGAGAAATGGCTGGACTCAACCACCTTTAAAGCCACTTGTAGAATCTGACAGGCACAGTAGTATCTGAAAAACTTTTAGGTAGAATGTGGTTAAGCATTTTTCTTTTTTGAGACTTGTCTCAAAAAAGACAGACCTCACTCCATTGCCCAGGCTGGAGGGCAGCTTACTGCAACCTTGACCTCCTGGACTCAAGTGTTCCTCCCACCTCAGCCTCCCAAGGTGCACACCGCCATGCCTGGCTAATTTTTTTTCTCTAGAGACAAGGTCTTATTATCTTGCCCAGGCTGGTCTCAAACTCCCAGGCTCAAGCAACCCTCCCACCTCGGCCTACAAAAGTGTTGGGATTATAGGTGTGAGCCACTATGCCCAGCCAAGCATTTTTAACATTAATAATCATATTTTAATTTTGATGTGTATTGAAAAATATAATTAGAAGATCAAATCTGCAGTTTCAAAGATATTAGTAAGAAGGCTAAATCATTCAAAATTGAGTTAATTTGCACAAACATGTTAAGTAAATAAAAGTTCTTGTATATGTGAACCTAGTAAATATTACCGCAGTGGTTCTGCAATAACTGAAGTGGGGGGAATCCCAGGAATTTGCCACCATCTCTGAGGTCTGCAGAAGGATGATGCAAACATGTAGGTTTTCTCAATCTTGGCCCTATTGACTTCCGGGCTTGATCATTCTTTGTTGTGCCCTGTGCATTGCAGGCTATTTAGCAGCATCCTTGGCCTTTACCCACTATATGTCAGGAGCACATCTTCCAACTATGACAACCAAAGAGTCTCCAGACATTGCCAAATGTCCCCTGGTGGTGGTTGGGAAGGGAGGTTGGGTGGCAAAGTCAGCCTTAGTTGTAAACCACTGCTTAGATGAAGGAGCCAAAAATAGCCAGCTGGCACATATCAGCTGCCAAGGCTTTAAATCAGTTTTAACTAAAATGAGTCTTTGCAGAATTCCTTCAGGGTATTGACTGTGATCCTAATGCATGCAAACATGGAAGGATCATAGCAGAGAGCCAGGAAAGTAAAGATGTCCACAGACTTTGAGGCCAGAGGTGTTCGTGACTTGGCATATGCGTATTTATGATTGCTTTTACAGAACATACAAGGTAAATTTACCCTTCGCTAGACCCTAATGCACTGATTTTTTTTCACATTTCTTTAGAGCCAAATGGCTAAGGAAAAAAAGAAACTAGAACTCTAGCTCCCAAAACCAGAAAAAAAGATCCTACTGAGTTCATGTAACAGGCACCAATATCTTTTGGTAGTTAAAACAGTACCCAAAAAAGGGACAGTCTCTGAACAGACTAAATTGTTGATATTTTCCAACCACTGCTTTGCCTTGGAGGGACAGAAGCCACAACCACCCAGTGTTCTCTGTGAAGCTGAGTGTCCTGCATCAGGCCCCGGGATGCTGGAGAGGATGCTGCAGATTCCGCTACCTTTGAATGACCCTTTCCCTCTCACTGGACCTTTGTCAAAAGAAAAAGGTGTCTCTCTTGAGGCTGGACCAGTGAGCCAAATTTTAAGTAAACAGAAATGGAAGGTGCTAAGCAAACAAACTCCAGCCAAATGGAATATCCAAGGTCTGGATGGCCAGCTGCCACTTTTGAGTTGTTTTCCAGCGTAGAACCCTCTAGTTAGGCTGCAGCATTTCAGATTGGAAAAACCAGACCTAAGAAAACAAAATCAAACTCCCAGACTTCATTTCCTAGTCTCACAACACATCTCTGCCCAAGAGGTCAAAAAAGGTATAGGAATTGGGGAAAATATTAGAAACCACCTAATCTGACATTTTGTGGAGAAAGAAACTGAGGTTAGGGAAATGGGGGGTCTTCCCTAATGTCACACAACAAGTAGGTGGCAGAATGAGGACTCAGGGAAGTCTCCTGTTGACCTAACCCACTTCTTTGTGATCTTCTATTTTAGAAACTCCGTAAGCCAAAGAAATCCATGTTCTTTTTTCTGATACCAAGGGACTAAGATCAGCTCTAAATTCATCGACTGCTGATGTGGTACTCAGTAGAACGTCTGTGTTCAGTAGAGGATATGGAAATCATCTGGTCACCCATGGAAATAATTGCTTTTCTTTTTTAGTGCAAAGACACATGGTCTAAGTTGCTGCTGAAATTTTGGACACATGAGCCCAGGTCTGGGACTTGGCAAGCGAATAGGCCAGATGGGAACTGTTGCTTGACAAATTGAAAGTTCTTTGTTTCAGAGTGAACCAAACCTGGTCTCAGCTAATCTACCAAAACAAAAAAGCTGGGGGAGGGTATATTGTAGAGCCCATTTTGATAATTATTTTTTTGGCACAAACTACTGCTTACACCAAAAAGCATTGTGGATTTATCATATAAATAATGACATCCCCAAAGCTGAACACTGCAAATGTAGCTATTAGGGACTTGTTGGAGTGCTTGCTGAAAGTATGTTTTTGTAGTATTGAATATCTCTGTGGCGTGCTGCTTCATCCCAAGGCAAACTATGGGTTTAAAAATAGATCAGTCCAACTGGATCTTACAGTCGCTAAACAGCTAACTGCTTTAGAGGAGCAAACTCAAATTCGTTTAGAAAAATGAAAAAATGAAGAGTTGATTTCCACCAGACAATCAATACATATTATTAATACCTTGTATTTACAAAATACTTTTATATTAAGACCTAAAACTCTGATTATAACCTTCATAGGGGAATACAAAATGGTGATTTTCCTCAATTTATAAAGCAAGGTAATTCAGAGTAAGAAAATGCCTCCAGAAGGCCTGGTTTTTATTTCCCTACTAGACTTCCAGGCCACATTTGATTTCTTGTATGCATTTTGAAACATTTGCTATCTGGTTGTTCTCTTCCAAAATGAATTCAAGGTGATTCCACTTACGTTCCCTTGAAAAGCGTTTTTACTTAAAATATAGTCTAGTATTTGTGCATTTCCTACACTAATCAGTCTTTCACTATGGAATCCTTAAGATGATTATGCATGTGCACAGCACACAATTCATTCTTCTTTCTCTAGGATAGTGATTCTTGACCTTTCTTAAGCCAAAGGCCCCTTATGAAATATAATGAAGGCTCCGTAGATGCTCTCTCAGTAATATGGACACATAAATGGACATAGAAAATTTTGCTCTAAAATGAAACTATAAATGTTGCTTTGGAATCTGCCCTACTAAGATTTAGAAGCATAAGAGGTGCTAGAACTGGCTCCCTTATGAAAGATAAGACCTGAATTATAAGCATATTTGAGCATATTGAAAGTAGCTAAGTAATGAATAAAAGTCAAGATGGACTCTTTCATTGGATAATTGGGTAATTTGCTTTCTCAATAGAAGGTGACACAGAATTGCTTGTAGAATAAAAAAAAATTCTTTCTGGAAGGAACTTTCTGGAAGTAGTTCAACCATCGTGTTTTATACTTGGTTGGCATGGCAGCTTGGGAACTCAAACCCTATTATTCTCAACTCTCAAGTGAGAGTTCCTTTTCCTACTGGATGCTGCCCCATGAATTTCTATGGCTTATGTGGTTATTAGGCCTTTATTTAGTCCTTGCAGCATCATAGTTATATGTATATGGATAAACAAGAAGCTGATTGCCCTTCTCTACTGAGGACATTAATTGGTGTTCATTTTCCCACAATAACATGGCTAAATAAGTATTAACATGTTACATTAAGAAATATGTCCTGCCAGGCACAGTGGCTCATGCCTGTAATCCCAGCACTTGGGGAGGCTGAGGCTGGAGAATCACTTGAGGCCAGGAGTTCAAGAGCAGCCTGGGCAAAATAGCTACACCCCATCTTTGCAAAACATTTTTTAAAATTAGGTGGGCATTGTGGCACATGTCTCTAGTCCCTGCTACTCAGAAGGCTGAGGTGGGAGGATTGCTTGAGCCCAGGAGGTAGAGGCTGCAGTGAACTATGATGGTGCCACTGTAGTCCAGCCTGGACGACATAGCAAGACCCTGTCTCTATAACAATAAAAAAGAAAAAAAGAATATGTTCATATTCACATATATCTTTAAATGATGGTCAGTTGTCTCAATATTCTCAGGGTTCTGCATTTTTACAGATCCTCACAACACTCAGGCCTTTGGTCTCTGTACTTACAACATATTGCTTTATTAATAAAGTGTTTTGCTGTTCATAGACTAAATGCCACCAAAGTCATATACTTTGTATGGGGTTTTGGTGATAGGCCAGGGCACCACATGTGCTGACTAGTGCTCTTTTTATAGTAAAACAGACTTATGAAAGCAAAAATTTATTGTGAAACTGTTTGGGGCATGCCAAATATCATAGGCAGTTAGCTCTTTGCTAACTGTAGAAACCCAGAGAATAGAATTGAGTGTTTTCTTAGGGAAGGGGCAATGAACACTTTGTGCCTGGGAGATCGAATGCTGCCAAGAAAGGGTTTCATTGCCCAGGACATAGTGGGGGAAGAAATGGAGACTAAATTCAACCTCTCCAAGATGGCCACAGGCAGGGGTGTTTTTTCTTCCAAAAGTATAAGAAAGCAAGAGAACCCAGTTTTGTTTTTAATACTTTTCTTGTTTGTTTTCTAGGTAGAAAAGTGTGGATTCACTAGAAATTAGAACTTGATTCCATTTTCTAAGATCCATTGTCTACATTATCTGCAGCTGAGAGCTTCTACTCAGGGGGCAAGGTGTCTAGCAGTTTCGATTTCAGAAAAGTGTTATTTCTGTAGTCTAAATGCAAATAATATGACATTTCCTTCTGAAGCAAATATATACGCACACACACACACACACACACACACACACATAAACACATCTCTGTTTCCTTTCTTGGTTTTTGTTTGGTTGTTTTTTTTTAACCAGAGATTGCCTTCATTTGATGGTCTAGAAGTGACTTTCTTTTATATGTGCTATTTTGAGCAGAAGGAGAACTGAGAAAAAGAAGGAAGGCCATCTGAATTTAGATAGGTGTAAAGTCAAAGAGGAAGAAGTTAGTGTTTAAGGCTAAAATAAATTGTCCTGTAAGTTATCCCACTGACCTTGGAATTGACAGGGTCACTTTTGGTTTCCACAGAGCCCCTTATCAATCACATTCATTTGGAGTTGGGAGGTACAATTTGCCTTCTTGTATGTTCTGAGATGTAAGAGCAATTTTCTTGTTTGATTAAGTGATTTATTCATCATTAAGGCTAATTTCCCAAATAGTCATTTTTATTTTGTAAAAATAAAGTTTGGAAGAGAAAGGGAATGAGATGAGATTTGTAGATGAGATTTTTATTATTTTGTCATTGTTTTATTTTATTATTTTTGTTATTAATGTTACTCAATATGTGGTTGCTTATAATTTATTTCACCAAGAAATTTAGAAATGGGAGATATTCCTTAAAACAGATTTCAATTTTTTTTAGCGCAACTTCTAGAATCCCAAACATACTTTCCTAGGTGATAAATACATGGCTGAAAAGCCAAGTTCATATTGAAAGTGTAGGTACAACTTAATGACAGCAATGTTAATCGTCCTTTTCGGTGTGCATGCATTTTTTAAGTCTCCTACATGTGAGGTATAATGCCTGGCAGCCACAAATAAACCTTGACCAAAGAGAGGATATTATTGATCACAATTTTTAAGTGGCTTATTCAAGATAGTGCTACATTTACGTTCACTTTTATCAAGTGGAAGCATCTCGGAGCTACCATCTATTTTATGTTTATATTTGTAGACAATGGGTGCCAAGTTCATTATTCTACAAAGCTATGAGCATGCCTTTGTGAATTAATATTAACAGATAAAGTAGAGATCCGAGGCACTTACATGAGTAAATAAGAAGAAAACCCCACACCATCCACAATATCCTGATATTGAGGGGGGAAAGAGTATTTTATAGACCGAAATTGACCAAATAATCAATGAACTCAATCAAATTAATTCAATCATGGCCCAAAACTTCATTGCCTCCTTGCCACCCTGAGCTGACATCATCCACCTGCAGCTGACCAACATGTGTACTGTATGCTTCCATACCTCCTGCTCAGTGGGCATCAGGCAGGTAGATGTGCTCTGCTCAACAGTATCCCATGAACAGTAATTGAGTAGGAGATGGTGGGGAGAGCAGGGATTCATGACTGAAGGTCAATTTATTTTCAGATATTCTTTTTAGATTGAGCAACACAGACTTCTTTTGGAAAATCTGATGGTAGATGAGTCAGCTTATTCTGATTGCATTTCAGGTGGAAGCCACAAATCCTACCACATAATTCTGCCCAATGTGCGCCTCATATTCACATTCTCAATTGGATGTAAACCTGAGCTTGTGAAGGTTACAATAGTTAAATGTATTAAGTCCTTATTATGTGCTGGGTATTGTTCTGTTTCCCATCTATTACTGTATTTAATCCTCATAGTAACACAAATAATGTACTCTTCTTATCCCCATCTTATAACGAGGTTGCTGGAGCTCAGCTGGGTTATGTAATCTACCTAGGGTCACACAGTCAGTGTGGAGTAAGGATTCTCACCTGGCTTCGGTTCCCATCACCTAAGGGTGTGGTCTAGCCTTTTAATAAGGTTCAGCTCTTGAGTTAAAACCTAAGCTCTGCAGAAAGCCCCTGGGAAATGTGAGGGCCAAATTAAAGGTAAGCTACAAACTTTCAGGTGAACCACATTAAATAATATTCTTAATGTCATTTAGACATAATGGAAGAGTTTGCCAGTTTTGTTGTTGAAAGTGCACAGGGCTGTGGGTTTGTATCCTCTGGTCTTCTCAACATGGTTTTAATACATATCTCTTTTAGAATGAAGTGTCTATGTTGAAAAATGAGGTGGCCCAGCTGAAACAGTTGTTGTTAACACATAAAGACTGCCCAATAACAGCCATGCAGAAAGAATCACAAGGATATCTAAGTAAGTCGCCGACTTTTTCACTTTTCTTTAGTGTCCAATATTTTTTGCCACTAAGTTTGCACTGAATTTGATTGAAAGAGCAAAAGTAAAGTGTAGATTGTACTTCCAGGCAGATATACAAGAATTCTTGAGTGGCTTCCAGACTATTCTTCCAAGGGGATCCCTTTTTTCTGACCCCTGTGCAACACCATGCCCACCACCTCCTGATAATTTCTGGCCACTCCTTCCCTAGCATTTCAAAGTATCAAAAGAAATACCAAATTCCAATTTTGCAGCCAGTAAGAAAAGAGCCAGCTGAAGCCCAAGTACCAGTGGCCTAGCAGTCGCCTTCAGAAATCTGTGGTCTGGGAACCAGGCCTTGGGTGAATCATATCCAGTGCCTCCAGAAACACTGCATGTTACTCACTGGGCTGAAAAGCTAGTGACTGGCCTCAGTTTACCAATATGTAAAATGATCCCTTCCTTCAGACCCCAGTTTCTGCATCTGGAATGCCAGTTGGTTAAATGATAGTTGAGTAGGGATGGTGGGAGGAGCAGGGATTCATGGCTGAAGGTCAATTTATTTTCAAATAATTTTTTAGATTGAGCAACACAGATTCTCCCACCACATGTGAGTATTTTTCCACATTTGATATACGGATGGCTATTTAAAAAGACAAAATGGGGAAGTTCACATATCCATGACTGAAACACATCAAATCATTTTACTGATACAGAAAGCATGGCTTTGCTCGTAGATATAAACTGGAAAGGCATAGCATTGTGACAACAGTTGAAAATAAAGTTTTGAAATTAACTTTCAGAAGAAAATGTGTGAAACTTCTATTTCAAGTAAATATCTAGTACAGTTTCTCTGAGGAGTCCACAAGTCCATACAAAAAAGACCTATATTGGTGTGTGTGTATGTGTGTGTGTTGTCTTTTTTTTTCTCCCTAGGTCCAGAGAGTAGCCCTCCTGCTAGTCCTGTCCCAGCTTGCTCCCAGCAACAAGTCATCCAGCATAATACCATCACTACTTCCTCATCGGTCAGCGAGGTGGTAGGAAGCTCCACCCTCAGCCAGCTCACCACTCACAGAACAGACCTGAATCCGATTCTTTAAAATGCACCATCAGACCTGGCCTCCAAGAAGAGCTGTAGCGTACCATGCGTCCTTTCTTTTAAGGGCATTTTTAGAATTAACTCAGACCTGGAAGACTCCTCAGTTCTTCAAAGACTGGCTTTCATTTTTATAGTTATTATGGAAATGTTGTCTTTTATACTTAGTTATATAAGAAAAAAGGGAGTTATGCAATTAATATCTATCAGCTTGGGAAACGCTTTGGTGCTTTTCTCCAGTTTTCTGGTACCAGTTACTTGTTTATAAACTGAACCTTTTCTGTATATAGCCATGGTTTCATTCTTATCAGTCCAACCCTTTGCCTGAAACATTGAATCTTGTTAAACCACAGCTTTTAGCTAAAATGAGGTATACCTAGATGTCAAGTAAGACAGATCCAAGGTAACTGGGTAGGAAATCTTTTGACATCTTAACTCATGTTGAGTTTGTGCTGTGGTGTCACCAGAATTCCAGATAAACACACAGCCTTTCCCATACCTTTTTTTTTCTTACTATAAAATATTATAAGATCCATTGATGTCCAAATAATACCACCAAGCATCTCTTCACCTCTCCTCCTCTTGGTCCACTTGCTAATGCCCAGTTTTCTTCTCCATTTCCACTTTTTCTTAGGCTCCCTATTTACTATTCATTTTGACTTCCTTCTGTTTTATTTTTTTCCCTTTAGCATTGCATGTGAATAAGAAAATAATGTTTAAAGAAAAAAAAAAAAAAGCAAACCTCCAAAACGTGGACCTAACCATTGCTTCACTTACACTTCACCCACAGCTGGAGTTCATTCAACTCTTGCTTTTCACAAAATAGTAACCAGGAGATGTTTAATGTGCCTGATTTAATGTTTTTAATAATCACAGCAAATGAAAGGTGGTTTAGTTATAAGTGAAGCATGGTTGAATACCAGCTGGGGAGACACTAGGGAAGGGAGCTTTGTAAGCCTTGATTGCGAAAGTCCAAATTTTGATGTGGGGCTATAACATGACACCCTTGGATTGCGACTGGTTTTATACGGCCTGCCTATAACGTTGAAAATCCATGTACTACATAATAATTCAGAAGGGCTCTATTCACTACACAGATTACATTGTTCAATCATCAGCTGCTAATAGCCTAAGATTTATTTTTTTTTTTTTCTTAAGCCTATGGAACCGGCTTTGCTGTTCTGGGGGGTGAAAATAGACTAACTACTGGAGAAACAAAGAGAGAAAGAAAACCCAGTGTTTCCATAGGGGCACTTTTAGCCTTCCCACAACAGTTAAGCACTCTTTGACTGCTGAAGGAACCCCATGGATGAGGTGCAGGCTACTTCACTCTTTTTTTTTCTTTTTTGAGACAGAGTCTCACCTATTGCCCAGACTGAAGTGCAGTGGTGCGATCATGGATCACTGCAGCAGCATCCTCCGAGTTCAAGCTATCCTTCCACCTCCGCCTCCTGAGTAGCTGGGACCACAGGTTCACATAACCATGCCTGGCTAATTTATTTTTACTTTTATTTTAAAATAAAAGATGAGGTCTGTCTTATGTTGCCCAGGCTGGTCTCAAACTATCCTACTTCTTCCTCCCAAAGTGTTGGGATTATAGGTGTGAGCCACTGCACCCAGCCTACTTCACTCTTCTGAATTATTCTGATTTATTTTCAACAACTTTTGTGAACTTGCCCGTGATACAAAGCAGATAGTCCCTGAACCACAGTCGTGCCTCCTTGAAACAAGCCATTCTACTGTGCTAATGTTTTAATATCACATCTCACAAATAACAGGGGTGAATGTTTCTCTCTAGCAATCTAGGCAGGTGCTGGTGTTTCATCTCCATTTGAATGCTTGACCTCTTAATGTGTGTGTGTGTGTGTGTGTGTGTGTGTGTGTTCATGGGTTTTAAAAGAACAGTATTTTACAAAAGGTGTAGCTTTTATAAGAGTGCAGAAAAGGGAAGGATGTGTTTTTTTCTCTCACTATAGTATAAGAATCTATTTTGGAGAAAAAAAGAAAATATGAGGGTCTCGAAGCATGATTTTTATATAACTAGTTTCAGTTTTATCTAATAACTTACTTTTTAAATCAATATTTATCAACAATCTTTCCTTGTATGCAGTGCTTTCAAAAGATGGTTTTGAGTGTCCAGTGAAACTTATGACTTGGATATATGGTTGAAGAATCAAAACAAAAGCAAAAAAAAAAAGCAAAAAAAGAAAAGAGAAAAAAAGAAAAAATGCAAATGGAATAATTTTCTATTATATTTTAGACAAACATATCATTTTCGAGTATTTTAAATACTGAATTCATAGTTGTTGTTTTTTAAATTCCAACAGTAACAGCTGAATGGTTTAATCTGACTGGCTTCCTAAGAAATGTTTAAGACTCAGCTTTAAAAAGAAGTTAACATTCATATCTCTGTTTTGAAATCAAAAATCATATTTCAAAATTCTTTCCTAGGACCATCTATGTGTCTCCCCTCCCCTCCACAAAAAGGAGAAAGAGTGCATTAAAATGTTTAGTTGGGTTTTTTAATTTTTAATTTTTATGTTATGTTTTGCTTTGTTTTAAGTAAACAAAAATTTTTCTTTCTTTACTGCATGCATAGCACTTAATAAAATGGATTTTTAAAAAATCCACTAGTAATATCAGAATGTCCAGGGAGTGACTGTCACTACAATGATGGTTTAGTTTACTTCTGTTCCACCTTTTGATTGAAATATTTAGTTGTTAGGCTGAAAGCCTCGGCAGTTAAGAACTTGCCTGAGTTTTCTTCGTTCAGCAACTTGACAGTTTGACTGATGTGCATTATATATAGCTCAATTATGTCTGTTTTTTATGCTAAGTAGGAAAACCAACCACACACATTAGCAAACCGGCCTCAACATATAATTAGAATAAACTGTCTTCTTGTTCTACTCAGGGCCTTTAGGTGTGTTCATTCACGGTATGGAAATACAGTAAATGAAAGATTCCAACTAGTTGTCAGTGCTTCTTGAAATTCCAAACAGAAAGATACATTGGTCAAATCCAACACTTGGCTTATCAATATTAAGTCTTTTACCTAAAGGCCCAGCCGTCACCAGACAACAGAATAATCAATCTGCCTGAAAATCCCTCCTCCTTGTCCTACACTTTTTGCCTGTTTGGGAGAATATCTTTGTACTCCATTCTCCTCCCTCAGCCAGTTACTGGGTCACCCATCCATGTGTTCATGAATCAATCATCACGGCCTGCAGAGCACCTGTCCTAAGGAGGGAAAATCCTGTCACACTGCCTCTCCCCATTCGTGTGTGGTTTTCTTGATCGGTGAGATCTGTCTCTGAAGTCACTGCCAGCCTCCCTGGGAACGTCTATAGTGCCTCCCCTGCCTTATGTGATGGGAGTTAACAACTCAGATAAGTACACCTGAGAGCATTTCTATCAGGTAAACTGTCACTTAAATGGAGGTGTCCACATCTTAATTGTTTCTCCTTGACACATTTCTCAATCCACGAAGCCAGGAGAGGTAGAGTGAAAATCCCAGCCATGGATGAATGTACTAATTTGAAAGCCAAGTGTTAAGTCGGATGTTTTCCCGTTACACTACTACTCAGCCCTCTCCTGCGGCCACATCAACGGATGCAAGTCACAGTCTTAACACAGCCTGTGGGAGACAAGCAGTTTGTGTGCTCACAGTATATATTATAGTAATTAGGGTGACTTAGAGCAAATACTCTTCAGATCCTATGTAGTCAGTGAAACAAAATGGAGAGCGTATTCTGATAGAAGGACGTCGACGGTGAATGTTCTGGTGGTTGTTGCCTGTTAAGTAAACTTTAGTGTGTAAGTTGAGTTTGTCATTAAAATCATAAACCAGCTGCGGTAACAGACAAGCCTTTGGCTGGGGAGTTTTAAGCCTCGGTAACTGCTATAAAACTAGCCATCCAGTTAGGATAGAATGTGTTTCTTTCTGGTTAAAAAAAGGAAAAACCATCTAAGAAAATATATATGTATGTATGTGTGTATACAGTGGAATTCAAAGGACCAAAGCAAAATTTGAACAGGAATCTATTAATTTAGAATTTTATAAGATATTTATTAATAAATGTTATTTTTAAACATTCCATTTGAACAGTATTCTGTAGGATCTACTTGTTTTTAAAGTGTTAGTCCATAATAAACTACTATAGTTATGTGTATTTTCATTTTTCAGGGTTTCAAATGGCTATTCTCCATCATTTGGTGGAAATGTTTGCTTAGATCTCTGTGCATAGACATTTCAAGGATTTTTATTGCTCTGTGAGTTATTTTTTAATCAACATTCTGAACAGTTTTTTTTAAACATTTATTTCTGTGTGTTCATTTTTAAAGTAAGCTCTTTCATTTAGGAAGCAGAGTTCAGCTAAAGGGAATCAGTAACTCTAACTGGAACAGCTTTCTTGTAGAAGTGTAAAAACAGCTTCATCTCTGCCTCTCTCCACCCCACCCCAATTTCCTAGAAAGCCTTGCACTATTCAGCTCCCTTAGTGCTTTTTGTCCCTTCCCGAACAATATGCAGTAGCTTTAAGCCATTCAAGCTCCATTATGCAGTATATCTGAGAAGGGAAAGGAAACAACCCATTTAAATTTGAATAAAACCGTGCCTATGCGAACAGTAGCAATTTAGAATCTCTTTTCTGCTTTTAAAATAATTTATATTTAAAAATTGCACTTTAGCTTTTTGATCCCTTTGTATTTCTCTTATTCTCTTTCTAACCTCTTCTCTGTCCTCAAACTTGCCTTTGCTCTCCTTTACAATACCCCCCACCCCTCCTCCAAGGCTCTGAGCGGCATCATTTAAAATACTTTACAGATATTTGCACCAGGTACATTTATGTGCGTCCATTGGTAGCACAGCTGAGACCTGTGTCTCACATCAGCCTAGGTGAAGCCTACTACAAGAATGCCAAGGAGAAGAGCCAGTACACTATATGGTTTATACTCTTTATCCCTTTATTCATAGCATGTTTTTTAAAAATGTTATATTATGCAACAGATGTGAGGCAGCAGCTAAGCTATACTTAAGAATTTTCTCTCACCTTCCAAACCAAAGTGTCCTGAATAAGCCAGGAGACTTATTCTTTTGTGCACCCTGGTGCACATCTGACTGTTGTCCTAGCCATAGACTCTCTGAGGCCACTGAAAGAACAGTGGCCCTATCGATTTCATTCCTAGGTCTCAAAAATACAATGTTGCCTTGTAACATAATTAGGGACAGCACCTCTATTTCACAATTATAATCTAAGGTAGGATAAGACGACACAGCAGCAATAAACTTACAAGTAAAATTCAATACCAAAACAAACACAAAGAAATTTAAAAAACAAAAAACCTAGCTCATCATGTTGTGAAAATGAAAAAGTGAATGTCCATTCAAAATATTTTACTATTTCTTGTGGAGTTTTTCAGTGATGTAATGCTTGTAGCCAAATTGCTTAAAGAGTGTTTATATATTTTTTTCCTTATAAATTGTCTATTTTTTAAAAAAGCTATTTAACCACAGCTGAAGTGGGGGGTAAGGCCAAATTGCCAACACTTGTTAAAAGATTAATACTCTTAAGTGGCACTCTGATACCTTTCCAACTTGTCATCAGAAAGGAATCAATAATTACCAACTGTTGTATTTAGACCAACTTACAATATCTAGCTCATTAGAAGCCAGGATCTAGAAAGCTCCTTCTAAGCCATTTAAGATATTCTTACATTGAGCTTCATATTATAGAACTTTATAGGATTGGATATTTTACAATAGAATAATTTAGCCTCAGGACTGAGAATGTGGAAGCTGAATAAATTAGCTTTAAATACATCATTAAAATCTTATGCACAATAAGCTCATTAGATTCTAGTTTTCTCCTTTAGAATACCAATGCCACAGACACTACAGGAGATAATGAAAGGTATCAGTTGTGTTGAGTGGAGGGAGTTTAAGAGAAAGGACCCTTCCCAACCAGCAGCCAGTAGAAAATACAACCTACTCACCTTTTTCCCTTCTAAGTTCTGCTAAATCACATCTGCCTCATAGAGAAAGGAATGTTGCCTTTGAGAACTGTCTTGGAGAACAGATAAGCTTGAAATGTTCTCTCTAGAGAGGACATAGGGTTTGGGATCCTCTGAAAAGGCCCAGAAAAATAGCTCAGTTCAAATACAATGTTCTAGGACAATTGGAATATAAATATTGTCCAAAAATATAATTAAAAGAAAAAAGTTTAGCACTGTGTAAAGTAAGTGTTAACTGAGGAAGTCCCAAAAAGGTGCTGTCACTTTAAGTTCTGGACTTGGGGTTCTTTGTATTTGTAAACAGCAAAGCATTTGTGTTTGTTTGTCTATTTGTAAAGCAACCACCTTCCTTATTGGAAGGAGAAAAAAAGGGGTACATACATGTAAATACTTGCTGCAGCATTTAATATGTTTAATTTTGTGTTAAGCTTTTTGTTGCATCGTGAACACATTTATTGTTACCAATGGACAATGAGTTCATTAAGACTGTTCAACTAGGTCAGATTTTTACATCTCTTTCTAGCAAGAAGAGACAAGATTTTGTGCATTTGTACAAATGTTAATATCACTGCAATTCCAATATAATAAAGCACTCAAATGCAAATAATATATGTCACCTTTGTATGATGAAATTTGGGGTTGGGGGTAATGACATCTATTCCTCACATAGTCTTGTCAGAGGCATGTGAACCAGAGCAACTCCATCTTGAATAGGAGCTGGGTAAAATAAGGCTGAGACCTACTGGGCTGCATTCCCAGAAGGTTAAGGCATTCTAAGTCAGTGGATGAGATAGGTTGGCCCAAGATACAGGTCATAAAGACCTTTCTGATAAAACGGTTTGCAGTAATGAAGCCAGCTAAATCCCACCAAAACCAAGATGGTGACAAGAGTGACCTCTGGTCGTCCTCACTGCTACACTCCCACCAGCGCCATGACAGTTTACGAATGCCATGGCAACGACAGGAAGTTACCCTATATGGTCTAAAAAGGGGAGGCATGAATAATCCACCCCTTGTTTAGCATATCATCAAGAAATAACCACAAAAACGGGCAACCAGCAGCCCTCGGGGCTGCTCTGTCTATGGAGTAGCCATTCTTTCTTTCCTTTACTTTCTTAATAAACTTGCTTTCACTTTACGGATTTGCCCTGAATTCTTTCTTGCAGGAGCTCAAGAACCCACTCTTGGGGTCTGGACCGGGACCCCTTTCCGATAACAGTCTCATTCATGACTTATAAACCAAGGCTTACCTTTTCAGGGTCACCATTATCTAGGGACAAAAGGAGATCAGATTTTCTCCTTCCCAGACCAGCACTACATTCCCACTGCCTCTTCCATCCAACTTCCCAACTGAGGTCACTAATCCAGCATATTCACAGTGGGTTGGCCATACAACTTAATTTCACTTTAAGTGAGTTTGGAATTAGCAGATTTTAACAGTCAAGAAATAAAGGCAGCCTAAGGTCATGTTCCAGCCGTGTCTAGGAACCAAGAATCACGTGCTGGCTTCTCGGACAATCAAATCCTGGGGTTCTTTGCTTGATCTCCAGAGGAGTCCCAAGGGTAGTCTTAGTCCTTTTATGTGTTCCTTTAGATATTGCCCTTCCTTTCTTCCTCCTCTTGCTTTTATTTCTTTTTCTTTTTTTAGTCATTCTCCTTTTCCTCTAACACTCGATATCTGATCCATCAGCAAGATCAGAATCCAACCATCATGTAGCACCAATCTTAAAGTTATGCCCTGACCAAGCCATCAACATCTCCCACCTGGATTATTACAATAATCTTCTAACTGGCAACCAGAGGGAGGCTTTGAAAATGGATGTCAGACCACGTCCCCTCACTGCTAAAAACTCTGCAAGGACTTCTCACTTCATTCAAATCAGGTAAAAGCAAAAATTCTTCCACCACCCACTTTAAGTTCTGTAACAACCCGACGTGACCCACCCCCACCTCATTCATTGCCTGAGCTCATCTCCTATCATTTCTCTTCCCTCTCCCCCTCTCCAGCTTCACTAATGTCTTTGCAATTCCACAAACCTCAGAAGCACCATCCACCTGAGAGCCTTTTCACAACCTGTGAAGAATATTCTTCACCCCAATATCAGCATAGCTCACTACCTCTAGCATCTCCCTATCAGTAAAGCCTTTTCTTAGCTTCCTATACAAAATTACATCACTTGTCTGCCTTGCCCAGACTATCTTTTCTATAGTGTTTAGCACCACCTACCATAATTTATATTTGTTGTTTTTGTTGCCACCACAAGAGCAAAGGTATTTCCTATTTTGTTTGAATTTGTCACTAAGATCTAAAACAGTGGACACACAATGGGCACACAACAAACATTTCTGGAATGGATGACCTGTCCTTTTCTATCTTCCTCCTATTCTCAGAACATTCCAACCCTTCCACCTGTTCCTTCAGCCAAAGCAGCTGTTTTGTTTTGTTTTGTTTTGTTTTTGAGATTGAGTCTCACTCTGCTGCCCAGGTTGGAGTGCAGTGGAGCGATCTCGGCTCACCACAACCTCTGCCTCCTGGATTCAAGCTATTCTCCTGCCTTAGCCTCCCAAGTAGCTGGGACTACAGGCACATGCCACCATGCCTGGCTAATTTTTGTATTTTTAGTAGAAACGGGGTTTCACTATGTTGCAGGCTGGTCTCGAACTCTTGACCTCGTCATGATCCACCCACCTCAGCTTCCTACAGTGCTGGGATTACAGGCATGAGCCACCACGCCCGGCCAAAGCAGCTGTATTTTAAAACCAGTACCAAGACATGTCACTGGACACATGGCAGTGGGAGATGATATTTGTAATCAGTACAGAAACAACTGGGGGAAATGATCGCTGTTCTAATGGCGATCCCATCTGTTACATTTACATTTAGACCACTCAGTATTCTCATAGTTCCCAGGAGAGTCTTTCTAATGCCCATTCCACACTCATTTGCAATTTCAAAAGCCATTACTATTGGTTAAAAAAATTGTTATGATCCTACATTTGTACTTCAAATGCAGCCAATTCTAATCTCTATCCTACCTCTCATCCCTGTGTGTCCCTGGAGCTTTGTAGTGTTCTTTATCTTACACTTGCTGATGTGGCTGGTAACTGGTTGATGACTAGATCACGTTTTACTTTTGCATTACATATTCTCTTATCCAACAAAAATAATTTTTTATCAAGTCAACCTGCCTTGTGTTTTGAGACCTAAGTATGTTTATTAAGAGACTGTAAAAATTTGGAGCAACGATGGGCCCTCTTTTTAAAGTCATTGAAAACAAGCCACTTTGATAGGCCTGCTCCCATGGCAGTAATGTTGATTTTATCAAACCAGCTATAAAAATTAGGCTGCCAAAGAATGTGGGGGGAAAGACTAAGTTTAAATCTATAAAGATAGAGTCTGGATTCAGACTTGCATCCTTCAGAAGATATTTCTTTTTGGCAACTATAGATGGCTTTTCAAAATGGCTGAAAGGATGGATAAATTATAACATCTGAAAATAGTTGTCTGTTAGCTAGTAGACCTAGCAAAACATTATTATTATTGAAAATTATTATATTTAAACCCAGAAATAAAGCCATGAAGCTTTTAGTAACCATAAAGTTTCATCTTATATGTTGTCAAATACTGTATCTTCACCAACATTATATTTCCTTGTACCCAACTGGAGGCTGAATCATAGCAATTGTCATCAATCTTCTATAAATCTTTTTACTACAATATTACTCCAATATATAGACCCAACAGGCTATAAAAGGTCTCCCATAAGTCACTTGCACTTCTACTTTCTTGGAAGGAGAGCTGCCTACATGTTCATTTAAATGAATCAAATAGGAAGATTCTAGTTCATTCATAACACGTTCTTATTTTTCAATACTCTTACAGCAAGAAAATTGTTCCAACCATCTAAGATTGATTGTTTTATTCCATATACACAGCACACATCCTTGATCTACTATTATTACATTTGGGTTATTCTAAATAGAGCATTCTCTGTTTAAGTCTAGTCCACCAACTTTGATCTTGATTGATTCACCTCCTAGTCAAAGTAGATTTGCTTTAAGAAAGAGAAACCTTATCAAGTAGGCTCAAATGATAGGAGATTTCTTATAAGGGTATAAGGGGTAGCTAGTGGAGCTCAACCAGGCACTGTGGCAATTATAGGAGGCTTCCGGAAGGTCATTAAATGGCTAATCTCCTGGCTTGTCTTTGGCTCTGAGGCCACATGGTTTTTCATTCTGCTCTGTGCCTGCTTCTCTCTCTGTGTAAATTGATTTGTACACTCACTCAACTGCTTCTATGTTGGCCCATAATTTCTTCTCCAAAACAACAGCGTCACCTCCACACCCTAGCATATCTATGGGCTTCCAATTCAAGCACCCGACCAACTCATAATGCCTCCATCTTTCTATTCCAATTTCCCAGGAGAGAGAATCTGATTGGCCATATCGGATGAGGCCTGCATCCCTACTCCAATCAGCTATGTGTGGGGAAGCAGGGTTACATGCTCCTACTTCTGGAGACAGCAGGATTTCCAGAAAGGGAGTGAGGAGAAAATGATTGCTAAAAAGAAATAATTGGTGGTTCTAAAGCTACCTCATAAGAATCTAGTCACTTTCCATTAAAACCTACCGAGGGATTAAAGTACGGTGAGGAGACTAGCACAAAATTAGACATCTAGTAGGTGGTAGCAAATGTTTGTTGAATGAATGAATGGTTAATGAATTCTTGGTTTTTTTGTTTTTTGGGGAGGTTGGTGATGGAGTTTCTCTCTTGTCGCCCAGGCTGAAGTGCAGTGGTGCTATCTTGGCTCACTGGATCCTCTGCCTCCCGAGTTCAAGTGATTCTCATGCCTCAGCCTCCCAAGTAGCTGGGATTACAGGCGCCCGCCACAATACCCAGCTAATTTTTGTATTTTTAGTAGAGACAAGGTTTCACCATGTTGGCCAGGCTGGTCTCTAGCTCCTGACCTCAGGTTATCTGCCTGCCTCAGCCTCCCAAAGTGTTGGGATTACTGGCGTGAGCCACCACTCCTGGCCCTACTAATTCTTGTTTTATTGAAAGCTTTGAAGTGAAGCAAATAGAATATTCATTGAAGATTAGATAAGTAACTTCACAAAGTTAAAGATTCTGTGTATGTAATAGCTTAGCTTGTATTCCATAAAATCCAAAATATAAAAGTTAACCATCAGCAAGAGTGAGATTTTATTTTGCCATGTTTTATAATGATTTACCGCTCTCTTACTTTAAACTGATTTTATACATATGCTTTCCCAGAAAGACTACTGCTATGTTGTTCTTATAAACTCATAGGTGACTCCAACGTGTTAGTGTTTTTAAGAATGTTGGCGTAATGTCTCTCTAGGATGGGGTCAGGAAACACTCTTGTCCCAAAACTCCCTCCAAGTATTATATTAACTATCTTAATAAATCTTTGTGACAAGGAAACAGGACAGTTCCCATCAATAAGCCTCCAAGAAAGCAATGAGTATTGCTACAAAGAAGAGTAGAACAAGCGCTTAATGAAGAATCTAAAAACCTGGAGTAAGAACTAATAGTTCTGTATTTTAATACCAAATTATCTATTGATTTCCTATATGACCTAAACAAACACAAATCTTGGTTCTTTGTCTCCTTTGTCAGTATAAACATACTCAGGGTGAAGTGGGCATAATTTCTATAGTGGTTTTCTATGGAACTCTGCCCAATACCACAACTACCTCCTTCTCTGGAGAGTTTCTCTTCCCCCAACTCCATCCAGCTGGCTTCTGCAAGAGATTCCATAACCATGCCTCCAGGCTTATGTTCTTAGTCTAATACTCAGCCCTTAGCTCACAACGGAATCATCAATCCCAGCAACTAGATATTGGGACAGGGAACCTAGAGAGTTGGGTTTTCTTTCTGGCAGGTGAGTCCAAAAGATATAAAACTTAGGAGCTGCCAGAAGCCATGTTTCTGTCAGGGAAAGGAACTCAGTTGCAAGAGAGAGAGGTCAAGTCAACACAGCAGATACAGAAGAAAGAGGCAGAAAGAGGGTTCTGGAAATGCTCATTTCCTGTTTAAATAGTTCTTTTTATCAACTCTTTGTTTTTTTTTGAGAGACAAGCTGCCACTCTGTTGCTCAGGCTGGAATGCAGTGACATGATCATGGTCACTGTGGCCTCAGCCTCAAGCAGTCCTCCCGCCTCAGTCTCAAGTAGCTGGGACTACAGGTGCACCGCCATGCCTGGCTAATTTTTCATTTTTTAATTTTTTTCTTTTTTTGGTAGATACAGGGTCTTACTGTGTTACCCAGGATGGTCTCAAACTCCTGAGCTCAAGCAATCCTCCCGCTGTGGCCTCCTAAAGTGTTGAGATTACAGACATGAGCCATGGAGTCCAGCCTTGCTTAAGCAATTCATAATAGCTCACTGCAACCACAACCCTCCTCAAAGCAAGGTTTTACCATCAGATAGCCCGAGGTCCTTCTAATAAATGCCTCCTTTTGCTTACATTAGTTCAGGTGGGTTTCTGTCACTTAGAAGCAATAGAGGTCTATTCTTAAAGTGACCATAAGAAGCCAATTGAAGACTATCTTCGGTCCTTCGAGTCTATGTTACACTGCCATAGGAGAAGAGATGTGAAGTTGCCCAATCAACACAAGGACATGCAGCTCCATACATCAGAGTGTTACCATACTTGAAGAGAACATGCCCTAGAGGTGGCTCCCTGGACCAACAAGCTGTATTTATTCTAGAATATCCACACCTATTTCGCAGACAATGAGTTAAGTTATTCTTCTTAAGGAATGTTTGCAAAATTAGCATTATACCTGCCTACTTTGATGAATGGATAAAGGACTCCAAGGTAATGCTTTTCATTCCCTATGTGTCCTTAGGCATATAATATAATGGAAAAAAATGTATGAGGAATACTTTTGACTACAAATACAAGACAATCCAATTTCCAGTGGCTTAAACAAACAGGAGCTTACTCTTCCTGCAAAGTAGGAAATCTGGAGATAGGGCATTTGGCATTGATTTGGAAACTGTATCAGCAGCTCTGTGGTGCTATTAACCTTTCAGTGATGCTTGTCATCTCCTAATGGCATGATGGCTGTTGAAGCTCTACAACACACCTCCAGTGAAGGCAGAAGAGAAGGGGAAGAATCAGTACCAGACACATCCTGTTTTGTCCTCTTTTATCAATAAAACAAAGATTTTCCTAGAACTACTCTCACCCCTGGCCAGAATGGGGTAATTTGGCCACTCTTTGCTTTAAAAACAGGCGGAAATCATGGGTAACAGGCTTATTATGCTTCCTTCAACCCATGCTTCTCAACTAGTGTGCTATGTTGAGGAAGGCCTATGGGTTACAGTTATTCCATGTAAAACTGATCTGCTCATTTCTTGGGATGGCTGGAGCCTCCTGGCAGGTTGTTTATGGCTATAAGCACACTCTTCTAGAGCTCCTTAGAAGGTGGCCTGAGTAAGTGGCATCCAATGACATCCCCTGTGGTCTCTTCAGATGACGAGCACAGGGAGAAACATCTGGTACTTGTTGGCCACATGGGAGCATGTCCCACCTGGGCATGCACTGGGGCAGCCAGCTTCAGGGCCTGCAGTGATGCGTGGGGACACGTGGCCTGTGGTGCCACCAAAGAGGTTTCTATAGTGTCCAAGGAGGAGACTGTACCAACCAAGGTGTACTCATTAGAGGTTGGGGATCAGGGAATTTAAATGGGGGTTCTGGGAGGCCAACCTCTGATTGACCACCTCTGATTTCAGCCTTCACCTGTGTCAGAAACTTTTGTCCATGTGCAATTGATGTGTTGTTTTAGTAGCATCCAATCTACCTGCAGGCTGAGGACACATTCTGCAAATTAGAGCTTCACTGCAATTTTTTAAAGTAGATACAAGGTCTCACAAAGTTGCCCAGGCAGGTCTCAAACTTGTGGCTTCAAGCAATCTTCCTACATTGGCCTCCCAAAGTGCTGGGATTACAGGCATGAGCTAGCGTGCCCAGCCTCATCATGATTTTTAAACACTTAACATAAAAATTTGACTGGATTTGAAACACATTATCACATGAAACTTTATATCACATTTGTCAAGGAATGTTAAACATTTTAAAAATAATTTCTACTACTACAAATTTTCAATGGTTATAAATATGGTTCTAACTTTTTAGCCACTGATTTTGGTGAGCAAAAGTGCAATAATTATCAAGAATTTGAAGAAGTCATAATTAAAAATCTGTATGAGAAATTATATTTAACCATTTCAAGCCTAAAAGCTGATTAGGAAGCTTTTTTTTAATCAGCCATCTTGAGTTTCTCATTTAAATATTTAGAAAATATTTCATGTGAAATTTTATCCAAATTCAATAATTCATATATTTCAAAATATTTATATTTATTTTTCCTGTTGTAATTAGATGATATGAAGATAATATAATAGGTTATTTTTTTTCTCCAAACCTCATATTGATATCTCCAAATCCCCCCGTGCCAGGTTAGTAGAGAGTACTATGCAAATATAATCATTTTCTATGTGGCAAGTCATAAAAAAAAGTTTGGAAACACTGGCTGAGACCATCCGCCATCCATCCGTAGAGGCTGGGCATGTGACAATCCCAAACACATTGAGGTTCCTTTGGCAAAGAAGATTTAGAAATGGACGGCAGCCCAACAGCATCTGCCACAATGGGTTATAAGCGTCCACTCCACTGAATTCAGGGCACTGATTAATTGTGTATGCTTTTCTCTTCAGCTCTCATTTAAAGGTATGTGAAGACTAGACCTCCTGTATAAAGCAATTAAATAGAGCTTCTCCTTGCATAGCCCCTTCCACCAGGGATATGTCTTGGAGAATGGCCCAATTACAATTACCTTCAAAACAATGTTACAAAATAAATCCATTTTCAACCAAATTCTTTGCCAACCATAAGCCAAATGTTCTGGCTAAACTGGGAGAGCTACGCTCTTTCCTGTTTCTTTGCCATTTTCCAGCCTCTGAGAACAGAGATTGTAAGAGCAAAACATCTCATGCAAAACCATGCTACCTGCATCATGGGGACAGCTGAGTCAGCTTTGATCACCTTAAATTCTGTATTATTTATGGTCCTCACTTTTTGACCTTTGGTGTAAATTGCCAAGCATTTATTTAGCACTGACTGTGTGCTAGAACTATCAAGGGTACAAAGGTGATTTAGACCTACTGCTGGCCTAGGATGCAGGGAAATGATGTACTGAAACTGGACAGACAAAAGGCCATGAATATTGGGGTCTTATTCTGGGAAGGTGATTTGTCTAGTAGGGTAGGGTGTGAGAAAGAGTGAAGAAGGAAACAAGCAAGATGGTAAAGGTCCAAAGAACTTAAAACTCTGTATTGTAGACAACAGACAACAGGAAGCCAACAGAGATTTTAAGGCTGGGAATAGTTTAACTTTTTTTTCCAAACTGATCTGATATAGCTGATTTTGGGGATGTGTTTGATTTTTTGTTTTTTTTTAACCAAACTGATCTGGGAGTAGTGTGAAAAAGCAACATGTCATGTCACATTATAATGTTTTCCAGTTTGCAAAGTGCTTTCACACATCCACTTTCAGGTGTTCTTTAGTTTTCAGCTAATTAATTTGGGCAGGTACCAAGAAAGATACAGCTAGATGAACTGTCACTCTAGTCAGGCACATGCTTTCAGAGCAACAGGTAAGAGTGTGAACTCTGGCTTCAAACTACCTGCATTTGGAGCTTGGCTTTGCCGCTTTCTAGCTGTCTGATCCTGGGCAAGGTATTTAAACTCTGTCTCATTTACTAATATGCAAAATGGGGATATTAATAGCATCTACTGCATAGAATTGCTCAAGGATTAATAAAAAAATATATATATATAAAGCCCTTAAAATGATGCTTAGTCTATAGCAAGTTCTTAAAATGTTATTACTTGTGATATTATTTTTAATCTCAGAGTTCATATAGATATTTTAGAAATAGATTACATACATACATATTCATGTACATATACACATGCATATACACATACACACTAGCCACATGATTTCCCCCACTAGAATTTAGATCCGTAGGAAGAGAGTAGGTTGCCATACTCCAGTGCCAGCTACAGTGAAATGGTATAGAGTAGCCCTCAATAAATATTTGTTGAATTAATGAACTGTGGATGAGACCATGCTATGCAAACCTTTTTGTCTTCCTTCTGGGCAATCGCAGATGGATTATGGTTCCTAAGCCCACCATATCCAGGTGGCATCACATGACATGTTATAGCCAATGGAGTCTGCTCTGGCCCCTAACACCTCTGCGAGATGCCCCAGACTCACATCACTCCCCTGATAAGGATTTTGCAGAGGATTCAGAGGACCCACAGAAGGACAAAGGAGCACCAGATGAAAGGTGCCTGGATCCCTGAGTCACTGAATGTAGGAGGGATGCCCAAGAGAGCTGACCAACATGTTGGAGTTTGTAGAAGCAAGAAGTTAACTTCCATTTTGTTAATCCATTAAGGTTTTTGTTTCTTTTGTTTTTAATAGCAGTTAACCTAGTTTGAGTAATGCAGAAGATAGGGAAAAACATTTACTTTCATGCTTTTTTCTAGTATAAATAAGCAATAATAGCAAAGTCAGATTTAAAACTGGAAGGAAGCTTCAGAGAGCAGCTAGTTCAAATTTCTCCTTCTACCATGAGGAATCAGAGGCCCAATGTGGTTAAATGACTCAGTCAAGGTCACACAATTGAAACTGGACACCAGGCCTCCTGATTTCTAGGCCAATGTTTTGTTTTGTTTTGTTTTGTTTTGTCTATTGGCCCCAGGAATTAAAAGTATTATTGCTTTCCAAATTGAGTTCATAAAAACAAAATAAGAATATTGTCTTTTAAAATAAAACAGAAAAGGGAAAGAAAATGACATTTAACTAAACCTCAAGTAAATTAAAACTGGCTGCAGATTGATTTAATTCATTGAAATAAAAATCTCCCAATATTGTCCAAATCACATGGCCTAATTTGTCTATTTGGGTAAGCAGCCTGCCTCTCAAATCCTGGGAACTTTGAAATGGGAGGCCCAGTTACTACAACAATAGTCTAAATCCAAGCTCTGTGCACTAAGCATTAATGATGGAATGATGGTACTTAACTCCATTGCACCTGGCCAGTTCTTGATTAAATCAAATAGCATTAACTAATAAAAGATTAAAATATTTAGATTCAAATTAGAGAGTTTCCAAAAACAATCTCCCAAAGCCACTTAGTTTTATTCATTTTCTAAACAATTTTAAAGTTCTTCCAAACAGCAAAGTAGAGTGCAAATTCATTAGGAACAATAAAAATAAAAATTGGAAATGAACAATACATTAAGGAACATTCTTTAAATGCACAAATCCCACGAGTCAGTAGAAAGTATAATGGACCTGAAGTCAGCACTTCCAGGCCTACATGCTGGTTCTATCATTGGCTGTTTAACCTGCAAATTAACCTCTCAAAGCCTCAGTTACTGCATTTGTAAAATCAGGAAAACAATACATATCTCATGAGATGCCTATGAGACGTTACATGAATGCCAGTGCAGTGCTTAGAAAATGTTTGTTTTGCAACAGTGAGGAAAAGCCTGCAGATTAAGAAACTCGGACTTCCCCCATGTTAGCTACAAAACATAATCACTGAGTATGTTGACTGTAGGAAAATTTCAAAAAAGTCGACAATTTCATGGAAGTAGCCAGATCTGTCTTTGGCTAACATGGATGCTGAAAACCCAAGCTGAAGGGATTCAGAAAGGATCAGGAAGAAGACACTTATCTGTACTCCTGATTCCTGCAAGGCTATTGTCAATACACCAGCATCATTTCCTTACTTGTTGAATCACCACTCTGTAGAACACTCTGTCAGTCTTCACCTAAATAAATTTCCCTTCCATCCAAGTTTTTCTGCTGGATTATGACCAACTTGATAACCTAGTTTAGTATCCTATGAGTGCCTTAAATACAGAGGATGCTTAATGAAAATTTATTAGACTGCCCGCTCAGCAGCTCACTGGGATTGAATATGCATCTGGCATTGAAAAGAATTGAAATTATACAAATGAAGGTAGCTGACATATTCATGTAAAAAGAACCACCAGATATCATCCATTCCTTGGGCTGGGAGCTACTTATCCCTGACACAGTGGTGATTCAGAGGCAGCCATGGGGGTCACTGCCTGCTTTTTCCTAATCATCTTCAGGGCCCAGAGGCAAGGGGAAGGTTCAGAAAACTACAGTTGACTTCAAAACCCAAAACTCAGTTAATGAGATTTATCTGAAAAATGAAAACAAACTAACAATTTAGCACAGGAGAAAGAAGCCTGTCTCAGAGAGAGATCTGAAAAATAGCAAAGCAGAGCATTTGCTAAATAATCTCCAGCTACAAACTAGCAAGTGTCAGGATCACTTAGATCAAGGGGAGAGAAACATAAAACCCCTAGCTTAGTATGTGGCAGTAGTTATACAAGCCGACCAAATATTTGATGTCATGGCTGTAAGATAAGAGGATAAAGCAATGATCAGAAGAAATTAATGTGATGGTTTAGGACCCAATTCTGCACAACTGCACTGGTGCATGCCCATGAAGCTGGTCCTGGTGGTCATGGACCAGCCTCACTGGCATCACCTAGGAGCTGGTTAGCCATGCAGAGTCTCAGGCCCTGCCCCAGACGTAATGTACCAGAATCTGCATTTTAATAAGAACCCAGGTCATCCATGAGCACTTTCAAGTTTGATATCCTTTAGAGTTTCTCCATCAGGTGGCCTTGGTTTGGAAACCTTAATTATACAAAGGACGTAGTAGAAACAGGACCGAAGGGCCTAAGAAGACCACAGATATTCACTGATGCGGTACATGTTTCATCCACTCATAAACATACTGCTTCTACAGACTCGTTCTTTTAACATTGCTAATTTAATATAACCCAACCCCCCTCTGATGCCGAGCCGAAGCTGGACTGTACTGCTGCCATCTCGGCTCACTGCAACCTCCCTGCCTGATTCTCCTGCCTCAGCCTGCCGAGTGCCTGCGATTGCAGGCGCGCGCCGCCACGCCTGACTGGTTTTCGTATTTTTTGGGTGGAGATGGGGTTTCGCTGTGTTGGCCGGGCTGGTCTCCAGCTCCTAACCGCGAGTGATCCGCCAGCCTCGGCCTCCCGAGGTGCCGGGATTGCAGACGGAGTCTCCTTCACTCAGTGCTCAATGGTGCCCAGGCTGGAGTGCATTGGCGTGATCTCGGCTCGCTACAACCTCCACCTCCCAGCCGCCTGCCTTGGCCTCCCAAAGTGCCGAGATTGCAGCCTCTGCCCGGCCGCCACCCCGTCTGGGAAGTGAGGAGCGTCTCTGCCTGGCCGCCCATCGCCTGGGACGTGAGGAGCCCCTCTGCCTGGCTGCCCAGTCTGGAAAGTGAGGAGCGTCTCTGCCCGGCCGCCATCCCATCTAGGAAGTGAGGAGCGTCTCTGCCCGGCCGCCCATCGTCTGAGATGTGGGGAGCGCCTCTGCCCTGTCGCCCCGTCCGGGATGTGAGGAGCGTCTCTGCCCGGCCGCCCCGTCTGAGAAGTGAGGAGACCGTCTGCCCGGCCAGCCGCCCCGTCCGGGAGGGAGGTTGGGGGGTCAGCCCCCCGCCCGGCCAGCCGCCCCGTCCGGGAGGTGAGGGGCGCCTCTGCCCGGCCGCCCCTACTGGGAAGTGAGGAGCCCCTCTGCCCGGCCACCACCCCGTCTGGGAGGTGTACCCAACAGCTCATTGAGAACGGGCCATGATGACAATGGCAGTTTTGTGGAATAGAAAGGGGGGAAAGGTGGGGAAAAGATTGAGAAATCGGATGGTTGCCGTGTCTGTGTAGAAAGAGGTAGACATGGGAGACTTTTCATTTTGTTCTGTACTAAGAAAAATTCTTCTGCCTTGGGATCCTGTTGATCTGTGACCTTACCCCCAACCCTGTGCTCTCTGAAACATGTGCTGTGTCCACTCAGGGTTAAATGGATTAAGGGCGGTGCAAGATGTGCTTTGTTAAACAGACGCTTGAAGGCAGCATGCTCGTTAAGAGTCATCACCACTCCCTAATCTCAAGTACCCAGGGACACAAACACTGCGGAAGGCCGCAGGGTCCTCTGCCTAGGAAAACCAGAGACCTTTGTTCACTTGTTTATCTGCTGACCTTCCCTCCACTATTGTCCTGTGACCCTGCCAAATCCCCCTCTGCGAGAAACACCCAAGAATGATCAATAAAAAAAAATAATAATAAATAAATAAATAAATAAAAAGAAAAAAAAAATTTAATATAACCCATCAAGAAGACGAACAGCAAAGTAGCCAAGGAGCTTTCATAGAAAAAACTATGTAGTAGGCAGTATCTACTATTAGTTCTAATTCAGCCTTTCTCTGCTCCTTTTTGACTCCTCTCTTCAACACTTGCCTCAGACCTTCTTTTTACCCAGTAACACTGCTTGGCCCTAACTTATGCCTCTGGTCTCCATCAGGTAGAAATATTTTACATGTTGAATGCTTACTTTAAATTTTCTATAAAGTAGCAACTCATTCCATTCATAAACAAAACTCATAAATAGAAATTTCAACAGTCAATTCACCTTTCCCTTGGGAAAAGAATCCAACATTTCAGCTTGCATTTGTCTACCACTTACTCTAATTAAATACACCTAAGATTCTAAGATTGTTGTAAAAAGTCTACTTTCTGGTAGAGATTAGCTAGTTTTCTGGATAATAGAAATCAGAGGAGGCTTCTTTTCTTTCTTTTTTTTTTTTTTTTAGTTGATCAATTATCATGACAGAAAAGCTTCCATTAAATTCACCGGACTGCTGGGGGCACCTATGGGAGGGATCTCAGAAATCACTGAATTTAGTGACTCTCCAAGTGTGGTCCTGGGACCAACAGCAGCTGCATCACCTGGAACCTGTAAGAAATGCAAAATTACATGCCCTTCCTCAGACTCTTTAAACCAGAAACTCTAGGAATGAGGCAAGCAAGCTGTGTCTTCACAAGCTCCCCAGGAGACTCAAATTTGAAAACTCCTTCTTTTAACATTGTTAATTTAATATAACCATCAAGAAGACAAACAGCAAGGGAGCCAAAGAGCTTTCATAGAAAAAACTAGAACATACTGCAAATGTTTCCAGCTAGGATCATGGTTCCCATCCTAAGAGCCAGCCTACTCAAAGGCCAGCCTTAAGACATTCGATTGTTTAAAGATTTAGGTAGAAGTACTTGTTTCCCGGAGTGGCTTTAATTGGTAGGAAACAGTGAAATATTTGTTTATAAAATAATGTCTCCCAAGCAGACAGACACTGTTTTATAATCAGTTAGCCAACTAGAAAATATCTAAAGGGATCCTGGCCATTTCTCAGAGTAGCCACAAGGGGTGTTGCTTCTCTCATTTGCAGGTTTAAAAGAATGTTCTGCTCCTGGGTCATTTCATTTTATTCTTGTTAACTTACAGTTTCAGGTTACAAAACACTTAATAATCAAATAGAGTGGCTCTTCTACATCCTATAGTGCATTCAGCTCTTTTAGCTAATGGATACATTTCCACTCCCCTTCCAAGTGTTCACTTATAAGAAGCATTTGAACTCCATTTTCATATGCAAACAGCCAAATCAAACAATTAGACCGTGCCCGGTTCTCCAGAACAAGCAGGCAGCATAGACACAGGTCGGGACTATGTGACTTTTATGTTCAGGAGTCCATTACACCAGCTAAGGGAGATACACTTAAGTAAAGTGCACTATTCTTTAATAGCTGTCTTTATGATAAGGCAAAAACCAACATCTTAATACCCACCTGCAGTCTCGTTATCAAGTTAATCAAATGTTTAATATCAGAATGTATATTAAAGTCATGTTGCTTACTACAAGCCAAGAGCCTTCTTTCTCCCTCCTAGTTTGTTCTGTAGGCCACACAATGCCATGCTAGGAAAACTACCCTTTAAACCTGATAAAATATTAAAGACATGTGTCCTGATATTGTTATGTAAGCAAATACCAAGGAAAGTCCAACCATTAATGAACCTGAGCAGGTCAGTCTCTAAGGACTGGGAGAACAATGCAGCAGTGGCCATGGTGCTGCTGGGGAGAAGAGATTATGAAGGTGTGGACTACCACAACCTCAGAGCCCAAACACCACAATGTGCTTCTTGAAAAGCAATTCTTCAATGTGATTGTCTCTATTACTTTAACTACGTTCAAGAAAAGTTGCATCTAGGTGAATTTCACTTAAGAAAAATTAAAATATTTGTGCATGAAACATTGCAATCATAGGAAAAGGTAAAGAACAGGTGTTCTTGCAAGGCTAAGATGCTTTAGCTCACTTCAAATATCTTTCAGGAACCAAATGGCTATACATAGGTATGTGTACACACACATGTGTGCATGCATGCATGCACAAAAATGCATTTCTCCTTAATGGGGAGAATCCCTGAAACAATCACTCTTTCTTAGTGCTCTTTTTCTGGGAGGGAAGGAGGGATGGAAGGAAGGAAGGAAGGAAGGAAGGAGAAGGAGAAGGGGAAGGGGAAGGAGAAGGGGAAGGGGAAGGGGAAAGGGAAGGGGAAGGGAGGGAAGGGGGAAGGGAGGGAAGGGAGGGAAGGGAGGAAGGGAGGAAGGGAAGGGAGGGAAGTCAGGGAAGGGAGGAGGGGAAGGGAGGGAAGGGAGGGAAGGGAGGGAAGGAAGGGAAGGAAGCAAAGAAAGAGACTTGCTAAGTCATGCTAAATTAAGCACTGAGGATGAGGGGATCAAATAACTTCATGAGATCTTTGTCACAGGTAGCTACTATCTGGGCCCAGAGGCTGAGGCAGTAAAGGAATGTACCAAGACAGCTGTAGGTAAAGAAAGACAGATTTATTAAACTATGAAAATACATTGCAAGGTTGCAATGGGCAGCACAGCAGAGAAGGGACTGTCTGCAGAGGCAGGGGCTGGGGAGAAGTTTTATAGGATCATGCTGAAGGGGGCTTGTGGGGAACAAGGTCGTTGTGCCCTAGGAAGAAGGTTCTTGTGCCTGTGGGTTTGTGATTGGCCATCCCTCAGAACAATTGCTCATTATTCTTTCCCACTTGTGGCCCTCCCACAACTGGGGCCCTTCCACATTGCTACTTATTTATCTTATCAGGACTCCACAACCTTCTTCCCACAGATTGCCAAAGAACTTCCTCCCTAATGAACCATTTAGTCCCCTGGATTCATGGATCACTTCTAGAAGAACAACTCCCAAATCTGTAACTTGGAACCTAATTACTCTTATGACATTCTGCTCCAAGCCCCTGGAGCACCATATCTGCCCTAGTCCTTATATCTCAGTCCCCAGTTCAGTGCCTGCAGCATGCTCAATAATCATTTGCCAAAGATTTGCCATTAATCCAATTAATGAATGAATACTTGGATATGCAAACTTGTTCCTTCTTCTCATTCCCCATCTCAGGCATGACAAGACTATGCCAGTTTGGTGTTTCAGAGCCCCTATTCATATTTCCCATGCTTTCACCCCCTGTTCTAATTAGTTAGCAAACCCTCGCAAGTTTGCTTCATAATAAAACTTAAACCTGCCTCCCCTTTACTGTGTCCACTTCCTTTTTGTAGGCTGTCATTAGCTCTGAGCTGAATGACTGCAATGCCCTACCTAGCCTGCCCTGCTTCCATTCATGTCCCTGTAACTACCAAACTGCCATCCCAGTAGTTATTTAAAGCACATAACTCTTCTGTCTCTCTCTCTCTCTCTCTCTCTGTCTCCCTCCCCCTCCACCCCATCTATCTCTCTTTCTCTCTCTTTGACATTTCACACAAATACACACACTCACCACACATGCTTGTGTACACACACATACACACTCAAGCACACACCTGCCCACACACACAACACACTCCCACCCTTAGACACCTTCAGTGGCTCCTGTGTGTCTACCAAGCAAAGCCCAGATTCAGTAATTTAGAGCATCCAGATGTGATTCTGTGGAATCACCATAATCTACCTTTTTCCTCCATCTTCCTCCATCATCTACAGCCTCTTCCCCCTCCATTCTGCCCTCACCATCCCAGTGATGCCTTTTCCCATGCAAGACCTGTATCTTCTCCAGGGATGACTTTGCTCATACACTTCCCTCTTCCAGGAATCCCTCCACTGATCCTCTACCCTGATTTCTGTCTGCCAAGCTCCTGCATTCTCCAAGCCCAGGCCCTCTGCCTGTTCTTTCACAAAGCCTTTCCAAAAATTGCCAATTAGAGTGTTATCTATCTGGCTACTTTCACAGTGCTTCAGCTATGTCTTTATCATAGCATTATCAAAATATACTTCATATCAATATTTATGTGTTTGTCTCTCTCTCCCATGAAGCTATAGCATCTGTGGGATCGGTGTTGTAGCCTACTCATTTCTATAACCCCACATGGAACTTAGAACTTAGTACAGAGCTTGGCACTGAGAAAAGGCTCAGAAATGTGTTTGAATATATGCCATTAACTTCCATAATAATGTCAGAAATATACACAATCTATCTGCCTACTATATCTATCTGCCTAGTATCTGTCTATCAATGTATCACCTTTAACTATCACCTATCTGGTATGTACGTACACACAGTTGGCCCCCACATAAAATGAAAATATAAAAATCCTATGTAAGGGCTCTTATACCCACATGCAAGAATATTTTGCCTAACAATGCACAGGCTATGCCTTCACTTTTCTCATATAACTCCTTCAGGCAGTTCGTATGATAGACATGTGAACATGTAACTTGCAATCTCCCTGAAAAAGCACACGTGGATTGAAATGCACAGTGCAGCTCTTGGCCATCTCTCACTGACTTTGCCTTGGGAGAGCCATTCATCCAGGGGTTCAGAGAGTTCTCCAGCCCAAAACCACATGTCTGTGCTCCTTCAGGAGGTCACACTGGGCTCCCCGGTTTGCATTCATTCTGAATGGTACCACCATCCCTTTGATTCAGTGGGTCCCCTTACCCCAAATCAGTCATTTCCCGACCTCATGCCTGATAGCTTTGGTGCTAACAAATTTTATCAGATAAGCGTGTTAAATGGTGCTGAATTTGGGAGGGGTTTTCTAAGTCTCCTGTAGGATTAGAGCCTCTGGTGACCTCACTGCCCCCAGCTGCAGGACTTTCTGCTGAGAGCAGATCACTAACTTACCCTTTTTATCTGGGCATTCTAATCTGCTTCCCAACTAGGCAAACACAAACTTTTGTCTACATTTTCCTCGGTGTAACAAATAAACCATTCTGGACAGTAGGCAAAGCTCAAAGGTGATAAACTACAGAAACGCAATTAAAATGCCAGAAAACTACCTTGAAATGTTCTGAGCAAAAATGACATTTGGCCTAAAGGAAAAAATAGACACTGTAGAGCTAAATATGAAATTGTAAAATTGCTAAACATAAAACCAAAAATATTTATTTTCATATTTTCCCTGACTCCCAGTTCAAGGTGGAGAAAATTATCTTTCTTCCAGATAATTTCCTCCTGAGAGGCTGTAATTGGCAGCCAGAGAAGTCCTAATGCTTTGATTGGTACAAGCTGCTGAAAAGAATGTTTAATTAAATCATATTTTATGGAGATAAACAAGCTGGTTAGCTGCTATTTGCAGCTCTTCAATTCTCTTGTCAGTGGTATTATCAGATGAAGGAGATGTGGATTCATTTCACCCCTCATGCAAGTAGAAAAAAGCCTTCTCGGCCTTCTCAGGTTTTTTGTTTATTGGTGCAATGTATTTGAAGAAAATTATATATGTAAAATGCACTATAATATGTCCTAGATTTGAGAAGTATTAGAGTAATTCTAGTCTTTAACTTCCCTACAACAAGGCTGTAATGTTGATCAATAATAATATTACTATAAAAGTCATGTTTTCAGTGCCTTCTCTCTCTTTCTCCCTCTCTCTCTCTAGGTAGACAGATATAGATAAATAGACAGATAGGCATGCATGTGTGTATCTGCACATGCCAGTGGTCTGAATAACAGAAGGAGTCCTTCCAAGGCCATCCTGACCTGCAGCCATGTTGGTGTAGGAACTGTCTCCAGGGAGCCAAAGTCATAAGATGACGGCAGTGGAAAAGGGAGAGCTAAAGCTGGCTCTCCCTGACTTGATGACTTGCTTATCCCTACTTTGCATCTGAAAATCCAGGTTCTCTCTGCCACTTCTGGAGACTAAAACACTCCCACCCACACACCAGTCTTCCTTTTTCAGTTTATACTCACTTATCTGAACCAACATGATTGAAACTATTGAGCCAAGCTCCTGGAATCAGGCTAACATTTATTCATTCATTAAGTCAGTTAATGTAAGTGAACTGAGCTTTAAGAAAACTCACTTAAAAGTTATAGAGACAAATAAGACAAAGACACAATTATTGCCTTGACTCACAATCCAGCAGTAAGAGTGCACAGGGAATGTTAGACAAGTGGTGTCTGAGAGGTGAGCCCAGGATTGGAGGCCGAGAGCAAGGGTGACAGATGGTCTGGTGGGCTTCAGGGAAGAGTGGGTGCTTGAGCGGAGGGGACGCTCATGGAGGTTCCCAATGGGCACAGAGGAAGTGGAATTTATGACAGAAATGCAACCTTTGCTATCAGAGTGTTAAATGAACACTTTATAGATGATGTCCTAACAACAATAAAAACTTTCTTAAGCGTAGCTTTTAGGTTTTTGTATCTTCCTGTGACAGATGATAGTTTCTAAAAGTGACTACAACAATACATCTCATCCCACGTATCTTTCTGCTGTGTCCCCGTAAGAGAAGGAGTCTATAGGTCCACAGCCCTGGAATGTGGGCGGGCCATGTGGCTGTGTTCACCAACAGAATTCAGTGGAATCAACATTCATTGTTCTGGGCATGGCCTTTAGCTGGTCTGGCTTCTTCCACTTCCTGCCTCTTAGGAGCCAGCCAAGCCCCATGTAAAGGTCCTGAAGGATGAGATGCCATGTGGGAAGGGAGGAAGGGGATGTGGAGGGAGGGAGACACAGAGAGAGAGAGAGAGAGAGAGAGAGATGCCAAGGAGCACAGAGGTACCAGACGTGTAAGTGGAGAAGCCATCTTGGAAGGGAGCCTCTGGTCCCCAAAGCCTGAGCTGACGTCACATGGATCAAAGATGAACTGCCCAGCCAAGCCCTTCCTGAATTCCTGACCCACAAAATAGTGAGCAAAATAAAATGGCTGGCTTAAGCTACTACATTTTGGGATATTTTGTGCAGTGAAACGTTCACCAAAACACCAAGATCCTAAGATGGATATATAATGCTAAGGGAAATAGATTCTTAACATGACTTAGGATGTTAGCCTGTTAGCCCATACATATTAAGATAAAAGAGAAATCTGAGTCCCTTCGTATTCCCTTCTACTTGGTGTGTGCTTGACTGTCCTTCTGGGACTGATCTTCTTCTTTCATGTAGGTCAAAGGTAAACACTAATGCAATTCATAATATTCCTTCCTCATGGGTGAAAGATCTTGCGTGGAATCTGTGGATCAGTGTGTTGTCTTCTTTGTGCCCCCACCTCTAAATAAGAAGTTATTTAAGTGTTAGCTTGTCAAATAATGGAGGAAACATTTTTTGTTCATTTTTTTAATCTCCAAAAGTATTAACTCCAAAGGCATACTCCTGCACAGATTAATAGACTTAGGTCTTCATCCGACGTCAAGAGCATGATTACCTGCTTTGAAGGCTTTCGAAGTCTCCCAGAGAGCAAAGTCATGTCCCATTGTAGTGTCTTAGAGGAGACTAGGCTAGAATCAAGTGCTATGTGACTAAGAGTCCCCATTCTACCAAACACTGAGGTGTCCCCCAGAGCTTTCCAAAAAGCAGTTAACTCACCCAATACATTATAAATATATTAAGGTAGACTGAATAGTTCAGCCTTATTCCTTCTTTCCCTGCCCCCTCCATTCCCAGCCCCAGCTGAGTCCGGGATTCATGGGTTCTGATTTCATCCCACTTGGAAATAAGCAAATGGTGAGACTGACCAGAAAACTTGTCATCAGGCAGGACTTTCGTGAAATGGCTAATTAGCCATTTCATATTTTTTGTTATTTCTTTTGCAATTCACGTTAAAAATATGCTCCATGGATGCCAGTCTGCTAGGACGCAAGGAGCCCCTGTCACTCAGCAGTAATTCCATGAAATAATAAATACCTAGACCAGCAGCTCCAGACGCCTGCTTCAGTTCATCCCCAAACGCCCTGGGACATGTGGCCAGGCTCCCACGCCAGCCACCAAGCTCTGCGGGGGCAGAGAGCGTCACCACCACCAACAAGGGGCTGTGCCCGCCCAGGGGTCTTCTCTGCACAGGTTTCCTTCACCATGGGTCTGTCTCCTGTTTCCGAGGTCAGCCAAGGACTGGGTGTGAAAGGCCGTCTTTATTCTGCACGGTTATCACAGGCAGCCCATCTCCTGAGTGAAATTTCAGGAATGGAAGTTCCTCAGGGAAAGATGCCATTTCATCCTCTAAGCTGCATCAGCTGGAGCTGGGAGGCAACCGGTTACATCTGCGGAACAGCTTGGGCCGGGACCGTGTGTTCTGTCAGCTTTTAGGTGGGGTCCACTCAGGCTCGCGCCAGGATTTCAGCCGGGCCCTCCCTGCTCCCCGCCCTGGCCTAGCTGAGCATCTCAGGAAAGAAACAGTAACTTCCCTGCAGAGGCTCACCCGGCCTCATCTGTGTTAGGAAAACAGTAGGGAACTATCAAAATATGACAGAGGAAGATGTTGTTCAGGCCGCCCTGGGCTGTGGTCATCCTCGCTGTGACAGCAAGCCAAATGTGGCCCGACTTACAGCGGCCCTCCCGGTGGGAGACGATGGCGGGGAGAAGGCAGGGAGGCACAGGGCATCTGGCTTCCTTCCCCACCCCACACAGGACTAGGTCTTCATTTAGGACCCAGGATTTTAGTCCAGACTAAAACTGGAGATATCAGTGAAATCAGAGAATTCCATAATAGGATTAGAATCACCCTAGATGCATCTTCAACCAGCGACACTCAGAAGTACTCGTTCTTTCTAGAACTTTCTGTGCACGCTGGACAGAGCTTTGGTTAGACAGCCCTGTTTTATTTCGTACCCTCCTTAGTGCATATGTCCCAGGGAGGGGGTCTTGAGTGCTTTTGACTTCATAGCATTCTAGAAAATATCCGTCTCTTGTTCTAGCAGCCATAGGTAAATGACAATGGCGACGCTACTGAAAAATCACAACTCGTGTGTTCTAAAATGACCACAAAGGGTAGCACGGAGGCAAGCAGTTTTGTCACTCCTTCAAGGCCCCGTGGGGTGTGATAACGAATACAGGCAGTCAGTGAAATGTTCTAGCCATTTTTCTTCTTGACCTTTCTAAGCCATAATTTTGTAATTTGAACATCTAAAAAATAACCATCATTTTTTTTTTTTTTTTTTGAGACGGAGTCTGGCTCTGTCGCCCAGGCTGGAGTGCAGTGGCAGGATCTCAGCTCACTGCAAGCTCCGCCTCCCGGGTTCACGCCATTCTCCTGCCTCAGCCTCCCGAGTAGCTGGGACTACAGACGCCCGCCACCAAGCCCGGCTAATTTTTTTTTTTTTTTTTTTTTTTTGTATTTTTAGTAGAGACGGGGTTTCACCGTGTTAGCCAGGATGGTCTCGATCTCCTGACCTCGTGATCCGCCCACATCGGCCTCCCAAAGTGCTGGGATCACAGACGTGAACCACCGCGCCCGGCCTAACCATCATTTTTTAAAGTTCCGTATTTCTTTCACCTATCGTTTCCAAACGAAGAATTGAAGTATTTTACAAATAGGTTTTTTCTTAGACTGTCATTGCTGCCTGCATTACAAGGTAATTGATTTTAGAAGTCGATTTTTTCATAGCAATATGTGGCTTTCTAGAGATCTTCGCTTTAGTCAAGGCTTTCCGATTGTTTGGCGCCTTTTTGTGGAGTGATTTGCTGTCTCTACTGGCAGAATGTCTTATTCCCAAACTTATAAGTCATACAGGCAGAATCCATGTATTCCATAATTTCTTTTCCTGCCACTCCAAACATTGGCTAAAGAAACCAAATTTACTTTAAAACTATACTGCTCAGGGAGAAGATGTGAAACACTCTAGTGCAGCAGAATAATGACATAATGAAAAATGGGTTCTTGAGTGCGTGCATGGAGTTTTTAAAACTGGTCTTTGCTGGAGAGAGAGAAAGCACTCTTCACCACTGTTTGTAAATTATGATGGCATACCCAAATAAAAACAAACAAAACCAAACAACCCCCCCAAAACAGTACAAATGGATAATTATAGAAAGTTGATTAAATTAATTTTGATATGTATACATTTTCTTTTCACCACAATCAAATCAAATGTTCTCAAGTCTTTTAAAGTGGTCATGAAGATTCTGTATTTATTCATATCAAAATATGCTCCTGACACATTGTTAAGTGAAAAAGTAGTTTAGACTGTATAATATAAATGCATATTTTGGGTTGTAAAAGGTGTGCATATATCCACAGAAAAATGTCCAGACAAAAATATATGTCAAAATGCTAACATGTAAGCACTCCGCATTCCTGAGCATTGGGTTGTTTGTTTTATTCTTTATCATTTTCTTTATGGTATGACTTTCATTTTAATTCAGAATATCCATTACTTTGTATTAAAAGAACAATATTTTCAATTAAAATATTTTTAATGTGGATTTTTTACACATTTCTAAATGTGTTAGCTTCTTCTTTCATTCAAAACAAAAGGTTCTGGGATAGCTAGAAAGATCTCTGTCCTCACAGACACTTTTACAGGGGAGGAGTGTATAGAAAAATTGGTATAGGTGATAAAGATATGTTCAAGATATAGAGTGGCAATAAAGAGTGAATGATCATATATCCAGGATGTTTTAAAACTCTCAACCTAAACAGTTTTTTGGAAATGCTAGAGAAACATTTTATTAATTAAAACCACACAAATTCAGAATTTGTAAAAAGTCTCTTGGGACTGAGTGGAGATTACGTTTTGAATGTTAGTAAATAAGAAACATTTATTAAACAACAAGTACACTGGATTCCATAGTGACTTGTTTAATTTTTCTAAGACATCTGACTGTGCCTTCTAGGGAACAAGCTGGATCCTTCTTATTCCTTGTGTAAATCCACTCTGGGCAGAGCCAGGTACCTCATGGGTGCATAATAAAAGAAGTTTTAAAATTATTATTATTGAATGACATAATATACACGGCTTATATGCAAATGAGGCTACTTACAAATGGAAGTTATCAATAGTCAGTCAAACCCACTTGGAAGTAACACTGTGAAAAGGGCTCTTCTCATACCTAAAAGTAATTCAACTTCACTCTATAATATTCAGGCTTTCAATTATTCCTTCCCCTTTTAGTCTACAAGATTAACATGTTGTATAATTTTAGATTTAATTAATAAAATTATTTAAACTGGTAGTAGAATGTTAGATGAGTAGTAATCAAATATATTTCATCTGACAAATCAGATGCTTTTACATATTTTGCTTTTTTGACTGCTTACTAGTTTATTTTAGTACATTAGCATTTTTCTTTTCACCACAATCAAATCAAATAATTCTAACATGAAATGTCATTTTTCTGCAATGTACTGTTATGGTATAACATTCTTTTCATACATAGCATTGTAAGTAGTATTGTTTGCCACTGTCATTGAATTCCATCCATTATATTGAGGTATTGCTTTTGCAAAGACAGAACATTGGGATGTAACACAAAATGAGATGTTCTTCACATTTTCATTGTCAGCCAACAGTGGTGATATTGAAAGAGAAAGAACAATTGTGTGTACACAAATTTCTCTCTGAACTTTTTCAGTTTTCAATCTATAAGTGGGTATCATACACAAAAGTCGGTCATACATTACATCCCTGACATTGTTCATACACTACATCTGAACAATGGCAGAACAAAATAGTCACCTACAACTGTCACTAATTTTGAAAAAGAAGGGGGGATTTACTTCTCTATAAAATATTCTTTAAATTCATTGTGAATAATAGAAAAGGAAAACATGTAATATTCCAAAGCAGAGGCTTTCTGCATCCCCAATTCCTCTCCCTTTCTTCTACTGCCCTGCCCACTTGTGTTGCCTTCACACACACACACACACACACACACGCACACACACTTCATGTGCATGAAGATATTCACAGCACTTAGCTCCCTCTAAAAATGGGCTGGAATTCTATAGTTGAAAAATCTAGATTCAGACCTCTGACTCCAGTACATGGGGCTTTTCCATGCAATAGGTGAAGTCAGACGTTTGTCATTTGAGACACAGAACCCTGACTTGTTACTTCATGACACAGCCGGTGGTTTAACTACTCCCATCTTGATTCCAGATTTAAACACATAGTTGAAAAGAAATGTAGCCCTTCCTGAATTGGAGAATCATAAATGGGAAAAGGGGAACCAAAGTTCCCTTTTAAACCTGCATCTTTGCTTTTGTTGTTAACTAATAAAGTCTGTAGTTGATAGCTAAGCACTGAATGAAAATTAATTGTTAAATTCTGAGAATTGAACCTTCTTGTATTTTAATTTTGTTCAAACGTATTTTTTTCTTTTTCTTTTTTTTGTAAAAAAAAGAAAAAGCACAAACTTTCTTCTGCCTGCAACATTTCAGTAGGGTAAAACATCCTTTCTTTGTATTTGAATTCACTTTTTTGATGCAAGAAGAAAGGGAAAGATCTTGATGCAGGAAAATGGCATTGGCTCACAGATGCTATCTGCCATGCTTTTGTGCAGCTTACTTTATAACATACATGGGGCAGGATTTCTAGACTCTACCTTTCCTCACCTAATAATTCACCCTTTCAGTCCCTGTGCACATATTTATCAAGGTTGGGAACTTTTTTTCCGATTATTTAAAAGTCGTCATTGCAGTTACTTCCTCTGAAACAGACCACCTCTTTCATTAGGAATATTTATGGGAAATAATATATTTGTACAGTTGAAAGTATCACCTGTTTTGCTAAGTCAGTTCTTGTCTGAACTCAAATATGCTGTTAGAGGGTTTACTCAACAACACTCACTAATGGAAAGCACTAATCAAAACTTTTCTACAGCAGTAAATTTTTATATTCTTTAACCACTGGATTCCAATTAAATGTATTCAATATAGCAAGCTTTGATTAAACAAATTTTTAAAAAGAGATTATGTATACAGCCCTGTGGAAAACAAGGCAGGTTAGGTATGCAGGCACTTGTATATTCTTAATAGAAGTCTTTACCTGAAGGTAAAACCCAATAAAGTGTACCCTATAATGTGCTAGAGACCCTATGTTGATTTACCTGTGTTACATCGTCAGCAGAAATCAACTTTACCAGGTACACACCATGCTTATATATTTAATGCATATAAAAATGCATATAAAAGATCCTTTTTTCTTTATATAAAGAATTACTGAATTTCATTAGGCCACATTTTTCTCTAAAAAAGTTCTTTGTTAACCATGGGATAACTGATTGCAAATAAAGGAAGTTACGGCACTGTGCCGATGTTTATAAAGGGAGGGAAAATCCTTAATGTGAGCCTACAATTTCGATGAAAAAGAAAAACCATCATAAATACAAGAGCTGGCCTTACTCTAACATACATTAGCAAGATCTTTCAAAGGATCTCCCTGCTTTCACTGACATATAAGTATTTTCCTAAATGACTCAAAAAAAAGACGTTAGGATACTTAATTGAAGTCTATAAGGAGAGGTCTGGGAATAGGAGGATGAAAATCATTTGGTTTTTGTTTTGAAAAAACAAAAAAAAAATCCATTTTTCCTCATCTGAGGATATTTAAACACAACATCTCTATACATTTTCCATAAAAATATCACAGACCTTTCATATGTCAGATTCCCCTCCCCCACTATAAGTTTCAGGATTAGTTGCAGCCTTAGAAAAATATTTAATTCTCTTTGCTCTGTGACTTGGCTTAATGAATCTAGGTTGAGTTTCTTTAGGAAATATAAGAAGCCTCTTGACAACTGAGAAGCCTCCCAGACACTCATTTCTGTCAGAGTTTTCCAAAACCACACGAATAAGCTGTGGCCAGGGAGGTGCCTACATCCGACAAGAAAAGAAGAACACGGGCTTCCTTCCCTGACCTCTGCTATGTTTGAGTGAGAAATGTGTTTATTGCTCAGTCTCACTGAGTGTTTAACTGTTCCAGTTGTGCAAATTATGAGCACTTTCAGTGAAAATTATGAGCGCAGAAGCCTTTCTTTATTATTTCCAACTGTCTGATCTGTTTTGTCCTTGTTCACCACCACCTTTGAGAATTGCAAAAAAAAAAAAAAAAACTATGCCAGTTATTTTTGTAATACTACCATTGCATTAAAACCTTTAACCATAAAGTCCTCTAGTGATTTTTCTTTCCCTCAAAATTTGTATTGCTTTTAAAAAGCATTGCATTAAGATTCTGAACGTTTAACGGAGAGAAGGGTGACATTAGTACACATCCTTTTTAAACTCCTGATTGAAACAAAACAAAAACTACGCAAAAGACCTGCTTCTTTGCCTTGGGCCCTGACTTTTTAGGGGGCAGGGTCTTCTGCGAGGGGCGGTTAAGTGGCAGGGAAGCGCAGATCCCGCTGCACGCCGCAGCAGCCCGGGTGTGGAGCGCGCAGAGGGGGCACCTCGGCTGAGTTTCGGGCACGCTGCGCACCCACGGGAGGATTTCAGGGAGGCGGTGGCCAAGTCGGGGAGCGCATGCCGGGGCCGTACTCCCTCCTGGGACAGCGAGCCTTCCGAAAGTCCGAGCCCCAAGAAAAGTTGACCCTGGGTCTGAGAGTAAGAGGGAGGAGCCGAGAGCATGGACTAGAGAGGCACGGAGCCTCCCGGGCCCTGAGGCTGCCGCCTCCCTCCGCAGCAGCCACCTCCTCCCGCCCTTTACAAAGACAAGCTCCTTGCTCCCAGGAGTCGGCCTGCCCATCCCTGAAATGTGCACGTGAAGGAGGTAGCCTTGGTAGCCAGGGAAGGTGCGGTGCCCGTGCCGGGGCCGCGGGGCGTGCGGGAGTCCTGGGCGTCGCCGCACCTGCCGGTCTCCTCTGGGAGTCCTGGGCCGAATCCTCAGTTCGGGCGCCCTCTGGCGCCGCCGTGGGGAAATCATCCGGCGCCAGGCGCCATGCCGCACAACACTGTGGAGCAGCCCTGCCGGCGGGGTGGGTGCCTCCTATCTAAGGCACTGGACCAGGGGCTCTGCCAGCAAACATGGTTCTTCCATCAGCGTGTCGGGGTTGCAGAACCTCAGGGCATGGTTTCCCTCGGCAAGGTGTTAGACGCCAATTATCTTCCCCCGACAGACTTCTGTGAGACTTCAAAGGGAAGAGAAAGGAGGATCCCAAGACTTCCAACTCCCTCTTCCTCCCTCCCTACACACGCGCGCACGCGTAAACACACCCACATGCACACAAACACACACACCCTATTCTTTACCTATCCACAGGATCTCTAACATTATTCTTAACCCCATGTGATGGCTTTTTTGATATGTCAACTTGACTAAGCTAAAGTTCCCATTGATTCACCAGACACTAATCTAGCTGTTACTGTGAAAGGGTTTGATGATGTCATTCAAGTCATTAATCAGTTCACTTTTAAGTAAGGGAGGTTATACTGGATAACTTGGGTGGGCCTGGCCTAATCAGTCGGAAGCCCTCAAAGCACAGCCAAGACTCCCCAGAGAGAGACAGAGACCGAGACAGAGAGGAGGTCACATCCATGAACAACAGCGCAGCCATGCCCAGAGCTCCATTCTGCTTTTTAGCTTCCCCTCCTGACTCCCTGTCCTGTGGACTTTGGATGTGCTTAGGCAGCTCCCACAACACCATAAGCCAATTTTTTTTTTTTTTTTTTTTTTTTTTTTTTTTTGAGATGGAGTCTTGCTCTGTCACCCAGGCTGGAGTGCAATGGCACGATCTTGGCTCACTGCAAGCTCCGCCTCCCAGGTTCACGCCATTCTCCTGCCTCAGCCTCCCGAGTAGCTGGGACTACAGGCGCCTGCCACCACGCCCGGCTATTTTTTTTGTATTTTTAGTAGAGACGGGGTTTCACCGTGTTAGCCAGGATGGTCTCGATCTCCTGACCTCATGATCCACCCCCCTCGGCCTCCCAAAGTGCTGGCATTACAGGCGTGAGCCACCGCGCCCGGCCAGCATAAGCCAATTCCTAGTAAGACATCTCTGAATGGATATATTGGTTCTGTGTCTGAGGTTGAACACTAGCTGGTACAACCCACACAATCCAAATCAGAAAAAGTATGAAGGAAATTCAGAGTGCCAGAAGATGCCACCTCATCCCTCCTATCTGTCAGTCAGTATTCTCTGAATGTCTAGCAGTGGCAGGCACAAGACACTGTACTCTGGAGATACCTCCAAGGACAGAGCACACTGGGTTTCTTCTTCGATTTGGGCTTCAGTGCCTGCTGCTAAGTTAGATGGGTGAATAAGAGAGGCAGTGGCTATAAAGGTTAGTGAAGCTCTCTCTCTCTCTCTCTCTCCCTCTGACACACACACACACCCCTCCATGTGACAACTTTGGAGTTTTTAAACCTAGACCAGAAACCAGCTTTAATTAATGGTTTGTTGTGGGTACTTGTGGCATGCTTGGAGCTACACAAAAATACAGTAGGAGGAGGACGCCTGTGAGGAGAAGCAGACAGCAGTCTTTGCCTTGCGGGCCCTCTATCTATCACCACTAAAGGTAAAATGCTGTTTATCCATTGCCAAACCTCCTGAGTCATCCACCCCCACAGTGCATTTTCTTTGCACTTACTGTTTCTATGCATGGCAAAGGGGTGACACACTGATAATGGATCAGAGCAGTAAAATGTTGGCAAAGACTCAACAGGCTGGGAAGAGGAAGCCTCCTCTCTAGATTGATCCAGGGCTACTGGTCCTAGACCAAATTGGAATGTCCAATAAAGACCGCATTCCTTCTCTAACATCTACCCCTTCCCTGAGCATCAAGGCCTGTTCCAGGATGGCAGTAACCCTGTGTAATTCAATCCAACAAATGTTTAATGAACACCTACCATGCTACAAGTCCACCCTCTACAATCTGGTGTCCTGAAATGGCTTTTGTAATTATCATTGGCCTGCAAATGGCTTGCTATATTAAGTGGATAACTTTCATGGATATTCTGTTGGCTTCTCCATGAATTTTTACCTCTTGGGCTATTTTCTCCTGGAGATTCACACCGTCCCTTGGGCTCAGTCACAACTCTGTCTGGATTTTATCTCCTGTTTGTCTTGTTTGTTTCTTTTCAGCCCTCTTTAGAAGGATTTCCTTCTCACCCCCACTCCTCCAGATTTTAAAGTAGGTGTGTTCAAGGCTCTGTATTGGCCACCTTCCTGACCCTATTCCTATCTATTCTCCCTCCTCGAGAGATGAACAGACCTCTGCTGACCTCCAAGTCCTTATCTCTAGCGTGGACCTCTCTCCTGAATCCATTATTCTCTCTGTGTGGACACTTGGGCATACCATAAGAACCACGAATGTAACACTTTGTTAAGGAACCTCATCGTCTTCTTTCTCTTGCCTCTAACCTCTTAATCATCTGGAAAACACGAGCTGAATTAACAATGCCAGAAACTGCATTCTCCCAAGAGCTCATGACAGAAATTTCAGAGGCATTCCAGATTTCCTCTTGCTTAGCTCTCACATCCAACTAGAACCCAAGATGTAAGGGTTCTCTGAAGAGTACCTCTAGTCCCTGCTCCTCCCTCTGATCCCCACATGGGTTTAGGCCTTCACAAATCTTTTCTTGGGGCAAATGGTCTTCTGTTGATCTCTCTGCCTCCATATCGCTATTCTCTCTCATTCATCTTCCTAAAATGCAAATCCCCCCGTGATATCTCCCTACTTTAAAAGAAATGTCAATGACAAAAATTCCTTAAGACTGAATAGTATTCCATTATATATGTACACCATATTTTCTGTCATTTGCAACAGCATGGATGAACCTGGAGGACATTATGCTAAGTGAAATAAGCCAGGTGCAAAAACACAAATACTGCAAAATCTCACTTATACGTACAATCTAAAAATGTTGAACTCACAAAAGTAGAAAGTAGAACGGTGGTTGTCAGAGACTGGGTGTGGGGGTGGAGAAGGAAGGGGAAGATGATAGTCAAAAGGTACAAAGTCCAGTTAGACAGGAGAAATAAGCTCTGGTGATCTATTGCACAGCATGGTGACTATAGCTCACAATAATGTATTGCACATTTCAAAATTGCTAAAAAATTGAAGTAGATTTTAAATGTTCTTGCCACAAAGAAAACATAAATATGTGGAGTGACATCCTGATTTAATCATTTCATGATATATACATGTATCATAGCATCACATTATACCCCATTGTACGAATATATACAATTCGTCTTTGTCAATTAAAACTAAAGACATTTTTTAAAGTGTCAGTGGTTTCTTGAAAGCTTTCTTTGACTCTCTCCACTGCTTCCCACACTCTTTCTGGGCTAGCTGGCAGGTGGATTTATCTTTGTTCCTTTCATATCCTAAGTTAATCCCTACCATTGCTCTTGGCACAATGTAGCATTTTCTTATTTAATAAGATATTTCAAACATACGTAAATATAACAAAATAACAAATACTCACATACCTACCACCCAAACTGAACAAAATTTTATGGTATTAATTTCAGTACATCTTTTTTTTTCTAAGATAGGGTCTTGCTCTGTTGCCCAGGCTGGAGTGCAGTGGTGTGATCATGGCTCACTTCAGCCTCAACCTCCCTGGCTCAAACAATCCTCTCACCTCAGCCTCTCAAGTAGCTGGGACTGCAGGTGCTTGCCACCATACTTGGCTAATTTTTATTTTTTCTTTTTTTGTAGAGATGAGGTCTCACTATATTGCCCAGGCTGGTCTCAAACTCCTGGGCTCAAGCAATCCTCCTGTCTCTGCCTCCCAAAGTGCTCAGTACATCTTTTTAAAAGAAATTCTCCATGATAAAAATAGGTGAGATCCCTATGTGATCCATCTTTCATTGAAGGTACTGCTGCCCAAATGTGTAGCTGATTTTCTTGCCTAAGCTCTTGCACTTGGCCACCAGCTCCTCAAGAAAACTTTCTCTCTTGCTCATCACTGAATGCCAGAACTTGCCAGATTACTTGGCACACAAAAGGACTGAGTAAACATTTGTTGAAAAACTGCATGAGTGAATAAATTCACAGTCATTCACTGTTCCTAAGAACCATTCTTCACCACATTAGAATGCAATATATGAGTTTATTGAGTATTAACTCACACGATCACAAGGTCCCACAATAGGCTGTCTGCAGGCTGAAGAGCAAGGAGAGCCAGTCTGAGTCCCAACGCTGAAGAACTTGAAGTCCGATGTTCAAGGGCAGGAAGCATCCACCACAGGAGAAAGACGTAGGCTGGGAGAATAGGCCAATCTCTCTTTTCACATTTTTCTGCCTGCTTATATTCTAGCTGTGCTGGCAGCTGATTAGATTGTGCCCACCCAGATTAAGGGTGGGTCTGCCTTTCCCAGCCCACTGACTCAAATGTCAATCTTCTTTGGCAACAGCTTCACAGACACACCCAGGATCAATACTTTGTATCCTTCAATCCAGTCAAGTTGACACTCAGTATTAACCATCACAGGCACGCTAGTTATGTTCGCCATCTTGATTTCACACCACAACCTCAGTATTTTTATTATTTCTATTTTACAGATGAAGAAAGTAACAATCATAGCAATCAGGTAACTTGCCCGAAGTTGTCAAATAGCTCATTATTGGTAGAGGAAGGATTCAAAAAGATCTTTTCTAATTTTTTTTCTGCTGAGTCAGTCTCCTTAATCTACCTTGACTGCCCCTGGAGAGGCACAACTGCCTTCCTCACCCAGCATTCTGAGAACTTTGGCTGTGAAGACAAATAGCCCCTGGGCCCTGCTTTTCCTAAAGCCCCACCGGTTCCCACCGTGACCATGATCCCGTGCCCTAACTAGACTGTCTCTCTTACAAAGCCCAGGATGATGAGAATTTCAAATACTCTTGAAGAAAGTGGCTGAAGCCTGACCTTCCTAGTGCTAAGACCTGAGGCTTTAGCTGTCAACCCTGCTTCTGTTTGGGGTCATTTGCTGACACTTGCCATTAACTCCTTCCTGTACGGCTGCCAGAGACTCAGAAAGGTGGAATCACTCTTGCCTGTGCCCACCACACCCTCTTTGGCCATAGAAATTACTCCTCCCCAATCCTCCTTAGCTTCTGTTCCTCCCTGCCTTCTCACACCAGATAGCTTTTTCCCTGAATGTCTTTCTTCTTTTACTGGATCAACACAGTACCATTACACCAAAAATATGGAAGACTTAACAACCAAAGTTATACTACTGCTTTTTATAGGGTGAATAATTTAATTCCATGTTAATTAAAAAATATATGTATATACCTTTATATAGCCATGCTTAGAACAAACACTGGAAGCACATACATCAAATTTAGCAGTGGTTATCCAGAGGTGGTAACAGCATGTGTGATTTATCTCATTTTAGGCTTTCATGTGTTTTACACTGCTGCCTCTTTTATCTCCTTCTGCTCTTTTAAAGCAAGCAAAGGAGGAAAATACACATCGATATTTACTCTGAGTACTGATTTCTGTATGGGTATAATTCACACACTTTCAACAATATTGTTTGAGCAACAGGATTCTACTGTGGGAGAAGCCAAATGCATCATTTTAGAATCACAGAACACTATGGTTTGAAGAGATCTTGGAGATCACCTAATCCAGGGATGCTGCCATGTCAAAAAAAACTCAAACTTGAAATATGCGGCACTGTCTCAGTGGTTAGGTAATGGACAGGGAGGAGATTAATGTCAAATTTTGCAAAAATCGTAATCCATACTATGCAGTCTGTGGCCTGCCATAATATAGCAAACCATGGTGTAGGAGGTCGCAGGAGTAGTGAGCCTACTGCTTCAGGGAAAAGAAGTTGCCATGGACTATGTGTGGCAAGATGTTAGGAGAAGCAGATAAGCTCGAGACAGAAATGGCTGTTTTGCAAGTAGAAAACAAAGAAAATACATTCCAGAAATTCAAGACCTGATCAAAATTGGTCAATGGACCACTTCTTGATTCCTAATAGTACTGAGAAAACATTTGAGCAATAAAGACACAAATAAACCCAGGACAAAAATCAGACGGATGGTGTGGTGTCCAAGAAAACCTTTCTGTTGGGTTGAAAGACTCATGTTAAAATCCTCCGAAAGGGATAGTTTTCCCACCAAGCAGACAGCACTGTTAACTTGAGACATTGAGAGTCTTGGAGGTAAGAAAGCAAGGAAATAAAGATTAGGTCATTTCTCTAAAAGAACAGTGGAGGGTCATTTTGCTGATGCATAGAATTGACTGGAAGCAGATAGATGAGAAAACTGCTCTTGGTTTGAAAGAGACTATTTGAGACTTAAAATGACCTTGGGCCCTAATATTCTGCAAGCAGGAGATGATCTGAGAAAGCCACACAGCTCTCTAGAAGGGCACATTCCCTCACACTCACTTTATATTTGACCAAATGGAATAATAAAAAGGAAGAAACTTCTAGAGGTTGGAAACAAAGACCATGGAAAACCCTGGACCTTGGTGTTGACCAGAGACTGCTGTGTGTCCCACAATCTTCTCTTTGCCAAAAGGGAGCATGTTTTTTTCCTGCACCACCATTGTATGCTGGGTGTATATGGGGAGGAAAGATAACATCATTTTAGCGCACAGGTCTCAGGACCACAGTAAGCCTCATCGTGTCCTGATGGACTCATCACCTAGACATCCTGGACTTCGAGCTAGATGAAATAACCAGACGGAACTTTAGATCATTACCCTGGAGAGGTATTAGTTGTCTCATGTGTGTTCAAGGGTAGACTATGGCAGAGACATTTTCTACTCATCAAATATTCATTTAATCCTTCATTTTGCAAGCTCCCTTGCAATGTCTCAAGATCTCATGGCGAATCTTGGCCAATGGGCAGTGATCAGAAATAGTGTTATGTTGCTTCTGGGCCAAAGTACTTAGAAGCTGGAGTGTGAATGGCCAACTCTCTCTTCCCCTGCTGTGATGATACCAGGAAGCCACTCATATTGATGACACCATCATAATATCTAAGCTGTCCCCATTGTTGACTTGCCACATGGAGAAGAGATACACTAGAAAGTGACCCAGCCTGCCATGGAGTTAGTGTGAATAAAAGCTTTTGTCATATTAAGCCACTGCGGTTTTGCATGCATTTGTTACCGCAGCCTCGTCTCGCCTAGCCTGCCTAATACACTGGCTGTAATTTCTGGTGTGTCATTCTGTTATCTATGTGACTGTGAGGCCCACCGAGCTGTGGCTGACCATTTTCTTAATATCACCAGAGAGACTGATCCAGCAATGTTCTCCCCCTAGAATGCCACTCAGAAAACCACTGAGCGGGCAATAGAAATGAATTTTCATTACAACTGGGGACCCAACACATAAATATTAGCAGGGGAGACCTCTTTTATTCATTTCTTCAACAATCTTTATTGAGCTTCTACAATGTACCAAACATTTCCAGGTGCTGGACATCCAGTGCCCAAGAGTGACAAGGCCCTGGGTCTCATGGAGCTGACATTCTAGCTAGGATAACCACAGAAACAAAAAGAACACGTAAGATAATTTCAACAAGCAAGTAAGTGTTACTAAGGAAACAAGGTGGTACAGAGTGAGGGCAGTGAGAGAAGATGTCCAGGAAAAGCTGACAGTTAAGCGGAGACCCTATTAATAGAAACCAGTGATGCAAAGATCTGGAGGTGGGGCTTCTAGACAGAGAGAACAGAAGTTGCAAAGCCCTGAGGTGGACAAGTTCGAACTGGGTGGGTTTGACTTTTCAATTTGACAAAAATCTGAATTGGCTGAAATGCCGTACATGGAGAATAAAGAGAACAAAGAGACCTAGAGGGGGATCATTTCAAGTCTTTTGAGCCATCACAAGGTGGTTGGATTTTATTTTAAGGGCAATGGGAAGCCATTAGATGATTTTAAGGAGAGAAGTTACAAGATTTAATTGGGGACTGATTAGCAGGAAGTTGTGGCAGTAGCCCAGGTGAGGAAAATGGGGCTTGAAGCGGTGATTGATCATGGCTATATTTTGGAGAAACAGCACTTGCAGATGGTTTGGATGTTGCAAGTGAGAACAAGAGAGAAAGACATTGAGACTGACTTCCAGGTTTTCAGCTTGAGTAACAGATAGTAGTGGTACCATTTACAGAGATGGCAAGGCTTGGAGAAGCCTGTGCTGGGGCATTGGAGCGGGTACAGTATCAAGAATTCTAAGTTTGCAATGCCTGGTAGACACTCACATGCCTATAGGAGGGAAGCAGGTGGAGTTTCAGGGCAAGATTAGGCCTAGAGATATAAATTTGGGGCCCATCAGTTTATAAACGTTATTTAAAGCCACAGAACTGAATGAGATCACTTAGGAAGAGAGTGTAAATACAGAAGAGGTCCCAAGACTGGGGTGTTGGATCCAACATCGATCCAGAGGGCAGGGAGAGGAGGAGCTGCTCTTCCAGAATAGTGAGACCTTTTCCACTCCAGAGGGCTGTTTGCTTTTTAAAAGATGTCCTAAGACATATAGATTTTTCCACATATCTTAGTAATAAATGTTACAGCAGTGTCTCCTGTGAGTTCTAAGTCACATGTGTCACTTCGGGAAGGCAGCTGTGGCAAAGTAGAAAATGCATGCAGCCGAGGGTCAGAAAACCCTGGATGCTTTCAACCACTTTGCTGCTCGCTGGTGACGTGACAGGAGTGAGTCACCGCCCGGCTGGGCCTCACTTTCCTCCCCTGCAGCTTGGAAGTAACGATGCCTCCTTATTGGGTTGCCATTGGCATTCATGGAGGCAATGGATGTGAAGGGGTTTGTCTACTCCTGCCACACTGCCTGTTTAATAGCCACTAGCCACTGGCAGCCTCTTAAATTACAATGAAGTCCAATTAAATATTCAGTTCTTTGAGACTAAGAAGACATGATGATCACATGCAATGTGGGGTCCTGGATTGGATCCTGGAACAGGAAAAAAATGACAGTAGTGGAAAAACTGATGACACCTGAATAAATTTTGTGGGTTAGTTAATAGCATTGTGCCAAGGTTCATGTCTTCATTTGAGTGGGTTCTGTAAGAGGTTCACATCAGGAAAAGCCGGGTGAAGGGTGCACAGGGCTTTCTGCACTTGTACAATACAAAGTTGAAGAAAATTCGGTTCCTCAGTCACACTCGTCACATTTAGGTGCCCGTTGGCCACATGGATGGTGCTAAGATGGACTATTCCCACTGTGACAGAAAGCTCTATGGGACAGTGTTGCCTGCAATATAAAACCAATGTCTGGTTTCACTAGATAAAGCACTGACCACTACAGCATGCCTCAAACTGACTTCTGTGGGACAAATTCAGTGGTTCCCATTAAAGGCTAAAAGTCATGTCTAGAAATAAAACTCCAGTCTTCTCTCCTATGCCCAAACTAGTCATGTTATTTTAGACTAGATTCTACCTCTCTTTGGCTTCTGCTTTCTTTTCCAAAATGTGACAGGATTAAACCAAAGGGTCTCGCAAGGACTGTTTACATCTAACATTGCCTAGATCTGAAATAAATAACACTAGGAGGAAGTGGCTCATTATCTCAGTAGCCCACGGGGAGGTGTTCTAGTGGCAAACTAAGTGTGCTTGGGTTGGGAGGGAACCAGCCGTTCCCCACACTGCTGGATCTGCCTGGTTCCAGCCCATTCAGCCTCAATACTGATGCTGATGATACAGAAAGGACCCAAAGACTCACTCTCCTTGTCAGCGACAGGCTGCACACACAGGGCTTGAATGAAAAGACAACAGAGGAGAATAAATAGGAAGCAGTTTTTTAAAATATTAGAAGCATGCTATTTTATGCTAATTTTTTTTGTTCACGACTCTCAGTTTTAAAAAGTGAAATAACTCAGGTCAGACTACATAGGGATTTAGAAAACACTATTGACCAGGGAAGTTATGACTATTGATTTTTCTCCTCTTCATCCCCAGTGAGCAGTCAGTAATCATAACCCGCTGTTCTAACAGAGCACTTTCTATCCAAGACATTTAAGATGAAGCACGAACATTAACCCATTTATTTCCACCATGTTCATTGATGTTAAAATATGTTCTTTTCCTATCTGCTATTTACAGGGAGGAAACTAAAGAAAATGTCATTGTAGAGGGAAAGATAATTACGTGCCTGAATAGAATTTGCCTCAGTGGAAAGTTCCTTTCCCACTAGATCAACTTGGGGAATATAGAGCAGAATTAATTTTTTAGTTTTTCATCAGGTCATAGTTATTAAGTATATCTTGATCACTCTTTACTTACTTTTTTTTTTTTTTTTTTTTTTTGAGATGGAGTTTTGCTCTTGTTGCCCAGGCTGAAGTGCAATGGCGCCATCTCAGCTCACTGTAACCTCCGCCTCCCAGGTTCAAGAGATTCTCCTGCCTTAGCCTCCCGAATAGCTGGGATTATAGGTGCCTACCACCACACCTGGCTAATTTTTGTATTTTTAGTAGAGACAGTATTTCACCGTGTTGGCCAGGCTAGTCTCAAACTCCTGACCTCAGGTGATCCACCCACTTTGGCCTCCCAAAGTGCTGGGATTACAGGCGTCAGCCACTGCGCCCGGTCTATTGATTTACTTCTTTTCCTTGTTCTTCATAAAGTATACATCAGTTCGGATCCTTGGTTAAAAGCTAAAGAAACATTTTCTGGCCAACTTAAGCCAAATGCATTCTCATACCACAGATCTGCTAGGAGGCTTCCACTGAGATCTGTTTTCCTTGAAGGAAATGAGAGTGCAGATAGAAAAGGGCAGGCAGAAATGAGGACATGCCCACCACAAAGTTCAACCCACCTACACTTTGATTTCTTATTTATATTCATTTTATATATTAATCATCAACTGAATGCATAAGTGTGGAACTTTTATTATTTAAATTCCCAGCATACTTTCTCTCTGTGTTTGCATAAGTATCAGAAAGGGTATATGTAGTGACTGATATTCACCATTGCCTTGAGTTAATCAGCAAATAAAGATCCTGTTAAAAGTCCTTCATCTCTCAACACTATAAATAGGACAAATTAGATACATGAACAAAGGAGTAGATGCCAGGGTAAGGTATCATTTACCAAGGCTTACTCAATATTGGTTTGATGTGTTAGTAAGTCTTATAATAGAAATTATTGTTCAAGTAACCAACTATTTGCTGGAACAAATGTGTAAAAAGAGGTCCTTTCTACCAATAATCTAATGATTCTAATCATGGAAGACATACCATTGCTAGCAGAAAGACCACAAGAAAATTCCATTGTTCTTCTCAATTGCACGCTTGCAGCCTATGTATATCCGGAAACTAAGCTCTTGACTGTAATTTAATAGCTGATGCTTGTAAACTGGATCTTGTAAAAACCCTTAGGGGTATAAAGGAATTCCTTCTGTTCTATCCAAGTTTGGAAGAAGGCAGTATTATTTCTCTTTGTTACAATATTTGAGTTTATTTTAACAGCATGTTAGAGCAATCATAAATAACAGTGGCTTCATAACTTTCTCCATCTCCACCATTGTTACAATCCTTTCCACCACCGCTTAGAAATGATTCCTTGCATTTCTTAAAAGCTAAACTACCATGGAACTGCATGTTATTTTATGTCTCTTGAGATTAACAGTGTCTTCCTAAGAAAAATGCAAACATTCATCGCATTCCAGAGGAAAGACAGAACTTGGCCAGTGAGATTCCGAGCCGTCACTGAGCATTACTGTATACTTCTGAGGGAGAGGGTGCTGATGTTCATCTTCCACACCCTTTTCTACAGGCCTATCATCCAGAAAAGACCCAGGGAGCCATCATCACTGTGAATTCCCTCTCCCAGGAGATAACAGGACTGTTAATGATATTGTTAGTCGGCTCAATGTTCTAATCACGTGGAGACCATGTCAGGGATGTGGCTTAAGTATGCTAAGCAGAGGCAGCCCCCTCCTCTGTATGGAAATCTCTTCTGCATCCATTTAAAAGGCAAGCCTTTGGGTTTGAGAATTTCAAAATTACCCAGTATTTTTGACATTGAAATTTCTGGAGGGCTAACACTGTAAGTCTATCAGAGAGCCCCTTGGCAAGGATTGCTAATGGCTAACCCATGCGGGTTGTGCCCCAGGAACCCAACAAAGTCTAAGGAGGCACCCTGAAGAGCAGAGTCTGTGCCACGGTGAACCTGCTCTCAGGTCAGGTCAACCTAACAGCCCTAAGTGAGGGTCACAGTCAAGAGAAGGCAGGGGCAGAGCTGGCAGTCAGGCATAAAGGGTGAGATGAGAACAGTCTGGGGAAAAGTAGATGACTAATAAGTAAAGGTCAAGACAGAATCAGCTGGAAGGTCCCCCACAGCTCCTGTTTGCTGGGCACCTTTACATGGGATACAAGGACTCCTCATAGCTTACAGGAGCAGAGCCTGTCCTGACCAGGCATAGAGAACTCATCTAATGAAGGAAGAAGGAGAGACTGATAGAGAGTGCTAACATGAACCCCATATCTGAAGAAGGCATTCCTCTCCACCTGCTCCTCTACCAAGCACATCGCTGCCTCCAAGCCTTTGAAATCGCTCTTCCTTCAGCCCTGAACACTGTCGTCCCAGGATCCACAAGGCTCCCGACTGCCCTCATTCAGGTCTCTGCCCCATGTTACCTTAGCAAGAGGCCTTCCTTGACTACCCTATCTAAAATAGTACCTTCAATATGCTCTTCCTCTCATCCTACTTAATTTTTCTCTGTAGGTCTACCCCAATTTATAGATTAAATATTTATTTGCAAATATAAAACTCAATCCCCCTTAAGCAGGAACTTAGGCTGTTTTGTTTATCACAGTGCCCCTACCACTGAGCACATTTCCTAGTAGGTGCTTAAGAAATCTTTTGTAAAATGAATTAACTGAGACATTGTCCCTGAATCTCCACGTGGGTTGAATTTACATTGTGCAATTCTCTTGCGTTTGGGATGTAATTTCATGCTCTTTCCTTGTTATGTAGAGTAATTAGATATGCCATGCAGTCCCCATCTCTCTGCTTTGCCCATACTCCCTTCTGTGATTTTTCTCCCCCACGCCTCACTTCCAGAGCTGGCCAACAATAAGATATCTTTGTGTCATGTTTTCATGCATCCATTTAACAAACATTTATTGGACACTCACTGTGTGCTAGGCATGATGTTAGGTGCTGGGGATTTAACGGCAAAGCAAGAAAATAAAATCAATCTCTGCCACCAGGAAAGTTACTGCCTAGTGAAGGGGCCAGGAACTAAATTTTAATGCTCACAAACAGATGTAAAATTGCCATGTAATGGGGCTGCCAGGAAAGGTGCATGTGCTCTGAGTACCTTTCACTGGGGGATGAGCTGCTCAAAGAGATCAGGGAAGACTTCCACGAGGACGTGATTTGCCCTTTCCATGGGGTTGGGGAGTTGATGGGGGTCAGGATGGCTGCAAAAGGAGGTAAGGGAGATCACACAGGGCCTCAACAGCTGTGCTGATGACTTTAGCCATTATCCCGAGAGCCGAAGAGCAAGGGGAATCCACTGGAGGGTCGCAATGGGTGTGCGGAGCAGGAAGAGACAGCGTGAGAGAAAAGCACGAACACACAGGTGGAAATTCAGGCAGTTACCATGCATACACTGGGATAGGTTTTTGTAAAAGATACGAAGATAAATGGTCTGTGTCCTCAAAGATCTTAATCCAAAACACCAATTTGCTAGATAAAGGACAACTTACATGGTATGAATATAAATGATTTCTGGTCAAAGTCTCCAAAAGAATAAAGCTTATTCACGTAATAGCTCTGTTGAGTTCTTTCTGACCAAGATCAGGAGACCAAACTGAATGATCCGGAACCAAACTGTTGAACCCTGCTACAGTCGTGGGCTGAATGATGACGTCTCAGTCGACGACAAACCATGTAAGATGACAAAGGAGCTGGTGACCATGATCCTGACCCTGGGTGGGCCTAGGCTCATGTGTGCATTTGTTCGTTGTTAACAAAAAAGTTTAAAAAGTTTAAAAAAAACTAATAGAGAAAAGCCTATAGCACGAGGATATAAAGAAAATATTTTTGTACAGCTGTACAGTACGTTTGTGTTCTAAGCTATGTATTATAACAAAAGAGTCAAAAAGTTTAAAAAGTTAAGTTTATAATGTAGAAAAGTTATAATAACTAAATCATTAAAGACAATTTTTAAATAAATTGAATGTAGCCTAAGTGTACAGTGTTTATAAAGTCTGTGCTAGTGTATAGCAATGTTCTGGGCCCTCACATTCACTCACCACTCACTCACTGAGTAACCTAGGGCACTTCCAGGCTTCTGCAAACCCATTCATGAAAAGTGCCTTATACACGTGTACCAGTTTTTGTCTTTTGTACAGTTTTTTTAACTGTACTTTTTCTATATTAAGCTATGTTTAGATACACAAATATTTCCCATTGTGTTACAATCACCTACAGTATTCAGTACAGTACCATGCAGTACAGGTATGTAGCCTAGGAGCAATAGGCTATATATACCCTACAGCCTAGGTGTGTAGCAGACTACATCATCTAGGTTTGTGTAAGTACATTCTACGGTGTTCAAACAATGGCAATCACCTGATTCATTTCTGAGAACATAGCCCCAACGTTAAGCAATACATGACTGCATTCCCACTTGATAAAGAAACATTTCCTTCAAAGATTAAAATTTAAGTTTTCTGTAATTCTTATATTGACAATGGGGAAGACTCATCTGCCTTTTGCCTCTTACAGGTGTCGGCCCTGTCTCATGAGGTTTATGTATGAAAGGCTCTGTGTTCGGTTGATCTAGAGAAACTCACTGGCCCAGTGCATAGCTAGTATTAACTGTAATCAATGAAACCATCAGCTTTACTACAGAAGCATAAGGAAATTTAGTGCTTTCTGTGTGAGGGATATCACCCCTCTCTGAAATAGCTTAGGAAAATAAAAAGTGTTATTATACATCAGATTCATGTAATGTGTATTCATTTATTTGACTTTAAAGCTACTTAAAGGATAAAAGCACCCATCCTTAAGTTTCCTCCAGCATGGGTGGAACACTACTAAATAAATCTGAAAGAGACAATAGGCATGGAAGAAAAAGAGGCAGAATTAAGAAGCGAATAGGGAAAGGGATTGTGGTGCACTGATAGCATCTAAAAACGGGTTCCTTGATGAGCTTTCAGAAGGGCCCATTGTCCGTGTGCCTATAGTTTTATTTTTCCAGGAAAAATCAAATGGGCTGAGTGTGGAGTTGTGAAAGAGTGAAGAAAGGGGAGATGAAAATACCCTCCCCAGGAAATGTCTCTCTGCCCCTGAAATCCTTTATTCAAACTGAAAATACAGACAGCATGAAAACCAGAATCCCCGCCATCCCCACAGTGTGGTTTGTGTTTTCGGTGATGTTTGATTGCATTTTAGTTAGCATTTAATATTTTCTTAATCTGGGCTGCCTTTTATCTGACACCCTGGAACTTTCCCTGTACTTTGTTATTTCCTTCCCCTGCTAATGATGTCTCTGGAACAGAAGTGCACTCTTGAAATGGATTCTCTTCATTAACACAGGGAACACTGTGTTTGATTTATCTGCACAACCCCTGGGATGTCTTTTGTGCTTAGAGGTCAAAGAAATTCTTCATCTCTTTCTAAACCATTAATTTTATCATTATGGAAATAGCTTCCATAATTGATAAAACATTGTCAACTGAGTTTGACAGACTATTAAAACACTTCTGAAGATTTGTAATCTCAAGCTTCTGCCTCTTGGGACTTACTTAAAACATACACACCCATATTTATATTCTCTCTTAAATGTCAATGGGAAAAATCTTCTTGATAAGGTGGTTATGATGCACACAGACAGTGATTAAGAATCATTTCCCTCTGGCCCTGGCCAAGTTGTGTTACTGTTAATAAAATAGGATAAGCCATTCATCTTTTCTCACTAGCTGAGAAAGTTGAAGCTTTGCCATAAATAGGAAGAGGACCACCCTGTAAAAGGGATAGTTTGTTGTGAAGTCTGGAACTCTTTTTTTTTTTTTTTTTTTTTTTTTTTGACAGAGTCTCGCTGTGTCACCCAGGCTGGAGTGCAGTGGTGTGATCTCAGCTCACTGCAACCTCCATCTCCTGGGTTCAAGTGATTCTTGTGCCTCAACCTCCTGAATAGCTAGAACTACAGGTGTGCACCACCATGCCCAGCTAATTTTTGTGCTTTTAGTAGAGACAGTGTTTCACCATGTTGGCCAGGCTGGTCTTGAACTACTGGCCTCAAGTGATCCTCCCACCTCAGCCTCCCGAAGTGCTGGGATTGCAGGCGTGAGCCACTGCACCCAGCCTGAGCCACCACACTGGCCTGGAGCATCTGTTTTTTTAATTAAACTTTTTAATTTTGAGGTAATTGTAGATTCACATGCAGTTGTAAGAAATAATTGAGACCCCATGTGACCTGTACCCAGTTACCTCCAATGGTAGTATCTTAGAAAAGCTATAGGAAAATCACTCAGCCAGATTATTGACATCGATATACTACATCAATCTTACTCAGATTTCTCATTTTATTTGTACTCATTTGTGCATGTGTGTGTATTGAGTAAGCTTCAAGCAATTTTATCATGTGTGTAGACTTGTATATGACCCCTACAGTCAAGATACAGAACAGTTCCAATACCACAGGAATCCCTTGTGTTGGCCTTATATTACTACACTTACTTCCCTCCTCTTCTCCTCCCGATGGGGCATCAATTTTTCTTTGAGCTTTTCTGAACTCTTATGCATAATAAAGAGAAATTGAATTATGAAAATTATTTGCCCTCCATGAAGCATTTGAGGTTTTAGAAAAGGAGGCCTCATTGTGTTGGATGCAGTCAGAGCTTCTTTCCTGAACATAGACTTGATTCAATCCCCATTCACCTCCCTGGCTGGGCACCTTTGTGAAGATCATAGCCTGCTGTGGCTTTGCATTCAAGGCAACAACAGTGATAAGAGCCATCGCATGTTAGTAAGCTTTGTCTTTTGGAAAAATTCAGTTGACAATATTCCACTGAAATAATAATGAATTTCCAGATAAATAAAGATATTGCTTCCAACCTCAGAGGTTTCTTGGGAATTTACAAGTAATAGCATCTAAGATGCATGATTAGCTTCTAATTGAGACTAAGATGGTATCATTCTCTGGAATAACCGATTTACACTTAATACAGACCGTGAGAATTTCGAAAATTCTTCTTTTTTTAAAGTAACAAATCAGCTCCAGTTTCTACCCTTTATTGCAAGCTGAGAGTTAAAAAAAAAAAAAGAAAAAAAAAAAACAGAAAGAAAGAAACCTCCCAGGCTGACACTCCCCATCTGCTACTCTAGGCATTTTTGCCCATCTGATATAAAATGCCAGCAAGGAAGTCCTCAAAGCCAGCCCAATGGCTCCATAAAATATAGTCTTCTTGTCACCCTTAGTGTTTAAATCATTTGTTGTCAAACTGGGTGGCTTTCAGAGTTGACATTTACTGCTGTTTGCTGCAAAAGAGATTACAGCCTCAAGGAAAGGGCCAGAACTGTCATTAGCACTGCCAACTATGAGAACAAAGACCCTGGTTAATTTTTTTTGACTGTTGCTGTCCTGTAGTTCTCAAGTGATGGATTTTCAACAAGAGACACTCATGAAGTGTTTACTCAGTGGTCCCAATAGTCTCATGTATATACAGACACTCAGGCCCACACAAACAAAGAAATTTTAAAAGATCCTTTACTTTCCCTCTCCTAACCCCCATCTCTCACTCTCTTTCACTTCTTCCTCTTTCCAAAGTCTCTAGGTTAGCTCCAATATGGATATGCCCTTCATGCATGAGGAATTCATACCAGTAGTCAGAATGAATTTAAAGAAGCTTTCAAAGATTTAATTCAACAAAGATGTATCAAGTGTTATTTATGTTTATGACGCTATGACAATTGCTCCAGAGGACACCAAAATGAGTCTCTTCCCTCAAGAAAAAGAAAACTAATATTTATCAAGCATTCCTATGAAACCGAGCATTTCCTATTTGTCACTTCCTGCTATTCTCAAGGCAACTCTGTGAAATAGGTACTACGATTTCCACATCAGGAAACAGAAGCCCAGTCAGGTTAAGGGGTTTGCCCAAGCTCACACAGCTAGTAAGAGGTAAAGCCGACAGTTACCCCAGGTATATCTGACTCAAGTCCATGATTTTTCTATACCACATCCTTGAGGGAGCTCACAAAGAAGGGATATAGAGTTATGGAAATATAGAAATGCAAGTATATATAAAACTGTAATACAAAGTAGATTATAGGAAATTGTGTAAGAAATGTTGAATCAAGGGATTATAAAGAAATCCAACATATGATTGATATGGTAGATGCTATGATAATCCCCTTTCAGTAAGTGCCCATCCCAGCTGCTGGGAGTGCTTGGGGCATATGACTTTTAGCTGTCAGCCCCTTCAGGGAATGTCCCATCTGCAGAGAGCCACCTTGTCCAAGGTCATGCCCCTTCTTGAGAAGCCCACAGCCCTGACTGATTGATACAGAAGTAAAAGGCTTGATGACCTAGGCTCACTCGGGACACTTCTTAAGGACCACTCCAGCTCCCGATCTCCCCATGTGTCATCTGCATCTGTGGTTCATTGTAGCTCCTGCTTTCTTCTTCTCTCTTCCACAGGTGTTGAGCCAAGGGCATTCCTGAGTGTGAAACTTTAGCTCAGAGATTGCTTCCGTGAGAACTCAACTCATGAGAGTTGGGTAGAAAATTATTCACAGTAAAGGTGCTGCATAAAGTAGGCCTTGGGTACAAAGTAGGATTTCAACACAACAGCCAGGTAGTTATTTTCAGAAAAGCAGTTTCTACTGTTCTGTGGAAGGTCTTGAAGACTAGATGAGTCTGTACACAGTGGAGAAATCAAGATCCACTGAAGGCTTTAAGCAGAGGCATCACATGAAGCAGGCTGTGCCTTGGAAAAATGGTGTGGTCATACTATTAGGCTGAATAATGAGGATGGAAGCAAAAGTCCAGGAGGCCATGGAGGAGACAGTGGTCCAGATAATTTCCATCATCAGAGCGTTAGGCTTTCAGGCAGAAAACAGGTTTGAATCCTGGCTCTGCCACTTCCTCTGAGAGATTTTGGGAAGTCACTTAATTCCTCCAAATCTCACTTTCTTTCTCTGCCAACTAAAATAATATTTATAGTGTGCAATGTGTGGGAGTTTGCAAAGCATTAACACACATACACACACACACTCACACACACACACACGCACACACACGCACATATAAATCCCTAAACAAACATAAGTTCTAGTTGTGGAGATAAAGAGGGGTGACCTAGAGCAGTGGTTGGCAAATTCAGTTAGCCTGGGGTTTTTTTTTGTAAATAAAATTTTACTGGAACATAACCATATCCATTCATTTAGATTTCATCCGTGGCTACTTTCAAGCTACAATGGCAGAGATGAGTGGTTGCAATCAAGACCATATGGACCCACAAAACCCAAAATATCTGCGATCTGGCCCTTTCCATAAAGAGTTTGCCACCTCCTGATCCTGAGTATCATAACAGAAGTAAAAAGAGGTGACTGATATAAAGGATAGAACAGGGGTAAAATCTATAAGACCCAGCAACGCTCGGGATTAGGGAAACAGAATGACATGAAAAAGAACAAATAACTCTGGGATTTCCACTGGGGTCCTCGTGAGAGTGGTATTGTCTTAACCCCACTGAATAAATTAAGAAGGATAGTTTCATTTAATGACTGGTGCATTTTGAATTTCAGATGCTAGTAAAACTGTTCAGCAGGCAGATGAAAATGTGAATTTGGTTCTTTGGCAAGAGCTCAGAGATGTTTTCATTTTTGGAACAGTGTACATAGACATGAAAAAATAATGAAAAACTGGTGATTCTGTGGGCAATATAAATAATCTCAATTTTAATCTCCCACTTTTAAATGGATCAAGTTCTGTCTTACATTTGAGAAGTTATCCAAAGGTTTTAATGCTTAAAATTGGAGAGTTAAGGTAAGACTTTGCTAATTATTATCATACAAGCAGAAAATGAGAAAAGGGCAGTGATATTTTATTGTTGCTAGAAAGGAAATGTTTTAGAACCTGGCAAAGGCCCCTGCAATGGAGGGCATTTGACTATGTTGCTGACACTAAGCCACATTTGAAATTCATTGTTCAACGGCTGCACACTAGCACGTCCCAAGTGATGTGGGTCCCGTGAGATATTGAACAGTTTTCTACAAATCAAAGGATTTCAAAGTTAAACCAGATTAAAGAAATTTAAAGCTGTCTTTATTGTGGGACTTCTCAGATCCTTTAGTATGGTAATAAGCATTGGGAATACCCCAATGCCCCAAGAGGTAGACACAGTAAGAAGATAAGAAAAGTAAGGTTTAAAGCAGTCACTTGCCCAGGATTACACAGTTATTAAGAAGGAGAGCCAGGAGTCAAATTTAGAAAATCTGCTTCAGAGTTCTCAGCAATGACACTCACCTACCAACCCAGCTTTATTGGGATATAATTGACAAATAAAAAGTGCATATATTTAAAGTGTACAACGTACTGTTTTGATATATGTATATGTTGTGAGATGATTACCACAATCAAGCCTACCCATAACCTCATCTACTTACCTTTTCTGTGCTCGTATTTGGTGAGAATACTTAAGATCTACTCTCTTAGCAAATTTTAAGTAAACAAAACACTATTATAATATTATCTCTAATTACCAGGCTGTACATTTGATCTCTATAACTTATTCATCTTATAACTGAAAGTCTGTACCCTTTGACCAAAAGTTTGTACCCTTGACACTTTCCTAATAATGATGGTGATAAGAGAGGATAATGATGTGTTGGTGAAAACTGTCATTACTGCCGAGCAGTCCCTGTAATACTTGATGTCCCTTGAAAAGCTGTGGTAATTCTTACACCAGGGTATCAGTTACCTGGTGTCAAAACAATGCTGTGTCAACCACCCAAAACTCAGTAGGATACAATAACAAGCATGTATTCAGTCTAATGCATCTGCAGGTTGGCTGGGATAGCTTTGCTGATCTCATTTGTGTTTGACTTCAGGCTGCAGATCCAAATTAGGTCTGCTCTGTAGAGCTCTCATTTGTCTGAGACCAGCCACTGGGACCAGTGGCATATCTGTGATGCCTCCATTTGTGTCACACCTGCAATATTCATTGGCCAAAGCAAGTCACATGCCTGGACCCAAATCAAAGGGCAGGGATGTATACCTCTAGAGGAGAAATCTGCAAAGTAACAAGGCAAAAACTATGCATACAAGAAAGGGAGAAGAAATGGAAGCCATTATTCCATCTACCACGACCCATGTGTAAAATTCATCATGGGAATATGCAATAAAAATTTAATCTATGCTGTTTAAATAATCCACAGAGCCTTGGCACTATGAATTCAAGTTCAGATAATGCATTATATGACAATAAACTTTTATTCATCTTATCCCAACTTATTTTCAGAATCTGCCCAAGCCTAGGCTAAATAAGGTATGTACTCTAGGAATATAGCTCTAAGGATTAGCTAAATGAATTAGTAAGTGGTCAAGTCCTTTGGTTCAAGCATCAGAATTATTCACTTGGCCTCTCTGTTAATGCTTCTATGGCTCTCAGGCTGCCACACTTGGGTGCTGCTCTTCCATCACCCCTCCCAGGCCAGCAGGACTTAAGGTTTGAATCGAGGTTAAAGTTGTAGGAGACTAGATATGGCCCACTTGCTTGTGTGTGCATGAGAATCCCTGAGCCTGAGAGGGCTGTCTGGGCCAAGGGTCCAGGGGAATGGTTAGAGAAGAGTGAAGAGCAGAAAACTGGCAAAATGAGCGGAGGGAGGAGGAGGGTTTAGTAAATAGACCCTGAAAGGAGTCCTCTGAGAAAATGAACGAAAGGAGGCTAACCTTTCTGTGAAGCTCTCGTGGCCTAGATCTCCAAAGGTTAAGGAAGTTGGAATAATATCTCTGAAACTGGCCGGGCGCAGTGGCTCACACCTGTAATCCCAGCCGTTTCGGAGGCCAAGGTGGGCGGATCACTTGAGGTAGCGAATGCGAGACCAGCCTGGCCAACATGGCGAAACCCTGTCTCTACTAAAAATATAAAAATTAGCTGGGTGTGGTAGTGCACACCTGTAATCCCAGTTACTAGGGAGACTGAGGCAAAAGAACTGCTTGAAGCCAGGGGGTGGACGGTTGCAGTGAGCCAAGTTCGTGCCACTGCATTCCAGCCTGGGTGACAGGGCAAGACTCTGTCTCAAAAAAAAAAAAAAAAATCTCTGAAACTTACAAGAGTCCTTGATGACTCTGATGATGGTGATAATGAATGAATGAAATATTTGATACATGAAAGAGAATATATATAGCATATATAAACTTTGAAAATATTATAAAATGAGCTTGTGACCTCGTCACTCAACTTAAACCACTATATTACATTTACTGGTATGCTCCGCCTCCTTCCTGAAGAAAACTACTATGATAATGTTGCACTTACTCTCTTGCTGTTTTTTAAAAATATTACATCCTGTATGTACATAGCCTTGAACAATGTGTTGCCTAGTTTTCCTCGTATTTGAGTTTTATAGAAGTGCTGTCATGGCATATCGTGGCACCTTGTCATCATTATGTTCCTGAAATTCTTTCGTGGTTTGGGAGCTGCTGAGTTTCATTCACTTTCACTGCTCCAGTATATGCTTTATTAGAAATACACCATAGTGTATGTATTTCTTCTCTTGTCCATAAACATTTAGGCTGTTCTGTGTTTGCTATTATGAACAATTTTGTTCTGAGCAAACTTCTATGTGTCTCCAGGAACACAGTGACCAAGAGTTTCTCTGGACTATGTAATTCAGAGTGGAGTTTCTGAGTTATAAGGTTTTCAACTATCGCTTGAAATTTTATTCCATAGTGGTTGTATCTGTTTATAAAGCCACTAGCAGAGGATGAGAGTTTTTGCTGAACCACAGTTTCATCAACACTGTGTACTACCAAAATTCTAAATGTTTGCCAATCAAGAAGATATAAAACAAATCCCATTATAGTTTTTATTTGTATTTCCCTGATTACTGATAAGGTTGAGCATCTTTTCACAGTTTAATTCACCATGTATGTTTCCTCTTCAGTGAACTATTTATTTCTTTTGCTTATTTTCTAATTTCTGTTAGTTTCTTTCTTATCAACTTATCATAGTCTGCTATTAATACTGAATATTAATCTCTTGCCAATTATGCGTGATATGAATATCTTGTCCCATTGAGTGGCTTTACCTTTCCACTCCTTTTTGAGTGACCTTTGGTAAACAGAAATGCCCAGCCTTGAGGTAGTCAAATGTATCAAACTTTTCTTTGTATGCGTGTGTGTCTTCTTTAAGGGATCTATTCCTTCCTCAAGTTTATAAAGATATTCTCTTTGTCTCCGAAAAGTCTTGAAGTTTTGCTTTGTGCAATCTATTGGGGATTTTTTTTTTTTTTTTTTTTTTTTTTTTTTTTTTTGCCTGTCATGTGAAGCAGGGATTCATTAAATATGTTATCTCAATCAACATATTTAATGAGAGAGACACTCTCACTCACTCACCTCCTTAGTCATCTGCAATGCCACCTCTTCCTCATATCAGATTGCCTCGTGTGTGAGATATTGCTGGGCCCTCTATGCTGTTGCATTGATCAGTGTGTCTTTCCCTGCACCAAAACCACACCATCGCAATTACTCTGGCTTTATAATAAGTCTTGATATCTGGTAGCTCTCCTGGTAACTGGGCTACAACTAGATTTTGAGGGAAAGAATGAGGTTCAAACATTCTAATTAAGAGAATGAGAGATAGAAAGATGTTAAGGGTTTAGGTCCACTGTTTATTTACAAATAATATCTATTATCTAACTTCTGCCCCTTACGACTGGTCTAAGGTAGCTGCCATTGGAAATACACACGAGTTACTTTAGCTGTTGCTTATACCCTATTATCAGGTCATTGAACTGTTGCTTTAAAACACAGATAATTCAGACTTCCCAGTGATTCAGATGAAGGTAGTGATTTGGTTTTCTGCTTTTGCTCCAAGACATCAGCTATTTTGCAAAAAATGATCAACACTTTCTGCTCCATTAGAAAATAAAGGCACGTGAAGATGTTAACTTCTGTGCTTATTCTGAAGGGGCTTTAATGCTAACATGTCTTGCATTTCTTCAGTATTATTTATATAGAACTTCATGTTTATAAAGCTAAGACAAGGTGCCTGGATGAACTGGAAGCTTTCTCAGGCGGGTCCTAGGAACTCTGCTATGAACTCTCTTGGCTCTCTATGGACCACACATTTTATAATTCATTCTGTATAAACAACACAAATCTTCTGAGCATTTTCTGTGCAGTGAATGTTGAATAAATTCTTTTCAGTGGTGACATTGACTCCTTAGGCTGTTTATTTGGACTTCCTCAGTAGAGATATATTCATACAAACCAAATAATCTTAAATGTTGTGCCCGGGATGTATTGTAAGTCATGTTTATGAATGGAGTTTTATATTCTCTATGAAGGTGCAGAAAGAGAATATAGTACACATAATGCTCAGTCCAGTCAGGTACATGGTAGAGTGCATAAAAAGTAGCCCTGGGCATGTGAAATGTGTATCTATAGAAATGCATATTTTAAAGAACTTTGAAAATTGGCTAGTGAAAAATATTAAAGTTGAAAAGATTGGCAATGTATATTTAAAAATCACTATCTACTAGAGGGAACATGAATATGGTTCAAGAGAGGGAATCAATAGTTAGTAAGGATAAAATGGATAAGAAAAGAAAATTGAAATACAGGCAGGAAATATATTCAGGCAAGAGAAGTGATGTAATGAAAAGAAAGCAGAATTGAAACCACAGCCTCTTCCATAACAAATGTAAGTGTTAAAATCATAGCGGATGATTTTTTCAGTAATTTTGGCTAGAGCAGGAAAAGGGGGTGTCTATAGAACAGCACTTTTAGTGTTTGCTGAGGTGGACAAAAGCAATCACAATTAATGAGCTCCAGCAGGGGGCAAAGGCAAACAAAGGAAGTTTGATTTTTGCTGTGATTACAAATTAAGAGTAGCTCAAAATCCGTTCTCTAAAGCTTGTTGGGTGCTCCCAGTTTCCCAGCTTCCCCTCCTCTCTACCCAGGTTCCCAGAGCACCCATAAACTCTCTTCCCTCTCCACTTGTAAAATATCCTTTCAGATCACACTTTTCTTGGTGCCCTGCAACCTAGGAAAATCTCTCCACTCAACAGTCTACCAGTAACACAAACTCTGCATTTAGGGACACATTGGCCACAATAAATTAGAAGGAAATTTTACCAAAAGAAAATAAGTATAATGTTTACATTTTTAGATCTGTATTTATAGATATAAATGCAAATGCAACTGATAAGGGATGGCAGTTATATAATAATCAAAATTCTTCAATATTATTTATAATTCTTGTATCAATAGAGTTGCAAGAGTTAGCAAATAAAATACACGATGCCCAGGTAAATAAATTGCAAAGAAACAGCTGTTTAGTATAAGTACATCCCATGCAATATTCAGGATGTACTAATACTAAAAAATTATTCATTGCTCTGTAGAGTACAACGAAAGCCCGGACATCTCACAGAATAAACAAAAATAGTTCTTAAAAGTTGAGGAAGCATCAATACTGTACATAATTCTACTTCAATATTTATATGCCTCTAACACCCACTAAGGTTCTTCAGGAATGTTCTCAGCTCTCTGAGACGGGATTTTCTCACCTTTCTCTCTCCTGGTCATTCAGGAGTCCCCAAAGCTTCTTGTCAACCCTAGATATTATCAGAGATTCTCTAAGGCTCCTTCTCATGCTTGTTGGTTCTAAGTGCAACTCTGTTGAGACCACAGACCTCTCTAGAAAGAGGCTGCTGGATTTGAGGCTCCTCCATTCAAAGGGCCAACCCTTTCCTGAGATTCCACCGCTTCTGAGCGCTCCAGCAGTCGCTGCCTTGCACATGGTTGGACCTCCCCAGTACAACGTTGAACACAGCAGTGACAGCAGATGTCCTTGTTTCATTTGCAATCTCACAGAGAAAGCTTTCAATATTTCTTTTTTCTTTTTTCTCTACCTCCAGGTTCAAACGATTCTCCTGCCTCAGCCTCCTGAATAGCTAAGATTACAGGTATGTACCACCACGTCTGGCTAATTTTGTATTTTTAGTAGAGACAGGGTTTCTCCATGTTGGTCAGGCTGGTCTCGAACTCCCAACCTCAGGTGATCCACCCATCTCGGCTTCCCAAAGTGCTGGGATTACAGGCATGAGCCACCACGCCCAGCCAAAGCTTTCAATATTTCTACACGGAGTTGGAGCTAGATTTTTTTTTGGAGATACACTTAATTAAATTTGCAAAGTTTCCTTCCATTCCTCATTTGCTAACAATTTTTATCAAGAATGGGGGCTTATTCTATCTAATATTTTTTCTGCAGCTATTGAGATGATCATTTGGGTGTTCTTCTTTATTCTGATAATGTGAAGAATTACATAGTTTTTCAAATACTGGTCTTGTATCCCCAGAAGAAACCCAAAGTGATCACAAAGAATCATTTTCTGATATTTTGCTGAGGATTTTGAAAATCTATTTTTATGGAAGAGGTGGGCCCATGCTTTTCTTTCTGCCTATCAGTTTCTGAAAGGGATTTGTTAAAATTTATACCTATGATTGTAGATATGGCTATTTCTATTTTTCAGTTCTGTTAATTTTTTTCCTTTTTTTTTTTTTTTTTTTTTTTTTTTTTTTTTTGGAGACAGAGTTTTACTCTGTCGCCCGGGCTGGAGTACAGTGGAGCGATCTCAGCTTACTGAAACTTCCACCTCCTGGATTCAAGCAATTCTCCTGCCTCAGCCTCCCGAGTAGCTGGGACTACAGGCGCCTGCTACCACGCCTGGCTAATTTTTGTATTTTTAGTAGAGTTGGAGTTTCACCATATTGGCCAGGCTGGTCTCAAACTCCTGACCTTGTGATCCACCTGCCTTAACCTCCCAAAGTGCTGGGATTACAGGCATAAGCCACCACACCCAGCCAATTTTTTCTCTTTCTACAGTGTAAGCCTATGTTATTTATTTCACACAAATTCAGGATTGAATTTGCTAGATCTTTGTCCTTATAAAATGTTCCTCTTTATCTCTAGTACTATCTCGTGTTGAAGTCCATTTTTCGTCAGAATAACTATCTTAGTTTTCATTATCTTAATGTGTGCATTGTATATGTTTTTCCACCTTTTTATTTTTAATTTTTCTATTTTCTTCATATCTAAGGTAAGTCTCGTGTGAGTGGCATATTCGTGTTTTTTTGTTCTTTTTGTTTTTTTGTTTTGTTTTGTTTTTGTTTTTGTTTTTGTTTTTGTTTTTGTTTTTGAGTCAGGGTCTCACTCTGTTGCCCAGGCTGGAGAGCAGGGACACAATCTTGGCTCACTGCAGCCTCAACTTCCCAGGCTCGGGCGATCCTACCACAGCCTCAGGAGTAGCTGAGACTTCAGGCGCAGGCCACCATGCTCAGCTATTTTTTTGTATTTTTAGTAGAGAAAGGGTTCCGCCTTGTTGCCTAGGATGGTCTTGAACTCCTGGGCTCAAGCAATCCACCTGCCTGGGCCTCCCAAAGTGCTGGGACTAAGGCATGAGCCACCACACCTGACCAATGTTTTGTTATTTATTAACAAACAAAGTTACCTTTCATTTGGAGTTTTTCGTTCAATTACATTGAATATAATTACCAATATGTTTGAGTTTGAATTTGCCATCTTGCCATTTGTTTTCTACATGTCCCACCTATTATTTGTTCTTTTGTGTTTTCCTATCTTTTTAGCTTAATCAGATATTTTTAGTTATCTCATTTGTTCTCCTAATAGCTTGTAAATGGTATATCCTTCTATTATCTCTCATAGTCTTCTAAACAAACTCTTGAGATTGGTTTGTTAAATAATGTTTAAATGTATCTCTTTAACATTTTATCAGTGATGCTTTTGAAAGTACAAATGATTCAAACCAGAAAACATTTAGCTGTGATATATGAGTCCATGTTAGACTTCATATTTACTGGAAGAGAAAGTCTTTCCAGGAAACACTGCGCTATGGAAGTTTACATTCTCATTCCTGAACCATCAGTATAAATTATTGCAAATTCATCATTAAGAATGCTGTAGCTAAAAAATCCCATGCCAGGGACCACTCACCGAAGTTCTCTGGGGAAAAAACGTGTATATAAAGTGAAAAGGCTGAGTTCTTCAGGAAGGAGTGAAGGTTGTAATGATGGACTTCACTAGGAAACCAGAATATATATGGAGATTCCTGAAGGATATTTATGAGGACTTGGCCCCCATATTCTACCATAAGATGGACCCCTGGCTGCACTTGCCATGGGGAAGTCTATGGATAGCCTAATCTACCTCCGGCTCTACTTGATGGACTAGCAGAAAATTTACATGGGAGTCCCTAACTCACCCAGGGTTTAGCTACCATGGCATAGATGGTGGCATGGCAAACAGACCACTGGAAAATATAAAATCCCTCCAGTTAGACCTCGGAGCCAAGTTGCTTCTAAGTCACCTCTGGCTTTTTCCTGCATATACAAGGGAGGTGCCTGCCTCAGGAACAAAACTCTGCATAAGTGTCAAGTTCACAGAAAGCCTTGCCAGAAGCTGGAAGGACCTTGAGATGAGGTGTGATTCTTGTGTCATTGAGCCCCTGCTTAGACTTCCTTTGGGTGTGTCATACATCTGCCGAGGGAGGCGCCAAAGGAAAGTTTTATGACCTCTAAGGAAGGAATATAAATTAACCTACCTATCCAGCTTGTGTAGTGTTTTCTTTTCCAAAATACTTTCTCTCCTCTCCACTTCTTCCTTCTTTCCTTCCTTCTCCCCCTCCTTGCCTTCCCTCCCTCCCTTTCTTTCTTCTCCCTTTCCTTCCTTCCTTTTCCTCCTTCCTTCCTTTCCTTCTTCCCTCCTTCCTTCCTTTCTTCTTGCTCTCACCTTTCATTCTCTCATTCTTAACCTGGATTTTTTGCTAACCCAAATGTTTTTAGCCTTTCAAACAAAGTCCCACCTTGGCTCATGGCACATATAGAATAAAGATGATTTTTCACTTGGACAGTTCTCATATTCGGACACTTCAGTATTTGAATAGTCCTCTGGTGCCTACTCCACTTCTCCAGACTGGGAGAAGGGAGAGTATTATCTCCCTTCATTACCATCTGGCCAGGTGTCTTCCCATTTGTAATCCCCTGATTGGGTAGTGTTCTTCCCCTCTGTGTGCATCTAGTGAACTGAGAAGAATATATTCAGTGTCACCCAGCTGTTTATTCCATTAAATTCTCAGTGTTTGCCGTATATTAGCTGAAGAAAAATATTAACATCCTGTGGCTGGATTGTAAGCTATTATAGTATATTGGTTACATAAATGAAGTGTACAGTGGAAAGAGATTCAAACTGGTGATCATAAAGCATGAAGAAAAACATTTTAACTGTGTCATTAGTATTGTAATTTATTCATTGATGCTTGGTTTGCTGCTGATATGTTCGTAAGTAACTGCTTGGTTCATACCTGTCTCTACTCTGAGAATATGGTGATGAGAAGCTTCCAGTTGTCTCCAGAAAAGCATCCTTAGCATCAATTTGAAATAAAGGTGTATTAGGTTAATAAAGGCTAAGCTGCTATAACAGAAACTCCCCTAGCTCCCCGCCACCACCAAATATAGTGGCTTAAATAAGATTGAATTTTATTTCTCTTTCACATACATAGATAGTGGGCAGTTCTGCTCCACAAAACTGTCGAGGGACTTAGATTTATTTCATCTTGCTAATATGTCATTCCTAAAATGTTGTCTTTATTTAAATGATCAAAAATGACTTATTGCTTTGCCTGGTTTTAAACTCTTGAGAAAGAGAAAAAGACGAAAAACAAGGCAAATAATTTTCTTTCTGACAAGTAATGTGGAAATCGTTCACATCTCTGAAGCTTACATTTCATTGGCAAAAAAGTCTTTGCCACATAGCTATACCTAACTGCAAAGATTGTTAGGAAATTTAGTCTCTAGCTGGGAAGCTATGTCTCCAGGAAAAAAGTGAAGATAAATTTGAAAAGACAAATATACCTCACACATCCAATTTGAAATCAATTACAATTACCATTAGCTCTATAAGACCGTATAACATAATGGTTAAGAGATCTAGTTCTGGAGACAAAAAGCATGAAGTCCAGTTTGGGCTCTAACACTTACTAGTTGTGTGGTCATAGGCGGGTCACTTAACTTCCTTAAAACCTTAGTTTCCTCACCTGTAATATGGGAAACATAACAGAACCTTTGGTCAAGATTATGTGAAATATATAAAGGGTAACATAGTAAGAGTTCAATAAATGTTACCTGACTTAGTTTCCTGAAGGGAGTGAATGAACCTCTTATGGATAATAAGACTTCCGGGCCAATGGGAGGTCATCCAATTAAGAGCCTCTTTGTCTCAACAAAATTTATTTAGCAAGACTCTACTTTGTAGAAGGCACTGGAATAGTAGGTATTAATTTATCAGATAAGTTATATACTTTGAATGAGTTTTTATTATGTAAAAAAGACATATAAATCACTCTAAATTCCCCCTCTATGTATGAAGATAACAATAGTTCTTAGTGCTTTTCTCACTGAATATAGAGGAATGGATGAGATAACGTTTGTCAAGAGCTTAGCTCATTCTCTAGCATAACATACAGTAAGTACTCAATATATGTTACCTCCATATTATACAAGGCGAGTGCTAAATATTATTACAAGCAATGCTATGGGAATACAAAAGAAGGAACAATTAATTCTGGCTAGAAGGACTAGGGAAGATTTCAAGGAGCTTCTGGAACTTCTGCAGGATTTTTAAGGATGAGTAGGATTTCAAAAATTTGAAGATTTTAAAAGGATGGTTTCATCAAAGAAAACAACATGAGCCAAAGCATGAAGGTGAGCTATTGTGTGGCGTGTTCAAGGACAGAATAACTGGATAAGAGATTCATGGGATAATGAATGGGAGAAGTTGTGGAGGAGATTATAATGTGAGATCAGATAATGATGGACTTCCTTCATTAAGCAGTGGAGAGGTTTCTGAGGGGATTTTCATACTCTGAACTATTTATTAGGTTGACCACCTTTGTTAGCAGCATACAGTATAGATTAGAAGGGAGATGGGCGTTTCAAATGAGAGGCTGGAAGAGCAGACAGTGGCTATGAAAGTTGTCCAGGAAAAGGACAATAGGGTCTGAATCTGGGCGCTATCATTGAGAATGGAAAGTGAAGGACAGAGAAGAGTTATAGAAGAGGCAAAAATCAGTAGGTTTTTGCAACTCACCTAATAAGAAAAGTGAAGGAGAGTGGAGAGCTGAAAATATTTAAGATTTCTAATCTGAGCATTATAACCAGGGAAGATGTACAATAACTTCAAAGTGGTATCTGCTAAAACCAAAATCTACTAGGGCATAGCTATTCAGATTTCCAATATCAATGGCCTGAGGCAATGGCATTTCTTGCATGCCAGTGTGGTAATCAGTTTCAGTAAAAACGCATAAATCCCAATGTGAGCACTCAATTATCTTCAAAATCTAGTCTTACTGGGTCTTCAGAATTCACCAGGAAATAGCATTCACTTGAGAAATATGACCTGAAGATAACTTCCGCTTCCAGCTCAATGGAGTACCTGGTATCAGACCATCTGTCCTGCTGAGGACACCATCAAAGCTGGATAGAATACAAAGAGAAAAAAAATCCAGCTGTTTGAAGGTGTCAGAGGATACCCCATGATGCTAAGATACGGGGGAAAAGTACTCTTAGGATACCTTAAGATTCTGCATTAATTTCCACTCACAGTACTTGCTGATTCCTAAAATGCACATGTATAAGGTGAAATTTGTGAAACTAAACCAAAAGTATCAATTAAGTGGTAGAGATTTTGACAGTTTTATAGTCCTGCAAAGATTAAAAAACGGGGGCCCCAAACCTACAAAAACAAGTCTTTAATGATTTTTACCTGAAAGCTTGAACAGTGATACACCTTGAGAAACTAACAGTCCCAACTAGATCAAAGAGTGATTTTTTCATTTGTTATGTACCCATTAGAAGAAAATTAATTTCCAAATTCAGGAAAATAACTATTCAGATTCTCTATAATTTTTCATACTCGATATAATTTTTCATATTTAATAAAACATTAACAGGCATTTTCACTAAGATAAAGAACAAGGCAAGGATGACCACTAACTCTTCTACTATCCCACACTGTACTAGAGTTATGAGTGAAAGTAATCAGGTAAAGGAAATCAATCAAGGCCTAAGAATGGATAAAGCTAAAGTAAAATGTTCTCTATTTGAAGATGCTATAACAGTATACTAGCAAAACCTAACAGAATCAATGATGAAACTAACTCAAACAATAAAACATTGAGTAAGCTAGCAGGATATTAAAATGACAGAAAAAATCAATAGCTTTCATGTCCACAAACAATGAAAAGTTAGAAGACATGATGGTAGAGAACACCTCATTTACAATAGTTACCAAAAAGATAAAATATTTAGAAATAAGCTTAAAAAGAAGTGTGTAAAATATGTATAAGGAAAATTTTAATACACTCCTGAAAGACAAAAAAAGTAGATTTGAACAAATAGAAAGACATTTTCTGTTCTTAGGCAGGATAGTTTAATATTATAAAAGATGTGAATTTTCCCTAAGATAATTTACACATGAAATGTGATGCCAATAAAAGCACCAACAAGCTATTTTATGGAGTTAAAGGTGACACTTATGAGTAGTGGACATTAAAACATACTATAAAGCCTCTATAATTAAAACAACATGGCAAAGGCACATGGCCAGTGAGGTGGAGTAGAAAATTCAGAGAAAGACTCATATAAGAAAAAGTAGTATACGATGAGGATGGCATTTGAAACCACTGGAGTAAAGATGTTTAAAAATAAATGATGTTAGACAATTGAGTACACATTCGGAAAAAGATAAAATGAGATCCATATCTCAGAGTATACATAAGAATAGACTCCAAACACTTCAGGGATATAAAGAAAAAAAGTGAAAACCTAAAGTACTTGAATTATTCTTTAATCTTAATGTAGGAAAAAGCCTTGCTAACTATGACTCAAAATCCAGAGGCAATGAAAAAGAGATAAAAGGTAACTTTTGACAAATAAAAAGGTTTTTATGACAAAAAACAAACAAAATACCAATTTAAAAAGCCAAAAGATAACTGACAAACTGGGAAAAAATATTTGCAACATATCTCACAGATAAAGGGCTAGAGAATGCTTAAAAATTGAGGGCCAAGGAACCAAAAAAATTTTATTTTTATTTTATTTCAGTAGTTTTGGGGGGTACAGGTGGTTTTCGGTTCCATGGATAAGTTCTTTAGTGGTGATTTCTGAGATTTTGGTACACTCATCACCCGAGAGGTGTACACTGTACCCAATTTGTAGTGTCTTATCATTCACCACCTCCCACCTTTCCCCTGAGTCCCCAAAGTCCATTATATCATTTTTATGCCTTTGGATCCTCATAGTTTAGCTCCCACTTATAAGTGAGAACATACAATGTTTGGTATTCCTGAGTTACTTCACTTAGAATAATGGCCTCCAGCTCCATCCAAGTTGCTGTGAAGGTCATTATTTCATTCCAGTTTAAGGCTGAGTAGTATTCCATGGTGTATATATATGACATTTTCTTTATCCACTCTTTGGTTGATGAGCATTTAGGTTGGGAAGCAAAATGTAATAGAAAAATTGAAAAAGGCATAAACTATTCATAAAGACATAGTAAAATGGTTCCAAAACATATGTAAAATGATAATCATTCATTAATACCATTTCTCAACAACTGATTAGCAAAACTTAGAAAGCCTGACAATACATTTTGTTGGCAAAGCTGTGAGGAAACAGGTACTCTCATACACTGCTGATGGGAATACAAACTGGCAGAATCTTCCTGGAAGGGAATTTGGAAATACCTAACAAAACTCTGCATGCACTTATTTTTTAAGACAGTAATCCGACTTCTAGGAATCTACACTGAAGATACACATCTCACAATACAAAAATACATATTCAGAGTTATTCACTGTAGCATTCTGTAAAATTGCAATAGATTAGAAACAACCTGAAAGTCATACTTTGGAGAGTGGCTGAATAAACTGTGATACTTCCACACAATGAAATACTATGTAGCTGTAAAAAGAAACAAAAAGATAAAAGAAAATGAAAAAAAGGAACGTCTCTATTAATTGATATGAAGTGATCTTCAAGATACCAGGCTAAGTGTAAAAAGCAAGTGCAGCCTGTAATCCCAGCACTTTGGGAGGCCCAGGCAGGTGGATCACGAGGTCAAGAGATCGAGACCATCCTGGCCAACATGGTGAAACTCCGTCTCTACTAAAAATACAAAAATTAGCTGGGCATGGTGGCACACACCTGTAGTCCCAGCTACTCAGGAGGCTGAGGCAGGAGAATTGCTTGAACCTGGGAGGTGGAGGTTGCAGCGAGCCAAGATCACGTCACTGTACTCTAGCCTGGCAACAGAATGAGAGTCTGTCTCAAAAAAAAAAAAAAAATAAAAGCAAGTACAAAAGGGAATAAGGGAATGAATACCATGCTACCTACCGCGCAGAGAAGAAGGTATAAGAAAAGACACATTTCTGATCATTTACACAAAAGAAACACAGGAAAGATAAACCAAGAACTATAGCAGGTAGGTGACAGATAAACCAAGAACTACGGCAGGTAGGTGGGAAAGGAATAGATAGAAGAAAGGAATGGGAGAGGTTAAAATGGGGTGAGGAAGGAGTAACACTTTTGAGTATATCTTTTTGTATAGATCCCACTCCTACAACCATAGTAATGTTACACGCATTCAAAGAAATAAACAATTCAAACCAACCAGGTTGTGAAGGGAACTCAAGATGGAGTACAAACAATACCACATTAACTTACCTACATTGTAAACAAAGAACATAACTACACTGAAGGGAGTAAGGAAGAAAAGAACTAACTTGTTGGCCAGGTGTAGTGGCTCACGCCTATAGTCCCAGCTACTTAGGAGGCCCAGGCAGGGGGATCGCTTGAGCCTGGGAGGTTCAGGTTACATTGAGCCATGATTGTGCCACTGCACATCAGCCCGGGTGACAGAGAGAGAAAAAAACAACTTAAGTAACTTTGGACAACAAGATTTTTGATTGGTACTAAAGACAAAAAGAACTATACATAAATGCTGTAGCCTAGTTGGTAAATTTGTTTCTTATAGAAGCCCGGGTTAACCATTCTGAAATTAGTTTATGCATATGCTAGGACTGAAAAAATAAGTAGATAATGAAAACCAAGTTTCTCACCGTCAAAGAAGTGACAAGTAAGGAAAGTAGGAGGCTAAAATGAACCTTTGCTGCTGGACTGGAATCTGAGGTTTCAATGCAAATTCATGTTTTGAGAGTCTATACAGATAGAGAAATAAAATGGATGTTTGTGTATGTGTAAGTATGCACAGATATATTTCCTACCTCTCATTGCTAAGAGGGCCTAGAAGCAACAAACCCATCTAGCACTCAGATCTTAGTTTCTTTTTTTTTTTTTTTCCTTTGAGACAGAGTCTTGCTCTGTTACCCAGGCTGAAGTGCAGTGGGTGATCTTTGCTCACCTCAACCTCCGCCTCCCAGGTTCAAGCAATTCCCGTGCTTCAGCCTCCCTAGTAGCTGGGATTACAGGTGCCTGCCACCACGCCCGGCTAATTTTTTGTATTTTTAGTAGAAGGAGGGGGACTCCAGACTGAAAACCCCATGGGTGGTTTTACTGGGAGGCTGGAGGAAACGGTGTCTGATTTGCATAGGGTCCAGGGGATTGGTTTGACCAGGTGTGTCATTCATGTAGCCCAGGAAAAACCTGGCCCTCCCGCCCTAGCCTCTTAATATGCAAATACGGGTCACCATGATGTCCTGCACCTGTGGCTTTATCTGGAGGCAGCCATGACACCTGGCACACATTATGACAAGGAGAAGAGGGCGGTAACCTCCATATTGGGTAGACTTGTTTTCTAGCCACCAGCATTTACATACCAATGCTTGCCGGTCTGGTTTTTCAAGCTGCTTTCTGTTGGAAAAAAAATGTTTTTGGGGGTGGCTTTTTTATTAAAAGAAAAAGCCTTACTGAGGACTGTTTTACCCTATCTGCCTAAAATAATTTCTTAATAGCTCCTGTAATAAAAGTGCTAAAAACGTAAGGGGTCTTGTCAAAAGGACAAAAGAGCCAACTTAAAGGGGCTCCTCATAACCAAAGCTGGAATGATCCGAGGGCCAAAATAAATAACGATAGTATTGGACTGCAACCCATGAAATAAAATAAATATCCATAAACCTATAATGCTATAAATAAGCAACCAAATAAATAAATGGGGAGAAATAACATCTCTTTCATATAGAAGAGTGTCTTAATGAAACTCTTTTTACTATATTTGAAACTTTTATGAGAGTCTAAAATTAGTTAGAAATAGAAAGTTAAAAAAAATTAATAGGTATGCCAAGAAGTAGAAACAAATGACCAAGAATGTAAAGCAAAAATACAATCACAGGGATCCTGATACGGAGGTCATCAGGCAAAGACCTTAAAATGTCTATTACCATTAATATTCTCAAGAAAATGTGAAAATTAAACCAAACAAGTAGAATATATTCTTAAAAGCTTAAATAGAGGAGGCAGAACAAGATGGCCAATTAGAAATCCCTAGCACTTTATCTCCCTGACAAACAGCCAAACTAGCAAACAACCACACATCGATGAAAATAACTAAAGGAGAGTGCCAGAGCACATCAAAGAAATAGCAGAACCGGTAGAGCACAGAAACCCAGTATGGTCACATAGAGAACAAAAGGAAACACCTTGCCTCTGCCACCCATCCCCCGGTCGAGATCAGCTTGGAACCAGGAGGGACTTCCCTGCAGGGAAAAGGAAAACAGAAGGACCCTGACAACCCCCATCACCACCTTGAACAACTACAGTCTTCACTACTGGGGACTCCTGCAGTATTCACAGGTGCTATGTCCAGCTGCAGGAGCTGTCCAGAATCCATACTGCTGCATGCCTTGACCACTCAGAGTAGGAGCTGACACTGTGCCTTGCCTCCCCATGGCCCACACTGACACTGCACTGAGCTACCTTGAAACCAGAGCCACTGCTGGAATGTGTCGCGTTCTGGGGGCCAGTAGTCACTGCACCCCTTCATCCCTCAGGCTTTGTCACCACTGAACCACCTCTGCCTGGTGGCCCACAATTCCTGAGCTGAACTGCTGCTACATCCTATCCTGTGGAACCACTAAAGACCTCAATAGCTAAAGCAAAAGGAACAAAGCTGTAAGCATCTTTGTAACTTACAAAGTTACAAAGATTTTTGCCAAAGTTACAAAGTTACTTTTGCTAAAGCAAAGTTACAAAGTAACTTTGCAAAGTAAAGTTACAAAGTAACTTTGCAAAGTAAAGTTACAAAGTAACTTTGCAAAGTAAAGTTACAAAGTAACTTTGCAAAGTAAAGTTACAAAGTAACTTTGCAAAGTAAAGTTACAAAGTAACTTTGCAAAGTAAAGTTACAAAGTTACTTTGCAAAGTAAAGTTACAAAGTTACTTTTGCTAAAGCAAAAGTTACAAAGCTGTAACTATTTGACCTCAAAATATACTAGAGCTATAGTAACCAAAACAGCATGGTTCTGACATAAAAACAGACACATAGACCAATGGGACACAATAGAGAACCCAGAAATAAATCCACACACTTAGAGCCAACTGATTTTTTACAAAAGTGCCAAGAAAATACATTGCAGAAAGGACAATCTCTTCAATACATGGTGCTGGAAAAACTGGATATGCATATGCAGAACAATGAAACTTGATCTGTATCTCTCTCCATATACAAAAATCAAATCGAAAAATATATATACATATATACACATATATACATACACACACACACACACAATAAAAAAGTATTCAGACATAAAAAAGAGTGAAATCCTGTTATTTGCAGCAACATGGATGGAACGAGATGTCGTTATGTTAAATGAAATAAGCCAGGCATGGAAAGACAAATATCACACGTTCTCACTCATATGTGGGAGCTAAAAAGTTGATCTTCTAAAGGTTGAAAGCAAACTTTTCTGAGAGTCTAAAATTAGTTAGAAATAGAAAGTTACCAGATTCTGATTGTTACCAGAGGCTGGGAACGATGGGTTCAGGGGAAGGAGAGGAAAAAGGAAAGGTTGGTTAAAGGGTATAAAAATACAGTTATATATATAAAGAATAAATTATACTGTTCAATAGAATGATCATAGTTAGCAGCAATTTTTTGTCTATTACAAAATAGCTAGAAGAAAAGATTTGGAATGTTCCCAATACAAAGAAATGATAAATGTTTGAGGTGATGGATATCCTAATTACCCTGATTTGCTCATTATACATTGTATGTATGTATCAAATTATCATATATACCACATAAATATGTGCAATTATTATATATCAATGAAAAATTGATAAAACAACAATGAGACAAGAAAAAGAAATAAAAGGTGTCTAAATCAGAAATAAAGAAATAAAATTATCTCTGTTTGCAAATAACATGATTCTAAATGTGGACTACCCCGAAGACTCCAGCAGAAAACTGTTACAACTAATAAATAAATTCAATAAAGTTACAGGATGCAAAATTAATGTACAAAAGTCCATGACATTCCTAGATACAAATAACAGCCTAGCTGAAAAGAAATCAAGAAAATAATCTCATTTACAATAGCATCAAAATAAAATAAAATAAAATGCTTAGGGATAAATATAACCAAGGAAGTGAAAGATGTATACACTGAAAACTATGAAACACTGATGAAAGAAATTGAAGGGGACACAAATAAATGGAAAGATACCAATCTTGTGGATTGCAAGAATATTGTTAAAATGAACATACGGCTTAGAGCAATATGTAAAATTCAGTGCAATCCCTATCAAAATCCCAATGGCATTCTTCATAGAAACAGAAAAAATAATTCTAAAATTTATGTGGAACCATAATAGACCCCAAATAGCCAAAGCAATTCTGAAGTTTTTATAATTTCACTAATATTTTTAAAAATCAACTTTAGGCTTTGTCAATTTCCACTTTTGAATATTTATCTCATTGATTTTGGCTTTTACTTTTGTTGTTTTCTTCATCCTAATTTATTGTAAACTTTCTCTTTGCTTTTCAGCAGTTTTACTTTGATGTGTCTAGGTGTGGTTTTCTATACAATTATTTTGGTTGAGATATGCACAACTTCTTGACTCTCAAACTTTAATTGTGTCAACTTGCCTGGATTAACGAAAACCCAGAAACCTGGTAAAGTGTTGTTTTGGGTGCGTCTGTGAGGGTGTGTCCAGAGGAGATTAGTCTATAAGTCTGATTGACTAGGAGGGGAAGATTGGCCTTACTGTTGGAGGCCCCATTTGATTGGCTGGGAGTCCAGAGAGAGCAAATGCAGAAAGCAAAATGGGTCTTTTTCTGTGAGCTGGGACCAACTTTTCCTCTGCTGCCTTATACATCAGAACTCCAGGATAGCTGGCTTTTGGACTCAAGAACTTACATCAGCAGTCCCTGCAGGTCTCGAGGCTGTTAGCCTCAGGCTGAGAGTTACACCATCCGCTTCCCTGGTTTTGAGGCCGTCAGATTTGGACACAGCCACCCTACCAGCGGGATCCCACAGGTCTCCAGCTTTTGGAGAGTGGCCTGTCGTGGCACTTCTCCGCCACCATAATTGCATCATATGTTTATGTAGATAAATAGATATCCTATTAGTTCTGTCTCTCTGGAGAACAGTGACTAATACAAATTTGGTGTTAGAAAAAGTAAATATAATTCCTTCTTACTTTATTTCTTCCAACACAGTGGAAGAGATCTGTGAAATTTTCCCTTGCAAAAAGGCTCTTATAAATTAAGCATATGTAGCTCTTTAATGGGGAAGGACAAAACTGTTAAAGCTAATTATTATTGGTACTGCAAAAGCAGAAATTGCTTAATTGTAACAGCTGAGCCATAATCAAACTTTCAAATGGACAGCATATATTTAGAAAATGTGTAGACCACATAAACTCTCCAAATACAAGTGCAGTGAGTGTTTTGAAGATCACAAAAGAAGTGAAAACTCAGGCGAAAAAGACAAAAAAAACCTCTCATTCCAAGTTACTCAACTGTGTAGGACTTCTGCCCCTTCACACATAGGGTCAATTCACTATACTATGCATTTCGTCTTCACATCATTTCCAATATTAGAGGTATACATTATGTTAAGACCTTTAGAGAGTTCTCATTTGTTTTATGTGTTTTTTGCAAATTTGGCTCCATAAAAGTGCACGATCACAATGTTGATTTTGTGCATAAGAGCTGCGTGCACTCATAAGAACGTTGAAACTTCCTCAACAAATGAAGAGATGTCCTTTTGTACATCCGTATTTGCGAAAGATAAAATTTCTTGAGATCTTCCAACCTCGGGCAACTGCACATGCAGGGGTGACCCATCATAGTTTTTTATCTATCTCATCAAAAGACTTACGTCATGGTATTTCAAATGACTGCATTATAAACTCAATGCACACAATTACCAACCATAATGATATGCATCTATATAGGCATACCTTGGAGATATCATGGATACAGTCTCAGGCCACCAAAATAAAACAAGTTACACAAACTTTTTGGTTCCCCAGTGCATATAAAATTTATGTTTACACTATATTGTAGTCTAAGTGTGAAATAGCATTGTCTTTAAAAAGTGTACATACCTTAATTTAAAATTTCTTAATTGTTTAAAAATGCCAATGATCATCTGAGCCTTCTGCAAGTTGTAATCTTTGCTGGTGGAGGGTCTTGCTTTGATGCGGATGGTTGCTGACTGATCAGAGTGTTGGTTGCTGAAGGTTGGAATTACTGCGGCAATTTCTAAAAATAAGACAACAATGAAGTTGGCTGCAGCAATTGACTGTTCCTTTCATGGCAGATTTCTCTGTAGCATATTATACTTTTTGATACCATTTGATCCACAGTAGGACTTCTTTCCAAATTGGAGTCAATCTTCTCAAACCTTGCTTTATCAACTAAGTTTATGTAATATTTTAAATCCTTTGGTGTCACTTCAACAATGTCCACAGAATTTGCACCAGGAGTAAATTCCATCTCAAAAAATCACTTTCTTTTCTCACTTATAAGAAGTATCTCCTCATCCCTTCAAATTTTATCTAAGATTACAGCAATTTAGTCACATCTTTAGGTGCCACTTCTAATTTTAGTTCTCTTGCTATTTCTATAACATCTGCAGTGACTTCCCTCACTGAAGTCTTGAATCACTCAAAGTCATCCATGAAGATTGGAATCAACTTCCAAACTTCTATCATTATTGATATTCTGGCCTCCTCTTTTGACTCATAAATGTTCTTAATGGCACCAACAATGATGAATCTTTTTTTTTTTTTTCCTTGAGACAGAGTTTCACTCTTGTCGCCCAGGCTGGAGTGCAATGGAGCCATCTTGGCTCACTGTAACCTCTGCCTTGTGGGTTCAAGCAAATCTCCAGGCTCAACCTTCCGAGTAGCTGGGATTACAGGCGCCCACCACCACACCCAGCTAATTTTTGCATTTTTAGTAGAGACAGGGTTTTGCCATGTTGGCCAAGCTGGTCTCAAACTCATGACCTCAGGTGATCCGCCCATCTTGGCCTGGCAAAGTGCTGGGATTACAGGTGTGAGCCACTGCGCCCAGCCTGGTGAATGCTTTCCAGAAGGTTTCCAATTGACTTTTCCCAAATTCATCAAAAGAATCACTATCCACGGCAGCTATAGCCTTACAAAATGTATTTAAGTAAGACTTAAGTCAAAATGACTCCTTGATCCATGGGAGGCAGAATGGATGTTGTTTTAACAGGCATGAAAATATTAACCTCCTTGTAGATCTCCATCAGAACTCTAGGATGATAGCTCTTGGGTGAGTAGTAATATTTTGAAAGGAATATTTTGATCAGAGCAATAGGTCTCTACAGTGGGCTTAAAATATTCAGTAAACCATGCTGAAAACAGATGTGCTATCATCCAGGTGTGGTTCCATTTATAGAGCACAGGCAGAGTAGATTTAGCATAATTCTTAAGGGCTCTAGCATTTTCAGAATCATAAATGAGCACTGGCTTCCATTTAAATTCACCAGCTGCATTAGCCCCTAACAAGAGAGTCAGACTGTCCTTTGAAGCTTTGAAGTCAGGCACTGATTTCTCCTCTCTAGCTATGGAAGTCTTAGATGGCATCTTTTTCCAACAGAAGGCTGTTTCATCTACAGTGAAAGTCTGTTGTTTAGTGTAGTCACCTCCATCAATTATCTTAGCTAGAGCTTCTGGATAACTTGCTCCAGCTTCTCCATCAACGCTTGCTGTTTCACCTTGTGTTTTATGTTATAGAGACCACTTCCTTATTTAAACCTCATGGAACAACATCTACTAGCTTCAAATGTTTCTTCTGCAGCTTCCTTACCTCTCTCAGCCTTCATAGATTCAAAAAGAGTTAGGGCCTTGCTCTGGATTAGACTTTGGCTTCAAGGAATGTTGTAGATGGTTTGATCTTCTATCCAAACCACTCAAACTTTCTCCATGTTAGCAATAAGCCTATTTTACTTTCTTATTATTCATGTGTTCACTAAAGTAGCATTTTTAATTTTCTTCAAGAACTATTCCTCTACAGTCACAACTTAGCTAAGTGTTTGGCCCAGGAGGCCTAGCTTTCAGCCTGTCTCAGCTTTTGGCATGCCACCTTCCTCATCAAGCTTAATAATTTCAAGCTTCTGATCAAAAGTGAGAGATGTGCAATTCTTCCATTCACTTGAACACTTAGAGGCCATTGTAGGGGTATAGATCAGCCCTAATTTTAATATTGTTATATCCTAGTAAATAGGGAGGCCTGACGAGAGGGAGAGAGTTGCGGGAACAGCTGGTTGGTGGAGCAATCAGAACACACACAACATTTATAGACTATGTTCACCATCTTATATGGGTGCGGTTCGTGATGCCGCACAACAATTACAATAACATCAAAGATCACAGATTACCATAAGAGATATCATAGGAGTAAAAAGTTTGAAGTATTGTAAGAATTACCAAATTGTGACACAAACACATGAAATGAGCACATGCTGTTGGAAAAATGGTGCTGGCAGATTTGCTAGATGAAGGTTTGCTGCAATCCTTCAATTTGTAAAAAACACAAATATCTGTGAAACACAATAAAGTGAAGTGCAATAAAATGAGCTATGCCTGTACATTTTGCTTGTTGACTTATTTCTTTACAAATATGGTTTACCTGCTCATCATTTTTACACCTGTGTGACTGCCATTAGTATACCTGTTTATATTTGCAAAAATATGTATGTTATTATTATCTATTTTATTATGTAAAGTGGCCTATGAAGTATTCTGTTGTTTTTGGTTTCTTAAACAAATCCCCTTTTATAAATGCAAATAAATGTGTTATGAAAAATTTTTTTATAATTATTTTTTCCAGAATTATATTTTCAAGGTTTTGGTCTTTTGGGATTCTGATTTTTGAAATTTTAGACTTTAGGAATTTTGATCTTTTGGGATTTCAGCATATGGGATTTTGGCATTCAGTGTTGAGTCCTTTGAAATTATTGCCCAAACCCCAAAAGAAAATACCCAAATGGCCAATAAGCATACAAAAAGGTGCTCAACATCATTAGCCATCAGCAAAATACAAATTCAAGCTCCAAGAAGATGCTACACACCTACTAAGGTATTGTTTTAAATAGGATGATAATAACTCATGTTGGCAAGGAGGTAGAGTTCTCATATTCTGTGAATGGAGTACAAATTGGTACAACCACTTTGGAAAAATTTTTTGGCAATATCCACTAAAGCTTACACACATACACCTGATGACCCAGAAATTCCACTCCTACATTTGCACCCAACAGAAATGTCTACATATGTTCACCAAGAGACATGTACATGACAGATTAGAACAGTCTGATCCCAAAGGCAGAAACAAACCTAAATGCATATCAACAATAGAATGGAGAGATATATTGGCTTGTATAGTCACACAATGGAATGCTATAGAATTATCAAAAAAGAATGAACTACGACCTCACATAACAACATGAATGACTCTCACAGATGTGGTGCTGAATGAAGGAATCAGATGCAAAAGCCCATAACTATATGATTAAGAAAATTCTGAATCAGGCAAGATTAATCACGATGGTAGAAGTCAGAATCATGGTTACCTTTAAGAGAAAATGCCTAGAAAAGAAACATGATCAAGGCCGGGCGCAGTGGCTCACGCCTGTAATCCCAGCACTTTGGGAGGCCCAGGCAGGCAGATCACGAGGTCAGGAGATCAAGACCATCCTGGCTAACACGGTGAAACCCCATCTCTACTAAAAATACAAAAAATTAGCCAGGCATGGTGGCACATGCCTGTAGTCCCAGCTACTCAGGAGTCTGAGGCAGGAGAATCGCTTGAACCCAGGAGATGGAGGTTGCAGTGAACTGAGATTACAACACTGCACTCCAGCCTGGGCGACAGAGTGAGACTCCATCTTAAAAAAAAAAAAAAAGAAAGAAACATGATCAAGCCCCCTTAGGAGATAAGAATGGTCTGTATCTTGATCTGAGTGGTGGTGACATAGATGCATCCACTTTGTTAAAAGTCCATTGAGTTTATTAAGATTTGTGCACTGCACAATATGCATATTATACTTCAATAAATGTTTTTTGAAAAGAAAGAAAGATGGCCTGGGACCAGATTTACCTTATTAATACTCTAAAGGTGTCTGTTCATTAGTTAAGCATAATCTATTCTAATTAATGCTCTATTGCATATGAATGCTGCCTAAATGGGGTGAATGCTAAGGGATACTGAATGAGATTATATCAGAGTAAAGCTGGGTAATTTCTCTTACAGAATATGATTGGGTTTGGGAATAGGTCATGCGATTTACCTAGGAGACATTTACTTTTAGTACATCTCTTCATTTCCATTTCTTGTGATTTTGAGAAGAGTTTACAAATGGAAAATCTGGGTTGGTCTTTTCACTTCATCTGTTTCTGAAAACCCCTCCTTTTAGGATGTGGCCCCTCGTCCATGCTGGATAACATCAAGGGCACCTGGCAAAGCAGACTTTTCTCCCCATGAGTCTGTAGAAGTGGCGGCTGCCGTATTGCTCCATGAAATTAGGGAAAATTCTAATAATCATCATAAAATAAAAACAGCAATAAATGTAAATAAGGGAATTAATATTTCACAGTACATTCGAGATTGAATCCATGAATTTTCACCATGCTTTTAAGGTGGGTGACCAGTATCATGTCTGATACTTTCATATGGAGGAAAAGGGGCAGAAAAAGAACAAAGCACTTTCTATCAGCAACTCTATTCCTCCCCAGTGAGCACCTTCCAGCTTTCTTTGTGCAAGCCCTTCTCACTAGTCCACACTCTCATAACTGAGCCTTTGTTCTGGATTTTCTTTTACCAGAAACAATCTCCCTCTTTCTGATTATTTCACTGTAACTCCTGGCCACCTCTCTGATTTCCCCAGCCTACCATGCCCCAGAAGTCATCGTTGAAAGCCCACTTTCTTTGAAAGCTCCACAATCCTGACACATTTATCCACCATGACACTTTTTTTTAAAAATATTGGGTTGCAAATTGACTTATCTCCCAAGAATCTTCACATTATGACACTCAGAGCTTGTCTTCCCAACTCTTCTCCCTGTGGTAAGAAGAGAGTATATAGTATACTCTATATGGGAGGAAAACTCTTTGGAGTGCACCTTCGAAGCCACATTCAGTTGAACAAACCAGTCATTTATACTTGCTCTTACTTAAACTATGGTATGTGTGATAATGACTGAGTGTCATATTTAGATCTAAGGTTTTGAGAGCGACAAGAAACATTCAGACTACAGAGGATAGGGATTGAAGTTTTGCCACTCTTTGTCTCCCTATTCACCAGTATAACTTCCTGCTGAGCTCCAGTTCAGAGCTTCCCAACAGGTGGGGCTTAATCCCCAGCCAATTCTGAAGATTTAGCTCAGGGCCAGCTGCTGCCCCCAATCCCCTCTCTGACAGCTCTTGGGATCCCAGGCCAGGGGGAGGTGGAGAGTAACCAGAAAGACAGCAATTGCCATGCTCTCATCAGGGCCTTGCCCTGCTAGCAAGCTAGCTCTTTCCCCACCACCTTCCTCAGTGATGCCCCAGTGAAGCCTTCTCTGGCTTCTCTTTGGCATTTTGTCCTTTAAAGTCATTCTGCTAGTTGATCAGAGCACTGATCCACATTCCCCATGAAAGCAAATAGCAGAGAGCAGAGAAACTGAATTAGGGCTGCTCTCAACTCTGTAGAGAATGGAATTTTTAAAACATCTAGTAAGTTAAATAGTTATAAGTTTTCTTTTGTCGAACAAAAAACTTGAAATTTCCTTTTGTGTATGTGTACATGTCATTTTCTAAGTTAAAATTGTATTCCCATGGTAAAATATCCAAGCAAATATGAGTATGCCGAGAAAAATAAAAAACACCCTTTATCCGCTACCCTTCCCTCCACCCTGACCCCATTTCCACCTCTTCCCCAAAGCAACGACTCCCAATATTTTGGTGTTCACCCTTCCAATTCTCTCTTTCTCTCAAAATATACACTGATAAGTACTCAAATCCATTTCTCTTCTTATTCTATTTATATTAATGGAATCATACTATACACCTATACACTGTGACTCTTTTTTCACTTAACAATATTTTGTAAATCCTACATTGGTCTACTTCATTCTTATTAATGACTATATACTAGTATATAGCCTGAATGAACCATAATCACTTCCTATTTTACATTAAGTGTGTTTTCATATGCTACAGGCTACATTGTGTCCCCTCCCTCACAATTCACATGTTGAGTCCTAACCCCTCCAAACCTCAGAATGTGGCCTTATTTGGATACGTAGTCTTTAAAGAGGTAATCAAGGTTAAATAAGTCATTGGGGTGAACCCTAATCCATATGACCAATATCCTTGTAAGTAGAGGAGACTCAGACACAGAAACACACAGAGGAAAGTCCATGTGAAGACAGAGACAGATGTCAGCCATCTACAAGCCAAGGAGAGAGACCTCAGAATGAAACCAACTCTGCCAACACCTTATTCTTGGACTTCTAGCCTCCAGAACTGTGAGGAAATAAAGTTCTGGGGCTTACGCCACCCAATCTGTCATCACAGAAGCCCTAGCAAACTAGTACCCCAGTGTTTTACACTTACATAGACCACTTTGGTGAACAGCTTTGCACAGCCTTGCACATACATCTTTGTGCACACGTGTGAATATTTCACTAGGCAATGTTACTAGAAGAGGAATCTCAAAACATATCATTAACTTTTAATTTGGACAGAGATCATAAAACTACCTTTCAAAAAGGCCTCATTAGTATTATTTTGTTCATATTTAACAATGCTGGACACATAAGTCCTTTCCATCTTTACCAATGATAGGTAATACGCGGTATTTCATTATTTTACCTGATGACTAATGAAATGAGGCTCAGAATTCTTCAGTTGATTGACCATTATTGTATTTCTAGTGTGAATGAACTATTTGTTTCCTGTGTATATTATTCTGACGGTTTCTTGATAATTTGTTATTAATTAATAGGCACACTTTATAGATTTGAAAATTAATCATTTGTCTATTACATAACTATTTCCTTCCAGTTTGTTACATGATTTTTAAATTTTATTTATGGTATCACACAGAGGCTTTTTGTTTTGTTGAGTTTTGTATCTTGCTTATTAAGGTCTTCTCTTCCTCAGGTTATGGTTTAAGAAAAAAATGCCTGTATTTTTTTCTGATAGTTCTTTGGGTTTATTTTCAATGTTTAACATTTTAAGCCATCTGGAATCTACTTACATACATGGTATCAAGTGGGAGTCTAGCTTTATTGTCTTCTGAATAGTGAGTCAATTTATCCCAATAAATCCCAAACCATTTGTTGAATAGACATACTTTTCTATTTATTTTAAATACTTGTTTTTTATTTTTATTTTGTTGTGTAGAGCTGGAATTTGCTCCTAGTAGAGTTATATCTTTATTTCAATTAAGCTTTTAAAAAAAATTTAAACACCAATAGAAGGTGTTTAAATAGAAGGAAGAGAGATTTGGGATGACATCAAAGTCTCTTTTCAATCATACTTCATTTTTTTCAATTTTATCCTCAATAAATAACTACATTTTAGAAAGGCATCCAATGTATTACGAAAAATGTATTTTATAAATGCAGTGTTTTATGCAAGCTGGAAGTTAGACAATAGCGTCGCAAATAGTGAAGACTCACGCCTCCAATATTTTTTAAGCTACAGAATAGAACACATTCCTTCATAGTCTCCCTGCACAATCTTCATCACACCCCACTTTACCCATTGTCTTTTGGCTTCTTTAAAAGGCACATCAAAAGTCCTGCATTTACTCTAAGATTGCCTTTTATCACACAAAAGTGGGAAAGCCCAAAGAGAAAACTAAGCTAAGTAACCCTTCGGCAGGCATCATTGAGTATCTAGTGGCGACGCTAAGAGCTCCCACTTACCGTAAGCCTCCCTGTTCCCACTGCTCAGTGTGTGAGGGAACTAACAATAAGTAAGACACAAAGGCCTTACAGGCTGTTTGTGTATCAATCTACTAATGTAGGTTTGTTATTTTTTTATCAGATTCTGTTCAATGTGTTGGCAATGCCTGTGTAAAGCCAGACAGCACTTAATTGCAAATAATTCTGGAGCTTCTTGGCAATGTAGGACTAGTCAAAATGAGAGAAAAACAAGCATACTTATATGATGAATAATACTAAGACCCAGGGAGCATTTAGAAGATGGAAAAAAAGAGTGGGTTAATTTTGAACCATTTTCAATTTCCATACCAGTCATTACCCACATTAGTGGATTTATTATGTTCTTTTTCTTTCCCTAATAAGAGCCTTGTAAAATTCAGCACATCATCAGGCAACCTAATAATTACCGTATTTAGGGGCAAATGTTAGATCCCAGACAGAGACCGTTTATTATGTTCCATTCCCTAAAGTTTGACTGAATGGCCATTTTTCTGCTTCCTCATTAATAATCATAATAAGTAAACTGCAAGAAAGAAGAGGAAAGAACTCAGCAAATCAAAACTTAGAAAACTAGAAAGGTCAGAGCCATAAAGCATTCTGCCATTACTCACCGACTGTGTGAGATATTAGAATTATGATTCTTAATTTTCATGACCAAAATTCTAAAGGGAAAGAAAATGGCACCAAATGAATCCATTCAATTAATGTGGAAGCCCAGATGGAAAAAAAATAAGCAAAATAAATAATTCCCTGAATCTGCCTTTTATCTACTCAAACCCCAATTGTAGGCCTCCCCTGAGCCTAAGGATCACAAAACAAAAGCTTAATGTGACCAGTAATTTAAGTGTTTGCTAACCTTTTGTCCTTTAAGCTCTGTAGAACAACCAGAAAAACATTACGTGATAAAGTTACATTGGTTAATGCACACTGAGTAATAGTATCAATCTTCCAATATTCCTGATCCAAGATTTGAGATACAGAAACAACTCCACCCCAAAGATTTTTTTAGAAAGCTCTTTTGTTTCTTTGGATTGCTCTCAAAGATTTTCTTGCTGATTTTCCAAAAGCACATTATTCATTTACTAAGCTTACCAGTTGCTTCATCACAAAAAATGTTACAGACACCTAAACTCTAGCACAATATGATTCTATGTCAAGGAAGTATTTTTGAGTACCAAATAATTTTTTGGTTCCCCATTGTTTGGCTTTCAATTTGAAAATATCTTCTGCACAGAGGATCATAAAAGCTTGCTCCGGAAGATTTGTTTTGTTTTGTTTTGTTTTGTTTTTTCCTGCCTTTCTATTTTCTTAGCCAAAAGTGAAACCGATAGCTTTGTTCCCACTATGGTCTTCTTTCTTCCTGCTAAAATCTGGGCATTTTAAGGAGGTGTTTAAAGACACCTTCTTCAAGTATTCCCTGAGGCTAAAGCAACAAGCACTCACTCTCTGTTTTTGAAAACTTATAACAGTTGGAACCTTTTGAACAACCACTTAGTGCCAACGCTGCCCTTGATCTTCTCTTTACAGTACACGGGGTTTACACTTTGTGAGCCAGATGCAATCCCCGTGGACCTCTGTTGGGGAACACAGGAAGAATTTTCCCCTCATGTCTGCAGGGAGCATTTTCCAGCCAGAATGCATAAACCATTGAGAATATCTCCCATGGAGTCCGCTGAGAGGAAGATAATCCATTACCCTCCAGACATTTGGCTGGCTTAGGAAGGACTGGGCAGCCCCGCCTCCAAAGATACTAATGGGAATTACATTTGAAAATCTCCCAAAAGCCAGATCCTGAAATACAGTTCTCTCTCCCCACGGGTTTTGCATTTCTCAGAAAGCAACATAAGGAGAGATAGAGAACCGGAATGTAAATCATGACGTTTAAGAAAATATATAAATCAAACGAATGGATAAATATTTTCTATTTACATAGCCTCTCTGAAGAGTCGCATTAGCTAGATCAAGACAAACCCCCACGTCCCAGTTTCATAAACCCGCACCACATTGGCCAGATAAAAATCAGCCTCTCCAAGTGACTCCCAACTTTAACACTTCAAAGTGAAGCACAGAATTATTTTTATTATCATCACAGTATTTGACAGCAACGCAGAGAGAACCAATGAAAACCAGGACCCGAGTTCATGTCTTCATAGAACCAGAAAGCTGTGTGCCGTGCTGAGCACACGCACTTCATTAAGGAAAGATGGGAGAGAGGCCTTCCTAAGCGCTGATGTTAAAAATTGAAATCCATTCTGTAAAAGACAGACCTTGTGTATTTTTTAAAGCCCAGAGCCATAATAGCTAAAGGGTAGTAAAAACCGTATATAAGAACATTATGGTGGTTAGATTGTTCCTAAGAACTCTTGATCCAGGATTTGGTATATATGTATATAAACGCACAACTCAAAGCTAGCGGAACTTTTCAGATTGTAGGGGGTGGGTAGTGGAGAAACAAGAGTCTAATAGAAAAATGGGCAAGGATTAACTGCATGAAAACATGTAGTTCCCAGAAAAATGAAATCTAAATGGAATACAAATATATGAAAAGATACTTGGCCACAGTCATAATTCCAGAAAATCAACTCAGAAAAAAAGGAAAGCTTGTCACCTAGGAAACTGAGGAGCTAGTTTGATGACACACAAGTTAAGGAGCGAAATAAGATGTGTATTCTCTGCAGATGGAAGTGTAAGTTGGTTCTGTGTTTGGAGATATCTTCGGTGTAAATGGACTCAGCTTAACAATATTTAGCACAATAAAAATGTATATACTTTTTGACCTGGCAATTTTACTTCCAGAGATTTACAAATGAATACACTTGTACTCATACACAGAGATAAATGATGTACACAACAGCAAGTTTTTAGTAACAGAAAACAATTTAAGGGCTTAGGACTGGCCATGTTAAATATGGTACACCCGTTAGTGGAATACTTGGAGCATTGCTAAACATGAGGGAGACCAACAGCAAGCATTGATATGGAAAGATCTTCCAACTATACTGTAAAGAGTATTTTTTTAAGTATGATAGCATTCTCCCCTCTGTGTAAATAAGAACAAAAGAATAAAAGAAAGAAAGAAAAAAGAAATATATATATATAAATGTTTATATGCTTGTATATACATAGAAAAATTCAGGAAGGCTACATAAGAAATTGTTGATAATGGTTGCCTCTGTAAAAACAGATATGTCAGCTAATGGCACAGGCTAGAGAGCCCAGAAATAAACCCACACATTTACAGTCAATTGATTTTTGACAAAGGTCCCAAGAACACACAGTGGGGAAAGGACAGTCTCTTCAATAAATGGTGTTGGAAAAGCTGGATATTCACATGCAGAAGAATGAAATTAGCCCCTTGTCTCACATCATGTATGAAAACCAACTCAAAATAGCTGAAGACTTAAATATAAGACCTGAAACTGTAAAACTACTAGGAGAAAACATAAGAGGAAAGCTCCACAACATTGGATTGTGAAACAGATTTCTTTGGATATGATCCTGAAAGCACAGGCAACAAAACCAAAAATAGACGAATAGGACAGCATCAAACTAAAAAGCTTCTGCACCTCAAAGGAAACAATAAAAAAGTGAAGAGGGCCGGGTGCGGTGGCTCACGCCTGTAATGCCAGCACTTTGGGAGGCCGAGATGGCAGATCACGAGATCAGGAGATTGAGACCATCCTGGCTAACACGGTGAAACCCATCTCTACTAAAAATACAAAAAAATTAGCCCGGCGTAGTGGCAGGTGCCTGTAGCCCCAGCTACTCGGGAGGCTGGGGCAGGAGAATGGTGTGAACCCGGGAGGCGGAGCTTGCAGTGAGCCGAGATCGCGCCACTGCACTCCAGCCTGGGCAACAGAACAAGACTCCGTCTCAAAAAAAAAAAAAAAAAAAAAAAAAAAAAGTGAAGAGACAACCCACAGAGTGGGAGAAAATATTTGCAAACCATACATCTGTTAAAGGCTTGATATCTGAAATATATAAGGAACCAAAACAACTCAATAGCAAGGAAACAAATAATCTGATTTTTTTAAATGGGGAAAAGTTCTGAACAGACATTTCTCAAAAGAAGGCATACAAATGGCCAAAGGCACATGAAAAAAATCTCAGCATCACTAAGCATGAGGGAAATGCAAATTAAAACTACAAGGAGGCCGGGCGCGGTGGCTCACACCTGTAATCCCAGCACTTTGGGAGGCCGAGGTGGGCGGATCAAGAGGTCAGGAGTTCAAGAACACCCTGACCAACATGGTGAAACCCCATCTCTACTAAAAACACAAAAATTAACCAGGCGTGGTGGCACATACCTATAATCCCAGCTACTCAGGAGGCTGAGGCAGGAGAATCATTTGAACCTGGGAGGCAGAGGTTGCAGTGAGCTGAGATCGAGCCACTGCACTCCAGACTAGGTGACAGAGTGAGACTTTGTCTCAAAAAAAAAACAAACAAACAAACAAACAAACAAAAAACCTACCATGAAATGTTGCCTCACACCTATTAGTATAGTACAGCTTTTATCAAAAAGGAAAAAAACTGGCCAGGCACAGTGACTCATGCCTGTAATCCCAGCACTTTTGGAGGCCGAGGCAGGAGGATCACTTGAGGCCAAGAGTTCAACACCAGCCTGGTCAACATAGTGAAACCCCATCTCTACTAAAAATACAAAAATTAGCCAGGCATGGTGGTGGGCGCCTGTCATCCCAGCTGCTTGGGAGGCTGAGGTACGAGAATCCCTTGAACCCGAGAGGCGGAGGCTGCAGTGAGCTGAAATCACGCCACTACACTCCAGCCTAGGTGACAGAGACAGACCCTGTGTCAAAAAAAAAAAAAAAAAGAGAGAGAGCGAAAGAAAGAAAAAGCAGGTGTTAGCAAAGATGGAGAGAAAAGGAAACTCTTATATACTGGTGGTGGGAATTTAAATTTGTTATTATAAAAAATGGTATGGAGATTCCTCAGAAACCTAAAAATGGAACTATCACATGATTCATTAGTCCCACTTCTGGGTATATATTCAAAAGAACTACTAACGTCAATATGTCAGGGGAAAAAAATGTTCACTTTTAGGTTCATTGCAGCATTACTCACAATGGCCAAAATATGGAATCAAACTAAATGTCCATTAACAAATGAATGGATAAAGAAAATAAGGTATATATACACAATGGAATACTATTCAGCCTTAAAAGAGAGTGAAAATCCTGTCATTTGCAACATGGATGAATCTGGAGAGCATTATGCCAAATGAAATAAGCCAGACATAGAAAGACAAATACTGCATGATCTCACTTATATGTAGAATCTACAAAAGTTGAACTCATAGAAGTCGAGAGTAGAATGATGGTTACCAGAGACTGAGGGAAGGGGGTGAGGAGGGAGGGAACAGTAATTTCTGATCAAAAGATAGAAAGTTTCAGATAGACAGGAGGAATAGGCTCTGAGAGCTACTGCACAGCAGGGTGATTATAATCCATAATAGTGTACTGTGTAATAACTAAGATAGTACATTTCAAATGTCTCACCATAAAAATTGATAGGTAATTGAGGTGATGGATATGTTAATTAGCTTGACTTAATCATTTCACATTATGTACATATATCAAAACATCACACTCTGTCCCATAAATATATACAATTATGATTTGTCAATCAAAGTAATATTCATTTTTTTTAAATTTTAAACCATAGTTGCCTCTGGGGAGTGGTAGTGCTATATGTATTTGATTATATGCCTTTTTACAAAGTTTGAAATATTTTATCAGATATAATATGGAATTCTTTTTGTGGTCAAGAAAAAGTGCAGAGAGATGGGAAAACGGAACTGTGAAGATTACCACAGTTGACTGGATGGAAAACAAGGAAGAGGCCTCGGTGGACAGCTAAGACATGGACATGCTGTTCTGGAACGTGTCATCGGAGGACAGCTCAGTCATGTGTATACAGCTGTCCCTCTGGTGTTTGGTTCCAGGATGTCCTGCAGATACCCAAATCCCTGGATGCCCAAGTTCCTGATACGAAATGGCATAATATTTGCATATAGCCTATGGAATCCTCCAATATATTTTAAATCATCTCTATATGACTTATATTATTCTATATCACTTATCTAATACAATGTAAAGGCTATATAAATAGTTGTTATACCAAAAAAACCTAGATATTATATTGTAAAATACTAAGCCACTGCTTTGAGTTACTTTTCATTGAGATTTCTTGCACGTGATGTGCACTCCACATGATAATAAACATGTTTGGTTTTCTCTTGTTAAAAAAAAAGTTATACTGTACTGTTGAGGGAATAATGACCAAAAAAGTCTGTACATATTCAGTACAGATGCAGTTTTCTTTCCAAATGTTTTCAATCCATGGTTGGTTGAGTCCACAAATGTGAAACACACAGATACAGAGGGCTGACTGTACTTCACTCTTAGAAAGTCTTTGTTTTTTGGTTTTGTTTTTTGCTTTTTGTTTTGAGACAGAGTCTTGCTCTGTCACCCACGCTGGAGTGCAGTGGCGCAGTCTCAGCTCATTGCAACCTCTGCCTTCTGGGTCCAATAGATTCTCCTGCCTCAGCCTCCCGAGTAGCTAGGATTACAGGCAGGTACTAACATGCCCGGCTAATTTTTGTATTTTTAGTAGAGATGGGGTTTCACCATGTTAGCCAGGCTGGTCTCGAACTCCTGGCCTCATGTGATCCACCAGCCTCAGCCTCCCAAAGTGCTGGGATTACAGGCATGAGCTACCACACCCAGCCTAAAAGTCTTTTATAGGAGAGATTTTGCTAGACCTCACTTTTAATTGATGCCGTGTACATACAGAAATGATTTTCATGTTTTAAAACTCTATTTAAAGTAGTAAGTACATGGATTCAAACAAAGTAAATGTTTTGCCAGCTTTGTTTCTCAAAGAAAGTATTCGTTTCAACAGATATTTTTATCAAATAAATGCTTCCTTTGCAGGCAGTTAGTATTTCCATGAGCTTTAACAAATACTTTCAAATGCTCACTGCCTTTAATTAATCAAGTAGTTCTGTGAATGCCTGCTATATGCTTAGTTTGCAAGTGTATAGAATGAGTGTTAAAAGAGGAAGAGGAATGCACAACTAATAGACCGTGGTATTTCAGGTTTTCATTGATAAATAAGCATTTGAAATCCTGGAGTAATGTTTTCCGTTGAAAACATGGTGCCAATGTTATATCAAAAAATAACTCCATTGTTCAAACATCAATAGTGGGCAAACTTGCCCATATAACCTGCATGACTGTATTTTGAAATATTAAAATGGAAATAAAAGGGCTCAAGAACAATAAAGCTATCACAAAACTCTGAAAGAGGCATGGCGCACCTCATATTTGTTCATGAAATCAACAGGGAGAGAAATGAAAAGTGACCATAGGGAAGTGATAAAAGAGCTTTAAGACCCTTTCATGGCTTCCAGAGCTCCTTGATTGCATGAAAAGGCTCACAGAGAAACCAGCTGGTATATAGGATGGCAGGGTTATCTGGCTGCAGACCTATAACCTCACCAATGGTCAGGGTTGATTGCAAGCCTCTGTTTTTTTCCTCATCCCTCAAGCTTTGAACTTCCAAGTTGGCTCAGGATTGCTTTCCATTGTGGCTATAAGTAGGGTGGCTCTTTGGCCAGGTTTACCAGAGATGACCATGGATTACTCCTGTAGTTTCTGAAGTAAATACTAATAGTACCTACTTCCACGTCCCAAAGTGCCCTGGTTTGGATGATACATTATATGGTTACCCTAATAGAAGTAGATTAATGTAGGGAGTGAGAAGAAATGGCCCCTTGGATTATGACTGGTATATGGAAAACCTTTTTGATTACCTCCTTAAACTACTAAGCAATTGGTGGGATATTAAGAAAATTAAATTATTAATTTAATTTTGATTTAATTATATTGAAGAAAATTGACTGAATTTCTCTCCAGATACCACTCCACATGGCTCGAAAAAAGAAAAACTCATTTTCCTATTATGTACCTGAAGTCTGTTTCCTATAGCACAGAGAACACAAAGTAGTATTTTTTAAGTCCTGCCATTTTCTCTGTGTAGTAGACAAACTTCTAAGGCAGCCCTCAGTGATGCCAACCTCCTGGTGTTTGTGACCTTATAGAATCCCCTCCTGTTGAGTGTTGGCTGGACCAAGTGACTTGTCTTACCTAACCAGGTGAATATGGCAAAACTGATGGGGGAGAGTGTCGCTTCATGATTAGGTTATAAAAGATGGTTTTCATTTTGACAGCACGCTTACTGTCTTACTGGGTTAGATGAAACAAACTGTTGAGATACCTCAACCCAATATTCAGCAAGAAACTGAAGCCCTGAATTCATCAACATTAAAAGATAAGAATTCTGCCAACAACTACATAAATAAGCTCAGAAGCAGACTCTTCCCCATTTGAGCCTTCAGATGAGATCCCATCCCTGGCTGATACATTGATTGCAGGGATGTGAGAAGACCTTGAAGCCAAGACCTAACTAAGCTGTGCCTAGATTCCTCCCCAACAGAAACTGTGAAATAATAAGTGTGTTGTTTTAGGCTGCTACATTTTTGAGTAATTTGTTACCTACATAGATAACTATTAGATCCCGCCTGATGCTGGAAAAACCACTTAACTCCTCTGGCCTCAATTTTCTCTTTTGCATGGTGTATAGTAGGCCTGAATCAATGTTTGTGACCAGAATAAGTGTGAAATAAAGGGGTTAGACTAGATAATGTCTAAGACCCCCTTAATAAAAAGTCTGGACAATGTTTTGCTCACAAAGTGATAACTCTTGACAGATTGTGAATACATGTTATTCTTTGTAGCTACCTTTTTTTCTTTGTAGCTACTTTTTTCTATTCTTATTTTAAATTGCCTAAATTTCTTATTTGCAAAAAGAAAAAAACACCTCAAAACAGAGGCCTCTTGTTTGAAACTTTTTCTCACCAACTTTTTTTTTGGTTTTAAAACTATCCTGGCCTGTGGGTGTCTGTGTAGCCTGGCTGAGGATCTCCGGGTACCCCAACTCTGCCTTTGATGTAAATGGTCATACGCCCTGCATCCTTCAAGTAGATAAATGTGTATTTTATGAACACTGTCTCACCTAGCTGCAGAGCAACACCTGCTTTCATTTAAAGGCCTTTTCATTGCAAGACAAATGCAGACAGGGCAGGGTGTTGGACACATTTCATTTTGCCTCTCTCTAAATTCACTGGTGGAAGCTTTTTATAAATCTCACAGGTCATTTCCAAGAATCTCTGGTACTAAAACACCACAGGTCTGTGCTAACCCTACTTTCCTGAGGATTAAACTTAGCTTCATTGTGGGTAAAAATGGTGTTTTACAGGCTGGAAACAACGTCTTTGATGCTAAAATCATTCCCATTGTGAACTCTGAAAAATTTTTTGGAGGTGACACTTTAAAATCTTCAGCAAAACTTTTCTTTAACATTTAAAATTATTTCATTTTATTATTCATTTTATTTTATTTTATTATTTTTGTTTTTTCTGAGAAGGAGTTTCACTCGGTAGCCCAGGCTGGAATGCAGTGATATGATCTCAGCTCACCGCAACTTCCACCTCCCGGGTTCAAGCAATTCTCCTGCCTCAGCCTCCCATGTATCTTGGATTATATATATATATATATATATATATATGTATGCACACACACATACATATATACATATATATACACACACATATATATACATATATACACACATATATATACATATATACACGCACACATATATATACATATATATACACACACACACACACACATATATATATATATATATATATATATATACACCATGGAATACTACTCAGCCATAAAAAAGAATAAAATAATATCTTCTGCACAACTTGGATGGAGCTGAGGCCATTATCCTAAGTGAATTAGCTCAGGAACAGAAAACCAAATACTGCATGTTCTCACTTATAAGTGGGAGCTAAGCTATGAAGACATGAAGGCACACAGAGTGATAGAGTGGACATGGAAGACTCAGAAGTGGGGAGGGTGGGAGAGATAGTGAGGGATAAAAAAACTACATATTGGGTACAAGGTACACTACTCAAGTGACCGATGCACTAAAACCTCAGACTTTACCATTATACTATTCATCCATGAAACCAAAACCACTTGTACTTCAAGAGCTATTGAAACAAAAAATGTATGTATAAATAATAATATTACTTCAAAAAGAAAACAAAACCAGAAAATAACTAGTGCTATTTTTAAAAACGTGTGCATTGTTGGTGGGAATATAAAATGCAACAGCAACTATGAAAAATAGTAGGGAAGTTCTTCAAAAAATGTTAAAAAGATGTATCACATGAGCTCACAATTCCACTTTTGAGTAGCTATCCAAAAGAACTGAAAGAAGGATCTCAAAGAAGTATTTGTGCACCCATGTTCATACCAGCGTTATTCACAATAGCCAAGAGGTAGAAGCAACCCAAATATCTATCAATGGATGAATGGATAAACAAAATGTGGTCTATACGCCCAATAGAATATTCAACCTTAAAAGCTACGACATGGATGAACCTCAAGAACGTTATGCTAAGAGAAATAAGCCAGTCACAAAAAGACAAAGACTTTCTGATCCTGCTTATATAGGTACTTAGAGTAGCCACATTCATAGAGATAGGAAGTAGAATGGTGGTTGCCAGGGGCTGGTGGGAGGGAAGAATGGGGGGTTATTTAATGGAAACAGAGTTTCAGTTTTGCAAAGTGTAAGGAGTTATAAAGATGGATGGTGGTGATGGTTGCATAACCATGTGGACGTATTTAACACCACTGAACTGTACCCTTAGAAATGGTTAATCTTGGCCGGGCGCAGTGGCTCACACCTGTAATCCCAGCACTTTGGGAGACCGAGGCGGGAGTATCACGAGGTCAGGAGTTCGAGACCAGCCTGGCCAACATGGTGAAATCCCATCTCTACAAAAATACAAAAATTAGCTGGGCATGGTGGCGGCCACCTGTAATCCCAGCTACTTGGGAGGCTGAGGCAGGAGAATTGCTTGAACCTGGGAGGCAGAAGTTGCAGTGAGCCAAGATCATGCTACTGCACTCCAGCCTGAACAACAGAGCAAGACTCTGTCTCGGAAAAAAAAAAAAAAAAAAAGAAATGGTTAGTCTCGTAAATTTTACATTCTGTGTATTTTACCACAACTACAAATTTAAAAATGTGTGTGTTTATGTGTGTGTGTGTATATATATATATACATATATATATACGTATATATACATATATATATACATGCATATATATATACATATATATACATATATATACATATATACATATATATACATATATATATACATATATATATAAATAAATGGTGCAAAAAAAAAGAAATGTTTTCCTTTTTGGGTAGAATAGCAGGGAAAACAATATGAAATGTATGTACATGAAAGAGATCATATATGTATAGATCATAACTTCATGTTTCTAGCATCATTAATATCTCTTTATTATCTTTTATCTCTTCAGAGAATTTTAAAGATTCCTCTTACCTCCCCACTGCAAGATCCTGTTTGTCCCCCAGGAGTGGGTTAATATGTTAGCCATGCACTGTTCTCAGCAGAAGTCATTGAAGTGGCAATTGCAAAGGTCTTATAGATAAGTGTATCTGGTGATGATGCATTCATTTTACCATCCTAACCAGTGAGAAGCAGCAGATCAGACATATTTTGGTTATGAACAATGCCAGAAGTTTCTGGTCAATGAAAAGAAATTGCTAAGGAAGACAGCTTATTAGTGCCAAGAACTGTGATTTCTGTAAGCTGGCTTGTTTTGAGACCAATTTGGGTATAATTTTAAACCCAAGCACAATTTTGTATGATGTTTTAGAAAAGTGTGGAATTTTTTATTTTAAGAAATCTTAGAAATCAGTTTAATGTAATTACCTCATTATCTGGATCGAGTTAACCCAAATCATCAGTGAGTAAGTGAATTATACAAGGTCAGACAGCTAGCAGAAGATACAACACTCTGGCTTATTAAAAAGCCTATTAAAAAGGTGAGTGAATGGCATTGGATAGTTTATAAAGAATTCATGAGAAAACAAGATTGAAAGATTGCTAAAACATGAAGTCTCTATATTGATAGTTTTTGTTATTACTTAAAAATATGTTTGTGGAAAAGTACATTAGAAAGCTGATTATATAATAGTGGAAGAAGATATTCTAGTACCTATAACTGTTAGCGATTTCAGAGGGGACCTCCCTCAATGCTTTTCTAAAATCTGCCCACTTCTAAGAAAATATGAAATCTCATAGTATCAAAAACTTAGACTCACAGTCACTTTATTACCACAGTCTCAGAAGATTTTTCATTAACTTCTACTAATACGGGGCTGGACTAAAAACTGAAGAGCAGTAAAGCCCAGAGGGTTTGCTAGCAACACAAAACACACCTGCCAGGCCAAAACCAAACAAGGCAGAAACAGGCTTTATTCCTCCCTGATGGTCTCTTCTGGTCTCTCTCTTGGCTCAGAGGCTGAGACTCAGCAAAACACTAGAAAGCTAAAATTCCAATAACAAAAAAGTGAAATCGACAGTAAAATGGTTAAGAGCAAAAGTGATGCTTTAGGACAAAAATCAAGGAGGTGGGTAAATATCTTGGAGGATCAGGAGAGAGGCAAAAACGATGAAGCCAGTAAGAGGTGGTAGCTGTGGAAGCAGAAAACAAGATTCGACCTCTAAAGCTCTGGGACTCTGAGAAAAAACACAAGGCAGCTGCAGCAGAACTGATACCAAAGAGGTGACTGAAAAGAAGCTAATTAATACCTGTCAACTTACCAATTTTAATAGTTAGAATTATTTAGGGTTTCGATGTTTTAAAAATAAAGCAATGAAAAGAAACATGAAATAAATCAAAACAGGAAACATAAAAATAAGCCAAACACATCAACCATAACAAAAAATACAAATGCCTTAGAAAAATCTCCCTTTTAAAAAATGTTGTTTATAATGAACATGTAATAATTGTACATGTTTATGGGGTACAGGGGGGTGTTTCAATACTTGTGTATGCTGTATAATGATCAAATCAGGGTAGCTGGTATGTCCATTGCCTCAAACCTTACCATTTCTTTATGCTGATAACATTCAAGATCCGCTTTTCTAGCTATCTTGAAACATACAATTCATTCATATCAGCTATAGTTACCTTAAAAAATCCAAAATCCCTTTTTTTTTTTTTTTTTCTTGAGACGGAGTTTCGCTCTGTCGCCCAGGCTGGAGTGCAGTGGCGGCGCGATCTCGGCTCACTGCAAGCTCCGCCTCCCGGGTTCACGCCATTCTCCTGCCTCAGCCTCCCGTGTAGCTGGGACCACAGTCGCCCGCCACCGCGCCCGGCTAATTTTTGTATTTTTAGTAGAGACGGGGTTTCACCGTGTTAGCCAGGATGGTCTCGATCTCCTGACCTCGTGATCCGCCCGTCTCAGCCTCCCAAAGTGCTGGGATTACAGGCCAAAATCCCTTTTTAAAAAGATTATTTTTTTCTTTTTTCTTTCTTTCTTTTTTTTTTTTTTTTTTTTTTTTTTTTTTTTTTTTTGAGACGGAGTCTTCCTCTGTTGCCCAGGCTGGAGTGCAGTGGCGTGATCTCATCTCACTGCAACCTCTGACTCTCGGGTTCAAGCAATTCTCCTGCCTCAGCCTTTCAAGTAGCTGGGATTACAGGCATGCGCCACCATGCCCAGCTAATTTTTGTATTTTTAGTAGAGATGGGGTTTCACCATGTTGGCCAGGCTGGTCTCGAGCTCCTGACCTCAAGATCTGCCTCCCTCGGCCTCCCAAAGTGCTGGAATTACAGGCATGAGCCACGATGCCCAGACAAAAAGATGATAATTTTTAAACTGGATTTAGAACGTTTACATCTAGTTATATGCTGCTAATAAGGGACATGTCTAAAGAAAAAAGACAAAGAAAAGTTAAAAATAAATTATAGACAAATAAGAGAGTACAGCAATAGTCCAAGAATAAACAAATCGACCAGGAAACACAACAGAGTATTGAGAAGCACACTTTTACAGTTGCTTGACTTATGACAAAGGTAATACTACAGTACAATACGGAAAGTATATATTTTTCAATAAATGGTGCTAGGTTAATTTGTATAGCCATAAGGGAAGGTGGAGAGAAGCTCCCATAATCCCCTCATCCCTCATCTCACCATTCACAAAAATAATTACAGATAACTGAGGAATATAAGTATGAGAGACAATAAAGCTACTACTTGAAGAAAAAAAGTGTTCGGAGAGTATCTTCATCATCTTGGGGTAGGCAAAGATTTCTGTTTTTTTTTTTTTTTTTTTTTTTTGAGACGGAGTCTTGCTCTGTTGCCCAGGCTGGAGTGCAGTGACACGATCTCGGCTCACTGCAAGCTCCGCCTCCCGGGTTCACGCCATTCTCCTGCCTTGGCCTCCCAAGTAGCTCAGACTACAGGTACCCGCCACCACGCCCAGCTAATTTTTTTGTATTTTTAGTAGCGACGGGGTTTCACCGTGTTAACCAGGATGGTCTCGATCTCCTGACCTCGTGATCCGCCCGCCTCGGCCTCCGAAAGTGCTGTGATTACAGGCGTGAGTCGCCTCGCCCAGCCGCAAAGATTTCTTAAACAGGTTGCAAAAAAGCACTAATCATAAAGGTGAAAAAATAATCGTATGTTAAAATTAAGAACTTCTATTCGTTATAAGACACCGTTAAGAGAGTGAAAAGACAGACCACAGAGTGGGAGAAGATATTTTGCAATATGCATATTCACAAAAGACTTACATGATGGATAGATAAAGAATTTCTGCAAATTAAAAGGACTCAAACAATCACTTCACATAAGAGAATGTTCAATTGGCAAATAAACATTTGCCAATTGAAAAAGTGTTTAAATATCATTATACATTAAGGAAATTCCAACTGAAACTACAATGGGTTATCATTGCATTTCCACTAGGATGACTGAAAGTAAAAGGATTGGCAATACCAAGTGCTGTGGGACAACCGAAGCTCTAATCCACTGGTGCTGGGAGTGAGATTGTTACAACTACTCTAGAAAACTCTTCGGCACTATCTACTCTGAATATTACCATAGCCAATTACCCAGCAATTCCAATCCAGTTTTCTACCAAGTCAAAAAATACATATATGCATGAAAGATAGGTTTAAGAATGTACATGGCAGCACTACACAATTGCCAAAAACCAGAAACAATCCACACGTGCATTACCAGCAAAATGGATAAATCACGGTATATTCAATAAAATGTATTTCTATTCAGGAATGAGAATTTGTGTGCTATTTTTACATGTGAGCACATGAATGAATATCATAAGCATAATGATGAATGAAAGAAGTTAAAGTACAGGCTGTGTGATTTCATTTATATCAGGTACCAAAATGCAAAACTAGTCTATAGTGTTAGAAATGAGGTTAGTGTTTATTTTTGGTGTGGAACTGTGCCTGGGAGGGGGACTGGGGAAGAGGCCTTCTGGGGTGCTGGTTCCATTTCTTGCTCCGGAAACTGGTTACCTTGGAGTGTTCGCTATGGAATATTCATCAAGCTATTTATTCTCATTTCTGTATGTTTGTCACACTTCACTGTAAACTTGTTAAAAATTCAAAGCAAATTTTAGACTGTGTTTTCAAGAAAATGCAAACTAAAAGTAAGCAGAGGTAGCAATCATATTCTGATATTCTGATATCATAATATCAGTAGAGGCAATTCACAGCCTGAAATACTGCATGAATCAAAGAATGGTTTTCTGTATTGACAACAGATTAATCCGCCATAAAGGTAATCAGTTACAAACCCCTATGCCTCAAACAAACTAGCATCCACTGATATTAAGCAAAATATTTGTAAGAGAAAATATTTATCAAAAACATATTGGTAGGTGCATGTTGAGCATAGACCAGCTGAAGAACAATCCAGATGTAGATACATAATAATTCACACCAGCAGAGGCATAGCCTACAACAGCATGAATCCCCCCTCCTCACTAAGGCCAATTGCACTCTTGCCACTTCCTTTGTAAGAAAACCTGTAAACTAATATGGCTCTGTTCCTGGTAAATCAACCAGCTACTTGCTACTTGATGGCAGGTCCCATACATGGACCCTCCTAGAGGGGAAGTGATGATGTGTTCTTATTGTTCACAGTACACTTGGAATGAGACGGCATGGCAGATATGCTGCAGCATCGGGTAGGCCAAAGTGGAAGGAGAAGGTTTCCAAGCTCCTCGCTGCGTCAGTTCCTCCCCAAGGCCGTCACTGACCTTGGTCCATGTGTGCCCACTCTGTAAATTTTGTTGCTTTGAGACCTTCATTGTCCACTCATGACCCAAGTTAATTAGCAGGAACACTGGCCCTAACAAGAATCTCCAGTCTTAGAATAGGCCCATCCATTACTTAGTGTAAGACGCTTGATGGGCTCACACCACGTTCCCGTCCTATGTATAGGAAAACTGTGCAGAATCAAAGAATGTCAGAGCCTACGTTTTTATGGGCATTTGGCCTAATTTTCTTGTGCTGTCTGGGAAAGGAAATCTGGAAGTTTCCACCTACACAAACTTACAACTTTGTTTATTTTCCTTTCAAGTCTCCTTCTGAGGCCAAGACGTTGGTGAGATGAATAGTCCATTTATTGCCCCGGGTCAGGCCATCACAGTCGGTCATTGCACAATGTGTTTTTTATGTGTGAACTTGGATGCTAAATGAAGAACACTAAAGCAGGCGGGCGGATAGGGGAAATGACACAAACAGCCATTGGGAATGAATGGCCTTGTTTAAAGACTGATTTAAAAGATGACGGGGTCACAGTAGACCCTACCCTGAATTTCAGTGAGCAATGGCTGTAGGAAAATAAACAATTCTAGAATAAAATATATGGAAGATAGTACCCAGGATGCAGTAAATAAAGTTGCCATAATTTAATCTGTTAGAGTTCACTTGTGATCTCTACAGCCAAAGGGGAATTTGTAAATACAGTGAAAAGTCACAGGAGATGATAAATGATGTTGCCAAGTGAAATGTAACCATTGTTATAACAAACGTATACTGAGACCACCTGCCCAGCTGCCATGCTAAGAGAACAAAAAATAAATGCCCATGCCCTAAGTGGGGCAGGGGCAGAATCTATTATTAATCACTCACACATAAATATGAAAAAGTCTAGTAAATCCATTTCATTGAGCTTAGTCTGATAAAGAAGAACTGGGGAACGTTTCAGGGCCCACTGAGGAAAGGATGAAGTTCAGGTTGGGGTCAGGGTAGATGGGAAAGGCAGGCTACTAAAAATGGAAAATAAAAATTTTTGAGGGACTGGGGACAGCTGTCTTTCCTCCAACCCAGGAGTAAGGAGCCTGCCAGGATTTGGATCCCATCTCCTTCTCCTGCGTCTCCCTCTGCGATTGATGAACACCATCTTATTTTTAACTAGAACCCAGTCAAGCAGGAGACAATTTTTTCTTGTCTTAGTAGCCCAGTAGCTGTTGTTCCTCCTTAACAATCGACTCATCTATGCCTTGTGGGCCTGCGACTCCTGGAGCTTACCCTGTTTCTTTGAATTGCTAGTAAACTGCAAACCAAATCTATGATTCACCCTTACCAAAAGTTTTGCAGAACTTCATTTTCATTAGTGTATGTTGTGGACTCATCTCACGTCTGGCCCCATTTCATGTCCCTACACTTTCCTTTCCTCCCTTTTCCTTATCCCGCACCCCAAAACCAATGTCTATTTTATATCATGTTATTTTAAACATTAGATATAGATTTCCAAAACCACCTTAAATGTTTTGATTCAAAGTTCTAATATACATACATGGAATCAGAGTGATTTTTAATAATTGTGGTGTACAAAACACTATGTGCCTTTTTGGATTGGCTTTGCAGGAAAAGACATTTTTTTAAATAAGATCAACAAATAAAGGAATAGCTAAATTGGAACTTGGAAGCAGAATTCCAAATTTCTTGCCTTAACTGGTGGCTCACACACTCCTCAGCAAGTAACGAAAATATTTTAGATCTGTGGTCAAGTAAGCTCCTCCATTTCATAAGTTCAAAAGCAAGAAAAATATCAGGGAATTAATACAAATTCTACTAAAACTTTTAGAGTACTCTGTTTTAGAGGGGCTCTATGATTGCTAATATTTAAAGCTATATATTGTGAAGTTCTAAAACGTAAGATGAATTACAACATTTCCCTAACCCACTTATCACATTTTCAGGGCATGTTACATTTCAGAGGGGCATATATTTGGTTCTTATAATTTGTTTACTTTGATTGTTTCATTATAAAAGAAATACAAGTTTGTGTTAATAAATGAATGATAAAGTAAAAGACAAAAGTCTTCATCCTCTTGCCCTGTCCTCACCTTAATCCCCAGAGGTTACGATTGTTAGCAACTTGGTAACTATCCTTCTAGATCTTTTCTATGTATAGATACATACAAATGCTTGAGCATTGATGTAATGTATATTATAAAAAGAAGCTTTCTATTTCAAATGGATCCAGTGGATACAACACAATTTACTTACCCATTCGGTTATTTAACATTTTCAATGTTTTCTCCCATTTGATTTCAGAGCTGAAGGGGAAAACAGAGAGTGGCATGTTAGCCCCTTATTAACGCCCATCATTTTGTATGCTCCTGTCCACATTCCATATTGAATCCTAGCACATCAGTGGATCATTCACTTACTCTCTCTTTCATCTACAGCAGGAACGTAATAAGAACAAAGATGGTCATACTCTAACAGTCACATCCCAGTGGCTTCATGTTCCCTGGACAGGACTGCATTCACCAATATGTATCCCAGTGCTTGTGATTATTATAGTACTGTGTGACATTTGCATTACATCTGTAAATTCCCAGAATGGCCACCAGAGGGAATCAACCACCCAGCGCATTCAGAGCTATTGAGTCTAGCGCCAATGACACTGGCTTAGCTCTTATCTCGAATGTGTGTCTGCTTACATTGGCTAGCATTTTTTAAAATTAGATTATATTTTTAAAATGGCCATTACTGAACTCCTCTCCAATTAATATACGGAACAATGCAGGCAAAGTGCTTCAGACAGTGCCTGGCTAAATAAACACAGTAAGTTATTATTGTTATTGTCATTCATAAGCCATTTTAAAAAGAAGAGAACCATTCCTTGCTGTGCTATTATCCCTAACAAATATTTCCTGGCAAAGGCTCATCTATTTAGTAACAGTCCAATGCATAGTTACCACGCCGCTCCCCAAAGTGCTTTGGTCTTGGTTGCTTGATTAACTTCAGGATAAATGAGTGGCCCTAGCCAAGAAGACTTTTACAATTTTTCATTCTTATTTTCTGTTAAATATATGTTGCCTTATATACCTCTCTCTCCCCCTCCGCATACAATAAAATGCATTTCATGAAATACACACATTATATAGACTCTTTCATCAGAGAATGGAGGGAGATATTCTGGAAAAATGCATTTTTTAGTTACCACCATCGCCAAGATAGACTTTTGGACAATATTAAGCTTGTTGTCACTCACAAACCTTATTCAAGCATGTCCATGCCAATGATGAATGGATACTTTCTCTAATAAGTGCTCACAAATACAGCTATGGGAGGATTCCACCAAATTTACCTCAATTTCCATTATTTCAATATGCATTTACACATATTCTGATGTTTATTGACCAATGCTCCGTAAAAATCCAAAGGCAAATGAGTGAATGATGGTAAGCCTCGAGACCACACGGTGGCGCTGTTTCATCATACTTGAGAGAGGCTTTAGCACTTTGCAGGAGACCACGGCCCCCTGAAAACAGAAGACCATGAATACAAGAATTGCCTTCCCTGTGTTACTCCAATTTGAATGAGAGAACCCAGTAGAGTTTAACATTTAGCATTAATTCGTATCTAAACAACAAAACAGCACCAAAATGCAAATGTGAGGAAATCATTGCTGAAAAGTGGGTTGTTGGAGAAATGATACATAAATGCTTCATGCTGTTAATTTATGCTACCACTTTTCATAGCAATACTGCAAGCTCTCCCTAGATGTGCGAGGTGTTTTCACTTTCATGCTTATATTTTGTTCTCCACATGATCCAGTGAAGCAAGCAAGGGGGCTTTGATCTCTATTTTACAGCTAAGGAAACTGAAACCTTTCCTGGCACCCAAAGATTGCAAAATCTTCTGCAGCACAAAAGAGTTTTTTGTGTCCTAACATCTCTCTGATGCTTGTGAGAAAGTGTAAATTCCAGTAGGCACTTTACCCAAGCCACCTTGAGGCTCTGGTTTTTTAGTTCATCCCACCCCAGGCCCAGGCAGATATGGTTGAATTCTAAGGTTTCCATTCTTTCCCATTGACCAGAGCAGGCTGGCACCCAAAGTGCTGATCAGGAAGAAGGCCCCTCTTCCACCACCATCACAGAATCCCCAAGGAGCTTGTCTTCCATCCTAGGCATGTAAAATGATTTACTATCTGCGCCCTTCAGCTGTAGAGCTGAAATCTGCATCCTGTACCTAGTCCCTCATGATAGGGAAGAGGTAGAAAACAAAACACCCTCCACTCATTTCTTATTCATAGAGCAGCCAATGTAAAATATGATTACATACATGATGGATTGGATCCGACAGATAGTATAAAAGGCAAGCCGGGGAACATTAACTAGGGAATGGATTTTTCAATGATTTCCAATGTCTCTTGTAGTCAACAGTGAAGGGAAGGGAAGGGATGAGACAAATGCAAAGAGACACACACATAACTTTCAGTATCAAACTTTAAAATACATTTCACTCTCAGATAAAGGCTTATTGCGTGTTTATCCTATGCTTTGCTGTGTGCTTTATATACGTGATTTCTTATTTATTTATTTATTGAGATAGGTTCTTGCTCTGTTGCCCAGGCTAGAGTGCAGTGGCACGGTTTTGGCTCACTGCAACCTCTACCTCCCAGGCTCAAGCAATCCTCCCATGTCAGTCTCCCTAGTAGCTGGGACTACCGGCTAATTTTTGTGGGTTTTTTGTTTTGTTTTTTGGTTTTTGGTTTTTGTTTTTTTTTGTAGATACAGGGTCTCACCATGTTGCCCAGGCTAGTCTTGAGCTCCTGGACTCAAGTGATCCCCCCTGCCTTGGCCTCCCAAAGTGCTGGGATTACAGGAGTAAGCCACCGCACCCAACCCGATCTCTTTTAATTACCTTTGTTCTACAGAAAAGATTAAAAAAAAAAAAGAGGTTCCAAGAAGGAAGTAAAGTACCTCAAGTTTACCCACCTGGTAAGTACTGAGCAGGACTTGAATCCAGACCTTGTCTTGCACACCCAAACTGCTCTCCTCGTCCATGAGCCGCCCTGCTTGCTTCCCGGACCCTGACGCTATGATGGCCAGGACCTACCTGTATGTTTATAAACCACTATCAGCTGCTGGCCACTCTAAATAGGTGGCACCTGAGACCAGACGCAAACTCCTGAGAAGCGAGTGAAGCTGAAGCCTGAGGCCCTTCTTCCTCACAGGCCTCTGTGAGTTCTGTGAGGAGTCATCGAGTTTTCCAGAAGAGAGGAAGCTGGGTTGCAATCAGAAAGCATTTCTAATCAGCCATTTTTGGTAAATTGCCTAAAGAGATCTTCATGAGAAAAAGGATCTAAACTTACAAGTCTCCAATAATTTTTTGTGATATCATTTTTCATTCTAAAGAAATGTTCACTTTCCTGCCTAATTTTGTATTTGTAATTGTATATTCTTTTTAAAAGAAATCATATGAGCTTTGGGCTTCACAAAATCAGGATCTCCCCTGCCTGTGCCTTTTTCCAGTGCTTAAACATTTTGCCTCTCATCCCCTAAAAAGCTAAACAATTTATTGTGATCTTGAAGCCATCATTGCTGGGCATAGTCCTGAAATATAGTTTTCCTGCAAAAGGAGAGGGAGGGGAGGAAGAAGGAAGGGAAGAAGGAAGGGAAGAAGGACAGAAATGCACAAGATTATATGTAGAGTTAGTAATTCATTTAATGTTAAGGAAGGAAAGTCACCACCATTACAAGCGCCTCTTTAAAAAAAAAAAAACACCCTTCCACATAGACTGAATCTCGTCTTCTCTTATGAAGGTTCTAAATTCCTAAAGATGGCTTCAGTGGACCATCCAATAATCAGATAAAAGGTCCACATTGCCGTGGACACGACATGGCTAAAGACAGGACCTAGACTTTGTTCCTGGGATTTTGTGGCATATTGTTAACACAAATCACCTGATTACGTTAGCCAGCAATGATCAGTCATGTATTCTTTCGCCTTCATCCTGCTTCTCCAGTTAGAGGGTTTTGAAAATCCCTTAAACAATTCAACCACTTGTTACGGAAGGTTTCCACAGCCTCTTGTCTCCTTTGTCACACAGAAATTCCCCCAAATCATCTTGGCTGCTTACATCTACAGAGCTATAAACGGGATGCGAGTCCTCAGCGGGGAACACCAGAGCCCTCTGAGGGTGGGGAGCTTGGCGTCATACCAACTTCCTGGACCCACACTATCTGGGTTCACTAGTTATACTGATCAGACTGGCAAGTCCTCCTATGGGAAACCTTGTTTTGCGCCCCTCCATAGACATCACCTTTGTTTTTAGGTAGTATTGATCACCCGAGGATTCGGGTTCAGGCCCACGTCATTCTAGGGTCTCAGGGTCAGAGCAAGTAAGGTGATAAAGTAAAAGGGGTTAAATAATCTTATAAACACATATTCACACTGGAGATTTCCATTTTTTCTATTTCTTTTTATGAAACGTTTATGCACGCTTTATGGTTCTAAAACACAGGCTGCTGTTTAAGCCATTCACAGAGATAGAAAAGAAAAGAGAAGGAGAAAGCTTTTTAAATGTGGGGGCAGGGGAAAGCGGTTAGTGGAACTTCATCTGCTGAGTGTTCATACAGAGCAGAAATAAAGAAGTGTGTGTCTATCCTATGAAGCCTATAAATCTTAAGGAAACCCAACTGTTGCCGACCCAAAAGCCTTCTGCAAATTTGCTCTTCACAGTATCTGACCCTCCAGGCTCATTGTTCTGTGTTTTCCTGGATTGATATGGCCTAAAATCAAAACTGCATTCATAGCTCGGAAGTAATTTAATAGCTCTAGTCTAGAATTAAACTTTTTGGTCATTCATTTTGATTAATTGCTAAAAGAAATTCTGGCGCTTATACCCCTAAATACAATTTTATTTTGTGGAAACAGAAAACTTATTCTACAAAGAAGTCAACCTCTATCATAAATTCACCATCCAGGCTTGAGTGGTTTGACGTCTGGGTGCTGTACCTTGGAGACATATAATTGAAGCCCACGTGTAGATGTAGAGGTACTTTTAAAAATTTCCTCCTTGAAGATGACGTTTAACTCCACAGAGTAGCTTTCTTTGTCTTAATTCTCTGGGCTTCCATTTTTAAAAGAAAAAGCTATCCTCAAAGGCTTTATAGGGTTATTAATTACACAATGTCACCTATCGACAGAAGAAAGCCACTGTGACAGTCTCTAGCTGTCTGAAATTTAAGTAGGCTTACCAAAGCTCTTAAGACGACAAACACATGCATTTGTAGGACGGTTCCTGTCCCACTGAGGTTAACTAAATGGTCTGGGGATGGGCAAGGAGAAAGAAGGGGAGCACTTGCAAAGTAGCTGGCTCCACTTTGGAGGAAAAAAATCCTGGGGTTGTTTTTGAGGTCCGGCTGAGAACCAAGAGCAACAACAAATCATCTATATTTTTTTCAGCGCATCATGTCTATTTTTCACGTAGCAACTCCCTTCCGGGCATTCGGAAAACGCTCCTCGTCGGATATTTCTACCCACAGGATGCTCTTTCTGTTTAACATGGAAGTAGCTTTGAATTCTCTCTGCAAAGAAGAGGTCCGGTATCCCGGCGGGAGAAGCAAAGTGCCACTGGGTGCTGGAACGTGGAGGAGAGGGCTCGCAGGAGGAAGGGTGGGGCTTGGGAAGGAAAAAGGCGCGGCTCGGAGGAGAAACCGGCTGCTCACAATCCGCGAAGCCAGAAGTTACCCGGCTCGTGGAACCACGTCCACTTCCCCCAGCCAGTTCCCTCCTGGGTTTCATTCTTAAAAAGCGATTTGTATTGGTGCCTCTCTTCCGTGTGCTACAAAGAGAAGTGACCGCTAGAGGGCAATATGCTGCAAAATAAGAATTTGATCGCACATGAGAAGAGCTGAAATAATAAGCATACAGATAGAATGAAATAGAGGTATTGTGAAGAAGTGTGGTGAGTAGGCTTTCCAATCCCTGTTCTCCATATCCATACACCCCCTCAAATATACACACTTAACTGAATGGCAAAGTATCTGCACTGCAGAAGCTAACCCATCATTTTTTTCTCTCTCTCTCTTAGTTTCTGAGAGTTGGGAGGAGTTTTAGGGAATATTGAACTCCTCGACATCAGAACAGGGTAGTTTCTGGAAGCTTTCACCGTTCATAAGCCCAGAGTATAAGATCAAAGTAGTGGTTCTCAACCGGGGGCCGGGAGGGGAGGAGGGGAGTTTGCCTCCCAAGGAACATTTGGCCTTGTCTGGAGAGATTTGTGTTTGTCACAGCTTGGGGGATGGGGTGAACATAGATACTACATAGATACTAGCACCTAGTGGGTAGAGGCCAGGGATGTCACTCAACATCTTACAATGCATAGGACAACCTCTAATAACAAAGAATCATCCCCTGCAGATGTTCATAGTGCCAAGGTTTGACCAGGGTCAAACATGAGTGCACAGCTTGTAGATGCATTTCCATCCAGTGAGGGTGTGGTTCAGTCCTCAGCACTTCAGCTCTTCTCAGTGTTGACAGGCATCTCCTATGCATTGTGCATCTTTCCCCTAAGTAGACCTGCTCCATGTGATTGAAATGTGTTGCCGCAGGTAAGCTGGTCTTTCAGATTCCTGCAGCACAGAGACCCATTTACTGCAAGGCATCTGCCCACTAGGACCCGGACTGGCAGAGCCTTCTGATGTGGATTCCCCAGCCCACCCTTAAGGGAGCCTCTGGGCACTTTAGTCAGGGACCTGGCTTCCTCCACTTACTAGTTGTGTGATCTTAAACAAGTCTTTCAGCCTCCTCTGTAAAATGGTGATGATAATGACACCTACCTCCTGGGGTCTTGTAAGGAGCAAATGAGCTCACAGGTAGAAAGCCTGGTAGGCCCATAAGGGCGTAGGCATTGTCTTCTCTTTCTCCCATAGTACATGATTCATTCTTTGTTTCCCTTCTAAAGGACTTAGCCCAAAGGCATGTGCCACATCTGTCCTTGTCTTATCACATTTAATTTTTTTTAAAAAATCTTATTTTAATGGGTCATTACTGCATACTTCATCTTTGTCTTATTATTATTCAATTATTCTGTCCAGAGACAGTACAGGGTGATGATCACAAATTCAAGACCCAGCCTGCCTGAAACTGAATCCTGTTTTGCCCCTCCCTAGACAGCTGATCTTGAGCGAGTTATTTAACCTCCTTGAACCTCAGTTGTCCCCCCTCTAAAATGGGTGTGATAACAGTACCCATCATTGTACAGATTAAATTAATTAATATTGGAAAAGTACTTGGAACAGTGCCTGGCACATAGTAGTACTAAATAAGATATAAATAAATGAAAACGATGGTGATGAGATTCATACTATTTCCCCCAACACCTAAAAATCCAACCTAAATGCACCAGAATAACAACTGATGGGATGGCTGAAGCTAAACTTACAATGCCAGGATTCCAAGGTCATTCATCTACAGGTAGGGGGCTTGAGGAAGAGAGCTTCTTTTGCATCTGAGAACATCCATAGTGCAGGAGCCACATCTGGCCCAGTCCTGTAATTTTACTAAGAAGGCAACTCGAGCACAGAGTCAATGGTGCACAGTAGGGAAGCAGGACCAGAACCTGCCAGTCAACACCACAGCTCACTCCTTTTGGCCTACATTGAGTTGCTTCAATCAATAACCACGGTACTGATCTGACACTGTTATTAACCTTCTCTGTGACTTGCAATCCGCTTCCCCATATCCTGCAATGGTGTGGTGTGGCTTATCATTTGCCCTCTGAGAATATTTGATGCCTCAAGGGACACTCAATTCAAAGTACCTAGAAAATACTAGCTGGGTTTTTAATTCTTCTACCAGTAGACTGGACTTCACCTTGAATAGAATACCACTAATACCACTGAAGGAAAAATTTAGAGGAAATAACATCAAAGAGTGAACACTACACAACTATGTTATTACAGAATTTTTCTCAAAAAATCTGCTGCCCTTCAAGGGTCACTCCTCAGATACTCACCCCATTAGCACCTTATAGTTACGTAGATGTGTTTCTTACACTGTGTTGTAACTACAAGTTTATTTTTCTTCTCATTCTATGAAATTTTTTTTTTTGAGATGGAGTTTCGTTCTTGTTGCCCAGGCTGGAGTGCAATGACACTATCTCAGCTCACTGCAAACCTCTGCCTCCCAGGTTCAAGCAATTCTCCTGCCTCAGCCTCCCTAGTAGCTGGGATTACAGGCATGTGCCACCATGCCTGGCTAATTTTTTGTATTTTTAGTAGAAATAGGGTTTCTCCATGTTGGTCAGGCCGGTCTCGAACTCCTGACCTCAGGTGATCCACGCACCTCAGCCTCCCAAAGTGCTGGGGTTACAGGTGTGAGCCACCGCGCCCGACCATTCTATGAAATCTTAAAGGCAGGACATTTGTTGTCAACTCTGTCCTCAGTAGCCCAGGCACAGTGCCAGGTGCACAGTCAGTCTTCATAAATGTTTGCTACTGCTTTGGATGGTGACACCACAGTCACCACCACAGGAAGCAGATTGCAAGTCACGGGCGCAGGCCCAGTAGGGCAGCATTTTCCCAGAGCGTGGCATGTGGACCATGGCTGAGATGATTTTAGGTGGAAAGAGATTGATTTTAGATAGGACATGGACAAGGTATAAAACAACATTGAATCATGTAATGAGAAAGTTATTCCTTACCCAGTGATCCTTCAACATTTCTGATTTCTTTCTTTTTTTTTTTTTTTTTAGACGGAGTTTTACTTTTGTTGCCCAGGCTGGAATGCAGTGGCGCAATCTCGGCTCACTGCAACCTCTGCCTCCCGGGTTCAAGTGATTCTCCTGCCTCAGCCCCCCGAGTAGCTAGGATTACAGGTGCCCGCCACCACGCCTGGCTAATTTTTGTATCTTTAGTAGAGATGGGGTTTCACCATGTTGGCCAGGCTGGTCTTGAACTCCTGACCTCAGGTTATCTGCCCACCTCGGCCTCCCAAACTGCTGGGATTACAGGCATGAGCCACCGTGTCTGGCCAACATTGCTGATTTCTTCAGGGAGAAAGTCTCTGGTGGTAATATGTCTTAATCTCTCTCTCTCTCTCTCTCTCTCCTATCAACATCTTTTGGACAAACTAAATACACCTGAGGCTGAAAGCCAAGAATGTTTAGCAGATAAAAATATCTACCTAGAATTTAACACATTGTTCTCAATACATCTCTTTATGACCATCTTTTCTGCACAGCAAGTGGTAACATCAGTCTTCATTTCCCATCTCTGGGTAAGGCAATTGTGCTCAGCAAATACCCCTGGTGTGCACCTCCACTTCCAGCCCCTTTGCACTTAGGGGGAGGGTCATGTGACTGGTCTTCACCAATGAAATGGGGTGGAAACCTATATAACCTCTGGTCTAAGGCATTGACGAGCAGGTGCACAGCCCTCCAGTCATTCTTCCTCTGCATCAGTGGCCCTGGAGGTCACATTTTGAGATGGTGGCATTATACAATGGAGTGAGCATGGATTTAGGCATTGCCATCTGTCCCCAAGAAAAGCTGCCCTGGAAAGTCATCTGACTTGCATTGGATTTCACATGAATGAAAACTAAACCTTTTTTATTTTAGTTTATTTTATTTTACCTTAAGTTCCAGGATAAACGTGCACAATGTGTAGGTTTGTTACATAGGTATACATGGACCATGGTGGTTTGCTGCACCTATCAGCGCACCATCTAGGTTTTAAGCCCGGATGCATTAGCTGTTTGTCCTAATGTTCTCCCTCCCTTCATCCCCCTATCCCCCGACAGGCCCCAGTGTGTGATGTTCCCCTCCCTGTGTCCATGTGTTCTCATTGTTCAACTCCCACTTATGAGTGAGAATATGTGGTGTTTGGTTTTCTGTTCCTGTGTTAGTTTGCTGAGGATGATGGCTTCCAGCTTCATCCATGTCCTTGCAAAGGACATGATCTCATTCCTCTTTATGGCTGCATAGTATTCCATGGTGTATATGTACCACATTTTCTTTATCCAGTCTATCATTGATGGGCATTTGGGTTGGTTCCAAGTCTTTGTTATTGTAAATAGTGCTGCAATAAACATACGTGTGCATGTGTCTTTCTAGTAGAATGATCTATATTCCTTTGGGTATATACCAAGAAATGGGATTGCTGGGTCAAATGGTACTTCTGGTTCTAGATCCTTGAGGAATGGCAACACCTTCTTCCACAATGGTTGTACTAATTTACACTCCCACCAACAGTGTAAAAGCATTCCTATTTCTCCACAGCCTTGCCAGCATCTATTGTTTCTTGACTTTTGAACAATCACCATGGTATCTCATTGTAGTTTTGATTTGCATTTCCCTAATGATCAGTGACGTTGAGCTTTTGTTCATATGGAAAACCAAACCTTTGCTGTGTTAAGCCTTTGCAATATCAGCGTTTATTTGTTACTGCAACAAAGCCTAGACTATCCCGACTAATACATATTTTAAAACTTTTAAGATTATAAATGAGTGAATTTAAAGAAAATATTAACTACACAATGGTCCAGGACATAACAAAAATGTTTGAAAGTGATGCTCAAATGCCACCTAGTGCTTATAGTCTTAGAGTTAATTTTACAAAAGAGTGGAAAGTCACTCCCCTCCTCCTCTCACCAGGTTTCCCAAGAGACCTGGACCAGGCTAGGGTAAAGTGCAGCCCAGGGCTATAACAGAACAAAGTGAAATTGTAGTTTCAAGGATCAAATTTGCTGCCTTTTTGGCAACCAGCTGAATTAACTGACTCTAAAAAGCAGAAGCAGTATAATTAGAATCATTAGGAGTCCAGAGAAAAAGACTTAAAATTACCCACTTTTCCCTGGGTGGTATGACAAACTCTCACTGTCTTTGATTTTATGAAGCTCAGCTTTCCTACAGCCCTGTCACTCTACAGGTTGGAAGCGTGATTTCATACCACGTACTTCAAGGCCAACTTTTCCTTGTCCGGTCCTCATAGTCTCACGTGAAGTTTATGTTATTTGTTCATTCCCATTATGCTAGACAGACAATGGATGCACACATAGTTTTCATCTTGGGGATGATTTAGTAATGATCAAAAGTTATACTGTTTCAAAGTGGGAAGCAAGGTGCACAGACTCGCTTGCCTCCAGTTAATTTCTCTTCCTCAAAGAAAAGTCCGGATGGAAGGAACCTTGAGACTTAGATACATCTGGGGTGCTGTGACAAAGAAGGAAAAACACAAAACAAGTTATTAGGGAACCTGACTCCAACACTAGTTCAGCTGTTTGGCTTTGAGCAAGCCCCCTTGCCTCTCTCTGCCTGTGTTTTCCATCTTTAAAATAGAAATATCAACAGTTACCTTAGCCAGGTGACTTGCAGTGATGTGGAGGCAGATGATAGACACGGCACTGCTGTGAAAATCGCATGACCAGCAGCTAACACACCGTGAGTTCTGGGTTCTCACCACGTAATGTACTCTGTGCTGGGCACTTTTCATACTTCTCATTTAATCCTCAGAACAACATATGCAGAAATTGCACTATTATCCCCTTTCTTTTTTGTTTTTGTTTTTATTTTTGTTTTTTTGAGACAGAGTTTCATTCTTGTTAACCAGGCTGGAGTGTAATGGCACCACCTCAGCTCACTACAACCTCTGCCTCCCGGGTTCAAGCAATTCTCCTGCCTCAGCCTCCCAAGGAGCTGGGATTACAGGCATGCACCACCACACCCAACTAATTTTTTGTATTTAGTAGAGACGGGTTTCACCATGTTGGTCAGGCTGGTCTCGAACTCCTGACCTCAGGTGATCCACCTGCTTCTGCCTCCCAAAGTGCTGGGATTACAGGCATGAGCCACCACACGTGGCCTAACCCCTTTCACAGATGAGAAAACCAAGACTTAGTTGGATAGGGTCAGTCGCTTCCTAGAAGTCACTCAGTTACCAAGGGGTAGGGCCAGAACTCAAAGTCAAGTGCCAGTGGCCTTGGAGATGGGGCCCATTCGAATCCCTGCCCCTCAAAGCAAGGTGTGGCTTGTTATCAAGTCTGGGTCTGGCTTCTCTGGACTGTGACACAGCCCCCTGTTTTGAAACTCCATTTTTCCACACGGGGTTAATCCAAAGAGCCTGCTGGGAGAAGAGAGGCGGCCGCAAGCCCTGCCAGCATGTTACACGCTGCTTAGCAACCGGTGAAAACAAGCAGGAAGGGAAAATGAGCCTCAGGCTGCCGGGGAGGAGTGAAGAAGGGGGAGACTTTGGTCCCTGCCTAATCTGGTTGGGTTTGTGCCGCGATGGGCATGCGCTAATCTGAATGCTTTCCCCTTAGTGTTACCTGGTCCCTGTGCTGAGGAGATGCCAGGACCAACAAGGAAGATAGAAAATGAAAAGACCTCATGACCTAAGTTCAACCTCCACCTTAGCATTTAGGCTGCCTGTAGAAGGTGTGTGCAGGCACCAGCCCTCGAAGGGCCTGGAGATAAGCCAGAAAAAGAGCTCAGTTCTCCAAAGCCACTGTTGACTGAGCCCCTGAGAGAAGACAATTTCAAATGAATAAGAAAGCCTTGATAAAGCTCCGCCCATCCAGGAAAGAAAGTAGGGGAGAATTTCAGACTTCCAGCTAAAAGGTTGGAGGTTACAGTAACCTCCAGCTTGCCCAGGATATCTTTCTTTTGCTTGAGTAATTTCAAAACATCTCAAAATCTCACAGAAATCTTCATGCCTAAAATCTATCTATGCAGTAGGGGCCACTTCATGAAAAGTAATTAATCACATGACATTTTGATTAATGTAAGGAATTTGAGGAATGTGAGTTTCAGGAAGGTGAGAATGTCTTCTCAAAGGAGTTCTCTAACGGAAATAACAAGTAATGTACCATTAATGGAAGACCAGCATATCTGGAAACCAGTGTGTTCCTTGCCACTAACTGCCTGTATGTCTTTAGGGATGCCATTTATGTATTCTCTCATCACACATCTAAAGAACCAGGCTGGGGGAAAAGATACAATGGCCCTGTCTGGCCCTGGGGTTGCTTAATGTCTCTGGGGAAGGCTGAGGCCTGAACAAGCCAGTAGCATTTAGCATGGTCCATGCACTGTGTGTCACCATGGGAAGGCATTATGGAGTTGCTGAAGCTCCAGTGGAATCCAGAGGATGAAGACAAGCTTGGCATGTGTAGAAAGGGGAGACAGGTATTGCGGGAGGAAGGAACTGCGTGCACTGCCTTGTGGGGGAGTGATGTGGAACTTCATGGATCAATGGGACTGGGGCACAGTGAGTTTGTAGGGATATAGCAGAAGATAAACCTGGACACGTAAGCCAAGCTCAGATTCATTCCATAGTGCATTCAACACATTGAGCCCCTACCATGTGCCAGGCAGTGTGAGAGCAACTGGGATAGAGAAAAATCCCTGCCTTTGCAGAAATTCCACTGGCACAGAGTGGAACAAGGTCCTGAAGTTGAAGGAAAAAACAGAGAAGACAGGTGAAGCACAGCATATATTATATGACAAGGACTAAGGCAAAATACACCCATGAGAAGGGGCACAAGGAGGTTGCATTTTAGTTTAAACATTTGAAACATGTTCTATAGGAGGCAAGAGAACAAGCCTTGTTGGTGGCTAAGGGGAGAACATTCCAGAAAGAGCATATAGGACCTGAGTACTATCTTAGCTCAGTTGTACTACTATAACCAAATAACTGAGACTGGGTAATTTATAAATAATAGAAACTTGTTTCTCACACTTCTGGGGGCTGGGAAGTCCAAAGTCAAAGCACCAGCAGGTTGGTGTCTGATGAAGGCTGCTCTCTGAATCCAAGTTGGTGCCTCAAATGCTGTGTCCTCACATGACAGAAGGGCAAAAATGTCCTGGGAGCTCCCTTCAACCTCTTTTATAAGGTTGCTAATCCCATTCATGAGGGCTCTGCACCTCCTAAAGACCCCACCTCTTAAAACTATCATATTGGCAGTTAAGTTTCAACATATGAATTTGGGAGACACATCCAGACCATAGCTAGTACAAGGGGGCAAGCTTTGTCTTCACAGTTATGGAGATAATGGAGTTTAATCCCAGAATCCAAACAAGCACATTTCAGTTTTTGAAAGGACCACTTTTATACCTCTAGATAGCAGGCAGGTAGAAGGAAGCATTGGGAAACAACTGGAAAATTTCAGAAAAGACACAAGAGGGCTCTAAGCGAGAAGGAGTTGGGGCCGGGGTGGGATTTGAAAACAGAGATAGTGGAACTAGTGGTTGGAGAAGCTGCTGCTGTGTAAGGCTGGCTGGGGGTGGGGCAGGCAGAGGGAGAGAGGATAGTGGTGACAGAGACTGTTGGGACAGGGAGGGGTTATGAGGTGATGTTTGATCTGACCACCTACTTACTATGCCCAGTCTTTGGTGATGTGTCCTACCTGATGTCACAGCTCTGACCAGGACAAGAAGGGCGGCCTGCACCCTGCTTCTGGCAGTCACCTATGCACATGAAAGGCTGCTCCTCATGCCTGGGGACAGCATGTCTCTCCATGTGTCCCAGCAGCATAGCCTCACTCCATGAGGAAGGATGCATGTCACACCAACAGCTGGCAAACCTCTTTATTGTAAAAATCACACCCTACCCTAAAAGCACATGGCAATGAACATTTCTGAGTGGAGGAGGATGCCCCGGTGTCTGTTAATTAGCCAGGAAGCCATGCTTGTTTCCTAGTGCAGGGTGACTGCACAGTCAGTTGTATCCAATTTGCTGCATGAAGCTAATTTGTTTTCAGATATAAATGAAAGCTGCTGTCCCAAACCCACCGTGCTGCTTTTCCATAGAAACACTTCAGTCTGTGTTTAATGAATTTTAAAGAAGAATAAAATATATACAGAAAACTGCACAAATATTGAAGTGCACAGTTTGATGAATTTTCACAAAGTGAACGCACCTATGGCACCAGCATCCAGCTCAAGAAATAGAACATTCCGGCACTCCAAAATCTCTTGCCCGTCTCAGTCACCACCCCTCTCAAAGGTACTCTGACTTCAAATAGCATAGTTTGGTTTTGCCTGTCTTAATTTTTTGTAAGTGGAAGCCTAGAGTGTGTGCTCTTTCTTGCATTGCATCATGTCCACGACATCGTGTTTGCAAGATTCATCCTCATTATTATAAGTAGCAATAGTTTATTCCTTCTCGTCTCTAGACAATATTCCATTGCATGAATATACATTTTATTTATCTATTCTGCTATGGATGGGCTGTGTCTAGGTTTTACCTGCATTGGAGGCTGCTGCCGTAAACATTTTCATACATGCCATTTGCTACAAATACATACAGGAGTGCGATTGCTGTGCCGTAGATATGCTCACGATTAGCTTTAGTTCAGAACATATATACTACCAAAAGTCTCTCTGCTAAACACACTCTGGTACCCTGGATTGGATCCTGGGACAGTAAATGGGCATTAGGGTAAATATAGGTGGAAGCTGAATAAAGTCTGGAGTGAAGTTAATAGTAATTTGTTGATGTTGTGACATCTGTACCATGGTTTTTTAAGAGGTTAACATTAGGGGAAATTAGGTGAGAGGAAGTATATGGAAATTGTATTATTTTTGCAACTTATGTGCAAATCTAAAGTTATTCCAAAATAAAAAGTTAATGAAAAAGAAAAAAGACTTTCTTAGTGCACACCTCACTAAGAATTACTGTGGTTTTTTTTTGTTTTTTTATTTAAAAAAAGGCTTTACAGCAGCATTTATCTAACTTGCCTGATGAGATTCACCTGGAGCAAATTCTTGTACCCATTTCTAAAAGATTCTGATGTCAGATCTGCAACACGACCCAGGATCAGATTTTTAACAAGTGCTCACCTCACCCTGAGTGCCCTATCAGACAAGCTCTAAGAAATACCGAATTACACTGCAGTGGAATTAGCATAGTTTTAGGCATCAGCTAAACTCAGGTCCACATTCCATGTCAATTACTTACCAGGCGGGTGATTATTTCAGCATGTTACATAACTTGCTGGAAAACTAGTAGTAATAATGTCTTCCTGTCGGACCACTATGACATCTAAATAAGGTGCTGCAAGATGCCTAGTACGGGGCTGGGCATACTTGGGTTTGTGTAATAGTTGACCTCAACACCTTATATACGATTTTTCCCCTCTAAGGAGAACAGAAGAGGCTAATAAATTGTGACCATGGTTCTTAAACAAGTTACACTAAGTCTCATGCCCTTTTTCCAGAAGATAGCTAACATCAAGGGAGTGGGAACTACAATCTCCTCCGCAAGTCCCCCTTTATTTGGAGGTTGTATTTGCTCGTTCATTTTCTGATAGTGGACATGGGCCAAATGAGGACAGAGTCAGACTGGACATTCCCACAGCCTTCTGCCCTGAGGGAGTCACTGATTGCCTGTGCAGAGGGCCCAAGCACGACTGTGGCGTGAAAGCAACACCCTTCTGTGTCCTCAGTTCCCAGCCAGCCACCCCAGCACAGGCTCCAGAACAGCTGGGATGCTGGATGAAATCCCCGCTTTGGCGAAGCACAGGAAGCAGTGTGGGCACAATATGAGCACCGCGCAGCATTGTGTTTCATGGGAAATAAAGGGACAGTAAGCTCCTCTAGCTGCTTTTTGTCTCTTGATGTCCTGAAGCTTCCATCTCATTGTAATGGAAAGAATCACCCCTAATCTTGGCAAGTCCTAAAGTATGCTGCCATGAATTGTCAGTTCCCTTGCCCAAATGAGATAATTTATAATTTTTCATCATTTGTGAACATCTTAGAAAAATGTTTAAGGTCCTAGGAAGATGGGCATGGTAGAGGCATTGGCTAAAAGGCAAAATAGTGAAGAGGTAATGAAGGTTTGAGGCCTGAGGTGCAGTGCTGGGGACAAGGGCTTACAGAGAGAGTGTACACCAGGATGGGAGCAGGGACAGAGGGTGAAATGGGGGATGTTCCTCTACCAAAGGACAGTAACCCTCTCCAGCAAGGCCACTCTCACTGCCAGGCCTACTCTAACCACCCATTTAACACGGAGCTGGTGGGACCTACTACCACGACTACACTACTACTGTTCAAAGTATCATGCCAGGGCCCTTCCTGCCCCTGTCCTCAAATGCCATCCAAGTCCAAGAAAGTGTTAGATGGTATTATAACATCTCAAGTCTCTTTTGCCAGTTAAAAAAAAAAGAAAACAAACAAATAGCAAAACTTCCTATTGAGACCAACCAAAGCAAAAAAAGAGAATTTACTGGGAAAACCTAAGGGTAGGCAATGGAGTGCAGCCGGCCTCCCAAACATTCTAGAAGCAGAATGTGACAGTCATCAGAACCAAGGCAGTGACTTGCCCATGTCTGGACCATCTCTGTTCTCTGCTTCTCTTGACACTTCTGCTTCATTACAAAACCACCCTCTCCCTTTCCTGTGCACATGGCACTGTTCATATAGCTAAAAATAATGGCCCCAAACTCCAGAGCCCTGCCATCTCCAAACTCTAGCAAACCAATTAACTGGATAATGTTTCAGCTTCTGGGAGAAAAATTCTATGGTGCCCAGCCTGGGTCAGGATTTGGCCATTTCCATCTGGCCACGTAAACTAAGTATGTTCCAGGCTTACAGTCCTTCATGTACTTGTGGGTAGAAGGGTAGCAATTTTCCAAGAAACAGGTTTGGTCTTAGTGGATACCCCAAAAGATATTTATTACTGGTGGAAAATTACTGCTACTGATTCAGAAAATATTTTTAGGTCCTCTGTCATCTTCTTCATATCTCCCCTGGTTATCAGTTCTGTTATCTACTTGAATGTTGGGATCCAGGTGAGAAAGAAGATAAAGTGAAGGAAGACATTCATGACAAACCATTGTAACTTCAAAATTATCTGGGGATAGACCATAGAGTCTGCAGATATAACAAGACTGCCTGATTGTTCTTTATCCCTTCAAGCACTTAAAATTTATGTTGGACAAGAAATGTCAGCTAATTCTGCAAATTCTACTTATGGCATGGAGGAGACGCATGCACAACTCACGGGCTGAAGGCACAAACAGGAGAAGCCATGAACTGTTAAACAAAGGAAGAAAGACAGGGTGGAAAGGCCAGGAATGAAAAAGGATCTGATAGCAGGAAAGCTGGCTCAAGTTAATGAGACAATGCACGACTTGACATTCCTGATGGATGTCAGTGGTTCAGTGCTAGGCAGACCTTCTGAGATGACAACTTCCATTCAAACCTCAGCCCTGGATGGCAACCTGAAACCCAAGGCCATGAGCAGCGAGTGTGTGTGAGCCCAGCATGGATTAGTGCGGTGGCCTTGGGAGGCCCTTCCAGACGGCTGCTTCCTCCCTGTGTACCATTACCCAGAAGGCACGAGTGCTCTGGGAGCTACAACAATACTAAGTAATTAAGATAAAATGTTCTTGGCTGTGTTTAAGGCATATTCTTTTATGACAAGAACACAGGGTTAGTTGATGAACTAATTTTTGGTGGGGAAAACTGCAGCATCTATTATTGAACTAATTTTTGGTGGGGAAAACTGCAGCATCTATAAATGAATGCTTTGGATTTTTGTTTGTTTGTTTTTCAATATTCCCATTATAATTTCAGTTCGGATACTCCAGAGCTCATGTTCCCTAATTTATTATTGCTTGCTACGGTCCTCAGGGATACAGTAATTGAATTTTACTGGCATGATTACCATATCCATCAACAAGCGAGTCTTCCTGAAATAAATCAGTCAAAGCCTGTTGGTTGGCCCCCTTTGCTCCACAGGAGAGGTGCCCAGAGCAGAATCCAGTCTCAGCAAAGAAAGGTGTAGTGTTTCTCTGGCCAGTGCAATAGGCTACTGCCTGTCAGCCAAGTGCAAATGAGGCTGTGTGTGGCCAGCTCTGAACATCTGTGGAAGCAATAGGAGCACAAGGATATTTGAAGAAGAGAAATGAAATATATTTTTGAAGAAGAGAAAATAAAAATACCCCTCCAAAGGGATTGCCCCCCAAATGACCAGATTCTAATTCTATTGCAGTCAAAAATAGATGAGCTTCTGGGAGACGGGGATGTGCATACTTGGTTGAGATCCAGGAAATTCCATGATGCGATGTTAAAAATTCCATCGTAAAAGAAAAAAAAAAGCAGATGGACAGCCTACATCCTCTCCTTCTTACATCCAAAACAGGAAAATAAAAATCATAATTGTAGATGCATTTTCGGGCTGCACAGGCACATAGAGATCATCTAAATCCACACTCCTCATTTTACATGACAGGCTCAACAGGGTAAAATGAATTCTTATCTCAATGTGATATTTAAGATTTTTTAAAAAGCAATCTGCGTCCTTCAAAAATTGACACCCAAATACAAAGTGCATAGGATTGGGCTGTCGCTCACCTCCTCTGAGCCCCTGGGGCAAGTCGCTGAACGCCGAGCCTTGCGGCTTCATCTGGAAATGGAAATAGGCATACTGTTGGCTTCTGTGAGAACTGAGATTAGACATACAAGGGTCTAACAAAGCTCCCGGCACCCAGTCTTGGCTGAATTTCATTCTATTTTGATATTTGTTAAGGAAATAGGAAATTTATTTTTAAAACACGGTACTATTAGGAAGTCAAGTGGCTGAGAAGACCGGACGCTTACAAAGGAGCTGCTCCTTCCCAAGCAGTACCCCTCCACATTCGAGAACACAGGAGAGAAGGCAGGCCTCTTAGGTGAGCACCTTCAGATTTCTAAAGGCATAAGGCCAAAGATTTCAAGTAATTTTGCCTGGGCAGCTAAAATTCACATGCCACTGGGAGTCTGCAAAAAGCTTTGGAGCTTTAGGCGCTCTTTGACCCATACGTCATATTTCAACTCAGATACCCTCAGGGTCCTCTGACAGTAGGTGACTGTTCTGATGAACGAGTATGAGGCCTACGCTCCATTCCCCAGGCCTCGTGTTTCCACATCCAGATCCTTTGTCAGAAAAGATTGACTGTTCCACCATTTCCTCTGCGTTTTCCTGCCTCTTTCTTGTTAAATTCATAATGAAGAGAAAGCTCCCAAGTGAATCACCATCAATGGATTGGATGCTGCTGTGTGTTAAATTGTGTCTCCCCTACAATTTGTATGTTGAAGTCTTAGCCCCCAGTAGCTTAGAATGCGGTCTTATTTGGAAATAGTGTTGTTGTGGATACAATTCGTTAAGATGAGGTCATATTGGAATGAGGTGGGCCCCTAATCTAATGTGACTGGTGTCCTTATAAAAAGGGGAAATTTAGGCACAGATAGTCCCACCAGGAGGACACCAAATGAAGATGAAGGCAGAGATCAGGGTGATGTACCCACAAGCCAAGGGACACCTAAGAATGCCAGCAAAACACGGAAAGCCAGGCCAGAGGCATGGGACAGTGGAACAGATTTCAAACTCCAGGCCAGAAAGTAATCAGCACCATCCTGGGGTGAGGGGAGGACACAGCACCAGCATTATCCAGGGTCACATCCCTCACTCTGGCCTCCTCTAATCAGATGGCAATCCGGCAATCTTAGCCGGAGAGATGATAACACAGATCATCTATTTTTTGCAGCCTTACTCGGCTCCCTTATAAGGAAAAACTATGTCCCTTGAAGTCTTGCAGACTGAGGAGCTATTGTGAATCTGATCTTTTAGAGGAGAGCCTAATGCCATTTTCCCTTTTCAGTAAAAACAGAAAAAAGTTAAAAGACGAAGGAAGATGTAAGAACCAAATACTCTGTCTTTCTCTCTCTCTCACTCTCTGTCTCTCTTACACACAGACACACAAACACCACACATCTATACACATACATTCTTTTCCACTGGACTGTGCCTCTTTTTCTGGCTATGTATGCACAAGAATAGAGATATTGGTGTCTGCCCCCTGGAGTAATGATGATAAATATGTCAAGGTCAGCAGCTTCATCAGCCATTGAGACAGCTCACTCGGGCAACTGCAGATAATCATTCACCTGGTGGGACCAGTTGCCTATACCTTAATTCATGCCTCACAGTGTTGCTGAAATGTTCCTTATCTCACAAAAACACTTGTCTTATGTCTTTCTGGTGCAGAAAGAAATTCATAAATTATTGCTATGCCTTGCATTTTTTTTGGTCTCAGTCATGATTTTGTGGGGGAAGAAGTTACTCAAGAACGAGGACGAGGTGAAAAATAAGTCATCAGTGTGCATGCAACAATATCTTGTTCCATGTCCTATAAAGCAAAAACTCAGACTCAGTAGTTCCAAAGATCTTTGATGAAAAATTTCTCCTACTGTCACTCCCTTTGTAAGAGGACTAATGCTTTACCAAGGTTTTAAAAATTCTACTGGCATTTATTGAGAACCTACTATGTGAAATGCACCATGCTAGGTGATAGGACATAAATAAGACATAATCCCAGATTTATTATATGCAATATGAAATCTACAAATAGTGCACTAAGGGGAGAAATCTGTACTAAATTATCCAAATGCTCATTTTTGAAAACTGTATTTCTACATTAAAGATAGAAAAAGTACTGTGCTTCCAGTTGAATGTACTGTCTTACAGTATCTGTCAATTTTTAACCATGACTATATAAATGTATATTTGGGTGAAATTACAGCTAGTAAATGACTTGCCCCCAACACATGAATGAATATCACTTTTATGAACAGTGTCTGGCATGTGTGTCTCAGTGGGAAAGGACTGAACAGCTGCCTTGCAACACTCATCAATAAGCAGGTATCCAGGAATTCTATTCAAAGCCAGCCAGGCCCTGTGGAGACACAAAGAGAAATACAAGATAGAATGATTGTCCTTAGGGAGCTCACAAACCAGTGGAAAGAACTAACCCTACATGTCAAGACAGAGTGAAGTATTTATGGCTGCAAGATGAACTGCACGTCCTTCATTAAATATTTAAGTATAAATAATGTAACACTGGATAGCGCCCCATACATGTGTTACATAAATTGAGAGAAATAGGTGGGGAAAAAAAAGGCCAAATTGGTTAGAACTAAAGCATGGGTTTTAGCATTACACGGGAGGGAAAAAATCTTCACCATGCACCCTAAGAACAATCCCTTGATTTTTATAAGTCATCTTGTGTACACATGAGGTGACAAAAGTTATCAGGATTGACAACAAGGACTCTGGAGCCAGCCAGTGTCACTTCAAATCCAGCTCCAACAGCTCCCCACTCAGGGACCTCCGTCAAGACACATAACTTCTCTGTGCCTCTGTCTCCTCCTCCTCTCCTCTGTCATCTGAGAAAGTAACAGTACCTACCTCAGAGGGTAGATATTACGAGGACTGAATGAATTAGTGTAGGAATAGCTCTTAAAATCATGCCTGACACAAAATACATGCTTATAAAGGTCTGCTAAATTAAATAAACAAAATACCCTATGCCTCAAAGTAGTTTATGCTTAATGAGTCTTACATAAATTAAATAATACATGTGTACATATGCATGTATATATATGTATGTGTGTGTGTGTATATATATATATAGAGAGAGAGAGAGAGAAAGAGAGAGAGAGAGAGACAGAGATGGTCTGGCTCTGTTGCCCAGGCTGGAGTGCAGTGGTGTGATCACAGCTCTCTGCACTGCAACCTCTAACCTCCCAGGCACAAGCAATCCTCCCGCCTCAGCCTCCTGAGTAGCTGGGACTACAGGCATGTGCCACCATGCTCGGCTAATCATTTCTTTTTAATTTTTTGTAGAGACGAGATCTCCCTATATTGCCCAGGCTAGTCTCGAACTCCTGGCCTCAAGCGATACTCCCATGTCAGCCTCCCAAAGTGCTAGGATTACAGGTTTCTTAATACATGTATAAAACCAAGATAAAAATCTCAAATACAGCTTCTCCCTTCTATAAGATTTGCCATATTGTAAGTCAGTAATATCTTTAATGTAGGCAATATTAAAATTAAGCATTTTTATTTTCTTTTAAACAATGAGCTATTTATTTGTCTATCTACAATTTTGAGACCTGGTGGTGATTGTATAGTAGTAAGTTTGCCACAGTCCTTACCAGGAGAGGAGCATCTATGAATTATTCCACAAAATAAGAGTTCTACCATATCTCTAATCCATTGTGCTCCTCTTCTCCAACCAATTTTGGTTTCAGATTGAGCACTTGTTTAAAATTTAATGTGCACAATAGACAGTTATTGCTTTTTTTGCAAGACAGGATTCCTTTCTAATCTTCTCTGTATCATTCCAATTTTAGTATATATGCTGCCAAAAAGAGCACAGGGTTCCTTTCCAAGCAAATGCAATACTCAGAAAGATGTCTAAGTGGGAAATCATGATACCAGGATTGATAATGTTCTGAAGTTGACACCAAAAGCCTCAACCACAGGGCTGTTAAGCAGACACAATTATTTACTCTCCTTCACTGGAACTTTCTTAGATGTGACCTAAATGTAATCTGATTTATAGAGCTGTTCATTATAAAAGGAGTCTCATATTAATTTTATTTGGAAAGGGTTTCCCCCCATGTTTTACATAATGTTGAGGAAAGAGAAGAGCTAAGTATAAAGAAAACATATTTCTGGGTGCTAATTTGTATATATTAGCCTAAAGATTACACAAATTTAAGAATACCTGTCCATGTGTACAAAGTCTCAAAAAACATAGCCTGTCAAATAAAAAAAAAATTCTTTTTTACTATACACAATAAATGCGGCTAAAAAAGAAACAGTTTTTAAAGGTTATGGACATGTTATTTGACAAACAAATCTGTATGTGACATAATAAAATTGATAACTCTTTACCAAGGCTCATAAGAGAGAAGATACAAATTTCCAGTATCAGGAATGGAAGTGGGGAACATTACTATAGATTCTACTAATATTAAAAATAATAAGAAGAAAATATTCCAATAAGCTTTATGCCAATAAATTTGATAGCTTAGATGAGATGAACAAATTCTTTGAAAGCCACATATTACTAAAGTTCATCCAAGAATATTAGATAATCTGAAGAATCCTAAATCCATTAAATAAATTTAATTCATGGGGAAAAAAACCTTTCTACAAAGAAAACTTCAAGCAAATAAGCCTTCACTGGCAAACCTATCAACATTTAGAAAAGAAATAATACCAGTTCTATAGAAGCTCTTCCAGAAAATAGAATTGGAAGAAACAGTTCTCAACTTACTTTATGAGGCCAGCATTATTCTGAAACCAAAACCAAAAACAGACATTACAAAAAAACGGAAAACTGGAGACAAATCCATTATGAACATAAATACAAAAATCCTTAATAAAATGTGAAGAATTTGAAACCAGTAATATATAAAAATGATAATATATCATAACTAGGTGGGATTTGTCCCACTTAGTTGCAAGGTTGGTTCAAAACTCAAAAATCAATCAATGTAATTTTCACCATATCAACAGATTAAAGAGGAAAAGTCATACTATCATTTCAATAGTGCAGAAAAAGCAACTGGCAACATTTAACATCCCTTCTCAGCAAATTATAACTTCCTCGATCTGATGAAAGGCATCATGAAAACACTGAGCTGATATCATACTTAATGTGAAAGATTGAATGCTTTACTCCTAAGATTAGCAGTGAGGCAAGGAAGCCTTCTCTTACTACTGCTATTAAACAGTGTGTTGCTGTTTTTTTGGTTTTTTGTTTGTTTTTTTGAGATGGAGTCTTGCTCTGTTGTCCAGGCTGAAGTGCAGTGGGGTGATCTTGGCTCACTGCAGCCTCTGCCTCCCGGGTTCAAGTGATTCTCCTGCCCCAGCCTCCCGAGTTGTTGCTGTTTTTAACCAGTGCAATAAGGCAAGAAAAATTTATAAAGGGCATACCAACGGGAATGAAAAAATAAAATTATCTTTATCACAGACAATGTGATTATATGCATGAAATATTCAAAAGAATGTGCCAAAAAACTACAAGAACTAAGTTTAATGGTCAATGTATAAAATCCAACTTATTTCTATAGACTAGAAAATGTTCAATTGGAAACTGAAATTTTCTAAAAGTGCCATGTATACTTTCGATGTTATTATATAACATCAAAATCATGAAATACTTATAGAGCTAACAATATTTGATTTAAGATTTGTTGGCTGAACACTTTAAGACATTTATCAGATAAATTACAAAGAACTAAATAAATTAAAAAACACACTGCATTCACAGATCAAGAGTCAGTTAAGATGTCAATTCTTTCCCAATTCATTTATAGATTTCATGCAATCTACCTCAGTCTAAATGTTTGTGTCTCCTCCCTCCCCAAATTTATACCTTGAAATCCTAACCCCTAAGGTGATGGTATTTTAGGAGGTGGGGCCTTTGGGAGGTGATTAGGTGATGAAGAGAGAGCCCTCATGAATGGGGTTAGTACCCTTATAAAAAGAGGCCCCAGAGAGCTCCTTTGGTTTGTCCACCATGTGAGGTTAGAACAAGACGACAGCTGTCTGCTAGGAAGCAGGCCCTTACCAGACATTGAATCTGCCCAAGCCTTGGTCTTGGACTCTCCAGCCCCTAGAACTGTGAGAAATAAAATTCTGTTGTTTGCAAGCCACTCAGTTGATGGTAGTTTGTTACAGCAGCCTGAATGGACTAAGATACTATCAAGATCACAATCCCACCAGACATTTTTCTTCAGGCAATAACAAGCCAATTATAAAATTTATATGGAGAATCAAAAAGCTAATTGGCCAAAATCAACTTTGATAAAGAAGAATAAATTTGGAGAACTTATGCTACCTGATTTCAAGACTGCCTATGTAATCAAGACAATTTGGTACTGGACCAAGAATAGACATACGAATCAGTGGACCAGAATAGAGTTTCAAGAAATAGACACACATATAGGGCCAACTGATTGTTTTCAACAAAGTTGCAGAGGTCATTCAATGCTGAAAAATTGGTTGTTATCTTTTATATATAACAAAATGTACTGGATGACTATATATTCATATGGAAAAAATAAAACCAAAACAAAAAAACATTAATCTTGCTTGCTTGCTTGATCCATATCTCACACCATAAGGTATGGATCTATTTTTAAAACCAATTTGAACCAGTGAATGAATAAACAATGTGGGGTATGTTCAGGCAATGGAATACTACTCAAAAAGCCAGACACAAAATGTTACATACTGTATGATTCCATGTATATGCCACTCTAGAAAAGGAAAAACCATAGGGAGAGAAATTAAATCTGAGATCACCAGGGATTGAATTTATGGGAAAGGGCATTGACTAAAAGGAGCACAAATGAACTGTTTGTGGTAAAGGAAATGGTCTATATCTTGATTATGGTGCTGGCTAAATGATTGTATGCATTTGTGAAAACTGATGGAACTATACATTCAAAAGGGGTAAATTTTACTGTATGTAAACTACACCTCAATATAGCTTACTTTAGGAAAGAAGAAAATCAAAGCAAAGAAAATGGAAAGAGAGGCTACATGATAGCTAATGCATGATCCTAGATTGCACCAGGAGGCAACAGCTAAAAAGAATGTTATTAGGACAGTTGATAGATTTGAATATGGATTGTGGATTAGATAATGGCATTTTATCAGGGTTAAATTTTCTGATCTTGATAATTGTACTGTGGTTATGTAAGACAATGTCCTATTCTTCAGAAATACAACTGAAATATTTAGTGGTAAAAAAAAAAAACCTATAATGTCTGTAGTTTATTCTTAAGTAGTTGACAGAGAGAATGAGAAAGCAAACAGGACAAATATTAACAATTAGGAAAGCTGGCCCAAGGGTATACAGAAGTTTCCTGAAATTTTCTTGCAGCTCTTTTGGTAAGTTTAAAATTATGTGTTTTTTAGAAGAACCAAACGAGACACAGAAAGTAGAAATAATTGTGATACTAACAAAGAGGAGGAAGGAGAACAGCCTTAGTCAAATTATGTGTAAAGCAAAAACAACAAACAACAAAAAGCCGTGTGTGTGTGTGTGTGTGTGTTTTCAGAAGTTAAAAAAGAAATAGAAAAAAAACAACAACAACCATGTCACCAAATAATGAGTGTGAAGGCAGTAAATGTACATAAATAAGAGCTTCCAAGAAGCAAACTACGTTCTTCTCAGAGCCGGTCACCCTTTTCCTTGGCAAGTAAAAGAATGCCTTAGAGTAAAAGAATGTCAAAGAGCCTTTCCAAATAAAAGGGATACAGGGACTGACACCTTCTGAAGGGTGAGCCCGGGCCAGATGGCGGTCAGGGGATATACTTAGCCGTTCTCATCTGTGGAGCCCTTCCTGACAAATGGGGAATGGTAAGTGGGTAGAGGGGAGAAAGGACACAAGAGTAGCTGCATTTTTAATGTCTGGTAAGCACCCCCAAAGAAGAAATAATAACTGTGCACACGCCTGTAATCCCAGCTACTTGGGAGGCTGAGGCAGAAGAATCGCTTGAAGCCGAGAGGCAGAAGTTGCAGTGAGCCGAGATCACACCACTGCACTCCAGCCTGGGTGGCAGAGCGAGACTCTGTCTCCAAAATAAATAAATAAATAAATAAAAATAAATAAATCTATTAATTTTTTAAAAATTGTGCACACGTAGCAAGGGAACAAAACTCATAGGCGCATCACTAGAAAATATCAAACAATCCCAAAGTAGGTGTGGTTACCAATTTAAAAGACAAGATTACTCACGGGGTTTTAAAAACAAAAAAAAAGGTAATTTATGGCATCTAGAAAAGGCGGCCGGGTGCAGTGGCTCGCGCCTGTAATCCCAACACTTTGGGAGGCCATGGCAGGCGGATCACCTGAGGTCAGGATTTCGAGACCAGCCTGACCAACAGGGTGAAACCCCGTCTCTACTAAAAATACAAAAATTGGCCGGGCGTGGTGGCGCACGCCTGTAATCCCAGCTACTCGGGAGGCTGAGGCAGGAAAATTGCTTGAACCTGGGAGGCGGAGGTTGCAATGAGCGAGATGGCACCACTGCACTCCAGCCTGGGTGACAGAGCAAGATTCCATCTCAAAAAGAAAAATAAAAAAGAAAAGGAATAGGGGTAAGGGGCACAGCAGAAGCAGCTGGGAGGATAAAAGGTACAGCTGACCGGCGGGGCGCAGTGGCTCACGCCTGTAATCCCAGCACTTTGGGAGGCCGAGGCGGGCAGATCACGAGGTCAGGAGACCAAGATCATGGTGAACCCCGTCTCTACTAAAAAATACAAAACATTAGCCGGGCGCAGTGGCGGGCGCCTGTGGTCCCAGCTGCTCGGGAGGCTGAGGCGGGAGAATGGCGTGAACCCGGGAGACTGAGCTTGCAGTGAGCCGAGATCGCGCCACTGCACTCCAGCCTGGGCGAGAGTGAGACACCGTCTCAAAAAAAAAAAAAAAAGTACAGCTGACCTTCCTGAGTCTCGGATTATGTATCTGTGAATTCATTTTCTCACCAAAATTTGTTTGTGACCCTAGAATCAACACTCCATAGCACTGTCATGGTCATTCGCTGACATGCTTAGGGCAGCGAAAAATCTGAGCTGCCATTCAGGTTCCCAGCTGAGGCTGAACAAGGTGATGTTCTGCCTTTTTGTTTCAGCTCTCATGCTGTTAACAAGAGTCCTTTTCCTAGTCTATTTAATGCCACGTTTTCCCCATTTTTGTGCTTTTTGCTGGTGACTTTGCTGTTTAAAGGGTTCCCCAAGCATAGTGCCGAAGTGCTGTTAGCTTCCCAAGCGCAGGAAGCTGTGTCTTATGGAGAAAATATGCATGTTAGATAAGCTCCATTCAGGCATGAGTCATAGTGCTGTTGGCTGAGTTCAGTGTCAGTGAACCAACTACGCACGCGTGCACACACACACACACACGTGTGTGTGTGAGAGAGAGAGGGTCTCACTCTGTCACCCAGGCTGGAGTGCAGTGGCACCATCATACTTCACTGCAGTCTCAACCTCCCAGGCTCGAACGATTCTCCCACCTCAGCCTCCTGGGTAGCTAGGATTACAAGCACATGCCACCATGCACGGCTAATTTTTTATTTTTTATAGAGATGGGATCTCACTATATTGCCAGGCTGGTCTCAGACTCCTGGGCTCAAGCAATCCTCTTGCCTCAGCCTCCCAAAGTGCTGGGATTATAGGTGTGAGTTACCACATCTAGCCAACAATATATACCACATAAGGTGTCTTTAAATAGAAACATACATAAATTAAGGTTACATATTGATTGATGAAAATGTGACCAGAGGCTTGCAGGAACCCAGTGCTGTATTTCCCCTAGGAGCAATGGTTCAGCATTCATGAATCCAGTGTTTGTGGTGACTTTACTGTGAATAAAAGAATCAACTGCATTTCAACATGGACTAGAAGGAAACACATCCAAGTCACAATGGTAGTTGGCTTTGAGGACAAGGTGTGGAGAAGGAAACCAAAGGTATTTGTCAATAGAGACATTTAAGACTGAAAACAAACATTACAAAATGTTAACTATTACTGAGTGGTGCTAATATGGGTATTTGTTTTAATTTGTAATTATTTTAATTTCCTAAAGTAACAATCCTTAGAAGGACACAAGAGTTAGGAGAGAACGGAATAAGAGGATGGAGGCCACCATTCAAAGTGTGTTTCCACACACTTCAGTACCCATATACTAAGAGCCGAGTGTGAAATCAGCTGTGGGGTAAGAATTACTTAACCAAAAAAACTGTAATTTGGTAAACTGAAGCCTGCTACATGGCCACAGCTGGTCTTAATATGCAACAGGGCTGTCCTGTCGGCATTAACTATGGCACAGAGCTAGCATTATAAAGCTTTCATTAGTTTGAAAGAAATTTTGTGGATTTACATAGTTGAAAGATGCTGTTGCTTGAAATACTGGGGCATGACAATTTATTTCCCTCTAGCATCTGATACCATTTCACAGCCAAGTTATAAAGCCACTCACAGTTCTGTGTCAATTAGAAATCTCACCACCTGTAACTTAAAAATCTTTCCAACAGTTGTAATGGAATATTTAGATACTCTGCCCTAAGATAAAGCAAGCAGGTATCAGGAAACTATACGTTCTTTCCTAATTATTTCAGTAATTAAAATAGTTAAGCATAATCTCCAAATACCTCAGTCTCCCCATGCAAAATGAAAAGAATACTATTTGCCACATGACTGAAAAGGATGAAGTGACTTGAAATCCCTAGGAAAAAAAGTATTTGTGCATGCAAAGTATTGTTTTAAGTAAACTAAATAAAGGGACACTTGAAGATACTATCTATAAGTTAATGGGAAGGCAAATTGCCAAGGCAATCCTAAGCAAAAAGAACCAAGGTGGAGGCATCACGTTACCCGACTTTGCACTATGCGAGGCTACAGTAACCAAAACAGCATGGCACTGGTACAACAAAGGGCACATAGACTAATGGAACAGAATAGAGAGCTAAGAAATAAGGCTGCACATCTACAACTATCTGATCTTTGACAAAGCTGACAAAAACAAGCAAGGGGGGAAAGACTCCCTATTCAATAAATGGTGCTGGGATAACCAGGCAGCCATATGCAGAAGATTGAAACTGGACCCCTTCCTTATGCCATACATAAAAATCTACTCAAGATGGATTGAAGACTGAGATGTAAAACCCAAAACTATAAAATGCTGGAAGATAACCTAAGCAATACCATCCCATACATAGGCGTGGGCACAGATTTCATGACAAAGACACCAAAAACAACGGCAACAAAAGCAAAAATTGACAAATGGGATCTAATTAAACTTAAGAGCTGCTGTACAGCAAAAGAAACTATCAACAGAGTCAACAGACAAGCTACCATTGAATGGGAGAAAATATTTGCAAACTGTGCATCTGACAAAGCATCTGTAAGGAACTTAAATTTATAAGAGAAAAACAAACAACCCCATTAAAAAGTGGGCAAAGGACATGCACAGACACTTTTCAAAAGAATTACACAAATGTTTCAATTAACTAGAAAAAGAGGAGGAGAAGGGTTACCATAATTCCATTACCTGAATCCTCTGATTGGTTATGGCTTAAGCAGAAATGCCTTGTGTCTGAAACTTCTTAATCAAACAATTTGTTGCCCTGTGTAAATACTACTACCACTGCTACATCTCATATTTACTGAACATCTGTGGTGTATCTGGCGTTGTTGAATGCTACTTACCCATTTATGCCTCACAATAGCACTATGCAATCAGGATTCTTAGGCTGCTCATTTTAACTGATGAGGAAGCTGAGGTAGAAATTAGGTAAAAAGAATGAATGCAACCCTCTAATGACTAAGTGCCTTCATCACTTCCTTACCATCATTCCCAACTTTCATGATGCTATACTTTCTGAGGATGGTGACAATATTGATACTAGGCCATGGTCTGGAATTGGGAATAAACTTCTAGCACTAATATGCTTCATCACCATTTACCTTCCAGTCTTATAAGAACAGGAGGGAGTGCTTAAACACAAATAACAGGCAATTCAGTTCTCTCTTTTAATGGTTTCATATATGTTGCTGTAGTTTTGGTGACAATCAGGTGTGTGACAATTTAGTGAAGGTGTTCTGATCACATGCTAATTATTTATTACCTGGTAGCCCTGCAAAATCCCCTGCATTATGGAAGCAGTAATCCCATTGGTTGACCTGAAGGTCCCACAACATTACAGACTGGCCAGTGGCTCTTTCACTGAATACTCCTAACTCATACCAAGTTTATTCTTTTTTCCTTAGGAATGTTATCTTTTCATAAGCTGTGTAGTGACAAAAATCAAAAATTACTTCCAGCTCAAGATAATTCCTTCATATTTTTGACCATGAGAGCCAAAGGGCTTGACTTTTCATCAGTTTCCTTTAAACAGGCAATGCCTGCTGAGACCCGATCACCTGCACCTTGATGTCACTGGTGTCCAACAGCACTTTCATGCTGTGGCTGACCATCTGCTTTTAGAGCCATTTCATTGTTTCTTTGCACATAACATCACACATCCTTTTCTTAAAGTCCATACTCACCTATGAAAACGGAAATAAAAAACATTAAAAAGGACAGAAAGACATCAAGCTTATGTTTCATTTCCATAAATGGGAACTGCATTGTGTCATTATGAAAGTGTATAAAATATTTGGAAACTCCAACAAATTATCTCTATTAGTGGGTTTATTGACATAACTGGACATAACAATGTATAACATTTATTCATCTCCCACTGAAAGACTTCCCAGTGAAACTAAAGTAGAACACAGATCCAGGCATTAGGCATTTTCAGTGATGTTCTATGGCTGAAAAGGTGGGTGGTGAGGAGAACCAGAGGCCTTGTCCATACTTGCAATGGGACTCAATATTACCCTGCTGGGCAAAAGAAATAGCTAGGAGATGCAATAGTGCTATGATTGAAAAAAGCCAGGAGCACAAAAGGTGCCAGATAGCTCCCTGGTTGAAAATAAGAGCAAACAACACTACTGCTCTCATGTACCAGTATGCTCTCAATCTAAAATAAGCCCTGGCAGCAAACTAAGAATGACAGTCTATTTCCTGTGGTTTATTAAGTTTTGGCCCCGCAGACGAGACTGCCAGAAAAGCAGCTGTAGTTTTAAGTGGTCTGGACATTTACTCATTTGAACATAAACAACGATCAGCTCATTCAGATGGCTGGTTCCCTACTCAGCTGTTGAGAAGAGGGCAGGCATGGGTCAATCTAGGCCAAACATAAAAGGAGTGAACTGGGGTGAAAGACCCGGGGCTGTGATGGATTCCCTGAGTCACCAGGACCCTCAGGGGCTTAAGGCCCTAAACAGAAGATTCCACTGTCAGCCTTAGCACCATTGCAGTGACCTCCATGGTACTCCACTGCCAATAAATCCATAACCACTGTGACCATAACCACAGTGTACATTCTCTTAGTGACTGCATTTTTAGACCACACATAAAATTATTAATGTAAACCAAACCACTACACTTAGTGATAAACATGTACTTCATAAATAGCAGGGAATGAAAGTATCCCAAATAGTTGGAAACAACTGAACAAATAAAGGATCCTACCCCTAAGTTTAAAACAAAAACATTTAAAAGAAATACTGCAACTATTAACTAAAAGATAAGATTTAATAACACAGTAAGACACTCAGTTGGGGAGGGATTAATTGCAAAATATATCATTATTTCACAGTGAGGTTTAAGTACTCATAACAATCTTCTGGTTTTAGTAGAACAGATACCCACTGGTGTATTTTTTTCACATTTGTTTTCTATAATTTCTTCCCCTCTACTATTTCATATAAAGACACTAATGTGGTCAAACATTAAACTATCAATTGACAATCACCTTTTGCTTCCCTATTAGGAAATAACCTTCATTGCTTAACTGCAACTCAAGAGAATTAGGGCACAGTCAACCATGTCACTGATAAAAACATAAGAAGTAATGCATCACATTTATTCCAATCTAAACACACTGTCACAGATGTGGTAAGTGAACTGGAACACTGGTGTTCCCCAGTGGGTCATCAGCTACATATACATCACATTCTTTTATCAAATCTGGCATTGAAATTTCCTTTTCCATATATAGGTTTAAAAAAATAAAATTAAAAAAGCCACAGGAGCAACCCTGACAGAGAAGTCTTGCATGCAGCCTTCTCCTGAGAAAGTATGTAATCTTAGTTATCCTCGAAGTCAGCAAGCGCTCTTGTACTGTTAATATTAAAAGGAACATAATAAAATGGCCCAGTCCAACTAAAACAGTCCTTGAGTCTATTGGTCAGTTCGTTAAATGTCAGAGCTTTTCACATTTTTGAAAAAAAAAAATGCGTCTCTTATTAAACTTTAAGGTATCCTGAATGCTCTATCAGCCAACATAAACGAGTTCCTTGGCGGGTATGTTAAACTTTACCACCTGTTTACATCCCCCTTCTTGGCAGAGATCACCAAACCAGTGGAGTCCCTGGCCAAGCCTCCTTTGTAATGGTAATAAGTTCCTTCCTTAAATAGAAACAAAACTTCTCTGTTTGACACTGAGCAAACAAAAAGCATGCACCCAAATATTTCTGGCCATGTTGGGGGCACAAGCACCCCCTTTCTACCCCCAAAGCCTGGCTTCTGCATTGCAGTGCTACAAAAGCCATTCGCATAGCTGTGTCAAAGCCTCCAAGCGAAGCCTCCGACCTCAGCATCCCACCATCCATTTGTCCCCTACTCTGGCTCTGACCACCAAGTACCATCCATTTACTTCTCGAGTATTGGGAATTGGGGGATGGTGCCCGAATTGGCCCTCTGTCCCCACCGGCCTCTCTGGCAAGTGCACAAAACGGCACTTCCCCTGAGGTGGGCTGGTGGGCCTCACGGAGAGGCGGCTCCTTAGGGCCAATGAGATGGTCTCTATATGCCCTGGACCTAGTCGGCAAATCGCTGCAGGAGACGGTCCTCCCGTCTCAGGCTGCCGCCCGCGCCGCCGCCCGCACTGTCCATGAAGCGGTCGCAGGGGAATTCGATGAGGTCCGCCTCACTGAGCGCGCACACGGTGGTGCGTGGCCGGTGCGACTGGAATCCCGAGAAGTCGGCGGACACGCCGGTGCCCATGGAGCGCAGGGGCCGTCGGGTGGAGTACATGTGCCGAACGTGGACCGGGGCCCCGCCCTTCCGCCTAGCCCGCAGTTTCCTACGCAGCCAGCGAGACGCCCAGGCCGCCAAGGCCAGGAGCACCAGCAGCGCGTTGACCGTCAGCAGGGCCAAGGTCAGCAGCTGGTAGTCGACGCCGCCCCGGCTCCCGGCCTCCGGTAGGGTGACCAGCCCCGCGCAGTGGTCCCGGGGAGCCACAGGGCAGACACGGCCCCCAAGCACGCCCTCCACGCACACCAGGTAGGGGGTGTCCCCGCGCAGCTCGCGCAGCGTGGCCGAGTCGCTGCTCTCAGGCAGGTAGACGAAGCGGTGGAACTTGGGCTGCTGGCCAAAGCGGTCAAAGAGCAGGCGGAAGCGCGCGCCGCCCAGCGGCCGGGGACTGCGGTGCTCGCGCACGGCCCAGCGCACCGAGGCGCTGTCTGCGCCCACCGCCTCCACCGTCAGGTTGCACAGAATGAACTTGTTGAAGTCGCATGGGTCGGACACCAGCGGCGGCAGCCCGGCCCCACCGTCGGACTGGGCGGCACGCTCCTGGTGCTCCGTGCCCAGACGATGCTTCGTCGCGCGCTGCCAGGGGTCGCCGGCGGGCGATGGCGCAGAGCCAGGAGAGGCCGTTGGGGTGGGCTCCGCGAGGGCGGGATCTGCCCGAGTCGGACGGCCCCGCTGGGGCTTCTTGTGCAGGTCTAGGGACTGTGGAGCCGGGCCCGCGGCGGCAGCGACGGAGGGGCTGGGCTGCTGGAGGCCCGGGCCCCGCCGACTCAGCCTTAGGGCGCTGCGGTTGCCTACCAGCTCCCTGGCGGCCCCATCCCAGGCCACCCCAGCTAGAAATCGCCCCTGCTGCTGGAGCTGCGGCTGCGGCGGCAGCTCCTCCGCGAGACCTGCAGGTGGCGTCATCTCCTCCCCTGCGGCCGTGGGTAGGGGCTGCCGCCTGCGGTCAGCGGTCAGGGAAGCTGAGGGCGAGGGATCCGCGCAGGATCCATTTTGCAGCTGCTGGTCATCCAGGTAATCCAGGTATTTGCCTCGCAGGGCCGGGGGGTGGCGACACTGCACGAAGACAGTGAGGAGCCGGCCCTGCGAGTGCCAGTCGCCCATCCAGCGCTTCAGGCCTCGCAGCCGGCAGTCGCAGGTCCAGCCGTTGCCGTCTAGATCCAGCCGATAAAGGGCTGGGCTGGCGGCGAAGATGTCCCCGGATAGGGCGCTGAGCGCGTTGTTGCGCAGGCTGAGCTCGCGCAGCCGGCCCAGGTGGCCGAAGGTGGCCGGGTGCAGGGCGGACAGCTCATTGCCGCTCAGGTCCAGCGCCTCCAGGCTGTGCAGAGGCTCCAGCAGCGCAGTTGGCAGCTGGCTCAGCCGATTACCCTCCAGGCGCAGCTCGCGCAGGGCCTCCAAGCCCCAAAAGGCCTCAGGCGCGAGGTGCGTGAGCTGGTTGCCCCTGAGCGAGAGCAGGCCGAGACGTGGCAGGTGCTGGAAGATGCGCGGCCCGAGGTGCTGCAGGTTGTTGGCCGAGAGGATGAGGGAGGAGAGGGAGCGCAGCGGTGCGAAGGTGGCCGCGTGGCGCAGGGAGGGCTGTAGCTCGTTGGCAGAGAGGTTGAGGAAGCGCAGCTTGCCTAGCTGGGCGAAGGCGTTCTTGCCCAGAAAGCGGATCCGGTTGGACTCCAGATGTAGGTAGAGCAGGTTGCCCAAGGGAGCGAAGACCGCGTCCGGCAGCGCCCCCAGGGCGTTCCCGTCCAGCCGCAGCTTGACTAGACTCTCCAGGCCCTCGAAGGAGCCGCGGCTTAGGCGGCTGATCTCGTTCCCGTTGGCGTAGAGGATGCGCAGCTTGCGCAGCGGGGCCAGCGTGCCCGGGGCGAGCGCCTGCAAGAGGTTGTTCCCCAGGTACAGCTCTTCCAGCCGCGAGAGCTTCTCGAAGGTCTTGGGGTGCAGAGAGCGGATCTGGTTGTACTGCAGGTCCAGCCGTCTGAGCTGCCCCAGACGGTGGAAGTCGAAGGCCGTGATGTTGGTTATGAAGTTGCCGCCGAGGCTGTAGGTGAGCACGTCGTGGGGGCTCGGCAGCGAGCTGGTCTTGGGCACTACGCGGAGCCCCCTGTTGGTGCACAGGAGATGCTGGGGATGCTGGCAGTCGCAGCGCTCCGGGCACACGGGCTCGGCCAGCGGCGGGAGCGCGAGGCAGCCGCACACCACGAGCAGGAGGCGCAAGGCGCGGGCAGCCTCCATCGCCTCCCGCCCTGCGTGCAGCGGCCGGATCGTCCTCTTGGCCCGCCGGCTCTGTGTCTCCTCTGCATTCCCCTTAGCCTGGCCAGAGTCGCTAAATGGCCTCTTTCGGACTTCGCAGCGCCGTCCAGCCCCTCCTCCGTCCTTTGTCCGGAGGCCGGCCCGGGTCTCTGCAGGCGGGCTTCGCCCGGCCAAGTCAGGCGGCGCGGGGCGCTCTGCAGACCCCGGGTACTACTTGTTGCATTTCTGTATAAAACTGTTTCTCCGGGTGCGCGTCGGCGGGCGGGAGGAGGGAGCAAGACCCGGCGCTTTTTGTTTGCAGCTGAGTCCGGAGAGCTGGATTCCCTGGCGCGGATTCTCCCAGCCGAGTGGATTCCCCAGCTGCAGGCGGGAGCCGTTCCAAGAGCTTCGCGGGGCGCGGCTTGGCAGCAGAGCCCCGGCTGCTCGGCCCCCGCAGACGGCACCTTCTCGCTCGCGGTCCCGGACGGGGAGGGCGGCTCCAGTGCAATAGCTCGGGGAGCACGCGGGCTGCGTCCGGAAGGGACCCAAGTCTGCGAGCGGAGAGCAAACGGGGCGGAAATTCGTTCTTCCCACACTCTGCCCGCGGGGACGCAGGCGGAGAAAGAGGAGACGGCAGAGGGAGGACAGACCCCGGCAGGGGGAGGAGGAAACACTAAGTGGCTCCGCGTCTGGTCAGCCCGGGCCCGGGATGCCAAGTGAGAAAAGTAGGGATTAAAAACAGCTGTACGGGCCGGACACGCTAGGCCGGGGGCGGGGGAGGATTACCGGGCTAGCAAACGGGATTTGCAGACAGAGACCTTTTTATTTTAGACGAGTACACCAGCCGCTTCTGAGCAGTGGGAGCGCGCCTGGCCTTCCTCGTTGTTAAGTCACTTGCTCTTCCAGGTGCCACCCTGCGGGAAGTTTGGGCAGCACGGAGTCCGCCAGCATTCTACAGGAAGTTTGGGGGAGCACAAGGTTGCCTGCAGAAGGCCATCAGAAGGGGGTAGGTGAACCCAGTCTGACAGTTGCTGCTTGGGTTTTGACGTCGTTGGACTAGTAGCTGAGGAGAGGCACCACCCCCTTTTAGGTGTCTGAAGGGAGTATTTACTCCATCCTGCTGTGGGCTAGAACATGAAGAAATCACAGAACTGGTTCTGCCAACATGAAAGTGTCTCTGCCACATTTTGGTGATTCAGTCGCATTAACTCTCCTACAGTAATAGAGCCCCTGGGGTAGGCTCTGCTCGTGTGCACATACATAATAACCTTCACAGATCCTAAGGTAAACGTTCCTTGCAGGGCCCTCCTGCTTTACGCCTGGACTTGCAGTGATCTTCAAAGTCTTTAGGCCCAAAAATGTTCAGGCCTGGCTCAGTTGGGGAAGCATTATTATTTATTATCTCTAGGGAATGGAGCATTTAATCAACGGCTCCTTTGGGATCAGCCCCTGCTGAGAATGAGAATACACAAGGAGGAGTTGTTAATTATTAATTATTGTTTCTTTATATAAACCATCTTGCTAAAAAATAAGGGCCCTTCCCCTATCCAAGGTGTTGAGAAAACGTAAGTTTTGAGGACGTACTCTGCAACAATGTGGAAAATTAAAGGAAAGATACAGATCCTCACCTGAAGACAATGACAATCTAGTGGGAAGGGCAATGAATGCATTGAAAGGTTAGATAATAATATAAGGCAGTAATAGAGAACACCACAAAAACAAAAATTATTTTTTTTGAGGTGGGATCTCACTCTGTTGCCCAGGCTGGAGTGCAGTGGCATAATCTCCGTTCAATGCAGCCATGACCTCCAGGGCTCAAGTGATCTGCCCACCTCAGCTTCCCTAATAGCTGGGACTAACAGGCCCTTGTCACAATGACCAGCTAATTTTTGTATTTTTTATAAAGGGGGAGTTTTGCCATGTTGCCAGGCTGGCATCGAACTCCTGGTCTCAAGCGATCCTCCCACCTTGGCCTCCCAAAGTGCTAGGATTACAGGTATGAGCCACACCACACAGGGTGACAAATGATTTTTAATAATTCTATGTTTCACAGTAATTGCCCCATTTAGCAATTAATATAGTCAAGTGATAGAGGGAAGTTCTGAATTTAGAGAAAGATGAGATCGTTGGCAGGGTAGTCAGTGGTGACTTCGTGGGTGAGCAGGGACCTTGGCTTTGCAGGGAGGTGAGTCAATGATAATTCCAGGAGATGAGCGCTGAGGGGTGGAGCTGTGATAGTCCTGAGGAGCAGCACCTGGCCTGAGAGTGTGAGGAAGGCGTCTAGAAGAGGGGAAACCTGTGCTGAGTTTGAGGGGTGAGTGGTATTACCTAGAGGAAGGTGAGCAGACGCTCAAGGAGGAGAAGCCTGGGGACACATGCAAGGAGGGATTTAGAAACCTCCACATCTTCTGTCTGCATATTTAGGGTGAGCTTTATTAACTTATTCTTTAACAGTATCATACACCCTAGCTTATACAGTGACTTGAAATAAATATTCCTTTATTCCCCTTTAAGGATTTCAGCAGGTAGCTGATGTAATCATATTTGCACTACAACCTCAAGAGGAATCTCTGCCTAAATAAACAAAGTAGGTGCTATACAAAAAAAATGTTGTCTTCCTAGTTCTTGCCTTCTAGGTCCTTGAAATCTGTGACAGCAATAGGTGTGAGATGTGTGGATAGAGCATCCAGACTGAGGCATTCAGCTATACCACGCACATAGGCATCTTGTAGATACTGTGAATGCATCTCCTCAACCAGGCCAATGTGGGCGCTGTCTGTGGACCTTGTGCTTTACAGGGCTGTGTTCCAGTCCTCCTCTGGTTGTGCACCTTCCAATAAGAGCAGGATTTCAGGCCTCAAAGGAGATGTGCACACCCATACCCCGCTTCCTACTCAGAGTTCTCTAGACCCTGGAATTCCCTGTGTAACTGCCTAAGTATATATAGGCTGCCTTCACATCTGTTTTCCTAGTGGCCAGTCATGCCACAAGTGTGTATACTCCTAGGGCCAAGGGAAGACCAAGGGGGCAGCTATGCAAAAAAGAATCTGGAGATGCAGGCTGGAGTTTCCACTGGCAGGCCCCCAGAAGACCCCTCATAATGCAGGAGCCAGAGCTGGGAAGGACAGCCGTGGGCCAGTGAGTGACCTTTCACACTCTAATCCTGGGCTTCTCAAATTTTGAAGACAGGCCTGTCTATATGCAGCTGTTTTTGGAGGGGAGAAAGTAAATGTACTTTGATTTTAGAAAGTACAAGAAGAAAAAAATCAGGAGTTTGAAGGAAAGTGGGTTTTTTGTTTTGTTTTGTTTTTTTCCTCACTGCAATCTCTGCCTCCCAGGTTCAAGCAATTCTCCTGCCTCAAGCCTCCTGAGTAGCTGGAATTACAGGCGTGCACCACCACACCTAGCTAATTTTTGTATTTTTAGTAGAGAGAGAGTTTCACCATGTTAGTCAGGCTGGTCTCAAACTCCTGACCTCAGGTGATCCACCCCCCTCGGCCTCCCAAGGTGCCAGGATTATAGGCGTGAGCTACCACGCCTGGCTGGAAAGCGGTTTTTAGAAATGTAAGTTCTACTTTATTATAACATAGGCTGTGCTTAATTTTCTATAAAAAGCAATACTTTTTAGTAAAAGCAAGGACACTATTGTCTCTAGGTAAATGAATGTCTCTTAACTATGTAATGTCTTTGTTAATGGATGGATCCCCACTTGATCAGGTTCTAGGAGATTCAAGTATTGGTTACACTTAAGTGTATAATTTGCATAATCACAACTGGAAATCCAGGAAGGAATGCCATTCATGAGAGAAGACAAGAGCTTTGTCATTTCACTTTTGGAAAGCTTGCACTTTAAATCTCAAGTGCACTGCAGGGTAGTTTCAGAGGTCAGAAGCACAAATGCGTTTGGGCTGGGTCCATGGCACATACATGTGGCGTAAGGGCTCTCAGGGGTCTTGCCCAGGCATGGAATCTTCTCAGGCTTGCCACGGTTGTGCACCTGTGTCTTCCCAAGCAACCTGTGGTTCCCTTGAACTTCAGCTACAGAGGTATGAAGGATTCCAGGCCATGTCTTCAGCAGCTCCTGGAGCTGGCAGGAGTTGGTCAGGCAGTGCCCTAGTGCGGGATGGGTAAGGGGGAGGAGAGGTCTGGCTGCAGGGGGTGCGAGGAGGTGGAGCCAGCCCACTTCTGCTGGAGCAGCATCCTGGAGCTTACTCAGGCAGCCTGCAGGAATGGTAGCAGTCTCCTCCTCTCATGGGAGCCAAACCCAGACAGGCAGTGTGGCCCCTGACACAGACGAAGTAGGAAACAGGAGACTCCCCAGTGATTAGCTGGCATATTATCAAATGCCCCCCAAAGTTGTCTTTCTCTCTATGAGCTGCATCTTAGCCCCAGCCTGAGAGACAAGTTTATTGTCCTCGGGATCAGGAATGCGAATGAGATACCCACTGGTTTACAGAATATCCACCAATTCTCCATTTCCTGGGAAATACAGGAATGCAGGTCCCTGGCTAGGTACGAGCCTTATTAAATCAGAATCTCTGGGCAGCAAAGCTGTGGCATCTGCATTTGTAAGCTACCAGATGATTTTTATGCACACTCAAGTTTGAGAAAACCAATAGACAGTGCTTCAAAACACCTATTTATGACTGGCTGATCATGTAACAACAATAATAATATAATAATAACCGGCACTTATGTAGTGCTTAGTGAGGGCCAGGCAGTGATCTAAGCACTCTACATAAAATAACTCATTTACTTCCATAACTACCTGGTGGGGTAGAAATGATTATTGTCTTCATTTTACAGAGAGCTCTTTAAAAATATAGGATCCTAGCCCCACCCCCAGAAAATCAGATTTGGAACCTTCAGAATAGAGCCTAGAGATTTTATTTAGCACGTTACCAGGTATTGCCTGGTGAAGACCCAAGCTTAGGAACTGCTAAACTAGAATTTGTAAGGGCTTACTGAGACATTTCAGTATCTCCTTTGCTGGGAGGCTGACGATAGAAAGAGGAATAAGACAAAGCCGGTGCCTTCAGAGAGCTCAGCATGGCTGGGAAGATGAATGTACAAAAGCCAATAATCCGGAAGGATAGTACCATCCTAGGGTAATACAATGAGAATAATATGCTATAATAGCAATTATTTTTCGAGAGGAAAATAAGGAAGAACGAAAACCTCTGTGGAAAGCGAACATGTGTATGTGTCTCAGGCCATTTACAAAGTGACTGTTCCAACACTCTGGATTTTTACGTCCAAGGAAAATCCTTATCCATCAGTTCAAAGAAACCTGATTGTTTGAAACCAACATATAAACAGACTGTGGATCTGCAAGAACTACAGTGAACTGTAGGCACTTCTGGCAAGCCAAAAGGGCAAGGCAGATGTGGAATGAGTATAATGACTTAGGGAGTAAGGCAGATCCAAATGTTGTTTATGGTTACAGTATGGAGTTTGTTTACATGTAACTGAAATTTTATAGCAGTAATATAATGTTGTCTTCCCTTAAAATGAAATTGAGTCAGTAGCCTTAGGAGATGCTGTAGGTACAAATGTATCTCTTAAGTACTGAAATATTTGTCCTGTCTGGGAACCAGAACGGTAATTGTATTTTATGATACCACTTGCCACTATTCTTTTATTGGGCCTTCTCCACATGACACTAATAACATTTATTTAGCCATTTATATCCCCACGAAACTGGAAGGGCAATAGCCTTGTTTTATTTCATTTTTGTGGTGCTCAGCAACTGTTGTTGAATTGTCAAAGTTTTAGTAAAGATAAGGAAAAGAAACAAAATAAAAATGTTAACAGTTACCGTCTTTAGGTGGCGAGAAAATACATGTTTTCATTCTACTTTTTGTTATTTTCTAAATGGTATACAAATACTATGTATTTCTTCAAAATTATTTTTTAAATTTTAATAAGTTTTCCTGTCTAATATCTGGTTTTAACATCCATCTAAATCTCAGGAGAGAATTAGGTGAGGATTATTCATATCCCCAGTTTGGAGGAGAGGATGCTAAGAGCTAGAGAGGTTAGCTAACTTCTGGAATGATCCACCAGTGTAATGGGAGAGTGCAGACCACGACAGAAACAGATGAGCCTCAGCAGGCTCCCCATTGATATCTGCCTGTATGTACAACCAGTGGGGCCAGTTCTGTGTGATATTCAAAATATTTAACAACTGGTACAGCAAGGGCACTGGCTAGTCAGGTTTGGGCACTGACTGGTCAGGAAAGACAACAGCCAGGAACAACCAGCCCTGCTGTGCCAGTGTCCAGCAGCTTCAGGTGGACTCACCTGTACTTGATTCAAATTTCTGAATGGTGCTTTAGATGTAACACTTTTTTCTTCGTAATGATGTTATTTAAAACAATTTGCATGAAGCTTGGGCACAATAATCAGTAACCATGAGAAACAACACACAGAGGCTTCTTGGGTCCAAATGCTTCCAAATTGTAAACTTGCCTGGGGCCTACGTCTCTGGGCCCAAGTTCATCACAGTCATTCATACTCAACAATAGCACGTTGAGAGGGTGAAGATGATTAACTTTGACAAAAGCGTGAGTTTTATTTTCAATTTATAAATCAGAAATGGTATCCCACTGTCTTCAGGGAGCTGACATATACTCAAAGGGAATTTAATTCTTTAAAAGTTCTATTGTTTCACAACTTGATCTGAATTGTTATAATTAATGGCTTAAAACTGTTTGTAGGAGGTCACCTCTATCTCTTTTGAAGAGTATCAGCTTAACAGATAAGCAATTCGGCCGGGCGTGGTGGCTCATGCCTGTAATCTCAGCACTTTGGGAGGCCGAGGGGGACGGATCACCTGAGGTCAGGAGTTTGAGACCAGCCTGACCAACATGGCAAAACCCTGTCTCTACTAAAAATACAAAAAAATTAGCTGGGCGTGGTGGCGAGCACCTGTAATCCCACTACTCGGGAGGCTGAGGCAGGAGAATCGCTTGAACCCAGGAAGTGGAGGTTGCAGTGAGACGAGATCACACCATTGCACTCCAGCCTGGGAGACAGAGCGAGACTCCATCTCAAAAAAACAAAACAACAACAAAAACGATTAGCAACTCATCCTGTAAATTTTCAAATATTTATTATCCAAACCTGGATGGTGCATGGGTCCTTCCTTCCCTCCCCTAGAGCTGCAGATGTCTCCTTATTCTAATGTCACTGTATAGGGCCCAAATAAGGGAGGCAGCTTTAGACCCATGCTGCCGAAAACTGGGGCTTTATCCTGGCAAGAAACGTTCTGTCAGTCTCAGTAATGAAAACAATCTTGGACAGTTAAATAATTGACTCTATACAGTGTAAATACCCTAAAAGTGTTTGCAGATTTCATCAAAAGGCCAAATCTTCTTTTACTTAAAACCAGGAACATGGCAGGAAAGGAAATCAGAGGAAGGAAGCATCCATCCCCTTTTCAGTCTCTGTAATTTTCTATGAAGATTTGCACTTTGATTATGCTTAGTAACACCATATGCTGGAGTGGGACGCAAGATCAAAGCCTCCACACATAGCACTGGAGTCCTTGCTGTAGGCAGGAGCAAATATTTCTGTTGGTAGAATGCTAATAGATCCATAATGACACTCCCAGCCCCCCATTCATCCCTACTTCATATCCAAAATATAATTGAGAAACCTCAAACATGAATGCTTCCATCATCTTTTTCTTTGTCTGCTGTAATATGTTGTAGATTGAAAAAGGAAAATGTGTTGTTACCACTTAGATATTTGGAACTGAAGAATGTTCAAAAGCTTAACGTAAGTGATCAGGTTTTATAGCGTTCATGGCTTTAGAAATTTGGAGGATAAGAGTTTGCTGAACACTGCTTTTCTTTGGTTGGTGAGACTGCAGATATTTTTTCTTCATTTTATTTTTCTCTACAATCAAAATTTTTTACAGTGAATGTTTGTTTTTGTAGCTAAAAATCTTTGGTAAAAAATGTATATGATGCCATTCATATCAACTCTTGCTTTCTCCATTGCCCTGCCATGCCCTGCCATGCCCTGCTTCATTACAAATGTCTTTCTTAGAAACATTTTTTAAACATCTATCTTGGTACTAGAAATAACCTTGGTTAGTCAGACAATTTATTGTATACAGTGTAAAACCCCAGAGGCATTTGCAAATGTCATTTTTTAAAAAAATCCAATGCTTGTCATAAACTACCCATGTGGTGTATGTGGGGTCCACTTGCTGTGTTTCTTGCCCTTGAGCCACATCACAGTCTCCCTGATCAGTTGCTCATTTTCCCATCTATAAAAAGGGAGAAATCATACTTGCCCACTGTAAGAGTTTTGTAAAATGTATGTGAAACTGCTTAGAACACAACAAATGGTATGAACATAGAATTGTTGCCAACATTTCAACCTCATGCGTGTTTTTTCAATGAGAATCTGAGGTCCTTGAGGGCAGAACCAAGTCTTTTGCACAGTTTCGTAGTGTTCTCTGTAACATCCAACATAGGGTCTTTTCTGAAACTGTAGGTCTTTAATAAATGTTAGGTTCAGCAAAAAACAAGGAGGAGGAAGCCACATTCCCAGGTAACTGGCTTTACTGTCTTTCCTTGTACATCTGTTTCCATCTTATTATGGTTTCATAGCCCTTCTCCAGGCCACCTGGGCCCAGAGCACACATCTTCGGCCCACAGGTTCTCTCTGGATAGCTGCATAGACAGGCCTGGATTCTGGGCCAGCTCTGCAGTCATTGAGCTCACAGGGCAAATCACTTGACGGTGCTGGACATTAGTTTCTTGCTGTCTGATGTAATGTCCATGATGATACATCAATGTTTGCCCAGAAGGTTCTTGTCATCATCAGTGGCCCTTGAGTTATGAAAAGATGACATGTAAAGGAAAGGAGCCAGTAGTCAGACTGGCCCTCAATACCATGTCTAAGTCTTGGAGATTCACAGTGCGCAATAGCACATACAAAGCTTTGAGAAATCTTACAGAAAACAAAGAAAGAAATGGGGGATGGGAGATAGAACTGTTGACCTAGTTTGAGGAACACTGGGTTACATGTTTTCAAAGAGCCCTTCTAGCTTTAAACAGTAAGGAATTGACTGCATTTCTTCAATGGAACATTTTGAATTCATTGAAATTTGTTGATGTTACAGTTCTTTGAATACAATACAGTGTTTTACATAAAATTGTCACATTCTACAATGGAAGGTGCTTTTCCACGTTGTGCTTGACCAATTCAACAACTCATGGTATCCAACCAGTTTAACATTAATCCACAGTGAGCAGGATAATATTTACTGAAGTTGTCTCCAGTCTCTCACAGTTCTGGAAAGCTTCTTTGCTTTGTCCCCAAGCTGTCACTCAAACTAGCAAATTATTAGACGTTTCTTTCCATCAGGATATAGGTGTTAGAACCCCATAGTTGAAAGCACCGTTTGGCACATTAACAATCTAGGCTAAATAACTGTTGACTCTTCAGAAGTATTATTTAGTCACCAGGCTAACATGGAAGGGGTGTTTCCTGGAAACTTAGCCATTTGGGAAGAATTTCTATAGTTTCACTATTGAAATTCTTAATTAGCTACTGATACTAGCTAATTGAGCTAGTATCCTTGGGTTTAAGAACCTCATGGATAATCAGCAGGTGACTCTCATTATTCCCTGAGTGATGGCATGTAAGCACCAGCTTAACTAAAGTTCCAGAGTGGTTTTCCATCTGAAACAGGTGGCTACAAACACCTGCCAGAGTAATAACCGTTAATGACTAGCGTTTACAGAGGGTTGATCATGTGCCAGGCACAGTTCTAAGCCCTCTACCAGTATTAAATCATTTAATCCCTCAAGGACCCCTGAGGAAAGTACAGTTAGTCCCATCTATAGATAATGCTATCAAAGCAAAGAGAGATTAAGTAACTGGCATAAGGTCACACAGCTGGTAAGTGATGACAATGCTGGGACTTGAATTAATATTTTCTGAAAATTTTTATGCATACTTTTCACAGGAATCTTTTATCACAGTGTCCTTGTCATAGCTAGAGTCACTGTTTGATACTTAACATTTTCCAGAATAAATCATCTGCCCATTCATACATACTGTTTGAACTGTAGCATTTTTAAATATGATTCTTTCAGTGGCAGTTTTCCACCTCACCAATACCTATTCTCACATATAATTAAGTTTGTTTTCTTCATTCCTACTGTAGGTGTGTATTCAGGATCTCCACAATATTACCACTTATTGTATTTCTTTCTCCTCCACCATTATATTTATTTTTAAATGAAGATTAGCTTTTTATTACAGAAGCAGTGTATGTACATTGTAGAAAGTCACAAAATAAAGATAACCAGCAAGAACATAAAACATTTTTTTCCCACCCTGGTAGGCTGGACACTGGTCCCTCAAAGATACTTACATCCTAACCCCCAGAACCTATACATATGTTTAGGTTACATGGCAAAGAGGAATTAGGGTTGCCAATGGAATTAAGGTTGGTAAACAGTTGACTTTAAAATAGGGAGATTATCTTAGAGTATGGGATGGGCTCAGTGTAATCACCAGGGTCCTTAAAAGTAGAAGAGGAAAGCAGAGAAGTTCAGGGTGATGTAATGTGGGAAAGACTGGCCAGCCATTGCTAGTTTTGAAAATGGAGGAGGGGGAGCCAAGGAATGCCAGCAGCCCCTAAAAGCTGGAAAAGGAAAGGAAATTGATTTTCTCCCAAGCCTCCGGAAAGAAATGCAATCCTGCCAATACCTTGATTTTAGTTCCATTAGACCCAGTTTGGACTTCTAACCTATAGAACTGTAAGATCATAGATTTGTTTTGCTAGAAGCCACCAAAATTTTGGAAGTTTGTTATGGCAGACTATAGAAACTAATGTACACACCAGACTAGAAAACTAATGTACACACCAACTAGTGATTATAACTGTTAACCTTTTATTATATGTATTTCTAGATCTTTTTATTTTTATTTTTTTGAGATAGAGTCTCACTCTGTCACCCAAACTGGAGTGCAGTGGTATGACTTCTGCCTCCCGGGTTCAAGCAGTTCTCCTGTCTCAGCCCGAGTAGCTGGGACTACAGGCACACACCACCATGCCCAGCTAATTTTTGTATTTTTAGTAGTGAAGGGGTTTCACCATGTTGGTCAGGCTGGTCTTGAACTCCTGACTTCAGGTGATCCACCCATCTCGGTCTCCAAAGGGCTGAGATTACAGGCATGAGCCACTGCACCTGGCCTAGATCTTTTTATACACATACATATGCTTTTTTAAAAAAATGAAAAACTGAAATGAGATCATAATGTTGTAAATTGCCTATTTCCTTGTAGTATTTCTCTTTCCCTGTTAATAAAATTTTATTGCATCCAATACCTAGTTATATTCAAATTACCCTAATTCTCTCCCAAATGTCTCCCCAAAGCTGGCTTGCCCAAATCAGGATTTAGATCAGGATCATCCATTATATCTGGTTTGTGTAATGCTTAGATATTTTAAAATCTAAAATTGTTCTTTTCATCTACTAATTTTTCTTCACAGTACTTGTCTGATTGCTTCCCCATGCTGTCCAACATAGCTTGTTCCTCTGTTCTCTGTACTTCCTATAAATTGTGATTTAGATCTGAGAGTTTGGTTGGTTCATGTTAATACATTTAGTCTAGAATACATCTTGGGCACTGTCATATGTTTTCGTTTGAAGTTACATAAGAAGACACATGCCATCTAGTGCCCACCATTACTGAAGCTCAGATTGTGTGAGCACTTCCTGTGTGATTCCATTTAAGTGAGGTTCTGAAACAATGCTCATCTGTGGTGATAGAAATCAAGACAGTGATTGCCTCTGGTAATGGTGGGAATTGGCTGGACAGGATACTACTGAACTTTCTGGGTTGATGGCAATGGTCCGTATCTTTTTTAGGGTGCTAATTACATACCTGTATAGAGTGGTCAAAACTGAATAATATCTGTGCAGCCTTTTAATTGTATAATTTAAATTATGCCTTTAATTTTCTAAAATGGAGCCCTTAACAAACTCGTGAAGCAGTGACACAGTCCACTTTGCTTATTAGTCTAACCCTGGCTGCTGTCTCATTCTGAATCTTTTAATACTCTAGCAGTCTTACACTCAACTACCTGTGACTTTTTAAGGCCAAGGTCTTAGCTTCCCTAGTAAGTAAATGTCCTAAAACAGAGTTATGATTATGCCATCTCAATGCCCTTCACAACAATGGTTGTCGACCGAGGCTGTGTATTATTAGAATCACCTGGTATGTTAGTTGGCTCTGGCTGCCATACAAAATACTATAGACTGGGTAGCTTAAACAAAAGAGATTTATTTTCTCACAGTTCTGGAGGCTGGAAAGTCTGAATTCATCATGCTAGAGTGGTCAGGTTCTGGTGAGGGCTGTCTTCCTGGTTTGCACAGTTTAAGTTTCCCCATAATATGCAGCCAGGATTACAGTATTGAAGGTGGGGTCTGTGGACCAGCAGCATCGGGATTTCCATGTTAGAAATGCAGAATGTCCTGGTCCACCCCAGATCTGTGAATTCAACTCTGTATTTTAACAAGACCCCCAGATGGTTTGTATGTGCGATAAAGTTTGAAAAATACTTGTCTACAGCATCTTCCATAGTCTCCCAAACAGGTGTGCAAATGCTTCATCAATCATTTTTTGTTTGAGTTGAAATGGATGAACCTTTTGTCAGCAAACCAAGTTTTAGCCTTTTTAGTCTTGGAAGCCTGTCATTGTGTGGATCTTGATTACAAATAATTGTACCTTAGTGTGAAGATTTTATGCATTGCCTATATATTATTGTCTATTAGCAAACAAAAAAAAGCAGCAAATACACCCAGTACTAAAAACAAGTCCTAATGTTTTTAAAAATATACTCCCACCCCAGCGATTCCATCCCTATGAATAATTACTTCCTTAGCTTCAGGTAGGTTTTAAAATTGATAATGAAATAGAATATGTACTTGCGCTCCAGTTGCAGAAGGGAAGAGAAGTGGCTCTTAGCACAGAGCATGAATACTCTGTAGCTAATAAATAATTCAGTAAACCGGGGAAAGGAAAAACATGTGTGCTTAAATAGCAGAGACACCCTAATGCTTAAAATATTATTACGTGAGACTCTGTCTCAAAAAATAAAATTAAATTTAAAAAAATTCTTATGGTGAGAAATCAGTATTGTTATATATGATAATATTATGTAGCATATAATGCTAGTTTAAAAAATTATTACAGTAAGTATGCTTAATACTAGAAATATTGAAAAACATGTAGTCTTGATGCTTTAGAAAGAAGTTCAAGGTCTTGTCATCCATCAAGATCATCAATATGGTTGTCAGTGTTGCTCATGAAGTACTAAATAAAAGATTCCTAGCTGACAGACACTAAAAATTATTAATTTCCACCTTCCGTTTTCCCATCTATACCCAATTAGAGTTACCTAATGGTTATAGTTCTTTATTTTTAAGAACTATTAATTTCTAAAGCCTTTATATTTAAAATACCCTCTTAATTCCGTATAGCTACACATTTAAACTCCAGCCTCAGGGATAATTTCTGCTTCTGGAAATTGGTCTTCTCCTTCTCATTTTCCTTTCCACCGTTAATTCATAGCTTCTCACTTGTTAATATGATTAAATAGTTTGCTAAATTATATCAAAATGGCTTTCTCGTTTAGCTCATAGCATTGTTATATTCTGTCCAATAGGCTGAAAATAAAAAGAAGCTAATCTTTATTAAGCACACATATATGTATACACAGAAACAAATTCACCTTTTAAAAAAAGGGAGCCTTGATAATGTTTCGTATTTAAATTCTATTTCCCAAATGGATAGGGTTGACATTCATCTAATTAGTGATCAGATTTAACCAAACAAGTTTTTGTTGAATGCATGTAGTGTGCCCAACAGAAATACACAGAAATACACTTTGAAACCCAAAACCTTTTACATTCGGTATGCAGAGAGAACTTATATTCCAAAATTGCAAATTATTGAATAAAGACCTTGCTGGTTACTGGTTCAGTAAAAATTTATTTAAAAAGATTTATTGGGTGTCTTTTTTCATTACCTTCTAAAACAACACTAGAAGATAGTGGTATTTCTTCCTTAAACACTATGTAAGAACATTTACATTAATAAAATAGTGTACAGCCAAAATTATTAAATTTACTTTTTTTATTTTTAGTAAATACTTTTTATACTTTCATTAATTTTTAATGAAATATAAATGAATTTCTTAAAATAAATGGAAACATTGGAAAAAGATATTCAATGGAAAGTATGAGTTCTCTCAGAAATGTTTTATGCATATATAAAAATCTATGTTTTCTATATAACTTTATGTATTACTTTATTCCGGTTTTTCCCCCACAGGTGGAAGTATACCATGTAGTCTTCTCTACCTCGATATTTTTTACTTGAGTAATTTTGGAGATGCTTCCATATCAGCACATGTAGATCACCTTATTTTCAATGCTATGTAATATTCCAAGTATGGATTCAACCATTGCTATCAATATACATTTAAATGTTTTTCCCGGTTTTTACAATCTTGTAATAAGTGATGTTGTGATAAATAACATGTAGATATGTCTTTGTATTTCAATGCAGAATAGAATATCGAAAATTGCTATGCCAAAGAATATGTGCATCTATCATTTTTACATATTATGCCCAATTTCCCTTCAAAAAGCTTGAGCCAGTATACAGTTTTTGAGCCAGTACCCAGCAGTGTTTGAGAGTGTTGTTTGCCTGGTGGGCACCCATACATTGCTTGAATGATTCTCTCCTTTCTCCTTTCTCTCATCAATGTCTCCCTTTCTCTACTGGATCATTCTAATCAGAGCACAAACATGTTGTCATTTCTCACATCTGGAAAGAATAATTCCTTAATGGACTTCACTTGCCCTTTCAACTACTGCCCCATTTGTGTGCTCCCTTTTGCATCAAAACTTCTAGAAAAATGATGTATAAACTCCATGTCTTCATTTTTCTTTTCATCCTCTCAAGTATTCTCCAGTTAGGACTTTCAGCCTTGCTACTTTACCAAAACTGCTCTTAGCAAGTCACTGATGACTGTTGCTATATCTAGTGGTGAGTACTTGGCCTTTGTCTTACTCTGCTTGAGCAGCCTTTGATAGAGCTGATCCATTCTTGGACCACTGTCTTCACTTGGCTTTGATGATACCACCCCCTCTTCTGACCTTAGCTGCTCCTTCCAACTCTCTGTTGCTGATTTGTTCCTGTATCCATGATGTCTTGATGTTGGTGTGCCTGGGACCCAGTCTTTGGACCTTGTCCCTTCTGTGCTCCCTCCATCAGTGATCTACTGTAATCACATGGCATTAAATACTGTTTCTACCCTAAAGACACCCAAATTGTCCGTGGCCTTGGTGTCTCTCTTAAAGGCAAGGCTTGTGTCTTGTGCTACCTACTTGATGTCTCTACTCAAATACCATAGAGAAATCTCAAATTAAACATGTCTAAAATTTGGTCTTGTCCCTAAAACCTGCTCCTCCCATACTCTTCCCCACATTAGGCAACAGTCATTCCATCCTTCTATTTACTCAGACAAAAACCCTTACACTCATTCTTGACCTCACCCTTTTGTTCACACTCCAGGCCATTAGGAAGTCTCATTGGTTCTACCCTCAGAAGATATCCAGATTCTGACCACTTCGCATAACTTTCGTCTCCAACACCCTAGTACAGGCAGCTGTCCTCTCTGCTCTGGATTATTTCCACACTCTCCTGCTTCTACTCTTGCCCCCACCATCTGTTCTCCCTAGAACAACACAGCAGCTGTGCGATTCTGTTAATACTCATCAAGTCATGTCACCCCTCTGATCAACCCCCTACAGTGGCTCCCATCTCATTGAGCATTTAAAGGTTGTATGTGATATCCCCCCAACCCACACACACAGAACATCCCTCTCTGATCTCACCTCCTGTTACCCTTCTTGCTCACATTGCTGTGGTCCCAGTAGCCTTTTTGCTGTCCTGGTGCCCATGTAGAGCAGAATCCAGAAACAGACTTGTGTATATATTTAAATAGCTCATTTTATTCACTAAAGAGAGGAATTGATAGGCTCTCCAACAAATGGGGACATTCAGGATTGAACTCAGACAGCCTAAAGTCTGGACCTCCTGGGGGTTGCTCCATGAAATTGCCTTTCACTTTGCTTGGTCTTTTATTTAACACTCAGAAATGCCTTGAGGTAGTTTTGCACCCAGAGAGTGGGTAGGCACATTTGCAGACTCTTCAGAGTAATCAGGTGTGAGAGAGGGCCAGGTGGGTATTAAAACCCATGAGTTGCTTCTTGGGCCATGGCAGAATCCTCACGGCTCATGGTAGGACCATCCACAGCTGCCTTTCTCCATGGTCCCTTGGGGATCTGGGAAACTGGCTGTGTCTGAGAACATGCTGTTTTGTAGTCTGCCTTCTCTATGGAGATATAACCATCTCCATATGTTTTCACACCATTTGCCATTATTACTGGTACATTGAACAAACAGGTCTTAGAGGGTTCAATTATAAAGCAACCTTATTTGTGCTTCCCAATATCTTTTTTTTTTTTTTTTTTGAGACAGAGTCTCACTCTGTCACCCAGGCTGGAGTGCAGTGGCACCATCTTGGCTCACTGCAGCCTCCGCCTCCTGGGTTCAAGTGATTCTCCTGCCTCAGCCTCCCGAGTAGCTGGGACTACAGGCACATGCCACCATGCCTGGCTAATTTTTGTATTTTAGTAAAGATAGGGTTTTGCCATGTTGGCCAGGCTGGTCTCGAACTCCTGAACTCATGTGATCGTCCCACCTCGGCCTCCCAAAGTGCTGGGATTACAGGCGTGAGCCACCGCACCTGGCCCCCAATATCTTTTAAAATCCAATCCTTGAGATATTTCTTTTTCATTGCCTGGATGAAACTCAGGCACGCCACAGTTTCTGGCCCTTCCAGGATGTAGGGAATGTAGGGAGATAGAGTGGTAAGAGCAGAAAAGCTCTTTCTTGATTGGCATTAATGTGGTCAGGTTTCTCCAGAGTTGGCACATGTTTCAAGCCAACTGTCTTGTTGGGGCTTCTTAAGAGACCCCACTGAGAGAAGACCTCTTCATTAAAAGACTTCTTGATTTTAATGGATGATGGGTTCCTGGAGGGGCAGAACCAGGTGGCAGCTCTTATCCAGGAGCAAGGTGGGCACAGTTGCCGTAATGGTCATAATGGAGCAGCAAGCGGAACGTCGTAGCATACAGAGACCTTTGCTATTGGCTCACTATTCATAGTGGCCCTAGGACAAACTAGACGGGCAGTCTACTAAGAATTATCTGATTTATATAATCAGAAAATCTCTAGGTCTAGTGAATAGAAACCTGAGCTGTTCAATGGAGAGTCATTGCCTCTCATCTACATTCCAGACCTGAGTCAGTTCTAAAACACAGAAATCCTTAGATTGCCGATTTTCAAACCGTGGCCAAGAAGTTGCAGCAACAGCATCACCTGGGACTTTGTTAGAAATGCACATTATCAGACCCTGCCCCAAACCCACTGACACAAGAACTCAGGAGGTGGGTCCTAGCAATCTTCACTTCAGCTGATTCTGATGCATGCTAAGGCTTGAGAACTCTAAAGTTTAGATGAAGGAGAGGATTGGGAAGTTTGAGGAAGGCCCCTATAACATTGCTATAAGTATCTAGCATAAATCTTCCTTTCAGTCTTCCCCAAAAGACATGCAGCCATTCACTAGGGTAACTGTGTACTGAGGAAGGGGGCATATCCAGGCTTTTGGTAGATTTCTGGACATTGGTTCTGAGTCTATGCTAATCTCTAGAGACCCAAAATGCCTCTGACCCATTGGAGGGGGGTATCACTTATTGGTAATCAGGTAGTAAATGAAATTTGGACCTGTGGCTGCTTCATTGGATTCCAGTGGGTCTCTTCACCTGCGATGTGGTTATCTTCCCATTCCTGAATGGAGCTGTCATCTCAGAAACAAAAAGAGCCCATCTCCATATGGATTTTCTGTCTTGTGTGGTGAGTATTAGTATGGTAGGCAGGGCCAAGTGAAAGCTTCTTGGGATTTCCCCTTCCTATGTAAGAGTAAACTGAAAGCAATACCTTATCCCTGGGGAAATGACAGCGATTAGTACTTCTATCTAACATTTGAACAGTACAAGAGTTGTTCTACTGTGTCCTCATTTAGCTCCTCTGTCTGGCATGTACAGAAGGAAGATGGTTATTGGAGAATGACTGTGAATTCTTACAACATTAACAAGTTACTAGACCAGATGTAGTCTCTTTTATTGGATAACACAGCAGAGCTCTTGGCACTTGGTATGCAGCTACGAATCTGGTGGATGCTTTTTCCCCCCGATACCAAATTAGCAAATATCACCAGAAGAAGCTTGCTCTCAAGCAGCTGGAGGAATGGCAAAACACCTCCCTATCTTACCTCAGGCCTGCGTTACCTCTCCTGCTCTCTGACGAGAACTAGTCTGCAGGAGCCTGGACCATCTTGGTATCCTGCAGAACATCCTGCTGATGTGTAATTGACATGATGAGCAGCAAGGAGCAAATATCGTACATGCCTTAATAAGACAAATGTATGCCAGGGGGTGGGAGATGATCCCCAAGAAAAATCAAACGCCTATTGCTTTGGTGAAGATTCTAGGGGTCCAGTGTGGTCTGGAGAATATTGGCATTTCCTCTCCAAAGTGAAAGACAAATTACTGTACTTTGTACCACCTATCACGAAGAAGAGCTATAATATTCTGTGGGTCTTTTTATTTTTGAGGTAACATAAACACTTTTAGAGTCTATTGTTCAGAGCAATGTTGTGAGTTACCTACTACGCTGCAAGTTTTGTCTAGGGACCAGTGCAAAAAAGGGCTCAAGAGAGAGCAGGGTTTCTCAGTCTTGGCACTATTGACATTTACGGGACAGGCAATTCTTTGCTGTGGGGCGGGCCTGTGCATTGCAGGATGTTTAATAGCATGCCTGGCCTCCACCTACCAGATGTTAGTAGCATCACTCCCCATAGTTTTGAGAACTGAAAATGTCTGCAGACATTGCCAAATATTTTCTGGGGTGCAAAATCACCCCCATTTGAGAACCATTGGGCTACAGCATGTCTAGTTAAGCTTTAAGGTGAGAATCATTGGGCTACAGCAGGTCTAGTTAAGCTTTAAGGTGACTACAGTACTGGCTGACAACTGGACTGCAGCCTCGTGAGAGACCCTCAGCCAGATTCTCCCAACTGTGCTGTTCCCAGATTCCTGACCCTCAGAAACAATGTAAGATGATAAATGCATGTTGTGAAGTTTTGGGGTAATTTATTACTCAGGAAACTCAGACAACTAATACACCAGTCCTCTGAGCCATAAGGTTAGGCATGCATGGCAGAAATCCATCATCAGGTGTAAGTAGTAAAATAGTATATACCAGGTTCGGTTTGAGCAGGTCCTTCAGGCACAAGTAAGTTTCAAGAGCAAGTGGCTGTGACTTCCATAGCATCTATTCTTGCTGCAATTTTAATTCACCATCAGTCCACATCTGTGACCTCTTAGGATTGACTGTTGACAGACTAAGAAAACATTTGGGCCTGGTTCGCAGATGGTCCCTTGCAGTTTGCAGGCACCAGGTAGATGTGGACTGCTGAAGCATTGCAGCCCAAATCAGGAACGTGGTAAGAGGAGCTCTCTCAGGACCAAACACTGAGCATGTTATCTGGAGGGAGAGATGGCCAGAAGTCGAGATATATACCAATTGATGGGTCATTAATGGTTTTATTAGCATACTGGTGACAACGAAGTCTAGGAAAAAGGTTTGCAGATGGACCTTTCCCTATGGGCACTATCACATATGAATTCTCATTAGAGGGCATCCACTGATGAGGCCCTCAGCAGTCCACTGACAGGATAGCCTGTTCTGTGGATGTCAGTCAGTCCATTTCCAGCAACCCCGAGGCTTGCTTAATAGGCTCATGAAGAGCATGGCCATTGTGGCAGGGAGAGAAGCCAGACATGAGTTCAACAATGTGGACTTCCCCTCATCAAACTGGTCTGGCTCCTGTCACTGATAAATGACTAACTTGCTGACAGGGGCTCTACCATCTCTGAGTCTCTGATGTGGAGTCATTCCCCAGGGGGACCAGTCAGCCATCAGATTATTGCATGGAACTTCTATTATGAAGGACATGATTTTGTCCTCTAGAATAGACACTATTTATTTTTTCTTTCTTTCTTTTTAAATAGAGACAGGGTCTCACTCTGTCACCCAGGCTGGAGTGCAGTGGTGCAATCATAGCTCACTATAACCTTGAACTCCTGGGCTCAAGTGATCCTCCTGCCACAGCCTCCCAAGTAGCTAGGACTACAGGCACTCACCACCATGCCCAGCTCTTTTTTAAAAAAAATTTTTTTGTTCAGACAGGGTCTCGCTATGTTGCCCAGGCTGGGACACTATTTCTAAATATGCTGTGCATTCACTGCCTGCAGTGGGTTTATCAGTACCACCATCTGTGAACTTAACACAGAGCCTTATTTAATAGCATGATGATTATGACCAAAGAAGTTCTTTGCTTGTGACCAAAGAACTAATTTTACAGCAAAAGTAGTACAGCATTGGTATCATGCCCATGGGACTTATTGGATTACCATGTACTCCAGCACCCAAAGGTAGTTATCATTACAAAATTTAGAAATAGATAACTGAAGTTTCAAAAATGGTACCATCTGGAAGATAACTGCCTGCAGTCTAGGTGGCTTTCTTACTGCACGTAGATTATGCTTTGAATCAGCAAATGAGTGATGCTATGTCTCTCATAGTCAGGATACACAGACCTGGGAGTCAAGGGGTAAAAATGAGAGTGGCTACTCTCACTATCACATCCTGAATATCACTCACAGAATATTTGCCCTCCTTCTACAAAACATAGATCAGCTGGTTTAAAGGTCTTGATTCCTAGGAGAGAACGCTTCCTCTAGGGGAAACAATAACGTTCCACTGAACTGGAATTCGATACTTCTGTCTGCCCATTTCAAGTTTCTTCTGCCACTAAATGGACAGGCAAAGAAGAGGGTTACTTTTCTGGCTGGGGTGACTGAACAGAATTATTACCAGGGAGTAATTGGGTTGCCGTGACACACAATGGTGGCAGAGAGGACTATGTCTGAAGCCCTGGAAATTCTCCTGGGTGCCTCTTAGCACTTCCATGTCCAAGAGTAAAAGTTTCTGGAATAATATTGCAACCTGCAGGACAGCTAAAGACTTAGACCCTTCAAAAATGAAGGTTTCAATAATCTTGCCAAGAAAAGAACCCCAGACAACTAACTTCAGTTGCTGGCTGAAGGTAAAAGGAAGATGGAATGGACGTTGGAAGAAGTTCATTCTCAATTATTATTTAACTATTATCATCATCAGTCAACTAGTTTTGTTACCAGTCACCAAAACAAAACCCGTAGCAGCTATGCACATTTTCTTCTTTGTTTACTCTGCATAACACTGAGTGTTGGTGGTTAATTTTACAACTTAGCCTTTAGGTTGTAGAACATCCATTATAAAAGGTGCAATGGTGTCTGAAAGGAAAAAATTTAACATCACCCTGGGATGAATACAGTGGCTGAGGCCACTATCTTACAGGGTTTTACTCTGAATTATCTGTTTTAGGGAGAGAGTGAACTTGTGTTCATCTGTGTGAGGAATAAAATTGCATTCTGTGAGGAAGAAGTGTGATGTTGCTGTAGGGTGCGTACAATGGAATGTGTGGATGCTGAGTAGCAAAAGGGTGGATGTGCTGGATTGTGTCTCTTGACTCTTAAGTCCAAGTCCACCCTTCTGGATAATCCTCCATCCTCTTTCCCAGACTCACTCATCCAGCTGGTTTCATGGGAGGCGCTGGTGCTAGGTTCCAGTGTGGGAGGAGGAGATTAGCCATTTTCCCCAGCTGGCCTGGACTGCCTGTGCTCTGGGCTCCAGCAATCCGGGGATAGTTTCAGCAAGATCAACACTGAGTATCCCTGACAGGATTCAGCCAAGGGCCAGTGGCAGCTTCCCAGCCTCTTTGGGTAAGAGCCCCTTCTTTTTTTGCTCCTCAGTCCTTCCAGTAGTTTTTAACCAATTTCCTGTGTTCCATCCTACTCTGCTTGAGATATATAGAGAGGTTTCTACTTTTGTGTTTGAGCACTGAATGATACATAGTTCCTTCCATATCAGTCCATAGTGAGCTTCCTCATTCTCTAGTCAAAAAAAAAAAAAAAAAAAAAAAAAAAACCCAAACAAACAAACAAACAAAACAGGAATACATCATATTTATATGAGAAGACCCAATAATGGATATTTAGACTGCTCTCAATCTGCTCTTTTAATCAATAAGAGTAGTAAGTACATTTCCATTTCAGGAAAGTATTATCAAGGCATATATTTGGAAATTTTTGTGTCTTACCCCACTTGGAATTTTACGCGCCAGAGCTCTTATGCAGGAATCTAAATGGCTGAAATAGGATTAAACTAGACTGTGGAATCTAGAGAGCGTTCAACTGCAGCTGGTTATTTATTGCTTAATAAGTATTTTGAAGTATTGTTCGGCTATGTCCTAGCCTTATCTCTTCCAAATGAATTGCAAGCACTCGGAGCTTGATTTTTTGTCATCTTTTGAATATGTAAATGTGTCATGTTGGGAGGGGGGTTGGTAGTACCTCCCTCCTCTGTGATTCATGTCACCTGAATGTGTCATCCTACTGGCAGTCTAGGAAGAGCCCTGCATAGGTCTTAGGTTTTCTCTTGAGGAAGGAGCTCATGACACAGCCAGCACTTCCACATAGGATAGTAGCTCAAATAGAGGTCCAGTTTGTTTTATTATTGGGCTTATTCCAAATTCCTTTCCTGGGGCACTGTGCTTTAGAAATGCTTTTTTCTTAATTATGAAATATTTTAATTGATTTGTGGGCAGTGCCTCTTATTCAGCCTGTGCAGCCAGTCCCTTTGGTCCAGCTCAGGGTTGGAGGACTGCCTGGACCTGTTCAACGCCCTCAGCCCCGTGAGGCCGCCTCAGGCCATCTCACCCATCTGACACTGCTTCCACTGACCACAGAATGAAGGCCTCTTTAGCTCTTTGCTAGCTCCATCCCCCAACTCTGTTTCTTGATTTTATCTTCTTTAATTAATGAAGTGCACTTTTGCTATCTTCTTAACTTTTAGGTATTCAGATGATTCTGCCGTTCCATTTCCAGCTCTTAGACTCGTTGAATGTTCTAAAATGGGAAAGGCTGGGTCCTGTTTATAGTTGCCTTGCCAACTCCCAATCAGCCTTTTCCTAAGGAAGATTTTTCTTTAGCCAGTCTACACTTTCATAGCAACTTAGAGTGTGACAGGAATCCTCAAACATTCAGAAGTGACTTGGCCGGTAGAGATCCGGAGTTGCATTTCTAGCATGAATATCCAGCCTTGTCCCTTGAGGGTTCAACTTTAATAATCTTTAACATAATCCCTTTAAAACACAAATCCCTGGCAGATCCAAGCTGCTTTGGTACAAAAGTTCTAGAGATTAAAACCAAAGCTGCTTTCGGTGGTAGTGCTGTTATACTGTCAATCCCATTGCCAGCCAAATTAACAGCATACATTTCTGATAACCCACCTAATGCTGGTAAGCAATCAATAGCCAGATTCATTTAACTCTCAGAAGCTTAAGTGCTGTTAAATCACATTTCCTGTTCATGGGGCTGAATCCTAGAAGATGTGCAAGAGTTGTTTTTTCAAGTACTCAGTGGAAAAAAGAAAGAAGGCATGTAAAGGAAAAGGTTTTAGTACTTATATGTTATATTGATTATATATAACATTTATATTCACTGTAATATTGAACAAAAATAGTTTATACTGATCATTTACTACACGAAACAGCATTACCTAAGATAAATGGTAACTGATTTGCTAATTTTCTAGATAGTCACATTCACAGATAAGTTCACAGCTGGATCAGATACACCGTTAACAAAAACTGGTTTTTAAAACTATCAAAACAGGAAGAACATGGAAACTTCATCCCTAAATCCTCAATGGCACATTGGAGATTTCTTAACGCGTATTGCTTTTCTTTTCACTGGAATTCCACATGCAAGTTGTGAAGTGCAAGACTGAACTATTAGAAGCTCCAGATTTGACATGATCGCAAATTAGTTTTACCTCTTGCTGGTACATATTCCCTATGTTCAGGTTCATAGAAATCCCAGAAAACACATAGGTCTCCATCTGAATTTTGGTCAAAGGATTCAGTTCTACCTCTTTCATCCTGGCCCAGTTTTACTGCTGGGAGTCTCACTGGCTTTCTCTTTAGCCGTCAACAAATTTGGAGCAAGCTTTTCTCTCTGGGAAAAGATTACATATGGCAGTCTGGATTTTAGTTTATATTTTCATTATAAATGAGAGAGTCTTTTAAAAAGCCACTTAAGAATCACTGCACAGCTTCATGTGGGATTTGGCCAACGGTTGTTGGGGTTCTAAGCTATTAAATCAGCTTTTTTCTAACTGCGAAAAGCAGAGGTTGAAATTTTATATTTTTTCAACTCCTCAACCAGTGGCTTAAGTAGTTGAGTTATTAAGAAGAAAACAATATGGAGTATTTTTCAGAATTAGACATTCGCTTTTGGTTTGTTTATCCACAGATGAAAAGAGTTGAGAAGATTTCATCTTAGCATATCTAATTTGAATTACATCTCTTCTACCAGAATCCTTTTCTCGGGCATAATGTAGCGGGAACCATCAGTTTGTTATTGCTGGCAGGTCTCAGCTTGTAACCAACAGAGGAATATTCCAGTCCTGCCATGACACAAAATAGAATTTGTATTCGTACTGGAAGAAAGGGTTGACTTTCTAAATACCTTATTGTAGTTTATGAGTTTAAATTAAGCTAGATTTTTTAAAAAATCTATTTGTAAGGGTCTCATTGCCTCTAAAGAGCAAAACTAGGTCAAAACTTCCCTTAACTTAAAGGTGGATAAACAATTCTATTTCACATAAAATACCATGAAATTGAAAAGATGACCAAACTCACAATTTCCCATTAGAAAATACCTCAGTTCATTCAACAATAAATATGAATGAACATTTACGAAGTGTCAGGTGCTCCACTAGGAGCTGTGAACACAGGACAGAATAAAACAGACAAAAGTACCTGTCCTCGTAGCTTTTCTTAAGGCTTTCTGGAATGAACTAAAACATTAATGAATTGTTAATATGAAAAACAAACTAGTTTTCTTCATTAAATGGGTGTAGTTGCCAATGTAATAAAAATTATAAGTTAAAAATACTATCCAAGAATTTCTGTGACACCAAGACCTCTGAAGGTCTTTGCTACTGTGCTGATTGCAATGAACAGAACTTTTATATCCATTTGTTCTAGGAAAGTGTTGTTCTCTGGATACCATGTTGCCAAAGAAAAAAATATATCGTTTCTGGGTAGATTCAGAAACAGAGCTGTAAATGATTCTGGCAGGATGAGCATGGAAGGGAGAAGATATTAACAACTGGAAAATGGCCTTGTTGCCAGAGGCTCCATATGATGGCATTAGAAGCCACATGATAGAATTAGACTTGAGGTTATATGCAGGTCTGGTTAAGCTCAAAGCACCCATCAACTCCTTATGAACTGATTATAAGACAGCCATAGAGGCAGCTGAATGCACCTTTTATTATCTCAGTCAGGGAAGTCTTCATTTGAAATCCAGTGTGTGGGGAGAGTGATAAGAAATCATGCCTATATTCCTAGATGACTACCATCCTACAATCCCACCCACCCATCCCTCAGTTTCTATCTTCAGCCCCATCACACAGGACCCGCTCATTCGGGAAAGTTCCAACCTAGAACATCCCCATTGCTCCAGGGAAAGAGGAAAGAAGAACAGAAGCAGCAGGAGGAGGAGAGAGAGGGAGGGTGGAAGGAAGTACTTCTGTCTTTGCAAGTGGTTTAGGTGTTCTGGGTGGTGCCAGCTGAGATGCAGCTGCTTTTGTCTTTGGACATCCTCCCACCTGGGCACCTGGGCACCTGGGCGCCATTCTCCATCTGATGCTAATCATCTCCACCAAACTGTGGGTTGTTTGTTGGTGGTGATTATGGAGTTTGTTTTTTACCCTTATATTTCCCATTAATTTTGTCCTGGCTTAGGTTTGTTTTCCTTCTGGTAATACAAGTCTTGAATAAATTCATTTGTTGCTTATGGGCAAAAGCAAATCTAACACAGCCAAAGACATCTTCAGACCTTAAGAATGTTGGTTCACCTGTAAAATTTGCATCTACTCCAAGAACACTTAACAGAGCCCTCCCTTTTGGCTGTCAACATGCCCCTTCCACTTCTCCTGGGGCTAAGAGGCCACCTCAGAACAGGTCCCACAGCTTCTCCAGAAAGAGCTATGCCCAAAGCAGATGGAACAATAGGAGGCTGCATCAGAGAAGAGTGTAGACTTGCTGTCTGATTTCTATTAAGTTCTTTCTGATTTTTTTTTTAAAAGCCAGGCACATGTTTATTTTCATAGTCAAAGAGTTGTAATCTTGGACATTGAAAATAAATACATTTTATGTATTTTAATTTATGGCTGTACTCTTAGGTAATTTTACTTGGTTTGAGCTCTGTTTCATTGTTTTACAAAGTGGTCTGGCTCCTTTAAGAAGCCACAAGTTGTAGACATTGAATCAAGCTGAGTCATTCATCCAGAGAGAGAATTAGGAACAGCTGGGGGCGGCCACTAGCAGTAAAAGCAGAGGCCTGAGAGGAACAAAATGCCTCTCTAGGAAATGTTCCAATACTTCAACCCCAAACAGAGAGAGGAAAATCTCACAGGCACCATCTTGCTAATGATGGCAAATCCCTGAGAATTGTGAAGCAAGGATGTTCCTGGGCCAGAGACCAGACTCTGGCACCTGCAGCCAGGGGCCAGGAGGGGTCGTGTGGGCCAGCACACCGCCACAGGATATTGGTCTTCAAAGGGTTTGGTGGCCCACGGGTCTCCCTTTCTATAAAATTCAGGGCTACTGAGCACCCTCTGTGACCCTTGAAAGGGTCAATTGCCTCATGACCTCTTTGCCCCAGTTGTTGGAGCCAGTTAGAGAGAAACTGAATTTCAGTGAGTTAAAGGATGACATTAAAAGTTGCAGTATGATTAAATGAAGACAACAGGACATGGTATTGTCTCCGGTGTGGAAAAAATAGAATCTGCAAACAATAAAAGACTAGAGGAATAATAATACTGTGGTTATATCTGGGCTATGGGCATTTTGGCCATTTTTATGTTCTGTGTATTTATTTATATTTTTATGTGTTATGTCTTACTTCTCAGTGTGGAATAAATATCCACATTTGGTCCCTCCCTTTTTCAGTCAGTATTTTCTAAGCACATTCTGTGTGCCTGGCACTCTGCTGGGGAAGCAAAGGAAGCAAGTCCCAAGGCTTTACCTTGAGCTGCCACCTTCTATGGCACTGAAATCACCAAGCTCTCCCTGGGGTAGCTGAGCTTCTCTTCTCAGGGCCTGGGCCCCTTGCTGGTCCTCAGTGCCGGTCATGGACTCTGCCCAATACAAGTGAGATTCATGGCTGCCCTTCACTCCAGCCCTGCTCAGACATCAGCTGTCAGGAAGGACTTTCCTGGCCCCTCCGTGGATCACACTCTCACCTCCCATCAGGCTTTACTCTCCTTACCCTGCTGAGATTTTCATTATAGCACTTAGCAATATGTCTTTCTGTATGCATGTAGATATGTATGCATGTTGAACACTGACCTCTCACGGGAATGCACTGTCTTTGAGGAAGGGTCTTTAATCCTGCTCATTGCTGTATCTCCACGACGCAGAACAGTGGCATGCTAAGTCTTGTTGACTTGAAGTCAGGTGCTCTTCCTCAAGGGGAAAAGTTGTATTAGGTGTACTTGAATATATAGAGAATGAATCCCGATCCACAAATGCAGGTGATAAGAAATGTGGCTTCTATTTTCTACAATGATATTTTTAAAATTATGAATTCCCACTCTGCTGGCAGAGTGGAAAATTTCAGAGGGTCCTCTGCCAATCAGGCCATCACATTGTGCCTGTCCCCAAAGTCCCTTCGTGCCTGGCGGCCTTCTGCTGCTTCTGGGCAAGGCTGAAAACCTCAGTACCTGTGGCCCCCGCTCCCCAGCTCCTCCAGCTGGAAGCTCTTCCTCTCCCGGCTCTGGCCCAGACCTGGCCCCTGCCAGGAAGAACCTGCCGAACTTGCTCCTTGCCTCAGCTAGGGGAATTACCTTTTAGTCTGACAATTCTTGCCTGTTTTTCCAAGCCATTCTGTTTCCTCAAACCCAATCCTCCCCTTGGACTCTGGCTTTTTAGAAGACAAAAGCCAGAAATGCTCCCAGGGTCCTTCTGCATCTCATCCTGCCGCTCACCTCCCTAAAGCAAGTACACGGGTCAGCTATACCTGCTCAAAAGGGCAATGAAGAAGGAAAACGTCAGTAACTCTGACTAAAGGCAGAAACGTGCTTTCTTGGAGTGAGACAGAGAATGCACAGAAGAACATGATTATAAGCAGGGAGTGGGTAAAGAGAACAGGGAAGGAGGGAGGCTTACTGGCCCTCTTATGCTTTTGAGCTGGGTCTCAAAGGCTGGGCGGGATTTCATTTGACAGAGCACACCGAACAGAAAGGCAGGAGCAGAAAGAAAATAGAAGTGGTGTTTGCATGAAGGTAAATCATCTCATCTGACTAGACACATTTGAGCAGTGAGAAAATAAACCAAAAAAAGTAGGCTGGAGTCAGTTTGTGGCAGGCCTTCAGAGCCCAGGGTGTTTTGACATCAACTTAAGTAGTTGGCAGCCATTGAGTCAGAGAGTGAGTTGATTAGACTGCTGTGTTAGAAAATGAAATAGCAACGCTGTCTAGGATGGATTAATGGCTGGGACTGTTGAAAGACTAGAGCAGGGAGACCTTTCAGTAGGTTGTGCAATCATCTAGAAACTGGAAGGAAAAGGAGGAACGAGCTGCAAAAGATACTGCTGAAGAAGAGTAAACAGACTTTGGCCACTGGGTGAATATAAAAGAAGGACAAGAGAAAGCTGTTGATGGTAAGAATGTGGATGTTCTCACAGACCAGGGAAAACGAAGGGAAGCTGCTGGTTTGCGGGAGGATGAACAGGCTGGTCATGTTGAATCTGAGTTTCCATCAGGACAGCTGGAGCTATGGGCAGGGAGCTCAGAAGAGAAGGCAGGACTTTCCCTGTGATAGGAAGAGAACAGGGTCATGATGCTGTGGGAGTATGTGGTGGTAAAAGAGGAAAATTGAGGGATATGGTGTTGGTTGCTTTGATCTTCTCAGTAAGGTAGGAGACAAGGCCATTCGCTGAGATAAGGGAAGCCACACTGTGTCATCTTGGAGTTTGAGAGTGGACATGGTTTGAAACAGCTGCACCAGTGAACAAAAAAGGTGTCAATTACTGAGGAGCAAATGTGTAGACCTGTACAACCTCAAGTGTTCTCTCCCATAAATACAGAATCCTTTTATGGTGATTTAATAAAATCTGTCCAGGCAGATGTGAGAAGAAATAGCCTTTAAATCGCATATCTAGTTTGAGGCATGTATTATGTTTTATACTCTCTGATTTCTGGTAGATAGTTCTCTCTTTCTTATTGCTATGCCATTTATTAGCAATTTATCTGTTTTGTAAATTTATCAAGATGCTAGAATCCCTCAGCATGGTACACATGAAAACGTAGCAACCAGTCATTGCCAGCTCTCATGGTATGTTTCCCGCTGTCGAACTTCTGTCCCCAGAGACGCTTGTCATCACCTGCTGTCTACTCCAAATGCCAAGTTGTTTTCTTCACTTGGTGGCTTTGGGCAGAGGGGGAGAAATGGCTCATCACAAAGACCAGCAGCACCTTGGGCTTCAAAGGTGGGGGTTACACCTGCACCTGGGGCTAGGGAGAAAGGGGCAAGCTTAACATTCATCTCACTTTCTGGGGTGGTACCAAACGTTGCTGCTGGTGGTTCAAGAACTCATCCCATTTCACCTCCTTTTGGTCTTTTCCAAGGCTTCCCACACCTTCCTTGTCTCTCTATATTCTCATCTCTGTTTTCATTTTATGGTACCTGCTGTTGGGGATCTAAGGATTTGTTTGGAGTGAGAAGTAGGGGAGAATAACACAAACCTCTCTGCATTCTTAGCCTTACTAGCATTTTCTTTACTAAAAGACAACTCCATTGGAGTTGTTGGCACTGGTAGTTTTAAGCCACCTGGTTTCAGTTTACGTAACTGAGTATGTCCTAATCACACAGGATTACTGAATTGTTTTTCTCTTCCTTTAATGCTTCTACATTGAATATGTGACTATCAACTCTTTTTTTTTACTCTAATCCAGCCCAAGAAGAGAAAAACGTTCCACTGAAGGGTAGGAAATGGCAGAAAATTTGGAACCGGGGCTCAGAATCGCATGCTTCCCGGGATGGTGCACCTTTCTCTTCTGACTGTCCAGTGAGGGAAGAATGTGATCTAGAAGCAAATCCACATGGACCTTGGTTTACTTATGAGGCCAAAACAGAATTGCATTTCTCATTCCTTAAGAAACTAGAACTCTTAAGGAATTGTTCTGAGGCTCTAGCCTAACAAATATTAACATTTTTCGGGGACAGAGGAGCTAATTTAAGGGAACCGTGACTGATTAGAGATTCCTTTTCCTCTGCCCTAACAAGGAAGACACATTCTAGTGGAATTTTACCCTGAAGAAACTACCTCATTGGAGCAAACAAAATCCACCCTTCATCCAGTCCAAGATCAGCTTCCATTTTCCAGGGCAACATCACTCCAAACCTTTTTTGATAGAATCTACTTTTTTTTTTTTTTTTTAACTTTTGTTTATTTTTGCCCCAAAGCCTTTGGCATTGTCCTCCAGTGAGTCACACTATGGAGCCATTTCAAAATGTCCTCCTTAAAGAATGTTTCTCTTCCCAGGGGAGATGGGAAATTGGTCAATGACAGCATGTTCTGGCATGTTACGGTGCAACGTGTGAGGATTTTAGTAAGGAGATGCCATTTCACACGCCGCCAAGGCCACTTGATGGATGGGCTTGCAGGGAAACAGCCTTCTAGATCTTTCCTGGCTCTACAGAGACAAGATGGAAAAACTAAAGCATGGCCATTAGGGGTTTCTTCCAATCAGTGTAATAAGGGAATCAGTCCTTCTACTCTCCCATGACAGAAGTTTAGGGCAGTCATTTGCAAATTCAGATTTTGCAACAAAATAATTAAATCATCATGGGATGGAAGACAAAAATAAGAGGAGAGAAGGCAGATACTGGCGTGTTTGGAGGCTTAGCAGGCTCCAGCACAGTAATGCTGATGCCCAGGCCTGTACCAGTGATACTCTCTCCCCCTGGAAGGTCTCCAGTCTCACCCCCACTCCTTGGTTTGGAGTAATTAGTCATCCTCTGTCCTCTGTTCTCAAAGCACTTCGGACCTTCATCTATTAAAGTAGGTGGCACACTGGGATTATTTATGCAGTGGTCACCAGCCTTCCCTTCATAAGCATCTGTCCCCATTTAGAGCACCTCAGCGGCAGAGCATAGATTTGTCCTCATATCTTCAGCACCCAGAGCACGTCTTCAAGAAGATTAACATGGCACATCCTGCTGTAAGATGGAAGTGTGACTGAGGCAGGAGTCTGGGGCAATTTCTGTTCCTGGTGCTGAGTGTCTAGATTTCCTATTCTTATCACACAACATCCCCGCATACTCGCAGGTCCCTCAGGCACTTCTTTTGCTCCCTTTGACTCATGTATGAAAATTTAAAGTATCATCAAACATTACTAGGTGTACATGTGAATTTTGATTGTGAACATTCATTGGGAAATTAGGGAAATCACCAGTGTGTATTCCCACTGCATGTCAAAATGTAGAGACTGGCTTTAATGTTTTTACTGAGCTTTAATATCTGCATATGGTGGATGTTTTCTGGCTCCTGGCTGCGCAACATCCAGGCTCCCTTTCTTCTAGTGACAATGCCCTGGGTTTATTTTGTTTTGTTTTGTTTGGTGGTGGGCAATTGTCTGTCCCCCATTGGGTGCAGTCCTGATGACACTGAGTTCAAGGTGGCCCACCCTCCCTCCTCAGCATGAGATGAGTTTTCAGTGGCTGCCACTGGCTGTGGTGTGGGATTGGTGAGAGGAAGCTTTTACATTTGAGTTTTTCGCAATGAACAGCTC